>NC_000003.12:151205574-152455574 GCF_000001405.40 Homo sapiens | reverse complement strand
CACTTGTAGCGGGTGTCATGCACAATATTGAGCCTGCCCATCATGCATTGCAACAGGAAGGTGGATTTGAAAAGGGAAAAGAATTAAAACATCCCATCACACGTGTAATTAGAAAATTCATTTGAACAAAGAAGAAAAATTGTTATTATGGGAACAGTGGCATGTAACTGTCAGCACAATCAAATCATACAATAGCACAGTGATCAATTAGAACTAGTCTCAAGTGAAGAATAAAAGCCAGTTTAACTGTGTGCTGGTACACTTTGTTTCTCTTAATTGTTGCCTATAAACAAAAGTATTTTGGAAGTAATTTAAATCCACTTAATTCTTTTAAAAATAATATTGTAATTTGTTTTGTTTTAATCTGATTACTAACCATCTGGTCGTTTTGCTATTTCTGACTTTAACTTATGAATGCCTTAACATTTTCTTTATATCAGGCACATATTAACTTACTAAAGATATTTATTATTAAATACTAAATAATTCAATGTACAAAACTGACTTAACAATATAATGAAACCCAAACATTCATTTTCATTCCTTTTGCTTTATTTTCCTGTTCATTGTAGCAGCAACCATATAAACATGAAAGGGGTTGTAATTATTCATACAGGATTTGTATTTGGAGGGATGCCAAGCAATAAATTATACATAAAAAAGTGAAATTTGTGCCTTTCCTTAGTTTGAAATTAAAATGTAGGAAAAGCATTAAGGGGGAATATAATTTCTTATAAGTATCAAATTGGTTTACTTCACAGTATCTAGGAAATCAGAGTGGTTTTCATTGCTGGTTTAGACCTTCAAGACTTCTGGGAGTAGCAAATGTTCTACAAAATTTCACACGCAAGAAACTGCTAATTAGAGTTCAATAAAAACCTTGAGTGGGAGAGAGTGAAAATACATACATCACATATGGGGTGTTAGCACTGATGCTGACAATTGTTCAACCATGATAAGCAAAAATAAATGTTGCATATATAGATAGTCCTTGTTCTCTTTGACATGTAAATATTGAAAATTTAACTTATTTTACCAAGTACAAGGCACTTTCCCATATGCAGAACTACTGTTCTTTCTATGGGATTATTTTAGAATTCTAGGTTTTAAAATATCCAAGGATTTTATATTTCTATCTAAATCTTAGCATATCCTGTTTAAATACTAGCAGCATCTGGGACGAACATTTGTTAGAAAAATATCTGCCAAATGAATCTCGTCAGAGATGGCCCTATAAAATAAAGCTGCCATTGAGAAACTCAGCTGAAACACGGATTACTTAACTGGCATCTCTGTAACAGCTGCGATTAGTTTGTTATCACAATTAGACTGTGGGCAGAGTGATCAACGATTAAACTCTGTAATGTATCTGGGGACACATCCTATCAAGTGGAATAATATTATATTGACAAGCATTAAGACACTTGAAGATCTCTGTCATTTGCTACTACTACTGAGTCAAAGACTTGTGAAAGACAAACAGAAACAAGCCAGTAATAACAAAGAAGTTATAATAATTTGAGACAGTAGAGCAAGCAAAACTTAATACCGGATCTACATCTTATAAAATCATTACTGTCTTAATGGTAGGGTGAGAGAATTGGAAAAGAAATGATGAATGAAAAAGAATAATGTGATAATTAAGTAATATTAAAGCCAGTTTAAATATTGTACAGGTTATATTTTTCAATTATTTATTATTAGGCTGAGACTTGCCTACTGTATTTCATCCCATGCATAATTAAGTCTGCACATGCTGAAAATGAGTTAACCTTATACTATCTCTCTAAAATCCTAAAGCTATTATGATTTGAATTTTAGTTTGAATTATCTTCCTCATTAGCATTATAACCAATGCACACAGTTTTGAGAGGGATTTGCAGCAAATAAACATAAGGCAGCAATGAAAATACTAGCCAGGGTGCAATAACTCACAAATATGAGGACATAATGCTGTAGGACCCACTTACCAAAAATGAAAATCACTTTTGAAATGACCATAGTTTCCATCTTTACATGGGTTGATTTACTACTAATAATGTGCAAATGGCCAATTTAAATTTTTCCTCAATTTTCAGCACAAAGCAAAATTTAAGTGAATGTATTTGTCAATTTCCAATTTCTCCTACAAAGATATTTGCAGAGCAGAATGGTGTGCTTCTGAGAAATGTGTTATTTTAATTGCATGACCTTTTAAATCAAAAATTTTAATTGATATGTATGAAAATGTAGGAAAAACTAGGATGATAATTTACAAATAAGATGTATGCATACTTAAAATTACTTGGAGTAGAAGGGAAGTAAGTAGAAGAGAGAAAAAGAATTGTAATGAAGATTTAGTTGGAAGTTAGAATTTCGATGTAATAATTCAGTCCTATTTAGGTTGATTATAAGAAGTATTAGGCTGATTAAGATTTTCTAAAAATAGTGTATATCATTTTAAGACTAAAAGTTAACAATCAGTTGGATTATTCTCAAAATTGGTATCCAAACAAGCAGTACCTTCTTTATTTTTATTAATTATAAGTAATTTATTAATATACATAATTATAAATGATTATATGTATTAATGATACTAAATGTGACAAATCTTTTTCTCTTCTTTGCATAAACACAACCCTGCCTACCCCTGCCCTTAGACCTACACCACCACCTAAGAGTTTCCTGGCCTTTCGTTGCCTTATTCTTGGTAGAGTTGTAATACAAGCCAAAATAGAAGTTGTTTAAAGTAAATGTATTTTCAGAACTGTTAAAACTCATAAGCCAACACTGATTGAGGGAGATATGCTAGAGAGGGAGACAAGAGGTGTGATTCTGAAGATGGTAGGTAAGCAAAAATGGTGATGGAGGGCAGAGAAAAAAATTCCTCAAGATTGAAGTGGCAGGCAGTGTGCAGCTCCACAGGTAGCTGGGTAGGTAGCCTGTTCTTTCACAATAGCCCTGCAGACATCAGGTCCTCAAGGGCATGGGAGCCTGGAGGGCATAGACAAGGAAGCCTATATCCAAGGCAAGCACAGAACCCCTGGAGTACCTGTCTTAAGAGCTCTTGCAAGCATAGACAATGATCACATCAGCAGTGAGCAGCGGTGACTGAAGCATGAAGAATGCATAGCCTGTCTGAGAATACTAGACTGTACAGGACCTCACATTGAGGTAAGGTCAGGAAAGAGAGGGAGCTGGGGCATGTAGTCCTGGATTCCCAGTAATGCCTGTTATTTCTCTCAACCCAGGGAGATAGAGATCACAGTTCAGAGCTAGACTTAATTTCAACGAAAAAAGAAATGGTGTAAAGGAAAGTGGTATTTCTTACACGCCGTAATTTCATGAGTGAAAACTCATATATATAACATAAATAGATCCTAAATTATGCATAATATCTACAAATAATCAATCTGGTCCTGAAAGGGGAAGGTTAAAACAAGTATATATCGAAATTTGAAAAGACAAAACTTCAATATGAATTTAACCTAATACTTATATTTATCTTTAAATGAGGTGGAAGGTGTGAAACACCATGGAGTTAGGTGTTCAGTAAGGGCTACTTCCACTCTCCCAAATCATTTTTAAGGTCTTCGTGTAATAGATATTGAGAGACTAACCAAGTCAGCCTGACTTGAGTTCAAGTTGTACTTAAATCTAAACCTTACAAAAGCCATTTAACTTGGGACAAATCACTGTACCTTACTAGGCTCCAAATTACTCATTCGTAAAATGAAAATATTAATGCCAACCTTCTGGGCGTTGTGAAAAAAAATGAGATAATGTAGGCAAAGCACTCAGTGCAGCAGGGAACAAGAGCAACCATTCAATAAAACGTAGCTCTTTTGAACAAAATATCTGAAACAACCTGGCCTAAGGCAATAGGGAATTGTAGCGTTTGGAACTGAAGGGTACAGTATGTGTCCTATCTAAAGGATTTACATTTAGTTTTCATTTAAACACTCTTAAACAAAAATATTTCTAGATACTAGATTTTACCCTTGAGCTATCAGTTTGCAATCCTTCACATAAATACTGGTATACCATGTGGCATACAATCAATGTTTATTGACTGAATAAATGGAAAGATGGGTGGATAGATAAATGGGGGGATGAATAGATGGATGGAAAACTGAAGGACAGAGGAAGGGAGGAAGGAAAAAAGGATAAAGAGAGGAAAGGAAAGGGGAGAACAGAATGATAGGAGGATGGATGGATGTATGGTTGAATGATGCTTAGATGGGTAATGTCCATATTAAATCCAATTCTGTTCTTAAAAGTTAAAGTATGTAGTAATTTTTCTTAGCTAGCTGGCTGGCTTGTCACTGAACCCTGATCTTTTGCCAGCAAACTACTCTATACGCAGCCACCTGCTCTAAGAATTTAGCTAACCATGCTTCACTGTAATTTGAATAAAATATATCTACACATCTGAAGTTATCATTGAAACAACAGACTACAGACCACTAAAATTCTGAGCTGCAAAAAATAAAAGAATTCCATTTTCTTCCCAGTTCCAATAAAGCCTTCAAAAGTGTACCTTCCAAATTATTAAATTGTGTTCAGATCGGATTCCTTGATCATCTAATTCTTCTGTATTATTTGTCTGCAGAACAACCAAACTTTGGAAAATGAAATTCCTTTTCTCCCAGGTATTAGACATGAGATTACATGTGAATGTGTGGTAAGATGAATTTCCTTTAGTTCTCAAAGGGTGTTTTTAAAAAACTGAATTGCCAAAATTTAAATATTGAGAAATTTCACATATAAACATACAAATGTCTAGAGTATCTGGGAAAAAATCATAAGACCATAAGACCTAGCAACACTGTATGTCAGGGCTACTGTGTTAGGTTGTGCGGGTTTCTTACAACCAACCCTATGAGGCATATACACAATCAATTGTGGTTTACACAGACTATGATATAAATGGAGCCACAAAGGGTTTGCAGTGGACAGCAAGTACAACCTGCCAGGCAGACAATCCTCTGAGGCAACAAAAGGCAAAGTCTGAACATTGACTATACTCTTTAGACTGAGCCTGTGCTCCCCTGTGCCTCCCAGACCCCACAGCTCCCAATTTATTCTTGCTTCACTTGTGTTTCCTGCCTGGCCCCTGAGGCTTTTGCATATACATTCCCTGCATTAGACTTCTTTCCTTTCTGACTGTCTGACAAAGTGATGGGGCAGAAATAATGAAGAGCTATCCATTTTAACCTTTTCATGCCACAGCGTCAATTTTTGTGAATGCAGGTATATATTATATAATGAAAATATTTTAAAATAATCATGGAGTCACTACCTACTTCTGATTATGTGATTAATAAAGGTCAACTTGCTGTTTCAGGCCCTTATAACTGAGTTGCAAATAAATGTTATTTTATGTTACTAATGCAATAATTTCACACTATATTGATTATATTTGAGAAATATGTGTGTGTGTGTGTATATATATTTGTTGTTGTTGTTTTGTGTGGTTTTTTTTTTTTTTTTTTGAGATGGAGTCTCACTCCTTTGCCCAAGCTGGAGTGCAGTGATGTGATCTTGGCTCACTGCTCCGCCTCCCAGGTTCAAGGGATTCTCCTGCCTCAACCTCCCAAGTAGCTGGGATTACAGGCATGCATCACCACATCCGGCTAATTTTTGGATTTTTAGTAGAGATGGGGTTTCGCCATGTTGGCCACGCTGGCCTCAAACTCCTGACCTCAAGTGAGCCACCTGCCTCGGCCTCCCAAAGTGCTAGGATTACAGGCATGAGTCACTGCGCCTGGCCAATATTTGAGAAATATTGATCAAGAATAGAATATCTCTGATGCAAAATGCATCATAATAAATGCAAATATATCTTAAAATTTTCAGCATATTTCAATTAATGCAGATTTTATTTAAATTAGCAATGCTTAACCTAGCACAGAGAGACAAGTTTGATTCTGATTTATGAATGAGTTTATTATTTTCCCTAATTTGAACTTTATCTAGCATCTTTGGCTCTATCCACAGACAAAAAGCTATTCTAGGGAGACACTAGTGTCACAAGTAAGGGTCATCATACCATGTAATTGGTTATACTTATTTAGAAAAAAAACTATAGTCATTTGAGAGTTGTTGAAAAAACTAATGTGAAACCTATTTGATAAAACAGATTTTTTCAGCTTTCTTTAAATAGCACAGATTTGTTTTTTAGACTTTAGTAGAGAAACTATCATATTTTTTAAGACTAGTCAAGTGCAGCAGTGAGAAGACAGCAATGAGTAGAACGAGGAGTTCAATCTGTAACTGACTGTGAACAATCTATTGAGATAACTCACTACCTCTGGTCTAGCTGAAACGGTCATTTATCATGGTAATGTTTTAGCCAATAAAATAAACTGACAAAAATAAGTTTTAATTTCTTCAAAGAGATTATGATAGTTACATATAATCCCTTGAAACTTTGCTCATCTGACTATAGAAAAACTGATGGATTGTTTGTTGGGGGCAGCGAAAATCTAGGGACACAGCAACTTGCACAAGAGCAAAAAGATTAATTTCTGAAAAACTATGCATGTTGAGAAGAAAGTTATAATATTACAAAACATAAGAGAAATGTGAGGCTGCAGGTCAAAATGATTTAGTTTTTGTTCCAATATGGGCAAACTGCAATTTGAAAGATACTATTTCACAAGTACAAATATCATTTTATCCACGTGTCTGGGGCACTGGCTATTTCAGCTAGTGGAATATTGTAGTTAATTGTTACTTCGTATTTATTTTACATATGGATGACTGATTTTCAAATATGTACTGTATAAAACTTATGGTTAGTATTAAAAGCTCATATAATTTATTTTGTGAATCAAAAATAAATTCACATTCTCTTATAGCATTATGAACCTAATACACTGTAAATACTGCCAGTATAGTCTAATATAAAATTGGGAGCTGGATTTTTGACATATATATCTACTCATTAATTTAATTAATAAAATAATTTTATTAAGTAAGTCTCTAAAACCATGGTATTCTGAAAATAAGGGTGAAGCAATAAAGAGGAAAGTGAGATTTGAGTTTCTGGTTAGTAAAATTCCAGATAATAATGAGCTTATATGTATTTTCTGAAGTAAGTTCAGAGTGAATAAAAAGAGTAAATTTCCAGGTAATTAAATGAGTAGCTAGTCTGTGTTTTAAACTTTGCAATCTGTGTGAATAATTCTAGATTATGTATACATTACCAAATTGAAAATAAGCTGAAACCACAAATGTAGAACTCCATAATAAATTAAACATTGCTGAGCACTTAGGGTTATTTCAATATTAGCTTAGGAACAGTCATAATTTTAAACAGTGTACTGATTGATGCCAATAAGAGCCCTTTTTAAGAGCTCTAGAACGCATAGTTGTTTTCATTCTTGACCTTGAAAACAAAAAGGCTGAAAAATAAAAATCAAAACTGAAAGTGCTGTTTTATATAATTTAAATTAACTCTATGGAATAATGAAGGCAAAGGGGTCTTACAGCAAGAAAGTATCATAAAATAGCTTGACAGACATATATAAGTGTTGAGGAAAGAGAAAAAAAGAGAACTATATTTCATTTCCAAATTACACAAACACAAATAAATATATAAAATACCACTGATCTTTAATCCACATTTCATTAAGCTACAATCCTTAGTTTTTAAGGAAAACCACATGAGATACCTCAGATAAGTTTCCATCATTGACCACCTTACCTGACACCTCATCTATAATTACAAACAAACTTGGGGTGTGGTTTATCTGCTCTAACAGTAGGACTCTCTGTAGATCATCAGATTCATTTATTAAGAAACCCCACCCCTTACCTGGTGGGAGAAATGCTGTATGCTGTTGTAACTGCATGTTGGCTAGAGCCTGTTGGTATTGGAAAATACCAGTGTTAAAGACTGCGGTGGCACCGTTGGTTTTTTCAAGAGCAGGCCTCTTTGGTAATGGGGGAAGTACAGCTTGAGGAATTCCCTGTTTAGTGAATGAGTATAAAAAACAAATACCAGTAAAAAGAGAAAAAGAAAAAAGAAAAATCAGTCGAAGGCTAAAATTGTTAGGAAGCATGAGCAAGCAAGCAGCAGAGCACTTAACTACCCGAGGGAAAAAATCCAATGAACAAAAAATTAAGGAGGAAAAAAAAAAAAAAAGCAAGATAAAAGCTTTAAAGGAAGCATTATTTTTGTCCAAAACAAAATCTCACTAGTACAAGAGCACATGTTATAATGTGTTAAAGTGCTTTATGTCCCATAATGCTTCAGGCTTTCTGTGAGAAGCCATTGATTTGGGAAAAGAAGAAAAGCCGCACTGCGAGCTCCATGAGGATTGACAAGTATAAGCAATGTTAATAGTTAATTGTACAGAGTGACTGAAACAGATAAAATAAAAACTAACCCACTCTGCTCCTCCCCCCAGATCTACCTAGACATGCAAATGTCCCAGAGCATGCAAGTTTTTTTCCTTAAATACTGAACTATAAATATTAAAATGTAAATAATTCTACCACTAAAGCCATGCTAACCAAACAGGTACATAAATATACAGTCAAAAATACACTCTTTATGTCCTCCGACTATTTCTTCAGAACATTCTACAATGTAGTTAAACTGAATGTGGGCTGCTGGGCTTTCAGAATCTTTTATTGTATGATATCCATCTATGTACTTAGATTATAGTCTTTCTACTAATTTTGTCAGGAAACCACACTCAGTTTTTTCATTGTACTTTACAACTCTATAACAGAAAAAAGGATATATATTTTAAAGTTGATTTAAAAAAAAAACTTGTATCTACAATAAAGCTACATGCCAAGCTAAAAGGTGAAAGGTCATAGTACCAGGTCAAAGGTTGCCTCGAGGGGTCGCTTCAGTGATTTGACAGCCGACTGAGTCTTAATTAGCAGGCAGCGAGCACATGATGGCAATGGGCCAGTGGGGTTCAAGCGCATTAACATAAACAGCAAGCAGAGGTGCATCATGGGGGCAGCAGTGCATTTTTGGGTAGGTGAGAAAAAACAAATAAAAAAACAAATCATCGGAATGCCATATACAACGAATAACAAGACTAAGCATGCACAATAAAGGCACTACTGAGTTGTTATTGGGAGGATAACTCCTCTTTGTAGTTAATTACAAACAAGATACTCTAACAGAAAAAAAAAAGAGTGAAAGGAAGAGAGGAGGAGAGAGTCTGCCTTCTGTATTTTTGCTCAAGTATCCATAAACACAGAAAAGATCTCTCTCGTGATTATTTCACTGTGTTATGAAATACTACACAGTGACTTTTAAAATGAGTATTTCATTGATTTAAGTCATATATTTATGTAAAAAAATGACAACATTAAAACAGGTAAGCAAAGAACAAAGAATGGGCTCATTAAAATCAGCTACTAGATCACATTAAAATTTACCTTGAGAATATAGTTTAGTAGCTATTCTTAATGATCCAATTTCTAACTCCTTGAGTACTGCTGTCTCTCTCCTGTCTATATAATGGCATAGTCAAGCTTCTCTAGTGTTACTATTATGTTTATGCCACAATATTATTTCAGACAATCTAGATAGTATACTACTCAAAATCCTGTAGCTAATTCTAAGAACAATTTTGTTGAACAATTCTCCTAAATAGTTCCAGATCATGTTATTGTTAAAAGCAAGATATATGTAAAGAAGAGCCTTGATGTGCAAAAGAACACACCAAAGGAAAACAATGGCTGATTAGATGGCACACAGAAATAAGAAGACTGAAAATGGCAATATCGTTAAGTTGAAAAGGAGACAGGTGGTTCTTTACAAAGCAGAGATTTCAGAAACCCTACATCCACAATAAGACAGATTAAGAGTTAGGCCAAGAGTAGGAGCAATCTGAACCATTTGAGGAGTTACCCTCACTTCTGTGAAAGTAACTTCTTTATATATTGTCTGGGATACCTGAACAAACATATCTTCAGCAATTTTTTTAAAAAGGTTACTAAATGAATAGCTTGTAGTCAGATATAGTTGCTCACTTTGCTTTTCTGACTGCTAACAAGGAGAGAGCTGATATCTCTACTCACCATGGCAGCTGCGGTGGCTGCAGCCTGTGCAGCTGCAGCCTGGTTGACCTGGTATTGGGCAGCCTTGATCTTGGCTTGCAAATGTGCAGGGGGATGAAAGTATTTGCACTTTTCCCGAGAGCATCTCCCTTTGATGTAATCCATACACACAGTGACTGTGTTGTCATTGGTGTCAATCATTGTGCTGTCAGCAGGATGAGCAAACCGACAATCATTTTCTCCTCGGTTGCAATTGCCACGTTGGTACTCTCGACATACCTATGAGGTCATTAAGTACATGAGGTTTAGTCAACATGAAGAAGAAGAAGCTTTCTGAAGATTTTAACTTAAAGTGCAAGACTGGTGACAGAAGGCTATAGATGAAAAGGGAAAATGATTTTCAAACAAGGCAACAAGTAACTTCAGCATTTCCTAGTTTAGTTACAAATTATAACTCCATTTCAGTATAAATGTCCATAAGAAAATGCATGTATAATGTTAATTATGGTAAAAATACAATCTGAAATGGTGTTGATAAACTTATTAATTGCAAAGGGAAAAATAATAACTTCACAGTAAAGAAACATGGAAAACATCACTTTAACCAAGTGATCAAAATTAATATCACCAATAATGAGACATAATGATGTTGTGTATCTATTGATATGATACAATGAGAAGGGCACACAATCACAGTAGAGGTAGTACTGCCTGAATTTAATCAAGATGAAACATCAGATGAAGTGAATGGAAAGATATTTTACTAATAACCGACTAGTACTCTCCCAAAGTGTCAAGGTCATGCAAGACAGACTGAGATATTATCACAAGCTGGAGGATCCTGGAGTCACAGAAAGAATATTGGGAGGACAATTGGTAAAATTTGATTAAAGTCTGTAGATTGGTTAAACAGCAGCATATCTATGTTAATTTTTCTGGTCTTAAGAGGGATTCTACAGTTATGTAAGATATTAATATTTAGATCAGTAAAGCGTAGACAGAAACTCTTGGGTCCATTTTTGCAACTTTCGTGTAAATATAAAATTATTTCCAAGTGAAAAATATACAAAATCAAATTTGATAGCTTTTTATGAAAATGTTTCCAGGAGTTATTTTTTTGATCTTTAGAGATTCACTTGGTAGCTATATAAAGCAGTAAAAAAAGATTGGTTTTGTTATGTCTGTTTGTTTTATATTTGCTAATTCTGTTAATTTTGCCACGGAGATCTTAGGGAAAAGGCGAGAACATTATTTCTCATTCATCTGCGCAATTTTGACTCTTACTATTTAAAAGCAGTCTTCATTCAGGATACTTTGACCCTTTTACCACAAGAGGGCCATCTAAAACACAGAATGTCCTTTTAATATTTTCGTGCTCTTACTTCAAGCTTCAAGGAAACAGTTTTTAATTGTTCAAGTATCTTTTCACAAATAGCAAACGCAGATACTAAGCACTTTATTTTGAAGTTAAGCAAGAAAGAAAAACTGTAACCCTACTACGACTTAGGAAGCAAAGGTTTTCTTGGATTTGTATAAATACAATGATTGCATTTAAATCTGGGTGTTTTCCCACATTATATTCATATCCTATTATTGAGGAAAGTGTTTCTTAAAGAAGGAGATACTATAATCTGTATCATGCTACATCTTAAAAAAGAGCATTATAAATGATATCTTGCACTACTTGGAAACCTCAACCTAGCTAAAGTTTTGTGTTCCAAATACATACAATGAGCCAGTGTCATTCACCACTACACTCAGTTATTAAGATCACAAAAATGACTTAAAAAGTTATTCAAGATTCTGGTTTTTTATTAGCATATTTATCTTATTGAACATAAGAAAAAAAGTATTACCAAGATTTATAACTTAAAAGCAAAAAATGATCAAGCTGTTACCGAGAATAATTATCCTCCTCTCTGGCTGAACATTAGCATCAGCTATGGAGCTTGCTAAAACAGTACCCAGTACCTAATCAAAATTTATTGTATGTGAGGCTCATCACTATACTCAGGAAGAGTGATGTGCCTACATTAAATAATGATAAAAAGTTGTGTGTGTGTGTGTGTGTGTGTATGCTAAATATATACTACTGCATAAACGAAAGGGCTACTTTTCTGTTTAAGCAAGTCTATGTCAATGTAGGCATCACCAAACAGGAAACTTGCAGAAGGTCTATAAGTGATCTCTCTCAGCTGCTATTTGCTCCCTCAGTAATTCCTGCTTTCTTGAATATGCTCAAAATGAATTGGCAGCAGGGAACTAATACTCTACTTTTCCAATTTAGGTTACTCTTTGCCGCATTAACAAGAAAGAAGACTTGAATTTATTTAGGTTCTGTGTGTATGTATTTGCATGTGTGTGTGTGTGGGGGGGGGGGTTTCTACAGGTTAAGGATTGGTTTATTATAATTTCATGTTCTTTACTCTCCTGTGGAACATTTAGAAAGAATTCTAAAAATATTTAAGCAGACTTAATAACTAAGAATTAGCTCAGAATGTGTCATAAAACCAACCTTTTCTGAGGTTAAAAAAAACTTAGTCAACTGCTTTTGCATAATATGCATGTTTGACTCTTTCATATTTTTATTTTTTTTTACAGCTTACGGTTTCTCCTAAGAAATAGGACAGAAACATACTGTAATAGCTACTCTCACATTATTCTTGCTTGTGAAAAAATAAGGAAGAGAAAATCTCTTGTGAAAACTTGTACTGGTGAGAGTTACAGGCCAGTGGGACTGGAAATTTACCAAGCATTAGATATGCATCTGAATAGTGGGGTACCTATGGGAACATGAACTTCCCAAACCTTCTAAAACACATTTTCCCTAATAGACATCATCAATAAAATGGGATCTATCCCTTGGTTGCTCAATATGAGTTTGATCTGGTTTCTCTGATAAACTCAAGGACACTTTAGACTATGCTGATACCCAAAATAAATCTCTTAGACATACTATTACATTAGTAAATTATAACTGACAACATTTCACAAATTTAATCTCATAATTAAAAACAGGATAAGAAATTATAACATTTATCATACAGAGAATTTGAAACAGAATATAAAATTAAATCTGAAAATTCTAACAACACTGTGGTTCATTTTTCTCTTCTCATCCAGTCTTCTGTATGTATGCACACATTTTTAAAAATAATTGTAATTATAGTATAGCTATTATTTGGTGATCTTTTATGCTCAACAATGCAGCATAAGCATTTCTCATTTTGCTAAATAATTTCCAGAGTGAATACTTTTGATGGCTGCATCAAATTTCATCAAATAGTGTACATAATACAGGTAACTCTTTTGGAGGATATCTAGATAATTTCCAGTATTTCCATATTACAAGTAATATTCCAAGAATATATCCATGACTATAGGCATTTTTCATTATTTTTGGCAGATAAATGTACAGATTTATTGGTATATGTGTATGTACTGGGTCAACACATAAAAATATTTTCTGACTGGGCGCGGTGGCTCAAGCTGGTAATCCCAGTACTTTGGGAGGCTGAGGTGGGTGGATCACTTGAGGACAGGAGTTCGAGACCAGCCTGGCCAACATGGTGAAACCTCATCTCCACTAAAAATACAAAAATTAGCTGGGCATGGTGGCAGGCGCCTGTAATCCTAGCTACTCAGGAGGCTGAGGCACGAGAATTGCTTGAACCTGGGAAGTGGAGGTCGCAGTGAGCCAAGATCGTGCCACTGCACTCCAGCCTGGGCAACAGAGCAAGACTCTGTCACAAAAGAAAAAAAATATTGTTTGATAAATGGTTTTCAAACCTGCATTAAAACAATAAGATCTATTTAGCTACACATATAATGTGATTCAACATGAGCCTTTTACTTTACAAATACTAAGGCAAGATTTGACAATGAAGATATTCACTGAAAACATTTAAGTTCTATTTCCAGAAAAACATCTATGGAATAATTATAAACTTTAAATAATCAAAAGAAAACATAATCAGGAAAATTTCCCAAGAAAATGTAAATTAATTCTAAATAAACCTTCTTTTGTTAACTAAATAGCAATAATATAGCGGACAGACAATAGGGTTTGGAGTCAAAAATTGTGAGTTCCAGTTCCTATCACTTTACTAGCTAAGGAATCTTCACAATGAAAACACTATTAACATCTATTTAAAAGGTCATGAATACTGAATAAAATAATGCATAGCTTACAACACACCATACAAATCTGGATAATATGAATAATCCTGTCATTTGATCTCTAATTTTTTAATACATGAAAAACTATATTTCAAAATGGTCAAAATAACGTAAGTTTTATAAGTAGTATTAAACTCAGCAATGCTCTCAAGTTAAAGCACTGGGATTCTAAGGAGATTAATGTCAATATTTGAATTTATTCAAAAGTGGAGGGTCATTTGCATATTCTTTAAGGAGATATCCCTTTGAGGTAATATGTTTTGTGTTCACCATATTTGTATAATTAACTCAGTCATCTTGGAGAATAACAATCAAAAGCAGGAACAGAAAGCTAATTATAACAAGAAACAGGGACTTTGTCCATTTTAACATTTTGAGAAGTCAATTTAATAGTTAATGGCCAATATTAAGAAACGTATTCAAAGACATATAGCTACATGTTCACCAATAAGCAGCATGGACTTCACTTTCTATTAAGCTGGAACTAACAAGCTAAATTTTTCTAAGTATTACTTTAAAAAGTAATCCTAGATAATCACTTTGATCAATCACTTTGATCAAAGTGTCCACAGCATCGCTGATCATGAGTTTATAATTTAATGTAAAGAAATTATCTCTATTTTCATTTAAAAAGGATTAAAATATCTACTTTGTAATCCTCATAATTCTGGTGATTAGGTAAATGTAACTGTAGTCAATTTATTGTACAATTAAAATCCCTAGATAAATATCGGATGATGTGATTTCTAGTTTCAGTTGGTGATATGGTTTGGCTGTGTCCCCACCCAAACCTCATCTTGAATTCCCACATGTTGTGGGACAGACCCGGTGGGAGGTAATTGAATCATGGGGGCATATCTTTCCTGAGCTGTTCTTAAGATAGGGAATAAGTCTCATGACATCTGATGGTTTTAAAAGGGTTATGTCCCTGTGCAACCTTTTTTCTTGTCTGCCACCATGCAAAACGTGCTTTCCGCCTTCTGCCATGATTGTGAGGTCTCCCTAGCCATGTGGAACTGTAAGTCCAATAAACCTCTTTCTTTTCGTAAATTGCCCAGTCTTGGGTATGTCTTTATCAGCAGCGTGAAAATGGACTAATACATTTGGTTATTCAATAATTGTACATATTTGATCAATTTTTCTCCTTCCAAAAAAATTCAAGAAAAGGACACCTACTTTAGCTACCTCATAGTATTTCTGTTAGGATCAAATGGGAGCATTCTTTGAAGCCTAAAAGGCAGACTCCATCATTACTATTCAGGCCAGAAAACACAAGCATGCTTCTATAGGTAACAGAACTAAGAATCTACCACTTGATCTCTTATAAAAACATAAAATAAAATCTGAATAGGAATGACCAAAGACAGAACCATTAAATCCACTTCCACGTTGTCATTTATTCATTCCCATGAATGACTGTGCAAACCCAAGAGGACAGGAAAATAGACACAACTTTGAAACAAGCTTGTCAATACACCAAATTAGCCATTACCTTATTTCATTTATGTTATTATTATTATTATTATTACTACTTGAGATAGGGTCTCCCTCTGTCACTCAGTCTGGAGTGCAGTGGTGCAATCTCAGTTCACTGCAGCCTCAACCTCCCTGCTCAAGTGATCCTCCCACCTAAGTCTCTCAAGTAGCTGGGACTGCAGGTGTGAACCACTGTTCTTAATATAGCAATTACTATACTCTATACCATATCAAAACTCTAATCACATAGATTAATAATTGACAGAGCCATAGTGTATTAAATTGTTTAAATGAAGATGTGACTACATTTTTAAGAGCCATTCTAAAGTTTATTACAGATATAAAAAAACAACCTACATAAACCTCTATGTGAAAACTCTTAAGGTTTCTTGGCAATTTTCTGGAGATAGTAAAAAAAGTCACACAAGCAGTAGCCAAACATCCTCTACAAAAATGCAAAATTAAAATAATCCTACCGATAAGACTTTCCTACATTATTAAAAGCATCTTCTTTCCTAATCTTTTCTGAATAGAAAGTCTTTTATCCCATCATGTTAAATCCACTAAACACCTAAAAAATCCCAACATAGGCATGCTTTTCACTGTCATTCTAATCCTCATTTAGCTTTAAACGTTCTATTTTTTGTAGTCAATGGGTATTATATTTTTTTCTGCCTACATGAAAAGGGTTATTAGATTCTTCTGTGTAAGTAATGGAA
Organism: Homo sapiens; assembly: GCF_000001405.40. NCBI lineage: Eukaryota > Metazoa > Chordata > Mammalia > Primates > Hominidae > Homo > Homo sapiens. Next base: position 152,439,186 of record NC_000003.12, on the reverse strand, counting down.
ACATACAACAATTAGTGGCCCAAATTAGAAACTTGTGTAATGATTACCTCACAGAATAAAACTTTCAGCCAAGAATAATTTATTTTATATTTTAATACAAGCAAACGCGAACTGAAACTATCAGAAACCAAGTCGTTTGCCCACCTTTCCTGGAATACTCATGCTTTTCTCATATAGACTGCTGATGTAAAAATGGTGCAGCTAACCAAATGTCAATCTAATGTTTTCATCAGTGTCTGGAATACGTGTCCCCTGGTTTTTATTGGATTACGCCTATGTAATATGAATTACCTTAACAGTCATCATTGTTTACCTAAAGTATTTCACTATGCCATGCACAGTGTTCTTACCAACTTATCTGAGGAGACAGATTTTTAATTAAGTTTCACAAAAAACCATATCATTTACAAATACATTAAGTAAACGATGAAAAAGTTGAAGCCTAAATAAGAGATGCTAGTATCTTTTAGTGCATGTGTTTTTAACTATTTGCATTTAGAATCACATGGCAGAAAAATATTATCAAACCCCACTGCAGATCTACTGAATCAATCTTTGGGGATGAGGTCCTACATTTTTAACAATCACCCCATGTGATTCTAATCTCATTAAAGTATGAAAACCACTCCTTTAGGTCTAGGTGCATAACCAAGATGCTGTATTTTATAGCTGAAGTGCTCAAAATGCAAACATGTTTCCAAGGAGAATGTTAACACATGATAAACATTTTTTATATTTTAGTACCTCTGTGGGATTACCCTGAGTCCTGAATAAGGGGATGTATCTTTCTGTGTTTAATTACCTGAGTAACTGGTTGACTGACTCATTTATCCATTCATTTAACAAGTTACTGGGCATCAGTCATGAGTTTGGGCACTATTCTCATGTGGATCTTTTATTGTCATTGATAAGACAGGAATTAAAGCATTTCAAAGACATTTCTCACATCTTCTACTTGAAATATTTTCAACAGTTTTCTACTGAATATCGTTCAGTAAATGAGAGAATGAATGCATTCATGAATTCTTTTTGCACCATAAAAAATTACTGTGCATCTTGAAAATAAGTCAAACAATGATTTCTCCAATTACTAACTCTTTGTAGTAAAGCAGGGGTATGGCTAAAACACTCAGTCTTTCCTAGACTCTACAGATTTGAATAATTTCTTAACATAATCCTGGAAAGAAATTGCTGAGACCAGCCTGGCAAACATGGTGAAACCCCATCTCCACTGAAAATACAAAAATTAGCCGGGCATGGTGGCACACATCTGTAATCTCAGCTACTCAGGAGGCTGAGGCAGAAGAATTCCTTGAACCTGGGAGGTGGAGGTTGCAGTGAGCTGAGATCGCGCCACCGCACTCCAGCCTGGGCAACAGTGTGAGACTTAGTGTCAAAAAAAAAAAAAAGTATGAATTTTGGAGTACAGAAAGTACTTGGCAACAAAGTCTTTTAAAAGATAGTCAGTAAAGAAAGGATAATATGAATATTGATATAAATCTCATGTTGTGTGTATATGTGATATATGTAATATATGCTTATAGATATATGTATATAATTTTTAAAAATAAATGTTTCAGTAGCTTGTGGCTGGTGTTAAAAACAAGAAAATGACCTAAATGTCCCTAGAATGTTCTAACTGGAAGTGACCTTAGAGATTATCTGGTGCAACCCCCTAATTTTACATGTAAGGAATATGAAGCCCAGAGAATAAGAGCATCTCGATCCAAGCTGACTCACCTAATTAGCAACATCACATGCAGTAATTCTTGAATTCCTGTTTTCCAATTTAACATTTTTTTTCTGTAGTATCACACTGGGTGCTGTAAAGATGTCAGTTTTAAGCAATTATGTAAGAACCAGAAGGCTGACAATCTATGGTATTTTAAATTTCTTTACTGTCTAACAAGTTGCAGTAAAAAGAGAGGAAGAAGTGGCAAGAAGAACTGGCCAATAGTTTAACTGATTCCGAAAATTTTTCACCTCAGAAGGAACTCAACATTCAAAAATATGCTTCAGAATTTCACAAGGAAGAAGTAGAGTATACATTTAAATGCCAAATGACCAAACATTTGGTCAATTAATAAGTGTGTGCATTTATTGCCATGTCTTTTAGACTTCAATACGTAATGCAATTAGCATGCGAGGAAATAACCTGCAGATAGGATTGTCTAAAATCACAAGCACAGAGCAGAAAGATAAGCCTCTGAGCTTCACACGGCAGTATCCTAACAGGTTGTAACTGTGACACTGGATCAGATCCTGTTAACAAGAATAAGACAGGAAGCTGCACTACAATCAAGCATTTAGATCAGCAGGATTCAGATAAAAGGGAAATGACAGTTGATGCAGTTGTAACCGTTTGTGCTGACTACAGCAAAAGAAAACAGACAAAATACGCTAAGTAGCTCCTCACAAAAAGAAAAAACTCAAAGACAAAAGTCTTCATTTCAATTAAGCACTACAAAATATAACCAGTAACAAACTACCTGAAACTGTGAATGTGGCAGGATTGGATTAGAAGAGTTATAACCAGCTTTTTGAATATCATCTATTAATAATTAATTCATTAAAGTTAATCTCAGACTTCTTATTTGGATCCCACTAATCAATCAACAATTATGCATTAAGAACTCAGGGTTTGCTTTAGAAAGGTTGGGGGAATAAAACTGCTTCACATGCTGAGGATCCAATAATTTCAGATATTTAAAAATTTTTAAGTTTCCTCTTAATCCATCTGCAAACAGCATTAGTTAATTAATAAGCAAGTACAGTTGTGTAATGACAAATCACTCAAAAATCCAGGTGTATCAGGTGTATCTACCTAACAAGAAAGAGTTGCTTCACATCTCTTCTCCTAAAATCATTTCCCTGTAAAAGAGAATTAATAATAGTATCTTCCTCATAAGATTGTTTTGAGCATTAAACCTGCGATGCATGTGTCTGGTATATGATTGTCAATATGCTAAAATCTGACAGCCTTTGTAATATATGCAACAAAAGTTAATAAATAATAAATCAGCTTATTAACTAAATTCCTGCTAAACTGACAAAGTATTAGAATCAATTATGTTCATACAACAGCCTCAGTTTGCCAGTTTCTCAGTAAAATTTATCAGCACTAAGTATTGCCTCATCCTCAGGAGGAGGAAATAAAAGGTATCCAAATAGGAAGAGAGGAAGTCAAATTATCCCTGTTTGCAGACAACTTGTTTCTTTATTTAGAAAACCCCATAGTCTCGGCCCAAAAGCTCCCTGATCTGATAAACAACTTCAGCAAAGTTGCAGGACACAAAATCAATGTATAAAAATCAGTAGCATTCCTATAAACCAGCAACATCCAAGCCGAGAGCCAAATCAGGAGTGCATTCCCATTCACAATTGCCACAAAAAGAATAAAATACTTAGGAATAACAGTTAAGCAGGGAGGTGAAAGCTCTCTAAAATGAGAATGACAAAACACTCCTCAAAGAAATCATGGATGACACATAACAAACTGAAAAACATTCCATGCTCATGGATAGGAAGAATCAGTAACATTAAAATGGCCATACTGCTCAAAGCAAGCTATACATTCAATGTTATTCCTGTCCAACTACCAATGACATTCTTCACAGAATTAGAAAAAAAACTATTTAAAAATTCATATGGAATAAAAAAAGAGCCTGGATAGCCAATGCAATCTTAAGCAAAAATAACAAAGCTGTAGGCATCACATTACCTGACTCAAACTATACTACAAGGCTACAGTAACCCAAACAGCATGGTACTGGTGCAAAAAAAGACACACAGACCAATGGAACAGAACAGAGAGCCCAGAAATAATGCAGCACACTTACAACCATTTGATCTCCAACAAAGTTGACAATAACAAGCAATGAGGAAAGGACTCCCTATTCAATAAATGGTGCTAGGATAACTGGCTAGCCATACACAGAAGATTGAAACTGGACCCCCTCCTTACACCATATACAAAAATCAACTCAAGACGGATTAAAGGCTTAAATGTAAAACCCAAAACTATAAAAACCCTGGAAGATAACCTAGGAAATACCATTCTTGACATAGGACCTGGCAAAGATTTCATGACAAATATGCCAAAAGCAATCGCAACGAAAAAAAAAAATGGAAAAATGATATCTAATTAAACTAAAGAGCTTCTACACAGCCAAAGAAACTATCAACAGAGTAAACAGCCTACAGAATGGGAGAAAATATTTACAAACTATGCATCCCACAAAGGTCTAATATCTAGAATCTGTAAGGAACTTAAATTTACGAGCAAAAAACAAACAACCCTATTACAAAGTGGGTGAAGGATATAAACAGATGCTTTTCAAAGAAAGATATACATGTGGCCAACAAGCATATGAAAAATTCCCATTATCACTAATCATTAGAGAAATGCAAATCAAAACCACTAGATACCATCTCACACCAGTTAAAATGTCTATTATTAAAAAGTCAAAAAATAATGAATGTTGACAAGGTTGCAAAGAAAAAGAAACAATTATACACTGCTGGTAGGAGTGCAAATTAATTCAACCATTGTGGAACACAGTGTGGCAATTCCTCAAAGACCTAAAAACAGAAATACCATTCGACCCAGTAATCCCATTACTGGGTATATACCCAAAGGAATATAAATCATTCTACCATAAAGACACACACGTGTATTCACTGCAGCACTATTCACAATAGCAAAACATAGAATCAACTTAAGTGCCCATCAATAGTAGCCTGGATAAAGAAAATGTGGTACATATACACCATGGAATACTATGCAGACATAAAAAAGAATGAGATCATGTCCTTTGCAGCAACACAGATTGAGCTGGAGGCCATTATCCTAAGCAAACTAATACAGAAGCAGGAAACCACATAACCACATGTTCTCACTTGTAAGTGGGGGCTAAATGATGAGACCTCATGGACACAAAGAGGGAAATAACAGATGTTAGGGCCTATTTGAGGGTGGATGGTGGGAGAGGGGAGAGGATCAGAAAAAGTACCTATTGGGTATTGCGCTTATTATCTGGGTGATGAAATAATCTCTACACCAAACCCTCATGATATGAAGTTTACCTATATAAAAACCTGCACATGTACTCCTGAACCTAAAATGCAAGTTAAAAAAATATATTGCCTCATCCTCACCAGGGAAAAGAGGAAAAGGTCATTTTGTTCTTTAGGTGGGTTCAATGAATGACACGTTTGTACCTTCAGTGTACATTTGATGCTGTCACTTTTTCTCTACATCTATAGTTTACCAAATTCATTAATTCACAGTCATGCTGAAATTCTGAACAACCACTTTGAAATAAGATTTAAAACTTTAATATCTTTTTCATGTACCAACAGCAGAGCCCACACATCTGATCATCCTTTACTCTAGAACTTAGAGGATTATGCAAAAAACTTTTTTTTTTTTTTTTTTGAGACGGAGTCTCGCTCTGTCGCCCAGGCTGGAGTGCAGTGGCGCGATCTCGGCTCACTGCAAGCTCTGCCTCCCGGGTTCACGCCATTCTCCTGCCTCAGCCTCCCGAGTAGCTGGGACTACAGGCGCCCGCTACCACGCCCGACTAATTTTTTGTATTTTTAGTAGAGATGGGGTTTCACCGTGTTAGCCAGGATGGTCTCGATCTCCTGTCCTCGTGATCCGCCCGCCTCGGCCTCCCAAAGTGCTGGGATTACAGGTGTGAGCCACCGCGCCCGGCCGCAAAAAACTTTTATGAGAGCATACTTCATAAGGTTTTCTTTCTACTTCAACCAAAATATTGTACAGCTTATGAGGAAACTTGCAATAATAAATTGTAAAATGTTTTATAGACACTAATATTTGTTAATCTTTATGAGAACAATTTTTAGGGGATTGATAATATTTGTTATTCTTGATAGCTGCAACAACAACAACAACAACAAACATTCAGGAGGCATTTGCTATGTGCCAGATATTCCCCTAACTCTTTGAGGTAAGCGCCGTTTTAAAGATGAGGAAATTGAGGTACAGTGATGTAACCAGGCAATGTGACTTTAGCGTCCAACCTCTTATCCACTATTCTAAACATGGATGTTGTAGCCTTTATAAACGTTACATTAATCAAATACAGCATTATCTATACTCTAGTAAAATGTTCCAAACCCTAAGCCAAAATCTGTTTTAAAATTTTTACAACTTTTTGGCCATGGAAACACACAAACAAACAAAAAACCACACTTTGAGAATTAGAATGTAGTATATAAAGACACCAACTAGTCATTCCTACCTCAAGTCTGTCTGTTCGCATTAATTTCTGTGCAGCAGCTGCAGCAGCTGCAGGTACAGGGACACCCGGATTCCCTGTAACCAACATTGGTGCAGTCGGCAAGATCTCTGCCGGGACCAGGCTTGGAGAAACAGGTCCCAGATAGGGATTAAAGGCGGCTGCTGATGCATTGGTGGCTAAGCTTGGTGCAACTGAAAACATTGGCTGAAAAATAAAATAAAAGCAAAATTTAACATGCAGGTCTCAGCTCAAAGTTGATATTCTTAATTATACATTTGTCCTCCATCCATCTATCCATTCTTCCTTAGGCCTTCCCTCCTTCCCTTTAATCCTGTGTTCATTTACTATCATTTAGGGTAAGGCTGTTTTATTAAATAAACATTCATCAAATCAATGTTTTTCTAAAATATAATAAGTAAAATATCCATTAAATTATTCACTGGAATTTTGTAGCTGAGGGTCTATAATACTTGTATTTTTTTTTTGAAAAATAGATAAACTATGCAGAAACTTCTTGTGGTCATCTAATCTTCATCTTTGTCCTGATTTAATTCTAGATATTTGTCTAACAAATACATTTTGTAATTGCTATGTCAGATGTACTTGAAAGACCTGTTTACAACTGTTAATAGGTTGCAAGTGTCCTATTATCTGGAATAAATAAAGTAGAACTCCCAGGGGATAAAAGAGTTTCACAGTCAATGTAAGCTGTAAATAAATCTCATGGGGTATGTGAAAGGTGATGATGACACCTTGCCTTTTGAGCACATAAGATAAAGTGTTTGGTATATTTACTTGATGGTGATTTTCCTGGGGGAAATTATAAGTGTTCCACTAGCCTATCACACCTTATTAGGGGAAAACAAGTCTGAAATGTGAAGTTTGAAGTAGAACTGCTACTAAAGAAATGCTACATGATTGGTCAAGGAAATACATATGGCAGCACTGAATAAACTGCTACAAGACAGAATTTCTTCCAGAAATGCTTTCGTGGATATATAAGGATTGTTTCTATTTGTTGATATGCAAACTTGCATATCATAAAATATATTTGTTCTTGAATAGCATTAATTTACCTGAAATCTAACAATTTGTTTTTCTAGTATTTAAAGTATAACAGAACACAATTTCATACCTTATTCATAGTACATTTTTAACTTCCTAATAGAGTCTCAATTCTAATTCTTGAAGTTTAATGCTTCGTTTAATAATGTTTGTTTCTGAAACACAAAAGCTTGTAGGCAAAACGGATGCTGTTCTTTAAGGTAATATTTAACAATTTATTTTCTTTACTCAGCAGTAATGAACAGAATTATAGAAGACTCTTTAGAATAAAAGAGACATTAGAATGTATTAATAACTAATTCTGCCATCTGACAGGAATAAGAAGTTACATGATATCTGAATATATGTAGTATTCAAGAGAGCTCTGTAGTAAAACTTTTTGCAATATAAGGTATATATTACAAATGTAATTCTTATAGTACAAAAGAAATTTGTTAAAAGATAAAATATATCCTCTATTCACTCTGGCCCTGATTCTATATTTAGAAAAATAAAATGAATTTCAAGTATTCCCTTTTTCTTAGGGCAGTGGTTTTCAACTGAGTTATTTTGCCTCTCAGGAGACACCTGGCAATGTCTAAAGACATTTTTGGTTGTCACAGCTGGAGGGGAACTATTATATTCAATGGATGGACGCCAGGGATGCTGCTAAGTGTCCTACAACATACAAGACAGCCCCTCGCAACAAAGAATTATCCAGCCCCAAAAGTCAATACTGTCAATGTTAAGAAGGCCTTTCTTAGGGAACTCTTCTGTTGACCTCAAAAATTGCTTGGGAAACAAACTCTTTGCATTTAGCTATACATTTTTACTAACAAAAATATGAAAAAACAGAATATGTAATACCTAATGTGATTCATTGAGAAGAAACAATACAATATAGATTATACCATTTCAACTTAAAATAATTATGCCTCTGAACATGTTGGTTTGAATGCCATGTTTAGCTGCTCTGCCAGGTCGATGGCTCTTGCCTGATGAAGTGCCCTCAAGTAGCACCTCTAATCCCCAACCCCTCCCAGCACAAAGCAGCAACCTGCAGACAACAAGAACTATCTGTGCATTCCAAATCTTATCAACAAGCTGTCAGAAACTAGGGCCTAGGGCATTCTCTGTCCACCAACACTTCCCTGAGCCGCAGCTGACTTAATGCTGTGCCACTGTCCACTCTCTGCCCAGGTGACAGCAGGACAAGGATTGATTGTATACTGAATATATGTTGAACTTGGATTTCTATTCAAGGATATTCAGGTTAAACTTGTACTTTGTTATACATTGTCAGATTGCATATGAAAATCCAGCCAGACCAGCACCCTAATTTCTATATTAGTCATTTAAGAATTATAAGAAATTTAGCATAGAAGACTAAAAGAGTCTATGTCAGGGGACTAACAGACTAGTTTAGCAAATGGACAACAGAAGCTATTCATTATCATTCCTCTTTGCATTCTTTTACTATGAATAAACATGTATTTCCAGATAGTGCATTTTTAATGTATACTTCAGAAAGTTATTGAGATGTTTATATTATTGCACATAATCTACTATAATTATTTAAAAGCAAAGGTCAAATTTAAAAATGTTTTTGGAAGAAAAAGCAATTTTTATTTTAATAAAATGAGACCAGAGGCTAATAAAACTCAGCTCTCTAAATCTCGTCAAATAAAATACACTGGAAATCTAAAAATGCATATGATGCAGCTGTTGCACATTACAGGCAGAATAATACTTTTATTATGTAAAAATACTGCTTTTAATAACTGGCAATAATATTTCCTGAGTTGTTTCTATAGAGTCATCAAGACAATTGATCTTTCACTTTAATTCAGCAGAGCAAATTCAAATCTGAACAATTTTAGGGCACTGTCCCCAAGTAAAGTCGGTAGGAGCGTTTAAAAATGTGAAACATCAACTATTCAGCAAGCACTATCTCAAATTGTTCCCTCTTTCGATAAGTAGAGCTATTTGCCGAACAGGCAGACAATCAGTAACAATAGCTTTATACTTTGAAACTTGATTCCAAAAGACAGACAGACAGACAGACACACACACACACACACACAAACACACACCATTCCTTCATTTATTTTAAATTTTTGTAAATTTGTTACATCACTTTAGTTATATTGTTTTTTCAAGGAGCGCCATGTTGAAGATAGGTCACTGCTAGCCCCATCAGAGAGTGCCCTAATCAGAGAAATCAGATTAGGAAAGCACTTGACCTGCACTACTGCCAGTTTTCTATTCCAAAAGCTAACCTGCAGGGGGTTCAGCAGAATCTCAAAGACAGATATTAATGCAATGTTGTTATCAAGTGGCATCCTGTTTTCTCTGAAGGATAACATATAACAATGTAATTGGTATATTTGATACTGACTATATTCTTGTGATAATGATTTGTAAGTATCTCTGTTCCTGAAAGACATAAGAAAGTTTGGTTTATAATTGCCTTTTGCCAATGAACATCCTCATCAGAGAAAAACAAAGTACAAACTTACTAATTCTGGTGCTGTTTATGGGTTAATCACTTGTTTGTTTTAAATCAGACATTGATTCCATTAAGGTAATCAGACTTCATTATAAATCAAAGTGTTAATTTCATATTATGACCCCAGTTAACTATGCAAACATGATTATTAGTAGTAATTCCTTATTTATTTTGTGTCAGCATCATGCTGAGTGCTTTATCGGTGCTATTTATTGTATTTAATCCTTACAACAGTAGAGTATAAATTCCCTTGGTAATTTTCTTTTCTTTTGTGTTTTTTGAGGGGTACAGATCAGAAGAGATCTGTTTAGTTCCCTACTAAATCTCCAGAGCCTGGAACAATGCCTGGCACACAGTAGGCGCTCAATAAATACCTGTTGAATTAGTACTTGAGTGAATGAATGAATGAGTGAATTGCAGCCTTCTGAAGTGGGTATTAGCCCCATTTTTGCAGATAAGGAAAAAGGATCACAAAGATTATGTGTCTATAGACACAAATGAGTGAATCAAAGGCCTAGGATGTGACCACAGGTATGTCTGATTCCAAGTGGTTGTGATAAAGTGGTTTTCACACAATGAACCAGGTGTCCATTAAAATCATCCGGAGGACTTTTAAACCGTGAATGCCCTGGCCACTCCTCACTCGTCAGAATCTCTGGTAAGTGGCAGTATTTTTTGAAAGCTCCTAGGTGATTCTAGTTCCACACACTATGTGGTTTTCTACAGATATAGGTACATTTTTCTGACTGTAAGTAAGGTCTCTAAGGATACATGTTCCCTTATAGCTCTTTTCTTTTAAACATGGTTTATCCTCCACATTGAATGCTACCTGTGCCTAGCCAATCTGTTTAATTCCTAATTGTGCTTCAAGAATTAGGACTCTTTAGGTAAGTTTCTCTTGATCCATCTACATCTCTAACTATAAAGGGGTTTTTCTTACCCTCTGTTCCCACGAACTCCTAATTACTCGAATCAGCATATACCACTGCCAGTGTTTACCTGAATATCTCCTCTAGTCTGACAAGACTGGAGGCTCCTAGAGGGCAGACTTTTGCTTTATGTCTTGTTCATGTTATGTATACGCTGCGTTTAGCATCTATACAGATCTTCTACAAACATTTACTTAACATATATACTAATGGATTTGCTGCTTTTCTCTGCCACAGAAACAAGCAAATACATTAAATATTCTTTAGAATATATACTTGAATGTGAAATAAAAGTGATTGTTTCTTTCTTTACCTCAAAATTCAATAATTACTATCTCTAATATACCTGTCCAAAGTTTATTTTTTCCTTTTGTTTTGCAATTTTTTATATTAAGCTTTCTAAGTTTCAGTAATGTAGTTACCATGCTGTAATGTTGCAAATATCACAGGGGCTGATATTTATCTTAAAACACCATGTGAACACTGTTTGTTTTGCAATGTTTGAGATTTAAAAAAAAAATAGAGGGAGTATATGTAACAAATAATATGTAATCAATATCAGATGAAATTCACAGATCACAAATTTTAAGTCATATTATTCTAGATTTTATGTATGTATATAAAGAAATAAAATATTTTAAAAAATTTTTTTAATTTTTAAATATTTTTTAAAATTTTTAAAATTTTTATTTTAAAAATGTTTTTAATATAAAAAAATTTTTTTTAAAAAAGCACACATAATCAAGGTATATGAAAGCATGTTTCTGGGTAGGCATAACCCTGTAACTAGTCTCACTGAACTATTTTGAATATAAACAGTGCCAAAAGCTAACAGGAGTTATCAACAAATTCATATTATAAAGTTCTTTTTTTCTAAGAAAGCAGGGCCAGGCACAGTGGGTCTGGCCTATGATCCCAGCACTTTGTGAGGCTGAGGCAGGAGAATCACTTGAGCCCAGGAGTGTGAACTTACAGTATGCTACGACTGCACCACTGCCTTCTAGCCTGGGTGACAAAGCAAGACCCTCTATCTTTAAAAAAAGGGTAGCAAATGACGAATAAAATAAGAGATACTGTTATAACTTTGCTCCTAGACTGACTTGTAACTGGATAAATCAATGAGTACCTCCTTCATTCTTAGTTTCACTTTATCCTTCAATCCAGTTTGACTGAAATAACAAACATTTAAATAAAGAACACTCTGGACTTCCTAGTAGAAAGGTATCAACCAGGCATGGCCTAGTTCCTAAAATCCAGGGCCCATTCTCTCAGGCTGTTTGAGGATTCACAGGCTCCTTAATGGAAAAAGGCAGTAACAACAGCAGGATGGATGAAAGACTACTCAGAGAAACTGACATGGAAACATTTTACCAGAAACACTCTGGGATAAAGTGCCTTATCTCAACCATTACCTGGATAAAGTGGAAAGTAAAGAACCAAAAAACTATTTAAGAATTCTAGGTGTTCCTGGAAGAATGAATGACAAATGATGACTTCAAAGCATTCTGCATCTGAATGGCAACAAATGCTTGGAACATGATGTGACAGCAAAGTCTATCTAGGTTACAGAAGCAGCAAAGAAGCTCTCAAGACATTAGCTAAAACCAGAAACTGAATTTCTCTATTCCTAGGCTATTTCAAAGTTCATGTAATGCACAGGATTTCTACACAAATTATGGACCCTGAGATAGCTAATTTGTTTACCCAAAGAATAGCTGCCATCACAAATTATAGATAGCCAAGGTTAACTTTGGGATCACAGGTAAAGGCACATGAGACCATTACTAGAGAAACTCCAGATATCATGCAAAGCTCTTTATAACCACTGCTTATGTAGAGCTCTTTGAGGGCAATGAAGAGAGCCTGGCAACAACAGAATTTCTGAAGGACACTTGGCTGGGATGCACTAAAGAAATCTACCAGAGGTCTCCAGGTTGCAAGCCATGATATACAGCCTATTTTTGGTTAAATTATGTACCAATTTTTCATCAGACAAAATTTGCACCAGACAGTATGTGACAAAGTAAAAATAATAATTTGGAAAAAGAATCCAGAAGTTTTATTTTTTTGATTATTTTTGATTTTTATTATACTTTAAATTCTGGGATACATGTGCAGAACGTGCAGGTTTGTTACATGGGCATACATGTGACATGGACATGGTGGTTTGCTGCACTCATCAACCCATCATCTACATTAGGTATTTCTCCTAATGCTATCCCCCACCTTGCCCCACAACCCCCAGGAGGCCCCAGTGTGTGATGTTCCCCCCCCGTGCCCACATGTTCTCATTGCTCAACTCCCACTTATGAGTGAGAACATGAGATGTTTGGTTTTCTGTTCCTGTTGTTAGTTTGCTGAGAATGATGGTTTCCAGCTTCATCCATGTCCCTGCAAAGGACAGGAACTCATTCTTTCCTATGGCTGTATAGTATTCCATGGTGTATATGTGCCACATTTTCTTTATCCAGTCTATCATTGATGGACATTTGGGTTGGTTCCAAGTCATTGCTATTGTGAATTGTGCTGCAATAAACATACGTGTGCATGTGTCTTTATAGTAGAATGATTTACAAAACTGAGTATATACCCAGTAATGGGACTGCTGGGTCAAATGTTATTTCTAGTTCTAGATCCTTCAGGAATTGCCACACTGTCTTCCACATGGTTGAACTAATTTACACTCCCAACAGTGTAAAAGCATTCCTATTTCTCCACATCCTCATCAGCATCTGTTGTTCCCCGACTTTCTAATGATTGCCATTCTAACTGGTGTGAGATGCTATCTCATTGTGGTTTTGATTTGCATTTCTTTCTTTTTTTTTTTTTCTGAGACAGATCCTCTCTCTGTTACCCAGGCTGGAGTGCAGTGGCGTGATCTCGGGTCACTGCAACCTCCGCCTCCCAGGTTCAAGCGATTCTCTTGCCTCAGCCTCCTGAATAGCTGGGACTACACGTGTGTGCCACCATGCCCGGCTAATTTTTTGTATCTTTAGTAGAGACAGGGCTTCACTGTGTTAACCAGGATGGTCTTGATCTCGGCTGCCCTGGCCTCCCAAAGTGCTGGGATTACAGGCGTGAGCCACCACACCCGGACCCTGATTTGCATTTCTCTAATGACCACCGATGATGAGCTTTTTTTCATACATTTGTTGGCCACATAAATGTCTTCTTTTGAGAAGTGTCTGTTCATATCCTTTGCCCACTTGTTGATGTTTTTTTTTTTCTTGTAAATTTGTTTAAGTTATTTGTAGATTCTGGATATTAGCCCTTGGTCAGATGGATGATTGCAAAAATCTTCTCCCGTTCTGTAGGTTGCCTGTTCACTCTGATGATAGTTTCTTTTGCTGTGCAGAAGCTCTTTAGTTCAATTAGATCCCATTTGTCAATTTTGGCTTTTGTTGCCATTGCTTTTGGTGTTTTAGTCATGAAGTCTTTGCCCATGCCTATGTCCTGAATGGTAGTGCCTTGGTCTTCTTTTTATGGTTTTGGGTCTTACATTTAAGTCTTTAATCCATCTTAATTTTCGTATAAGGTGCAAGAAAGGGGTCCAGTTTCAGTTTTCTGCATATGGCTAGCCAGTTTTCCCAACACCATGTATTATATACAGAATCCTTTCCCCATTGCTTTTGTCAGGTTTGTCAAAGATCAAATGGTGGTAGATGTGTGGTGTGATTTCTGAGGCCTCTGTTCTGTTCCAATGGTCTATATATCTGTTTTGGTACCAGTACTATGCTGTTTTGGTTACTGTAGCCTTGTAGTATGAAGTCAGGTAGTGTGATGCCTCCAGCTTTGTTCTTTTCGCTTAGGATTGTCTTGGCTATACAGGCTGTTTTTTGGTTCCATATGAAATTTAAAGTAGTTTTTTTTTTTTTCTAATTCTGTGAAGAAAGTCAATGGTAGCTTGATGGGAATACCATTGAATCTATAAATTACTTTGGACAGTATGGCCATTTTCACGATATTGATTCTTTCTATCCATGTGCATGGAATGTTTTTCCATTTGCTTGTGTCCTCTCTTATTTCCTTGAGCAGTGGTTTGTTGTTCTCCCTGAAGAGGTCCTTCATATCTCTCGTAAATTATATCCATAGGTAATTTATTCTCTTTGTAGCAATTGTGAATGGGAGTTCACTCATGATTTGGCTCTCTGTTTGTCTATTATTGGTGTACAGGAATGCTTGTGATTTTTGCACATTGATTTTGTATCCTGAGACTGCTGAAGTAGCTTATCAGCTTAAGGAGTTTTGGGGCTGAGATGATGGGGTTTTGTAAATATACAATCATGTCATCTGCAAACAGAAACAATTTGACTTCCTCTCTTCCTACCTGAATATCATTTATTTCTCTTGCCTGATTGCCCTGGCCAGAACTTCCAATACTATGTTGAATAGGAGTGGTGAGGGAGGGAATCCTTGTCTTGTGCCAGTTTTCAAAGGGAATACTTCCAGCTCTTGCCCATTCAGTATGATATTGGCTATGGGTTTGTCATAAATAGCTCTTATTATTTTGAGATACATTCCATCAATACCTAGTTTATTATTTTTAGCATGAAGGGATGTTGAATTTTATTAAAAGCCTTTTCTGCATCTATTGAGATAATCATGTGGTTTTTGTCATTGGTTCTGTTTATGTGATGGATTATGTTTATTGATTTCCATATGCTGAACCAGCCTTGCATCCCAGGGATGAAACCGACTTGATCATGGTGGATAAGCTTTTTAATGTACTCTGGATTTGGTTTGCCAGTATTTTATTAAGGATTTTCGCACCGATGTTCACCAGGGATATTGGCCTGAAATTTTCTTTTTTTCTTGTGTCTCTACCAGATTTTGGTATCAGGACGATGCTGGCCTCACAAAATGAGTGATGGAGGAGTCCCTCTTTTTCTATTGTTTGGAATAGTTTCAGAAAGAATGGTACCAGCTCCTCTTTGTACCTCTGGTAGAATTCGCCTGTGAATCCGTCTGGTCCTGGGCTTTTTCTGGTTGATAGGCTATTATAATTACTGCCTCAATTTCAGCACTTGTTATTGTTCTATTCAGGGATTCGACTTCTTCCTGGTTGAGTCTTGGGAGGCTGTACGTGTCCAGGAATTTATCTATTTCTTTTAGGTTTTCTACTTTATTTGCATAGAGGTGTTTATAGTATTCTCTGCTGGTAGTTTGTATTTCTGTGGGATCAGTGGTGATATCCCCTTTGTCATTTATATTGTGTCTATTTGATTCTTCTCTTATTAGTCTGGCTAGTGATCCATCTATTTTGTGAATCTTTTCAAAAAACCAGCTGCTGGATTCATTGATTTTTTGAAGGGTTTTTTGTATCTCTATCCTTCAGCCCTGCTCTGATCCTACTTATTTATCTTCTGCTAGCTTTTGAATTTGTTTGCCCTTGCTTCTCTCGTTATTTTAATCGTGATGTTCAGGTGTCAATTTTATATCTTTCCTGCTTTCTCCTGTGGACATTTAGTGCTACAAATTTCCCTGTAAACACTGCTTTAGCTGTGTCCCAGAGATTCTGGTACATTGTGTCTTTGTTCTCACTGGTTTCAAAGAACTGATTTATTTCTGCCTCAATTTCATTATTTACCTAGTAGTCATTCAGGAGCAGGTTGTTCAGTTTCCATGTGGTTGTGTGGTTTTGAGTGAGTTTCTTAATCCTGAGTTCTAACTTGATTGCACTGTGGTCTGAGAGACTGTTTATGATATCTGTTCTTTTGCACCTTTTGAGGAGTGTTTTACTTCCAATTATGTAGTTGATGTTAGAATAAGTGCTATGTGGTGCTAAGAAGAATGTATATTCTGTTGATTTGGGGTGGAGAGTCCTGTAGATGTCTATTAAGTCTGCTTGGTCCAGAGCTGAGTTCAATTCCTGAATATCCTTGTTAATTTTCTGCCTCGTTGATCTGTCTAATATTGACAGTGGGGTGTTAAAGTCTCCCATTATTATTGTGTGGGAGTCTAAGTCTCTTTGTAGGTCTGTAAGAACTTGCTTTATGAATTGGGTGCTTCTGTATTAGGTGCATATCTATTTAGGATAGTTAGCTCTTCTTGTTGCATTGATCCCTTTACCATTATGTAATGCCCTTCTTTGTCTTTTTTGATCATGGTTGGTTTAAAGTCTGTTTTATCAGAGACTAGGATTGCAACTCCTGCTTTTTTTTTTTTTTTTTGCTTTCCATTTGCTTGGTAAATATTCCTCCATCCCTTTATTTTCCCTTTATTTTGAGACTATGTGTGTCTTTGCACGTAGGATGGGTATCCTGAATACAGCACACTGATGGGTCTTGACTCTTTATCCAATTTGCCAGTCTGCGTCTTTTAATTGAGAGATTTAGCCTGTTTACATTTAAGGTTAATATTGTTATGTGTGAATTTGATCCTGTCATTATGATGCTAGCTGGTTATTTTGCCTATTAGTTGATGCAGTTTCTTCATATGTCAATGGTGTTTACATTTTGGTATTTTTTTTTTTAGTGGTCGGTACGAGTTTTTCCTTTCCATATTCAGTGCTTCCTTCAGGAGTTCTTGTAAGGCAGGCCTGGTGGTGACAAAATCCCTCAGCATTTACTTGTCTGTAAAGAATTTTATTTCTCTTTCACTTATGAAACGTAGTTTGTCTGGCTATGAAATTCTGGGTTGAAAATTCTTTTAAGAATGTTGAATATTGGCCCTCACTCTCTTCTGGCTTGTAGGGTTTCTGCAGAGAAATCTGCTGTTAGTCCCTTTGTGGGTAACCTGACCTTTCTCTCTGGCTGCCCTTAACATTTTTCCTTCATTTAAACCTTGGTGAATCTGACGATTATATGTCTTGGGGTTGCTCTTCTCGAGGAGTATATTTGTGTCGTTCTCTGTATTTCCTGAATGTGAATTTTCTGCACCCAGTTTAAACTTATCAGCGGCTTTGTTTACACTGTTTGGGGAAAACTGCCTCTTCAAGCCTCAGTAATAGCAAATGCCTTCCCCCAACCAAGCTCCTTAGTCCCGGGTTGACTTCAGACTGCTAGGCTGGCAGCGAGAATTTGAAGCCAGTGGATCTTAGCTTGTTGGGCTCCATGGGGGTGGGATCCACTGAGCAAGAACACTCGGCTCCCTGGCTTCAGCCGCCTTTCCAGGGGAGTGACTGGTTCTGTCTTGATGGCATTCTGGGCACCACTGGGGTACGAAAAAAATCTCCTGCAGCTAGCTCAGTGTCTGCCCAAACAGCCTATCTTGCTAGGTTGGGGAAGTTCTGGCTAATATCCTGAAGTGTGTTTTCCAACTTGGTTCCATTCTCCCCATCACTTTGAGGTACACCAATCAAACGTAGGTTTGGTCTTTACACACAGTCCCATATTTCTTGGAGGCTTTGTTCATTCCTTTGCATTCTTTTTTCTCTAATCTTGTCTTCACGCTTTATTTCATTAAGCTGATCTTCAGTCTCTGATATCCTTTCTTCCACTTGATCGATTCAGCTACTGATACCTGTGTATGCTTCACGAACTTCTCATGCTGTGTTTTTCACCTCCATCAGGTCATTTATGCTCTTCTCTAAACTGGTTATTCAGTTAGCAGTTCCTGTAATCTTTTATCAAGGTTCTTAACTTCCTTGCATTGGGTTAAAACATGTTCCTTTAGCTCAGAGGAGTTTGTTATTACTCACCTTCTGAAGCCTACTTCTGTCAATTTGTCAAACTCACTTTCTGTCCAGTTTTGTTCCCTTGCTGGCGAGGAGTTGTGATCCTTTGGAGAAGAAGAGGCAATCTGGTTTTTGGAATTTTCAGCCTTTTTGAGCTGGTTTTTCCTCATCTTCGTGGATTTACCTACCTTTGGTCTTTGATGTTGGTGACCTTCGATAGGGTTTTTGCATGGGCGTCCTTTTTGTTGATGTTGATGTTATTGCTTTCTGTTTGTTAGTTTTCCTTCTAACAGTTAGGCCCCTCTGCTGCAGGTCTGCTGGAGTTTGCTGGAGGTCCACTCAAGACCCTGTTTGCCTGGGTATCACTAGCAGAGGCTGCAGAACAGCAATGATTGCTGCCTTTTCCTTCCTCTGGAAGCTTCATCCCAGAGGGGCATCCACCAGATGCCAGCTGGAGCTTTCCTATATGAAGTGTCTTTCGATCCCTGCTGGGAGGTGTCTCCCAGTCAGGAGGCACAGGGGTCAGGGATCCACTTGAGGAGGCAGTCTGTCCCTTAGCAGAGTTCAAGCGCTGTGCTAGGTGGGAGATCTGCTGCTCTCTTCAGAGCTGGCAGGCAGAAATAAACATTTAAGTCTGCTGAAGCTGCGCCCACAGCCGCCCCTTCCCCCAGGTGCTCTGTCCCAGAGAGATGGGAGTTTTATGTATAAGCCCCTGACTAGGGCTACTGCCTTTCTTTCAGAGATGCCCTGCCCAGAGAGAAAGAATCTAGAGAGGCAGCCTGGCTACAGCAGCTTTGCTGTGCTGAGGTGGTTTCTGCACCCAGTTCAAACTTCCTGGCAGCTTGGTTTACATCGTGAGGGGAAACCGCCTACTCAAGCCTCAATTATGGTGGATGTCCCTCCCACTACCAAGCTCGATAGTCTCAGGTTGACTGCGGTGCTGGCAGCAAGAATTTCAAGCCAGCAGGATCTTAGCTTGTTGGGCTCCATGGGGGTGGGGTCCGCTGAGCAAGACCACTTGGCTCCCTGGCTTCAGCCCTCTTTCCAGGGGAGTGAACGGTTCTGTCTCGCTGGTGTTCCAGGAGCCACTAGAGTATGAAAACAAACAAACAAACAAACAAACAAACAAACAAACAAAAAAACTCCTGCAGCCAGCTCAGTGTCTGCCCAAATAGCCGCCCAGTTTTGTGCCTGAAAGCCAGGGCCCTGGTGGTGTAGGCACCCAAGGGAATCTCCTAGTCTGCGGTTTGCGAAGACCATGGGAAAAGTGTAGTATCTGGGCTGGACAGCACCATCCGTCACAGCAGGGTCCCTCATGGCTTCCCTTGGCTAGGGAAGGGAGTTCCCTGACCCCTTGCACTTCCAGGGTGAGGTGACACCCTACCATGCTTCTGCTTACCCTCTGTGGGCTGCACCAACTGTCTAACCAGTCCCAGTGAGATGAACTGGGTACCTCAGTTGGGAATTCAGAAATCACCTGCCTTCTGCATTGATCTTGCTGGGAGCTGCAGACTGGAGTTGCTCCTATTTGGCCATCTTGCCCGGGCAATTCCAGAAGTTTTATTTTTTTAAATTTAAATAATTAAACACTATAGGCCTTCCATTTGTCCTCAAAGAACATATGATTAAAAAAAAAAGATCATTTTGCATTTTATTAGTGATATAGGAATGACAGCAGAATGTCAATTATTCTATAATTGATAATATTAGTTTTATTAATCTGTGTGGACACAGATTAAATCATTCATTTTCTACTACTTATTTTCTCATCTTATGAAATGAGATTATGTTTACATTATAAGATTGTCGGCTGGGCATGATGGCTCACGCCTGTAATCCCAGCACTCTGAGAGGCTGTGGCAGGCGGATCACAAGGTCAGGAGATCAAGACCATCCTAGCTAACACAGTGAAACCCCGCCTCTACAAAAACTATAAAAAATTAGCCGGGCACGGGGGCGGGCGCCTGTAGTCCCAGGTACTCAGGAGGCTGAGGCAAGAGAACGGTGTGAACTTGGGAGGCGGAGCTTGCAGTGAGCTGAGATCACACCACTGCACTCCAGCCTGGGCAACAGAGTGAGATTCTGTCTCAAAAAAAAAAAAAAAAAAAAGATTGTTAAGACCTTGTAGGTAATATATTCCAAACTTTTCACCATTTGTTGAGGAAGGTCAGAGATCTCTCTCTCTCTCTCTCTTTTTTTTTTTTTTTTTAGAGACAGGGTCTTATTCTGACACCCACATTGGAGTGCAGTGGTTTGATCAAAACTCACTGCAGCCTCAACCTCCTGGGCTCAAGTGATTCTCCTGCCTTAGCTTCCTAAGTTGGTGTCTTGCTATGTTGCCCAGGTTGGTCTTGAACTCCTGGCCTCAAGTGACCCTCCTGCCTCAGCCTCCCAAAGTGCTGGGATTACAGGTGTAAGCCAGCACACCCAGCTAGGTTAGAGATCTTAATGAATCAACCAAGGACCCTGAGTTGGCCAGTGGTGTGTCTCCAATTAGGTGCTTCCACATCATGAGTGCCAAAAGCAGAACAAGGTGGTTAAAATCCTAGCCTTGCTACTCACTAGCTGTGTAACCTGAGCAAACTTCTTAACCCTTCTGAACTTCTCAGTCTATCTCTAAATTTAGGGTAACATTACTACTTTAAAGGATGGTTTGTGAGGATTTAATATACAAAAAGTGCCAAGTGCAGTAAATGCCCCTAATGTATTGTATTTGTCTCAAAAATTTTAAGTCCGGTTTCTGATTCTTGGCTTGGTACATTTCAATAGAAGCTCACAAAGTGTATAAAAATGGGAAACCTTCCTACAGATCCCTGCATTCCCCAAGTTAGCCCAGTGTTGTGCTCTGAAGATATTAAATGTATAGACCTCGTCACTCACAATTTATGAGAAAATGAGAACCCAAACTTGGTTGCATAATAACCCAAGCTTAGTGGCATATTTCTTGTAGCCATCAAGCCTCTAGCTGCCTTTGCTAATAATCTGCTGATATGTGTCCACTTCTATGCCCCATTCTATGTTGCAGCCTCTGTAACTGGGCTTGTGTTCTGGGTGCTGGTTATGATTCCTTTGAACTATGGAGCAGGTAAACTACTATGAATCTCTGCCTGTTTTTCTGGTGTTTCGGAAACTCCTTCCTTCATTTGTTCTTTCACTCATCAAGTAATTATTGATCTCTGCTATATGCCAGGCATAATACTAGATGCTTCCAAGTTTGCTTAGACCTTGCTGTCTCCCTCTCTCCTTCCTGCTCCTCCAAGGTTTGGGAGCTAAACTGGCCCTAGAGAAGTTAGATGCTGTCACCTACTTGACTAAAAGTCTTGTCACTGCTCAGATACTCTGAATACTGCTGATGGTATGGAACTGCTCATAGTATTTATCTTCTTTGATATGACTACTACCTGGGTTGGATCCAAGTTAATGCCATGTCTTCAAACACTCATCTGTAAGTAGTGGCCATTCTCTCTGAGTGGCAACCCTTTTCCACATTAGTCACCTGGCTTCCTCTAGTCCTGTTACAATCCCTATTTGTAAGGCCCACATTAAACTCCCAGTAAGCAGCTGATTATGACCATTCCATTCATTTCTGAATCTCCATGTCATTACCCTCATCAAAACAGGGCTGACTACAAAAAGGATAAAAAAGTCTCAGGTGAGGTTTTGAAGGCAAATTTCCTGTACTAAAGCTTTCTCTACAGTCATTAAAGTCCCAAATGCCTTAAAATTGAATAATTAAAATGATTTCTGTACTTATTACAAAGTCATCACTCTGAATAAAGTATATTTTTAGACAATGATCTCAGGATACCTTTAGCAGAAGGGTAATTCCACATTCAAATCTAGTCATATGAGGAAAAATTAACATAAAGCCTGAATATGCTCACAACTAATAAAAATAATTTCTTTGTCTAAGCAGAGAATTTTCTAACAAAAGCATCAGAAAATGTGATGATTGTTCTCATGGTTTCAGAAATCTGTGATTTAGTGATTTCACGAACAATATATTTGTTACTAGTATTTCAAAGGGCATAAATATTGTTTACAGTTTGTCCCAGGATTGCACACACGACATCCTAGAATGGCCTTCAGAGTAAGACTCAAGGGCTAGGTCAGGAAATGTGGTGGCCAGTGTTCTCTTCCATCTGGGAACACACTTGCTGATCTCAAAGGTGCTCCCAGTCACAGAGAGGGTACAGCCTGGTGGTAAGCATGCTTTAAATGTTTAAGTAGAACAAAGTATCTTCACATCAAGGATAGGCCTTAGAGGAGCTAAGGTGGTAGCCACCCTAAAGACTTGTCTGATCTTTGAAACTGTATGTGAGAGCCAAGTGCAAATGAGACTTTTGTCCTACATGTTCTGTTAGAGAATTATTATAGCTAATTTTTTTAACCAAATGGAAATCTTCATGCTATCCTAATACAGCCATGTGAAATTAGTAGATGTCACAAAAATAACTTTAAGCTATCACATTTTTAACTGAGCCTACAATCATAGGGGAAAAAACCAGATCAGGTTAAAACAGACACATAATTAATTATATTCTCTCACTTCAACTGTATAGAACTGATAACTGGTATCACTGCCCATGTAATGTGGAGATCCTCCCACCTTGAAATGCAATCCCCCACTCTTTTTTGAAATGATTGTTGCATAAAGTTCTAAAAGAGAATAATAATTACATTGAGTTCAGGTTTTAGAATGTATTCGGAAAAAAAACAGCACACATGCTACAGTTAGCATAGCAGAAAAACATGGGTCTTCACATTCCCATGACCCCACGATACTGCATATAAGCTAGTGACATAAATTACTGACAGATATATTCTGATAATTGCAAATTTCAACATGCATTTGAATTTAAATGTAGAATTACTATATCACAATTAACGTCAAAGCACCTTTTTCAACCTAACACTAATTCTTATAATAATCTTTCACATTTTGATGAATAAATATGAATAGAGATTATTAAAGTCATTTATTACACACATACTCCAGAAATCCAAACAGTTAAATAGAAATGTGTGTTTCAAAGCAAGAGTCACCCACATATACTGCTCAGCAAATACTAAATATCTATGACCACCCAGTTTTTCAACTTTAGCTCTTTAAGCCCTCAGAGTTTCAGCCTACCCTGATTAATTCTTCTTTAATGAGACCTCCAAGTCTATGATATTGATTTACTACTGTCAGAATTTTCCTAGCATTTGTAGCTATGAAATAATTTCAACTTAAATTATAGAAGAACAAGAAAGGTACCTTTTCAAGAAAAAGAACTATACACATTCTTTTCAAGGAGGGAGGAAAGGGAGAACTATTCTCAAAATTAAAGACTATACATACCAATTTTAAATATCATTATTACCTCTGAAGGTGGCTGAAAATGTATATTGACTATACCGGTGAGTTAGATGATCATTGTAACACAGAGCATTTTAACATCTGCCAGTCTTGGGATTTATTTTGAAGAAAAATTTAGAGGAAAAAAAATGCTATAATGTAAATGTCCACATGATTTAGCCAGAAAATGAGTGCCTACACAAAGTATAAATTGTTCCAGCATTTGACTGATACTTAATTTTGCTAGAAAATGGTAAGGCAACTGAAATTGTTGCCTGTGTTCATTTGATCCGGTGCAATAATCACTTTAGTACTACAACTGAGCACTTTGAATCAAAAACTTAATGAGTGAAGACTGAAAACATGCTTACCACGGGTTGTAATGGGGCACCAGGCATCATGGCATTGGCTAGTTGCATTTGCTGGGCCAACATGGCCATGTTCTTCTGCTGAATCAAGTTATTGCGTCCATTTATCTCCAACTGCGTTTTTAAATGTGGGGGTGGATGAAGATATTTGCAGTTCTCCCTGGAGCAACGGCCCTAGAGAAACAAAAGCAGCAAACATCATCTTAGAAAAGAATAAAATCAGCAAATTATGAAAAAAATATAATGCAAACCACCCACTTGAATGTATCATTGGTTTTTCACACAATGCATTGTCCATATCATTTGATCATACATTTAGAACAAGTAATGAATTCACCAGAATGTACTATCAATATGAGAGGTTGAGACATTTAAAGAAGTTTAAAAGCTTAAAGAGTTTCAATTATTTTAATAATATTAGCATTAACATTTCCAGATTCAAGTTTAAAAATCTACAAACTGCTAGGGTAATACTAAAACATAGAATATCAAACAAAGAATATCAGGCTTCTGTCATAATATCTTCCTGGTTAAATTTAATGATTTAAGAATCCAAGTTTTATATTTTATTTTTACTTGTACTGAAATCTTAGGAAATGAACTTAGAGGACTCAAGGCACATTGTATCTTCAGTAAAACACCTTTATAAGTATCTAATAACAAATAAAATTAAAATTACTACTAGGCTTTACCAGTCCATGTATTAGGAATTTACAATTGAAAAGAAGAAAACTCCCATGTGTTCCCACTGTATATAGAGATTAATAAGTATAATGAAATACTGGTGAAAAATGTGGCCTTTAACTTTTCAAAGATAAATCTAGTCTTCTCCATTTTACAAAATCTATGAAACAATAAGAAATGGATATATTTACCCTCCAAAAAATTTAAAAAATGGAGAAACTAAGTTGCTATAAGCCAGGAATGGCGGTGCACTACCTCTGTACTCTGTCCTAAGCACTTCATTCTAGTACCTTCCTTGAATATATACCATCCAGACCATCCTACCAACGAACATAGCCTGGACTGAAATAATGGAGATAAATCATACATGTTTAGTAATCTTAGCACTTTGGGAGGCTGAGGCAAGAGATCTCCTGAGCACACGAGTTTGAGACCAGCCTGGGCAACATAGTGAGAGCTCATCTCAAAAAAAAGAAGTTACTATAAAATCATAAGTACAAATATACCTTCCTTTTGGATAATTCTTTTTAATAAAATATTCATTAAAGCCTATAATATGTAATATGGTGTGAGGCACTCTACCCATATTATTTCAACATATTTTCAAATCATATCAATAGTAGCAGATCTCATCAACCACCTTGACAACTTCTTTCACCAATAAATCTAATTAAAACTGTTTACAAGCAGTAGAATAAAAGAAAGATTAATTGAAGCCATCATTCACATTCTAAAAACACCAATTTAGTATAATTGAACTTTATGCTATAAATTGACTCTGATGCTTATACTTATGATAAAATCTGTCATAATTCTAATTTAAATGATCGGTTTTGGCTCCTTTTGTATGAGGTTTTTAGGAATGTCTCTACACTAGGCTAGAATCATAGGATACTGCTTGTTATTTTTACAAGCTTCATGTAATACTTGAAATCAGTAGGCAGCAGGGGACAGTGGATAGCAGAGACCTTACAGGTCTCATGAGCTGGGACAGAGGCCTAGCTCTCTTACTCATCAAATGCATGAACTGCATAAGGAGCTAACTTCTGTAAGCCTCAGGCTCTCTATCTAGTACTGAATTATTAGAAAACGTGTATCACTGCCACCACAATTTAATTTGTGTATCAAACAAAAGAAAAACAAAACATTGGTATGAAGATGATTTTTTAAACATCTTTTAGTTATGGCTATTGGTATGCTCACGAAGTAACATATATATTAAACTTATTCCATATAAAATCACCATGCTTGATGTAGGTTGGGATCATGAGCATGTTATTAGCTTAAAAGTGTCTTGATACAAAACAACCAAAAACAACCTTAGACTCGCAAGATAAACCACAGAGTAGGACTGGCAAAAATAAATAAATTCCTGGATAGCATATGGTCTAATTTCAGGGATATTTAGTTGAAGTCTCCTAGAAAAAGCCTGCTTTTTCAATACAAAGAATAATTTGGCTGCAACAGAAATTCTTGTTCTCAGTATCTCCGCATCATAGTTCTTACTAAAACTGGATTTCTTTAAATGCAGGTGAGAGGGGTTATGGTCACCACGAGAATTCACTTCCCATCAATTCACTCACATCGGTTTCTATAGTTCTGTAAATAGTAGATAGATAGCCCTGGGCCATGAACCAGACCTTCCAACACTAACTGTGGTCTTCCTAAGCACTTCATTCCAGTACCTTCCTTGAATACACACCACCCAGACCATCCTGCCAATGAACATAGCCTGGACTGAAATAACAGAGAGAAATCACGTGTGTTTGGTATACGTATATTCTGCATCAGTGCATCTCAAAACTTTTACAAGACGCTCAGACTTTTGATTTTCATTCTGAATATATGACATCTACTCAGGAAAAATGCTGTTCTCCTACATTTTTTATCTATGGTACCTTTCTATGCTCAGCTTGATTTGACTGTGTTGAGCCCTTCATTTTCAAAAAGCTGTGTTCCTAAGAATCAACTGATATTTGGTGAGAACGTATACAGACTACCAAGACTCTCCCACAGAGAGCTGTGACCACAGGTTTGAGGGCCCAGAAATTAACATTTTAACAAGCATTCCAGGTGATTCTGATATAGCAGAAAACACTACAAAATACAATTGTGCAAAGCCAGATAAATTTTCATTTGACATGTGTGGAAAAAATAAGAGAATAATGTCTGCAAATGATATTAGATACACTTTGCTTCTTAGGAAGTTTAAAACATGTTTAATACTGATTCTGCTGCTGAATGATTATAGTTTGACAAAGGAAAAAGGTCAAAAATAAGTTAGAATATACATCCTCCATTAGAATTGCCTAAAACCACCAGGAACATACCTTCCTTTGAGAGTTAAGGTAAATACTATGTTGGTATGTTGCCAGCTTCATCCATCTCTGAGCCCTTAGTAGCATCACACCTCAATAAACATTCACAGAATGAATGAATGTTCATTTCTTACTAAATGCCTCAAGATGAATTCTACTCTAACTCTATTCTAGAGACAATGGAGATAATAGAAAAAACTAAATATGATACCAAATCTTGGTTCTGAGTTGTACTGACCTAATGATGCTTTCATTAAGAGGTCAGTCATTTAAATACATGATAAAGCTAGCCACATAAAAGAAAAAAAGGAAACAGAAGCAGGTTTGTAAGTTTCACCAGGTACGAAAGGAGATTTGTATAGACATTCAATGTTTCTGGCATCATAAAATCTATACAATGACATTACATTTTAAAAGTCTAAAAACAGAAATTCATCGGTATCTAAAGTTCACATATACAGACTTTTATATTGGAGCTACTACTCTAAATCATTTAGAGATTTCACTTCAAGATACATTAAATTGGGCTGCTAGGTTAATGCGAAATATAAATATAAATATGTCTTCAGTTTTTTTTGTTTTGTTTTGTTTTTGAGACGGAGTCTTGCTCTGTCGCTCAGGCTGGAGTGCAGTGGCGCGATCTGGGCTCACTGCAAGCTCCGCCTCCTGGGTTCACACCATTCTCCTTTCTCAGCCTCCCGAGTAGCTGGGACTACAGGTGCCCGCCAACACACCCGGCTAATTTTTGTATTTTTAGTACAGATGGGGTTTCACCATGTTAGCCAGGATGGTCTCGATCTCCTGACCTCATGATCCACCCATCTTGGCCTCCCAAAGTGCTGGGATTATAGGTGTGAGCCACCATGACCAGCCATCTTCAGTTTTGATAGGTACAGGTAGCTCCAACTATTGAGATAACTGTATAATTTTATCAAATAGAGCTTTGTTCAAATTGTAGCTATGTTACTTATTTGCTGTGTGACCTTGTGGAAGTTAGTGAAATTCTCTGAGTGGTCACATCTTTTCTATATAATAGTAACAATAACATCTCATTGGTGATGTATGAAGATTAGTAAGACTACAGGCCATCCTCACAAATGGCACCTGTCGTAATAGGCAGCCAATAAATATTAGTTACTTTCCTCTTCTAAGTTCTCAAGCTAATAACAAGCAGCAGTTGCTCAATTTAGCAGCGTATCTGTTAAACGCTCTAAAAATAATACAGGTAGCAAAACCCAGTGACAATGCATATCAGTCATCAATAATGTAATAAAAGCTTGGCTCTTAATCAATGTGTATTTGCCACATACACCAAGAAAAAGTCTCATTGTAACACATTTTTTACAACGTTACGTTTCTGTGCCTTGCTTTTGTTGATTACACTGAAATCTTACTTTTGGAGAGCTGTCCTGCTGACTAGCAGGCCACTCTATAGAGCCTACATAGTATTAGGTTGGGGAAAAGTAATTGAGGTTTTTGCCATTAATGGCAAAACTTTTGCCCCAGCCTAATAGATCCCTTAGGCTCCATTCAAGGAGGCTTTTAAAATAGAATTAATCCAACAAAGATTCCAAAGACATCATTGCAATATATGCAGTATATATTTTAAGGGAAAGAAGGAAAATTAATAAAATATTGGTCTACACCAAGTTCATTTTTTGTAATATTTTTTCTGTACTTTTCAATTAAAAGTAATCTGTCCAAAAAAGGCAAAATTTCCCCCTTGTAGTCTTAAAAACCTGTATGAGACCAATAACAGTCATTCAATAAATTCATCGAGTAATTTCTGAAGTTGTAAGTTGTTCGATTGTGAATTTAAGAATTATCTCATTAGTCTTTCAAACTGCTATAATTTTTTTGTGGCTATAATAAGGGAAAATATACATTTAGATTAAGTGTTTAATCCTCCAAAT
This sequence comes from Homo sapiens, assembly GCF_000001405.40. NCBI lineage: Eukaryota > Metazoa > Chordata > Mammalia > Primates > Hominidae > Homo > Homo sapiens. Next base: position 152,410,199 of record NC_000003.12, on the reverse strand, counting down.
AAATGTATGATTCATTTATAAACATTACAGTTTAATACAGTATACCTTTACATTACATATGTACAAATATAGTATATATATAAACTGCATATGTGATATATATAGTAAGATATAAATTATATAATGGAAGCTAGGTAATTAATAGCCAATCAAAATAAGAATAAAACTAAATGAAACTAGAGATGGTAAGTTAGAAATATGAGAAAGCTATTTTCTAGCTATGTGCAATGCAATTACAAACTAGCTAATTGAAAACAAAACGATTAGAAGTTGGTTGGACTTAATAAAGCAAAAAATATCAAAATCCCAAATGAAAACTAATTTTCCATTTTTAATTATATTTCTTCTACTTAAAAGGAATACTGTGATTTGTGGAGTCAGAGTCTAAAGACACATGTTATTAAGCAGCCAAATGGTAACTATGTGGCAGGATTACAATTACCAAGTTCTATTTAAGTAGACTCTGGAAATAAAGGAGCAATGGGAAAAGTACAGGGCTACTAGCTTATATTCATAAGTCTTTTCAAATTTTCATTATGGTTTTCTGGTAAGACTGTTCAAGCTATAATTATTTATTTAAATTGTTAAAACCAAGATTTCCTTTTGGGATAGCTGATATATGCAAATGTTTTTGGAGCACTTTCTGGGTATTCATTGCTCAGATATTGCCCAGAAACTCTGGCTAACAAGTTTGGTAGTTAGCTATTGAAAATTCTTACCATTTTTTTTTTTTTCAGCTAAGATGATACAAATATTTCAGAAAATTTTTGCCAAAAATAGTAACATTGGCAGTCAAGCCATATTATTTCACACTTGCAAAAAATGTTTTTTATGGCTCTGCCATGCTTTTTAGTTATCAATTCTAATGCCTGGGTGAATAAACACACACACACAAACACATACACGTATATAAAATATTTATTTAAAAATTACAAGTATCTAGTGTTAGAAAATTTATGGCAGCTTATAAGGTGAATGATTTTAAGAGAAAATTATACTTCACATACATACAAATATAAATATGCATGCACACATATATACTTCAGGGTTATGTTTTCATTTGGTAGATATGAGTTTGATTCACTCTAAGAATCACAGTTTACTGGCTTTTGCAAGTACTGAAAATAACTGCATCTAACACGAAGTATATTGTTGCTCTTAAATGTATATTTCCTGATAACTCACTTGTTTCCGTAAAGGACTTGGGTTAGCTTACAAGAGCACATACATCCTAAAAAGATGTTCACAATTTCTCAACCTCAGCACTACTGACATTTTGGGCTAGATATATTTTTGTTGTGGGAGTTGTCCTGTGCATTGTACTATGTTTAGCAGCATCCTTAACTTACAACCACTAAATGCCTATATTACCCCTACCCTCAGTTCTGATAAACCAAAATGTCTCCAGATATTGAGACATGTCTTGGCGGGGAGGAGGGAGGACAGCATCACCCTTTGTTGAGAGCCAACCGCCACTTTACACCTCATGGAATTTAGTGGGGGGCTGTATTCATCTGCCTGGGATATCATAACAAAATACCAGTTATACCAGTATCTAGTATACCAGATTTTATCATAACCAGTTATAACAATAGTTATCATAATACCAAATATAACAGTGTATAATTATGCATAAATACACACTTATATACTCACCCCAATTATGCACCTATTTCTAACAGCAGCATATGTATTACAAACAGATTTTGCTTGTGTTACAAATTCAAAACTTAGGATATATGACATAATTTATATTTCATGTTTTATTTGAATAAACTCTTAAGAGCTTTTATAGCACTATAAAATAAAGCCTAAAATTTTTAGAGTAGTTATAACAGATACATTACATTCATTTTTTTCTTTGAAAAGTCTCTAGGGAGATTTCACTGTTTTGATGCTGTTATTTGTTTTACAAGTAGTATACTATACCACAGAGTAAATATACATAGTATATATCCTGTTAATAAGTAAATATTATGTATCTACTATGTTTAAATCATATGTTAAACTATGGAGGAAATATATTTTCATATTAACACTATTGTTTTTTGTTTTAAGTTCTGGGGTACCTGTGCAGGATGTGAAGGTTTGTTACATAGGAAAACATGTGCCACAGTGAATGGTTTGCCGCACCTATCAATCCATCACCTAGGTATTAACCCCAGCATGCACTATTTTTCCTACTGCTATCCCAATCCCCCTCAATCTCTTGCCTCGCCCTCCCCAACAAACTCCAGTGTATGTTGTTCCCCTCGTGTCCAGGTGTTCTCATTGTTCAGCTCCCACTTATAAGTGGGAACATGTGGTGTTTGTTTTTCTGTTTCTACATTAGTTTGCTGAGGAAAATGCCTTCCAGCTCCATTCATGTCCCTGCAAAGGATGTAACTATGTTTCTTTTTATGGCTGCATAGTATTCCATGGTGTAGGGATATCACATTTTCTCTATCCAGTCTATCATTGATGGGCATTTGGGTTAATTCCATGTCTTTGCTATTGTAGTAACACTAATTTTTCTATTAATGTTTAAATTCTCAAATATTCATGACTCTTTAACCTAAATAAGTAAATAGGATTTTTTTATTACATAATTGTCTGTGTTTAGTATCATAGCACCCTTGTACTTATTTCATAGTTTTACCATCTTTAAAGGCAAGAAACTATTCTTTAAATCAAACACAACTTCTACTGTTTTGATTTCTTCATTGGTCTTTCAGGTAACACCAGCAACAAATGCCTAGCATCCCCACAGAAGGTGAAAAAATGAGGCAATTCTCTTATTTTGCTAGGCAAGCAATCTCTAGTCTTCTAAATTAAGGTAGATATAGCAATCCTAATCAATATTTAAAGCTTAACTTTCTAGATGTAAATTGCTATTTATTCACCCAATCAGCGTAACAGCAAATGCATGGAGCTCAATTCAACCACAAGAGCTGGGAGATTTTTTTCGTACCAGTGAAACAAACTAAAAAAAAAAAAAAAAAAAAAAAAAAGAACATATTTCCACTGATATAATCCCAGTTTCTTTCAATTACTTTACCACAGATATAAAACATGTTTTCAAATGAAACACAATATAAAACAAATGTAGATTTTTCCCCTTTCCTGGTCCTGTGAAAAGTTCACACAAACACACACACACACACACACACACAGTGGCTTAACAATTATTGAGACTGCCAATAAAAGAAAGAAAAATACACACATACAAATACACACACAGCCTATTGAGTTCAAATTTGTAACTTTACCATGGCCTGAAAGAATATAATGTAATAGATTCTTTTTAACGGCATTAAACATTTTTTCATCAGTGCATAATCTAATCACAAATGGGATTTTAGGTTAGACTTTTCTAGCTACTTAAACAGCCCTCTTGAGTATTCAATAGCTGTTCTAGGCACTATTTTGTAGAACACTCCTAAGTTTAATGGTGAAGATTCTCAGATACTGAAACCAATAGCGACATTTACGATATCCCAAAATATCCTCACTATTGACGCAATATCAACACACCCCCACTCAAACACTGGGATACTATGACTTTTTTTTCCCCAGAGAACCTAAGAGCTTTAATTGCACAATTCCCATTAATCATCTTGAAAATGGCATAACTGAAACTCTACACTTCTACAGAACATTATGTAATGCATGAGAGTCAAAGTAGCTGCCACTGAGAGGGCTGAGAAAGGGAAAAAGGCAACAAATCACACACACATTCTTGTGACAAAAAATACCACTTTTTTCTCCAGCAGCTTTTGCCTGTGAGAAATCAGATACACATACAACTGTTGCAGTAGCAGTTATTTCAGCACACAATTTTAGCTGATAGTCATCTGAAGAAATCTTAATCTCCTCAGAGTGGGCCTATAAGGCTCTTCTATTTAGAGTTGCTTGTGATGGGATGCTGTAAAAAGAAAGTCTCACTTTTTTTTCATACCTATGGCCTCCTCTATCCCAGAGAATCTTAGAAAAGTGTATCACCACTGCTGAGGTTAATGCTATGCAGGGCTTAACTGCACCTATTGTCTGCCACTATTCCATAGTCTTCATAGGCTCCAAAGACAGATCTGACCACCATCCCTGAGCCAAACCAGAGTCTCTATGACCTTGTGAAAGCCCAGTGACATTTGGTAGGTGCCAGCATCATTGAACACTCCAACATTTGTTGGCTGCTTTTTTTATAGCATCATGAAACTGGAAATGGCAGATCACTATGTTTCTATTATTTTTAAATTGCTTCATTATTTTTTCAGTACAGCAACAATCAGATTTCTAAACTGTTTGTAGCTGAAATACTTCTGAAGTTTTATGACATCCAAATCAGACACTTTTCAATCTTGGCTAATAGTTAAAAGCCCTAACATTTACATAATAAATGTTAGCGCTCTATGTGTAGAGCATGCCTTTCAGTGGAGAAACACAAAATGTGTTATAAATATTTATCCAATTTATCATTGTACCATTACTAGGTGGATTTACAGTATGACTGTCTCTATTAAATTTCTAGAGCTTTCCTGGGGATAAAACAGAGGTAAACTTCTTAAGTCAAATGCATCCAATTTTTCTTCTAACAATCTCTTGAAAGACTTATTTAAGCAGTTCTTTACAGACTGCTTAAACATAGTTTAAGACTAGTTCCTAGTACATTTACAAAGCAAAAATGCTCCAACTTTAAATCTCTCCTTCCCTTCAGGAAGTACTGACTAAAAACCAAAAGGTATATTTTTATTATAACACAGGAATAATAAAACTTACATAGTGCTTCCTATATTCCAGGTACTGTTTTCAAAACTTTACCAATGTTAATTCCCTTAATCCTCTCTCAGTATTACTGGGAAGGGTTGTTTGTAACATTTCAGTTTTTCTGAATACTTAAGTACGACAAAACAAGTGACTGAACCCAGGCAGTTTAACTACAAACTAGGTGCTCCTAATCATTACTGTAGGGATATGTATTTGTACCAAGTGTATCCCACTTGATCATCTGTAAGTTGTTTTGCTTTTGTTTAATCATTGACTGCTAATACTAGAAACAGATGACTCTAGGTCAGAACCAAATGGAAGTCTTCAACCCTTTTGAGTTCTGCAAAGGAGAAGATATTTCATAATGTAAGCAACTGAATTTGGAGAAGACTAATCCACATAGCATTTCCAAAGTGTAATGGGAAAAATTTAGATGCTTTTGTAAATTTCAATTTACTTGTCATTTTTTTTTCCTCAGAGGAACCTGTCTTACAGTATCAACAATATTTTTAAGAAATGGAACACCAAAGAAGTTAAAATATTGCTTCATATTATCTACTTCAATAAGAAACCTAGTGAAGCAAGAGGTTCTTGGATTATCTATATATTTCACTGACATGCCTCTTCAATTTGGATATAACACAAATAATGAAAAATTAATTATATATAGTTATATATTATATTTAGATATAAAATAATTTAAAAACTATTATATAATGAAAAAGTTATATATCTTTGTGTGTGTATATATACATACATATATATGTAAACATACATACAAACACATAAAATTAAAGATATAAAGTTAGACAGTAATATAGGATGGTATGTTTTAAGGGGCAAGTCTTTATTGAGAAATATAAAAGTAACTAAAGGAAATCAGAGAGGAAAAACATTTTGGTTAAGTCAGCTTGAGAATAATAACATCATTACTTAGTATTTATATGAGGCATTTGTTGTATTTGTACCTGCTAGATCCCACATATCCCTACAAATAAAGTAAAGTATCTCTAAAGTGATAACACTTATTCAGTCATGATAAATTTCAAAGTATAATATTATGTAATATGTTTCCAACAACCTATGTCAATATTTCCACTGTAACTCTTCCATTGAAGTCTACTCAGCCTTCTAGATGGGACAGCATATATTATGCATATAATTAGTGCTTAAATAATTTTCTAAACTGTAGCAGATGTGTAAAATTTTGGCTGCCATTTACATGCAGAAATTAGTATATATTACACTGCTCTGCATTGTCTTTGCCAAATACAAAGACCCTTTCTTTTTCCCAATTTTTCATTGGCACTCCTTTCTAAATCTGTGAGATTCCCTAACTGAAAAACAAATACTGTCAATTTCTGACCTCACAAATTCTGCCTCAAGTCCAGCCATTAAATGCTACTGCTTCACATAAACAATGACAGAGCACGAAGAAAAGGTGAGGCAATAAAGGTTCTCACCACTGCTGACCACAGTCTCCTTCAGACAGATCAACTTTGTACTTGAACAAAATGTGCTCAATGACACTGGCTCTGTCCCCATGGAGAAAACACTCCCCTCCCTGCCCCACCCCCCTGCCTATGACCATTTGCTAAAATTGTGCACTGCCATCAGCTCTCCCAGACTTGAGGCAGCAGCGAGGGGAAAGACAAATTGGCTCATGAGCCCAGAACATGTTTCTATTGGATGGACTGCAACAGCATAAGCAGTAAGGGTAAAGAAAATCTCTTGAGGCAAAAAAAAGCAGTATCACAACACAGGTTATCTGAGCCTGTCTCCTCCTCTGCACTCCACCCCCATACCTAGAGAATTCCACTGGTTTTCTAGGGCAGTTCCCCAAATAGCTAAAGTAACACTCAACAAACTACCTAAAAATTACCACTGAGAATAAAATAGAAAAGTCTCAGAATTTTTAGAATCATTTCATATACAGTATGTGTCTAGTATCCTTGAATAGTTTTTCAGAAAAAGATCCATATTAACAATAAACATACAAATAAAAATAGATGACAACTATAAACTATGGAACTTGTACCAAGTATCTACAGATGAGTCTATATAGCAAAAGGGTATTGAAGCCATCACGTTAAGCATAGATACTTGAAAGAGCTTAGTCATCACAAGGTGCTCTGTTCTAAATGGCAATCAGAAGCTGTAGTGCATATTCTTAAGTGCTTAGTTAAGATGAAAAGTATGGAGATGTTGGGCCTCACAGGAGCGTCAGCCATGGCAACACAGTTTTTTTTTTAACAAACCAGAATGTGAACGTGAGAGGGGAAAGCACAGAAGGTTGTCACACGATTTTTTTTTTTTTCTTGCTATCACACCAACAACATTTAGGCTGAAAGCCTGGATCTGCTAAACACTCTGCTCGGGTGCATTAAGTGAGTAAAGGAATATATCTGTGATTTCTACACTCTCTACCTGTGCTGAAAACAGGTGGCTTTTATTAGAAATAGTTGTTGTATCTTCCTTTGTATTTTGTACATGTTCCTCTCCTAATACTGGGCACTGTTTACACATCTTCCTTCCCTGGTGACAGCCTCCAGAAGGAGGCTCATGCCCACAGTCTATATCAGGCCAAGAAAACCCCATAAGTGTTTACCAAGTGAATGAGTCCTGACTATATTTCAGAATATAGGATATTCTGTCCAATAAAACAGCTCTCAAACATTCCTTTTGCATCTCTTTCAGGGTCCATAAACTGACATACTATAGCCCCATTTTTTTCTTCATTCAAATATATTTTTCTCTCCTCTAGTCTTCTACCATTTCCTCCTTTTCTCAGTTAACTGCTTACTACTGTTATCCAAGTACAAATTTGTGGCTCTGCTCCCACCTAAGTAAACAATATGGTCACCTGTTAGAGGTATCTGTATCCTAAGCTTGTAAGCTTCTCATATACACAAGCCTTAGAGACAAGCACAGAGAAACAGTCCCAGGAGTTGACATGGAAAGAGCAATACAGTCCCAGCTCAATGGTTAAAAATCACATGAAGTGAAATCAGAAAGTTGCTTGTTCAAATCCCAACTTTGATATTTATGAACAGTGAGACTTTGGGTTAATTATTAAACCTCATTGAATTGTAACCTCCTCTTCTATGAAAATGAGGATAAGAATACCAGGCTAGGGATAACGTGAATATTAAATGGGGGAATATATACAGGGGCCTCAATTATGGTCTGGTACTCAGAAAAGGAAAATGACCAGGCTGCTCTCACTCTCCTAGCACGTTCTTTACCTTGCAACCCCTGGTTCCCATCACTCAGGTCAATTTCTCCAGAGATGCTTGAAAGCATCCTTTTCTCCTGTTCCTTCAACATTTCCTTTGTCAGAGTTTGCCAGCTCACCATCAAGTTAAAACCTCCTTTAATGAACTAACCCAACAAAGCCTCTAGTAAATCTTTTTTTTTTTTTTTTTGAGACAGAGTCTTGCTCTGTCACCCAGGCTGGAGTGCAGTGGCGCGATCTCGGCTCACTGCAAGCTCTGCCTCCCAGGTTCACGCCATTCTCCTGCCTCAGCCTCCCGAGTAGGTGGGACTACAGGTGCCTGCCACAACACACGGCTGATTTTTTTTGTATTTTTAGTAGAGACGGGGTTTCACCAGGATGTGTTAGCCAGGATGGTCTCGATCTCTTGACCTCGTGATCTGCCCACCTCAGCCTCCCAAAGTGCTGGGATTACAGGCGTGAGCCACCACGTCCAGCCGCAAATCTCCTTTAATGAATTAACCCAAACGAAGCCTCTTTCACTGGACTATAGTATAGTTTAGTGCAATGAAAGAACACATATCCAGGAACCAATGAGACCTGTGTTCATTGCAGCTCTCTCACCCGCTAGCTACATGACCTTATGCAGGTACTCAAAACTCCCTGCCCAAGCCGTACCTTCACTTGGGAAATTGTGTTCAAGAAACAGTAGCTCCTAGAGTAGCTGTGACAAAGCTTTCCTCAGGCCAAAGTAAGAATCAACTCATGTTCATTTCACTTACCATTAAGAAACTGGGCATCTGTTTTTAAAAGGAGTTGATATTAAAAGTAAATCATTTTAATAGGTTAAATTTGATTATGAGAAGTGACCCTTTTCAAATGTCACTTACTAAAGAAGTTTTCTTTCACTTTCCCTCCCTTCTTTTCTTGCCAAGTAGAATAAACTCACAGTAGTGAATTCAGCACCTCCCAAGCTATATTATAGATAATTTCTACAAGTCTGTCTACTGTTCTTGATTAGGAATTATATATTTTGGCAACCTAAGCATTTCAAATAAATGTTTGTAGAATGAATAAGAGACAGAAGGGCATTTCTGGGTGTCCAGCTATCACATCACTTGACAATACTGTAAAGCTTAGTCACTGGTCCTTGACCATGACTGTATATTATAAATAAAAAATTCCTACATCCAGCCTCCACTCCCAGAAATTCTTATTTAGATAGTTTTGGCTGGGTCCCAGGCATAAGTGTATTTTAAAGGCTCCCCAGATGATTCTAATGATGGCTACTCTGAAGACCACAGGTTGGTTTACATATACTAATACACATTCTCATTTACCAATCAACCACAACCTTTTCCAGAGTTTTTTTAAACTCTGTTTTTGCCAGTGACTTCAAGATAACTGCTAATGTTATCTGACTGTTAGTTAACTGATACTTCTATTTTTAAATTATCCATTTTCCAAATAGTTCATTTCATATACACTGGGGAAAAGGGCACTCAAGTGCAATGGATGGCATAAAAAGCTACTGTCCTTTGTTCCCTTGGGCATATAATCCTGGACAGGGTCTCAAGACCAGCAACACCTGCATAATCACAGGGTTATTTCTAAACAACTTGTTCACAAAAAGAAAATATTTCAAGGAAAAAGCGGGGATAACAGATCCACAACATCAATGTACCCATGAGAGCCCTTATTCTTTTAAAAATATACTCAACATACATAGTACACTTAAGAAAGAGTGTATTATCAGTGTTATTTATAGCAAATTAGATAAGTAATAATAGATTCTATACAATTTAGTTTTCTTATCACCCATCAAGGGCTAGAGGTCTTAGGCAGTTCCTATGTTAACCTGACAATATTGCTTTTATAACTCAATTTTAAGTTGCTTAAGCTCAAGTTAAAAATTTCATAGCTATAGCAAATGTTTATAAAACTAAAGTGGCATATTATAAATTTTCAAGTAAGGAGAGAAGATGTCTCAACAGGACTGCTGCTGTTTGTTTAGGAAGACAATTAGTACTATCAGTAGAATCCTCTCCTCAGTGGCCTGTTCAAAGGTAATTACAACGTCTACCATTAACTCTCACAATAATATGTAGCTTTTATCCTCATGGCAATCCCATGAGGTATTCTTATTAGCCTCATAGTACAAATCAGGAAACTGCAGTTCCCAGAGGTTAAATATCTCATGTAAGGTCCCGACAATGTTAAGCTATGAAGTTAGGAAGTACTAGTAATGTCAGGGTTAGCATGCATTCTACCATTTGGTAGCCAGAATGAAAGTGACCTAAATAATCCAGGGACTGAAGGAAAACTTTGTCATTCCTGCTTGTTTTCAGATACAACAAATGATTTTACTATAATAGAGATGGAAAATGAAAATAGATAATGTGCTTCTCCCATTAGAAGTCATCAAAAATTAAATAAGAATGGGTGGGTGCAGTGGCTCATGCCTGTAATCCCAGTACTTTGGGAGGCTGAGATAGGAGGGTCACTTCAGCTCAGAAGCTTGAGACTAGCCTAGGCTACATAGTGAGACCCTGTGTCTACAAAAATATAGAAAAAAAATAGACAGGTGTGGTGGCATACATCTTTGGTCCCAGCTACTTGGGAGAATTGCTTAAGCCCAAGAAGTTGAGGCTGCAGTGAGTCATGATTGCACTACTATACTCCAGCCTGGGTGACAGAGCAAAAGCCTGTCTCAAAAAAAAAAAATAATTAATTAAATAAGAAGTCCCTTTTGTTTTTCTTAGAATAATAACAGAGTATACCTACTTTCTGAAATTGTTGTAGAAGAGCTAGATATCTAGGTCAGAAATACAGTATGTGTAGACATAGATGCAAAAGAGAAAGCAGAACAATTAATTCATTGTTTTCTAAGCTAGGAGAAAAAAGGTAATAATGGATGAGACAAAAGAAATAGGAGCAGGGGGAGGGAAGGAAGAAGAATGATGAAGGAAGAAGAAGGCAAGGCAAGGCAGGCAGAAGTGGTCTCACCTTGAATATATTTTATACCAAATTTCAGAATAGCTCATTTGTATATTTATTCACCTACTGTATGGTGAGACCTCTCATGTGCTCTGTGCTATGGGACAGTGGAAACACAAAATGAACTAGAAACCTATCCTAAGAAAGGAAACAAGGCACGCATATAAATAGCTATTAATAGAATATAAGGTTATAGGGCAAAGAGTGTCACAAAAGACATTCAGATAAAGAGTTCTGGTAATTTTAAAGACAAGGGGACTATTTCCATTTAGAAGTATCAGGTAATAGCTTCAAAAAAGAAGCTAAATTTATACATGAAGAGTTGGAAAAGATATCTAGGTAGAGGAAATATCATACATTGGGGCATCAGTGACAAGTAATACATCTGTAATAAGAGCAGCAGGAAACAAGTTTGAAAGAGCACCTAGAAAAGTCTAGCTTGGGGAAGGTTTCAAATACTGTATTACAGATTGTCTACTTCCTTTTGTAAGCCAGAAAGAGCCACTGAATGGGGTGGAAAGGACATAAGCAAAGCTGTACTTCATGAATTCCTCAGACAAGAATGTAAGAGGGCTTGAAGTGGCTAAGAGCCTGGAAAGGGGAGACCAATTAAGTAATTATGTTAACAGTCCAGGCAAGAGGTAACAGATTTTACCATTCTCTAGATAATAATCCCAGACCCATCTTTCATAATCTCCCACTTTACTCCTTTTCTAATGCATACTAACACACATACACTCCATATTTTTGCATCATTTGATTCTATTAGATAATTTTAATGTATGTTTTTTGAATGTGACATATTCAGCCATAATATTTAAAAACAATAATTTACTACACACCCTAAAAGAATCCTAACCTCTCCTGATATTAAACATGATAGGTCTTTTTTAATTAAAAAAAAAACTGTGCTATACTAATATATTACATGCACTAACATAAACAGAAAGAATGAGTAGATGGGCCTAATTTTTAATCAACTGTTCTGAAACTGTTTCAAAAATCATAATTGAGTGACTAAGTTCTATGTTATCCAAAATAGGGCCCAGTCTCTACATGCAACTATTTTTCCCTGTTTCCAAAATTATGCATATCTTGTTTCATTGCACTTAACTATAATTTAAAATAATTTCAAATTTCATTTTTAAAATGTGGCTCTGAATTTACAATGCATTTCTTTTGTACTGTAGTTGGGCAACTGTTTTTGGTTTGTTCTGATTTTTTAAAAATAAATTGTGAAAAAATATAAATGAATAAATTGTGGTTTGAAAAGACTATGTAGCAAGTGAATTTGTTTTAAATAATAATAATCTCTGAAAGAGTAGAAAATTGGCTGACAATAAAATGAACTGATTACACAAACAAAATAGAATTTCTTCTAAAACCAGTATTCCACATTACAGACTACTGATTTTTGCTAGTTTACTGGTTTATGGTGGGGGGAAGGTTCCTCTCTACATGTGTGAATTGGTAAAAACACTGGAGCTCACATGACACACAGTAGGAAAATATTTATAATATGTTAGTCAATAGGGTTATTTTAAGGAAAGATTAAAGAAGATTACCATGAAAGGACCAAGAAATACTTTAAATAGATTCAAGTAAAGTTTACAGATTATCAGCGCTTTATTATTTATGCTTAAAACATAGATAAAGAAAATGTGGCACATATACACCATGGAATACTATGCAGCCATAAAAAAGGATGAGTTCATGTCCTTTGCAGGGACATGGATGAAGCTGGAAATCATCATTCTCAGCAAACTAACACAGGAAGAGAAAACCAAACACTGCACATTCTCAAGTGTAAGTAGGAGTTGAACAATCAGAACACATGGACGAAGGGAGGGGAAAATCACACACCAGGGCCTGTCAGGGGTAGGGGTGCTAGCAGAGGGACAGCATCAGGAGAAATACCTAATGTAGGTGACGGGTTGATGGGTGCAGCAAACCACCATGGCATGTGTACATCTATGTAACAAACCTGCACATTCTGCACATGTATCCCAGAACTTAAAGTATAATAATAATAATAAACATATTCTCAATCATTTGAAACCTAACAAGTCTTAGAATGGAATGCCAATGTTCTTATCTCCAAGATTTTTTTAAGCTGGGGAAACTTTCAGATTAGACAATCCATTTTGGCAGTACATCACATCCTATTACATGTGCCAACAGGATTGCATTATTATATTTTCTCTTTGTATTGTCCAGCCAGCTTACTACTTACCATGAGTGTATTTCTGTCCTTTTTTCCTTTTGTTGTTTTCCCAATGTTACACTTAGGAACATGCTATACCCCCATGAGTTTTTCTTTAATGTATTTCTATGGGTCCACCATGGAAAAGAAATTGTTAATTCATACAGACCATTTCTTGTACTTCATTTATACTAAATACTGTTCGAGCAATTGAAAAGATGGTTCATTACAATAAACAGGTAATCCCCAAACTTTTTTGAGAATCTTAATTTATCTCTGTTATCTGACAACCTACCAAAAATCAAAACAAAAACAAACAAAAAACAGAAGAAAAGGTGGAATAGGGTCAAGGTAGGGCTGCAATAAAGCTTAATATAGGATATATTACAGAAAATAGATGAATGTTAATATGAAGTGCGCTGTGAAACCAGGGTGGAAAAAATGCAGAGGAAAGACAGACTAGGAGTGGAGCACTTTCAAAGCAGATTCAATTAACCTGAAATGATGATATGAGTAAATGTACTAACTACATTATGCCAATGAGGAAATTAAAGCTCAGAGAGGTGAAAGGATTTGCCTAAGATCACACAGTAGCAAATCAGGTCTGATATCAAGTCTGAGCATTATGTCTTCTATAACAGTGGTCCCCAACCTTTTTGGCACCAGGGATCAGCCTCGTGGAAGACAATTCTTCCCTGGACTGGTGGTGGTGGAGTGGCGGATGGTTTGGGGATGATTCAAGTACATTACATTTATTATGCACTTTATTTCTATTATTATTACATTGTAATATATAATAAAATAATTATAACACTCACCATAATGTAGAATCAGTGGGAGCCCTGAGCTTGTTTTCCTGCAACTAGATGGTCCTATCTGGGGGTGACAGGAGACAGTGACTGATCATCAGGCATTAGATTCTCATAAAGCGTCTCCAACCTAGATCCCCTGCATGCACAGTTCACAATAGGGTTCACACTCCTATGAGAATCCAACACGTTGTCACTGATCTGACAGGAGGCAGAACTCAGGTGGTAATGCCAGCAATGCGGAGCAGCTGTAAATAGAGATGAAGCTTCATCCACTCATCAGCCACTCACCTCCTGCTGTGCAGCCCAGGGTTGGGGACCTCTCCTCTATAACACAGCTGACTTCCCAGGAATTAAAAAAGCCAGGAGGGCCTGATAGGTAAAATGGCAGTAACTAAAACCACACAGGTGTGAACATTCCCGCTAGGCAACAGACAGTGGCTAAAGCAATCTGTTTGGGGTAAAGGCTTTGTTCAGGGGAGGTTAAGTTCAGAGTTAATGCAAGAGTTAAGTGAAAGTAACGTCAAATGCCAGGTTAAGAACTCTAAAATACAAGCAAAGATAATCCATCCATCCAATGCTCTTGCTGAGGCCTACTTGAATTTCAGGAAGACACTCCTTAGTGAAGATGACCTAAGAATACAGAAAGACTGCGCTCATTAAGAGAAGTCAAGAGTAATGACTGATTGTCTGGTTATATAGGACCTAAAAATCCAAGACAAAACAGCTGCCTAAATTGTTCAAGTGGGGTGGCAAGATAAGCTAGCACACAAATGTCTTCTGTGAAATATAGCACCAAAATGCTTGAGAAGAAAAAACAGACAAATATTAATTAGGACTATCATTTGATAAACAGCGCAACAGTTGGCCTGCATTTTATTTAAACAAAAAGTTTAAAATAATTTATATTATGCCACAAAATAATGAAAATGTACTAGTCACTCCGTTAACCTTGAAGCAATAACATGTCTGCTACAAAATCTTAAACTTTAAAAATATTTCTCACAGGATAAAAACTACTTATCCATATTTTTGTTTTATAGACTGTGAATATAATAATTAAATAAAAGCTGAAGGCCGGGCACGGTAGCTCACACCTGTAATCCCAGCACTTTGGGAGGCTGAGGCAGGTGGATCACGAGGTCAGGGGATCAAGACCATCCTGGCCAACATGGTGAAACCCGTCTCTACTAAAATACAAACAAAAATTAGCCTGGCGTGGTGGTGCATGTTTGTGGTCCCAGCTACTCGGGAGGCTGAGGCAGCAGAATCGCTTGAACCTGGGAGGTGGAGATTGCAGTGAGCCGAGATCGCTCCACTGCGCTCCACTCTGGCAATAGAGTGAGACTCCCTCTCGGGACAAAAAAAGAAAAATTAACTATGGATGATGAAGGGAGAAAATTACTATTTATTGTTTATGCTCTTCCAAGAGTACTGGACATAACACCCATCTAAAGGTCTCCCAGAGTCAGGCTCCATCTGACACCTGTCCCTGTTTATTTTCTGTATAGTACTTGTCATGCCTGTAATTATGTTGCTTATTTATGTGTTTATTTATCAACTAATTCCTGCACTAGGGAATAAGATCCATGAGGGCAGGCACCCTGTTTCACCTAGCTTAGAGTGTGCCACAGAGTGCTGAATAAAGGAAAGAGTAGATCTCACATAATTCTGTCAAGGATTCTATAGCACCAGTACTGTTACTCCCCACTTTGCTGACAAGGATTCAGACATCCTGTGAAATTAAATAATTTGTACAAGGTCACAGAACAATTAAGGTGTCAGAGACATCTGCATGAGGCATATGTACCGTATAAACAAATTTGGCAGGCTATATTCAGAACTAAAACAGTGTCAAACTGAAATTCAAATAGCTAGTGGTGTTTAAAAATGCAGCAATTAAGCAAACAGTCTGTGAAAGACTCTTCTCACTGTATATAAATAGTCAGACAGACTTCTTATAGCTTTAATCACAGTACACATTTAGTTAAAATATGTATTTCACACTAATTGACTATGACTATTTTGCAAATTATAAACAATGTTATCTGTTACCCTTTGGAAAAATTTGGTTTTGCCCTCAAAATATTACTGCTGTCTCAGAGATTCTCACTTTGGATGAAATTGTGAAGAAAATCTACCCAACAATCTTGGTTTTTAAAATGGTAGGTTCGTTTTGGAAAACCATGTAGGATGAACTGAATGTCAGTGATAAAAATAGATTTATAACTAAATTGGTTACTCTCAATAACCACTGGAATAGCTTAATAAATTAGGCACTATTTTTTCAGTATAGTTCTCAGAAAAAATTATTTAAAATAATTTCATATCTCCTACTAAAGGCGATAAAGAAATTACCTTTGAGAAAACAATTTCTACAAAGAACTAGTGAACTACATAATGCTGAAATTCACTGTGCCAACTATAGCTCACGCACAGGAAAGGGGAACATATATCCACAATGTGTTGTTAATACTCATATTTATCCATTAATAAATATATAAGGTATCTACTTGCTTATCATTATGCTGGGTGATGCAGGATAGAAAAAGAAATACAAAATGCAATTCCAACTGGTAAAGAAAGCTAGCTATAGAAGACATTAATGGAAGGTAACTTCATGAGAAACACTCTCAAGAAGAGGTACAAATAAAGCTGGGATACTAATAGTCAAACGATATTCCCTCAGACCTGAATCATATTTCACCGTAACATTCATTTCCTTAAGAAGGTAAGTCAATGGCTTTCTCACCCAGTGTTTCAGTACAGTTCCAGAGACTTTTAGCTCTTTGCTGCTATTCTTGGGTAGATTCAATGCTCAGAAAGTAAAAGGCCTAAAATTATCATGCCCATTAAAAGTTATCTGATACCTAGGATTAGTCTTGGATATCAAGAAATTCTCTAAGATAGACTGTAGCTGCAAGCTAATTTGTAGCTCTAACCTACATTCCAGATTTAAAAGCCATCAATGGCCAGGGGCCCTTTCTACTCCCAGTCTATTGGGAATACAATATCTATTTTCCAGCAGTTCAGGACTATCTAGAAAGCAGGTATTCATGGAAAAGGGATTTCAGGGAGGAATGACAGAAGTCAAGGAGACAGGCCAGGGAGGGCTGGGTGAGAGAACAGAGATGTTTATGTAAAGGAGTTCTGGTACCTTCCTATGGGAGGCATCTTGGCAAGAGATTCTGGGCTTCTTTTAGGAGGTACCTTGAAGCAATAAGATAGCAGCACTCTAGAAACTTAGGATCCAACGCAACAAATTGTACACCATTTTAAAAGCTAGAAAATTCAACTAGCCATCTGTACAAGCATGTTTTCCTGTTAAAAACAACAAAAAAAGAAGGCCTTTGGGATTTTCTACTCAGAATACTTCTCAGGAATATTTTTACATCTCATATAAAGTTTCCCTGACATTACTGCAAAAAACTGGGAGTAGCTACCTTTCAGAAGAACGTGTTTGTATTGCCAGAACATGGAATATTCTAAAAGGTGCTTTTGTAATATATCTTCCTTCTCTGTGTATATCTTACCCATCTGGAGACTATGGCTCACCCAGTTAAGGCTATTACATAATTTTGCCAAAGAGGATAAAAATAGAAAGGGGTTAAGGATAAATGTTAAAACAGACATGTATTATTCAAAATCTCAACATCAAGGCTTTGAATGTTTTGTTTTACTTCTTGTTGCTGCTTTTAAAAAGTAGAAATTCTGGGATAGCAGTTTATTCAAAGAGGAAGAAGTAGAATAAGTATGCTGATTTTCAAAAGCATTCCATTCATTTTTTGAGTTTTTAAAAAGCACATGAAATGTAAATATGTACAAAAGGCTCAATTTGTTTAACTCTGTCTCCCATTAACACCACTCCAATGGTTTTAATATCAATTTTAGTTCTGAATTTTTGTCTCAGAAATGAGCTCTGAAATTGATAATAAAAGTATTACAAAGAAATAAGTGAAATACACATTAACCTATGTGTAATGTTACCTAAGCAGGGGATTATATTTAAAAAAATATTAAGACCCATCTTCAGGTACTTCTTGCGGAGATTTCTGTTCATGTTGCACTACGTAAAGAGAAAAGTCTTTATGCCACTACTTACTATTTATAAATGTCAACTGCTTCTCTATAATGTAATCATACTTTTTTTTTTTGCACAAAATGACAGGACTTAATGATGAGCTCTGTATTTGAAACACATGTTCAGTAAAAGAAACGACAGTTTGCAATTTATTGATATTATAGAAACAAAGAAAGTGCCAATACTTTACTACCAATTCCCTGCAAACTCAGCCTTTCCCACCAAAAGAGAATTGGAATGCATTCATCAGAATTTTCAAAATGTGCTTCCCTGTTAGCCCTGTGAGATGGGGGTGGGTATGGGATAGACAGATTCAGCAAGCCAGAGGCAATTGAATGTACTTCTCAGTGCTTCCAACTGGGATGTCAGCACTTTACTAATCAAAGTTGCCTTTTCACCTCTCATGTATATTCTATTTTTCATCTTGAATTATACCAAGGTGTTTTCTATAGGAAATATCACTACAATAATGTCTCACATGTGTTTAGCAATATGCTGCACATGTCAGGCAGGAGCTAAATGCAGAGAATAAAGAAGCATGTAGAATTAAGCCCCCAACACTGTCAGCCTTCCTTCCAAAAGTTTTCTGGAGCTGTATGAAATACTGCTTCCCATGTGATTTTCAGGAAAGCTTTATGGACCAAGTTTTCAAATGCAAATAACAAGGTCAAAAGGAGGAAGGTTTATAGGTATGAAGAACTGGAAGAAAAAACGAAAACATAGAAAGAAGGTCATAAATTTGAAAGGTAGTGTCAAAAATCTGTGAACAGAAGTTTAAGCAGTTACATAACATCCGTCCTTGCTATGAAGATTTCATGGTTCAAACTTAGAATCATTATTCATTTTAGGTAAGGTTTTAATTTATCTAAGAAAGGGCAACTTAATGTGTAATATTATGCTGCAACATTCCTTTAAAACTGAAAAAGGAGAGAGTGCTTAATAGTAGGAACTCAAAAAGCAGAAAGATGTATTCAGGTTCAAATCCCAATTTTGCCATTTACCAGCCCTGCGGCCTTGTACATAGCACTTAATCCTCTAAACCTCTGTTTCTTCACCAATAAAATGGGAATAACTATACTATCTCCCTGATAAGGTTATATAAGAGGATTTAAATGAACATTTGTGTGAAGTCAATACCTAGCACCTAGAGAACACAGGTAGAGTATAGCTGTTGTTCTTATTTTAAGTTTATCTAGATTTGTTAAATGAAAGTTTTCTAGTCTCGCTCTCACATCACTGCACTTCAAAGGTTTTTGGGCATTGTTCTGGTTAAGCTGGGTCTTTCCACAAAGTGCTGCTCCTGCTCTGCTACTCTGCAGTCTTTAGGGCAAGGGCATTCTTGCCTGTGCCCTGTGACCCTCTCCCTGCATCAAGTATCCTAGTCCATTAACAGTTTTACTGCTACTTAGCTTTGATTTGCCACTACAATAAAGAAGGTATGGCATTTCATTTTCAAAAACTATCTCGGCCTAAGTCACCAGAGGACTACAACCCACTTATATCAGAGTGTGTGTGTGTGTGTGTGTGTGTGTGTGTGTGCATAACAATACAATTATGTACAGTACAAAATACATGATAATAAATGATTGTGCTACTGGTTTACTTATTTACTATACTACTTATCATTAGCATGTACTCTTTCTAATAATTAAAAAAAAAAAGTTAACTGTAAAACAGCCTCCAGCAGGCCCTTCAGGAGGTATTCCAGAAGAAGGCATTGTTATCATAGGAGATGACAGCTCCATGCATGGTATCATTCTTGAAGACCTTCTAGTGGGACAAGATGTGGAGTGAAGAAGACATTGATATTAATGGTCCCAACCCTGTGTAGGCCTAAAATAACATATACGTTTGTGTCTTAGTTTTTAAAGGTTTACAAAATAAAAAAAAAAATAGAGAAAAGCCTTAAAGATATAAAAAAGTTTTTGTACAGATGTACAATCTGTTTGCATTTTAAGCTAAGTGTTATTACAAAAGAGTCAGTAAGTTTTTTTTTTTTTAATTATAAATTTAAAAAAGTTCTTTGGGAGGCCGAAGCAGGTGGATCACAAGGTCAGGAGTTCGAGACCAGCCTGGCCAATATGGTGAAACCCCGTCTCTACTAAAAATACAAAAATTAGCCAGGCATGGCAGCCTGTAGTCCCAGCTACTTGGGAGGCTGAGGCAGGAGAATTTCTTGAACCCGGGAGGCATATGTTGCAGTGAGCTGAGATCGTGCTACTGCAGTCCAGCCTGGGCAACAGAGCGAGACTCCATCTCAAAAAATAAATAAATAAAT
The DNA here is from genome assembly GCF_000001405.40 of Homo sapiens. Classification (NCBI taxonomy): domain Eukaryota; kingdom Metazoa; phylum Chordata; class Mammalia; order Primates; family Hominidae; genus Homo; species Homo sapiens. The sequence goes on along the minus strand of NC_000003.12, from coordinate 152,389,874 downwards.
AAATAAATTACATTAAGGTTAATTTGTTGAAGAACAAAACATATACATTTAGTATAGCCTAAGAGCACAGTGTTTGTAAAGCCAACAGTCATGTATAGTAATCTCTGAGGCCTTCACATTCACTCACTACTCACTCACTCATCCAGAACAACTTCCAGTCCTGCAAGTTCCAGTCATCATAAATATACTATACAGGTGTAAAAATTTGTAATCTCTCATACCATATGTTTACTGTGCCTTTTCTATGTCTAGATACACAAATACCACTGAGATACAATTGCCCTTGGTATTCAGTACAGTTACACGCAGTACAGGTTTCCAGCCTAGAAGCAATAGGCTATAACCACATAGCCTGGATATGTAGGAGGCCATATCGTCCAGGTGTGTGCACGTATACTCTATGATGTTTACATAATGACAAAATCACCTAACAATGCATTCCTCAGAACATATCCCAATCGTTAAGAGATACGGGGCCAGGCACTGTGGCTCATGCCTGTGCTACCTGTGCTACTCCTAGTACTTTGGGAGGCTGAGGTGGGTGGATCACCTGAGGTCAGGGGTTCAAGACCAGCCTGACCAACATGGAGAAACCCCATCTCTACTAAAAATACAAAAATTAGCCGGGCATGGTGATGCATGCCTGTAGTCCCAGCTACTCTGGAGGCTGAGGCCGGAGAATCGATTGAACCTGGGAGGCGGAGGTTGTGGTGAGCCGAGATCACGCCACTGCACTCCAGCCTAGGCAACAAGAGTGAAACTCCATCTCAAAAAAAAAAGAGATGCATGACTGTATAAAAAGGGTATGTATAAAGACTGATCCCCATTTAAATCTATGAAATATTTCATGTCAACTGTTTAAAAGCATGTGAATTAGGCTCTAAACCAGAAAAGGTTTATTATTAATCTTTATTAATAATGTCTACATTCATATTTTCCAGTAACTCAGAAACTATTCCTCCACCACTTCACCTTCCTTCTTTGCCCTTACGTTAGAACATGATTCATTGTGTGTGATAAAGATATTTCTTCATTTAGTCACTTCATCTACCTGAATACCTGTGTAAATAATGCACATGCAGGCTACCAGATGTGCTGCCAGATACCTACTAAATACCATTAATAAAGCTTCCAGATTTCCAGCTCTAGCTTTCAACTGCTAGGCCTCTGAACCAGAATCAGTGGTCATTTCCTAGGAATTCTATGCCCCTTTCTATCCTATCCTTTTCCCATACAGTACCTAGTCATACCTCCTCAAAGTCGGAAACTTTAGATTGGACCTAGGTAGGTAAAGGTAAGAGCTGGGAGTCTGAAGCACTCACAATCAAGGGAACTGCACTTGGCATAGAAATTGAGAGCAAAGAGAAGACAGACATTTATTGTTTCACTCAACTATGGGACTGGGACTGGTAGGGTTAATAAAAGCTGAAAAGCTAAAATCCATAACTACTGACATTTATTATACTATTCTCATTTCTCAAGTCCTGTTTGTAAAGCACTGGTATGAAAAGAACCTGATATTTTAATGTTATGTGTTCCACGGACCTTTGTAAATTCCCAAATGGACAAATACTCCATCCTCCTCACCATAGTTATGGCTTATATGAACAGTCAACAAAGATATCTTGAAGAGGGTAGCCAACTAGATGCCTTCTCCAGCTGAGTCCTCAAGTCAACTCAGAGCACCTGATGAAAATTTCCTCCCAAGGACCAAAAACAATCGATTACATGTAATGAATCTTTGGGACAGTTCCTGAATGTTAAAAACCAGAAATCTAAACTACAAGAATGTCAAGGGTCTAGTGAAAGCCTGTTGGCCCATAAAACAATGCAAAAGGCCTGTGGTTCTGAGAACGGATTATTTTACAGGGAGCTGTAGGCCATCTAATCTTTATTTTTACTTTTACCTTTCTCACTAATTTATGGAAAAGCCTTGGTAAACTGGCTTACCACTCTTCATCTAAGTTATTAATAATACCATCTCATCCTTTTCTTAGACTACTAGCAATAAATTCATACAAATATACCCACAGAGCATATATGCATGTGTGTACACATACTTATATTTATAAATATATATACACACAATTTATTTCTTTTAAATATAATTATAAAATTACAAGAGTCATAACTGCTCAGGAAACATATGGATTAGAAAGATACAATGGCACTTTACCTAGGTGAGGTTGAACTATTCAGCCATAAAAGCTTTCTGTGACTTCTGATGAAAAGGACAAAAATCCAAAAACACAGTAAGGACAGTTTTAAGAGACAAAGATGATATATGAGAAAGGAACACTTTTACAGAATTTATGCAACAGTGAAAAATAATTAATACGAGTGACTAATCAGATTTTGGTCCTTGACTACATGAAGTCATGACTTTTGAAGAGGGGGAAATATACAGTTTCATTTAGTCCTTTCATATTTTAATTTTTAGAAGACAAATTTGATTTTAATATTTTAAGTCTTGAATGTAGACAATTTCCTTCTTTCCAAGAATTTGCTTTATTAGCTTTCATTTAATAACAGTTTTACATTCAACACAAACTGCAATACTGTCTTGTACTTGGTGCAGGGTTATGCTACCGCAGTGATATAAAAATAGCAAAGACCAAAAAAAAAAAAAAAAATACACAGACTGGAATAGCTTAAAAATTGAAGCTTTCAGATAAAGCGCTCTGAAATAATTACAAAAGATACAACACCTGATTATTGGCTGTAAGATAGATCTTCCTTCATTATATAATATTAAAATTACCTGAGAGATTCATAGTTTTCCTTCTTAGAACTAAAGACTATTAAAGCTATACGGGGTCTCAGAAGGGTTCAAAACTCAAGCTGCATTGGCCTGTTGTGTCTGTTTACTTAATCTATTTTTACAACACTGCAGTAGCCAGATCCAACTTACCAAATACCTGCTTCAACATTCTGCACCACATTGATTCAAGAAATAAAATTTATGAGTAAGAAAGCTGCAAACTATGTTTCTAACAAATCAACCTATACTATTAAAGTCAGAGCCATAAGGAAATAAAAACTATAAATATGCTGCTTTAAAAAGTCTAAAATGTTGCCTAAAAGGATTTTAGTGTTTTTTTCAAACTTTTTTTTTCCTGCCAGGTAAGGCATTTGCCTACTTTACTTGTGTGAAATAACCCAAGTTGCTATTTTCAGTGTGCAAGCCCTAAGTGTCTGTATCAATTCTCAGCAGGTATCTTGACACACCAACGGGATGTTGAGATAGATGTATCATCTGTACAGCAACTTACTACACATACTATAAATTATTTAATAAAATAAATCCTTGACCATGAACATCTTTCATGCCAAACAGTAATGCCAAATCTAACTTTTACTTTGTGAAGCATTTCTAACAATTCAATGTACCCAAGAAAAATCCACTTGAGAGTGCTGACAGAATGGGATTTGCCAATTAAAAGTTGTTGCCATAGAAACAGGCTTTAATATGTTCTATGAAAAATATGAACAGGTTATGTTATCTCTTCAGTCATCTACACTTGAACATAAAATGTGAAAAACACAATTAGAGAAGGGTGTAACAGTTTCCCAAGAGAGCATCAAATGCATTCTCTTGTTCATAAAAAAAGTTCCTTTTTTTCAACCAAAAATGAACACATGCTCTATTTTCTTGAATTTTTTCATAGATTATTTGACTAATATATCACTTCACTGTATGGTATGATTTTTCCTTTTCTAGAATTGAGCTTTTTTTCCCCAAAGTACTCTAGATTTATATCTTATTAAAATCTTCAAATACTGTGCTCTTTGAAAAATAACTTTAAAAATATCTTTTGAACTACCCAAGGGGAAGATCATTACAAAGGATCCTTTGACATTCTAAACATTCTAAATACCACATGTTAAAAGTATTTCAAGTACATCACTGAATGTTCCTGACTGTTGACTCAAGGGATTAATATGGGATAGACTTCAGCCAGATGACCATAACCAGCCACAGGACATAAAATAGTGAACTACTCTATCACTTTTATTACTGTTTTACTAACACGGCCCATGACAAGAATTCTAGACATAGTGCTATTAGTCTTCAGGTGGTGATCCAGAAGATAAATATTAATGTTTGGTAGAAATTCTATCATGTATTTTCCAGATTGCACCACTTCAGTATCACTCTAAAAGGCAAGTGGCACATTTAAAATTTGATTTTTGAAAGTATCAGTCTATTAGCATGTGTCTTGATTTATTATGCATAAAATGAAAAGATCCTATGACTTATGAAATTTAAAATTATTTATTCCTTTATCAGTTGAGGGTAGAGTTACCCAACATGTAAAAAGGTACTCCATAGAATACTTCAATTAATACATTAGTATTAATTGTCCATCATTAATTATCCAGAAATAGCATGATTTGATATAATTAAAATCCATGAAGATTTTAACATCTAATGTCTAATTTAGATGAAAGAAAGCAGTTGTTAAGAAAGAGGAGAGTGATTTTTTGAAATCAAAGAACTAAAATATTACAAAGTATCTGAGAGTACCAGTCCTTCCTTTCTCTATACCCTGTGGGCATTTTCCCCACTCTCAGAGAGGATTAAAGAAGTACCTTATTTACTTAAGGAAACAATGGCTCTCAAAGATTTAATGTAAGAGAGGCCTCAATACAAGAAGAAATATTTTTTTAAAAGGCATATTTTTTAAAAATCTCAAACTTCATTTAAAAACATGCACCTTAAGCCATTTGTCTTTCAAATTACAGCAAAGATGCAAATCACATCTCAAAACTAAGTATCGCTACCAAATGGAAAGGGTTCTTTTCCTGAGATTTCTACTAGGGATGTATAATCTCTCTTGTGTTACACAAAAAGTATAAATAATTCTGAAAATTACACCATAGCTATTTGACCTGCTTTTCATGCTTAAAGAATAAATAATAATTATCTGAATAAGCTTTACGGGAACATTTCCATTGAGGAATCAAATCTGCAAGCAATACTCAAACAACTGGCCCACTCAGGACCACAGCCTATCTAATGGTACAAAGTTTGGAAATAGAAACTCCGGACAGCATAGGTTTATAAAAGTGAACATTTCAAAGCAACACAAAAAGAATGTCTGTTTTATCAGGCAAGAATGTTCTCTGCAAATTAAGATTTCAAAGTTTTAAAATCAAAAGTTGGAAAACAAACATCATATAAAACCTGCACCTGCTAGTGAATGCTGGAAATGACCTGCTTAAGTGCCTGTCTGACTTGGTCACTAACCAGCACTGTGACAGGCTGCCTAAAAGGATGTTAAATATGCTCACTGCAATCTATTTGTCATGTAGTTTCTTTTTCTAAGATATGTTGTTCTATAGTATTGTCATTAAACCCACATCTGAAGTTTGATGGTTTTTAAATGGCAATCAAGTGTGATTTTTTACAAATGTAACTTCTAAAAACCAATTTGAATTTAGTTTGAATATTTTTCAAACTGCATACATTTTATTTTCAATTATCTTTCTGTAACTCTCTAGTCAGGCAAAAACCCAGAAGCAGCAACTTCTGAGGATAAAGGGTTATTTTATATGCCAAAAAATTTAATGCCCTGATAACATGGATAAAAAGCCTAACTATTGGTGGCTACTCCAATCGTTATGCTTTTCCTCTAGGAAAAAGAAACACATTTCCTCTAGGCAGTTTGGTACATTCTGCCTCCATGGATCACCCTTCCCAAAGTGTAACTTTCCTTAAAAATAAAACATTACAAACTTCTGTTGTACACTAAGCATATGAAGTCTATAATAATTCAAATATAAATCATTTACATTTTACATTTTGAAAAGTAACATTAAAATGTTTGTTACTTCATTACCCAAATAACGAATACACATTGCAAAGCCAAATTCTCATTTAACCTGAATAAATAATATATCTAATAGGTAATAAATCTAAAACTCCCTTTAATGGTATGAATTTATTTAGGTGCCATGAGTACAATATAGATCTGCTAATGTCCATTACATAGAACAGGGATTTGAGGTGAGGGAAGATGAAATTAATTTCTCTTCATCACAGATTAAAGACGTACCCTTCCACATTAATCATTTTTGCTAGGTGTTATTTTTCCAACATGGCAGCAACATAGTTTTCAAGGTAAAAGGATCCTGAAATGTATCATAACATGTCCATTCTGAAAAGTATTCATCTATCACCTCAGCATGAATACAACGCACAGCTGCCCAGATGATTCTACAAAAACAACTCTGGAGGGATCACTTGGGAAAAAGCTCCATGGAAGCTATTCCACAGGCATAAGAAACCTTTGTTGATTTTGTTACAATGACTCCTTTACACCAGCTCATCTAGTCTAATATAATGTATTCCACACTCATGGAACAGTAATTCTCTAATTCTCTATAACCAAGGTTTTCATATCTTTGTTGTTTCCAGAATACCCTTGGGCTCTGTACAATGCATATAAACAGCTCTTAAACTGTGGTGAGGCATGACACAAACACCTCTGTATGCTACAGACTCACTCTCCAGAAAACTGTACACGTGAAATTACATAACATTTCAGGGCTTTTGAATATCCTCAAAACTCAAATATAGACTCCTCATGGGTTTGGTGGACTTTGTAAGAATCCCAATTTTAAGGTGGAATTCTAAGTTCTACCCATTGCAGTAGCTGCTACAGACTACAGGAAATAAGGCTCCACTAAGCAGCCAAGAGCAAGGCAGTTTGCACAAAACCATTCTCTGTAAGTATTCGGATAAGTTTTAGTAGGTAATGAAAGGAGACTATAGAAAACGCATGGTAAACTTGTGTCAAAACAAAAGCCTGATGCTACCTTATGAGACAGCCTTTATCTCATGGGCTCCTTGAGTCCAAAGACGGAATCAGGCAGGTCTTCCTTTCTCCTGGTTTTGAGCTGGAAGAAAAATCTCACTACCTCTCAAGTGAGAATCATTCCTCAAGAGATGTGACTGGCAGACATGGAAAAACCCCAATAAGTACGGAGTGATATACAAGATAAAGTAGCATTATAGAACCAGAATGTTAAAGCAAAATATAAAACGAAGTTGAATAAAATGCTAAAGATAACAAAAACTGGATTTAAAAGGTGAGGAAAAACAAGGAAAAGATAGCCCCTGCTAGGGCAACCAGTGTAAAAAGAAAAGATAATGGAACAGAAAGAAACCTATTCAACTCCTTTTTATATTCTGCCACTGAGGACAAATATCTTCAAACTGGAAAAGTATTAAAGACAAATGTATGTTGCATTAATTGCCTGGGATACATATTCAGAAGCATTCTTGGAAATAAGTGCTATCATAATGAAAAGAGCCTCTAGGGAAGCACATTGTTCTCACTGATTTTTTAAGTTTCATTTTCTTTTTCACGCTTCAAATTACTTGAAGCTTTAGGGAAGGGGCAGGAAAGTCCTGCTTCCATTATCTATTTTTTCTTGCTAACACAACGTATGAATTCTCCAGCTTTTGTCCCTTTAAAAAAAATGTTATGCAACCTAACATATTATGGCGAGGAACACGGATTCTATCACAGAGTCAAAATGTACTCTTATATTTATTATTTTACATTACGATTTTAGGAAAGAAAAATATTTTCTTTGCTTTAATAAATAAATCATTGTCTGAGTGGCATTTAGCTTAACTACTGTGTAAGACAAACAGGATCAGAGTGGTCAGCTAGTTTTCCATTTGGCTTTTTCCACTGCCAAGTGGGTTTAAAGGAAAACTATTTCATACTTATATTTGCTTACTTGGTTGAATATTACCACCTCTGCTTACTAAACAAGTCTAAATATACCTTTCTAGGGGTAACTAAAGAGTATGTTACGCCTACTTAGTTACACTAAGTTTGTTTCTAAATCAATTGAGAAAGACGCCAAACACCTACTATGTCCCCAGCCTCAAAAATTTGTTCCCTGCACTGAAGCAGGTTAATATGTCAAAAGAACAGTTGAAAAACTGAAGTATAGGTTAATCAAGCAATTATTTGACATCTAATAGCTAAACCCTTCAAATTCTTTGGCTGATTTAATCAGTTTGAAAGTAAGTTAAGCATTTCAGAGAACAAACCATAGCCTTTTCTCACTCTAAGTTACAAAGCTAAACTAGATAACATTTTTTAATCAGAAAAATTAAAAACAAACATTTCATAGAAACAGGTGTGGAAATTAACATGTGAATGAAAAGAATTATTGGCATGTTAAATTAAGAACAATTTTCATAGAAATATGAATATAGAAATATAAAATAAAATTTTGCTAACTATAGAATTACTAGATAATTACCAAAATGAGTTTTTTAACAAATGATTTTCCAGGAAACGACACAGACACATTTATCTATTCTGCTTTAATATTCCAAAAAGTAACCAAAATGTATTCACATTTTTATGTTGTTTTAAAATTTAAAATATTTTAACTGTAAATAGGAATTTTTCTTTACAGAATAGTGTGCACTTATGGACAGCGTTTGTTTTTACTTTTTTTTGTTTGTTTGTTTGTTTTTAGCAAGTAAGGACACATACTAGCTCAATATGCCATGGGCTTTTTCTACTCCTGCCTGAAGTATATAGACAGAAGTCTAATAAGGAAAGCTATAAACTGCTGCTACCTTTACATATAGCCATATTTGTACACATTTCCCCAAATCCAGATGTGTTCATATTACAATCCAGTCTTTGTTACAAGTAACTTTGAATGTAGTCAGAGTTTAGAGCTGCCTTTTATATAAATGAAATGTAGATATACAACTTGTTATAATGAAAACATCTATTATAAAATCTTAGTTTGAGAAAAGATGCATGGTTGTTGCCATTTGGATTTGTCTAAAAACAAGATAATTTGATGAAGCAAAGCCAGTTTATCTTATTGCTGCCCCTCCTTCTGTTTTATTAACTGTGTGTTTCTCAAATATTAAGGTATAAGAACTTGCTATTAACAAAAACAAAACATAACAAAAATTAAAAGATATTCTAACTTAGAATTGGCTTGTGAATAGTTCGATTATTCAGAGTCTGTGTGTGTAGTGCCACAAAAATGTGAATATTCACAAGGAAAAATATTAACTCAGTGCTTAGAAAAATGTGTAGTGGCATCCACACACATTTGAAATACGTAATCAGAAGTGCCTTTTTTAAAAAAAAAACTCAATATAGGAAATGTTTAAAGTTGTGTTAAAGTACATAATGTGAAAATGCAGTAACTCCCACATAAAGGGCTAAATATAATGTATTAAGGTATCTGAAATATTACTCTTTTCAGCTCATACTCTGAGCTCAAAATACTCTGGACACATTTAGCCAAGGTTTTGAAGGTAAGGATAATGAAGCAAAAGCTGTAAAACCTCTTTCAATACCTCTTTAGGGGCTTACATCTAGTAATCAATTAACAATTGGAAAGTTTTTCCATTCATGCTGTTTCCCTGTCGATTCCCCTTTTCTTCTCATTCTCTCCATTCTATCTGGCTCAATGCCCGTTTAGACCTTACCATAAACTTTGAGTTTAGATACAAGGAAACAGATTTGAGCAATTTGGAAGATAAGGAGCGTGTCAAATTCTCAAAATACTCCACTTTCTTTCTCTAATCACTCAGACACTGTATTTTAGGTATTCAATATGTTCTACAACTGTTAATGTTAAATTCTGTGGGCATTTCCTACTTTTAGACTTTATGATGCATCTTCAAACTTCAAATCTGTAACAAAAGGAGACTTTCCAAATACAGAGAACCTAACAGTAAGTGACGAATAGGGAAGGAAAATTTCTTCATCACAAGGTTATACAACCTGTTATGTACTACTGAGCAATGGTATAAAAATCTTCATATCTAGCAATCTTTAAGAAGATCTTTGAGGTTTAGAATTAATATTAATTTATCTGGGCTAGGAATAGCAGTCTTGTGGTTCTAGGTTCTGTTTTACTTTTAGAAATTATATCTACTTAGTAAGTATTTAATTGCCTTATAGTATAAACATCCTATATAAATAGCCTCCATCTATCCCAAGGAAATTAGTCTATCTCATTCCAATGGAGCAGAGGCGGAAAAGCTTAACCTATCTTCTGACTCATTGTTCATCTGAATCTTTAACTAAAGGGAAAAAAAATGCAAAATAAGACAAATTTTAAAACTTCTCAAAAACAAAACAAAACCCTACTGCAACCTCATGATTCTACAACAATATTTGCAGCAATTATTAAATGTAGATGTCATTTAGAAAATTTTTGAGATTCTGCCTGTGTAATGCCAAACAAAAACATATCAATATTCAGAAGGAGAAAGTATTACGTCAGTGCTTATAAGAACGTGTAGTGACATGCACACGCATCTGAAATGCATAAACAGAAGTGCTTTAATTTAATGAAGACAATTCTGAACAATTTGGAAAGGTCCCCAAGAAAGGAAAATATATTTTTCCAAAAATATAACTCATAGTCAAAATAGTTCCAAAGAAAGGCTAAAATAGTTTTAATATTTAAACCTGTAAGAAAAGCTGTACACCTCCATAGGTGGTTTCTATTCCAAGGGAAAATGCTGTAATCACCAAATATTAATGATCATTGGTTGACAGAAAACTCTGATAATATTTTTCAGAAATAGCCACATTAAAAGCAGAGAGCTAAATATATAGGAGTTCCTGCTTCAGTGTAGAGTCTATCAATTTGCCAAGAGAAACCCAAGGGTAATTATCAAAAATGTCAGTGGTGACTTTATATGACAAATTTTTAATTAATTTCCATTGCTTCTAATCTAGTTTGAGATTATTTGTTAATGTTAAACATGCAGGATGACCCTTTTACAAATCAAAATATAGTTGATAGAGTATTCAGTCTACTACAAACATACATTTTAAACTTCAGGCCAGGCATGGTGGCTCATACCTGTAATCTTACCACTTTGGGAGGTCAAGGAGGGGGACTCACTTAAGCCCAGGAGTGTGAGACCAGCCTGAGCAACATAGTGACACCTGATCTCTAAAAAAATGCAATTATCAGCCAGGCATGGTGGCATGTGCCTGTAGTTGCAGGTACTTGAGAGCCTGAGATAGGAGGTTTGCTTGAGCCTGATGGGTTGAGGCTGCGGTGAGCCATGATTGCACCATTGTATCCCACCCTGGGCAGCAGGGCAAGACCTTGTCTCTAAATATAAAATAAATAAATAACATAAGGATAAAAAGTAAAACTCCTGTTTCAATAATGATGCAAAATAGTATCTTGGGTATGATTTCTTGATATTATTGGAATTGTAAAAAGCCTTGGAAGATTTCAAAGAGAAAATCTTTCAAAGGAAAAAGTAATGATATAAGTACATTTAAAAAGATTTTTGCAAAAAGCTGTCTAGCTATTACATAAATACCAGGTAGAAATATACTATTACCTACCTAAATAAATATAGAGAGGTAGCATTAAAAACATGTTGTTGCATTATATTGTACCCGTTTCTTGGTAGGAGCTATCATGCAAAATAGAAATATTTTTAAAAAGTACATTACTATATCTCTCTTGAGTAGCTAGAACATACATTAATTTTTAAAAAAAATAGACATAGAGTCTTGCTTTATCACTCAGGCTGGAGTGCAGTGGTGAAATTGTGCCTCATTTCAGCCTCTAATTCCTAGGCTCAAGTGATCCTCCCACCTCAGCCTCCCAAGTAGCTAGAAAACACACCTAGTGAATTGTTTTTTTGTTTTGTTTTGTTTTTGTAGAGATGAGGTCTTGCTATGTTGCCCAGGCTGGTCTCGATCTCCTGGCCTCAAGCAATCTTCCTGCCTTGGCTTCTCAAAGCACAGGGATTACAGGAATGAGCCATCCCACATGGCCTGAAACATTCTTAATATAGTTAGTCCTCACTTAACATCACCAATAGGTTCTTAGAAACTGTTACTTTACATAAAACAATATACAGCAGGTCCTCAAATAATATCGTTTCCTTCAAGGTCATTTAGTTATAACACTAATGAGAAAAACAATTGGTTTTGTTATACTCCATTTCATGTCAAGTCATAGTTTCCAAGAATCCACGGAAGACAGTAAGCGAAGATTTCCTATACCTTATCCTTGTGTCCATCATTTGATAGCTCAACCTATTATGAAACAATAGATTAACATGATAGATCTGATCATAGATCAAATTTAGGTCACTGTAGAAGTCAGTTAATTTACTCAATGTTAAATAATTTTAAACAATACCAAAGATTCTGAAACATGAATGTGGCCTCCAAATATGTTAATGTGTGTCACAATATAGGTTTCAATTCCATCAACAATTTGCCTTTGAACACATAATGACAACAAACATTTCTTGCTATATAATGTGTACTATACACAGTTCTAAGAGCTTCACATGTATTAGACCCTAAAATTCTATTCAATAGGCCTTTTATTGTCCCCAAATAAGAGATAATACAATATAAATTAACAGGTTAATTTACTAACGGTCTATGGCTGACGAGTGGAGGTGTTGGGGCTTGAATTTAATTTCGGTTCTATAACCACCTGATGGGTCCTAGCTATTACACGACTTCTATATGATCTACAGGTTCAGGTCTCTGCAGACAGTATAGAGGACAGCAGTAGGTAGTTTCAAATCAACCCAGATTCAAAGGCCCACATAAAAACAAGGACCAGGCCAATTCAATGAAAAAAGCATCTTATCTAAGCATAATTCTATTAAATGTAGTAAAATATCATCTTATCAAAAATGAGAAAACCTTTGAAAAAAGGAACAACCACAACCATCATTAATGGCTTCTCACTCACAATGAAAATCTTTCAACTACTTGGAATAGCCTCACTGTTTTTGCTGTATTATCCTCACTGCCACAGTTTTGGGGCTTTGTTTTAAAACAACAAGTTCGCATGTAAATCACTAGCCACAAACTCAACTTCATGTAACATTTTAAGTCTAGGGGAAGTACGGGGAAAAGGGAACAAAAGGGAAAAGAGGAAGTGAGGAAATGAAACTAGCAAAAAATAGGGAACAAAAAGCATGCAGACTTCAGGTGAAGCAGCGAGACCCATTTTCCCCAAGAAGAGATATATATGTATGTGTGTGTGTATGTGTGTGTGTGCGCATGCACGTGTGTGTGTGCGTATATATATAGAGAGAGTGCGTGGCACCCCTCAGCTCATCTGCTAGGAGATGGACGTGCAGCTAATGACATGAGGCTTCTGCATTCTTTACAGCAGCTCTTATTCCTAAAAACATACTATTAGCCAAAAAAAAATGTTCTTTAGATTCCTTGGGCTTTTGCTCTCCTCTTAGCTATATTTAATATATGATCATCTACATAACAATCTGACAAATGGAAAATTTCCAACAACCATTAGTCAGCAAGTCTTGTCCACCATAAACATCACATTTTACTTCTAAAACAGCTTCTTATTTTACGGATGAACCACACATAACTACACTCTCAAGAGCTTCTTTTTTAAGAGAGTCTAACTATGAAGAGAAAACTATATCACTGTATTAGACAAAAGATTAAAACAATGGAGATAAACAATTAAAGCATAATTCAATGTATGTTTCCTCGAGATAATATGTGAGACTTTTCTGAGACATCTGAGTCAAATACTTGTATAATCCGAAAAAGTTAACAAAATATAGTCTTTTCTCAAGAAAAAAATCTTACATTTTAAATATTTCTATCATAAATAGAAACTATTTCTGAACTTGAAAACTTTTGTAAAGTATGTCATACTACACTTAAAACTAAAAACTTATTAATATATTCATGCATCTTATAGTTGGAATATAAGATACCATGGGTATGATACCGGCCTGACAGTATGAGTTCTGAGCAGAAATATATAAAGAAAAATGGAGAAATTTATCCAGGAAACAAAGAATTGGTATCTAAACTTAGATTTTTCTGAAGGCTAAAGGGAAATAAATGTGGCTAACATTGCATCTCAAAATCTGGTTAATACTGTTGTTTAATTTAAGGATATATCTTATTCTTATTAAACAACAGTATTAAACCAGTTGGAAAATATTCCTTTCAAGATGGAAAAAGATATAGAAATTTAAGTACTCAGTCTTTTTTTTTTTTTGAGACAAGGTCTTGGCTCCATCACCCCGGCTGGAGTGTAGCAGAGCAATCACGACTCACTGCAGCCTCAACCTCCAGGGCTTAAGCAATCCCCCCACCTCAGACTCCCAAGTAGCTAGGACTACAGGCACACATCGAAGACCTGGCTAACTTTTTTGTTTTGTTTGTAGATATTGAGAAGAATAGCCTGGGGCTTACTGGTTTCATTGCTGAATTTTTACCAAACATGTGAAGAAGACCTAATACCAATCACTATGTTGCTCAGGCTGGTCTTGAACTCTGGCCTCAAGTGATCCTCCCCACTTGGCCTCCCAAAGTGCTGGGATTACAGGCATGAGCCACCACACCCAGATCTAAATCTTTATTATTATAATCATTATTTATTTTTACAAGTACCTTATACAAGATGCTATAAATATTTGTATGCATAATTCAACAGTAATCAGTGGTGTTTATCTAAACTAACTGATAATCTACAGATTGCAGTGCATTTATGATTTCAATGGAATTAATCTAATTCTCCACACTTAATTGTGAGAATAGCTATAAACAGATTGTCAAGAGGAGCCTTTTAGTGCCAATGCTTTACTTGAGGAAAAAAATTTCTTTTGGGCAAACCCATCTTTATTCATTGCAGAATACAACGATTCTCAAAAGTAGCTTAACAACCCCAACTCCGCTGGGTAAGTGTGGTGGCACACGCCTGTAATCCCAGCTACTTGGGAGGCTGAAGAAGGAAGGCTGCTTGGGGCCAGGAGTTTGAAACCAGCCTAGACAACATAACAAGAGTCTGTCGCGAAAAAAAAGCAAACAGGCAAACAAAAAATAACCTCAACTTCTTATAATATGCATGTCTTAGAAGATATCTTCTTTGCCACATAAATAAAATATGAAAATAACAGACAAGTTCCAAGAAATAATATAATGAAATCAACTCTTCTTTGCTCATGGGAAAAATAATTACTTCCATTTCCTGAGTCCTCTTTTGACCTATGAGAACACAAAGGATTTGCCGCCAGTGGGCAGAAGACAGTGGGTGTGGCAATTTATACATGCCATGTTAGAAACAGCTCAAGCATCCCTGAAGCCTTCCTCTACTTTTCCATTTATTTTTACATGTTTCAGATCCACAGTGAACACTTTGTTTGGCAAATGTGATCTAGATTATTTAATAAGTGTGACTTCAATTTCACTTTCCTGGTATTCGTATGCTGCCCATTTTTCAGTCAGCTTACTTTGAGTCCAAGTTGACCCCCTAGTTTGAATGGTCACGGCATATAAGGGGAATACCAGGCATATCTGTCAACTCTATGGGTTTAAGACACTGCAGTGTGATTACTTAGTGATTTATAATAGAGCTGGGAAATGACTACTTGCTGTGCTCCTGGGAGACACTGGTGGCTGACCCTGATTACAGAAAGTAGTAATACATACTTTCCAGCTGAAGATGCCCTCAGAGCAGTTTTCATCAGGTCATTACAAGAATCCTCTAATCAAAAATGAAAATGACCCTTCTCCATCCAACTCTGACCTCCCACAAAAATCACTTTTAAAAATTAAATAATTTGCAAATAATAAAGTATCATACTTTTAAAAAGTAGATGATTTGCAA
Organism: Homo sapiens; assembly: GCF_000001405.40. NCBI lineage: Eukaryota > Metazoa > Chordata > Mammalia > Primates > Hominidae > Homo > Homo sapiens. Next base: position 152,374,208 of record NC_000003.12, on the reverse strand, counting down.
ATAATAAATCACTGTACATATGAAATTTAAAAGTGCTGTTTCTATAGCTAGGCTATTTCCCTATTCTATTTCTTTTATCTTTAATCTTATATGTTTCTAAAGAAGAAACTATAAAGCAGCAACTCATTTTTAAAACAGCCTTTATATGTAAAAGATGCATATACACAAGAAATTATATGCCATTTAAGATATGCTTTAAAATGTTCTAGCCTATTCCCTCCTCCCAAAAAAGTGAGAAGATAGAAGCAACAAGATCAATAAATAAGGAAAATCATCAACACTGAATTATGGTATATTACACTATTCTCTCTACTTTTGTACATATTTGAAAATCTTCATTTATAAATCTAATTTTAAAATATGTAAACATGGATAAGTTTTCCATTAAATCACCATTTCTCCCAAACAACCTAATCACTTAAAAGTAAAATATGAGTGGCTGGCAAGATGGCCTAACAGGAACAGCTCAGGTCTGCAGCTCCCAGTGAGATCAATGCAGAAAGTGGGTGATTTCTGCATTTCCAACTAAGGTACCTGGCTCATCTCTTTGGTACAGGTTAGACAGTGGGTGCAGCCCACAGAGCACGAGCCAAAGCAGGGGGGGTGCATCACCTCACACGGTAAGCTCAAGGGGTGAGAAAACAACCTCCCCCACCAAAGGGAAGCCATGAGGGACTGTGCAATGAGGAATGGTGCATTCCAACCCAGATACTATGCTTTTCCCATGGTCTTTACAACCCACAGACCAGGAGATTCCCTCGAGTGCTGACACTACCAGGGCCCTGGGTTTCAAGCGCAAAACAGGGCAGCCATTTAGGCAGACACCAAGCTAGCTGCAGAAGGTTTTTTTTTTTTTTTTTTTTTTTTCCATACCCCAGTGACACCTGGAAGGCCAGCGACAGAACTGTTCACTCTCCTGGAAAGGGAACTGAAGCCAGGGAGCCAAGTGGATCAGTGGATCCCACCGCCACAGAGCCCAGCAAGCTAAAATCCACTGGCTTGAAATTCTTGCTGCCAGCACAGCAGTCTGAAGTCGACCTGGGACTCTCAAGCTTGGTGTGGGGAGAAGCGTCCACCATTACTGAGGCTTGAGTAGGTGGTTTTCCCCTCACAGTATAAACAAAGCTTCTGGGAAGTTCGAATTGGGCAGAGCCCACCACAGCTCTGCAAAGCTGCCATAGCCAGACTGCCTCTCTAGATTCCTCCTCTCTGGACAGGGCATCTCTGAAAGAAAGGCAGCAGCCCCAGTCAGGGGCTAACAGATAAAACTCCCACCTCTCTGGGACAGAGGACCTGGCGGAAGAGGCGGCTGTGGGTGCAGCTTCAGCAGACGTAAATGTTCCTGCCTGCCAGCTCTGAAGAGAGCAGCGAATCTCCCAGCACAGCACTCAAACTCTGCTAAGGGACAGACTGCCTCCTCAAGTGGGTCCCTGACCCCTGTGCCTCCTGACTGGGAGACACCTCCCAGCAGGGGTCAACAGACACCTCATACAGGAGAGCTCCACTAGCATCTGGCGGGTGCCCCTCTGGGACGAAACTTCCAGAGGAAGGAGCAGGCAGCAATCTTTGCTGTTCTGCAGTGTCTGCTAGTGATACTCAGGCAAACAGGGTCTGGAGTGGACCTCCAGCAAACTCCAGCAGGCCTGCAGGAGAGAAGCCTGCCTGTTAGGAGAAAAACTAAAAAACAGAAAGGAATAGCATCAACATCAACAAAAACGATGTCCACACAAAAACCCCATCCAAAGGTCACCAACATCAAAGACCAAAGGCAGATAAATCCAGGGAGATGAGGAAAAACCAGCACAAGAAGGCTGAAAATTCCAAAAACCAGAACACCTCTTCTCCTCCAAGGGATCATAACTCCTCGCCAGCAAGGAAACAAAACTGGATGGAAAATGAGTTTGACGAATTGACAGAAGTAGGCTTCGGAAGGTGGGTAACTCCTCCGAGCTAAAGGAGCACATTCTAACCCACTGCAAGGAAACTAAGAACCTTGAAAGAAGGTTAGAAGAATTGCTAACTAGAATAACCAGTCTAGAGAAAATCATCAATGACCTGATGGAGCTGAAAAACACAGCACAAGAACTTTGTGAAGCATACACAAGTATCAATAGCCAAATCGATCAAGTGGAAAAAAGGATATCAGAGATTGAAGATCAACTTAATGAAATAAAGCATGAAGACAAGATTAGAGAAAAATGAATGAAAAGGAATGAACAAAGCCTCCAAGAAATATGGGACTATGTGAGAAGACCAAACCTATGTTTGACTGGTGTACCTGAAAATGATGGGGAGAATGGAACCAAGTTGGAAAACACTCTTCAGGATATTATCCAGGAGAACTTCCCCAACCTAGCAAGACAGACCAACATTCAAGTTCAGGAAAGACAGAGACCACCACAAAGATACTTCTCGAGAAGAGCAGCCCCAAGACACGTAATCATCAGATTCACCAAGGTTGAAAGGAATGAAAAAAACGTTAAGGGCAGCCAGAGAGAAAGGTCGGGTTATCCACAAAGGGAAGCCCATCAGACTAACAGTGGATTTCTCTGCGGAAACACTACAAGCCAGAAGAGAGTGCGGGCCAATATTCAACATTCTTTTTTTTGTGTGAGATGGAGTTTCACTCTTGTTGCCCAGGCTGGAGTATGATGGCAAGATCTCGGCTCACCGCAACCTGACCTCCTGGGTTCAAGCGATTCTCCTGCCTCAGCCTCCCAAGTAGTTGGGATTACAGGCATGTGCCACCACAGCTGGCTAATTTTGTATTTTTAGTAGAGATGGAGTTTTCCCATGTTGGTCAGGCTGGTCTTGAACTCCTGACCTCAGGTGATCTGCCAGCCTCAGCCTCCCAAAGTGCTGGGATTACACACATGAGCCACGGTGCCTGGCACAACATTCTTAAAGAAAAGAATTTTCAACCCAGAATTTCAGAGCCAGCCAAACTAAGCTTCATAAGTGAAGGAGAAATAAAATCCTTCACAGAAAAGCAAATGCTGAAAGATTTTGTCACCACCAGTCCTGCCTTACAAGATCTTCTGAAGGAAGCACTAAATACAAAAAGGAAAAAGCAGTACCAGCCACTGCAAAAACATACCAAATTGTAAAGGCCATTGACATTATGAAGAATCTGCATCAACTAACGGGCAAAATAACCAGCTAGCATCATAATGACAGGATCAAACTCACACATAACAATATTAACCTTAAATGTAAACAGGCTAAATGCCCCCGTTAAAAGACACAGACTGGCAAATTGAATAAAGAGTCAAGATCCATTGGTGTGCTGTATTCGGGAGACCCATCTCACATGCAAAGACACACATAGGCTCAAAATAAAGAAATGGAGGAATATCTACCAAGAAAAAAAAAAAAGCAGGGGTTGCAATCCTGCAATCCTAGCCTCTGATAAAACAGACTTTAAACCAACCAAGATCAAAAAAGACAAAGAAGGGCATTACATAATGGTAAAAGGTTCAATGCAACAAGAAGAGCTAACTACCCTAAATATATAGGCACCCTATACAGAAGCACCCAATTCATAAGCAAGTTCTTAGAGACCTACAAAGAGACTTAGACTCCCACCCAATTAATAGTAGGAGACTTTAACACCCCACTGTCAATATTAGACAGATCAACGAGACAGAAAATTAACAAGGATATTCAGGACTTGAACTCAGCTCTGGACAAAGCAGACCTAATAGACATCTACAGAACTCTCCACCCCAAATCAACAGAATATACATTCTTCTCAGCACCACATCACACTTATTCTAAAATTGACCACAGAATTGGAAGTAAAACACTCCTCAGCAAGTGCAAAAGAACAGAAATCATAACAGTCTCCCGGACCCTGGTGCAATCAAATTAGAGGTTAAGATTAAGAAACTCACTGAAAATCGCCCAACTACATGGCAACTGAACAACCTGCTCCTGAATGACTACTGGGTAAATAATGAAATTAAGGCAGAAATAAATAAGTTCTTTGAAACCAATGAGAACACACAATGTACCAGAATCTCTAGGACACAGCTAAAGTAGTGTTTAGAGAAAAATTTATAGCACTAAGCGCTCACAGGAGAAAGCAGGAAAGATAAAAAATCAATACCCCATCACAATGAAAAGAACAAGAGAAGCAAGGGCAAACAAATTCAAAAGCTAGCAGAAGACAAGAAATAACTAAGATCAGAGTAGAACCAAAGGAGATAAAGACACGGAAAACCAAAAACAATCAACGAATCCAGGAGCTGGTTTTTTGAAAAGATTCACAAAATAGATAGACTACTAGCCAGACTAACGAAGAAGAAAAGAGAGAAGAATCAAATAGACACAATAAAAAATGATAAAGGGGATATCATCACTGATCCCAAAGAAATACAGTTTACAATCAGAGAATGCTATAAATACGTCTATGCAAATACACTAGAAAATCTAGAAGAAATGGATAAATACCTGGACACATACACCCTCCCAAGACTAAACCAGAAAGAAGTCAAATCCCTGAATAGACCAATAACAAGTTCTGAAATTGAAGCAGTAATTAAGAGCCTATCAACCAAAAAAAGCCCAGGACCAGATGGATTCACAGCCAAATTCTACCAGAGGTACAAAGAGGAGCTGGTACCATTCCTTCTGAAACTATTCCAAACAATATAAAAAGAGGGACTCCTCCATCACTCATTTTATGAGGCCAGTGTCATCCTGATACCAAAAACCTCCAGAGACACAACAAAAAAAAGAAAATTTCAGGCCAATATCCCTGATGAACTTCAATGTGAATATCCTCAATACCATACTGGCAAACCGAATCCAGAGCACATCAAAAGGCATGTCCACCACAATCAAGTCAGCTTCATCCCTGGGGTGCTAGGCTGGTTCAACATATGCAAATCAATAAACGTAATCCATCACATAAACAGAACCAATGACAAAAACTACATGATTATCCCAATAGATGCAGAAAAGGCCTTCAATAAAATTCAACACCCCTTCATGCTAAAATCTCTCAAGAAGCTAGGTATTGATGAATGTATCTCAAAATAATAAGAGCTATTTATGACAAACCCACAACCAATATCATACTGAGTGGGCAAAAGCTGGAAGCATTCCCTCTGAATACTGGCACAAGATAAGGATGCCCTCTCTTACCACTCCTATTCAGCATCGCATTGGAGGTTCTGGCCAGGGCAATCGGGCAAGAGAAAGAAATAAAGTGTATTCAAATAGGAAGAGAGGAAGTCAAATTGTCTCTGTCTGCAGAAGACATGAATGTATATTTAGAAAACCTCACTGTCTCAGCACAAAATTTCCTTAAGCTGATAAGTAACTTCAGCAAAGTCTCAGGATACAAAATCAATGTGCAGAAATCACAAGCATTCCTATAAACCAATAATAGACAGAGAACCAAATCATGAGTGAACTCCCATTTACACTTGCTACAAAGAGAATAAAATACCTAGGAATATAACTTACAAGGAATGTGAAGGACCTCTTCAAGGAGAACTACAAACTACTGCTCAAGGAAATAAGAGAGGACACAAACAAATGGAAAAAATATTCCATGCTCATGGAAAGGAAGAATCAATATCATGAAAATGGCCATACTGTCCAAAGTAATTCATAGATTCAATGCTATGCCCATCAAGCTACCACTGCCTTTCTTCACAGAATTAGAAAAAAAGTACTTTAAATTTCATATGGATCCAAAAAAGAGCCTGTATAAGCCAAGACAATTCTAAGCAAAAAGAACAATGCTGGTGGCATCACGCTACCCGACTTCAAACTGTACTACAAGGCTACAATAACCAAAACAGCATGGTACTGCTAGCAAAACAGATATATAGACCAATGGAACAGAACAGAGGCCTCAAAAATAACACCACACATCTACAACTATCTCATCTTTGACAAACCTGACAAAAACAAGCAATGGGAAAAGAATTCCCTATTTAATAAATGATTTTGGGAAAACTGGCTAGCCATATGCAGAAAACTGAAACTGGACCCCTTCCTTAAACCTTATGCAAAAATCAACTCAAGATGGATTAAAGACTTAAACATAAGACCTAAAACCATAAAAACCCTAGAAGAAAACCAAGGCAGTACCATTCAGGACATACGCATGGGCAAAGACTTCATGACTAAAACACCAAAAGCCAAAATTGACAATTGTGATCTAATTAAACTAAAAAGCTTCTGCATAGCAAAAAAAAAAACTATCATCAGTGTGAACAGGCAACCTACAGAATGGGAGAAAGTTTTTGCAATCTATCCATTTGACAAAGGGCTGATATCCAGAATTCACAAGAAACTTAAACAAATTTACAAGAAAAAAAAACCATCAAAAAGTGGGCAAAGGATATGAACTCACATTTCTCAAAAGAAGACATATACACAGCCAAAAGACACATGAAAAAATGCTCATCACCACTGTTCATTAGAGAAATGCAAATCAAAACCACAATGAGATACCATCTCATGCCAGTTAGAATCGCAATCATTAAAAAGTCAGGAAACAACAGATGTTGGAGAGGATGTGGAGAAACAGGAACACTTTTACACTGTTGGTGGGACTGTAAATTAGTTCAACCATTGTGAAAGACAGTGTGGCGATTCCTCAAGGATCTAGAACCAGAAATACCATTTGACTCAGCAATCCCATTACTGGGTATATACTCAAAGGATTATAAATCATTCTACTATAAAGACACATGAACACGTATATTTATTGCAGCACTATTCCCTATAGTAAAGACTTGGAACCGATCCAAATGCCCATCAATTGAGAGACTGGATAAAGAAAATGTGGCAAATACACACCATGGAATACTATGCAGCCATAAAAAAGGATGACTTCATATCCTTTGCAGGGACATGGATGAAGCTGGAAACCATCATTCTCAGCAAACTAACACAGGAACAGAAAAACAAACACCACATGTTCTAACTCATAAGTGGGAGTTGAACAATGAGAACACATGAACACAGGGAGGGGAACATTACACTCTGGGGTCTGTCAGGGGGTGGGGGGCTAGGGGAGGGATAGCATTAGGAGAAATACTTAATGTAGATGACGGGTTGATGGGTGCAGCAAACCACCATGGCACGTGTAACAAACCTGCACATTCTGCACATGTATCCCAGAACTTAAAATATAATTTTAAAAAGCCAAATGTAAACTACGTCTAATGTATTGTTCCTTTAGAATTTACAGCCTTGTTTTATGTAAATATATAATACATCCTCAATCACAGAATTATGAACACTGTATTATTTTCTCTTTTGTACATAAAATTATTAATGTCTAATATTCTGCAAACTATCCCTTCACTGTTAATTAAGGGAAAATAAATGAGATGATATCTAAAGAAAATTTGTCTTTATTCACCATCTAAAATAACTGACATTAATAATCAATTAATTTGATGCCCCTAATTTTCACAACAAAAACAACAAAGCATAATGACATTCAAAAGCTTACTCACTTTCCTAATTGGCTGTGATATTGTTTCTTCCTTATGCCTACATATTTAAATTGCAGTCTTACACCTGTTATAATTTATCCTACCAAAGTATCCTATCAAAGTATTATATTTCCAAAATATAACAATGAACTGAAAAGATTCCTTCATTAATCTTCTAACATGGACCACTTAAAAGTAAGTGAAGCATTATAGCTTAATTCGGTTAAATTTTCCATAGCATCAACATTCAACTGGAAATGTATCTGCCAGCTTATTAAGTGCTGAGGGTATCACATTATCCTCTGCAGAACTCGGCAAGATGACTCACACAGCAAAATAAGAAGACAAATGGATTGAAATGGAGTAACATTAAGTGCTATAAAAATCAGCTGGTAAAAATTACATGTGATGAAAGGTGTGTACTTTCTCAAAGAATTATGTCCTGAAATCACAGATATTTGGCCTTTAACATCAGAATAAGACACTTCTGATGGTAATTAAACTCAAGGTTAGAAACCTGTTACTCAATGTTCAAACAACAACAAACCCTCGGGCTATGATTACCAGCCTAGTTAACAACTTTTTAGCTACACTGTGATCAACAAAATTACTCTTTTTTTTCTGATTTTAATTTTGCAGTTAGTAATTTCTTAGAGTTGAAATAGAATTTAGAAAGTGTTAAGCCAACTACTTCATTCTGGAGATGAAGAAATGAAGGCTCCTGAAATGTCAGTATTGTGTTCCTCCTAGGTTGTAGCAAATATAGCACCTTTTTACATGTTTGTCCTAACAAAGGCTCTATTGTTTATGATTTTGAAAGGTTTCTTTATATCTAAGTCCAAAAATATCTTCCTGTCACTAATATATGTGTGTGAGTTTGTGTATCTTTTCTTTTATGCTAATAAAATATCTTAGACGAGAAAAAAGGTCCCTTAAGCTATCTTGGAATTTCTGGAAAAAACATTTCATACACTTTCAGCCTTTCAGCCTTTTAACAGATGTTTAATAGAATTGCATAATTAAAATAATATAGTTCTGTTTCTATCAACCTCATGGTTATATCAGTTGTACACAAACTGTTCTTAAGACACCAGGTAAAATTAAGCAAGGGTTTCCCAATTCCATTTTTAGAAGCCATAATTTTAGGGAAAAAAAATTAACTGCTTAACATTACTAACTTAACCTCTAGTACATCCTTTTAGCAACCTCTGAATTTAGTTAGGTAAGATAAACTGAGCTTAAAGGCTCAATTAGATTCATCCAATTTAAGGTATCAAAATTTGAAAAGGGAAAGTCTTTGAGACTTTAGACAGAAAAGAAATAATGACAATTTTAATAGGTGAGTTATTTTGCCTTGAATGAAGCAATGTGGAAGTAGCAAACATTCAACCATTCTGTTTCGTTGCTGAAACCTGAAGAGAATAGTCATGTGGTAACTATTCACATAATCAAGTGATAAGAGGGGTTATAAAAAAAAAATCAGAAAATTGTTTAGGCCCCATGCCCATTTTACTTTCAAAATGAATGAACTGACAAGCGTTTTTGGACTACACCTTAGGAAATTCATCTCAATATATATGTTAAAGGTGTTAAATTCAATAAAGATATGACTTGCATCTATTTCAAATCTGTAGCATAATTAAAATGCTTTCTACATATGCCACCTGCAACTATCCTAAGGTTTGGCATTATACAGTGTCTGGAATTATCTGAAAAGATCTCCAAAGGAGAGGTCAATTGTCAAAGACAACTCGGTGAGATAGAAGACAGATAGATGAGCACACACATGAAGCAGTCCATTTTCATGCAGCTGCTAGTACATCGAACCAACGTCCCCTGGATCTTTACTAAAAACTCTAAAAATGGTTATGAAAAAAAAAAAGCAGGACAAGTCACAAAATAACAAATTGTATTCCTTTTCACTGTTGTAATAACAAATTTACTCCCTATTCTTTTGAAATCTCTCTCACAGTATCTGACCAATTTTTTTTCCCCTCAGGTTACAAGCTTTTGTCAAAACTTAATGTTACTAGTTCAAAATATTTTATGAGAAGCTACAACATGTTAGTAAAACTGGGTTTGGAAAATAAAACATAGTTAGATTTTTTTTTTTTAACCTCCAAATCAAAGCTATCCACTAATGAGCCAATTCTGGCCATAAATATGTAATGCCATTACAGCTCTTACTGTACAATTCAAAGGGCAAATCTGATTAATATATCACCTGAGTGGCAGATATGTTTCAACTCCCACACCACTTCTGATTGAGGTGGATTTCTGATGTGATGACAGGCATGTAATGAATTTATCCTTCCTGACTTCCACCATGCCTTACATATGCTTGACATGTAAAACTATGTAGTGTTTTACTAGCAAGTACAAAGGGTGTATTGTCTCTTTGTAAGTGATCTCTTGCTGATAACAAAAACACAAAGTTATTGTAAATCACACTATAGCTACATTGTGTACAGATGTCTTGTCTTAAGGAATTTTAAACATAAAAGATGTAGGCACCGCTAAATAAAGATGCTATTTCTTGAGCTATGAAACAGGTGGAGATTATTACTATAGCCTCTATTTTATAGCTTAAGTAATCAAATTAGAGACAAAAGGAACTAACTAGCTTCCAGGAGTTGTCCATGAAAAATAAAGGGCATCTTGAATTTAATGTATTGTAGGGAAAAAAATGCACCTGACCAATAGTCTTATTATGAAAAAGGTTTTGGTGAAATATAGCTACTGTATCAACACAGGTTATCAGCTGTATGAAGGATCAATCTCATTCTTAATTTGTTTCAGAAAGAGTATGAAAAAGCGTAGAATGTGAAGAGGATCTGATAAGGATTATTATATACAAATGGGCAGGAATTGATATTTTTTCATTAAAAAAACTACGTGGTATATTTGAAGGTGCTTGTTGAATATATCAAATAAGGTAATGATATAGCAATGAGGCTTAATCTCTAGTTGCAATAGGAACAGACTGTGTGACCCGTACTTAGGCATTTAATTCTTAGTTTCCCTCTCTCTAAAATGGAACTATCAATACCTGCTTCAGAGGGCTGTTTTATAGACTGAATGAAACCATGTAAATGAAAGTTTCTAGCTTAGCACCTTAATGCCTGGCATACGCTCAGCATTTGGTAAGTGATTACCAAAGAAGAAAATGATGGATAGTAATAGTTTAACACTGGACAAAGACAACAAGTAGTTTCATTTTGGAATATTCATTTATCTACCATCTTCATCCTCCTCTTCTCAGAAACTTGGTCTTCCATGAACTGCTCTTCTATAATAGCTAGAAGGATCTTACACCTCTATTCAACTTAATGATCATAGCACATAGTCCCTGCTAAGGCCTTACTCTTTTCCCTGCTGTCTTACACTCTGATTTAACACTGAGTTAACAACATTTTAAAACAAAGATCAGGCTCTTGGTGTGCAAGGTCCACATAAAATCCCATAACAGCTTCAATTTATATCCCTCAGTGCTATTTTCACATGCTAGTAATACCATTTGAAAAGTGAAAAAAATATATATTAAACATGCATATAAAAATAAAATTATAAAACAAATGCATAATTCCAATATTGCAAACCATGAATGAAAAAGATAATCTTCTGATGATGTTCTTACATATGCAATTCTATTTCTCCTATTATTATGTCAAAACATAGAATTTTTAAATAGAACATCTATTTTATTTGATACCCATTTCTGTGACTTAGTTTCCTGCCTATCTTAATTTTAAAAACATGGAAACTTCACACACACATTAATTTAGCCAATTGCATGGATCTTTCAGATTTGTTCATTCTATAAAATACTCCCCAACTTTGAGTACTTAGCAAAGTGCCAAACATTTATCTATATCTCTACAAGTACAGATGTATCAATATAGATTTTTAAATAAATAAATACAATTAGCCCATGGAAAGGTTAAGTGAACTACTTTTTTTGTTTTACTTTAACTGTTAAATGTCTGCAACTATGGTTCTCAAGCAGGGGCACTTTTGCCTACCATGGGACATTTGGCAATACCCAGAGATATGTTCGGTTGTCACATCTGGAGGTTGGGGGAAAACTGTTACTAGCAGGTGGAGGCCAGAGATGCTAGTAAGCATTCTACAATGCACAGGACACCCCTCTACAACAAATATTTATCGGGTCCAAGATGACAATAGTGCTGAGGCTAAGAAACCCTAGACTACATGGAAATTTAACAATTTGACATCCTTCAGAAATCAAACTAATAAGCTCTTTTGGTGTATTAATCTTCGAGTATGAACTATGCTATCTGACTGTAGGAGTGTAAAACTGTTAAAACAAAGTGTTAAACTAATACAACTAGGTAACTTTTTTGAATCTACATCATATGACTTTTGACATCTGCGCAAACCACCCCTACTAGTGCTGTCTCTGACAAGATCCCTGCAGCCTGCTGATCCTGCCAGTGGATCCGCGCGGCAGTGAGCACAGAGAATTGAAATGTTATAAGCAATGGGTGCTTTGTCAGAGCTGCTGCAATCTGCAAGTCAATCAGGCTTAATTGATCTAATAAACAAAAACATTACATCCATTATAAAACCTCCAGAATCACTGTCATGTTGTCATTGATTAATTCCTACTCATTTACTCAACAGAAAGAGTTTTGCAGCAAGAAATAAAATGCTCTAAATGACATCTAGTCCTTTTACAAAGCCAGGTGTCTAATTATAGCAATTCCTTTCCCTCTTTCTGTCTTTCAGGCAGCAATATTAGCTGCAGAAACTACTAACTCCTTGCTGAGAGCAACACATTTTTAAAATTTTAAATGCTGGTTACCTTAGAAGAAAACAATGTGGAAGAAAATAAAATTCTTAGGTAAGATAAATTGGCTGAGGCATCAATAATCTGGATAATTTATTAAATGTACAGTAATCACCTTTGAATCACTTTTAATATTTGAGTTAGCTCCTATTAAAGCAAGATTTAATCTACCTAAATTAAAACTATCAAGACATCAAGATCAATTTTGTTCCACCATCTTTTTCAGGATAACCTTATTAGAAACACAAATCTGGTATCTATCATTATCCATCTGAATCATTCATGGGTTTACCATAGCTTTTAAACTCTTCAGCTTAACTCACAAAGTCCCTCATAACCTGGGCCTAACCCTCTAGCCCTGTGTCTTTCCTTTTCTCATCATTGCCCCTTAGCATTTGCCCCTCCCATTGTATTAAACCGCCACCAGTTTCTGGAACATCTTGTATCTTTTTCATGCTTCCTTGACTTAAAATATAATGGTGCCTCAATCTCGTATGTCTTCTGTCTCTTTATCTACCTAGTTTATTCCTTCTACTTATCCTTCAAATTACTATCTAAGCATCACTGGAACTACACAGAAAGATCTGCCTGCCTCTCTGTCTTCTGTTTCCATAGAACCATGGGAACTCCACTGATGTTCATACTCCACTGCTTTCTTGGATAATCTTCTGTCTCTCATGTGAGATGAGATTCTTTAAGGGTAAGAAGCCTCAAATGTATACCCACAGTCTCTGGCAGCACCTAACATAGAACAGCACAGAGTAGACAACTGGTGACTGAACGAATCAATGATGAATCAGTGATGACACTTTCATAGATCTGGGTATATGGGTTTTTTTCTACACTTACAATGGTAATATTTTATTCCTCATCTGATCTGGTCATAATTATATCATATATATCTAAAATATCCTGTAATCAGGCTATGTACCCATTGAAACCTTCAAGGCTTTAGCATCTGTTACATAATAGCTGCTTAATATATATTTGATGAATGAATAAATCAAGAAATAAATCTTCAAAAATTATTAAGTATAATTAATCTAAGAATCGCAAAATCTAGATAAAGTTGACTAACAAAAGGAATGGATATGCACAACTTATTTCCTTTAAAGATTCAGAAAAATGTATATGACGGAGAGTGTCAGCAAAATGTTAACAACTGGAAAATCTACTTGAATGGTATATGGTATTTATTATACTAGTATTATAATTTTTGTTGGGTTTAATTTTTTTTCAAAATAAAAGCTGAGGAGAAAATGACAGCAGATATAATAAATGTAGAACTACTTAATGAAGGGTCAACAGAGTTCTATGGGAGCCCTAAGAAGAAGCATAGGAGAAGAACCCCCAATCAGGCCTGGGAGCAGAGGGAGTTAACTAGAGAAGGCATCATAGAAAGGATGATTCCTGAGATGAGTCTTAAAGGACAGAGAGAGATGGGGACAGGAAGAAGATCAGGGGATTCCAGGATGAGTAAGTGACCTAAATGGCACAGGCAGGGAGGGATTGTTCATATTTGATTTTTTTCAATGAAAACAATTAAAATTTTTATTAACATTACCAAGATAATTATTAAACGGGTATATGATTTTCAGCTATCATTAATCTTAACCACGAAGGTTTGGGATAAGGGTGTGGGGCTTTTGTTATGATTGGTTTAACAAGGAAGCTGCTTTTCCTTTAAAATATGAAAGATTTATTGGAGGAGGGAAAAACGACAGGACTACTAACCTGATTATAAGCACAGACCAAAGACCTATTCAAGACACGTTAGGCTGAAGATACTAAAAAAGTGACAGAACAAGGATATCACAAATTAGGATGATTAAACATTTGGAAATCATCAGAGACCTGGCCAAGGTATGTGGTTGACATGACAAAGCCAAAAGAATATACTGAAGACTTGTCTAACAGGTATCCTGGGCAAAGCTGAACAGAGAGGAAAAAGCCCAATGTTTTCAAAAGGCAGTAAGTATAATTTTTAAATCTCACTTGTAAATAGCTTCTGTGTATTATTGTGCTTTGTATTTTATAGTGAGACTGGTCTAACTGCAGATGAAGAAAAGATAGGCACCATAAAACAGGGATGATTTACCTAATGTCTGAACTCTCTCCTAGCTTTTAAAACCACTATGAATCACTGAGGAATTTTCTATCTGAATAGAAGAAAGGGCCTGGAGCACCTATGCTCACATGTAGCAATCACATTAATTAACACCATCAGAGATATCTAGAACCATCCCTTATCTTTTATTATACTCCTCTCTCAAATCCCAGAATGAAAATCCTGGGATTCTCAAATCTTGGCCTCTCCAGGAATGTGCAGGAGCCAGCTTACACTGGCTGGCAATAGCTGATTGGGAGCATCTCTTCTTACCTCCACATTTAGTGATTTCACTTAGGTAGCTTTAAGTCTGTGATATTAGTGCCTGCACCACAGAAATCAGCAAACCTGACAAATCAGTGTCTCCTTCCCCACCCCCATAAGAGCAGGTTGGTAAACATTTACCAGGATACCACTGGATCCATCTCACCTAGACAGTCAGGAGTCAACTAAGAATTGTGTGATAAATAATAGATGGAATTTTAGACTTGAATAATATTTAAATAAAAATTATGTGAGAAATGGAGATACTATTTTTTAAATTTTAGTTTGGCAATCTGTTGATAAGCAAATCCATTTGGATTCTCCTTTTAAATCAAATGACTTGAAACTTACTAGGTCAAAATACATATAGTTTCTTCTGCTAGTGACAGCAAAGAAGAATGCAAAAACAATTTCTTGCTTATACATGTAGTTAAACTCAAATAATATAATAGGCATATAAACTTAAATTGTGTTATTTCAGGGATATAAGGTTTTAATCTTCAGGGAAATAATTAGTCATTGTTCATAAGCAGTAAATCTAGCTTTTGAATGAGTCAAACTGTTTCCCCTTCAAGGGAAATTAATTGTTAATGTACTTTTAAGCAACTGATATCTTCCTAAAGCATGTGTATTTATTACTTTAAAAACCAGATGAGGCTGGGCACGGTGGCTCATACCTGTAATTCCCGCACTTTGGGAGGCCAAGGTGGGAAGATCACTTGAGCCCAGGAGTTTGAGACCAGCCTGGGCAACATAGTGAGACCCCATCTCTATTAAAATAATAATAATAATAATAGTAATAATAATAATGTCCACAACATTTCCTTTGTAATTCAGAGGTTAACTGATGTGAATCCCTTAGTTACTTTTTTAGAAAAGATAGTTAAACTAGTGCTTCCTTATGTAATCCATAATCAGGGAAGAAGCAAAGCATGCTTTAGCAACATGAATAAAAGGAAAAAATGAAAAACAGAATGTCATCAGTTGGATATCTCAATTCATTCTCCTTAACAGCAAAGGAAATAGATCTAGTTGCAGGGAAAACTAATTGAACTGGATATTTAACAGTAAATGAAATACATATTTTTCAAATATTTCTTGCTCTCTTTTCTATCCTTTATCCTAATGAGTCACTTATCATTTATTGTCTTTTTTTCTCTCACATACCAGGACTACACAATTCTCAAGAAGCCAATGATTTAACATTACCATCACTATCTTCATCAACACATTTATGTTTAAATATGAATAAAAATGAGAAGTACCTTTAATAAAATATCACTAATCAAAGATAATAACATATTTATAAGAAGTGAATAAACTTTTATATGACTTCAAAACTTCAGAAATCATAATTTGTCTTTTAAGCTTAAAAAAATCTCTCTTTATACACATTTCGCTCTTCATGGGATACCTGAAACTGTCCTCACTGATGTAGTGTGTAAAATTTAGAAGACTAAAATTAACAAACCCCCTTTTTCTTAAATACGTCCTACAAGCATACTCATTCCTTAATTTATACACACACAGACACAGATACACGCACGTGCGTGCGCACACACACACACACACCCTTCTAACTTCATTTTGACCTTTTCAAGTGTGTTCTGCTCCATGGACCCCTGAAATCCCCATATTTATTTCAATGAGTTTTCTTCCTTTCTCTGCCACCATCCATGTCCTGATAAGCTGATGATGCATGCCATGAGCCAACCTTATTTCTAACTCTTCACAGCTCCCTGCTTCAATCACTTTCTTATCATCTCACTGAAGCTTAGATTCCCCTAATGAGTAACTTTACTCACTCATGTCAGTCTATAGCCAATCTCCTGTGGGAGTAGTAACTTAAAGAAGCAAGAGTAAGGTGGGAAAATAAAACACTCACCATCTGAGATTCAATTTCTCTAACACAGTTGTCTACATACCCTTTCTCCTGCTCCACTCTACTTTCCCAAAACACACACACATACCCTTAAAACTCCAATTATCACATTACTGAAATAACAGTAGTGTTTAACCATTCCTGCCCACACCCACCCGTGGCTGATTTCCCTGCTCCTATAACACTCCATCTCAGGGTTGGAAATGTAGTACTAAGAAAGCATGAGAAAACTGCTATCATGATTTATATTTACAAAACAGTATTATTTTATACACAACTCACAACAGCCATTTGAAGTAATCATGGCAGATGCTACAACTTTGTTTTAGCGATAAGAAAATTGGCTCTAAGATGTAAAAAGTCCGTTCAAAGATCATATAACTAAGGAGTAGCAATGGTCTTGACTATAACTGTGGGCTTCTGAAAACTGAATCCTGCCTCCGTCCTTGTGTCACTATTAAGAATAGTAGCTAATAATTCACAAACCACAGCTACCATTCTTGAAGTTCTCTCTGGGCTTGTACTACACTGGGCTCTCTATTCTTATTCTCCCAGCAGCCTGGAGAGATGGGCCAGGCATGTTTTATAATTCAGGATGACATGATCTCTGTTGAGAAAATGAGTAAAGTGAAGACCAACATTTACGTCAATAGCATGGTGAATTGGAGGTTTAAAATCAGGTCTACTCATTCCCAGACTGCCTCTCTACCACAGGACCCACCACATTTGATATTATAAGTATGGTAACACCACAAGGGAAACACATGATTTTGCATTAAGATATACCTGGGTTACAGTAAGAACACACACACACACACACACACACTACACACATATGCCCAGATCCCCTCTGGAATACAGAATAAAAGTAACTGTATTTTTTATCATTTTAAAAAAGAAAAAGCAGGGCCAGGTGTGGTGGCTCACGCCTGTAATCCCAGCACTTTGGGAGGCCGAGGTCTCACTTTGGGCAGATCATGAGGTCAGGAGTTCGAGACCAGCCTGACCAACATGGTGAAACCCGGTCTCTACTAAAAATACAAAAATTAGCTGGGAGTGGTGGTGCGAACGTGTAATCCCAGCTACTAGGGAGACTGAGACACAAGAATCACTTGATTCCAGGAGGTGGAGGCTGCAGTGAGCTGAGATTGTGCCACTGCACTCCAGCGACCAAGTGAGACTCTGTCTCAAATAAATAAATCAGGACATTTTAAAGAGTGGACTTTGTCAGGCAAACTTGGATTACTAGAAGCTTCCTCACCTCTGTAACACATTCTAGTATTCCACTGTTTAAGAAGCAGATTCTGGTCGATACATTTTATAAAGAGACAATACCCTTTAAAAAGTTTAGTGCTATTGGTGGCACATAAAAACTGTGAAAAGTATTAATTCTAGTCAATCTCAGGAAAGAATAGAATAATAAGTTTTTCGGGTGCTTTTTTTTTTTAATTAAAAAAGTGTGCTGGGATATTTGTTTATCTTAGTTTGAGACTATTAAAATTGCATCTGAGCATAAAGCATAAGTTAGATTTTTTTTCTTAGCATACATTTTAATGACTCAGAGAATGATTTCATAAAACCATGAAAATTTCACACGATTCTGGAATTCTTGCTTCTTCCCATGAGAAACAAAGAGTGGGAAATGGAGGCCAGAAGCAATTTTGCCTTTCTCTTTAAAAAGCAGGCTCTTTTTTCTCTGGGTTCTAGTAAGGTATAAGGCCACGCTGGCCACTCCTACGATGGCTGTTTACTGACTTGGCACAACACATGTTGCACATGATATCTTGTGCTGCTTCCGCATGCTATGATTTTGACTCTATCAACTAGAATACTGAAATTGGTGGAAGCAGATGAAATCATTCTTGGGGAAAAAGTCACACACTTAGTAGATAATTTTCATCATTAGCTTTGAAATGTTGACTCTTCAGTAGTACAGTAAGTGAATACTAATATTCAGTATAATCATCTAAATTTTGGACTATATGTAATAATTTGATTTAGCCTAGCTGTGTCATATCTGTTGCATACTAATAAAAAATTACACTTTTCTAATTGTAAAAATACAAAATTTTTCTAATTGAAAAATACGAAAAAATGGTTAATTCCATGATCTTATAAAACTTAAATGTTACTTAAATAACATGCACTTAAACTAAAATGCAAATTGTATCAATTTCCAGGATTACCAAATACACAGTAATAAACCAAAGATTATGATATTTTGCTTCATTTTATTCAACTGATGTCAAATTACATTCACTCTGATTTTTATTTGTGTAAAATTTATGTATGTCTAATTACATAATCCTTGCAGGTTTAAATTTGTAAAGCCAAATTAAACTGGACGCAGGCACTGCTCTAGGCATTTGTGTATACTAACTCATTTAATTCTCATAACAACACTATAAGATAGATAATATCAATTGCCAAGTTGACCGAGACAGTATGAAGTCAAGCTGGTAAGAAGCCTGGCTCTGGAGTCCCAGCACCAATCATGTTGCTATTTTGCCTCTCAGGCATTTGGGCAGAGACTGGATCTCACTTACGATTTTTTTGTCATACTTTCTTTTAATTGTTTGCTCATTCCTTCACTCAATGTATTGAGCATAAAAAAAAATGCCAAGCTCTGGAGGAATAATGATGAATAACAGAAATTTCTGCCTTTCAGTAGTACCCAAGTTTGGTAAGGAGATTCAACTTTTGATGAAATAATTACAATACACTGAGAAAACTGCTGAAAATAGGTAAAAATTTCTTTAGTAAAAGGCGAAAGATTTACACGATCTGAAGAGAAACCAGAGTGAAAACAGGTAAAAATTTCTATAGAAGCAAATACTAAGGGGGAATCATTTAAACACTGAATTTCAATTTCCTCATCTATAAAACTGACATTAAGTAACAAGTATTTATCTCTGAAAATACATAATTCTACAACATGATTAAACATGCTAAGTTGGTATTTACTTTTCTTACACAACAATATGTGCCCTATTTTATTCTATATAAACCAAAGGCTTCAGGGCAGTTTTTTTTTTTCATATAGTAAAAATTGTAAAATTAAGGTGAAATAATTGGGAATATAAAACCCCAATGTAAGATAAAGCAAATTGCTTTATTATTTTTAAAAATGAAGAGACCCCAAATACAGAATTAAGCAGTAAAAATCTTTTGTAGTTCTTTCATTAATCTGTATGATCCAAACTCAAGTACGTAATTTTTTCTTTTTTAAGAGGCAGGTTTTGCTTTGTTACCCAGGCTGGAGGGCCATGGCACCACCACGCCTCACGGCAGCCTCCACCTCATGGCATCAAGTGATCCTTCTGCCTCAGCCTCCCACGTAGCAGGGACCACAGGCGGAAGCCACCATGCTCAGTTATTATTATTATTATTTTTAGAGACAGGGTCTTGCTATGTTGCCCAGGCTTGTCTTAAACTCCTGGGCTCAAGTAATCCTTCCACCTCAGTCTCCTAAGGTACGTAATATTTTAATAGCAAACCACTTTTCTGCAATGCAGCTATTTTAAAAAATGAATTCAATCATCAAATATCATTAAAGCTTCATGTAACACAGACTGGTGAGAGAACATGAATAAAAGCTATTGTTCAGACCTCAATTGGATGCCTGACTCTTGATTATACTTTGAACAACAACTTTGTCTACTGTCTACTTCTTTCTCCTTCAATGAATCTCTATCATGTAGCAACCAAATTACCTCTTTCACTTAAACTAGGGGATTAGGTCCTAATTTTCTTTCAAAGTACTCACCAAAAAGAAGATAAAATTTATGCTCATACTGATTTTCTCTCATCTTTTCTAATATTTCACCAATCCATGTAGCACAGGCCAGGTGCTCTTAACTCTGGGAAGGCTACAGTGGGTGGGCTGCAGAGATTTTGTGAACCTCTGAATTTGCATGCCAGATTTTGAGGTTACATGCTGATGTGCACTATGTTTTAAAATGTCTACCACATTTTCAAAATGGACTATAAGCCAAAAAAAAAAAAAAAAAAGGATTTGTTGAGATAGACTCTTCTTCAATAATTAATATGCCTAAGATATGACAAGGGCTTGATAATTAGTATAGAATTTATGTTTTATACTTGAATTTACCCAGTGGTATCTACCTCACATCATTCATCCAGGCCCTCAAGTATCACAAAAAAATTAAATAAATCAAAAATAGAAACACAAAAAAGGAGACAAATCACCTAGTGGCTTGGTCAATTCCTACGCACTATTTCCTCTGCCTGACTACTCTAAAAGGCAACCTTTTCAGCCTCTGTTGCATTAAGTTGGTGGCACATTATTCTAGCCAAAAGACACTAAGCGTAAATGGTGGTTTGATTTCCCAGAAGAGATTATTGGAAACCAATGTTCTTTTCCCATCTCTCTCTGACACAGCCTCAGACACTTTGGAAGCCACACATCAGAGGAAGGCAGAGTAAGCTTGGATTCCTGAGTAGTTGGATGAAAGAGTACACCATTGACTTTACAGGAGAAAGAAAGACACCTTTGCTAGGATAAGCTTCTGAGACTGAGGTGTGTTTTTGTTCGCTGATCACAGAGTACTCTGACTTTTGTACTCTCATATAAAAGACAAAAAATTATATCTGACACACATAGTTTAAATCTGTCTGGATTTAATTTTAAGAGAGTTTACTACAAGTGTTGTTTCTATGTTTGTAAACTATTCATCATAAAATAGACTTAAACAAGTTCATTTCATAACGTACTACATAATCCAAGAAGTTTACATCCATGCACCTCCCTAAAAAGGATAAAACTTAGCCTAATGTCCAAATTAAAACAGCTATTCTTGCATGCAGTCATTCAACCAACACTAAGTGAGCACTGACACAACAGTGTTAGCCACAGTACATGCAGGGCAAATGATGTGTCTCTGCTGCATCCCAGAGGACTCAGGTCAGTAAATGACTGCAACAGGAACTGATGTGGGTTACTAACGGAGACATTTCCCACAGCTTAGGAAATGGAGGGGATCAAGGGAGACTCCCCAGAGGAGCTGTCTCCGGTATTGAGTCTAAAAGGATGAGTCGTAAGTTTAAAAACAACAACAACCAAAAAAAAACAACAACAGCAAAAAAAAACCAGGGTGGGAAAATTTTTATGAAAAGAAAATTGTGTGAAGACAGAAATGTGAGACAGGGCGATGTGTTTTAAAAACTCCAGGGAGGTTGGACAGGAGAGTCTACACTAAAGAGTGGTTCAAGGCAGCCCTAGAGACGTGAGCCAGGATAAAATTGTTTTAATTTACAATTCTAGTGTAGTTAAATGATGTTCTCATGCTTTCCTGGGACTCTCTAGAAGAAAACAAGATGTCTGTGCAACTGTACAACAGTCATAATCAACCAGTGTTTTAAGTGATTAGTGATAGTAATAATTTTTAAAACATGAAAAAATGAATACATGAAAGCTGTCATCGGCCATATTTTGCTCATCCTAAATTTACTGTCTTATCTTTCTATTTTTCCTTCTGAAGAGAAATAAAACAAAGTATTTTCAGGAGGAATAAAATCAACTGGCTAACATAACACATTTTATAGCTTTACATAATTTAGGAATTAAAATAGCTACAATTTTTCACTTCAAATATAATGTTGAGTCTAAAGCCATAAAAATGGTAGACAGTTCATAATGTTTCTATGTCTAACTGTACTTTGAAAAATAGATTATCGATCATTTGTGAAAAAAATAAATAAAGTGGATTAGTAGAGACCAAGTATATGCTTAGAGCAATGCTGGACATTTACTAAGTACTTTTGAATCTCCAAAATATAATCTGAAAATATAATAATAGTAGCTAACATTTAATAAGGCTTTATCATGTGCTAGACCCTGTTTGCATGCTTTTTGTGTTTCACTTCATTTAAATATCTTAAAAGTCACTTCAGCAAAGAATTTTAAGTAACCCAGTGTTACAGATGACACAACTACAGCTTATAGTAACTTGTATCTGATTGCATAGCTAGTGATTCCTGAGGCCAGAATTCAACACACTAGCAGTCTGACTTCAAGCCCACTACCTTAAAACCCCTCCTATAAGTGTTTACACATAAAAAGGTGTTTAAAAAATTGTTGTACCATATATGTACAAGTAAAAAGGGTCAGGATTTGACAAATATACTCCAACTGTGAAATTACACCTTTAATAAAACTCGAAAACTAATAACTTACAGAAAAAATAGCAACCATAAAACAAACACTAACATAAAACATGTTTTCTACATGAGAGGCAGACAACATTTAGTTAACTTTTGCTTAGAGTTATTTTTGCTATGTAAGAATCAGAAAATGCAATCCAACTATTCTAATCAAGGGATTTGTGCTTATGGTATGGATCAGACAAAATATAATGACATAATGAAATCTCATTTGTTTGACATAGTGGTATAAACCATGGCATTTAACAACTATTTGCCTTGCAAATTTTTGTCTTTTCATTTTTTTCAGTTAAATGTTTCTACTTATTACAATGAATTATAGTTACAACTTCTATCTGGCTTTGGATATATCCACTTCTGAACTCTAAGTTATGTTTTGTTATGCAGTAACTTTATTAACCAAAAACAGGAAAAAAAAAAGTCTGATACATAATAATCTGCCCCATTCATTAGAAATTGAGGACTTGTTTTGGAAACAGCTTTTGAGGTTCACCTAGGTAGCTAATTAGTCATCAGCCTTGTACTATGATCGATAGGCAGGGCTATGAAACTTCTTCCCCTAAGAGCACTGACTTCGGGGGTTACCGAAACACATTAGAACACATGCATGGATAAAACATGTCCTCTGCCCTCATGAAATTCTATCGAGATGGGTCTATAAGTCAAAGTTAAAATAAAATATTTTTAAAAAGAGTAAAGAAAGGAGTGTGGACCCAAGGCATGGAACCACCCAAATGACAAGGATGACCAAAATGCAGGTAGTATTAGGGAATGGAATCTGGCTAAGCACCTTCATTTCTGTCTCTCAGGAAGTTTTTGGTTAATCTTCCATTCAAGGCCAATCTCTCTAACTCACTTTTTCTTAATCCCTTCTCATCTTCTCTGATATTTCCCTATTTTAGCGATTTGTCATTCATTCTTTCACTCTCCACTGACGGCTGCCCCTTCCCTTAGTGAAAAAGACATGCTTCCACTATTCTGCAGTGGAATAACCCTCACTGCTCTACAACAACCTCTTCTGTGCTGAATCCTTCAGCTGACTCCCACTTCTCTTATTATTATTGAATTTCTTTATAGAGTTGTCTACATGTGTTGAGGCCTCATGCATTACCTCCCAATTTACTAGTGACTCATCTTCTTGGAATCTGGTTTACAATCTGAATTCTACCTCCTCTCTCCCAATTCTACTCATCTGCTTTCAAAGATTACTACTGTCCTTTTAACAGCCAAAGTGATTTTTTTCTCATTTCTTGTCTTCTCTATAGAATAACTAGTTACTTTCTGAATGTTTTTCTCTTTTGCCTTGGCAAAGCACCATCCTCATTTACCTGCTATGTATTAACCTACTCATTCTCTGACACTTTCTTTTGATTTCCCTCCTTTCTGACTGCTGGTTATAGAGAGATGCGCCAAGGTTTGTCTTTAGATTCCTTCTTCTTACTGTACATTCTCTCTGGGTATTTTCTTCCTATCACAGCACTATCAGTCTGTGTAAGAGGGTTTCAGATGTTTTTCCTTAAATTCAACCCTCCCAAACCAATTACATGTTCTCCCTAAAAAGAAAGAGAAAACATCAATTTTAACACCTATATTTCTTATCTTAGCAAAGGGCAATGCTCCAGGCCTAGTCATCCCAACTATAAATCTCAAGGTAATTTTCTGCTAACCTTCCTATCTACATGATGAGAAATGAATGATAAAAACAGTAGCATTAAAATACACACATACACACACACACACAGACAATTTACTGTGCCCACTTTTTAATACTTTTTTGAAAGCAACACCTCAATTTTCCTGAAATATCTTTGAGTGGGCTATGTAATTTTATTGTTTAAGATGGACCGCTATGAAAAAAAGGAACTAAATACTTTCTTATTATTAGGATGACTAATGGATAAGTCAGAAATTATATCCAGCACTTCCAGTTGAGTGATTTCCTCTAGTTGCAAGAGTAAAAATTTTTTATAGTGCAACTCAGAAAAATTATACACTAGCATTTCAATAATCTGTTCAAAGTCAGTTTCCATTTTTTTTCATTTTTTAACATGCCATGGATATGTCACATTCAGCTATTCTTTTAAAAATAAGATATGTTTCCAACTGTTCTATTCACTAAATAACACCACTGATGTTTAGTTTTTTCAATATTGTTTATGTACTTTCTCAAACTATGAAACAAGACATTGTAGGTAACTTAAGTCAAAATCTAGCCCCATAAATCAGCACTAAGATAAAGGCAATAGATACAAATAATTACACAGTAATCCCTGAAGAACTGTTATTCAAGTATTTCAAACATGTACAGTGTGCCTGTACATACATACTCTATTTAGCACAAGGGATACATTCTTAGGGAATGGGCCCCAGGAGAGGTCTTGATAGCCAGAATTTTTGCTAACCTGATCTTGCTTCCCTGTCAGCCAAAGTTCTTCCCTTCTCTTCAAATTCCACCTCAGTTTATTTTTGTAACCATGCATTCTGTTCCCAGGAGGTAGTAAGACTTATTATGCTCTCTGTAATGTCCTAAGACTTCCAACAAGCCCTAATCTCATATTTCACCTGCTTCCCCAACCTTTTTCTCAAGCACTTAAAAACCTTCTATGATCATATCAAGTCCAGTGCCTTTTTCTACACCAAAGACATTCAATACACTTTGGATATTGCTGCAATTGCTGCTGCCGGCTAAATGTTAAAAGTACAAAGTACTCTGTCTTCCTTTAATAATCATTACTATCAAAATCAAATGAAAATGGGGCTAGAAAACACACTAAATTCTTCTAAACCGCTATAATTTTCTTAACCCACTTCAGTTTATTTTATTTAGGATGTGATTACATGGGCCAATGTTTATTTTTAGGATAGTACTAACTGCCCTTTTGCTTATTATTTGTGTTTTCTCATCTCCTGATTCCCAAAAGCTCTGTAAATGTAGAGTAATTCAACCTACATAATAAATTACAACCAAAAGATTATGACTGTACTATAACAACTGCCTATTACCACAAGAGAAAATGAGGAATTTCACCAGGGTTCTTTAAGTGAATTCTTTGTAATACTTTCAAATAAGTATTGTTTCCTAAAAATAATAAACAGGAAGAATAATGTGTTACCTACTGAGTTTATCCATTTACTTGTTCACTTATTCACTCACTCATTGATTTCCACTAGCACATACTCATTTATTCAGTAAATACACATTGGCTTATCCACCTGTTTGAGCAAATAAAAATTTTTTGTTGATATAGCAACTTCTATATTCTCTAGTATCTGTTAAAAATACATTTTTCTCCATAAGGGACAGATGCTTGTTTTCTGTTGCCTATCTCTCCTCCCATTACATTCCTTTTCTCTTTTGGAAGGTATCTAACTCTTTCAAGCAATAGAACTATCATTCTCAAAACTGTAGACTAAATGGTAAATATCATCTTAATTTTTAAAATCTATGACTCATCCTGGAGGAAAAGTCTGTATTCTTTTCACCCACCTGTTATTCTAAATAGATTAAAATTTATACTACCAATTATCCTTATAAAAACAATAATTACATTTTCAATTTTACTGTTCATGAGAACAACATACAGTTGTGGGATTCATGAGCAGAATTCATAAAAATATTGACTTTCACAGTATATTTTTAAACATGCATTTATATTGCTTTTCAGATAAATGAATTATTTCACAGAGATGAGTATCAGTTTACAAAAAGTACTGTGCTGTGCATTATCTTTATTAGATTTGTTCAACCAAGGAGTCAAGATGGCGGCAGGTATACTTCCGAGAAAACATGACACGCACAGAGTAACATGGTGATCAAATGGGGACCTGTCATAGGAAGCCAAATAACTGACTCCAAGTCCAGTGCTTTTTCACACTGTCTTCTTACATGATTTTCTGTGTTCTTTGTTGTAAAGCTCCTGACTTCCATTAAAAATGCCAAACACATTGAAAGCTTTCAGTGTAAACTGACCTGATGCTATAAAGGTCGACATATTTGAGCAATAGGCAGAAAATGGCCTATTTGAAGACTTAAAAGACATAAAACCTAAATTTAAAATACATTTGATATGAAAACTATAACCTAAAAGTGACTAAAAGTATAATTTTAACTCAATTTGAGGTTCTATAAAAATATATTTTTTTAAAGTGTCAATTAATGCTTTTAAAATAATCCATTTTTTTCATGTTACTTTTCAACTCATGGAAAATATTTTTAAATATTTTTGGTTCTCTAATGAACACAAATCAAACTTTCCTCTGAGTTGAAATTTCCTTTTTAAAGGGAACTCTTCTCATGTAGCAATCTTAATACAGTATAGTTGGCTGTTCTATTGTTATATGAGTTTTCACTAAGCGTTTGTTTACAAATATGTCAGCATAGCTCCAAAATTATAATTACACTAAAAAGCATGAGCTCAATCTCTCAATCCTAAACTTTGAAATTACAATATAGATAATTTATTCTTATTTTTAAAAAAATTTTTGTAGAGACAGGGTCTTACTATGTTGCCCAGGCTTGTCTCCACCTTCTGGACTCAAGCGATCCTCCCACTGCAGCCTCCCAAAGTGCTGGAATTACAAGCGTGAGTCACCATGACTGGTTTTTTTTTTTTTTTTTAATTAAAGTGATTTGAAACAATTTGGTAATGCAGACTGGGACAATGTCACTATACCCACTGAGGTAACTGAGACATGAGAGCTTTCCAACCCAAGGTCAGAAATCACTGAAACAGCTTATGAAACCCTCACTATTTTAGTGTTTTAAATTGAGAATGCTGTATTTTTCTCTTGGGCAACAGATAACCTTCATTTTTGACGTAAATGATAATGGTGGCTTCACATGGCCCAGGCAAACTTCAAAACAAAACTGTAGGACCACATTTTTCTAACCTGAAAATAAGTCATATAAGGTACAAATAAGTAAAATTGGAATTAAATTATTCTAGGAAAAATATGTGGTTATCTTGTATCTAGTCAGTAATCAGATTTATTCTGTAAGATAATAACTTAATTCTCATAAAATAAACTCTTCTCAGAATAATGGGACAATATGAAAAAATCAAGAAGGAAAACTGCGTTTTTAAAAATAATGTATCTCACTTATGTGAAAGGTATGAATATTTAAGGAATATAAATAAACGATGATTTAAACAGATAGTGGTAGAAATTTCTGACTCTATGACATTGAGATGCACAATCTATTTTGAGTGGACACAGTTGAGGATCATCTTCTAAGTTTTCCAAAGCGGCACTATACTACTGCAAACACTGCCCAAGGACATAACTTCACATTGTTTTTTGTCTTAAGCTTAGCTGTCTCACCTCATTCATCTCCAAGCTTTTGTACAGTTTGGACCCCATCCTGCCACATGAATCCGACCTCTGGCATTTGACATCTTGACTAGGAAAAACTTCCACTGACTTACAGTTGTACTTTTTCCTAAGACTGTCAATTCCCATCAGTCCTACCTCATAAAATAGGAAGCTAAATAACCACTTCTGCTGGATACAAAACATAACACAAAAAGAATAGCAACAAACAAACAAACAAACAAAAATCCAGCCTATTGAACACTGTTCTAAGTGGTTTATTAACTTATTTGATCCTCAAAGCAATCCTATTATTCTATTATTAAAACTCATTAAATAAAGATTAGAAATCTGAAGCTCAAAAAGGTCAAGTAACCTACCCAAGGTAACACAACCAGTAAACGGCAGAACTAGGGTTTGAGCCTGTGTTATCTGGCTCTAGAGCCAATGCTTTTAACCATAAAGCTAAACCAGTACTGTACCTTTGCAGTTCTACTTGGAAATGATGTGAAAATTAGTAGTTTCTGCAAATTATGTCTAATGTATTATCAATGTTTTACACATACACAGAGCAGTTTATACAGCTGTCTCTCTCTCTAAATAAAAACAGTATTTTAAAAATATTTATTTGGCTTGTTCCATGTGTAATTTTTTAAATTGCAAGATGCTTTAAAAAATGCATATATCAAAGTCCTATTTCCACATAGGAAATCAAGAATGGTGATGATTACCAAACACTACTCACTTTATTTATAACACTTCCCCTCTTGGTGTTGTCACTTTTATTTCTGATGACAAAATTCTCCTCAGGGAGAGATCCCACTGATTTTATTTGAGCCATTCCATCTTACGCTTTTAAAGGAGTAAAATAAAGCAGATTAAACTGCCAAGGACACATCCAGGATAAGGGCAGGGAAAAGAAAAGCTGGTACTCAAGGTATCTAAGTTATTTCATGTGTAAAGGGTTTTACGATGAGTTTAACTTTTGGTAGTTAATACATACTGCTTCAATAGTAACCCAAACATACTACCTAATTAAAACTCCCACAGTGAATTGCCAAAATAAATTAAAAACAGGCATTAGGAATTTAGGAAAAAAAAAAGTCTCCCAGGGTAAGTGAAGTAAAACAACGTTTTCATGCCCAAATGGTATGCTAGACCTACATACAATTCAGGCATACATAGCCATGAAAGGAAAGAAATAGAGAATTACAGAGAATTAATGTCACGTAATTTCTACTCTAGTATGACTCTTTTACAGTAAAAGCAAAAGCATGGGTGTCTGTGTGTCTTTGTGTGCCTTTCCATCTGTATGGACATTTGTGTATACAGAGAGAGCAGGAAGAAAAGAACAGCAAAAGAAGCCACTTTACAGGCACATCTGAAAATAATAATAGCACAAATGGACTCTATAGTCTACAAAATAAGGTACACGTGTAAGTGATAATTTCTCTCTACATTTAATATTTTACTTTCACAACAATGTATGTTTTCGAAAGCGAAAATGTTTAAATGTGTAATATTAACTTAGTGCTTAATTTAAGAGACTCTTCTTGAGAAACCAGAAAGTTCCACACTGACAGGAGCACTGGTTTAATACATGGCCTTTTTCAAATTAAGAAGACACAAATGTTCACGGAAACACTTGGTTTGAGTTTTACTCTCAGTTTAAGTTTTCTAAACAACCTTCCTTCAGGTGCCAGCACACAATATCCAGGGTTTTAATACAAGGTACCAGTGTCTCTGGCTTTTGATATACCACGCCAAATCACTGCAATACCTGTTAGGACTACCTAAAATCACCTTTGTGGCAACCACTAAACTTTGCTACATCTCCCATTAGTACACACGGCATCCTGATTTATCAGAGAAGGCACAGTTAGGGCTGAGAGGTAGTGTTATAGTCCGAAAAAAAGTATGAGTTTGTGCTTTGTGTTTTCTTTTGTTGTCTCAATAGACCAAACATAGTTAATTCTCTTTGTTCTTTTTACTATGTTTTATGTTTTTTAACTTAGATTCTGACTGAAAGATGTTTTCACCATATTTCTGGGAAACATATATCAAACAAGTAGTAAAATTATAGTTAAAAAACAAACCTCAAAGTTATACCAGTCACCCCCCAAAAAAAGGTCATCTTTTACACTTCCACTCTTACTTCCCCCATCATCCATGTAAGTTCTTAACGTTCATACATACAAATTACAATTTTATAATATTATAAACATAAAACCCTATTTAATAACTTATTTATAAGGGAATATATCAATGACACATTTATAAATACATTTTTCCTCAAGTCTCTGGTACCAAATTGAGTTTCTAGTGCCAGAAATATTATTTTTCACTGTATGAAAAACTAATATAAATGGATTCCAATGGCTTTCAATTCTTTAAATATGTCATCTGCTTACAACATTTTTTAAACAATTTGGAATACTTTATTCCTACATTTATTGAATAGGCTACACTGACAGTTTCAGTTTACTGAGTTCCTAAACCCGTCATTACAAATGTTATGCACCCTCAGCTCCATGGCACCCACCCCCATCCCCAGGACATCCTATGCTTTCTGCACTGCAGCCTCGATTTCTAACCCCTTTGATGGCTTGGGATCCTTAAACAAGATCTTCTGTACCGTTTCTGGATCTTATGCTCTTATTTAATTATCAAACATGCATTGGGTGCCCACTATTTCCCAGACACTGTTCTAAAGTTGCAAATAAATATTATGATACACATCCTCAACCTCAAGGTGTTCAGAATCTAGTAAGGCAGGCCAGACACTTGAGCTCCAAGAATTCAAGAAGTCCCTGCTGTGACTAGCATTCAAGGTTAAACTCTGGCATTCAACTCAGTCCAGGTAACTCTCTCTCTCTTCAGGACTGGAGTCCCAACCGTTGGTTTGGGTTCTGCTTCAAAAGAGAAAGAACACAAGATTGATAATCCCATCATCTGCTTAACAGGGGTTATTTCCACCATCTGGTTTTCCAATGCTAGTCACTGACATCAAGCCAAGACTGAGAAAATTTGCCCACATCTCTGGAGGTACAACCACCCCATATTTGGGTCAGTCCTGATCTCTGATGCCTTCTTCCCCTTTCTCCACTGACCTTTCAGAGAGGTTAAATGGATTTGACAGAGAAAGCATACAGACTGTTCAAAAATGGAAGATCATCTACTAAGATTATATCCATCTCTAAGACTTTACATGTTTATGATTTCACTAACTATGCATCCCAATTTTGTGAATATATTTTTAAAGAAACATTTATATCTATATCAATTACTAAAAGCCAACATTTATTGGAGCTCTTTAATTGTATTAAAATTTATTATCCATGATAATGCAATACAACTGATACTGTTTTTAGTTTAATATGTGTAGTTAACGAACCTCAGAGGGGTTAACTTGCCTGCTGTCACACAATGGAAACCTCAATTTGAAAGTTTGCCCTAAGCCACTAAACTATGCTACTTATCCCTTCAGCACATACATGACATCCTTATTTACTCATCTAAAAGTTATGGTTAGAGTTGAGAGGTAGTGTTATAATCCAGAAAGAGCACGAGTTTTGCTTTGTAGGTCCTGTTGTTTGTGGAAAGTGTGTGTGTGTGTGTGTGTGTGTGTGTGTGTGTTTTGTTTAGTTTCCCAGTAAGACAGAGTTGGGCCTGAATTCTGACTCAATCTTTTTCTAGTTGTGTGACCCTGGAAACATTACATAATAACATCAATAATTTATTGGCTATTTTCTATATGCTAGCCATTGTGCTAAGTGCTTGGCATACTCTGTCTCGTAAAATTAAATCTTCATAAAAACCCTGAGAAGGAGACAATATTATTCATATTTTAGACAGGGTGGGATTATTGCTGAGAGAGGATAGGTCAAATAGCCAGCAAGTGAATGGCAACCCAAAATTGAGTTGGAAGGAGGTGCAGACAGAATCCCCTTGCTGGTACCAGGCTATGAAAAGGGTTAGGACTGATTTGAGAACTGGCACTCACTGCCAGATTTACAACTAACAAGGACCTCTAAGGATGGATGGACTCTGGAGCCACACTTCCTGAGTTTGAATCCTGTGTCCAGCTGTGAGGCCAAGTTTCTCTTGGTATCAGTTTCCTCACTTGTATAGGTGAAATAATGCTAACTACACCTCAAGGTGTTTTTGTGAAAAATAAATAAAATAATCATTGTAATGGGACTGAAGGTAAAAGGTAATCCATACATTACTACCATTAACTAAAGACACCATTTTAATTTTGAATAATTCTGATTCAGTGAGCTTTTATTTCCACCTAAAAATAATAAACAGGAATATTTTGTTTTTGAAGTGAAACAGTCCCTTAAAGTACCAAAAATGTCACTATCTGGGCTCATCCCTATATTTGCCACCTCTTTTAGCTGCTCTGTACACACTTTATTTTTAAATTTATTTTCTACATGGATATGCCTAATGAGGCTGAGAAATTTATTACAACAAAGGAAATAATCGTATCATAAAAGGCTTATATTTGACATTACTCAATCTCAATTATAAACATTCTCCTCATTGCCTACCGGTATGGACAGCTCCCATGCTCTCCAAAAACAGAACAGAACAGAAGGGAGAGAGGAAACAATGGGAATTGAGCAGTACTAGTCTTATGAACAGAGTGATGGCAGAAATTCTTATAGAAATTATGACTGCGATTGAGACCTTATTTTGAGAATTAACACTCACTTCTAATACTTTCAGTGATTAAGTACTTCATACTGTTTGTGAATTAAGTGTTCTAAATTCCCACTCTAAAAGTACTTAAACTATTTTTTAAAATTAAACTTCCAAGAAAGAGAATTCATAATTTACATTCTTATATTTGTTTCATTTCTTGTCCCAAGGGAATTTAAGAGTTCTAGAAATAGAAAAGACAAAATGCACTCTATAGACAAACTTGCAAATAATGCTAACCACTAGCTTGAGACTGTGCCACACATTTTAAAAAATTATAAACTCACTATAAGTGTTAATAAAAGCATGAAAATTTCACTTTTCTGTTTTTATATATGAAAGAATTACCCATTTTAATGCACTTCAAAACATTTCATTTAGTTATACTTTGAAGTCTAGAGGGAATAAACTTGAATGTTTTCATATATGAATAAAATGCTTTGTTAAACATCTTTTCATTTTAAAAAATAAGCATCGTACAGTTTGTGTCCCCTCATCAATTTACCCAGACCTTCAGGAAAGTGGTATAGGTGCAGGCCTGCTGCAGTCTCCTGTCTGGAGAGAATTAGAAGAGAACAATGCAGATGGACCCTGGCCCACAGGTGCCTTTATACTGGCTTGGCTTTGTCTATGCAGCACTGGCTGCTTTAGGTGGGATCAGTGGTTATGCAAAAGTAGGTTCTGTCCAGTCCCCTTCTGCTGGATTCTTCTTCAGTGAGTTAGCAGGCCTGGATGCTTCTCAGCCATCACGGAATCCAAAGGAACATTTGAGTTCTCCCGTTTACATCTGGGATCTTGCTAGGTATTATGCGAATAAGATTCTAACACTCTGGAACATTTACGCTTGTGGGTTTAGTTGCAGGTGCCTGCTGATAGTTTCCAAACTTGGAAGTATGTATGGTGAACAGATCCTGTCAGTTGTAGCTATGTCTCAGCTTGGACTCATGAAGAATTAAAAATCTCCCAACTTCCACTATTTTTAATATACTCTGAGAAATAAGTCTATAAATTCACATAGTCTGATATTTTACTTAAAAAAAAAATGGAACTGAACTTGGCAGGAAAAAACTCAGTCATTGTCATTACAATCTTACAGAGGTGGCAAGTATACACCACAAGAGATTACTATTGTTCAGTTTTTGCATGTTGATATTATCTCCCCTTTTTCTTTTTGAGACAAGGTCTCACTCTATTGCCCAGGCTGGGGTGCAGTGATGCCTGCAGCCTCGACCTCCTGGGCTCAAGCAATACTTCTGCCTCAGTCTCCTGAGTAACTAGGACTACAGGTGCCTGCTACCATGCCCAGTTTTTTACTGTTGTTGTTGTTCGTTTCTTTATCTTTGAAGAGACAATGTCTTGCTATATTGCCCAGGCTGGTCTTACAGCCTCAGGCAATCCTCTGGTCTTGACGTCCCAAATTGCTGAGATTACAGGGATGAGCAACCATGCCTGGCCTTTTTATCTCCTCTTTCTGTGTCTATAGGTAAAATCTCAAGGTAGAAAATAATAGATGTCAACACTGGGGAATCTGAAACCTCATGCCCTACTCAGAAGAAAAACACGAAAGAAAAAGCTCTTTGAGATTTAGGGTATCTGTTCTTTTGCTCATCTTACAGCACAGAGCTACTCTGAAATTATGTTAAATGAAATATCAATAAAAATAAAGTTTACTAAAAATAAAAAGCATCCTTAATAAACACTGTCAAAGATCAATATTTTTCATTTTGTTCAGCTATGAGTAAACATTTTCCTTCATTTTTAAAAATTAAGTTGCATTTTTGGCCATTGAAATTAAAGGGCTCCAATGTGGTAGTAAGCTAATAGCGTTAATTTCAACAAGGGGAAACCATTTAAGGAATTAAGTTAATATTGAAAAGAAAACAAATGGGCGAAAAAAAGAAGACCTAAACTGACAGTAAGGCCAACAATGATCTCATATTAGAAGAGGTGTCTTAATATCACTTCACAGATTACTGCCTGAAAATAGAGGCGGGGGAAAAAAAAGAAAAGGAAGGGGGCACTGAATAACAGCTGTCACAAACTCATAACACTGAAGAGGTGTTTTGTATTGTTAACTTAAGATGCTGCTGATCTCTCTCCCCTACCCATCATACACACACACACCCTTACCACCTCTCCACAAGTATCCTCCATTCAGGTTATTTATATCCATATGTAGTGAATTTTTTTCCCAAAAAGTTTTTTTATTTTAATTTTTTTCCCTTTAAAATCTAAAAATAAAGCAAGAAATCACCATAGTTAGAATACTAAGCAGTAACTTTTGACAAAGGACAGTAATGCATCCCTAGCACTACCAACTAAGATTTGAACTGCTCTTCTAATTCCTTTTGAATTAATTATGGATTTAAGAATTTCAGCTTGAAGAATTTGAAGATATATTCATTAAATGTTTTTGGTTTTAAATATTAACACAGAGGCAAATAAAACATCGGTATTTGAAAAAATAATTTCTATTTTATCTTTAACCATTTTAATTCTCAACAAGATTTCTCTTACTAGATATACAATGCAGATTGTGAAAAAGTGCTTCACAGAGTCCGAATAAAAAAAATTGAATATTTAAAAATCTGTTCCATGCCAAATTTAATATAAATAAAACTAATGTGAATCTCACACAAAATTCCTATAAGAGTTTTTAATAAATAGTTCCCTAAGACTCATATTTTGGTTTGATCAAACACAGAGTTTCCCAAGGACATTCTTTAACTACTAACTTATATTAAATCCATAGCTACAGGGTTTTGTTTTTAGCTTCTAGAACGGCTTCCTAGAGAAATCAGAATCTTACCTTTACATATCTTCTGGAGAGGTTTCTTGGTGCTTTGAAAACTCCTGAGGTCTATGTCAAACAGCCATTCTCTTCCTCCCAGAGTCTTAGGGGCTTGGAGAAATCCCAACACCTGCTGCTACCACTGAGTGTCCAGGCTAGGAAAGTTTCAGGGTTTTGACAGCAGGATCACTGAGCCACAGCCAAAGCTTGGGAAGCCTTAACAACTGAAAGCAAGTGTAGAGGGCAACATGGTACCCAGCACGGTGCTCAACTGTAGCAGCAGGGGGAGGAATATTCCCCGCTTTCACAAGGGTTTAGAGGCAGCCATCACAGAACCCAAGGTTCTGTCAATGGACAGGGCTAAGGAAGTGGAGACATGACCACGCAGCACAACACCCTGGGAGAAGAGGAACAATTGGCACAGAGCTCAGGTAGTGCTTGAAAAGAATCACCAAGATTCCCGCCAGAACACAAGAAGCAATGGAGAAATGCAACAAAATACATGGAGATAGGCCATTCTAGCATCCCATACATAAGCCAAAAACACGGATGAAGTGGGTATGGAGATTTAGTTCTAGAAAGAAAAGTAAGGAATACATATTATAGCATGCCTACGGCATTTATGGTTAAAAATCTAATAAGTGACATAAAATTATTATATCTTGTCATCGCAATATTTAATTTACAAATACAAAAAAAAAATCCCAGGGTGCTGATCCGCAAGGCAGCAGAAATTAAAAGGCAACATTATTGGGAATTAGATGAGAAAACGGAAAGACAGAGAGAAGGTTAAACAACTGATTTTTAAATTGATAAATAATTAAAATTGTTTTTAGTAAGTACAATATACATTTTATCAAACTTATCACTTTCTGTTATGATCAGATGAGGCAGACGGAAGAAATTCAATGAGATAAGAGAAGAATACAAAGAAGAAGCAAGTAGATAAGCAGTGCAGAGATGAGAAGAACAAAAGATGGAAAAAGAAAAAGGATAAAGAAGAGGAAGGACAGAAAATATAACTAATTTAGTTAGTTGGTGTTTCTTTTCCTTTTTTTTTTTTTTTGAGATGGAATCTCACTCTGTTGCCCAGGCTGGAAGGCTGGATTGTAGTGGCGCAATCTTGGCTCACTGCAACCTCCACCTCCCGGGTTTGAGCAATTATCCTGGCTCAGCCTCCCAAGTAGCTGGGACTACAGGCGTGCACAACCACACCCAGCTAATTTTTGTATTTTTAGTAGACAGGCCTTCACCATGCTGGCCAGGCTGTTCTCGAACTCCTGACCTCAAATGACCCACCTGCCTTGGCCTCTCAAAGTACTGGCATTACAGGCGTGAGCCACCGTGCTTGGCCAACTAATTTAGTTTTGATGCACTGTCAGATAGACTAATCACTGTCTAAGATTTTCCTGAATCTCTGCTTCATGTTATGCTTTTCAAGGAGATGATAATAGCTTGTTAACCACCATTCACAGCTCTTCAACTACTCACAAGCCTTCAAGAACTCACCTTAAGGAGCCCACTGAATATTAAATATTAAACAGCTACAAAAGAGTGCTACTAAGACAATTTTGCTTTGATGAGCTGGATAAAATCAAGTCAGAGGTTCAGTATAAACTCTGACAGGACTTTAATAATTCCTAATATGTATGAAATGAAAATGAAAATGGTCAAAATCATTTAGGAACTCTCAATTTTTCAAGACTCGAAGCAAATTAACCATGGACTTTATACTTGAAATTAGTAAAGAAGAAAAGCTATTGCCTAAAAGCAGTTATGTGTGTGTAATTCTTGACTTCGGATATCTAATTTCTTCTATTCCAAGGTATTTAGTTCTAAGGTAACTAAAATAGTAACAGTAGTCTATTTTACTTTGAGACAAATGGTTCAAACTATCCTGTGTTGGGAAAATTGATTTCTCCCCTCACCTGCAAAATATATATTCTAAGTGACACAGGAAATAAAAGCTATCAAATAGCTTGTGCAAGGTTTACTTCTGTCTGATAAGTCACTAAGAGTTAGACATTGTTATAAAATGAAGTAACTCCCACCTTATGACATGTTAAGTACTGCCTAAGCAGTTAGTATTTTAAATTTGAGGGAACTGGGATTTTATAAGAGAATGAGGAATCTAAATTTTCCTTTAAAAATACTTTTTCATCTTAGAGACAGTGCCTAAGGTTAGATTTTGACTTAAACTAAACTTAATTTTTTAAAAATATAATCATGTCAATGTGATAGGTTTGAATGCAGAAAGATTGTGTAAGCCTCTATGGCAGAATCCAAATGGAGGCTGACCTTTTTTTAAAGGTAATAATTTGACTTTAAATAAAAAATTAAAAATCAATTGCAGTTTGTATTCTGCACCTATGCTCTTAATCCCATTGGTGAAAACCAGTTTTTAACAATCTAAACAACAAAAATGAAACAAACCCCCAAAAAAGTGGAAGAGAAGTAAATAAACATTGTCAATCAGAAATTGTAGGTTTATTCACTTATGAAGCTCTTCAGATTACATTTTTGAATAAAAATTATGTTGTTATTAAAGTATCTTACATAAGATCAGATCATCTAAACAAAGGTTTTCATAACTGTTGTTAAGCATCGCAAGGGGAAAAATTTTTGATGAATGTGCTCACAGTTATATTTCCAGCACCTAGTTTGCCTAGCAACATAGTAGGTGCTCAATAAACACTTACTGTCCGGTAGTGCCACATGTGGAAAGGCACTCTTCATGAAAAAAGAAGAGTTGAGGAGAGGGGGTTGGTCAAATGAATCTGTTAAAAGTTGAAGTTAAACAAGTCTGTTCCCCCATGACTTGGCAGAACCTTTACTATGCCACTGTAAGTTCCCAAACATAGCTCTTACCGTTTTTATGGGATACCTATTAACCACAGAATAATAATTCTAAGAAAATTTGACCTACATCTCTATGATTAACTTAAAATTCTTATTTCTTCCAATTTTTAATTGGACAAAAGTAAACTATTGACATGTTTGTGTCTGATGTAAATCATAAAAGGGAAGATAATTTAAAATCCTATAATCTACTGTTGTGAAAAAAAAAAGGTGCTCAATTAGAATTGAAAGGAGGAACAACTGCTTTCATATACCACAGAGTTATTTTTAAAAATCACTGTAGGGCAAGTCAAAAACAAGAGTAGAGATTAGTGACTAAGAAGTTACATGGAAAACTATGCTCCATCTACTGAAGTACTGAACAAACTTCAATATTAGTATTTCAAGTAGTGAAGCAGAGAATAAATGAGAACTTTATGGAACATATACAGAATCACAGATCAGATCACCAATGTGAAAACCACGGTTCCTCTCTAAAACAGTTTCTAATGTACAGAATACCAAAAGCCATTTCCCATGGATGTCATCTCAGGCCTTGAGCGAGCAGGCCTACCCAAATGGTATCTTAGCAAACTGGCTCCCCAATTGCCTTATTCACTCACCAGCATCCATTAGCCAACTCCATGCTTTATCTTCCATAGATAAGATACAGCTTCTTCTTGCCATGGTGCCATGAAAAGGATCCAGAAGGTTCCCCTTAAACAACATTTCCTGAGTGACTGCTGCAGCACCAAGAGTAATGGATATGCCAGGTCAGCCACTTTTCCTTCCCAGCAATATTAGCAGCAGCAGCAGCAGCAGAAGCTGGAGCAGACCATTTAGACCCATCTCCTTGCAGGATGCTAGCCAAAGCATTCTTATTTACACCTACAGAGAGTTTGCCCGTACGTCTGCACCTTTTTCAGAGTGTCAAAACAGGTGTTTTCCTGTGATCATACTGAAAATCTGCTCCCCAAACGAGGTGATGAATACACTGTTACTATGAAATTCTAAGTTTCTAATTCTATGGAAAAACATGCTCTTAAAAGTTTACTTTATTATAAGGAAGACTTGATGAATCCTTTTTAAATTTTCATTCATCCTTCTCATTCCCAATAAGCAAATAATTGCCCTAAAATTTCCTGTTAATGAAAGAAAGAATGTTACCATATAAAATAAATGTCATATGCAATTTTGGTCATTTCTTTCATAATATTCTATCTGCCATCTTGGCACAGAAACAATTTTACTGAAAATTCTAATGTTTTCATAATCAATACTTCCAACCAATGGGAAAATATTAGGTCTCAGACCTTTATTTTACAGAAGTAATGACTTCCTTGCTCCATATTTCATTTCCATTTTGATGTTTTTGATTATTTGCTTTTCTTTCTAGTGGCGTTCGACTTAACCAGTGGCTACAATGTGGCTGGACAACAGAGTTAAGCAGGTTCCAACATTAATAATGCATTTACCTAACTGATTTATCCAGAGCTAAAATCCTATAGATATAAAAAGCCATCTACAGTTTTTTTGTATAATTTAAATATCTCAACAAAGGATAAGTAAAATAACAGGTTATTCTTTTCCTAATCATTTACCTATTAGAGAAAAATTATAAACACCAAAGCATGTGTTCTTTACACAGCAGAGAATAACACTCCTCATTAGCAAAACTGAAAACCCTATATAGGCAGATTCTAAGTATAAAAGTATTGCATCACAGTGTTCACTTCATCATGACAGAATTAATAAAACAATAGCTAACACACACTGTAGACTCATTAAGTGCCAAGCACTGTTCTCTGTGCTTTATACGTGTTATCCCATTTAATTTTCACAACTCCTCTAAGGATTAGATATTAGTACTGCTCCCATTTTGGAAACAAGGAAACTGAGGCTTAGTTAGGTTACATAACTTCTTCAAGGTCACAGTGATTTGAATGAAGATTATACAGTTCCAGAGCTGGAGCTCTAAATTATTTCATTAAAACTCCACCACTAATTTTGATTTTCATTTATTTGTATATTGCACATTTATTGTTAACGAGACAGACATTTTAAAATGTTTACATAAAATTAAGATTTAATAACAGCAAATAATATCAATGGTAAGGTAACATTGTGTGCCCTGAAATTCCACAAGTTCTTTACATGTATTAACTTATTTAAGAGTCACAATAACCTAACAAGGTAGACACATTGCCATTTAATAGGGTATATCTGATAAATCTGAGGCATATAATGTTAAGTTGCCAAAAGTTATACAACTAATAAGTAGCAAAGATGAAATCTGGACCCAGAGAATGCAGCTCCTGAAATTGTGGTTTTATGCCCACTCTCTACTGACACTTGAAAACTGATGAAGTGTTAGAACTCTTCAAAAACAAGAGTAGGAAATGTCGTGTTTGGCCAGAACCCTGGTGGCAGGAGCATCTGATATCCCTGTCTTTTTCCAAAAACCTAACTGTGTACAAATATGCACACAAACTTATCTTATATGTGTCCATTTCTCTTAATGATATTTACCAGCTTAAGAAATTAACAAACATTTTATGTGATTCTCAGATTTTTCAAATCAAGGACAAATTCAGTTTTCACATTATTTTTCAAGTGTATCTTATCTTCGGAGGCATTAACAGGGCAGTAACATTATTACCATCACTGTATCTGTCATTCTGTTTTGGGGGATTACCATTGTTGCCAATAAAACTTACATTTCATTCCCATCCTTGGCAAATTAATTTAGTTACATGCAGGGTCCAAACAATAATTATGAGTTTAGAGAGAGCTTCAGAAAGCCAGCGATCATCTGTAAGGTGTGGGCTGAAACCAACATTGGAGGAAGGTACGGCCTTGATTATTCAGCAACTGAAATGACTTCCTTTAATTAGCTCTTGAGGACCCAAAGTGGGCCATCTGGGTTAATTTCAGTCAGCTCAAATCAAGCACTCAGGTCCCCAAATGTTAAGACTGAGAAGCCAGAAGAATACTGAAACCAAGCTATTTCTTTAGTTTGGCAGCAAGTCTAACTCTCTGGACTAATTTTGGCTATCTTCAGCTTTTTTTAAACTCTAACCTAATATAAACTAGTGTGTGCGCATGCGCGCGCGCACACACACACACACACACACACACACACACACACACACACACACACAAAACCATGAAAACTTCAAAGAGAAAATACTCTTATGGTGAAGGCACCTCCCCTCTGTCAGAATTTAGCCATAAGCTGTAAGAAATACAGCCATTTGGTGGCATTTACTAAAAAGAACTTATTTAGGTGCCCATGTGGCATAGCTTGAGGTGGTGTGTCATTTACAGTTTATTTACCTTCAATTATTTTTATAATCAAAAGTTATCATAGAAGGAAGATGACAACTCTGTACCTAATTGCTAGACAACTACATTTTTTTGCAGAATTTCTTGGGTAGTCATGTTATATATTGCACCCACATAAGCTTGATTTACTCTTTGGCTAACAACAGATTTAAATTTGTTTCAGTCTCCAACTTTAACACTGAATTTAAGCAAAAATTATTCAAAAATTCTAGAAAGCACATTTTGACATCTTATGAGTGAGGAAAACAAAGTAACTCCACAGGCTTTTACATAAGATAGATCATAACAAATGATTTTTCTGACCTTGGCATTACCACGTGATAGACTAGGAGGAATCATGACTCTTTTATCCAGTCATCTAAATAAACATAGATAGATACAGACATACAGATTCCAACTGCTCAACTTAACCATTATAGCTATAGTTTTTATTTCTCACTGATGTCAATGGCAATGCAATCAGCTGCATTAAAGTTTCTGATCATTTTAACAAACTTCATTTTTAAAGAGGTATCAAGGCCGGGAGCGGTGGCTCACACCTGTAATCCCAGCACTTTGGGAGGCTGAGGCGGGTGGATCACTTGAGGTCAAGAGTTCAAGACCAGCCTGGCCAACATAATGAAACCCTGTCTCTACTAAAAATACAAAAATTAGCTGGGTGTGGTAGTGGGGAGGCTGTAATCCCAGCTACTTGGGAGGCTGAGACTGAAGAATCGCTTGAACTCAGGAGGCAGAGGTTGCTGAGATCATGCCACTGCACTCCAGTCTGGGCAACAGAGCAAAAACTCCATCTCAATCAATCAATCAATCAATCAATAACATTTGAAGTAATACATGTAAATGAGTAAGGTAACAGCTTCTTATTCATCAACCCTTACTGGGTCCGCTTCCTTTTATTTAATTCCTTGGACATGGCTTTACCGAGAAATAAATGAATTAATAAGCATAAACTCTAGGCCATACTTAGGTCAAAATAAGTGAAGTTACAGTGAGCTCCTCAGATTCTTCTAGAAAGTAAACAACCCATCAATCTTTAATACTAAGTCATCTGAATATGAACTAGCATCCTAAAAGTGAAAAGCTCTAATGGTACATTACAAATTCCTGAGTCATTTTGTCCTCACAACTTTATGCTTTAAATAAAACTGGCTAAAGAAAATCTACAAGTGACTCAGTATGACTTAGTGTTTCCAAACCAGGAAAAGGAAGGACTTTCAGTGTTTGAGATAAGGTTTTTTTCTGTAGTTTGGAAAATAAACATTTCCTATTCAGTTATGCCCAGGGGCAGGGTGTGTGTGTGTATGTGTGTATGTGTGTGTGTGTAGGGGAAGGAGTGTCTGTGTGAGTATGAAAAGAGAAGAAGAGCAGGAACGAGGGAGTAAGACAGGGAAGGAGAGAGGGAGAAGGGAGAGAAAGAGAGGGAAAAGGAGAAAAAGAGATTTTTTTAATCAGTATTTGGTGTTCACGTAAAATGGTTACTTTCTGCAAAAGTTACCTCAGCAAATTATGTGTAAGCAAGCCATGGAAGCACTGCA
Organism: Homo sapiens; assembly: GCF_000001405.40. Classification (NCBI taxonomy): domain Eukaryota; kingdom Metazoa; phylum Chordata; class Mammalia; order Primates; family Hominidae; genus Homo; species Homo sapiens. The sequence goes on along the minus strand of NC_000003.12, from coordinate 152,330,973 downwards.
ATTTGTAATAAAATCAATGGGAATGGCTTACCTGACTGTATATAGTAGATAATCCTTATCTATGGGGAATACATTCCAAGACCCCCAGAGGATGCCTGAAACCATGGACAGTAACAACCCCTAAATATACTATTATTTTTCCTATACATACCTACAATAAAGTTTAATTTATAAATTAGGCACAGTAAGTGATTAACAACAATAACTATAATAAAACAGAACAATTATACTGTAATAAAAGTTATGTGAATATGGTCTCTCTCTTGGTTTCTCTGTCTCAAAATATCTTATCGTGTTGTACCATGGGTAACTGAAACTGCAGAAAGTGAAATTGCAGATAAGGGGGGATTACTGTATTGCATTCTGTACTGCATTTCCATGAATTCAGTGACACACAGTGATGTATTCCATGTCGTTATAGCAAATAATAATCTTAGGTGTCTAAATTAGACTGAATTTTTTATTTCAATAGGCATAAGCCATTTTCTGCACCTAAATGAAAGTAGCATTTTTTTTCCTGATATAAAAATGGGCAGATTTTTGTCCTGGTGTCATGCTAATATAACCCCAGAGGTGGCAAGCATAGTGGCTCAAGCCAGTAATCCCAGGACTTTGGGAGGCTGAGACAGGAGGATCACTTGAAGCCAGGAGTTTGAGATAACCCCAGAATTATCTACTTTATTTAAAGTACATTTTAGCTGGGCAGTGGTGTGCATCTGTAGTCCCAGATACTTGGGAAAGTAAGGCAGAAGGATCGCTTGAACCCAGAAGTTTGAGACCAGGCAGGACAACACAGATTCAGTCTCTAAATAAATAAAATACCTAAGAACACTCAGAGTGGCTGAAAATGTGTTCAGCAAAATCTGTTCCACTAATGTCCCTAATAACGTCAGTAGAGACTAGGGATTAATGAGACTACCAATAAACACACATACACACACATGAACATACACACAATGTTTACTATCTTGTTTTCTGTTATAAGGATTGCTAAATATTTTTGTATGATATAGACAGTTACAATTTATATTTTTTAGAGAATTCATAGAAATAATCCTTAAAATATTTAGAGATTGGTACTCCTTTGACAGATAAATAAATGCAAAAGTGAAAATTATTTCAAACCAATAGCACATATATCCCATGATATCCACAATGGTTTTATTTTATCCATCACTTGAAAGTAAAAGAACTTTGACCGGTTTTGAAAGAAATTATATATATATTTCTTATATATATTATATATTATATATGACATATATATTATATATATATATAATATATAAGATATATATATATAAGATAAAATATATATGTATATTTCTTGAGACAGGGTCTTGTTTCATTGCCCAGGCTGGAGTGCAATGGCTGATCATGGCTCACTGCATCCTTGACTTCCCAAGCTCATGCAATCCTCCCACCTCAGCCTCCTGAGTAGCTGTGACTACAGGTGCTCACCACCATGCCTGGCTAATTTTTTTTCTTTTCTTTTCCTTTTCTTTTCTTTTTGGTAGAGACAGAGTCTCACTATGTTCCTTGGGGTTGTTGCAAATTTCTGGGGTCAAGAAATCTCCTGCCTTGGCCTCAGAAATGTATTTTCTTGATTTGCATTTGACATTGCTGTCTGACCGAAACCAATTCAGCTCCACAAAGGAGTAAATATAAGTCTTTTTATTTTAACAGGCATTTTATAATCCCTAACAAAAATTTTTCTCCATTTTTTTCTTATTGTTAACATAAAATTTAAATTTTGATATTAAATGCTACCAGTATTATTCCTTTTTCAAAGCCCAGTTTAGCTCCCAAATAAGCTCACATCTGTCTTTTAGCCCTAGCACTTCCAGTTCCACATTCCTGTTTAAAGTACTTCATCCCCCTGCCCCTACCTACTTTTTTCCTTCCAGAAGTGACTAATCTTCCTGTTATTCTACTCTGTCAGTTTTTCCCCTAGTATTCTTTTCATGTTGCATAATGTTTACTTTTCACTAGCTCCTTCTATAATTTTACTACCGTCTCCCTTGGTACTAGCCTTCCGTTTTCAACAGATTAAAATAGCCAATATTTATGTATTAGCAAACTTTTTTGTCAAGTTTCGTGCTGTTCAGATTAAGCTATTTCCTCAAGTCAAAAATACAACTAATCTTTTGATAGAGTAAATATTGTTTTTAAAAAAATCCATATGTTGACCTTCAAAGTTAAATTCAGTGTAAGTTTTAGAATTAACAGATATCACAATTAAAGGGCTAAGATTTCAAATTTCCTGATAAGGTACTCCAGCAAAGCAAACAGAATATCACTCCTTTTAAAGATCTCCTTCTTCCTAGTACTTCTCCGTAATGTCATAAAGCATGTTAGCAAAGTCTTATAAATACAATGTAAACTTTTTCCATTCTTCTAAATTTTAGTTATAAAATACATTTTAATTATATGTCAACAATTTGCCTCAACCCTAATCTCAAATATCTAGAACAGCTATATCACATTATCTAAACATGAGTAAAAGCTGAGTTTCTGCTTTAGAGAAAACATCTCAGAAGATGTTTAGAATTACAGTAATTACTTAAATAATTACCTATATTCTAAAATTCACACCATAGTATCACATACCTAATAAAATAACAACATAACATAACCCTAGATTAACAGTGCATCTTTTGGCAGATTCAATATTATATCATATTTTTTGTGTCAGTCACAGGATCCTTTGGAGAAAATAATGTGTTACTAGTCTTACTTACATTTTCTATCAATATAAAACGTTCACAAGCCTTTAGAAACTGTACATTTTCTAAAATCCAAAATTACCCTTAATAAATCTTGGCAAAACACACACTATAGGAGATAAAGACATCCCTAAAATTTCACTCTAATTTACTGAAAATAGAAGTCAAATTAAATTCAAATGTTGGCTTACATTAAAATAGCACAGGATCTTATAATTTACTTTTAATCTTGGAGGAATTCTCATTATTCTCTCATCAATTCTTCTTCAAAAAAATAAATTAATAAAAACTTCCTTGTTTGTCACATACAGTGTCCTAAACAGAAACATCTGATTTTTCTTTGGGTCAGCAAGAACAACTTAACTTCCAAATTCCTTTATGGCCACTATTTTAGACACTAAGACCAAGAACTCCAAAGAAAGCTATAAAAAAAAATGCTACTATATGACTATATAGTAGCATATATATATATAGAAAAAAATATAGTATATGATACCAAATATTATAGTTTACAAAACCACATTCATATACAACAGGTTCAATTTTTTAAATCACATCACGAGTGGAAAAGAAACCCAAACTATATATTCTAGGAAAAAAGCAGCCGGTCACAGTGGCTTAAGCCTATAATCCCAGCACTTTGGGAGGCCAAGGCAGACAGATCACTTGAGGCCAGGAGTTTGAGACCAGCCTGGCCAACATGGGTGAAACCCCATCTCTACCAAAAATACAAAAATTAGCTGGGTATGGTGGCCCATGCCTGTTATCTCACCTACTTAGGAGGCTGAGGCAGGAGAATCACTTAAACCTAGGAGGCGGCGGTTGCAGTGAGCCAAGATCATGCCACTGCACTCAGCCTGAGTGACAGAGTGAGAGTCTGTCTCAAATAAAAAAAAAGAAAGAAAGAAAAGAAAAAAGCAGGGCTCATATCTACATCCTCAGGGACTAGCACAGAGCTTGATAAAAAAAGACAGATGCCCAATAAATATCTTCTGAGTAAATAAATTCAACCATACAGAGGCACATTAATGATAAACAAAAAGGAAGGAAAGAAAACTTTTTTGATAATATTACCATAGGAACAATGTTATCAAAACATATTAATCAAAAAAAATTAGGAGAAGCAATTCAAATAATTTATCAGCCGAGCGCAGTGGCTCACGCCTGTAATCCCAGCACTTCGGGAGGCCAAGGCAGGCAGATCATTTGAGGTCAGGAGTTCAAGACCAGCCTGGTCAATATGATGAAACCCCATCTCTACTAAAAATACACACAAAAAAATTAGCTGGGCATGGTGGTGCATGCCTGTAATTCCAGCTACTCGGGAGGCTAAGCCAGGAGAATCACTTGAACCCAGGAGGCAGACGTTGCAGTGAGCCAAGATTGCACCACTGCACTCCAGCCTGGGAGACAATAGTGAAACTCTGTCTCAATAAATAAATAAATAAATAAATAAATAAATAAATAAATAATTTTCCCAAGGGAAAAATTTTTTAGAAAAATTTACTGGCATCCTTGATTATATGTGTAAGCTTATTTAGATCTTATGTTAGAAGAGAATATCTGATTCTGAAAATTGATAAATATCATGCATTTTTTCCCTTTTTCTGATATAAACTATGTTTTGAAGTTGACCATTAGTTACTATGAAAAGATCTTTATGAAAAAAATTCTTGATAATAAACGCAGCAGAAATTATATAATTAAAAGTCACCATTTTTGCAAACTCTAAAAAATATCATGGCTACAAAATGATCAACAATGAGGTGAAATCATTGGATCCAAGTCTGATGGAGAACTTTATAAGGATTGGCCCAGGCCAATCTGATTCACTGATAGATTGCAGCATCATTAAAAGCAGGGATTACTAAAATTATGTCCTCTTGATATGATGAAATAGAAAGTATACAGAACCTTCCAGGAAATGTTCCCCCCAAATAATAATAAATAACATTAAAGTTAAACTCGACTCTAATTTTCAGTTTACAGAAAATAAGGATGATGGAAGAACAAGCTAAATGACACCATAGATGCTAACTGGAAAAACGTACCTATTAAAAAAGGACATTGCTGTGACAATCAGGAAAAGTTGAACATAAAGTGGCTATCAAATGATACAATAAAATTGTCGTCAATTTTCATAGATTTGGAAATGGAGTTATATTTAAAATAAGTTCTTAACTGTCAGAGATACTACTGAAGAAGTATAAGTGACATGATAGGATGTCTGAGACTTCTTTTAACATGCTACAGGGGTAAAAGGAGTGTGAAAGGTAACAAAAAGGGCAAAATGTTGGCTGATGCACATACGGATACATGCATACAAAATGCTGACTGATAGATATATGGAGGGGGTTGTTATATTGTTTCTCTAATATTATGTACATTTAAAAATTGCCATAAATTTTTTAAACTTAACAAACAAAAAAGACAGAAATCACAGGGGAAAAAAAAAAAGAATGAGTTCATATCTGGAAGAGCAATTAAGGATTTTTTTTTTTTTTTAATATTTCTAACCTGAAGTCACAAAACCTGGTTTACAAACAGGGCTTTGCTACTTACAATCTGGCCTAGATAACCTAAATCAATGTATTTGTACATAAATACATAAATGTCCATATCTGTAGCATGAAAATAATTGACTTACCTACTACAAAAATATATAGTATGTAAAAATTAACTATAAACTAAAAAAAATAAAATACAGATATCTTCAATATATTTTGTGTTTACCTTCATGTCACATGTGTATGCATTATCTCTTCAACCAAATAGTAAGGTCTCTATGAGTGAAGTCCATGTTCCATTCCTTTAACCAGCAAACATTCAATGTACACTTCTAGTCAGTCTACTACGTGTCAGGCATTTCTTACTAAGAGGTTAAGAACACAAAGGTGTAAGTCGTAGGCTGTGGAATCAAATGCAGAGATGGAGTAAGATACATAATTATTATGATTCATACTCCAAACTACATAAGCAAAGAGGCAAAACAGTTATGTGGCCAGGTCTAGAGTGAGGAGAAGCTTTCTAGAGGAGGGAATGTATGAGCCATATATAAACATGGAAAAGGTCTGCAAAACTCATGTAGGAAGAAAAAAGAGTCCCAGGCAGAAAGACCAAAAAACAAACAAAAACAAATGAAAAAAAAGCGGGCGGGGGGGGGCGGGTATGTGGCATTACATGGGAACATCAAAAGAAGTCATTTGCCACAGGTCAATGTGGCTAATAACTTGATGTGGGAGGTACTGAGTCTCAGTAGATGACCCACTGTACATGGCAAAATGCTAAGTACTTAGTAAGGGATCAATAAATATCTATTAATTAAAGTACAGAGAGATAACAGGTAGCATTATTTGAGTATTCATTCCAGGTCATTATGTATTCACTGAAATAAATGTGTTTCTTATTCAACCTCACATCAATCCCAAGGTACGTGCTATTATTATCATCCCCGTCTTACAGATAAGGACATTTGGGCACAGAAAAGCTAAGTAACTTTCCCAGTTACTCAGTTGGCAATTGGTATAGTGAGTGATGTTCTTAGGGTTTTAAACAACAAAATATCTGGAAATAAAATTCTACATGGCTATTCCTCATAATAAAAGTATTTTTAAAAAACGAAAAAGAACACTATAAACAGTGAGTGCTGCTAAAGGTTTAATAAGTGGTTGTCTAGGAGAGAACTATGGTTGCCATCTGCCAATTTCCAAAGTGTAAACGCTCTCACCATAGCCAATTTTAAGCTATCAACAAAGACATCATTGAACATGGAATTGGGAAGAGGTCTCGACATAAACCAGTTCCAGCACTCCACTGCCTGTAACCTTCAACAAGCTATACAGGCAGAGTGACTTTAACAGACTAACTACATGACCAGGAAGATAACAAGTAAATCAAAGAAAAGGTGCAAAACTGCTATCTCTCTTGTTTGCAAGACTCTGTATAAGTCATAGTCAATTTATATTTGAAATTAATAAACTCCTAAGGAATATAATGTGTGAAAGGCAATGAAAATGAATAAGTAATTCATAGACATTCCTCAAGGTAACATACATTTTCTATGAATGACAGTTGACATTTATAAAGTATTCTTTATATGTGATTAATGAACTGTGATTAGTAAGTGATTTCCTGCTAAACGATTTCTCCCTCAAGGGGCAACACAAGAGGATTTATTTCCAACTAGAGAAGTTGAAAATGAAAGCACAGCTGAAGGAAATGAAGTTATCTGGGTCAGCAACAGATACTGCAACCGAAAACGGGGATAATTTTTGCATACCCTGTGCTTTCAAACTGCATGTCATATAAAAGGTGTTGAATGAATAGTGATCATAAGAAAGGAGGGAACAAAACCAATCATAGAACTAGATTTTTTCACTAACTATAGTCAATAGCTGTATAACAACGCTTCAGTCAACAAAGGACCCACATATATGATGGTGGTCCCATAAGATTACAATGGAGCTGAAAAATTCCTACCACCCAGTGACATTTGTAGACATCATAACCTCATAGCACAACACAATATCTTTTCTACGTTTGAGTATGTTTTGATACACAAATACATAACATTATGTTACAACTGCCTACAGTATTCAATAGGATAACAGGCTGTATACGTTTGCAGCCTAGGAGCAATAGGCCGTACTATACAGCCTAGATGTGTAGTAGGCTATACCATTTAGGTTTGTGTAAGTATACTCTATGATGTACACACAACAATGAAATACCCTAATGACACACAGAATATATCCCCATTGTTAAGGCATGACGTGTGTGTGTGTGTGCACGCACGTGTGTGTACATATATATTTTTTAAATTATTTACAGTTAGTGACTACAGATATATTTATATAAAAGGGAGTTCAAATTATTCATATTTGTATGTTTACACTATTTCTTTAAAAAAATTCCTTTAGGTTATTTAACAATATTGTTGAATGAATAAGTCTAGTTAAATGAATTTTATATGGGTATAAAAGGGAGTTAGAATTATTACTATATTGATCCTATCACTTTTTTAAGTTCCTTTATCATTTAAAAATAATGTCCAATGAGTAAGTACATTTGGATAAATTTTGAATTAAATATAAAATCTATTTTTTACATAGAATGCAAATGTAATGTTAAAGAGAAGTAACCAGTAATTGCAAAGCAAAAAATGCAAATTCTACACAAGTTTACTTAGGCAGTTAGCAAACTGAAACCAGTATAACCCCATTTTTGGCATGTGGCAAGTCTGTTGCTGACCTGTTACTGAATCTGGCTCCCACAAACCGTCAGTCTATTACTTAACAGTATCCTGGCTTAAATAGACTCAATAAAACAAATGTAATTCACTAGCACTGTCTCATGCTTATTAAATTCATATGCAAAACAAATCCAAAATGTGCCTTGAGCCTTGTTAAGAGTCTATACATGTTGCTTTCTGTTGCTCTTCTTGTCACAGTAGTAGGATGCACAGATCTTTTATTAGGTCAATTTAACTATTGATTTCTACTCTTAGCGCTTAAAAAATGCCAGAAAAATGTTAACTTTTTCAGTCCACTGCTGCAGGGGAGAAAACCTCACAAAATTAGTGATTATAAATGAAAAAAATCAATCAATAAAACTGTCACGTAAAATAACTCATACCAATCTTGTTACATATCAAAACTGACATTTTTTCCCAGCCCAGTTATCAGACTGAGATAATATAGATGTATTTTTTAATCTTTGTGGTATCGTAATTAGAATAATTCAAGTTAAATGATTTTAGTGTTCTATATACAAGGCTAGTTTGCATTTCCGTGACATAGCCTTTCAAAAAGGGAGCTGCGTCAATTTTTAATGAAATGCATGACCTAATTTACAACTGTAATGACTATAATTAGTCTAATAGTTTGTGTTTTTTTAATCTTGGGGATGGGGCAAGGAAAGTTATGGCATGGGTCAGGAGCTATGAACGCTGGTGATGTACCACATTCTATTCCATTTTAAATTTAATACAAATAAAGTAATATTTATTGGAAGGCTACAATGTGTTAGGCTTAAGAAGACTAAGGCACGGCCTTATAAAGCTTCCAGACAGGGAACATGGAGTTAGAAACCTAACAGCAATGGTCTATATTAGGAGTATGACAGAGTTCTAATGTTTTTCTCTTGTCACTGCATTTTTATGCAGTACAAAAATATGGTTAAAAAAACTCTGTTTTCATTATTTTTTAAAATATCTATACTATAATAACATAACCTGGCTTTTAAAACAGTATCTAAAACAAGAATAAACAGTCTCTGTGTTTGGAATAGATTCTCTTAGGAGATTACTGATATGTCCAGATTTAAAAAACAAAGAACAACCATAACAACAACAACAAAACCTCAGGATAAAATAAATACCACTATCTCTTTCAGTTAGTTTGAAAGTAGATCTGAATACATTTTCTTTTGAAATTGACATGCCACTGTGTGCAATGCAAATAGGAAGCAAGATTGGAAATACACAAAGGCAGAATTACTGAGGAAAAAAAAATCCTTTAAAATTTGATGGAGAAAGGGACACCAGGCTTGATCTACTGTCTCTTGAGCATTTTAATAATTTCCCAACTTGCAAGATTAGAAAATTAGACCTGCTTCTCAATTACTAACGAATAAAATGAATGTAGAAGGAAGACCTCTACACTCATCTCTTTTAAATGCTGCATGAACAAGAGGCTCACTGTTCAAGACATTAAGTATTGCTTCATGGCAAGGGGAGATATTCTGTAAAGTTGTATCATTTTTAAGATTATTACCAGGGACTTACCCTCTCGGAAAACTCACCCTATTTGCAGAAAAAGATGACAGAACTAAAATAATGGATTAGCAGAACTTTACTCTCTAAGCAAATGACTTTTATAAAATCTGAAGTTCCCTGAAGAAGGCCAGTAAGTCTCAATGAGTAACATATCACAATGCTCAAGTGGTGATTGTAGCATTTGTTACCAGCTACATAATTACTCTATTCTAACTCTTAATGAGCCTGAAGTACTAAATTTTTAACTCCCCTGATGATCCTCTTCAAAGTGGATAAATGTAGGTTTCTCCTCAATCAAATATTTAATTGTCAGTACTACTGGCACCAACACACAATCTGGAACATTTTTTTACTCTCTAGAACTTTTCAGTTCTTCTAAAAATAGCTTATATCATACAGATCTTAAAATAATTGTTGGAGAGAAAAAATAAGGAGCAAGTTAATAAGTGGCAGAGTCTAGAGACATACTTCTTGGAAGCTTGGATTCTCTTTTCTACTTCAGATTAAAGATTAGAAGCAGAAGTTGCAACACTATAAAGTATTCACAGTTGGAAGACAAAACTTTTTTTCTAAAATTAGAGTATAGAGAAATTTAGGTGTAACAGAGATATAGGAATCCCTTGACAAATACCGTATGTCCTTGTTAGTGCTATTAGTTTGATAATAAAAACAATAATAATTATACTAATAGTCTGGTTCCCAGAATGTTCCTCTCGTAATAAACACCAATACTAATCAAAACTCTTTTCAATATTCTCGGTAGAGTCAAAAAAGATTAAAAAAAAAAAAAAAGAAAGAAAAAACTGATAATGTTTCTATCCTGGCAGTATCATTTCTCCCTATGCAACCTTTGAAAGCTAAATATTCTGTGTTAAGCTGAATAGTTTTCCAACAAAGCACCCTTATGAAAAGAGAGTTAATACTGTCACCAAAATAACTGTGTATTGTGTCACTGCACAGGCCAATTTATCATTCCCCTCTGAGACATGGGCTGTATATACAGCTATCATATCAGGAAGCCTGACTAGGTCCCCATGTGCTGCCTGCACAAGATAACATACAAAACATGGCATGAGTCCAGGGAAAGGCCTGTTCTAGAAATTTACATCAACAGAACATAAATAGTCCATTATAGTGCCTGAGCAATTTAACTGGATGAGTCCTATCACAAATGAAGGATGCTGGACTCCGCAGAGAAACATTTTATGAGTAATTACATGTTGCTGTCCAACAAATGTCCTATTACACAAAAAGAAATTCTCTAAAGTTGAATTTAAAAACACATAAAATCTTCTCACAATTATTGGTCATAGTCTGGAAGAAACATCGCATTCAATTCACTAAACATTTAATGAATGCCAAGGATATTCAAAACACTATATATATAGAAGTGATTAATGCAAGCTTCTCATTCTTAAGGAGTTTATAAACTAGTGGGGGTTAGAAACAATTTACAAATTAACTGTAAAATCAAGAATAATGTAGTGTATTCTATGACACATAAAAAGGAAGGAAATGCCAAAAAGTGAAGCTATTCATTTTCATGAAGGATGTTGCATTTGATGATCACTGTACAATGAGGGACCCAGGAGTAAGAGCACAAAGAAAGAATTAAACTCTTCTGTCAATTGCGACCACAGGTTGACTACAGATGCAAGAGTTGGACAAAAATCAAAAAGGCATTCTGTAAGAATCAATTGGCCATATAGAATTTAAATGTTGAGCATTGTATATTTTATTATAATTTTAATTGTCTTCCATGTCATTTTATTAGTAAATTTTATAATAAGCATAATGTATACACATGCATTTTTTTGGAGAGTCTGTTGTCCAGCCAAAAAAAAAAAAAAAAAAAAAAAAACAGTATAGAACTTTAATGCCACCGTAACCAAGGCCTCAGAACAGTCAAGAAAGTTTTGTCACTTGGACTCGACCTTAATAGCAGTTTTCATCTGTCAGGTGTGTCAATGATGCCATTTTCCTGAAATGAAGACAATATATTCTAGTTTTTGCTGTGATTTAACTAGTCACATTTAAAGGGTCCTAATGACCTCAAGATCTTTATGGATATGATTAAACCCTAACCTCACCACTCCTTGGTTCCCTATCTGTAAAACTAATGAACTGCATGACATCATTTCTAAGGACTCTTCTGATGGCAATTCTAACACACTAAATCAGCAGAGTTCAATGTGGAAAGTGACAAAGGAAAAAATCATCTCTAAATGCTAAACAAAACCATTGAACACTGCACAAGCAATCTTTTAAAATGCAAAGAAAAAACACATTTTAAACTTAGGCCCCCCAAAAAAAGGTTTTCCGTGAAGCTAAATCTAACACCTGAAGTTTTTGTTATCATATTTTAAAAGCTTTGATTATATGAAGACTTGACTACTCACTGATTTGTCTCTCCAACTTACTCTAGTAAAAATGTAAGTAGAACCACAACTGAATCTCAATTTTTTTCCAAGCTACTTCAAAAATGCTAGAGGAACTTCCAGTAGTACAAATAAAAATAAGGTTAGTAGGTTGTATTCCAAGTTTTAAATATTAACATGATATTGAATAATCATAATAATCAGGGGACTTTAAATAGGCAGGATATTACAATTTGAACTGGTTGCAGTCTGTGAATGCCTGTAGAGTGTCTTTTTTTGAATCTGGATTGATTTTACTTCTGTTCTTCAAATTGACATAATAATAGCTAGTCACAGCTTAGAAACAAGATTTGCAGCCTGTCTTTTCAAAGATCTATGTAGTAATGATAAACCCAGTGGTTTGAATCCATCAAGCTCATGCTAAGCACTATGTCTCTGGGTGAACAGTTGCTGCTGGACAATGAATCTTTTCAAACTACCTAGAAGAGAATCTGTAAACCCACAAACAAATGATTCTCCATCAATCAAGTCCTATTTTAATTCAAATGCAGTTTAGAACCACACAGTGGAATACATTTGCAGTAATTTTATAAACTTAAAACATTTTATCATTAGAACAAATAAAATGCAGTTTTATTTGTACTAATGAAATAAAAAACATAGCTCAATAAATATAATCTCCAAAATTCTACCATGAATTAAAACTTGTAATGATGCTACATAATTTCTTGTTGAGTTTCAAGACATTGCAAATATAGTAAGCAGTATCCGTTTTAAGTTTTGTCGTAAGATAAATACATTTTAATGATCAAACCACTTTCAAAATGCTTGTAACGTGAGACTGCTTTTTTCTTCCAACGGTGACCTGTTTTTCTCTAGAACAGTCACTAAGAAAAATATTTTTCAGCTAGTCATAAGAATGACTTCCTTAGCAGCCCTTTCCTTTGTACCATTAAACAGTCTGGAAAATTGCTTGCTTGACTCATTCACACTGTCAAAATATACTACAGGCTAAGGTTGACCATCAATTTTCTCTGTATCCTGTAACAACACACCCAATTTATGCATGAAGTTCTAAAGCAACAGTACTTGCAGTCTTAGGACTACTTTCATACATTAATATTTTGCAAAACTATATTCACATAGGCTAATCTATTCATTTGTTGCAGCTAAAGGATACTACTTGTTGTACATGAAAATCTGTATACATTTAAGTCCACTACAATTAAAAGGTAAATGACCAAATGAACGAAATAAAGTCCTTAGGTTACAATGTATCCTTTATCGTCTTTTTGAACATCTCGTTGAACATCTATTTGAAAACAGAACTTGATCGATGAAGAATCATTTGTTTGTGGGTTTACAGATTCTATGGGTTTATAAATAAGAATCAGTTAGAAATTCAAAGAGAAGATATTAGACTTACTTGGAGATAACTGTGGAGTTATTTCAAGATTAAAAAAATAAAACAAAAAATAGGCCAGGCACGGTGGCTCACGCCTGTAATCCCAACACTTTCAGAGGCCAAGGTGGGTGGATCGCTTGAGCTCAGGATTTCAAGGCCAGCCTGGGTAACATGCTGAAACCTCATCTATACAAAAAATACAAAAATTAGCCCGGCATGGTGGTGCATGCCTGTAATCCCAGATACTCAGGAGATTGAGGCGGGAGAATCACTTAAACCCAGGAAGTGGAAGTTGCAGTGAGCTAAGATTGCGCCACTGCACTCCAGCCTGAGTGACAGTGAGACTGTCTCTGAAAAAAAAATTTTTTTAAAGGAATAAATAATTTGAAATTCTTTATACAACTAAAATAGTCACAAAGTCATATCAGGTAGTCACAGAACTCCACATAAATTTATAAGAATCTTTTAAAAGTTAACACATTATTTTATCAACTGGCTGATTTGTCATTAATAAAGGAAGTTAATAAAGCAGAATGGAAGATCTGTAGAAAATGGAGACCTGCTAACTACAACCAAGGTACCATCAAGTAGCTTTTTTTTGTTTGCTTTTTAGGGACCAAAAATCATAGGAAACGGTATTTATAAAGAAAAATATATATTTTTTGAATCAGAAATTTAATGGGGACAGTTATGAAACAGTTACTGTACCTTCTAACTATGAATAAGAAATTACTAAGCAGGTGAGAAGGTTATTTTATCTTCTTAATCTTTTTAAAAATTCATCCATAGTTTTAATAAGCAAAGCAAAATAAATAAATAAATAAAAGAAGAAAAAGAAGGAAGAGGAGGAAGAAAAAGAGAAGGCAAAGCCAGCTCTATCTGAAAGTCTGGAGCATGTGAAAATTTCCAGATGGTTTTATCCTTAGGAGATAAATACATCTTCTCTATAGATTGAGAAGTCATGGCAAAAATACTATGTTCCCAGAACCTCTCAGCAGTATTAAAGGAATGGTTGTTAATCAGAGGCACACAGCTTTTAAAATATATATCTGCCCATGTCTGTTGATTTAGAAATTCCAACTAGGTGATGGAGCAAGCAGGACTAGGTGATGGAGCATGAAGGTCTAGGTGATAGAGCAAGCAGTGGGGTGAGAGAATAAATAAATATATTCCAAGTCTCTTCTGCTTTGTGCAGGCAGGACGCTTGGAAAAGTACCTGAGAAGCTATTTGCACACAGTGGGCATGCCATGCAAGCTGTTGACTCACATGGAATTAAGTGGATCTTGCTATTAGTATAGCTGATCACTAGGCAAAAGAAAGGTTTGGGTCTAATAGGTATTTGCAGCAAAGTGGTCCAACTGGCAAAATCTCTTACACTCTCTACTTTCAACGCTGAGTTTTCACTTTTCTACTGTTAAAGTTCAGAACTGACAAGTTTGAGGCCGCAGGTTTAACGTGCATTTTTTAAAAGGCAGTCATAATTGTTTATGCTCCCTCATTCTTCAAAATTCATATGCTAAGCCAGATAAACCAGAGGTGACAAGAGGTTACAGATCAAAAGCCCTGAAAGGTATTAATACAGGGAGAGAGTGGTACTTCTTCAATTTATCCTGAAGCAAATACATTTTGAAAAGTCAAGCAAACCCTTGGGGCCACAATGTGACGAGAAATAACTGATAAGGAGTACTTTATTAATATTACAGTTATTTTTATTATGAGAACTTCAGAAATTCTTCCTGATTTAATATTTCCATAAGACGTGTGGGTGTGTGCGCGCGCATATGTGTGTGAGAGAGAGAGGAGTGAGAGAGAGAGAGAGAGAGAGTGTGTGTGTGTGTGTGTGTGTTCACACGCTTTCACTATTATCTGTAGAAACTTGTCTGCTGGAAAACGTTTCTTTAAACTTTGGTTTGGCTCCTACTTTGGAGCTGATGGGAAATAAAAACTTTTCCATGGATTAGAGCCAACTGAGCTGCTAAAACAAAAGGTAACATTCATTAGAGAACCATGGCACCATGATCTCATTCTGAAGGTTAATTTTTTTTTTTACATTAAGTGTGAATTGTCTAAAGCTTAGAAAATTCAAACTGCAAAATAATGTCAAAGAAAATAATACTGGCTTTATCTTAAATGTTATTACATGGAAATTTTTTTATCAAATACGAAACAAAACTGTAGTAAGCAAAAAGAACTCATCAGATTCTTAATAATTTAGCTTAATTTTCTATCTCTGTAATTTCCTCCAAAATGTGGGCACCAACATACACAACACATCTTGCTTGTTATTTTTTCTTATATCCAGTAATAGGGAGTTTCAGAGAAGTGGATTTTTCTCAATAAAACATGACAATCTAAAGGTGTTAACCCCCCCTTGATTTTTAAAGGAAATATAGTGGGAATATATTAGGTTTTACAAAGCATCTGCTAACCAAATACCAACTGACTACTTAATTCCAGGAAAGCCTTACGGCACCATTTTTGGCAACTGCGAAAAAGCTGAAAACAAATTTTATGTTCCCTGCCCTCAGAGGTCCTCCTGTACTTTCTCCTAATTGTTTCACAACATGTTAAAAGCCTGAAATAGCCAACTCAATTACACAGGCTACAAGCATCCCCTTTGAACAGATATTTGATCCTTCTTCAACATCAAGTAATACAATTAACTCATTGTCACACACTAAATCAATAATACACAGCAGAACAGAATGGGCAATAATCAATAACCTTAACAAGAATGCAGTGGCATGGCTCAGTAAATCAAACTGTAAACACATAACTCATACCCAGAATTAGACTATAACAAGAACAGTTACAGACGCTGTCAAGAAAAACCCAGAACTGGCCATAGGACTAGGCTGTATTATTTCTGAAAAGCCAAAAAAATCAGGGAGATGGGGTTTTGGTGTTTGTTTCCCCCTTTACACTTGCTGGAAAAAGTACATGCTCTCCTATTTCTAATGATGTTAAAAGTCTCAAACTCATAAATGAGGCAAATGCTTTTTAAAATTTTGGAGCTAGGCCAGGCATGGTGGCTCACACCTATAATCTCAGCACTTTGGGAGGCTGAGACAGGCGGATCGCCTGAGGTTGGAAGTTCAAGACCAGCCTGACCAACAAGGAGAAACTCTGTCTCTACTAAAAATACAAAATTAGCCGGGCGTGGTAGCACATGCCTGTAATCCTAGCTACTTGGGAGGCTGAGGCAGGAGAATCGCTTCAACCCGGGAGGTGGAGGCTGCGGTGAGCCAAGATCACGCTATTGTACTCCAGCCTGGGCAACAAGAGCTAAACTCCCACCTCAAAAAAAAAAAAAAAGTCTTGGAGCAAAACGGACCATTTCAACAGGCTAGAATTGGATCCCTATCGATTCTGAGTGACAGTGAAAGGGGGAAAAAAAAAAAGCTGTGATAAACAGAGTATTATGGATTTGGATGCTTCTTTACACATTTGAGGAAGTGAGTGGTAGATATTTGACCAATTAAGTTTATATAGGTATAAAAAAATAGAAAAGAATAGTGCAATCATGAAAAAATAAACTTTAATATTTAACCTTCTAATCTGTGCAGGTACTTTGCTGAATAAACAATTTTATTTCTAGAAAAGTCTTAGGTGAGTCTTTTAGGAGAAAATTTACATAAATAATACAGCATTTGAAATATCAAGTATGAATTATTTATTGTAGACCAGCATAAAGCTAAATAGGATTAGTTTTAAATGAATTTAGATTTGCTAACAGATGGCTACAACCATTTTTCCATTCATACTTAACTGCATTTACAAAATGAATTTTCAGGTACAGACAATATAAATTCTGAATTATTCCATTAATACCTACTGGTTTAGCTAGTAGTCAAGTCATACATATGTTAAGAGGTTAAGGGGTTATTTTCTCTTGATAACAGGTAAATAAATAAGCTAGTATGTGCACACTTATATACATTCAAGGTTAAGTCCTTTTTAATTTTTTCAAACAACACAGAGACCTGTAGTGCAATGTGCATAATGACAAATAACATTCACTATGACCTAAGGCAAAGTTTCTCCCATAAGAGAAAGATAACTTAGACTGAACTCTGTCATTCAGATAAGAACAATACAAACGGCTACCGTTAGTATCTATGGAGTATTTACATGGAGTAAGACACTACATTAAATGATTTATATCTAACTGATCTCATTGAATCCTCACAAATCTTGAAAGCAAATGATACTAGACTTGTTTTACAGATAAGGAAACCAGCTTGGGACAGTAAAGTGATTGGCACAATGTCACTAGGAAGTCACTATGGTATCAAACTCAGATCCAGCTGAATCCACGGTTTAGGCTCTTAACAAAGTCTTGATTCTTTGCCATAAAAAATAAAATGTTGGCCGGGCGCGGTGGCTCACACCTGTAATCCCAGCACTTTGGGAGGCCGAGGCAGGCAGACAACAAGGTCAGGAGTTTGAGACCAGCCTGGCCAACATGGTGAAACCCTGTCTCTATTAAAGATAAAAAAAAATCAGCCAGGTGTGGTGGTGCACGCCTGTAATTCCAGCTACTCAGGAGGCTGAGGCAGGAGAATCGCTTGAACCCAGGAGGTGGAGGTTGCAGTGAGCCGAGATCGTGCCATTGCACTCCAGCCTGGGTGAAAGGGCGAGACTCCGTCTCAAAAAAAAAAAAAAGTTTTCACTTGCACATTTTTTCATGTGGCTTTTTGCAATTATTCTGAAGATCCTAGTTTGATGAAAATTCTAAACGTGACACTGGGAATGAAGTGAAAACCACTGGTAGTCACATTGTCATTATTCCTGTCGCCAGTATTTATTTGCTACAAAATAATTTTTATTACAAATTTCATCCCAAAGAAAAGAGCATACAGGCCAATCTAGACACTCAGAAAATACCAAAACACAATAAAAAGTTACACTATAGCTAATGTAAACCAATGAAGAAAGCGTCCAGAGAAATGAAATGAAAGGACAAGGAACACCAGTCACTTTTCCCTATGATCAATTTAGTCTTGAACATAAAATAAGTTTGAATTACATACCAAGTTTGAATCTATATAACAATCTTTATTCTGACCTAAGACAAAGTTCCTCCCATAAGAAGAAAGATAACTTAGACTAAACTCTGGCATTCAGATAAGAACAATCAATACTAATGGCTACCATTTATGGAGTATTTACATGAGCATGACACTGAATTAAGGGATTTACCCAACTGATCTCATTGAATCCACATAAATTCATTTTTAATTTTCTAAAAATATATTTCTAATTGGCTGTCTGACTAAATTCGTACAACCATGAAAATCGCCAAAACACAATGCGTGGCAAGAGTTTCAGGAAAGGACACTTATAACACTAGCTATTGGTATCGAAAGTTTCTGTTCAAGCTACCATTCATCCAAATGAACTGTTCCATAAAAATAATTATATTTCCCATGGAGTATTTTAAATAACATGATCAATTCTAATATTTGAGATACATCTCTTTTTTTTTTTTTTTTTTTTTGAGACGGAGTCTCGCTCTGTCGCCCAGGCTGGAGTGCAGTGGCGGGATCTCGGCTCACTGCAAGCTCCGCCTCCCGGGTTCACGCCATTCTCCCGCCTCAGCCTCCCAAGTAGCTGGGACTACAGGCGCCCGCCACTACGCCCGGCTAATTTTTTTGTATTTTTAGTAGAGACGGGGTTTCACCGTTTTTAGCCGGGATGGTCTCGATCTCCTGACCTCGTGATCCGCCCGCCTCGGCCTCCCAAAGTGCTGGGATTACAGGCGTGAGCCACCGCGCCCATCCGAGATACATCTCTTAAGAGTTCAGGATTACAATCTGATAGCTACTAAATACCCAGTATGCCCAGAAATTTCATCTTCTCAAACCCATGTTTTTTGAGAGCAAACATGCTCTTTATGCCATATCATGAACAAAATAGAATCAACGATTCTTATATTTACATGGTCAAATTTTTGTCCAATTACATATAACAAAAGTCTTAAAAAGAATAGTGTGAGCTATTTTTAAATACATCATTAAAATTAATGTATTCACATGAAAAAAATTCTACCTACTAGATCTAAATATTTCAGCATTATTGATAATTATTACAAATAAACAAAAAATTAAAATAAACTACTGAAATTTTAGTCCTAGAAAATTTCTGAAATGTAATACTCAAAATCACAAACAAGCATGACATACAATAAGATATATGAATCATTGTCAAAGAGGTGGTGAATGGTTTCATCTGGATTTTAACTTAATATAGTACAACTTGTAAAGATTTACAAAGGTTTTTAAGCATATTTCTGTCTTACTAGGCATATATTAGAAACAATATAATATAAATAAATGCCTAGTAAGATGAATAAAATCTCAGCCTCTTATAAAATAATGCCTTGAGCTGGGCGCAGTGGCTCACGCCTGTAATCCCAGCACTTTGGGAGACCAAGGCAGACGGATCACGAGGTCAGGAGTTTGATACCAGCCTGACCAACATGGTGAAACCCCACCTCTAGTAAAAATACAAAAATTAGCTGGGCATGGTGGTGCATGCCTGTAATCCCAGCTACTCAGGAGGCTGAGGCAGGAGAATCGCTTGAACCCAGGAGGCGGAGGTTGCAGTAAGCTGAGATGGCACCACCACACTCCAGCCTGAGCGACAGAGTGGGACTCTGTCTCAAAAAAAAAAAAAAAAAAAAAAAAAGTCTCATGGTTCTGTGCATTAGAAAAATAACAGTTATACTACTTTTGTGATTTAAAATATATTATATTTCAAGCAAAAAAAAAGTTATGAAATGAAACACTTCCTTATCTGATGCCTTTACCTCAATTCCAAGCTTTATCTTGAAATCCTGAAATTCTCATGGGTTCCCCCCAACCCCCCCAAACAGTCTATTATTCTGATTTGCTATACTGTTCATCCTGTCTGCGGCATGACTTAAAATTCTTCTGGACTTTAGGTTCAGACTCTGTATTGTTAGAATATTAGTTAAAATTTTAATATAAATTTCCCACACCAAATGAGAAAATCTAAACAAGCAATTATTCAGAAGTGACTTTCTAGATTAAGAAAAAATGTGAATGAGCATGTTTTAAACAGCACAGTTGCTTAAATTTAGGCAACTGAAATGATTTAACAAATACTTGCCCACGTATGTACAACAGTCTAATATGTAGTTTCTCTAATAATCAATATACTATATTTTTGTCTATACGAGGTCACTGTATAGTGCTTCATAATCTTGCTATTTAAACAAGTTAAACTTAGCATAAAGACTAAAAGCATAGGCTCTGAAGACAGACTTTCTACACTGAATCTCAGTTCAGCATCTCCTGACTGTGTAACCTCGTAAGGGTTAATTGTTCTTAGCTTCTTTAGTTTATATAATCAATAGATGAGGATCAAATCAGGGGAATAAAATTAGCTGTTTCTACATGTGCTACCTAAAAATCAATCTGACTCAGTTTTATCTCACTGAATTATAGAAACTGATGATGAGCTTAGTATAAATCTCTTACCATACAAAAATTAGTGGTGTACTCATTCTGACTAATACAAGCACGTATAGTCTTTTACAGCACACATAACCACAGCTAAAATTCATCTGCTCCTCCTACACTGACTATGCAGCGGTTTCCAAAATATTTCATAACAAACTTCTCAGATACACAGGAAGGCATTTAATGCTTACTTGTGTGTTACCTGAGCAAATTTGTGTTCTACTGGAACATTTTAAAATTAAAGACTAGAAGGGTTTTAAAGTATTTTATTATCCTATGATTATTTTAATCTTCGTTGTGCTTTTCAGAAGCTCGAAAGCTTATAATCACCACTAGTCTATCAACACCCAAAAAGGCAAAGACTAGTTATAAATGCTTCCTAGGATTGGGAGATGTTACTACTTATTTCCAGTCTATGAACGATTAGATGAGCAAAGATATCTGAAAGCAAATTATCGTCTGAATGCAGTAATATGGAAAAGAAGGAATTACAGATGTAATTTATCCATCACAAGCAGATCCTAAACACTGATTATGTCTGTATTTTTGCAGAAAATTGAAAATGATAGAAAAGCTTCCTAGCTTTTCTGACTTTAATTTTCCATGTTTTACTTTGTGTAATTTACTGTCAGCTATTAACAGCAGATGCTTCTTGCCTTATTTGAGAACAGCCTGGACTTAAGTATAAGTGATTCTGAGATCCAGAAGCCTACGCACTAGGTCTGATTTTTATGCAGAGAGATAAATTCTAACTTAAGATACTGTACTCATATGAGGTCTGGAGAAAACAGGGTCTTGGATCTCAACCTCATATTAACATAAACTAAAATATAAATATAGCTTAATAAATCTAGACAGCTTCAGAACAATTTTGCTGGGCCTAAAATTGTGATCTAGGGTTAAAATACAGGTCGTTACCAACTGACCCATGATGATTCAGGGACAGCTGCCACAGTCTGGTGGCCTGTGGCTATGTGAAGTCTTTTACTGGGGATTCCCTCTAGTTCTTTTATTCCCACTTGTGATGTCATAATTAATAGTGTGAGAGAGAGGGAAGGGGAAAAAGGAAAGATAAACCACCAGAGCCATTTCTTTCTCTCTTCCTCAAGTATCTCTTTCACTGACCCTGCAATTGCTGTCGAGAAACTTCCCCCTCCTAACCATTGCCGCCACCACCTAATATACTAGTCTCCCTGTTAGTAACCGGCTCCTTGAGGACTGTATTGTTAACATCTGCCTCCCTAAAGTTTGACATAGGAAGTACATAAGTTATATTACTTAAATTGTTGAATCCTTATCACCTCCTAATGGTTTTCTTCCTCACATCTGAGTTTTTACAACCGGTCTCTTGACCATATCCTATGATAAAATGCCAAAAAAAAAAACAAAACAAAACAAAAATTGAGTTTGATACTTTTATGATCTACCTGTTTCCCCATGGCTACTAGTATTTAGAAAACAACAGCAACAACCACACAGCTGAAAATTTCAGAGAGGGGGAAGAATGGGGAGAAGCTGTTCATTAAGCTCTGCAGTAGACAGGGCCCAGGATCAATGAGCACTACATTCAAAAAACAGGCAGGCTGAGTCCTTAGAAACATGGGGGTCACTTGGAAGACATATTGACGACACCTTCCCACCCTAAAGGTTACACAGGTGGGAAGCTTTGGACTCCAGCTCCTCACTGCATACCCTGTCTTTAGATCCTGCTGATTCTAAGCAAATGCCCTATTAAAGACTAGCTTCAGGAAACAGAAGCAGCCCAAAGTTAAAGCTGGGGAAAACTACACTGGCTCACAGCATGAGTTCCAGGACTTTGGGAAAGGCCACCTCCCCTGCACTAGGCAAGCTGAATTTCTGGAACCCTAAACTGAAATTTAAAATACATCTTTGCCACAGAAATAGTTTGACAAAAGCAGCTGGGGTCTGTGACTCTAGGAGTTCTCAAGATTTATGATAAGATAACACTTCTATGGAGCCTCTTGGGTTTAATTAATAACCAGGGTTTCCAAGGTACTGTTTGTACTGAACTATAACTCAAGCATCCTCTGGGCTACTTTGGCTTCTCAGGGTTGACCCGATGACTTAATCACCTTGCTTCTGTGGAAAAACATTTTCTAAACAATTAAACCTTTTGAATATGGCTTTTTATGCACTGGGGAGGCAGCTATATAGTTTATACAGTGACTAGTTATCTAAGATGATTCATTTAAAATTTTTCCTATATGGCCATATATTTTACAACAGATACAACATCTTTGAAAGTTGGTGGCAGCATTCTTTCTGCTATTTTGGGTTCACTCCTTGACTCATTTGTTGACTTAAAATACAGTGATTACTTCTGAGTACTTACTGTTTTAGGCCCTGTACTATAAATTTGTCTTGGATATTCATTTTTATTCTTAAGTACTGCTGTTAGTTATATTTTCTTTGTCGAATCCTTAGAATATGCATATGGAAATTAAGAAGCAATGTTTTCCAGCAAACATAACAAAACAATTAAGAGTACAGGCTGTGAAATCAGATTACGAGGCTCCAAGTCCACATTTTACTGGCTGACTGACCTTGCATGTATTACCTAACTTCTCTGTATTTCAGTGTGTCCATCTGTGAAATGGAAGTAACACCAGTAACTATCTCGATGAGATTTTATAGGGACAAAATACTATGAAAAAAATGAAAAGCACTGAAAACACTGATTGACATACATTAAGTTTCAATAAATATTAACTCACCTTGTTATTTTACTCCATACGGAAAAAATAAGAAAGTGTATTTGTGGAAGCAGCAGAAATACAAATCAAAGTGCAGATTCTTTTGTCATATAAAATCACTTGGGACCTGTTTTTAATGACATGGCATTTCTGCTATATTCCAGTTATAAAAATGTGACTGTTTATATAAATATGAATAGTAGGCTGGGCGCGGTGACTCACGCCTGTAATCCCAGCACTTTGGAAGGCCAAGGCGGGCTGATCACCTGAGGTCAAGAGTTCAAGCCAGCCTGGCCAACACGGTGAAACCCTGTCTCTACTAAAAATGCAAAAATTAGCTGGGCATGGTGATACACGCCTGTAGGACCAGCTACTCGGGAGGTTGAGGCAGGAGAATTGCTTGAACGTGGGAGGCGAAGGTTACAATGAGCCGAGATCACACCACTGCACTCAAGCCTGGACAACAGAGTAAGACTCTGTCTCAAATAAATAAATAAATAAGTACAGTTATAAGAAGATAAAAAATGAAGCTGTTTTAGTTTTCTCTATAAGGAAAAATAAATCCATTTGTGATATGCCAGGTTTTATTTACTAAATAAGCAAGACAGAAGTGATGACAAGTTTGTCAAGATGAGAAGACTTCAGTTTCTCTTCAAAAGTGGTATCTCTTCAACCACCTCCCTTACCCAGATGCTTTCCAGAGAGATTTACTTAATTCTGAAAGTTTTATGAGAGGAAAAATAAACACTCTTTTATTCCAGAAATGGCCCTCCTGAACATCCATTTCCATTCTCCCCTTCTGTCTTACCTACCAGACTCCTGATTTCAATCAAGGCAACAGTTTTTTAAAATAATAATAAATAAAAACAAAACAAAACAAACAAACATACAAAAAAATACTTCCTAGCAATCCCTGCTACCAAAATCAGTCAATAAGAGACTGAAAAATTACTGGCTGAAGCTCAGAGAACCTTTGCTTAAAAGGAGCCTGGCTGGGCTGAGTTATGGTGTCTTGCCTTTTCTGCGTCCTGCTAGACTAAGGATATGATGGCTGGCACTGCAGTGGCCACATTGCAATTTTGAAATAATCCTAAAGTTGGAAGCCATGTGCTCCTTAGGAACTAAGAGAGAAGGAACCTGAGTTCCAATGACTATAGAGTCGCCAAATAGACCTAGACGACTGAAATATAAACCCCTAATTTGTTTATACCAAATGCTGGGGAGGGTAGGGGAGGTGTCTCTGTTATGCAAAGCTGAATCTAATTCTTCACAGACAAAATGTCTAAATCACTTCTGTGTGACTATGGAAAGACATATTTAAGATCGGAACCAATAGTTCTAAAGATGGACAATTAGAAAGCTGGAAAGAACTCAGAGATAACAAAAGAAGAAATGTAATGGTCAGAGATGGCCAAGGCCCTCAGGAATCCAGAGGACAAACAGCCTGTCAACCAAATTAGAAGATATCAGGGGTTATACTGTTTAGTAATTATCAGTAATTTTCAAAACACAAGCTCATAGCATAGAAAGTTTTATCGCTAGCAAAAAAATCAAACTTTATCTCAAAGTGAAAATATTTCAAACATGTGCCAAAAATGTAGGGATGATGCTGTAGGTAGATGTGCATTTGATGATATTTGTATAAGAAACAGTATTAAATAAAAACTCTGTAGTTGCTGTTAGTATAAGTGAGCAATTAGCATAAGTCCTCACTAGAATCAAGCTTGTTTACAGTAAAATTCACAAAGAAATTACTATCCTAATAATCTATTATACTTCAAACAACTCAGAATTTCTATCAAGCCTTTCCAGTTGCTTTTACTTAAGTTGCTACATGCTAATAACTATCATCAGTGCTAAATCAAAGGCCATCTATCTATCTATCTAGTTACCCACTTCTACTGGCAGTCATGATTTTTGGCCTAGCTGTTAACATGGAAAATTGCTCACCTATCTAAAAGCACAGGATGTAGTACTGCTAAGTTTAAAAAAAAAAAAAAAATTCAAATTTCCTCAATAGGACCTCTTTGTAAGAAAATAAGAAGCTTTGTCTAAGTCTGTGGGAAGGCAGAGACATTGCTCAGCATGAAAGGTAACGGATTAGCAATGTTGATAGCTGAAATCCTCTACTTATCCTTGGCAAGGAAAATGACAAGATAAGCTTCCCAAACTAGGTCCCTAGGTGTCTGTGCTAGGTCTGAGAAACATTCCATTTCTCACCTTTCACCTGAACTGGGCATGTGTCATACAGTTCTTCAAAAGACAATTCACCCCACACTGCATTGTCTCTTTTAAGTGAGAAACAGCCTTATATATGCAATTGTTTCAAGGGTACTCCGTGGAATTTTGATTAGCTTCAGACATCTGAATTACAATGAAACTGAATTCAGCTGTAAGTGCCACATTGCTTGAGGTCTAAATTGTTTTTAGTTTGTCACACTCACACAGTGAAGCAAGATTTCATGAGAAAAAAAGTAGACGCAGTGTACCAAAATCTTATAATATGAAGCAAAATAAATAGTTCTAGAATTACTGCAGCAGGTAGCTTGATTCGAAACATGGTTTACAATTTATCTAATAGTCTAAAAAAACCTTTACTCATAAAAAAAAGTTTTCTAAAAAAGTTCTAATATAAACAGGCAAATGAATACAATTACTAGTTTCACCAAAGCAACTGCAGCTATTGAGAATTTCATTAAAGAAAGGTTTATGTCAGAGTTGATGACACTGCAGCATATTCACAGGATATTCTTTACAAAGTTGTGAAGTTTCTCCTTAGGGACCTTTTATATGAAACATACTGCTGCGCAGGTTATGCCTTATAGTTAGTTCATCTCCTAAGTTATTAGGAGAAAACAAGGAAGTGATATGTCAATCTGTCACTGAAAGACACATTGAATATATGTGCCAGCACAGTATATATAATAATCTGTCAAAGTTTTAATACATGGGAGATACCAGTGGTTAAAAATCAAACCACAAAAAAACTTCCTGGTAACAGTGATTCCAGTTAGGACCCTAATAGATCAAAATTTTAATTGAAAATTGCATATTTAGTCTAAAACTTGCAGATATTTTATCAGGATTATCAGTGAAACTGGTTTTTAAAATATGATGAAAAGTCTATGCTTGGGGCTTAGAACAGCAGCAACACAGGCAATTTCTGGATTGAGGATAAACCATGCTAGCAACAGAGGATCTTCTAAAATTTAACTATAACCACCTTTGGGACTACTTTATCATGTCTAGTTATGCCATCCAATCCATATGTGACCATCTGGATACTTGTTTGCCTTACTGATTTTGAGTGCTTTAGTTGTTCATTTACCTGTATGTACATATATTTGTGTGCCTTCTAATACCTAATTTCCATACTTCATATATTCTGCTAAGCCTGCAGAGGCTCTTTAAAACTGTTCTCAGCACCCTTGATTGTATGCCACTTTGCAGTGGAATCTGATCTCAAATGTGTCTATGATAAATCTGATCGGGGTGCTATTTATAGATAGATATCACTGTATATAGCAAAAAGAAATTTTAATTATCTTAAATAAAATGGCTCAATTTGATAAAGGAACAAGTGACTAAAGTTTTCAAAGGTAAAAGAATTTTGCTAGATTTTTGGAAAATAGATAGTAAATATAAAGGTTATATTCTCTTTCTCCCATCCCTAGTACCTGAAAAATGAATGGGTATTTGAAATAGAATTCAGTAAACAATAAGTCTATTTCTGTTGATCATATCGTAAAAGCTTTTTTTTTGAGGGTATAAATAACTTGGCAAATATTAAAATACATTCTGTAGGCTTTCTTTACATTGACTCCCCAAATTTTAGTTGAGAGCTCATGACTGAATAGGCAATTTGTCATTGATTTGAAACATCATTTTTGAAATATAATTTTCTAATGGTGGCTTGCAGTGTTAATATTTTTCTTTTCTTTTTTCCTATCTCTTTCACAAGCCATAGGGGAACATAATCCTCTTTGGCATAAAATAATGCACCTTTGCAAATGTTCTGGATTTCTGAAATAGCTAATACACCTAAATCTATAGCACGTAAGCAATTTAAGTCTCAGCTTGAATACGCTCTTAGACTATTATAAATTAAAACTGCAATTGTAAAAGGAAAATTAGAGAAACTAAGTATTTAGAGTATTGTTTATATACTAGCACACATTATTACAGCTTTTGCTCTTTTACTGTTCTCGTTCTAATTCTGACATTCTTAATACCTACATTCCTCGTTGTCATGTATTCCCATTTTACTTAGCAACAGATTTATTACGATACAGACTTCTACATTTACATACGGTATATTTAAATCTAATTATTTAAACCTTAAAATCATCAGTATGCAACTAAAATAGTGAGCTAATTTTCTTCCTATTATCTTTAGTAACATACCAATTGACTTCTTTTACATAAATGAATACTTTCTTGAACTGTTTGACTTATTTTTTTTTTTTTTAATGAAATAAATTCTCCTCTTCTAACTAGAAGTCTGCTATTAACGTAAGTCACCTGGGAGCCTGGCCAAAGTCTGAAGCAGCACAGCTGAAGGGTACAGCCATTTCATAGGGTCCTCTCAGAGAGTATTTGGTTTGCTTTCCTAACTTTCTAAAAATAGTAGATTACACAGGCCACCTCCATCTCATGGCTCAAGAACTCAGAAAAGGCTGGACTATGGATTTAAGCAATACACAGGACACATTTTATTAAAGAAGTCAGGATTATTACAAGTTTTCTAAATTTTTTTCCGTTTACTCTGTGAGAGAATGCAAATGATCTAGCGGTTAATGGCATGGAAACCTCATAACGCTCCCAAATTTCAGAACTTCAAGCATGAGTCATACAGTTACTTTAACAGTTTTAAAATATGTTTTTGATCTATTTTAGCCACAAGACTGAATACAAGAGGACTGCTATCTGAAGGGAAGGATTCTAAATACTGTACAAAGAATCACATGTGTCAGTTATAAATATATACACACACACGTAAGAAACATGTTTTTTAACATAAATGCTTAATTACATATTCAAAATTGTTTTAATGCTTAACATAATTATTTTACTAACATTTAAGAAGCTACTGTCCTGGGTATGAAGCTCCATCATAAATAAATTCATGTTTTTTTTTTCCTCTTATTCAAATTTAAAATATTTTACCAAGTTTTAGACACTGTAATTTAAATTTAAATTAAATTCAGTTTCTCTTAGAAAGACAAAGAAAAAGGACAAAGTTTGCATTGATTAGCTGCTGTAATGAGTTCATTTCATAAATACATTTAAAATCTTGAAATTATTTAAAGTCCTTGATGTGGCAGTTGAATCTTGTTAACCACATAGCATGTCATTAAGCAACCTTGCTGCTTTACTCAAAAAGGGACTGTTCTGTGGCCATAAGTGAGCAGCAACTAAAAAAAAATATTTTGAGATGGAAAAATAGCAACTGAATAGTAATGTTTCACAATGTTTCCAAATGTTGTAGAAGCAGGTCTTCTGTGTAACCACTCAATGTCACAGCCAAATTTAATGTCCTTCATTTTGCAGCTACGAGTGCACCATCAACTGTCTGTAGGATTAAAAATTGGATTTACTATTAATTGGGTCAAAACAGGGTTACTTATGGCCACAGCTGGTTACCGACAAGAGTAATTAGCTCCTTGCCCCTCATTTTATGGGTCTCAGTCTCTAATTACACCTGAATTCAGCCAGCATGAATTTAGGAATACACATTCACGGAGGTACAACCACTGTGCCCTTCACTGATGCCTCTCAAAGGAAAGGGTGAAGAAAGTCTCAATGGGAGTTTATAACTTTTGCTTATTGATCTTTAGGACTATGACATTAAGAAGAATCTAACATTTTAAAATATTTTTGTTGTTAATACCTCCTTTCTGTTCAACTCTAAAGATCATATTCTCGAAATCTTTGGCAAAAACTTTAGCAAAATGAACAGCCTAAAATGGACCAGGAAACAATGAACTGAAACAATTAACTCATAACTCACCCTGATGTTATTAAAGAAAAGATTATTATAGCACCATATATTTTTAAAGACAAGATGGATCTATGAGACTTTTACTTCTCTACATATGTAGAAGTGATAGTGTCCTCCCCTCAAAGGTCCAAAGAATTAAATTAGGACATTCATATTCAAAAGCAATTTGATTAAACCAAGTAGGCTGAAAGTACCCAGGAACACATTTCTAGTCTTGACCTTGTGTGTCAAAATAAAGATATTTATGTTATCTTTTAAAAGACTCATTTTCAAATATGATACCTGAATTACAAATCCAATGACATTTTTGAATGTCAAGAAACACTAAAGTAAATATTTTAGTATTATGGTGCCCACAAAAGCTAACTTTTAACATTTCTAGCTAAGACTATTACAAATAAAAAAAAATCATGATCTAACAGAAAATAAACTGCTAATTCACATTAGAATTTTTGAAGCTGGAAAAATCCAATAAACAATAGTACTTATGAGTTTCTACTTATTTATATAACTCACATGCAACAAAGTTTGTGCCTCAGGTAAGGTGCTGTAGCAGCAGTTCAGCACCTTACTTCTAGTTACATTTTCCATAAAATGCGTGGCTCTGGCCTGAAAATAAAATGCCCACAAAATAAAAAGAAAATCTAAAATGTCAAAATATTAAAAGAGTAAAAAGTCTATCCAAGTTTAGCTGATTTTAAATCTGCTTCTCTTTTGCAACTGTACAATGCCTTTACCAACAAATAAAAATCATCCTCATTCAGCTATTGCCATGGCCTTATATATAATATATGCATATGCTAAACACTCACAGGTAGCTACATTTACCATTTCCAGGGACAGACAGACACTTTGCCATTACTAAGTGAAAAATATGTCAACACTTTCTGCCCTAGCAAAAAAAAACATGCAGTGAAAGGACTGATAAAGTTATTCATAACAAAGTTTGGCCAGACTTGATTCTACTGCTTCTCGTAAAGTTCCCCAGCCCAACATCATCAACACACTGTATAACTAAACTATGAACAAAGCAATCCATAATCCCATATGCAGAGAACTGTATGTCCATATACCCCTCATTCAATCATTGAATATCCTTAAAAGAATATAATAGTTACTCACTTTCAATGAATCAAAGCAGGCGATTACTCGTCCATTTTCAACTTGGCAGCTTTTCGAAGGATGTGCAAATTTACATTCCGTGTCTGGCCGTGAGCAAGTCCCCCTCTGGAACTCTCTACATACTTCCAGTGTTAGCCATTTTGTGTCCCGAATTGGTGTGACACTAACAGCCATGTTTAGATTTTACAGGTAGTTAAATGTTTCAGTGAAACCAACAAACCCAACCCCCCCAAAAAAGAGCAACAACCAAAAAAAAAAAGCTGAACTGATGATGAAAATGTCCCCTCAAAATACTTTTCCCCACTCCCTGCTTTAAAAGTACATGGAAAATTGTGTCGTCAATATCAAGGAAAAGATCTCCCACTAGAAATTCACAGCATGAAACTGTTAATTCAAAGAGGTTTTGGTTTTTAGAGAAATACTAGGATTGTAAGTAGATGAACGTTTAAAAGTAGGGCCTGGTATCAGCCTTGTGCTCTCAGTAACCCCTTCCCAGTGCCAATTTGGAGCCCAAAATGCAAGCATGAAAACGTGGCAGACCCTTCGACACCGAATTTCCAAGCTGCTTTCAGCAAAGTTGTCTGAAAGGGAATCTCCTCACAGCTGAATTTGCAATGGAGTTTGGTGGTGCAATCGGTATTGATTAGTTTGGCATAGACAGATGCAGCAGTTTAGAGCAAAATCGAGAAAATGATTTTTTTTTTCCTCCTTGATTTCCTGGCAGAAGATATCTTACTTTTTCAGCAAACTTTTCTTTTAACACTAAAGCAGCCTAGGGCAATGCCAGATACTTAGAGCTTTTCTCTTGATTATAAGTAGAAATGGGGGTGTCTGGGCTAGAGGTGGAGGGTGGATGTGCTGTCGTCACAGTCTAGCTGGCAGCAAGCAAGGCAAAAGCAGAGACTGCTCTAGAAGCGGTTCCAAGCAGCAGAGACGTCAGGAAAGGCACTTCTTAGTACCAACCTGTAGAAAAAAGAGATAGGTTAAGATTTACTAAGTAGCACTTCACTGATGTCCTACAGTATCACAACCTTGCCATGTGATACCAGACTAAGTAATATTCAAGTCAGCCTCTCTCTCTCTCTCCCACACATACATACACAAAATACTTACAGTGAGGCATATTGCAGCCAGCCATCGTAGATTTATTAAAAAAAGGGGCCGTTTCCCCTTGTGAAGCAATGCATGATAGAGAGATAACCAATCACAGATAGTGTTGCAGCAATATTCTGGGCAGAAAGCCAATAGTGTGGGTTGTCTTATGAAAGGTCGCGCCTGTCAGACGTTCATTACTATGCTATAAGCACAGAAAATGTCCATCAGATGTGACTTATTCCACTGCAAGAGGACGAGCATGTGGGTTTTGAATTTACCCAACATGCAGTTAGTGGACTAAACCATGTTAGTTTCAAAACAGCTTCTCAGACAAGTCTAAGCACTTGAAGATCATTACCAGGGAATAAAAAGCAAGGTTTAAAAATTGCAGCTGACTTCCAAGCTGCTTTCCCTCCGGCTCTGCGCAGGGACGGGCACTGAACAGCCTGCTCCTGCTGTCCTGACACGTGAATAAAAAAGGAAAGGGGTGTTTACAAATGGTACATTCTCCTGACCTATCCAATTCACTTCCTTCTAAAGCCCAAGTCCTGCCCCTCCACTGAAAACAGCACTCATACTGTAAAACTATTCCATTGAGCCCGCAGACACTTTGTCAATATATCACAGGCAGGCAAGATATGAACAAAAGCATCCTTTATTCGTACATTTTTAAAGCAGAAGCTGAGGTCATGTGGGGAAAATAAGGAGTACAGTGTTGTCAGTGTGTCTGGTAAATCTGAAGTCAACCTCAAGGGAGAAAGTGATTCCATCGCAGAAACATTAAATATTAAGTGAGCAATTTGATTTGAGCAGCGTGATGCACTTCAGAAGTACAATTCCAAACAAAGCTGGAGGGTGGGGGATGAGGGATCCCCTGTTGCCTGATGATCAGTTAACTCAGCACCACAAGACTACTTCTTAGAGCAGGGCATTTTTACTTTTAACAACTTACTTTTTCTATCAGGATTTTTCTTCTTTATTTTTTGTTTGAATGTTGCCAATGAGGAAAACAAGGCTTTAAAAAGTAAAATTTTCACATTTTAAAGAGGCAATGACACAGTATGATAACTAGTATTTGATGATACTTCTTCATGAGCCAAAATTGCTCTATTGGCATATGGTATATTTATAATTTTTGGAAACTAGAGTATAGGATATAAATACATACGTACATTAAAAAACACGAACATCTAGAACTTAAATTGTTTAAGATTAATATTGCCATTTTAACACTAAATTTCGTTTAAAAAACTACTTTCCAAAACTATTTGGAAAATACTACAGTACGACTACAACTTTTGATAGAGATTTAAAAAATCAATCAAGCTTGGTGGATCACGCCTGTAATCCCCGCACTTTGGGAGGCTGAGGTGGGTGGATCACAAGGTCAGGAGTTCAAGACCAGCCTGGCCAACATGGTAAAACCCCATATCTATTAAAAATACAAAAATTAGCTGGGCGTGGTGGTGGCACCTATAATCCCAGCTACTCAGGAGGCTGAGGCAGAAGAATCACTTGAACCCGGGAGGCGGAAGCTGCAGTGAGCTGAGATTGCACCACTGCACTCCAGCTTGGGTGACAGAGCAAGACTCTGTCTAAAAAAAATTTAAAAAACCCATGGCTGGGCACAGTGGCTCATACCTGTAATCCCAGCACTTTGGGAGGCCGAGGCAGGCAGATCACGAGGTCAGGTGTTCGAGACCAACCTGGTCAACATGGCAAAACCCTGTCTCTAAAAATACTGAAATACAAAAAATTAGCCGGGCATGGTGGCAGGCACCTGTAATCCCAGCTCCTTGGGAGGCTGGGTGATTCTCCTGGAATCACTTAGAACCTGGGAGGTGAATGTTGCAGTGAGCCGAGATTGCGCCACTGCACTCCAGGCCGGAAGACAGTGTGAGACTCCATCAAAAAAAAAAAAAAAAAAACCTCATCCCCAGTGTTCAAGAAATATTTTGGTTTTCAAAAAAGTTCCTAGGTCTTAATGCCAGTTTCTATAAAAAAAAAAAAAAAAAAAACAAAGGTCCAGTCATAAACTGTAAGCTGTGTCTATCTTCCTGAAACTTTGTTCTGCATTAAGAATTACTCAATGATTTCATGCCTTGAGAATGGACCACCTGCATGGTCAACAATGTCTTTACTCCTTCTCTTCAGAATCTTCAAGTGCCTCACATGTAACTATTTTCTTCCTCTAAAGCCAGCTAAGATGTTACTTCCTCCAAAAAGCTACCAAGATGTCATTATCCCCATCTCTATCCATCCATATCGTAATACTGCCTTCTCTGAATTATCTCTGCACCTATGCCCTATACAGTGTTTTATTTCCTTATATATCTGACCCACTAGACCATATGTTTTTAAGGACAGAAAAAATATATTATTCATCTCAGTAACCCCATGGCTTAGCCATAATGATGCAAAATAGATGGAGTTCCAAAAATATTGGTAAACTAAATTATCAACTGCTGCATCAGGATTTGGATTACTTCTAGGGTACAAAATATACAAACACACACACATGAACACATATATGAATACAACACATGAACACACTGAAACATACATTTGAAAACACACACACACACACACACACACACACAATCATTGCCTCTATAAATTATTATGTTCCAGGGTCACATAGGCCCTTTCACTGCCTCACAATCTAGCCCTGTCCTTGGACAGCTCCCTATCTCATTGCACACGGCAGCCTTTCTAAAACTTCATTACTCTTTCTCCATGTTCATTAGCAATAGTGGATAATAATATTATGCGTCACGAATATTTCATAGCCATAACAGTAGCCCTTAAGCATGAACTTTTTCTTACCTTCCTACTCACAAGTCTTTAACCTATCTTTCTGTATCTTTCTTGGTCTCCCAGTTCTCCCTCCTCCTGCCCACAGTTAAGCTTCCACAAGCCTCCACCTTGACTCAGTCATTCTCAAGATCTAGTTCTTTTTCTGCCTCCTCTATACATGCACGCCCTGTCTTTCAGCAGTTCCTTCTCTTAGCTTCCAAATGTGCTGAAGAAACTCCAACATGCAGACGGTGACATGGCAGGAGGAAGAGGACCCTGCCCTGGCTAGCATCCTCCTCTCCCTAATGCACTTAATCCATCCTTCCCAAGCAAATATCTAAAGAGTCATCTACCGTGCTGTTTTTCTGCTTCTTCCTTTCCCATTCACTTCTGAATCCTTATCAGTCTGACTTTCACACCCATTACTTTACTGCTCAGCAAAGTTCATCAATGCTGTCAGGAAAGCCAAGTCCAAAGACTATGTTTTGTTCTTGCCTTTACTTGACCTGTAACATGATTTACAACTCCCTCTTTCTTGAACCTTTCCCTTTTAACAAACTGATACATTTTATCTTGTTGCTTCTCTCAGTGCTGTACCTCTTGTATCTCCCCTGGAGAGGAGTTGCTGAGGGTTCTTGGCAGGTGCCAAGACATGTGTGAGCTCCTGGGACTTGTTACATGCTAACTCCCTGTTTGGTTTGACACACACTTCCTCACCCCTGCAACTTGGCAAATTCCTTCTCCTTGTTTAAATTGCTGTTCAAAAATCACCTTCTCTATAGGACTGGGTCAACTATGCTAAACATTACTCCATCTCAGAATGTTTCTGGTACTTTGTAGCTCTTCGTACCTCTCCCCCTCAATGTTATATATGCCCTGACAACAGGGTGTAGGTCCAGTGTCTTCCATCACACAGTTCTTGGAACATAACAGATCTTTTTTTAAAATGTTTGATAAATGAGTAAACTTCATTCACACTTACAGAAATAAACATGTATGGGAGGATGTGGTCCCAACACTGATGAAATAGATTATTTAATATCATGATCTATGGCATCCAGACAATATATGTAAGAAGACTGGTACCCCAAGAAATATCTGCATTGCTTGGTAGTCATATCTAAATACAACTAAAAATTAATTTCTAGAGTTGATTATTTTTCCTTTTTGCCAGGTTACAGACAATCCCTCAAGTACAAAATATACTTTGATTACTAAAATGCTTGCAAATCAGTGTTCTGATTATATTTATTTTCTGTAGCAGAGAAATTCTATTTACTTCAAAAGTGCTACTGAAAGCATTATCAACATAGATTTGTACCATTTAATTGTAAAGGACATAGACAAGGATGATAATCAAAGTATTAATAATTAGTTCAGGCATAGACACTGAACAATTAAAATAGATACTGGCCATTATGCATTAGTCTAGCTAGACCTGATAATGTATGTGCCTGCCCTTGATATAGGGCACTGTGGGTAACAAACTCAAATTATATCCTATAGATCAATTTCACTAAACTGCTGATATCAGATTATTGTTTTATATTCCTTCTCTATATTAAAAAAAGAATTTCAAAAAATAGAAATCTCTTTTGGTAAATTAAGATTTTATAGAATTTGGATCAATACTGAATTCACAAAACATTAACTAAGTAATGGGGTTTTGTTCTACAGATAGATATAATGTTTAAAGATATGTGGGTAATGTCCAGATTATGAGAATTCTTGCAAACATATTTGGCCTAAAATAAATTTTGTCTGTAAATAATTATTAAAGGAAAGATTTCTACTAATGGGTACATTGCTTCTGAGGTAAATATCTGACCTATATTTCAATACATTATAATAAACTTCTCTGAACAACAAAAATATTGTAAGAATCAAACTTAAGGCCGGGCACGGTGGCTCACGCCTGTAATCCCAGCACTTTGGGAGGCCGAGGCAGGCAGATCACGAGGTCAGGAGATCAAGATCATCCTGGCTAACACGGTGAAACCCCATCTCTACTAAAAAATACAAAAAATTAGCTGGGCATAGTGGCGGGCACCTGTAGCCCCAGCTACTCGGGAGGGTGAGGCAGGAGAATGGCGTGAACCTGGGAGGCAGAGCTTGCAGTGAGCCGAGATCACACCACTGCACTCCAGCCTGGGTGACCGAGCGAGACTCTGCCTCAAAAAAAAAAAAAAAAAAAAAAAGAATCAAACTTTAAAATCTGAATAATAGGTAACAGCAGTCCCTCTTTAACCTACTGATCACATTCCAAACGCTATAGTTTCTTGCTTTATCTGACATCATCTACAACACTAATATTCTGCCACAAGAACCAATTTCTTTTTGAATGATATCAGAAATCATGTATATATTCTACTTTAAGATAAATATAAGGGAGAAAATAAAAAGGAAAGAAATAAAATTTGAAATGACAGAGATAATAAAAACCGAGAAAAGGATAAAGAAGAATGAAATTATTCTTATTCTTTCAACAATTATTCTTAAAAATTACATATATATATATATGGCTTCATATGAATGCCTATTTAAGAGTCACATACCTACTGCTATAGAAGATAAAGAGATGCTTACAAGGTATGAAAATGAAATTCTCTTTTGGAGAACTGGATGGCCTCTATGAGCAAGGTTAAATTTCTTGCTCACATATGTTTACTAATCATTGCAAAAGTTCTTCTAAAGCAAATATAGGCAATCAGTCCAGTTATATCCCAGAGTAGTTAGCTGGTAATTTTGAAGAATTTTATTTAATATGCTTTTAATGTTGATATAAGTTATATACTGAGGAAGTTAACTAAGTAATTTTTTGAGGTCGTTTATTATGATTTTTGTTTATTAAGATAGTTTCAATCTAACTGAAAGAGATGGCTAACTTCACCCTGTAAGTTTGGAGTTGATAAGAAAGAACCCCTTGCCCAAAACCACAACTTCTTCCCCT
Organism: Homo sapiens; assembly: GCF_000001405.40. Taxonomy (NCBI): domain Eukaryota; kingdom Metazoa; phylum Chordata; class Mammalia; order Primates; family Hominidae; genus Homo; species Homo sapiens. The sequence continues at coordinate 152,293,526 of NC_000003.12, read as the reverse complement.
GGCTCACTGGTGTCAACAAGTCCATAATTAGCAATGCAGTTCTTTAGTAAACTAAGTTTGCTCACACAATTATTCCCAGGGTTTGTCCCAAATATTAACAGAGATTTCCATATACAACCAACCAACTTAGCATTTCTGGAGGCTGTACAGCCATCTCTGTATTCACTAAGGTGCTAAGTAGAGTAACAAAGATGTTATACATTATATGGGAAGAACTGCCATCTGAACGAGTTAATGCAGCCTTCAGCACTATTCAACTCCACATAGCAAAAAGCAGAGGTAAGTATTTCTCAGTGAGGGGTAAGCACACTACCAGCAGTACCCATGGCAATTTCAGGTGATGCACAAACAACATAATTTTAACAGATGGATTAGAATGCTAAAACTAGTGTGTCCGGTCTGTGATTACATCAATATTATAACTTAGGAAGAAATTAAAGTTTAATTTACAAATTTAAAGGGCCGGGCACCGTGGCTCACGCCTGTAATCCAACACTTTGGGAGGCTGAAGTGGAGGACTGCTTGAGGCCAGGTGTTCGAGACCAGCCTGAACAACATAGTAGGACCCTATATCTACAAAAAATACAAAAATTAGCCAGGCAGGGTGACAAATGCCTGTAGTCCCAATTACTCAGGAGGCTGAGGCAGGAGGATTGCTTGAGCACAGGATGTCAAGGCTGCAGTAAGCCATGATCACACCACTGCACTCCAACCTGGGCAACAGAGTAAGACCCTGTCTGAAAAAAAAAAAAGTATTAATTAAATAAATTTTTAAAAAAGATTTAAAGAATAGATACATATACACACAAATATACCTAAGAGACTACACATAAATGAAAATCATGAAGGAGATATGTAAATGACTAAGTTTTAACAATACTGCAAAGAAAAAGATAACTTTCAATCACACATCCTCTGGAATGGCATAGAGACTGCCAATGTGGCCTGCTGGTCTGCCACATTTCAGACTAGCTGCTGCCAAGAAAGGAAGATTGTGTTTACTAACGCAAATAAGTAATCTAAGCTCTGTCGAAGCAGTCTTTTAGAATTCTGATCCATTCAACAGTTTGGTTCCCTAAATCACCTAGTGGTCTACTGTAGGAAGGATAATGAAGGAGTGTCGGTTAGGTGACACACTACTGCCAAAGATTAGAATTCCAGTGGCAACTAAACTGTATTCCAATTAGAAAATGATTGTTGATCCTTAAGTATTCATATTTAGGACAAAACAGAACATAAAGCTTCTATACAGACAATGATTTAAAAGTGAATTTTGAATTAATTCCTGTATCAGGCAAAATTTTTAAAAATGTAAAAGGTTTAAGCTCACTAGAAGATAATTATCACAATGAATCACTGCACTTTGCATACTAGCTCTATACCCCAATAGGCCTTCGTCCAAGTCCCTACTGCAAAGTTATCTTCTTAGAAGATTTTCAGGCCACCATCCAAAGCACCCAACCTTCTGTTCCTCCCAACAGCAGTCCAGACTCGTTTTGAGAGAAGTACATAACATTACACTTCCAGCCTGAGCAACACAGTGAGACCCCATCTCTACAGAAAACAAATTTTTAAAAATTAGCCACACATGATGGCATGGCATGTGCTTGTGGTCCCAGCAACTTGGGAGGCTGAAATGGGAGTACTGCTTGAGCCCAGGAGTTCAAGACTGCAGTAAGCTATGACTAAGCCACTACACTCTAGCCTAGGTAACAGAGTGAGACCTCGTCTAAAAAACAAAACAAACAAAAAAACCCCATCTAATACTACATAGTACTGTGAAGAAAGCAGAGTAATATTACACGCTTATCTCGCTATCTGCTTATCATTTGCCTTTGCCACAAAAATGTAAGCTCCATGAGAGAAGGCAGTGGTTACACTAGTTCTCCATTAATAGAAACAGATCACCAAAACAATGCCTGGCCCAGAGGAAACGAACAATTAATATTTGTGGTATAACTGAAGATTTTTCTTAGTATATCAGACTAGTTTGTATTTTCGACAAATTACAATGCTTAAGCTATATGGTTTAGTATATTGGGGATGTCACCTTTATAAGTGAATGAAACCAGCATCAAACGTCACTCATTGGAAAGAGAACATGAGGCGATGAAGTTAAAATAGCAACATATTTAAATACCTCCTTGATTATGAAGTTGAAGAAAGATATTTTGAGCCATGGAATATTCGAAACAGATTTATGTGGCTTTGCAAATTTAAAATATTTAAATAATTATCTGTGAAATTCTGACAGAACCAGTCTTCAATTCCAGCAAAAGAAACACTGCATTTTTTCTGATGCTATTCAAAGAGGAAGTATTTTAACATTTCCTTCTACAAGAAGGTATAATGAGATAAAACTGTGAATGCTACTTAATTGTTCTACAAGAGAAAGCACTACTCCTAATTAGTGTTTTATTTACCTATATATTACACAAAGACATCATCTTGTTAGCCTCAGGTAGACATATCTGATCTGTCCATATCATTTAATATTTCAAAATAGTAAATAGGGAATCAGAACACAGACTACAGCAAAAGTTAAAATGCTGTTATGTGCTCAAGAGCTAAATGGTAGAAAAATCAAATCTCATCATCTTGGCAATTTTCAGGAAGAATGGTACAGTGACCCAACCCGAATCTGTCAATGTAGAACTAACACAACAAAAATGTGAACGCTAAATGAAATGCAACACACAGTAATACTGTTATTCCCGTTACAATGTCCTGATTATAGACTTTGATCCTAAAGCTTACTTAAATGAGTATTATTTTATTTGATACAGTAACTAAGGGCCAAAATCATAGTTTTCATATTTAACCTCTATATCTTCTGAACATCACCAAGCTTCTTGCTGAGGTTGGTGGCACCTCTGCCTAAAACATTTAAAATATGATGTTCACTGCTTAAATAATGGTAGCAAATTCATCTGTGCATCCCTAATGACATTATTGCACAACACAAAAATAAGTATGAAGTTAATTGATCACAGAACTAAGAAAATATTTCCACAGCACCTCATACATTGGTGAAATCTGCTGCATTTTGTACCTCTTTGCCCCTCTATTCCAACTTTCCCTCTCACACAGAAATCATTCTCACAACCAATAGTTATAAGATCTTCTCCATAATTAACCTATTTTTTTCCTATTTTAGCAGACTCAAGTAGGATAAATTACAAAATCAACATGTGAAAAAAATGACAGATATAATTTAAAAAAAAACCTGCCCAAAATATAAAGCATATCTCATTAGGATCAAACTTAATAGTTGCCACACTGTTCAGAATTTCTAAAAATTTAATGTGATAATTGCCCTCAGTACTACCCACTAAATCTGACCACAGAAGCTTTATCTTAACAAATAGAATTTGAATTTCCAAATGTCTGATTTTAAACCTGGTGTGATAACCTCAATCAGGAAAATTGTATTAGCTTATTTATATTGAATATGGCCCAAAATATGTGATTTAACTATTAATCATTATGAAAAAAAGTATAGAAAAATCTATGCCTATAATTAAATAAAAAGACCAAAATAATTATTTTTCAGAATACAATGACTAAAACCAATGACGAATGAGTATGGAATTGCTCGAATGTATCCTAAAAAAACAAATTAGTGAACTTCTCATGACACAACGTAATACACAAATATTTCCTCCATTCCATATAATCAGTAAAAGTCCCTATTATTTCACTAACATATTTCTTATTCCAAACTTACAAATACTCAAGCCACATAGGTGCTACACACTTTAACATTACAATCCTATGGATATTTCTATTGACTTATACAACTGACCTTAAGGATTACTTTTTAACAAATAATCTCAAACATACTTTTAAAAAATATACCAATGTTAACTGAATATATTCCTCATAATAATATATATTCTTCATAACAAGATATATCAGTTTAACTTGACTTTTTTTCAAAAAAATAACAAATTCACATATGCTCACAAACAAGAATAATGTTTTCACTGACTAACACTGACTCAAGACCCAGTTGTTTTTCCCTGGTTTAAAAGACTAAGATACGCCACAAAACAAAGACATGCATTGACAACTCCTATTTTCACTTCAATGTAACTTAAATATCCTTGGAAGAAGGTTTCACATAATTCACATATCTAACTAGGTCCAGAGATTAAACAACAAATTATGTTAATATTCCACAATATAAAATATATTAATGATCTTTCTATGTCAATAGAAACAGATCAATATAATTACTTTTTAACAATTATATATTACTCCACTATATGTCCATTTTGTTATCAGTAGTCAACTAAGTTAATGCCCATTTTTCACTCTTTTAATCAATGCTGAAATTGCATATAAAAAGCTATGCTTATGAGTGATTTTAATAATATAAATCCTTAGAACATGAAGTGTATTCATATATGTATTAACTTTGAACTAGAATAAAAAACTTTAAGAAAACCTTTACGAATATGTACTTCCACCAAGAGTCAATAACATATTTTTCTATATTTGTTAAGCCTATGCTGTACTTTATCTACACTGTAAATTTCTCTTGTGGGAACATGCAAAAAAAGTATGTCTGTTTTTCTATAAATAGAAATGAAAGCCTGTTTTTGTATTTTTCCAAAATATTTTCAACTGTTAGCCCTCATATAGCAGCTAATCAATGGAAACATTTGTAAAATCAGTTTTTCAACTCCTGTTGCATCAAAACATGGCATTTCATTCCTAAAACAATCATAGTATTTGCATTTTGTAATTATTTACAAAGAAACAGAGGCTGGAATTTGGAATACATGTTTGGGTTGACAGGGTATCAAAATAGACAATAAATACTTTACTGTTATTTTCTTATTAACAAAAGGAAAATGTGTAGTTTTAAGAATCTGCAGGGCATGTTGTATTTGGGAAATCTCTGACAACACTATGTCATAAGAGTAAGGTAATGCTTTTTTTAATACATTATATCTACAAATGTCAGAAAATATCTGCTACCCCTTCCTTTTTTGGATGCTAACTGATTAAAGGAAATGGTTTCTGACAACTGCTATACATAATGCAAAGCATTATCAAACTAGCTAAGGTACAAGAGAACTCTGGAAAACTCATGTAGGCCCAAGCATATTTTCCCATGTAGTAATTTTCCCTGAGGCGGGGGTTCCACTCGCAGTCATTCCTGAGTCAGGAGTGGGGAGTCTCCCTGAAGCAGCATGCACTTCTAATTAAAATAACCAAGATAGGTATATACTCTTATATGATTATGCCTTTGCATGTATGTCCTCTTGGAAAATAAAAACATTCCGCCCTCACTTTGTCCTCCTCAAACTCTCTTTCTTAGTTATTAAATAACAGTCTACAGAATAAAGTACCTGAAAGTGAATTTTTAAAAGACTTCAAATATGGTTGGTTGGCAGAATGTGAGCATTACCAACGCTTTTATTTTGACAATGTGATTTTACCGTGTAGTCAGAGTATAAATAAAGTTAGGCTTCTTGGGAGACGAGATCAAAAATTGTATTATTACAAATTTGTACTTTCAAAAGAGAATGCATATTGAACAGAAACTATAAGGGAGCATGAGATTTAGTTCCTTTGCTAAATAGAAAACAATATCTTTTTCTTAATTATTTTAATTGCACATAAGGTTCTGTGCATTCTGGAAAAGCTGTAACAAATAAGGAAACACAAAGAATAAACTACATCCTTTTAATGAGACAGCGATTAAAGCTCTACATGTTTCCATCAGCATCATATGCTCTTAAAAAGTAATGACCAGCTTTCCACAGCAAATCAGAATGCAATCGTAGCTAGCTAATAAACTGAAATAACTGCAAATTGTTTATTAACGGCAACATTTGTTTCTCTGGGATACTGATGCTCCAGAAAGATTATTGGATTATCTGAATCAGTGACTCGTGGGTAACTATTAAAAATATATACCGTTCCTGGGACCTACCCTAGACCTACTGAGGATAGAAACCAGGAATCTATGTTTTCCCAGGTTATTTTTAATTCCATTAAATTTTGGCAACCATAATCAATCAAGGCTAAAATATTATTCTTACCAGAGACTGCTTACTGTGTTTCTACCCTATAACTTTACCTAAGAAACCAGAGTATCTTCTCTGATAAAATGTCCTGTTTAAAGATTTGGTGACACAATCTTTGATTATATTCCATCGACTACTTCAGCAAGGTAGTATGCTTATAAAATGTTACAAAAAAGCTCTGTTATGATTATTAATATTATTTTAAATCATGCATGCCACTGCACATCACTCTAAGATACTACACCATATACAACCATTTTTTTTTTTTTTTGAGACGGAGTCTCACACTGTCACCCACGCTGGAGTGCAGTGGTGTGATCTCGGCTCACTGCAAGCTCCACCTGGGTTCATGCCATTCTCCTGCCTCAGCCTCCTGAGTAGCTGGGACTACAGGCACCCACCACCACACCCGGCTACTTTTTGTATTTTCAGTAGAGACGGGGTTTCACCATGTTAGCCAGGATGGTCTCAATCTCCTGACCTCGTGAGCCACCCGCCTCGGCCTCCCAAAGTGCTGGGATTACAGGCATGAGCCACCACGCCCGGCCACCATATACAACTATTAATCATGCCTCAAACCATTTATGTTTTAGTTCTGCCCAGCAGTTCACTACAACTTAGCATGCAAAAGCTACTTCACTGGTAAAAAAATCCCTCACAACATTTAAAGGAATACATTGGACAAATTAAAAGAGCAATCATGTAGCAATCTCAAAACTTTCCATACTTTCCTATCTAATGTCTAATGAACTATCATATAAAATCACACACAAATAAAATGCTTTACAGATTGTGATATTTAGGTTCCTTATTTATTGCTTATAATAAGAACAATTTATAACAATAAAATTATTTTGCAAAAAAGATAAACAAGGAACCTATTCAACCTATAAAATATAATTAAATATTTATATTATAAATAAAATATAAATATTTATATTATAAATAAAATATATTTATATTATAAATAAAATATAAATATTTATATTATAAATAAAATATATTTATATTATAAATAAAATATATTTATATTATAAATAAAATATAAATATTTATATTATAAATAAAATATAAATATTTATATTATAAATAAAATATAATTAAATATTTATATTATAAATAAAATATAAATATTTATATTATAAATAAAATATAATTAAATATTTGTATTATAAATAAAATATAATTAAATATTTGTATTATAAATAAAATATAAAATAAGGATTAATGTGTGTATGTGTGTGCCCCCAAAGAATAAGGAAAAACATTTACATTGGATTTAGTCAAATCGTTTTCTTCATATACAACAAAAACCTAGTCCTTGGAATTTAAATTAAAGTAAAACCTCTGTGTTAAAGTTAATGGGGGAAAAAGAACCACTTTTATCCTGGATAAAACTAAAAATGTATGCTCCTTCATTACATAATGCCCCTTAAAAAGATTAATTTTTGAAAAGTTGGCTTGTGCTACATTCTATACATGTACTGAGCTTTCTTTCTGGCTTATACATAAAATCTGCAAGGTGTTCATTTGGTTCTTTAATTAAAAAAAAAAAAGTTTCAGGATGGACACAGTGGCTCATACCTATAATCGCAGCACTTTGAGAGACCAAGGCGGGAGTACTGCTTGAGCCCAAGAGTTCGAGACCAGCCTGAACAACACAGTGAGACCTCCGTCTCTACAGAAAATACAAAAATTAGCCAGGCATGGTGGTGCATGCCTGCAGTACAAGCTACTTGGAAGGCTGAGGCAGGAGGATTGTTTGAGCCCGGGAGGCCACAGTAAGATGAGATCATGCCACTGCACTCCAGCCTGGGCAACAGAGGGAGACCCTGTCTCAAAAAAAAAAAAAAAAATTGAAAAAAAAAAAGTTTCCACTGAAGAAGCCAAGCATAGAAATTTACTTTCCCAACAACTTATACATTCTATTATTCAAAAATAGCAAATAATATTTTATATGTTGACATACAATTTATTTTCATCCTAATTACTATTTGTTCCTCACAACTCTAAGAGATGGTTGGTTATATTATTTTGCTCATTTGTGAACAAATAAATTGAGGCGAGGCTTGCATGGTTAAGTGACTGACCCATTAAAATCCCTATGCTAAATAAATGGAAGAACCAGAACTCCAAATCAGCTCTTCTGATTTCAAATGTAAAACTTCATTCACGATACACGATACATGCTAGCAATTTAATACCAAACTTGGTAGAAATGACAATGACTACTAATATATACAACAGAAGCCAAAAGAAGGGAGAGAGATAGGGGGTGAGTGGGATTTATTGGAGGTACCACTACTGCATTGCTTGTGGTTAGCTCAGAGTGAGGTGTGTGTAAGTGAAGGAGAAACCCCTGAATATTGATTCTAGAGAAGATAAGATGGTCTCTTTTACAGAGCTGAGAACGGATGCTATTGCTCTTTTATGTCCATGGGGTAGACACTAAACATTAATAATGTATACCTGGAGACAAGAAAATTCTACACTTCAGATACAAATGTCTTCTCAATTAAGATTGTTAATCAATTTTGAATAGATTATGAAGTTCTAGATACTCCGTAGCTGATTTTGAAAGATTAATTGTCAAGGAAGTGGTCTTTGAGCATGATTTTTTTAAATTTATTCATCAGCCCTCCGAGCAACAGGAGCCTACATTTTCTTCAGAGCTTTTCTTAGAGAAGCTTAAAATATGTCTGCAGAAAACTTCCACGTAGGTAAAATGCAATGCCGCTTTAAAAGTATAAAACTGATGTATGCTGACTATGCACACAGTAAGACTGATCTAGATAAACTGCTAAAACAGTATCTGAAGAGCAATGAAGGAGACAGAATACTGTCTGAAACATTTCAAAGCAATATAGTCAGGCCAATTTTTTATCAGGGTGGTGCAAAAGTAATTTCAGTTTTTGCGATCTTTTTTTAAAACTGCAATTACTTTTGCACCAACCTAATTAACAGCTGATAAAACCATTAAAAATCTGTCAGAAAGAAAGCACTGAGGGTTTGAAATGACATAAAGGATTTTTTTCTTTTACATGTACTAAAGCTGTTCTCTATTAATATTGGTTACTTTTTGGCACAGAGAAATCACAAATATTAAGCTGACTTATAAAAAGAAAACCCAAAGTCAAAACAATTAAAAAAAATTATAATCTTGGTTCTGCTGTCTCAAAATATTTCCTTTGAGAAAAATTACAGGAGTGTGTTTCTCTAATTGTGCTTCTTTTTTTAGGTTTTCTTTCTTTGTTCCCTACTATCCTAGGAAAAGAAATGTTTTCCTTCAAGAAATTCAAATACATTCAACAGTAACTTTATTAAATGAATATATTCATTAACAATATATAATACACATAAAATATGTGTATTGATTATATTAACTGTGTATTGACCACCTTTTATATGTAGCCTAGATATAGCGAGAATACTTGGATCCAGCCTTTAAGAATTTGATGTTTAATTAAAGGTATAAAACTAACACACAAATAACTATATATAAAAAAGGAAGCGAGAAGTACACAGTAGAGGTAACAAGAAAGCTTGGTAAGTTAAAGAGAGAGGTCAAGGTTAGTTTCAAAAGGGATAAGAAATGGAAGGTTGGTCTGGAAGGACAAGTTTCATTTGGTTAGAGACAAAAAGGAGTAGAAATCCAAACTGTAGAAATCCAGACAGTAATGGCAGGGATGTGGGAAAGCACTGCATATCAACACTGGAAGAACTGGTCTGTATGGAACACCTGTATGTAATGGGGCTGGCAGAAGATGACCCTGGAACTTTGGGCTGAAGCCAAATCAGTAAGGGCCTTAAAGGCAGGCTAAAGAATTCAGCCTTCACTTTTTTAGTAATTGGAATTCACCCATTCAAGACTTCACCCAAGGGCAGAGTCAGTATATTTAACTAAACACCCAAAGGGCTAAGAATAAGACAGTGTATGGGATCTGAAGAAATCTTATTAAATAAACTCAGGACTTTTTCACTTCCTAAAGCTTCTGCTTCAGTTGCCAGGAAGCTGAGAGATAAATTTAGTGCTCAATTTCATCATAAGTACTTGTTTCATTTCTTTGCCTTCTAATTGATTAAAAACACCACCACCAACAACAACAACAGTCCTATCTGATGTGCACTTTACTTTTGTAAGCTTGATGGGGTATATATCACACGTAAATAAAATTAAAGTAACATTTGTCTTGATACCAGGGAAAGTTGTAGATGCAACACTTAGGTTTCAGAAGAGAGAAGGTAATTTATAATTTCCCCACCAAGTAAAGCTCATTCCCCAATAAACATTACAATGAAAGATGGCTGCATTGAATTAAAAAACTCAGTTACTGCAGTTGGTGATTGCTCTAAAATCTACAAGCACTGGGTTCAGCAACCTATCTTCCTGCCTGGCTGTCCAGTTTGACCTTCCATGTGAATCTGTGCTCCTATCATGATGCCAAAATGACCTTCTGAAACTTACAAGGCTTCCAAAGCTGCAGATATTTTCAGCTGTATCAGCCCTGGCTGTCACAGCATTCTGCATAGTGAGTGGCAAAACTGGAGCCTCCTGTACTGGCCTGACCTTTTAAACTCACAATATTTTGCTGCTACTCAAAATGAGTTTTCTCTTCCCGTATTATTTTGTGATGCTATTTCTCTTGTTTAATTGTAAAGCATTGATTCTAAGCATAAAATGGCATTTTTCTTTACATGAAAATAAAATCCTTCCTTCGTGCATAGTAAATCTAACATTGGTAGATGCTGTAAAATAAATATTTACTGGCATCTAGATGCTGTAAAATAAATATTTACTGGCATCTATAAATAATTTTTTTTTAATTATTGAAAATCTTGTGGCAACAAAACCTAATAAAATGTCACTATTTCTGCAATGGCCAATTTGAAAATTGAGAGATGTCTAAATTTTATAACTGTTTACTATCTGTTTATGTTTACCATTATGTATTCAATATCTAGCACAGTGCCTAGAATATTAAAAATTCAAATTAATATTAGGTGAATGTAACAGAATCTGCATGTTTAATATATTTCATTTACCACAGTACTATTAAACTGAAATACAGGTGCTTAATTTTCTTGCCAAAAAATTAGTATATTAGCATGGAATCTTTAATCTGAATACACACACACACACATGTCCCTAAGAATTCTTGGTACTTAAAGGTAAAATCATTTTCAAATCCATTGATATCAGGTCACTGACAAGCTGAAAACTGTTATATGAATAAGTTAAAACTTTAAATTTGCATAGGTATATTAGAATACCTTTATTTTGTTTCTAATTAGGGTCTGTGGATACTATATTTTCACAAGCCCATACTTGTATTCAATACAGGGAATCACAAAATGGTATCAATATTTCAGAGCAAATTTGTCAACTAACGCATTAGTTGGAGAATGGATCCCTTAGCTTCATACATTTATTCTATTTCATTTTTAGCTACAACTTGTGTACCACTTCACAATCATTTATGGAATATATATATAGACACATAGGGATATGACACAAAAACATGCACACATACACACATGGACATGCTCTAATTATTAAGGATTTGGGGGAAAGTGAGAAAAGTTTATCGGAAATCTCCAAGTGAATGTAGAGCTATTAAATTTTCAATGATATGTTTGTCTATTTTAATGTTGGCAACAGATTTCTATGTTTTAGTGATGAAAAAATGAATTGAATTACCCTAATATCTTCAATAATGCAGCTGAATAGATTACAAGAGCATTTGAAACTCTTTTGGGGCTCAAGGCACTTCTTAAAAGGTGCCATTCAGCAAAGCCATCCAACAGAGCAATTGACAGAGTGCTATGTCACTCAGAAGCGACATCAGAAACTTCACAGGTGGTAATGATTTTGAGTCTAAAAGTAGATTTTGCTGATCTTGGCGAGTGCTGGGGCAGAGGGTATTAGGTATGAGTAGAACTAATACTGAGCAAACCACACAGGCAGATTAGGCCATTTGATATACCCCTCCTTTCAAAGCTAGTGAAACTTCAAAGTCCATTCCATAGTCTGCTCTTTCATGACCATAATGCTTAAAAAAAACCTCTTCCACATCTTATCTTCTTCACTGAGTCTTTCCAGAATTAACTTGGAGTAGGTCCCAAATCTACATGCAATGAGTATTTGTGTGCCTAATTCATACCATACTGATGGAAATAAACAAGCAGAAAAACAGCAAAACTCCTGGGTTGAGATCTCAGCTCTCACAGTAGTACCTTATCATATGACCCTTGAGCAAATCCCCTAACCTTAATCTTTCCAAGCCTCAATCTTCTCACTTGGGAGCCAGAAAGATAGCAATGCCTAAATCACACAGAATTGTGTAAGAGCTATGGGATCACACATGTAAAATAATAAGTTCCTACGAAGAAAGTAGCTATTTTAATAATTACTAGAATGGCTAAAGCTCGAGTCTTTTGTTGTTTTGCTTTTATTATTTCACTTATGAATGGACCTTTTTCTATAGGCCATAAACTTCAGAAAATCAGAAACCATATTCTTAATTTGTCTTAAAAATTTCAATTAAAATCTTATAGTAAAACTTTATATGTAATGGGCTTTAAACAAATATTTATGAATAAAAATGAATAATAATAAGCAATAAAATCCTGAATTTTCTAAACTAGAATGCAGATTAAATCTTGGAAACAACAACACGTCACAGCTGAATGGGGTCTTATAGAAGAATATGCACAGTTGCACTTTCACCATTTCAAAGTCTGGAAGCTGGCCTACAAAATACAGCTTTATTTCCTGTGCAGAAAGAAAAGCTGGAGGAAAAAGAGAATCATGTGCATATTTAAAATTCTCTGTCATTAATGTTAAATACAACGCACCTCTCTCTGACTGATTTTTCTTTTCTGTTAACATAAACGTTAACCTGAGTGTTTTAACCTGCTTCCAATCAAGAATTTAGCATGAGGAAGATTCAGATGAACCGTATGTGCCCACCTTTCTCCAAAACTGCCAGCATCAGAAATAAATTAATTTCTTCTGTCTAGTCCAGGATGATACTATGCTGGCATCACACTTATTTACCAAATACTTGAACAGAAAAACTAAATGGTGTACATATCAAATCACATCATTTTAATAAATTATGAGTTGATTTTGTCTCTTCTCCAATATATACAAAGTATCTAAAGAGTTAACCTGTCTACCGAATGGTTTTAGGCAAATTCCACACTCTGCCCACAAACAGCTTATTCTTGGCTTCTTTGTGCCCACTTTGTTTTGCCCGTCCATTATTTGTGAATATTTCTATCACTATACTGGAAATTACTTTGAGAACAGGCACATCTTACCTCTTTTTCCTCCAAAGGGTATAGCATGATACATGGCACACTGGCACTGCAATCAATATTTGCTATTAAGGATGCTTTCTTTTGCAGCCAAAAGCAAAGACTTTCATTTTATATAAATAAATTTTTCTCTAAAAACACATAATCACATAATTTTATTTGCCATATGTTCTAAATAGCTCTATGAAGAGAGGAATTTGTTAGCAAAGTGACAGGTCTCCAACAGCACAACTCTACAATTAACAGCTTATCTTTTAAAGTCACAGGCTACATCACATGTAAAGTTACAGAGAGCAGAGACTGATGTATAAATTAGATGATGTAACATAAAAGCATAAAATAATCAAACAACCATGATCTATAAACTTTTGCCCCTATCATTTCTTGGTGAAAATTTTATAGCCTCATACTATTGGTGAGAAAGTACATTATCTTCAAACTTCACAAGCTTCCTCTGAGGGAATCCCAAATGGGTCTACCTACTGCGAAATGCACTGTTACAACATCATGATACTGCAACTCCATACCATATCTACTGAAGATGGGAGGCCTAGTTTGTTTTATTTTTTTTACAAATCCAAGAAACAGAGTATAAGCATTTGTCAAACGATACGCTATTTGTAACCCATCATCAAAGCAAAAAAGATGAAAATACATTTGACAGCCTTTTAAATAAAATTTCTATCTTCTTGACTTATGTCAGTTGTTGTATGGGTGAAGTTTTAAAATTACTATGTCATAAACATGCCACACTCATTCCCAACAGAATCATGGGATGGGGAGGGATGGGGTTGGGGAATGCTGGTTTTGAAGTATGAAAAGACCTGGCTTCTGTTCAGTTCGGCTGATCACCAGCTATGTGGATTTAGGCAAATAAGATAATTTCTCTAAGTCTGTGTCCTCTAAGAGGATGATGATTCCTGACTCACCGGCCCAATTCATTCATTGTCTACTATCACTACCAGGTTGTCTATCTGTTTTTTTCCAAAAACAACATAAGCTAGCAAGGCCTCACATAGAAAAGACGCTGCTCAAATATGGTAGCTTTCATCACTACTTCCACCTTATTCTTACTATGTCACTCCATATTCCGAAAAGAGTGCTTAATCTTTGGGCCTATGACAGATGCCCCCTCTTCCCCACAGCATTCCCTTGCCATTCAGTTCCACAAAAACTTCCTTCTTTGAATTTCCTTCCCTCTTTCAGTTTCCTCCTTTGGTACTAACTTGTATAGTGCCTTGCATTAAGTTTTCAAGTCTTTCTCCTCAACCCAATTGTATGTCAAAGAAGGAAAGACACTATGTAATTATACTTTCGATCTCCCTCTTGTGACCTACTACAATCCTTTGACTTTAAACGTGCTCAGAATATGTTTGTTAACTGATTATTTAGCAAAACACAAAAGATGAATTCATTCCTCTATGACCTGATTGTTAACATGGCAAAGTAATGTTTTAAGGGAAAAGACCTCAGCACTTAGTAAACTTTAATCAACTACAGAGGAATAGGCATAATACTATTCTTCCTAAATTAATTGCTCCCAATAAAATATTTACTTTTAAAATCTCAGTCCTCAAAACTATATCACTCTGAGAAAGTCATTTCCCGTAGGCAATTTTCAGCAAATGTGGTCCCCCAGAAAGCATTATGCAGAATTCTACTTGAGTATATTTTTTCTAAAGTCTTTCCTATTGAAGGAAAAAATATATATTTTTCTATTGTTAGGCACTTCTCAAATTATTTTTTGGAAAGGTCATGCAATGCTTCAGAGAGACTACTCCTGGATCAAAGATTTTCTTGTATCCTCCGTCGTTCACTTTTGCTATGCTTATCAAACCTCTTAAAAGTCTTTTGGAAGAGGTACCTAAGACCAAATGCCTTATCTGAATGCCACTAGGTAGACAATGCAGTTTTTCCTGAATGTTACAGCAATGAAGTTCAAATAATGGCTCAAAATACTTTGGAATAAATTTGTCTAGTTAAAATTAGCCCAATGACAGAATAATAAAGAAGGCAAAGAATATCCAATACTACTTAATCTTAGTTACTTAAAAATTAGCATTTTCTAAGCATTATCTTAATGACATAGCTAAATAGATTTTCACCATACTGTATAGCACAAGGCAAAAACTAGATAGGAAAAAAAGTCTAATAATAGAAAAAGGCATGTAATAAGTGTGACTTTCACATAATACTAACAAAGGCAAAATAAAATACTGTCAACATTATTCTCTAGTTTATAGAAACATGCTATATTTAAAGACATAAATAGTGTAATTTCTGTATTATTTTTATGGACACGGGCAATCTAAATAACTAATAAGTTGTAAATATTTATAAATAGAATATTTTTCTTGAAAACTGTCTTTATTTCATGGGAATTTTTCTCTGTATATTAAATAAAACATAATCTATCAATGTTCTGACATTTTCTGTTTAAACTATTTTAAACCATTTATTTGTAAAAAGCTTGTAAGGTCCTCAAACTAAAAAGACATGTAAGTATTCCAATAAAGCTTTCTATTCTATTTGAAATATAACTATCCTCCTACTCCAGATAACCATTAACCAAAAGCAACTGTTTATTGATTCCTGTATGTAAATCATTCTGTTTATAATAGTGACTGATTATTAAGGATTTTTAGTTCCAGGAAAAAGAATGCCCTGGTTATACTGATACCTTCCCTAAAATAGCAAGGTCTGAGAAGTATAAATGTCAGCCACATTGAGCACATGGCAAACTTGTTTTATCATGTATCTATCTGCCACCTTGTTTATCACTAAGGATAGGTTACACAGGCATTCTGAGCATGGACTTTAATAAGAGAGGAGAACTGCCTGGTTGACATTGAGACATTTCTCAGCAAATAACAAAATAGGCCTAACGTTGAAATTATGTTTACTTTAAAATTACCAATTTGGGACAAAGAATTTGGTGACCTTTAGATCACCATCCAGTGCTTTGAAAGAGCTTAGCACAGAAATGAAATGTTTTAAGAAATTAACATGTATCTTCTACTTAAGTTATAATCCCTGATAAAATACAATTTTAAATGTTTTTCACTTACTGATATTTTATATAATTCTTAAATAAGGAATTTTTGATTGATTAAAAGTTTTTTAAATTCTTGCTGTATTTTAAAAATAATTGTTAATACCCCCATTGCCTTTAATATCCACATCCAGTCAGCTGGTACATCCTATGCAGCCTAACCTTATCACATTTCTCTCAGCATACATGTCCTCCTTTTCATTCTAGGGCCACTCCCCTCATCTAGTCCCTCATCTCTGTTCTGTATAACCACAATCTCTACTTCATTCTATATGTGTCCTACCCCTATAAAATGTCACCAAAACACAACTCCTGTAAGGTTACTACCCTAAACACCAAGTGTCTGTTTATGTTCCACACTACGTATTATTAAACTTACTAGCTGGTCATCAATGACCTCAAAAGTGTAGCACCAATCTCCCTTGAACACCTGATTCCTCATTTCTTCCTATCCTATTAATGCTTCCCACCCCTCACCCCAGGCCTTTTCTCTCTATCCTCTTACTTTCTGCCCATTCTTCTGGAATCTCTTCAAATGATGTAGAAAGTACAAGTCTTTTAAAGTATTCCAAACGTTTATGTTCTCAAGCTCCTATCAGCATCCAAAATAAGTATTTTTAAAATCTGTTTTTATTCTTTTACACAGGAGCATGGATTCTAAAGCTGGGCTACCTTGGTTCAACTCCTTATTGTGCTACTTATTAATTAAGTACCTTTGCACAATTAATTGGACTTGTCTGTGCTTCAGTTCCCCTATCTGTAAAATCAGAATATTAACAGTACCTATACCATAGGGTTGTTCTGAGGAATAAATGAATTAATTATAAACCTTAGCTTAGCACACAGAAAGTATTCAAAGATGTTAGTAATCATAATTACAGCTATATTCTCATCGCTATTCTTTATATATAATCAGTGGAGGCAAGACAAGAAAAATTGGTTAAAAACATGAACATTGGAATAATAAAAATGACAAGCCTCATATCTCCGCAAATGAAAAAATTGTTCTAGTCATGATCTTTAAGGTAAAAGTCTTATTACTTTACGGCTACTTTACAGTAGAAAAGATTAAATGAGATACCTTACTTAAAAGAATACAGCCAGTGGCAACTTCTACTATTTTCATAAATATTTACACCTTTATAATGTCACAGATTTAGAAACTAGGGCATGAAAAGAGTAAATGGTTTTTCCCCAATCTATTGTTTCTTTCAAGAAATAAACAAAAAAACTTAGTTACTTCAAAATAAGTATATTAAAATAATAATAATATTGATATCACTTCTTACATTTACAAAGGAGTTCCACTTTTAGAAACCTCATGTATCCTCTAATGAGGTCCGTTTTTGTTTTTCTACCTGCCTGGTATAAACATTAGCCTTTTTTTTTTTTTTTTTTTTTTTTTTGAGACAAGAGTCTTGCTCTGTTGCCAGACTGGAGTGCAGTGGCATGATCTCAGCTCACTGCAACCTCCGCCTCCCGAGTTCAAGCAATCCCCCTGCCTCAGCTCCCAAGTAACTGGGATTACAGGCATGCGCCACCATGCCCAGCTAATTTTTTGTATTTTAGTAGAGACGGGGTTTCACCATGTTGGCCAAGACGGCCTCAATCTCCTGACCTCGTGATCTGCCTGCCTCGGCCTCCCAAAGTGCTGGGATTACAGGTGTGAGCCACTGCACACAGCCAAACATTAGACTTTCAAACCAAATTTAGATATAGTGTTTATAAGAACTCGTGGTGTATCTCTTCAGAACCTGGCATCTTGAAACCAAGATCTGGTAAACAGAAACATCAGTAAGGGGGCCTTTGATAGGGGAATACTGAATTGCAAGCCTAGTCAGTGACATAAAGCTTTTCTCATCCATTTCTTACCCACAGAAAGCCCTATGTCCTCCAACTCT
Organism: Homo sapiens; assembly: GCF_000001405.40. NCBI lineage: Eukaryota > Metazoa > Chordata > Mammalia > Primates > Hominidae > Homo > Homo sapiens. Next base: position 152,275,212 of record NC_000003.12, on the reverse strand, counting down.
TTGTATCTGTCACTTAGCTTGACCACCCTCCTGCTTTCTTTCTACTAGAAGAGTTATCCGTCCACAAAGAGTGCTAAAATGTCACTGTTGTAATCAAACAACACAGAAACAAATAAAATGCTAATGTGTCACTTTTACTGTCATCAACAAATGCTGATAAATTATTGGATATGATTGAAATTTCTGGATACAATAAGCTGAAAATGGGCTGTAAATTCTAATACTGAGACAAGTTAAGAAAATATCTTTGATAATATTCTAAATACAAATATGAACTGCTTAAGTCCTCATCTTGAATCCTTTATATTTAGCATAGCACAAGCATATAACCATGGATTGACTAGTAAACTGTAGTACCAACAGTTTGTAACTATTTAGTGGCTGCAACAGCTGATATTTCATGGTATTCAATAGTAAAACTAATGACAAAATCTATCAATAATCTAGTATAGGACATTTGGAAACCATTATATTTCTCCTAGATAAAAGAAATAAATAAATGAATTAAAACATATATGAAAATTCGATATCTGAATGTTATCTATAAACATATGGAAAATATGGAACCATTGCTGAATAGAATACTGCGTTAACAGAATAATATTTTGCTAAGGCTGAAAAATACTGAATACCTTTTGTTCCCATTATTTATGCATTTAAGGACTGTTCCCTTTATTACATGTATGTGGGTCAAGTCAGAGTTATCTTAAGACTTTCCCTTATCTGAACTTTCATACCATGTTACCCAGCCATTGTTTATTAAATATCACTTTCTACTTTATAGTTATTTTCGAAGCTCTTATTTTCCCTACCAGATTCTTATTTTTTTGAGGACAACGTATATCTATCTTGATTAAGTTTGGTAGATTTCACTAAGTCTACTGTGGTATTTTTTCACAATATGTATTCACTTATAAATCAACTTTATATGATAGAATAATATTTCAAGTCAGCAACGTAATGCTTATTTCATAGAACTAAATGTCCCCATAAATCTAGAATCTTCTTAGCTCTCTAAAACAAGTTCATTTTTAGTTAATAGCTTCTAAACTTTTAAAAGTGAAAACGTAGGAAAAAATCCAGTGTCAAATACAAATTTTTGGAAAACTACTTTGGAGAAAGACATCTCTTCATTTTGTGAATTTAGCTAAAGCAGGACTGGAATGGAGTTGACATCAGCATGGACATCATCACTGGTATTTAGATTTCATATTTACCACAATTCTTCTTAATAGTATGATATTATTTAACATTCAGGTGATTTGAATAAATTGGCATTGTCTTGGGGAAAGTTATATGCTCATGCATGCGTTACATACAAATTGTATGTTCACACTTCACAGGAGTATGTATTTTGCATACCTTTATCAACTATTATTCACCTCTTTTGGTATATAAAACATACATCTCTCAGTTTCCTAAAAGAATGTCAAAAGAGATGATGGTTTTTCTTTTGGAGCATATGAGCATGATATTATTTCAGAAACATCTTCACCTTTTTGGAATAACTGGTCTCTGTGGAAAAGCAATTCTCTACTCTGTCCAATATGGCTACATTTCGTTTTGAGATTAATATTTCCTGAACTGTTTTAACAAAAGATAATCATAGTAACCTAGAGAACATAATCAAAAACAGTAGAAAAAGAACCAAATGTGTAAGACTTAATTCTCCTAACACAAATATTTCAAGATGTGTGTTACACATATTTTTACAGATTTCACAGGCACATATGATGAGATGCCTCTCTAAAAACATGAACGATTATCTGAAAGAGATGTTCTGGATCTGTTATGAAAAAAACTGGTAATATGTAGAAAACTATAACCATGTATTTACTATTTTTTTCCTCAAGGATGTATCTGTAATGCTTATATAAACGTTTATTTTTTATAATATGAAAAACACTACGTAAAAACCGATTTCTCTACCTCAAATTTAAAAATAAAAAATATGTCTAGAGACAGTTAATGCCATATGCCAATAGCTCTTCTTGAATCCTCTGCCTTGCAATCAATAATTCTCCAACCATTAGTGAATATGCTCCATGACTCATCAGAAACAATATACAAAGTTAATGGGGATCATTCTTCCCCTCACCCTCCACACACGCACTGACACTAATGGAAGCTATGCCTCATCTAGTGGAAGACAGACTCAAGATGGCACCAAGCTGAGGCAACTCTTCTTGAGGCTCTATATACAAACTAGCTAACCTCCCCACGAAGAATCCACAACATCCATTTTACATTTTTTGGCATCCTTCGAGAAAATAATAGTAAGCATACTTTATATGGCTAGAAAAGAACCACATTTTTTTCAGCTTAACACTCACTGTGAATGGCAAAATGTACTTCAGTTATGAAAATATCTGAAAGGAATGTTTCCAGGACCTATGCCATTGTGCTTTGTTTACCAGTCAGATGCCTTCTCAAGAATGTGTTCAAATTATAAAGACAGTGTCTCCATGTATAGAAATTCTTCAGAGCCCATAATGTTACGTTAGAAACACATTTTCACCTTTGCTAATATTCAAAACAATACCCTCCTATCTGCAGGTAAAAATCTTTCATTCTTATGAATGCAGCAATCTTTTATTAACATTTGCTCAGGACTTTGGATATGGGTTTTTTTTTTTAACTTTCTAAAGAAAGTTCTAGCAAAAGAAAACACATATTAAGTATTTGAAGATAATTGCTATTTACTAAAATCTCTATTTTAAAATAATTTTAGTGACTCGTTTATGTTTGGTAACTTCAGGACAATGATAACTACAGTGTCTCTAAAATGTTCCTAAGTAACAATCATACTCTATTTTGGCCTTTGAGAGGTGTTAAGACTCATTCTCTAATTATAAGTTTTTCTCTATTATTACTACCTCACCATCAAATCTCTAAACTAAATAGCAGCTTTGAGGAAATAAAAATAGATGTTAGGTGGTGTGTTTTCTCAAATTTTGGTTACAATGGATAAGAAAGACGAGGTATTTCTATGTATAATAAAATAAGCCAATTTTATTGTTTTGACCAGCAAAATCTTTAAGCTTTCTCCCAGAATATTGTTTTCCTGCTTTATCCTAGAACAACACTGTCCAAAATAAATACGATGTTAGCCACATTTGTTATATTTTCTAGACACCATGAAAGAGAGAGAGAGAGAGAGAGAGAGAGAGAGAAAAGAAACAGGTGAAGTTAATCTAGTAAGATCTTCTATTAGAACCAATATATCAAAAATTATCATTAAAACATATCATAAATATAAAAATATTAATCAGATGTTTTACTTTCTTCCCCTCATATAAAGTTTTCAAAACCGGTAGTATTTTACACTTCTCAATCTGGACAAGACACATTTCAAGTGCTCAACAGCCACATGTGGCTACTGTACTGGACAGCACATTCTAGATTTCCAAACATATGAAGCTTTTTGGCCTAAAAAAACCATACACTTTAAAATCTTTCTATGTCACATTCTCTATGATCCATATGGTTGATGGGATTTTATTTTGGGCCAATCACTTCGTGAACCTATTTCACTTCTTTCCTCCACTCTTTTGACTCTCATATCTACTACCCACCCTAATGCCTTTGCATACAGAATTTTAAAAACCCAATCACCTATTCTTTTCAGCTTCTCCTAACCAAGACCTGAGATGTTCTCTAATCCGCACATCTATCACCAAGCAGAAAGCCAGAAGGTGCAGCAAGATTATTTATTCTCTGTTTCCATATAGATCTATCAAATACAGGCCTAATGTATGGCAACAGTGACAAATGCAAGGGCATTTTTTTCTTATAATGAAGATAAGGCATTTTATATAATAAAGTAACACACCCTTCCTCAATGAGAAATACAATTTTCAATGAGAAATATAATTTTACTCTTTTTTTTTCCCCCAGGAGAAATTTTGGGTTAGTCTGTTCTTGTTCTGGAACAAAACCCAGTGTTTCATTTCATAGGAATTCTGTGCCCAAAGGAAGAACAGAATGTTGGAATCAAAATTTAATGAATTCAACTTGGAGTCTAACTTTGCCTCAAATGTGGAAATGTAAACACAAGCAATAATATCTCAAACCATATAACACTTCAGTTTCTCTTTGGCATGACTGCGCAGAGTACCACACTTGATGTGTATCTACACACAAATTTGTTCACAGTTACATAAGGAAAAAAATTAAACTAGGCATATGTGAGGTTTTTCTGAGTCTCTTAGTAATAATGAAATCTGATTATTATGTCTTAAGTGACACTATAATTATAGATGAACAGGTTTTCTGTTGCTGACCCAACCTGTTCCTTAAAACACAAAAGGCAACTTTTGTAGTCTTCAGCAAGGAAACCCCCCATTAAACAAATAAGACTAAAAAAGCTATGCCTACATTTTCAAAGAAGACCTAACAATATAATAATAATAATAAAGTAACTCCCATGCAAATACACAAAACAGATAAAAACTAGAACATTAGGTTTTCTAAAGAAGTTTAGCCTTAGTTGTCACCAACTTTAAGAAAGCAAGATACAAGTGACAGCGATGTGCATTCTCAGGCTACAAAATAACTTATTCAGTGCCTCTATCTATAACTACATCTAAGACATTCTAAGTATTGAACTGCACATTCCTGGGATAAATTTTACAGTCGTTGAACTTTCATTTTCTCTCTGGGTGATAATATTTTATCTCAACAGCAAGGAGAAACACCAACACACTTAGGAATCCACACAGAGAGATAACTGTGGAGTGGCTCTCTTGTGCTGGTATAGAATACTTAGGTACTAAACACCCTCTGTGTATAAACAGACACTGTGTTCAAACCCAGGAGGAAGGGACATAGTGTCCACCGGTGTAGTATTTCAAAGCACGCTGCAGAGGGCTCGAAAGTCTAAAAGCATTAATTATGACTTCTCTCCTAGCGTATTAATTTAAGAAACTCCTCAGAGTATATGGCAGAGTTTGCCATCCATCTGCTATGACTTGTGCCTGTGCTGGTGGGCACACAAAGTGAAGTCAGCGGCAACAACCTTTCCGGCAGCTTCTTAACTTTAATCCTGGGGAGACATACTCCACGGAAATACACCCCAGAATCCCAACAGCCGCATACTCTCCCGGCCCCAGAGAGCCTTAAGAATACAATATTACTCTGGCAGCAACACCCCTGTAGTTGTAAAGTGCTGTGCGAGGGGAAGGCATAAGCGCCACCATATACCTGCTCGTGTTACAGGCTCTGGAATCAAAGTATTCTCACATGACACATTACTACCAATAACAGATTCCGGCTCCGTTTAAAAAAAAAAAAAAAAGTTGGGGGGTGGCTACATATTTGTCCTGCTTTTGTCTAAAAACCAGAACCCAAGTACTAACTACTTTTCATTCTTTTCAACCTTTCATGAAAGCAATTCAACCAACTGCGGCTCCACCCAAAGAGCTTCTATACTTACTTTTCTTACAGTTTTTGAGTGACGCACTACAAAACGATGAAAAAAAAAAGAAGAAGAAGAAAAGGAGGAGGCAGCCCTCTCCTACAGGGCGTCTTCCGCCCTGTAAACTTGGCAAAAGGCAAACTGGCCTGAAATACAGCACTCTCCATATAAGGCAGCCCAGCTAAACATGTCATGCGTAATTTATGGGTAGCAAGCAGAGAATTAACCTTTGCGTGCACATATTTGGCCCAGATGAAAACCGGGCGGGATGGCAGCCCCGGGGCCAGGGATGCGGGAGCCGCCGGGAAGACCCGCGCGCCGCTCGACTCAGAGGGACTCACACCTTCCCCCGACAAAGGTCATTAAGTTGTGAGTACACTTGCACGCACCTGTTTCTCTTCTCGCCCCCCTGTTTCTCCCTGGGTCCCGCTGGGCTGCCAAGCCGTGCGCGGGCTGTGCCGTGACAGCGTCCGCAGAGCCCGCGGCAGGGAAGGGCGCAGGAGCGGCTGCGGCTCACCCTCCCGCCTTCCCCCGGGCAGGAGGTGCTGAGGGACGCGAAACCAACTACCGCGAGCGGCCCGCCCCTGCCCGGGAGAACCGCGGCCGGCGAGCACCTCCTCGCACTTCCTCCTTCAGCCACGGGCAGACCCGCCGGAGTCCGAACAATGAAGCGGCGCGGGGAAACTGTGAAAATGGAAACTTACCTCTCACATTTTTTTTTCAGAGGCGGCCCCACTGTCGACCAAGTGCCCAAGGCATTGTGGGAGTCATGATTCCAAGATGCCCGCGACGGAAAATGGAACTTGTCAGCTCCTTGTCATGGGAGCATTGTGGGCGCCACAACTCATTCAGCTGCAGTGAAAAGACTGTTGCATGTCGCTGTGCAGCCTCTTATCGCCGAGGTCTGGCTTCCGCTGCTGCTGCGCGGCCCCTCCCCCGCCCGCCCAGCCCCACCAGGAAGCCCAGGGCGGACTCGTCGAGCTCCTAATGCACGCGGCGGCGAGAAAAACGCTCTTCAACTTTCCGCCGGCGCCCTCCCGCGCTTCCCCGGGCCACAGGGTCGCCTGTCAACCGGACAGAGCCCGCAAGAGCGGGTCATGGGCGGTCGCCCAGCGGCGCCGAGAGCAGGAGGAAGCCGGAGCCCGCGCGGGCGCCGTGGATCCCCTCGGCCTCCCGTTGGTATCTTCCATCTCATGCGTTCAGCATTGTAACCTCGCGGCGGGCGTGCAGACCGGACGCCCTCCCGCTTCTTCTACCGACTGCTAGGCACACCAGTGGGTTCATTTTGAAAGAGGCCCTTGCACCGGGCTTTGCAAGGAAGCCGGCAAGGTTAGATTGAAGGTTAGAAGCCAATTAGACTAGAATCCTGCGATCTGGTGAGACTGCCGCCTTAAAATGCACCAAACAGTTTTTGAACCTGGAGGGCTAACAGGCGGGAAAAACATCTGCAAGACTGCCACCGTGTATTTTTCTCAAGTAACAGGCTATCCACAGTTTTGGAATTCCTTAGTGAAACTGTCACACAGGCACAAACACATGTCAGCTTTCCTTCTAGTTTGTAAATAATATTTGTAATTTACAGGCCACTGTATTCCCAACTTTGCACCATGTGATTTAGAGAAAGCAAAGCTCCCTCTTTAAAAATAATATGTTACTTCTGAAATACCGGGATATTCCACGGCAAGTAAGCCATATTGTCGCCAGAGCAAATAAACCGCAGCCCCATATCATAATTCACTGGGTGCTATAAGATGTAACTTGGCTTTGCTTTGAATGGAAAGAATCCTGAACGTCTGTGATGTGATGAAGTTTTGGAGACTGGGGGCAGGATTTCCTTTGAATGTAAGGAATTCGGATAACTTGTTCAAGGATGATTCTAGTGAAAAACGTTTGTCCCATGTTTGTTGGGACAAAAATGCTGGATATGGTACAACATTCTTCCTGCAGGTTCGGTTTTGTTGAAGAGAGTGAGGCCAGCTCGAGGTGAAGGAAAAACATCAGAAAGGTGCTAAAGTGCAGAAATATCTTCCAGAGGCACTAATAGCCGACTTTAGTTCTTGACCTTTAGCTAGATCCACAAAGCACTGAGTTAAAATTGTACACTGATCCCTTCCAGAACAAATTAATTAATTAAATGGTGCCTCTTCCCAGCGTTAATCGTTTAAAAGGACTCAAGTACCCACACAGTTTAAGCAAACTAAAAGAACACTGACACTTTCTCAGAGAACAGGGATGGGAACTTTCTATCTGCCCATTAGTATCTACCCCAAGCTACGAAGACTTCCATTCCTCTTATTAAGCATTCAGCAACTACATTTAGTGCCTACTATGCCAGTGATGCAAGAATGGATAAGACAGTCCCTACACTCAAGGATAACGCCTCTAGTAGGTGAGAGACAAACCGATTAATTCTGCATAAGGGATAAGTGCTGTATGTGGGAAGCAATCCAATGAGGGCTCTGAGGATGGCAAAGGAAGGGTTCCTGGAGGATTTACATTTAACTGGTGCCTTGAAAGGTGTGTAGAAGTTGGCAAGATCAAAAGGGAGTAGAGTCCAGGTGGAGAAGAGAAAAGAGCAGGGCAGGCTGGATGGCATGGCTCACACCTGTAATCCCAGCACTTTGGGAGGCCATGGAGGGAGGATTGAGGCCAGGAGTTTGAGACCAGCCTGGGTGACATTAAAAGACCCTGTCTCAAAGAAAACGAAAGGAGCAGGGTATATACAAGGGGTCTGCCAGCCTTCTCAGCCTTTCTGTGAGAAGCGAGGGTAGGGTAGTACAGGAGAGTGGCAGGAGATGACACTAAAAGTAGGTCTGTGTTGATCTAACGAGTCTCAACTTTACTGCCAAAACTAATGAACTAGGAAAGTTTAGGCAGCAAGGGCCAGAGATGGAGTCTGGACTTGTATTGCAGAAAGTTCCTGTGACGGCAGCTTGGAGGGTGAATGAGAGTGTGGGATGGAGGGGTGAATGGGTGTGGACAGACTGGAAAAATGACTCATGCAGGGAATGAGGAAGGGAGGAGCCTTGGGAGACTCTCAAATCCCTGGCTTAGCCTACTGAATTGCTTGCTACTTGCCTTTTTATGTCTTCATTTTGCCTCCCATTGTCTGTGATATTAAAGGCCTAACTTCTTAGTAGAGCAAACTTTGCATCTGCTAGCAGGTTGGTGCCCTAGCTAGCTTCCATGCCCCTCTGCTTAGAATGCCTGCGAACCACTAAGGACTAATCCTAGTGGTAGAAATTTATTTTCAATTGTTCTCAAACCCTTGTAGAATTCCAAGTTAGAACTGTAGTGTTCTTTTTTCATGTGGGTTAGAAAATTTGCTGTTTGGAGCAACATGGTGAAACACAGGACTTTTGAACCTGCTTATGGTGCAAAAGGGGAAATTATATTTCTACTTCAACACTGGAGGAGGGGGGACTTCTGGGAGCAAAAGAGAAATGGAAACTGAGATGAGACATGTTTTTTACTCCATGACAGAATACAAAGAAATACAAGGATGATCCTTTAATGTTAGAAACAGTAGAATAACCATCCTGGTAAATAAAAAAGGAGAAAAAATGTTATTTTACATTAGATACAGAAAAACAGAATGGCTAAGAAAACTCACAAAGCAATGGTCAATCTATAACTCGAGTCCAAATAAATTGTGATATAACACTAAATTACCACTGATTTGGCCTAATTGACTATCACTGGATAACATTATAACATGAATGATAATATTTAAAATTTTAAAGCACTGTAACAAACACCAGATCATGTTAAAACTATTCAATCATGTTGTCAGCTTTCAACTGCCAGTAGCATCCTAACCACATTTCAAACTATGGAAATTACTAAAAAATCATTATTGTAATAAAAAGTTAATAGTTCCTCATTTAGAATACCATTGATATTCCCTCAGTGCCAGGAGAACATTATGGTTTCTCCTATTTCTGTGAAGTGTATAGTCTACAGGTTCATAAGTGAGTATATCCATGAGTATAAAAAGAAGGTCATTTATGGGTGGAGAGGGAAATTATAGAAAACAATTTCAGATGAAATAAACTACATTTTCAGATAAAGGAAAGAGTGTTCACTGCAGGTTCCTGAAATATTTCAGTCCATTCAAGTTTTAATTATACCAATGAATCTCAATAAAAATACAGTTAAGGAATATGGTTTTTATAGATAATGTCAGCTCCTTGTTTACCAATAATAAAGATAAAGATAATGGCAGCATTTATCTTTTTCAGTCCAATGGGGATATTTAAGGTACCTATGTAAGTGTGTGAGTGCCTGTGTGAATTGTGACTTACTTCTTCTGCATACCACATTCATAGCTCAATAAGCTCTCACTGCCTCTGCAATATAACTTGTCTTTCCTGACACACACACACACACACACACACACACACACACACTCTCACACAAACAAATCACCTAAATAAAAATATCTCAAGGAGGTATACTCTTTTAAAATGCTATTTTTATTATACCAGGATAAAAATAATTGATTGAAAGATGGTGTCAAAACCAGAACCTAGTCTCATGTCCTGTGCTTCCTAATCAATATTTAAATATAGATGGTCAAGAGAAGATGACTCTAAAAGGCAATCAAAAGTTGCAAACATTCTTGTATGGAGAATCAAGTTTAAGTAGATGCATTAAATTTATCACATTAAACTTCACAACAGGGTTGAGGAGAGAGGTGAGACCTTCTTTTGTAGAATTCAAACTTGTTCAGATATTTGAATACATATACTTGAGAGAAAGAATTACATGAATTTAGTTTATCTTCAAGGACCTTTATATATTTCATACACAACACAATTTCTTTGTGCTCATTATTTAAAAATAAAAATATGTATTCTAATAGATACTATGTATATATTTGATATATAATACAATATATTGTATGTATAACACGTATATTGCACATGAATGTGAAAATATATAAAATCAATATATTTGCTACTAAATGTTTATGAAATTTAAAGCAGTTAAATATTATGCATTTCTCAATTAAGTTATTTTACCTAAAAGTTGAATCTGTATCTTCAATATCATTATTTTAGGATCTGGCAATAGAGAGACAGTAAGCAAATACATTTTGAAATTAAAAGTTCAAAATCATAGAATTTTAGCATTGAATGGAATGTTAGAGAGCATCTGGCCTTGTTCCCTTGTTAAACCAGAGGAGTGCATTATTTAAGGAACTTGGCACCATGGCAGAGCAGAACTGACATCAGTGTCTTCTGACTCTCTCAGGCCATTCATTTTCATTGTCTTTTTTTTTTTCTTAAAGACAATAAGGACAAGAAGAAGCTCTAAAATAGGCCTAACAGTTTCCCCAGTTTAATGTAAGGAGGTGCTACATGAGATTTCCAAGAGTATAGTTCTTCCTTCCTCTGTTTCTTCCTTCTTTCATTTTTTCCTTCTTTTATTCTTTCTATTTTTTCATCCTTTCTTTCTTCTTTCCATACAGAAAACACTTTTCACACAATGACTCTATTCATTTCACAAACATTTATTGAGCATCAGCCATGGCTAACTCCTATTCTAGGTACTGTGGTTACAGAAATGAACAGCACAGATAAATCACTTCCCTCAAAGGGGTTGCATTCTACTAGGGGGAGACAAGCAACAAAAAATAAGTCAAAAATAAAAAATAAAAGATAAACATATGAGGTAATTTCAGATGGAGATAAGCGCTATGAAATAAAGCAGGTTGGGGGGATTTGGGAGAGAAGGTTGTGTGAAACAGGATGGAGGACTGAGCTGGTCATATGCAGGCAAGGTTCTCGGTGAAGTGAGAAATAACTGGGGAAAGAGCATTCAAAGCAGTGGGGACTGCATGGCAAGAGCCCTAAGGCCAGGGTTCATGGTAGGGCTAGAGAGCCAATGGTGAACAAAAACTACCTAACCTCAAGGAGCTTACAGTCAAGGAAGAGGGAAAAAATGAATCTCCATCAAATTAATCACACTCAAAATGCAAAGCTACAACCATGATACTTTTCCTCACTGGGAACCATTGAAGTGTTTGATTATGTTAGAGGCAGGGGTGGGGTGGGGTGATGGAACATTATCTAAATTTTGTTTTCACAAAGATAACTAGATAACTCTTGACTGCTGTGTAAAGGCTGATAGTCTAATCTCAGAAGAGACTGCATGAAGTCCACCACTGCTGAGAATGACAGCAAACCAAAAGTGGGCTCTGTCTAGGAGGCAACAGACAGCAAATGGCTGGGGACCCAGCAGCGGAATGTGATTTGGTTGAAGACCCTCGGCAATGGGGTACAACAAACCTTAGAACCTTACATCTCAGAGTTGAAGAGAAGCCATAAGACTCATGATCCTCGAGATAACATAACTTGAGGGAAGGGAGATGTGGTATGCCTGTTTGTGTGTGACTTATTTATTATTTGGAGTCAACACAATGTAGAAAATTCGAAATTAGTGAAGGTAGAATATTTTGATATCAGCAGTGTTTCCAGTTCCCAGAGATAGGGAACTGTTTGTATTACAGTTTATTTCCTTCTAGGCTTTTCCAATGCATTTTTAAAAGCATAGTTAATATTGTACTATATATGCAATTTCTTTTCCAAATTTAATCTTTTAAGACAATCTTATAAAACAAAGGCCACCTCCCCCATGTCATTTATATATAATCTTCATTTTTCATGAGGTAATGGAAGCTGGAGAGTTGGCCCTTGACCAAAGCCTTGCAGCTAACAAGAGGACAAGCCTCCTGCCCCACAGTGTTTCACAGCCAGTACCCCAAGCTCCTGAATTCATCTGTCTAATGTGTAATATATTTATAAACACTCTACCTGGGATGTATGCGTACCTTCTACTATGGACTGTTGTTAAAGACAAGTAAATATGCAATCGTGGTCTTTCAATAAACTAAACGGATATAAAAATAAATATAGAATACAGCCAGAAGATCAAAATTGACATATTATCTATTTATGCTTATAATATGTAATTACATGTAATATTGTAAAACACTTTCTACCATTTCATAAAATTCTGTGTTGTTATTTAGCCCAGAATTCCCTTGCAATCTTTTAAAAATAGTATCTAATAGGGCTTTTAATATAAATGTCGTAGTGAAACTGTTTTATGTACTGTAACCCAAACATTTCTACGTAGTAACACTGTTCCATATAGAAAACAAATATGAAAAAATATGGCCATTGTCTTATTTATTTCTAAAGGTAAACCAATCTTTGACAATGCCAATAGCAGTGTCAATGTTCCTAAATGTTGGCTGTATCTATCTACTTACTCATTGTATTCTTGAGGTTCCTTTCCTTTGGTTTCTATGATATTCCACATCCCTCTCTTTTCATTCCATTGTGTGAGTTCTCTCTGTGGATCTTTTGTTAGCTCCTCTTATTCCTTCTTGCCTATCTGAGTTTCCTGAAATTACCTTCAAATCATGTCTCGAAAGATGTTCTAAAGAGACCTTTGAATAAGAACAACATTTGTCCCATTAATAAATGGTGGGAGTTTCATATATCTGTTTCTTTTTCTCTTCTTTCCTCTTTGCCTTGTCCAAAAGAGTGGGAACTGAGCAGTACAGTCATAAATTAATTTTAATATATTAACTTAGGCATCAGTACACTGGCTATTGTTCCTTAATACATTTAACACATAGTCATTGACTGCTGATTATGTGCCAAGGGCTGTGCTTGGCACTGGGGATAAAGAAGTTATTAAGTCTTTTGCAAGGTGTTCATAGTCTAGCGGTTGGGGACAGACGTGAGGGAAAAATCACAGTTGGAAAAGAGCGTAGCAAATGAAACCATTCAGTTAAATTCAACAAACCCTGCGTGCTTACCATGTGCCAAGCAGATGGCAAGGAGGATAGGACTGGGCAAGGCCTTGCTCCTCACGGACTCCCAAGCAGCTGGCAAATGGTAAAACTACCTGATACTTGTTAAGAGCTTCATGGCAGAAAGAAAGTCAGAAAAAAAGTCATGAAAGGCTATTGGACAGACAAGAGGCTTGATCAGAAAAACACTTTTAACAAATATTGTCCTAGCAACATGAGGAGAAAGTTTGTTGTTCAGATTTTTCATGCTGTCATTATGGAAAGCTTACTACATGTCAGGTTTCTTTCCTAGAGGCTGAGGCTTCCTTGGCTTGCCTCAGTGAATCCCAAACTGGCCTTGCAACTCTCTCTCTTTGCCTCCCCTAGGCTTTCGGTAACAAATCCTCAACTAGGTGATAGGAGATTATCTGATTAAAGTCATTCACACTAAGGCGAGAATGAGGCTTAATCCCTCAAGAGCGTTTGCTTTAACAAAGGATAGCTTGTTAACCCTAATGAACTGCTCATTGGAAGAACTCTGCAGAAGGATCCCTCCTCCTCACCTTCCCAGACTTGCCAACCCCATGTCCTTCCTTTTTATTTGTCTTTCATGAAGCAAAGGAGTAATGAAAGTGTTAAGGACTCTAAGGTCACACATTATCTCCTTGAACTTAAAACAAGAGGTATGTGAGGTAATTATGACCCCATGCTCATAATGAGGAGACTGAAACTAGGGCGGTGGTTCTTAACCCTGACTACATTTTGGATAGGCCGGCTGCAACTCAGACAAATTAAATCAAAATTTCTGGGAGGGGCATCCAAGCGTCTGTATCTTTTTTAAGCCCCTTAGATGATTTCAAAGCGCAGCCAAGGTTGCCAGCTTCTTGCCTAAACTCTGCAAGAAGCTAGAGTTTAGGAAATGGAAATTAACCAGAATAGGTAGCAATCCATTGACCTGTTCCATTTTTTCCTTTGGCAAGTAAAGTTTATTTGGCTCAATAGAAACAGAATTATCTGCAGGAAACTCGATCTCATATAGAATTAGATTTGGGTAGGCTGGTGCCCATATGCATCTAGAAATGAGGGAGTTAGGACTAGCTGTGGATAGCTAAACTGGTGGTGCAAGGTGGTACATTTTGTCATGCACATGCTTGGAAGTGGTGCTTCTTAGGCAACCAAAATATGTTTCACTTTATGCCGGGTAAGCATTAGTGGTCCATAGGATTAAAAACAGATAAGACAAAGAGTTAAGATCACACAAAGGAGAATCCTACATATTCTAAAATGCTTAGTTTGCTGTTTGTTTAAAATTCTATACCCTGTCTCTTGCTAAGAAATTGTGATTATAAGCACCCCCTTGAGAGTGACATCAGAGCCTCTGAGAGATAAAGTGTGTCCTTGGCCACTTCCTTTTGAAGATATACATATCTTCACCAGTTACATACTCATACATGTAATTATGTGTATTCAACAAAAGCTATTCTGTACATTCAATATATTTTATAAATTCGTTCAATAAATTAACATAGTTAAATTATAAACACAAACAAGTTAGCAGAACATACCTCACTTGAAACTCATTTGAAGATAATGCTAGACATCTTAGTTTATGGCCTTCGTGAATGTGCCGTCAGTCCAGTTGACCCTCCTGGCCCCACCTGGATGGATCTGAATGCCCATGTTTCTGCAATGGGCTTAGCAATGAGTAACTGCTGACAGGGCCTGATTCCATCGAGCCCTCCCAGTAATGAATGTGTTTTTAGACAATGTGGAGCATTCTTTTCCTTTTTCAAACTTTTCTGGCCATAGGTCACCAGCTCACCAGTTACTGCTGCATTTTCATTCTAAACCTTATTGCTATCAACTTTCCTATCCAGTCTACAATAGTCACTGAGCACCTGGCATAATTCCAGTCTTTCCTAGAGTCTGAGGCTACATGGTAAGAAAAACTAGACCTGAAGCCTCTTGAAATATGCAGTATAACAAGGACAATGAATATGAAATGGTAAATAATTATGATCAACTAAGTAAATAATATAAATGTGCAAAATTTAGTGAATGAGAAAAATGAGAGTGTGTATCTGGTGAATCTAAACAGATAAACAATTATAATTATTTTATTGCTCTCTCCCTTTTTTATTGAATTCAAATGTCTCACATTATAGTTGAAAGTCTTCACAGTATTTGTACTACATGTGCACATTGAATTCTTCTTCATTTGTAAGGACAGAATTCTATTACTAGTTGCATGAAATAGTGACTATTTGTGTTAAGTGGCAAGGTGTCCATCACATAGCCTCTAAAGGCAGGGTCGGAAGAAATCTCTGACTGATCATTAGTACTATGCTCTTGCTGTTGCAGTCTTTGGTGTTACTGTCATTCACTTCCTGGGCTTAATCTTTTAAGGGTATGATATCTACAGACAAAGCTAGCCAGCTTATCTTTGATAACTTCAAGAAGTACAGCATGTCGGCTTTTGGATTAATATTTGAAAATAAAATAAAAATTTAATTTTATTATCACTTGTTTTGTCAAAAATCAAAGGCTCTTTTAAAATCTTTTTTGGCTGGATGTAAAATGATTTTTTTCTGTTTCTGGATATAAGGTAACCTGTGCTTATTTTGAATGATGTATCAAGTGCCTTTAATAGAAGTTTAACGATTCTGTTCAAGTTACTACTATAAAGATGTTTATGCATAGTTATTCTAGACTAGCAAAAGAGCAGTAATCTATAACTCCCACCCACATACTTACTCCCATGCACAGTGTTTCTTCCTTCTACAGCTTTAAGACTCCCACGCTTCTGCAAAAGCACTTTCCTACTTGTCATTTAGTCTTTACAATTAAGTAAAGAAAAAGTTAATTGTATAAAAGAAGCTGGTTTCTTGGACCTCTCTCTTTATGGAGTTGTACTCTCTAAAGATAGCCTAAATTATAGACTTAGCCAGGACAGTTTTTCCCCTTCGGAGACCTTTGAAGTTTGTTTATTCTTACAAAGCTCTGGAAGGCTCGTCTGAAAGAAGCTGTAAATAATTTGCCAAGGTCCCTAAATACCAAGAAGCCCACGTGGACACTAGAAGGTGTCAACTTTTCTTGATTACTCTTGAACTTGTGGGAAAGGGAATGTTTGGCACCAATATCAGATTCATAGAAGGCAGCCAAAATTAATTGTTAGAAAGAAGGTATGCTTAGACGATATGTGGCATAACTTTGGGCATTTTCCTTCCCATGATGAAAGAAGCAGCCGATGAAGTAAATCTGTTTTGTTTATGACTAGATTACTCAGTGACTAAAAGGAAAACACTGTCTACTTTGGGGTTATTGGCAACAGATATATACATACCAAGTATGACACATGGGCTAGTTTCCACTGGCAGTAGTTATTGATGTTGCAACCTTGGTCTTTGCTGCAACCTTGCCCTGCTGCCTTTGTTGTTGGCTGCTCTTGGCAACAGGGCATACCCACCTCCCCCTGACAACCAACTTGGTGCAATGGCCTGCACATGACCCACACACTTTTTAGAAGAATCAGGGCAGGAAAAGATTAAGTGTAATTTCCCATGGCCTTGGCTATTAGACATAAAGACAGGCTTTAGAATCTGTTATTAGGCATAAGATTTTGGACAATTTTTTCCTAGTCTCAGGTTCCTGCAAACTTAAAATGTCTACCTTGTGGAATTATGATAATAAATGACTTCATGAGAATTATCCTAACATTGATCAGGCCTTTGATAAATTACAGCTATTTTCATTATTTAAAATAGTAATTAGAAATTTTAAAATACAGAATATGTTTTTTAAAAAATAAGCTCTTGTTAAGCTTCAAGTCTCTTCAAAATATGAGGATTCAAATCAAATTACAAATTTTAAGAAATATATAGCTATTTTCTACAAGATGGTATAGGTATACAGAGATACCTTTACAGTTTTTATATTAGGTAGGATGTAATTAAAAAGGAGCCCAAGATGTTTCCTGAAATGATTAACAGGAACTTTAGAAACATAACTATTGATTGGTCAGTGCACAGGTTTCTTTGGTCGAACTTTTCTCACCCACTTTACAAGCAAAAACATGAGAAAGACAAGTCAAATGAAGCCAAGCAAATGGTATCTACCACATTAACGAAGAGTATAAGATGCACAGTTGCATGAAAACCACTTCCTTTAGCACTATATTTCAAAAATTTTTTTTTACTCCGCCAGAGCTGTCGCCACAGGAAGGAAAATTTAGTTGTCTTCTTGCTTATTTAAGGAACACAAGTCAAGAGATTATTCCAGGCATTACTTCGTGTTTTTAAGCTCTTACTCCTACCTCCCTGAAAAATGTGTCTCCTGACTTCATCAGAACAAACACACTCAGAATTTTAAGAGGAGAAAATAATGATTATGTGTTGCTAAGTACTATTTTAGTAACAAATGCTTGGGCCACTAAAATTATGACATCACCCACAGAAAGAATAACATTTACACTTTTGAGAGATTTTTTTTTTTTCCTAACATGATGGGTCACCAATGAGAGGAGGAAAGCCAAATAAAGGCACAAGGAGAGGCCTCTTGGCTCTGGAGAAGGCATCCTTAGCATCCTCTTCTGAAGGGTGATCATAAGCCCCAAGTTAATTAAATAGGCCCAATGTCTGCCTGCTCTTTCTGTATTCCCTTCCTGAATCTAGTTCATGTCAACAAATGTGTACTATTATTGTAGAAAATCGAATGCTCTCATACTTTTAATAGGTTTGCTTCTTGGTTAATATGCCCAGGTCAGGAAGTGGCTTATATTTCAGGAGTGCTCTCTAATACTTATTGCAGATATTCAAGCATTTATTCTCTCACACACACGCACTTAAAAACCGCACACTACCTCACACTCTGCAATAATCCGATAGTATGGTGGTCATCATACCCACATATATACATGATAAGATAGAATGCATTGCTTAAATAGCACATAAGTCATCTATAATCCTCCACACCCTGTAATACCAGTAGCACAATGGTTTTCTATTTGGAGGTTGCCAGGAGCACTCAAAAGTAAGCTTCTGGCTCCTACAACAACACATCCAACTGCCTTGGGGACAACATGATTGTCATCCTTCTAGTACACACTCAGTCCAAGGCCAGGTAATGTTTTTTATGGGCGGCTTTTAACCTGAACCAGAAATAGAAGAATCTATACTTGTTGTTATTAACTTCTTAAGTATGAGGGAAGGCCATTTTTTCCATCATTCCTAACAAATAAATATTGAGCTTGTTTACTCAATTTAAAAAGAGTCTTTTCAGTAAGCTATTCTGTATTCTTTCTCCAAATCACAGCCCTCAACCTCCTACCCCTTAAAGGAAGCAGTGTCCAACTAACAGAGATTTAAAATGTAGTGATATGATTCATTTAGATCTCTTAGGATAATAAAAATAAATCATAGGGAATATAATTACCATGGAAAATGGCAGAGTAATTTACGTCTACTTTTAAGGGGAGCGGGTTGATGTTGCCAGGGATTGCTATCCCTAATCCCAATAGCTACTGGGATTTGGGAACAATAAACAAGGAAACATCTGTGGTCTCTGGAGGCTAAAATATAGTTGTTTCTGTAGTCTTTTCTGCTTCATCCATGCAGAAACTAGGTTGCATGATGACACCATTATCAGAAATCAGTGTACATATCTTCAAATGGCCAAGATTAGAGTCAATTATTCCATGACAATTTTTGCTGAAAACATTGAGTTTACAAATTTAAATAATACCTGAGCCCCTTTCACTTTTATCCAGGTAAACTTGGCTTATCTAAAATTCACCTAAATGTAATAATTTATCTCCTATGAAACTTTTACCTATGTAGTAATTCCTGTTTCTCTTCATACAACAGTTTTTCCAAGACTGTGTTAGCCAGAGATAATGGTCATTCATTGCATTCCCATCCCCAATTAAGACACGTGCACGTCCTTGCAAATGTTTGCTCATATGTGCAACTCCATTCCTTGGTCTGCAGTCTATGTGACTTGGCCCTTTCTCAACTCCAGCTCCTGAGCTTCATCTCCCACCATCCTTTGAGACCCAGGCTCTTTTCTACTTCTCAGATATGCCAAGCTCATTCTGGCCCTTGCGCTGGTCAATCACTCTTCCTGAACTACTCTTCCTGGAGTCGTCTGCATGGTGCTCTCAATCCTCTCACTGTTCAGGTCTTAGCTTAAATATTACCTTTTCAAATAGGCCATCTCAGGAGACCACCTACGTAAAGATGATTTTCCCATCTTCTCTTTATCCTTTTACTATGCTGGATTTTCTTCTGGTCACTATCACTATCTAGAAGTCCTTTAAAATTTTATTTCTTTACTAGTTTACTCCATTCTTTCCCCACTAGACTGAAGGCTGCTTGAGGGTAGAAACTTGATCTTGTCCGTAACTATTTCCCCAGCACCTAAAATAGTGCCCAAAGTATACTGCTTGATATATGACTTCATGAATAAACTCACTTTAAAATGAAAACAGAGCTTCTTGCAAGAGTTAAAAATCCTCTCATCACATAACCCACTTCCTGAGAAGAACCATAAAGTCAGAGCCACCAAATATCTCCTGTGGTAGCACTATAGGAGATAATGCTCAATATTAAAAAGGCTCAATATTTTAAGTTAAGGCTCAATATTAAATTAATGTAATATTAGAATATTTTTATTTCTTTGAAAATTTTCTGGACTCTTCTGAAAATTTATTATCACAACTTTTCTCCACCTAATGAAACAATTTCAATAGTTCAGCTTTAAACCAGCTACCTCCAGGGAGCCTTGTAACCATCAATACACCTGGAAGTACAGTTCTAAATTATTTTGATCTTTCATGTGGCACCTTCTATTTTTTATGCTGTGTCTTAAAATCTATTTCTTTTAATATTTACTCCACCAAATTGTAAGATTTCTGGCTTAGGACTGCATCATAATAATCTATAAATTCTTAACTGTATCTAAACCACAGATTTACCTACTTTGCTTCTCAGAAATTAAGTGGTATAGGCCATATATAAATATGATGCAGATCCAGTTTAGAGATAGACACACCAGGATCAATTGTGTGACCTTTATTAAGCTACCTACCTCTCTGAACTTCTATATTTTTCCTTAAATCTGTAAAGTGGAAATAATAGTACTTATTTCATAGGACTGATGAGGGCATTAAATTCGTTAATCATGTGAAGCACCTGACATGATGATACAAAAAAAGTTTAACACGAAATAGCAGAGCTATTATTGTTACTAACTTTGCAATTATCATCATTATCATTGGTTTTATTATTATTTAGGGCCTTATAATCTCAAAAACTTAGTTATATGTTAATACATATAACTAACCTTGATATTTTGGATGTACAAGAAAAAGAATTTTCCTAGAGTAGTTTTATAATCCATTTCAAGATCAAAAATAGAACAAGGAAGTAATTACAAAAAAATATTGAAAATAAGCATAGATGTGAGGCCAGCATAGGCAGATGGCTAATCAGGAAAGGATTCTGGAGGGAGATTACTCTTCCATGTAGTTGAGGAAAACAATGAACCCTAACTGTCAAGGAAGAGTGGGTGCATGCTTTTCTTGGGGGTGAGGGCAAGGCAGGACAAGGGCAGAGGCAATGGGGCAAGAAATGCAGAGGTGTTGCACCCCAGGATTCTAAAAAGTTAGTGGCAGTCACTATGAACTTATCTCTTTTTAGCTCAGTGGAAAATTGCCAGCACAGAAAAAAAGAGAACTTCTCTGTCTATTTGTTGTCTCCAAGGACCACTTTTTGGTCTCAGTTCGTTTGACTCAACACGGACAAAATAAACTACACCTGACATTTGCATGGCAGTTTAGAGTACTGGCCCCTTGAAGACAGTGTTGGAAGATAGTTATTTCTATTATGCTTATCAGAAATGTTGAGACCTTTTACTTAATCATTGTTTATTTACTGAGCACCTACTATGCTCCATTTATTTTACTAGAAAATGTAAAGGTAACATGAACAACAAAGGCCAAGTTTCTGCCCTCATGGAACTTACAGTCTAGTGAAAGGAACAGATAACAAATAATTGGATAAAGAAATAAAAATCAACATGTTGTGTAACATTTTATGTGCTATCAGTAAAATTAAAATGGGGTAAAATGACAGAGTGATGGGGTTGGGAATACTACAATTAAATATGTAGTGGACCACGGGAAGCATCTATTAGGAGATATGTTTGAGAAGAGACCCAAATAAAGAAGAAGTTGTGTCACACTAAGATGTGTGGGCATGCCAGGAAAAGAGAAGGGCATGTGGAAAATCCCTGAGTCAGGAATGAGCTCAGAATACTCTGGGGGGAACATGAGGAGTAGAGCCAGAATATCATGAATGAAGAGATGAAAGGATATGAGAGAAGACACAAAGACATATAAGCTTTAGTGAGGAATCTGGATTTTATCCTAATTAAAATAAGAAGCAATTGAAGAATTTTGAGCAGGAGGTCACATGATTTGATGGATATTTTAAATGATCATATTGGTAGGGATGCAAGAATAGAAAAAGAGGGTTTCTTAATAGGCTAACACAAAAACAGAGACGTCCAGACCAGAGATGACAGTGTCTTACACTTTGCTCAAGATGTGAAACAGGTGATTCTGGTCAGCATTGGAATATATTTTGGGAACAGAAGAGACAGGCATGCTGATAGATGGAGTGTAGGTGAGGAAAAGAGAGAATGAAATTAAGGATACTGTTGGCCTGGATAATGGGGGTAAGGTGGTACTATTTAGTAAACAAAGAAGACTGGTGATGGAGCAGACAGAGGGGTAGGAAATGAGGGGTTTTATGTGGGACATGTTGAATTTGAGATGCCTCTTAACATCTGAGTGTATAGCTTTAATAATCTGTGTGGAGTATGAGCCCAGAAATTGGTAGAAAGTTGAGGAGGTATGAATTTGTTTTTTATTTAGGGTTATAAGGGTGGATGTCTGGAAAGACAGGAGATGTAACTTATACAAGATCCACAGTCAGTAAGTGATAAAACGGAACATGAAAATGAATCTTTCGACACCAACCACAAATTTCTCTTCCTATTATGAATTTTAGGGTTTATTTTCAGTTATGAATACTGGAGTAGAATATAGGGAAGTACTGGGGGCAGGAATACTCTAGAATCACATATAAAAGAGTGAAAATTTTTTTAGCTCTTATAGACTATGTATATTTATGATTACTCTTGTCTTTATTTGCTTTACATAATTATTTTTTCCGTAACATGCCCATTTAACTTTTAAAAACTCTGGAATAATAAACCCATAAGGTAAGTGAACTACCAGTGTGACTACAGCTATCTACTTTCTTTTCTGAAACTGTCACTTTTTGGAATGCAAAGGAGGATAATTTGACTTCAGACTAAATGTAGATTGAAGAGATGTGAAATACAAAGATAAAAGCTCAACCCCAAACTCAAGCAGGTATTTTTGAACTGTATCAATAACATTTGAGTTAGGGTGTATCAGGTTTGTTTAGTAGAAATGTCTAAGGCAAGCAGCACTTAATCTCTACAGGTTAAAAAAAGATTTAAAGTAAATTAATTGACTCAAAAAATAAAATTAAATCAATAAAAATGTAAAGGGAAAAACCCTAAAATTGGAAACAATGAACCTAATTGTATGTAAAAGGAGTGTTGTGATCACCCTGAATGGGAAGCCAGAAAGAGAGAGGGAGGAACAAAGGGAGGGAGGGAGGGGAGGAAGGGAGGAATAAAGGGAAGGAGGAAGGGAAGGAGGGAGAAAAGAAGGAAGGAAGGAAGGAGGGAAGGAAGGAAGGAGGGAAGGAAGGAAGGAGGGAAGGAAGGAAGGAAGGAAGGAAGGAAGGAAGGAAGGAAGGAAGGTAGGTTAGTTTGTTCTAGAATGGATGGGCTCCATTGGTCAAATGTGAACAATTTAAGCACCAAAATAGTTGAGTCATGGAAAAAAGAAATTCATGAATCCATACCAGTAACAAACAGATACATAAATTAATAATTAAATAGATGTTGAAGATGGGAGTTCTTTTGCTTACAGTAGAATGGGAAAGACTAATGTAAATGTGGAGGGAGTGCTGAAGTTGTAAAGCCATCATACTGCAGCCATTATAGTAAAGATTGCATTTGACAAGAACATCAATGAATGTTAAATCTGAGAGGAAATTTTTGATGAGGAGCCATCATTATGCAATAGAGAAATCAGACAACACCTTGACTAGGCAACAAAAATGAACATTAACAATGTGGGACATAAGACCCTCATGTGCCTCTAGATACGATAGCAGGAGAGGAAACAACATCACCTATGAGGAACTCCAGCAGAAAGTGTATAACCGTAATCTAATCATGGGGAAATGTCAGAAAAATAAACAATGAGGAGCACTTTATTAAAATGAAAAAAAAGAGTGAATATGCCATAATGATTAAAATCTTCATTTTCATAAAAGACAAAGAAATGATACGGAAATGTTCCAGACAAAAGGAGACTAAAGAGACATGACATTCAAGAGATCTATTGTACAACGTAGTGACTATAATTAATAGCAATGTATTCTACTCTTAAATATTGCTAAGAGATTAGATTTTAAATGTTTTCCCCACAAAAAGGATTTGAGTAATGCATATATTAGTTCAATTGATCCATTATACATTTAGCCACCATGTATAAATGTTTTAAAACATGCGTTACACAAGAAAAATAAACAATTTTTACTTATCACTTAACAATAATACATTTTAAAAAGACAAGACAACTAAGTGTGATAATTGACTCCAGACTGGGTGATTTACTGGAGGGGAAATATTTAAAAAGACATTATTTGATAAACAGCAAAATTGGAACATGGACAAATATTAGATAAAAGTAGTGTAGCTATGTAAATCTATGAAGTAGATAATTGGATGTAACCATAATATAAGAGATTATCTCTGTTTATATGCTGGATTACATTTATTGATTTGCGTATATTGAACCAGCCTTGCATCCCAGGGATGAAGCCCACTTGATCATGGTGGATAAGCTTTTTGATGTGCTGCTGGATTCAGTTTGCGAGTATTTTATTGAGGATTTTTGCATCAATGTTCATCCAGCATATAAACAGAACCAAAGACAAAAACCACATGATTATCTCAACAGATGCAGAAAAGGCCTTTGACAAAATTCAACAACCCTTCATGCCAAAAACTCTCAATAAATTAGGTATTGATGGGACGTATCTCAAAATAATAAGAGCTATCTATGACAAACCCACAGCCAATATCATACTGAATGGGCAAAAACTGGAAGCATTCCCTTTGAAAACTGGCACAAGACAGGGATGCCCTCTCTCACCACTCCTATTCAACATAGTGTTGGAAGTTCTGGCCAGGGCAATTAGGCAGGAGAAGGAAATAAAGGGTATTCAATTAGGAAAAGAGGAAGTCAAATTGTCCCTGTTTGCAGACGACTTGATTGTATATCTAGAAAACCCCATTGTCTCAGCTCAAAATCTCCTTAAGCTGATAAGCAACTTCAGCAAAGTCTCAGGATACAAAATCAATGCACAAAAATCACAAGCATTCTTATACACCAACAACAGACAAACAGAGAGCCAAATCATGAGTGAACTCCCATTCACAATTGCTTCAAAGAGAATAAAATACTTAGGAATCCAACTTACAAGGGACGTGAAGGACCTCTTCAAGGAGAACTACAAACCACTGCTTAATGAAATAAAAGAGGATACAAACAAATGGAAGAACATTCCATGCTCATGGGTAGGAAGAATCAATATCGTGAAAATGGCCATACTGCCCAAGGTAATTTACAGATTCAATGCCATCCCCATCAAGCTACCAATGACTTTCTTCACAGAATTGGAAAAAACTACTTCAAAGTTCATATGGATCCAAAAAAGAGCCCGCATCGCCAAGTAAATCCTAAGCCAAAAGAACAAAGCTGGAGGCATCACACTACCTGACTTCAAACTATACTACAAGGCTACAGTAACCAAAACAGCATGGTACTGGTACCAAAACAGAGATATAGATCAATGGAACAGAACAGAGCCCTCAGAAATAACGCCACATATCTACAACTATCTGATCTTTGACAAACCTGAGAAAAACAAGCAATGGGGAAAGGATTCCCTATTTAATAAATGGTGCTAGGAAAACTGGCTAGCCATATGTAGAAAGCTGAAACTGGATCCCTTCCTTACACCTTATACAAAAATTAATTCAAGATGGATTAAAGACTTAACCGTTAGACCTAAAACCATAAAAACCCTAGAAGAAAACCTAGGCATTACCATTCAGGACATAGGCATGGGCAAGGACTTCATGTCTAAAACACCAAAAAGAATGGCAACAAAAGCCAAAATTGACAAATGGGATCTAATTAAACTAAAGAGCTTCTGCACAGCAAAAGAAACTACCATCAGAGTGAACAGGCAACCTACAAAATGGGAGAAAATTTTCGCAACCTACTCATCTGACAAAGGGCTAATATCCAGAATCTACAATGAACTCAAACAAATTTACAAGAAAAAAACAAACAACCCCATTAAAAAGTGGGCAAAGGATATGAACAGACACTTCTCAAAAGAAGACATTTATGCAGCCAAAAAACACATGAAAAAATGCTCATCATCACTGGCCATCAGAGAAATGCAAATCAAAACCACAATGAGATACCATCTCACACCAGTTAGAATGGAGATCATTAAAAAGTCAGGAAACAACAGGTGCTGGAGAGGATGTGGAGAAATAGGAACACTTTTACACTGTTGGTGGGACTGTAAACTAGTTCAACCATTGTGGAAGTCAGTGTGGCGATTCCTCAGGGATCTAGAACTAGAAATACCATTTGACCCAGCCATCCCATTACTGGGTATATACCCAAAGGACTATAAATCATGCTGCTATAAAGACACATGCACACGTATGTTTATTGTGGCACTATTCACAATAGCAAAAACTTAGAACCAACCCAAATGTCCAACAATGATAGACTAGATTAAGAAAATGTGGCACATATACACCATGGAATACTATGCAGCCATAAAAAATGATGAGTTCATGTCCTTTGCAGGGACATGGATGAAATTGGAAATCATCATTCTCAGTAAACTATCGCAAGAACAAAAAACCAAACACTGCATGTTCTCACTCATAGATGGGAATTGAACAATGAGAACACATGGACACAGGAAGGGGAACATCACACTCTGGGGACTGTTGTGGGGTGGGGGAAGGGGGGAGGGATAGCATTAGGAGATATACCTAATGCTAAATGATGAGTTAATGGGTGCAGCAAACCAGCATGGCACATGTATACATATGTACCTAACCTGCACATTGTGCACATGTACCCTAAAACTTGAAGTATAATAATAATTTTTTAAAAAATTTTATTTGAAAAAAAAATAAGAGATTATCTCTATTCTTGGAAAATTCAGACTGAAAGCCCTTGTTATGTGTGACTTACTCTTAAGTTGTTCAGAAAAAAATTATGACCATAGAAAAATATAAAGAAAAAAATGAGAGCACATTATAAAGCAAATGGGATAAAATATTTAAGCAAATCTAGGTAAAGATATAAGGGGTTCATTATACTTTTTTATTTTTACAACTTATATGAGCTTCCAATTATTTCTAAATAAGATGTTTTAAAGTAGGTGAAGTGTAACAAGAGTTTCTGGTGAGCATTTAAGAAAACTCACTGCCATCAGATATATGATTGTATTTTATTCAGAAGGCCGCCTAATTGCATAGAAAATGTTTTTGCTGCTCCTCCAATTCAGCTATATTCACCCACATAGAACGAGAATAAAAGCAACCTACTTAAAATTTTTTCTTGTGCAAAAGAAAATAGATTGAATTAAGGTACACTTTTAAAAATTTTACTTATTTTTTCAAAATCAAAACTGTGGTGATTTTTCTCAAAATCATATTGCAATTTATTTTTTCCCAAGGTGAGAAAAATTTTGAGAATGTGATAACCACTACATATTAAAAAAAAACTAAAGGCTCATGATGAAATATCTGTAAAGTAGAATAATAATGAGGTATGAAATTTTATACTGGTTCATGGAGCAACACCAATAGACTAACTTCATTCTTCATCTGCTTTCCAAGGTTGCAATATTAATGAATGATTCTAATGACATTTTTATTTAAATTTGGATTTAAATATGCAAATCTGGTATTTTCCCCCATAATATTAAAAGCAAAAAAATTAAATAAAAAGTTAAAACCTATATTTAGAAAATGTATATAAAGATAAAAATAAAACTGGAAGGAATTTTAAAAACATTAAATCTAAGTGCCTAATTTTAGTTAATAAAAAATGATAAAAAGCATCAATGATGTCAGACAAATAACAGAACTATACTAATTCTCAAATAACAAGTTATATTTTAAAGATTAAAAATTAATGAACAGTGGTTTTATTTTCTACAATGCAGATATGTAAATTAGATTCCATTTCATTTATTTTTTTAAATGGAAGTATTCAGAAATATAAAATGGCTTACCCTTATTCTTTATATCTGTAAAAGGTATTTTCTTTTCATGTATCATGAAAATGATACATATTTTATCATACAGAGCTCATGTACTGTCATAGCTCATATTTTTGCAATCATAATAATTTCTTATTTATTTAGCATATTTTAATTATATGTGAATATGCAAATATAGCAATCATTTGGAATTTACATTTATTAAAAATAAATAGAAAGTCAACAAACACAGGAGGGCACAAATTTTCTTTTAAATGGCTGAAAGACCCACATTATCTGGGATACAAAGATTTTTGTTTTTCAATAACAGGTCATGTCTCTGAGTTTGCACCCAAACTGTAATCTTTCTTTCAGGCAACAAACTTTCTTCTCTTTATTCTTGCAAATGGGAAAATGGCCAAAAGAAGAGGAAACAAAACAGCTAAACAAAAACTAAATCTTTCAATGTTCTTTTGGAAGTTCAGTAATTTATGTCAAAAACAAATAGCACTGTTATTCCTAAATGTAATTATTATTTGAAAAATAATATACGTTTATTTGTTGGAGTGGGATAGAGCCCTCTATAAGCAGATCATTCTTTTCTATTTCTATAGATGAGCAACTTTGGGAAGGTCATCTTGTGAAGGAGGAGGAGAACATCCATTTAACTGTGAGATTAGCAGCATCAACCCTGGACCCAATAGTTTAATAGACCCCCAAGAAGATCATCCACTTCACACAATCAAACTATGCCTTATTAAGACAGAGACCAAATTTTACAATACTATACACAGCAGTCATCCAGTCTCAATTTTTATTAGATTCAATGAAAACTTCTTAGACAATCATGTCACATAAACATAATCTACTAAAACACAGTAAAATATATACTACAGCTCAGAAGCCAAAATTAAATTTTCCAGTAATAAATTATTTATCATATTTATGATGAATAAACAATAATATTAAATAATTAATATTAAATATTTGTTAATATTTATTTACCATTAATATTATCATGGAAACTCAGATGAGCACTCATTTTTTTCTTATGTAAAGACAATTTTATCAAAGAGAGAACAACTTAAAAACTTATTTTCCATAATCTAGAACTAGGATGTTCATTCAGACTTTACTAATTATTGACAACAACAACAACAACAACAAATCTGTCTTGCCAGAAAGATAGTATCTTCTCTGCTGCTTTAGCCTTCATTTGCTGTTCTGAATTACACTTATGACCAATTTATATTGTAATCTCCTTGGGCTATGTTTCCTTGTGATTGTTAGCCATTATTTAGTATATTACCATACTACATATAACACTTAATAGCTCATGATATCAAAATATCTCATAGTTAAAATTGTGGACATTTGAACTTCTGATGGAAGTAGTTGTGTTTATTTTTAAGGTTTCTTTATTTTTATATTTTTAGAGACAGAATCTGGCTCTGTCACTTAGGCTGGAGTGTAGTGGTGCAATCACAGCTCACTGCAGCCTTGATCTTCTGACTTAAGCCATTCTCTTGCCTCAGCCTCCAAAGTAGCTGGGACTACAGGCTTGAGCCCCTAGACCTGACAAGCAGTTGTGTTTAATTAGTGTGTGATAAAGATGAAGAAGCACAATTGTAACGGATTTCTAACAACCATCAACTTAATTTTAAAATTTTCATCGAGTTAAGTATGTCAAATTTGATTCAACAATTCACATCTGAGTTTGTAACAGTAACACTCTGCTTTCCTTCTCCCTATAATAAGAAGACAGCAACTATTGGTGCAACTTATTGGTGTAGTGCATGAAAATACGTAAAACAAACCAACAAAAAACCAACTAGGTACTAGGTAACATACTAGAACCAGTAATAACAGCACCATTTACCAAAATTTATCAAAAATTAAATCTATTAATTGATGGGATAGTGTGGACTTTCTTTTTTGGAAGCCATGAGATTAGTCTAATTTTTTCAAACCAAATTAAGAAAGCTTCAAATACATCTTGGGATATTTATACTTACCAAATCTCACACGGTAAATGTGTGATGTATGAAACTTTCTCAAAAGGATTCAATTATGAAAATGCTCAGAGGCAAACTCTTCAAACCTCCATATGTATATATAGCCAGAGTAGTTCACTTAAACAGATTTTTCTTCTCAAAGCTGTATTAAACACTCCTTAATGTTTTTACCAAAGTATAAAGAAACCAACAGCTTTTAAAAGGAAGATTTAAAAATTGCTATATTATGAATACAATTGTATTAAATACAGTTAATATGTGTAGGTATTATTCTGGATTAGTGCAAATTTGAATAAAAGTTTCTAGGATCTAGATTATTTTAGAATTTCACTAATAAGATCAGTTTCAGTTTAGTTTGATTTCCAATTATCAAACCAAATGTCTTACTTTGTTTTCATTCTTACTATATTTTAAGCATTATAAATACAAATTAAACTTATTTAGAAAACAATACATTTTAAAAATTAGATTTGCATATTTCATTTAAAATTTTAAGTCATGCTGTCTACACTACAAATTAATTTTTCTAAACAAATATCATCATAAAGTGATGATATAAAAATAATACTGAAATGTCATATTTTAAATGATACAATATATTTTCACGGTGGGTAAAAACAAATGTAAGAATGCTTTTTTTTCTGGAAAGTGCTCAACTAATAATATGCAAAATGAACAAAAGTATATCTGTGAGAGAATATTAGAAATAATCTAGAGCTGGGAAAGAAGAAAAGTTATCAAATTTGTTAATAATCCAAATGCCTCTTCAGCACTAAATTGTGTGCAAAATTACAAATACACAAGAAAGATAACGTTTTATTTTGCAGGTAAAATAATTTGGAGATCAATGAAAACTTTAAATTTTTCCAGGTTTTTAAAAGCTTGTATGTGAAGCTGAAGCTTTGTAAATGTATTAAACTTTTTATTTAAAATGTCGGTTACTTACTTGAAAGAGTTATCAGGTTTATCTAATCTACACTGTAATGTGGCCAGCATTTAAATTGTTGCTATATAAATAGCAATCCAAATAATAAAATGAAAAATAGCAAATAATTGTTCTTACCTCTATGCTTAGTTATAGTTGCTTGTTAAGCTGCTTCATGGGTTGAGACAAACTACCAGCACTTCAAAGAGCTCAGTTCTCTGCTCAACTCTCTTCTCTAGTTACATTATTTTTTTTCCTCTGCAAAAGGATAGTCCACCAAAAGAGGAAGTTATGAAATAACAGTCATTATGCTTTATCCATTTTATGGGGCATGGAAAATTATTCATAAAGCTTACACTTGAAATCACAGCAACAGGCTATAATTGGTGCCTGTACACATATATAATTAAAGTATATGCATGTTTATATGTGTAAGCAAATTTTAGAAAAGTTAAGCTATTGAAACCTATAGTTGGCCTGGCACGGTGGCTGACGCCTGTAATCCCAGCACTTTGGGAGGCTGAAGCGGGCAGATTACCTGAGGTCAGGAGTTCAAGACCAGCCTGGCCAACATAGTGAAACTCCGTCTCTACTAAAAATACAAAAGTTAGCCTGGCATGGTGGCAGGCGTCTGAATCCCACTTACTCAGGAGACTGAGGCAGGAGAATCGCTTGAACTCAGGAGGCGGAGGTTGCAGTGAGCTGAGATCGCGGCCATTGCTTTCCAGGCTGGGAGACACAGTGAGACTCCATTTCAAAAAAGAAAAGAAAAGAAAAGAAACCTATACTTGATTAAGTAGTGCTCGTTTACATAAGGAAGCATCTCCTGTGTGGCTCAATGATCACAGAAAACATTGCTCTATGCAGAAGAAAACTGTCCAGCTGATATATGGGAATTAACTTGCTTTTACAAGTCTAATTAATTTAAAGTCTTTGAAGTATGACACAAATGCTAATCTGACTACAGGCATCTTATTAAAGGAAGAAAAAAAAAAAACCTCCAGTAAACAGACATTTTCCTGGAATTTGGGTAGCGGTTTTTTACCTACAAGTCTCAAACTTCCTTTCTCATGAATAGTTGCCTGTTACATATAGATAAAGCACTGCAAAACTGAAACTGTTACTTACACATGAACTATGGTCTTTCACTACTTCAGCCACAAGAGTAAAAAACAGGTGCAGAGGTGCAGATCCTGCAAAACTGAACATTTAGCTGGCTAAGTTTCTTACAGGTTGGAGTAGTAAATGAGAATATTTAAAGGACAGTAGGGACAATGGTTGAAAAAAGACATAAAAAAGTTGATCAAAGCAAGTACTACTGCCAAATTCAAATAAAAGGATATATACAAATATATTTATCATGGGTTTAGGTTGCCAGATAATAGAAGCCAATGTGTAGCTTCATTTTTTATGTGTGGCAGTTGCTCCCAAACTCCCTTGCTCATTGGGGAAGAAGGAGATGGATTGCAAGAGCAATACAGTAATTATGCAAACCTCCACATGTTGCAAGAACCACTTTCTGGACTTTAGAAGCTATCATGCTGTCACTGCACCACACTCTTTGCTTTTTATTTAACCTTATGTCCAAAGAGGCATTAAAGAGTACTTAGACTGGGCACAGTGGCTCACGCCTGTAATCCCAGCACTTTGGGAGGCCGAGGTGGGTGGATCACTTGAGGTCAGGAGTTCGAGATCAGCCTGGCCAACATGGTGAAACCCCATCTCTACTAAAAAAAATACAAAAATTAGCCAGGCACTTTGGCAGGCCCCTGTAATCCCAGCTACTCAGGAGGCTGAGGCAGGAGAATCCCTTGAACCTGAGAGGCAGAGTTTGCAGTGAGCCGGGATCCTGCCACTGCACTCCAGCCTCGGCCATAGGGTGAGACTCCGTCTCAAAAACAAACAAACAGAGTAATTAGGAGATGATTAGAAGCTGAAATATTTTCCATTTCACCTAAACTCATACTTAATGTGAGTTTGCAGGAAGTTAAATAAACCAAATGCAGAAAGCTGTCCCCTCCATAAAACGCACAAAAAACAAAAACAAATAAACGAACAAAACCCCAGTATGTCATTGATATCAAATTTTATTTGAATTCCTTTGTGAACTACTTATAAGGAAATCCCTACAGAGAAGTTGTCAATGTGATTAAAATTGCTTAGATTCTATGTGTTTAGACAAATTTTAAATATTATTGTATTTGGGTATCATTATATAAAACACTAGGCTTATCAGTCCCCAAAGACCCAGTCACACTCTGGAAGCATAGTCCTCAATGTCTGCTGTAATTTTAATGTATTTCCTCAATATTTGTGTACCTTTTGCCTGAATAGTGGATGTATATCTCTACTTCTCTTCTTCTCTAATGATCCCTTCCAGGCTGATAAATATGCTCAAGTTTCTTCCCTATTAAAAATTCCTCCTCTGACTGACTTGTCATATTACTTTCTTTTTCTTCATCAGAACTTTTTGAGAAAGTTGCCCACATTGACTTGAGCCCTTATATCTTTTTTGTATGTGTGTATGGTAGAATATATTTAACAAAATTTACCATTTGAACCATTTTTAAATGTACAGTTCAGAGGCATTAAGTACATTCACACTGTTAGGCAACCATCACCACCATCTATCTCCAGAACTTTCTCATTCTTCTAGACTGAAACTCTGTACCTATTAAACAATAACTGAACGTTCCTTCCTGCCCTCAACCTGGCAACCACCATTCTACTTTCTATCTCTATGAATGTGATTACTCTAGGTACTTCATATGAATGGAACCATATGACATTTGTCCATTTGTGTCTGGCTTATTTCACTTAGGTTCATCAAAGTTGCAGCATGTGTCAGAATTTCCTTCCTTCTTAAAGCTGAATAATATTCTATTGTATGTATATACCACATTTGTTTCCTATTTATCAGATGATGGACACTTGAGTTGTTGCTATCTTTGGCTATTGAGAATAATGCTGCTATAAACATGGGTGTGCAAATATCTGTTTGAATCTTTGCTTTCATTTTTTTTGTATATACACCCAGAAGTGGAATTGAATCATACTGTAATTTTATACTTTTTGAGGACCCACCATACTAAGTCCACCTATCTTTCTCACATTTCTTCCTCCTGCATGGGTTTCTGCTTCCTCCTATTTATCAAGACTCTTGCCAAAATCACCAGTGATCTCCCTGTTACCAAATCCAAAATCCAAAAGCCCTCTTACTTGACCTGTTTTCAGCACATGCCAATGTTGACCACTTCCTCCTCCAGGAAATGTTATCTGTCTTTCAGCTCTTGACTTCACTCTCACCTTCTGATTATGTGGCAACTTCTCTGATTTATTTATGAGTCTTTAAACTCTGCTCCTCTAGTAAATGTTGCCACTTCTCAGGATTCTGTCCTGGGCTTGCTCTCCTTACCCGACAATCTCACTATCCTTGCATGGTTTTAACTGGCAAATACTGATTGCTCCCAAATCTCTGTTTCCAACCCAGTTATCTCCCTAGAAAAGTTTTCACCAATGCAAAATATAAAATCATTTCTACTTGCAATGTACAGAAAAGAGTCTGCATAGAGGCCCTAAGATAAGCCTCAATTAATTTTTCAATTCTACTATTGTTTAAACTTCAGCAGGTCAGGCAACATTTTTGAGCCCTATTTCCTCACCTGTAAATGGGGCCTTAAATGACCACCTAATACGGTTACTGGAAGTATAAAACAAAGACTACTTAAACACTTTCTTATGTTTATAGTATTAAAAATACAGTTAAAGCAAAAGTCCATTTTAATTCCCTCTAACATGATTCTTCTCCCTAGAAATAAGTAATACTATCAGTTTGATGTGTATACTTGCTTAACTATTTCCTGTATAATTACCTGTAAGACACATAAGGAGTTAAATAATTTTGTGGGGTTTTAATGTAAATAACATCACACTGTATGTTCTTCACTGGGACTTTTAAAAAGCTTAATATGGCTTGAAGGTATCCCAAGACATACTTTTGAACTGATTCATATATATCTAATTCCCTCACTGATTGAATTTGTGTTACTCTTCACAGCTAAAAATAATGTGATCAGTTGAGCATTTTAAATATCTCTCTAAAAGTAGTACAAGTCTTTATGTGAGGTAGATACAGGAAAGTAGAATTGTTAGGTCAGAAGGCATATACATTTAAAATGTTAATTGTCACTGCCAAATGGCCCAGTCAAAAAAGGTTTAATCTCCAACATTTCCTGTTTTTTTATGCGATTGCCAGTATTTGCTTTAATTAAACTTTTAAAGATTTGCCAATCTGATGGACAAGAAAATGGAGTCTTAATATTTTTATTTTGCTTTTCCCTGATTACTGTGGATATTGAACACATATTAATGTTGTATCCTCCTTTACAATTCCAGTTTTGTGAACTACCTGTTAATTCATTCCAAACTTTTCTTTTTATTTTATCTCATTATTATTTTTTTTACCTGATCACCTACTACCAGGACCAAACATTTCTTTATTGCATAATTGTCAGCTTTTTATTGATATGTAGGATTATAAGTACATTCTGTTTGAATGCATTGCAATAATTTTTCTTTTTTGGTGATGGTCCATTCTCCCCATCCTCCATTTTAGGGCTTTTCATGCTGGCTATGGTAACCTCTTGAGATGACCCTAATATTCTCTGATAATGTCTTTGATTTCTGGCACAAGATAGCCAGGTTCATTTTGTGTATTTCTTGCCCCAGAACTGAAATCACCCATTTCTCTAAAGAACCTTCGTTGCTTTTGGTAGACAGGGATTTTTGAGATCACCATCTAAACCTTAGTAGTGCTTATTGCTATTGAGTTATTACTAGCATTTGGAATAAACTCAGTCAACACATTGTTAGTTTCTTCTATGTGCCAAGCAGTACATAATTGCAAGAAAAAATACATTTAAACATGTGTTAGGAGTTTATAATATATATGAACATGTTACATCATATATTGCATTAAAAATAGTTTATGATTAATATATCTAATACACAAAAATACCTTCTTTTTAAATACAATTCGGGCACTATTTTCTTATGAAAGGATATTTTGATAAAGGTAACAATATAGTAATAATCACATTTTGCATTTAGAACTTTCAAAATACCCTTCCAAAGAAATTTCAAAAACCATGCAGATTAGAAAAATATTAAAGTTTTCGTATTTCCCATTATTTTCATTTGCATTTACCATTTTAATCCTAAATCGGCTTTCTTCTTCTTTTTCTTCTTTTTTTGTAAATTTTGCTATTATGCGCCTATCACATAGAAGAAAATAAGCATCTGTGCATATGTCCCTGGAAACAGATTTCAAGTAAAATAAAATAAATATATTTATGGTTTTAACCACTATTTCTTTCTCAAGGTATATTTTCATGGCCACTTTAAAACTACTGAAGTAGCAATATTTCAACTGCTCTTTTCATAGCTCAGTGGTGACAGAAATATTTCTGGTTCACTGATTTTGTTTTTTACTTATTAAGAGAATGGCTTAAATATTTTAACATTCTTTAACATAAATAAATAAATATTTATGTTAACATTTATATTTATATTTATCTTAACATAAATTTAAATATTTAAATTCTTTAACATGCAGTTAAAGAATTGAAGAGGATAGCATAGTCTGATTATTTTCAAGTATCTCTGACCCTTAGTTTCCTTACATATAAAAGTGGATGATAATACTAACTCCACTGGGGTACTGTGAGGATTAATTGAATATCATAGGTACAGGGCCAAGAAGACCGTGTTTCCTGAGAACGATGGTGATGAGCATTTTCAAACCTAATTTGTGAATGAATAGTTGGACAAAAATATTCTTCTAATTTTTGAATATATTTATTTGAAAACATAGCAAAGGTTAACAAATCACATCTAGTTGTACATTTATATTACATTGATTGTGTTTACTAAGAAAAATGAACTTTAAAAAACTAGGAATATAGGAGATTTATGGAGAGTCATTCATTCAATACTTTGTATCTGCTATATGTAGGGAGTTATGATAGGGACTGGGAATACAAATAAATTCCAGCTAACTTTGGCTAATGGATGGATCAGCATGATATAGAGAAGAGAGAATTTGGAGTGCTTATTTGTATCTCCTTTATGCTGCCAGGGCATGGTTTTGGAAGTGTCTGTATCCCTCCACCTACAGCCACAGCTACTCTCTGTCTTTCTCAGTCTCAGCTATTAGCTATTACTAGGTTCCAATATCATGATTCTTCCTTGCCTTTCAGGTCTAGGGGTGGTAATCCAATTAGCAATTTCCACCATTGCTCATCTCTGCCATACCTCATTTACTACTAATCATGGCAACACCTCTAAATACTCCCTTCATTAAACTATATGAAATCGATCATTTAAAATATACCACTTCAAGCAGACATTGCTCAAGATTTACATTAGCCCTCGCTGGGCACAGTGGTGTGTACCTGTAGTCCTAGCTACTCGGGAAGCTGAAGCAGGGGGATCACTTGAACCCAGGAGTTCAGGTCCAGCCTGAGCAAGAAAGCAAGGTTCTAAAGGGGGAAAAGCAAGGTTAAAAAAAATATACATTAGTCCCGTCATACAATTAAATTATACACTTGAATTGGAAACTGATCTGCTAGAAGGTGTACCGTTTCAGGGGAAACGCAAAGGAGAGTTACAGAACATGTCCTAGGCTAGCCAAATCAAGAATTGGCTCAGAAAGTGTAATGATTGAATTGACACTTGAGGATGAGTAGGACTTCATGGGTGTTTGAAAGGGGAGGGGACAAATTGGAAAAGGCATGAAAGTCAGAGAAACAGAATCATATTCACGGAGCTACATGTAGTATCCTATTTGGGAGGCATAAACTGGAAGGGTTGGGAATGGGGTGGTGAAGGAGCACAACAGATGAAGCCAGAGAGAAAGGGGCTTCAGAAAATGGAGGGTGTTGTAAGGAACAGTGTCTTTTTTTTTTTTTTTTTTTTTTTTGAGATTGAGTTTCACTCTTGTAGCCTAGGCTAGAGTGCAATGGCGCGACCTTGGCTAACTGCAACCTCCACCTCCTGGGTTCAAGCGATCTTCCTGCCTCAGCCTCCCGAGTAGCTGGGATTACAGGCGCCCACCACCACGCCTGGTTAATTTTTGTATTTTAGTAGAGATGGGGTTTCATTATGTTGACCAGGCGTCTTATATGTCTTCCGAAGAAGAAGAAGAAAAAACTTCTAGTGTGAACAATCAGCTTTTTTGGGTGTCTGTGTTTTTTCCTACCCATTAATGATTCTCTTTCTTCTGGTGACAAGTTGTCACGATTTTCCTCTGAGGAACAGGCCCTTCTTTGGTATCACTGCATGTGAGGTGAGTGGCATCAATTTCCTCCTACACCAACATTGGTGTAAGCATATGACCAATGTCTGGGAAATAAGTTTAATTGTTTTCCTTTGACACAGTGATTGGTTCAAAGAGGAGCGTGTAATTCAAGCCAGCCAATAAGACTTACTTATGGAAATTTTAAGTTCTGCTTTTGCTGGGATTGGCTAGCTGTAAGAATTATATAAGCCTAAAACTGGGGACTACTGTGAGGAGAAAACCAGTAAAAGAATGAAGCCAACAGAGAGGAAAGCAGACCTGAGGGAAAGTGAGAAGAGGAAGAGGGTTCTGATGACATCATCAGAGTCTGTGACTCCAACTATGCCTGAATCCCTCTTCAGCTTGTTTTCATTAACTAAGCCAATAAATTCTTTCTTTTTTCTATAACCAGTTTGAATTAAACTTCTGTCACTTGCAACCAAAAGTCTTTTATAACAGGGAGGAAATCTGGAGGAAAGGGAATGTTTTATTTGAAGTGTAGAATGTCAAGAAAAGCAGGCTTTTTTATTGTCCTTAGACTAGCATTGTCTAAGAAAAACATAATGCAAACCATATGTATCATTAAAAATATTGTAGTCTCTACCTTAAAGAGAAAGAGGTGAAATAAATTTTAATAAAATATTTTATTTAACCCAATATATAAACAATGTTATCATTCAAATATGCAGCAATATAGAAAATCAGTTTCCCTTTTTAAATTTAAATTTAATTGATTAAAATTAAATATAATTAAAAATTCAGTTCTCAGTGGCATGATCATTGCTCACTGTAGCCTCAACCTCTCAGGCTCAAGCAATCCTCTTGCCTCTGCCTCCCAAGTAGCTGGGACTACAAGCATGCAACATCATGCCAGGCTTATTTATTTATTTGTTTATTTATTTGTTGAGATAGGGGTCTCACTATGTTGCTCAGGCTGGATATTTGATATTTTTTGAACAAAGAAATAATGGAAGCAAAACAATGCTTTTATAAAAATAATCTGACAGCTCCAGTATCTTTAAATCTTTCCTGATATCCCAGTCAAATTAATGCCTTTCTCTATAATCCTCTCACGTGGGGTCATAAGGACACATGCCAGGTTCTTCAGGGTCAGAAATGCTTAGTCATTTAGAATGCAGCAGCCATAGAAATAACTCATGCAGAGCAGGATTCTCTCAAGACCTAGCTCACCCATTCTTTTGTCCCTGATAGGATTTGGAACATCCCCATAGCATGAAGTGGCATTGGCTTTCTGATTTCTGCTTCTAGATCATCAGGGACAGTAGAAGACTGGAGTCAAATGTAAGATGCATGAATGATTAATAATACTCTTTCAAATGTATTCATTAACTAAAAGACCAATCCTGGTTTGAGACATGTTCAAACAGGAACACAAAGTCTTAGAATCAGGAAAATATACTATCTACTCTCTGCTCCAAAGGAGGAAAGTATGCTTCATTTTGTTGTTGTCTCAACTCAGTTCTTTGGCATATTAGGTACTGAAAAAAAAATTGTTTAATGTAACTAGTGAATTATAAAATACAAATAATAGTCTTTCTAATCTTCTTGGATAAATAATATAAAATAGAATTCTTTAAAAATAGTCTTCCATTTTTAATCTATTTAACATCTTTTAATAACTTTTTAAATTAAAATTTTCTGATCAACACTCCATTTTCTTTCTATTTTTTTATAAATGTGAAATTATTTAAAGATATAATACTTCTTACCTGGGACATTCATTACAATTTTAATCAAATGATATTGTAAGTTCCAAGAGTCTTCATGTCCTAGCAAATGGATTACATAAACAAAAAACTTTTTTTGTGAGAAACACCCTTTTCTGTAAGAACATTTCAAATTCCTGAGCAGAGGCATTTTATATAGTTAGGTAAACATTTTTTTGTTTCTGCCAAGTGGATGAGGGCTATGTTTATTATTTCTATAGTGAAACAAAAAAAGGATATGTTTTCCTTCAACAGCATGAAACCAGTACAAGAGAAGAATATGTTTCTAAATGGGGGGCAGGTCAGAAAAAAGTCCCAAGAGGGAAGTTGCTGGGTACTGGCTATGTCTAGCCATGGAGAAGGTAATGCAACAGCCATCAGTGGTGGCCTCAGCAAATGAGATAGTTGCAGCCACTTTTATAACAAGGGCGCCAGGGAACAATGGAGCAATTAGTGTTGGGAGGTCTCATAAAATGATACATTGGCTTCATTTATTTGCTTTTTCTTTGTAGTTATGATGAGATACGTATTTGAAAATGTGGAATCCACAGTTTGTGGAACTGTTAATCATCAATAAGAGAAGTGGTATTTCTTAGGAAGAATTTAATCTCTGGTTTTTGGAGGTAGTGGTCTGTATCAATAGAAATAACTCTTTTTGACATTGAAGACTAGTTCTGACAGTTGATGGCAAGTATAGATACCCATGTGGTCACTACAGACTGAGCCCTCGATAATCATACTGAAGAGCTTTTCAAGGTACTGTTTTATAATAAAACATTTAGAAATTGGACCTTAATGTATCTGTTCTTCCCAAAAGCCAACTACCAGCAGTTACATAGCTTTTAGAAAGCTTCACATGTTCACAGTGACTAAAAACTCACAAAAATATCAAAGCTCAAATACTTGGCACACACTAGGGAAACTAAGACCTTATTTTGTGTTCTTAAGTAAATCAGTAGTTTTAAAGGTTTCTTGAAGGTCAGGACATGATAAACTTTTGCTTTTTGAAAATACTTTTTCTGGAGATATACATACACAAATATATGTGTGTGTGTGTATATATATATATATATACGTACACTATAGATATAGTTTTTTGGTGGATGGGAGTTGTAGAAGCAATATATGATCATCATAAAAGTTTAGAAAATAAAAAAACTGTGAGAAGGAAAATAAAAATCATTCTTTATTACAATCAGCTGGGGATTATTACTATTCAATTTTGATGTACATCCTTCCAGATTCACATGTAGGTGTATATAAACGCATCACATAACAATAATGGACCACATATACAATGGTGTTCCGGTGAGATTAAAATACTGTATTTTCACTGTACCTTTTCCATGTTTACACATATTTAGATACACAAATGTTTAGCTCATGTTACAATTGCCTACAGTATCCAGTACAGTAACATGCTGTACAAGTTTGTAGCCTAGGAGCAATAGGTTATACCGTATAGCCTAAGTGTGTAGTAGGCTATACTGTCTAGGTTTGTGTAAGTACACTCTCTGATGCTCACACAAGACAAAACATCTAACAATGCATTTCTCAGATGGTATCTCCACCATTAAAAGATGCATGACTATATCTTTCTATTATCTATCTTCTGTAGATACAGATTAGAGAGAGATTATTTTTCAAAAGTAGGATTACATAAAAATACAACAAAATCCTATATAACCACCTTTCTATTTCTATTACTTACAGACAGGAAATATGCTAATGACAAAGCTACTATATTTTAGTGACATATAAAATTATTATTCACAGCATCACTTGCATATTTTTGAACAACAGTTACACATATCCTTTGAAAACTTACATAGCCAGGCTACTGAATGATTTGGATGTATGATTTGAAGAACTTTTGTGAAAACTGTGACCTGCAAATGTAAACTACTGATTTAAATCTTTTAGCAGCAAGCTATGCTTGTGGCTATGCTGATTGCTCCACGTTCAAAGCAATTTCTACTGCTATAGTTTCTATAATTATCAACAAAAACACGCAAAATATTTGCTCCAAACCAGAATAGGCCACAACTTGCAAGAAACAAGCTTGGAAATCAGTAATTATGTGACTTCAGGAGGTATGTATTAGTGGTTCTTATACTAAAAGTGAGTGAAATGCATCAGTAATTTCTTTCCATAAAACCTGGGAAAGTTTCTAAAAAGGGATAAGATCTGGAGGAGGTCATTAGGGAAGGAGCTATAGTACTTAA
The DNA here is from genome assembly GCF_000001405.40 of Homo sapiens. Lineage (NCBI taxonomy): Eukaryota > Metazoa > Chordata > Mammalia > Primates > Hominidae > Homo > Homo sapiens. The sequence continues at coordinate 152,233,290 of NC_000003.12, read as the reverse complement.
GAAAGTTAGTTTGGAAAATGAAGATTTCAGGGAGATACATAATCAAAATCTCAGACAAATATCCAGTGAACATGGTACTGAGAATCATCAAGAAATCAAAACTCACTAAGGAATTGATGTCAGAAGCTGCAGAATATTTAGAAAATGACCAGCTTGTTTTTAATTTGGAAACAAAATTCTAAATAGAGTTAAGTTCAGAAAGTGATATAACTAACATCTCAGAATGAAAAATCATTAACTCTTGGGTACATCATCATTCAGTATTTTATTCCTTATATAGTTTATTTACAAAACCAAACCTTGAAGTGCAAGAAGAGAGGTGGTTGCACTGGGAATATTATAAAAGGGACTGGAAAGGGAAAACACCTTTGTGAGAATAAGTAATATGCAATGCAAATGATACATACTCAACTTTTAGAATAAGTGACTCATTGGAATTATTTAAAATGGCAGAGACTCATCAAAGAGGAGACGTTAACTATGACATGATTTAACATGTTCTAAGTAATTTGGTCTCCACAGTCATTTGATTACAACTCTTCAACTAATTAATTTGAGAAATACAGACAGACTCCAAGTTTTTTTGGGATGCGATCCAAAAGTTTATTTGCATGTTAGTTGTTTGAATTTGCTCTCTCATAATTGTAAGGTTATATGATGTTGTTAACTTTCCTGACAGGTTCATAAAAGCCTACTTAACAAATAAAACAGCAGCCATGATTATTATGTCTTTTAAAAACCCTCAAAGATCAAACATAGTAAGCAATGATTGTTTTCTCATTTTTTTGTTAAATTATTTTAAAAATTTTGTGGGTATACAGTAGGTATATATATTTATGGGTTATATGAGATGTTTTGATACAAACATGCAATGTGAAATAAGCACACAGTGGAGAATGGGGTATGTATCTTCTCAAGCATTTATCCTATGAGTTACAAACAATCCAATTACACTCTTTAAGTTATTTTAAAATGTACAATTAAGTTATTATTGACTACAGTAACCCTATTGTGGTATCAAACAGCAGGTCTTATTCATTCTTTCTATTTTTTTGGTACCCATTAACCATCCCCACTTCCCCTCCAGCCCTTTACTATGATTCCCTGCCCCTGGAACAATCCTATTCACTATTTCCGTAAGTTCAATTGTTTTGGTTTTTAGATCCCACAAATAAGTGAGAACATGTGATGTTTGTCTTTCTATGTCTGGCTTATTTACTTAACATAATGTTAAGATAATGTTATGATGGGAAGGAACATAATGATGGGAAAGGACAAGGAAATAAAGATGCCTGAAAAAGAGGAGCTGTATTTCATAGAGAGGAATGTTAACAATAAATATAGAATTACAGAGTTAAAACATCATCATTATGCAACCCCCAAAGTAATATGTAACTTAGACAAGAATATCAGAGATTTGCAAACCAATTAGTGAAAGTTTATTAGAGAACAGAATATTCACACAGTTTTAAAATATCATATTAGAGATAACTTTTTTAAATTAGAAAGAGAAAATAGACCTTTATAATGAAGAGATCTTGACATCACTCCATTAATTGAATGATCTCTTTCTTTTTTATGGCTGAATAATACTCTATTGTGTATATGCACCACATTTTCTTTATCCATTCATCTGCTGATGGACACTTACGTGCTTCCAAAGTTTAGCTATCGTACACAGTGCTGCAACAAATACGGGAGTGCAGATATCTCTTTGATATACTGATTTCCTTTCTTTGGGGTATATACCCAGCAGTGGGATTGCTGGATCATATTGTAGCTCAATTTTTAGCTCAACTTCCACACTGTTCCCCATAGTGGTTGTGCTAATTACATTTCCACCAACAGTGTACAAGGGTTCCCTTTTCTTTGCATCCTCTGGAGCATTTGTTATTGCCTGTCTTTTGTATGTAAGCCATTTTAACTGGACTGAGATAATATTTCATTGTGGTTTTGATTTGCATTTCTCTGATGATCAATGATGTTGAACACCTTTTCATATGTCTATTTGCCATTTGTATGTCTTCTTTTCTTTTTCCAAGGTTGTATCTCAGCTTTTTTTTTTTTCCTTTAAGTTCTGGGATACATGTGCAGAATATGCAGGTTTGTTACATAGGTATACACATGCCGTGGTGGTTTGCTGCACCCATCAACCCGTAATCTACATTAGGTATTTCTCCTAATGCTATCCCTCCCCTAACCCCCCAACTCCCTGACAGGCCCCAGTGTGTGATGTTCCCCTTCCTGTGTCCGTGTGTTCTCATTGTTCAACTCCCACTTATGAGTGAAGACGTGGTTTTGGTTTTCTGTTCCTGTGTTAGTTTGCTGAGAATGATTTCCAGCTTCATCCATGTCCCTGCAAAGGACATGAACTCATCCTTTCTGATGGCTGCAGAGTATTCCATGGTGTATATGTGCCGCATAGACTTGGAACCAACCCAAATGCCCATCAATCTATGTCTTCTTTTGAGAAATGTCTATTCAAATCTTTTGACTATTTTTTGATCAGGTAATCAGATTTTTTCCTATGGGGTTGTTTGAGCTCCTTATATATTCTGGTTATTTATCCATTGTCAGATGGGTAGTTTGCAAATATTTCCTCCCATTCTGTGGGTTTTCTCTTCATTTTGTTGATTGTATCCTTTGCTGTGCAGCTTTTACACTTGAGGTGATCTCATTTGTCCATTTTTGCTCTGATTGCCTGTGCTTGTGGAGTATTGCTCAATAAATCTTTGCTCAGACCAATGTCCTGTAGTGTTTCCCCAATGTTTTCTTGTAGTTTCACAGTTTGACATCCTAGATTTAAGTCTTTAATCCACTTTGATTTGATTTTTGTATGTGGCAAGAGATACGGGGTCTAGTTTCATTCTCTGCATATGGATATCCAGTTTTCCCAGTACCATTTATTGAAAAGACTGTCTTTTCCCCAGTAATGATTGTTAATTTTGTTAGGTGTGATGATGGTATGGTGGTGATATTTCTTAAAAATTAGTTTGCTACAGTTTTATTTTATTTTATATACACAAATATATAGTTTTATTATAATTCTGTTAGTTTTCTATAGTTTTGAAAATACCATAAATTTAGGAACTTGAAAAAATTCAAATTTATTATCTCCACTTTCTATGGATCAGGAATCTTGGCTGAGTTCTCTTATCAGGATCTTAAACTGCTGAAAACAAGGCAACATTAGGGGTTGCTACTCCTATCTGAGGATTAGGGTCCAATTTCATATAGGGTGTGGACAAAATTCAGTTCTCTATGCTTTTAGGACTGAAGTTCTCATTTTGTTACTTGCTGTTGACCAGAGCGACTCTCAGCTCCTAGAGGATTCATTCTTTGCCACTTGGCTCCCTCTATCTTCAAGCTATTCATAGTAATGGAGAATGTCTTGCATGTTGAATCCCCCTCATGTATTAAATCTCTGACTTCCTCTGTCTCTGACCTCTAGACTGAGATTTAAAGGGCTCATATGATTAGGCCAGGCCCACCCAGATTATCTTCCTATGTTAAGGTCAATTGATTGAGGTTCTTAATTACTTTTGCAAAATTCTTTAGAGCAGTGCCTACATTACTGTTTGACTGAATGACTGGGATAAAATGTGTGTACTCTAGGGTCCAGGAATCTAGGGGGACGATCTTGGAATTCTGCATAACACAAACCCTATCAGTTTAATAAATACTGACATATATAAGAATAGAAAGACATCATGCATAGGATTTTCATTAGACAACAAAAAATAGAGTGAAAAATAGATCCAATAAAATTGGCAAAATATTAAAAGTTGTCGAAATTGAATGATGGGTATTTGAGGGTTTATTTTACTATTTTACTGCTTTTCTTATTTTTGAAATTGTTCACTAAAAGTGTAAATAAATAATCTGTCCGTCAGCCTTAATCCTACTACCCAAACTTCGGTTTCATTAAACTGTGTCTTGGTTGAGTCAAAACCCTTTCTTCTGGACCTCTCGCGTCCAGTCATTCCTCAGTCCTTCAGAGCCACGAGGACCTGGGAGCCATGAAGCCATGAGAGCCCTTCAGAGCCAATGGGACTGAGTGGCTTTCAAGGCATGTCTGAAATGGCCAGGATGGTAGATGTTGGTGCATGGATGAAGACTAGAGCATTTGCCATATTAAAGGTGAGGAGTGAGACAAGGCATGTCTGAAATGGCCAGGATGGTAGATGTTGGTGCATGGATGAAGACTAGAGCATTTGCCATATTAAAGGTGAGGAGTGAGACGAGGCTTTCTAGAAAGAAGACAGTTGTGCTGAAGTGATCCTTGACAACTATGGGAAAGGACAAGGAAATAAAGATGCCTGAAAAAAAGGAGTTGTCTTTCATAGAGAGGAATGTTAACAATAAATATAGAATTATAGAGTTAAAACATCATCATTATACAACCCCCAAAGTAATATGTAACTTAGACAAGAATATCAGAGATTTGCAAACCAATTGGTGAAAGTTTATTAGAGAACAGAATATTCACACAGTCTAAAAATATCATATCACAGATAACTTTTTTAAATTACAAAGGGAAAATAGACCTTATAATGAAGAGATCTTGAGATCACTCCATTAATTGAGTGATATAATTTAGGATCACCAAAAGTAAGACAATATAACTTTATGTGATTCCTCACTGATGCAATAAGAACTATCTAGTGTCAACTAATGGCCTAATATTTGTGCCAAAAATGTTAATTTGCATCTGATCATAAAGAAACAATCAAGCAAATCCAAATGGGGGCATTGTATAAGACAACTGGCTTGGACTCTCACAAAATTCAGTATCATTAAAAACAAAAACTAAAAAGCATAGGAATTGTTTTAAATTAAAATATTCCAATGATTCTTAACCAAGTGTAATGAATGAACTTTGATTGAAACCCAGTATAAAGAGAAAAACATAAAAGACATGTTGGAGACAAAAATCTGAACATGAATGATACATTAGATGTTATAACTGAATTGCACTAAGTAATTTTGGAGGTAATAATAGTAATGTGCTTTTGTAGGAGAATGTCCTACTTAGCAGGTATATTTTAAAACATTTAGAGGTAAAGTATCATGATGTTTAACAGCAAGTAATTAAGCAAAAAATTCAACATACATATATATGCACGTGTGTGTGTGAGGAAAAGAGAACAAAGAAATTTGTCAAAATGTTATCAAACAGTGAAGATTATATGGTTGTTCATTATACTATTACTTCAACTCTTCTATAGGTTTAAACTTTTAAATACAAAAAAAAAATTACCAAACCTTTCTTGACTTTAGCTTTACATTTGTAAAATGAGGGGATTTAAAATAAATCACCTCTAAGTTATTGATTATTTGATCGCATGTAAACTGGAACATAGTTCTTTGCCTTGCACGTAATTAACTTTGGATTACTGTTTCTCGATAAAGTTCAGGAAAACACTTGGGGATTCTTTCAAAATTTTGTAAAAACTCCTTAAATATAACTAGAAACCCAAATTATTTCCACTTTAGAAATGATAGTTACATACATGATTGGCACATACAAAGAGGCTTATTCATTTCAAATTCATAGCATATTATTGAAAAAAATAAAAATTTATAAAAGTCAAATATAATAAACACCTTTCAAAACTATAGACAATTTGTACATATGATCTATCATTTACCACACATATTTTATATTTTATATTATATTATTTTATCACAATTTTCATATTATTTATGAAATACTTGTCATATTTATCATGTTATTTTATCATATTTGTATACGTATTATTCACGTAGTAAACAGAATATCATCTACTCTGACTTCTTAAGAAAGCAATTTTTTTCATTCAAAAGACTAAATTCCCTCGTTCTTCAGCATATATAGCAAATTGGAAAAATTAACAATTCCTGATTGGTGAGCATTGATTACAATTATATCTTATAAAGTTACATTTGCTATTAGGTAGCAAGATTGAGAAAGAGAAATATTTTAAAGCATACTTTACATGCAAGAATTTCAACTGTTTTAATTGAAAAGGTCTAAAACTATTACACAGAGAACCTGAAAAAACCGTACTGAATTGTTGGTGAATCATGCTCTTTCTCCATGGTGACATAAAGTATTGTTTGGAAAAGATAATAAGAAAGAACATTCTCCATCAGTTAGTAAAACAAATCAAGATATATTCCTTAAATGATTTCCTGCCTTTATTGCAAATATTAATCAATTATTTTATGAATAAATAATTTGACATCCCGTATTCCTTTATTGGTTTATTTATATTGTTGTTGTTGTTGTTTTTTGAGACAGAGTCTCACTCCATCGCCCAGGCTGGAGTGCAGTGGCACAATCTCGGCTCGCTGCAACCTCTGCCTACTGGGTTCAAATGATCTCCTGCCTCAGCCTCCTGAGTAGCTGGGATTAAGGCATGTGCCACCACGCCAAGCTAATTTTTGTATTTTTACTAGAGACGGAGTTTTGCCATCTTGGCCAGGGTGTTCTCAAACTCCTGACTTCAAGTAATCCACCCGCTTCGGCCTCCCAAAGTGCTGGGATTACAGGCGTGAGCCACTGCACCTGGCTTTATATTGGGTAATTTTATTAACATTATTATATCTCTAAATTTATCATAATTTTCCATTTAAAATTGTTTTGAAATAGAAAAAAAAACTGAAGAAATCAACTTTAGTTGAGATTTTGTTTACTCACATTTTAGTATCTAGTTAAAAATAAAAGCACAACTGACAGAATATGATATACCCTGGTAAAATTTTGGTTATGACATCAATATTAAAAAATTTATCCAGAATATATTTTTTAAAAAGAAAAATAAATACCTTCTTAAAATGAAAATAGTATTTGCTTCCTATTTAAACTCTCATAGATTCTTGAGAACTAATCTGAGGATCTTCCAGCATGATCTCATAGTATATCCAGATGTTTTTGCAAAGCGAGATCATCACAATCCATAGACCTAAGCACCAATTTCGTCTTTTTGTCTTTCTTCAGCTAAAACTTAGTTTTTTCTCCTTTGAAAACATTTGTGATGGTTAATTTTCTGTGTCAACTTGAGTGGGCTAAGGGATGCTCAGATAGCTGGTAAAACATTATTTCAGGGTCTGTCTGTGAGGATGTTTCCAGAAGAGTTTAACATTTAAACACTTCCAACTCCAAAAGGCAGGAGACTGAGCCCAAAGTCCACCACTGCAAAATATATCCAAGTAACAAACGTGCACATGTACCTCCTGAATCTGTACAAATTTAAAAATAAATAAATAAATAAATTCCACTTTGTTGTGCACTAATAGTGTCTTATTTTCCCATCACAGTGAATATTAGACTGGTGATGGCTGTACTTTGACCTAATATAATTTGCATTCCCCATATCACTTAGCACAAAAATATTTATAATTACACACACACACACACACACACACACACACACACACAGAGCATTCACAGGTATTTGTTGAATGAGTGATTCAGTGTATGAACTATTCTACTCTTTAGTAGATGTTCCAGATTTTAGTATCATGTTTCTGCCCATTACTCTCTTTTTCAAATGTTTAAGTTATTAAATTTCAAAATTTACAAAATTTAGCAGTTTTTACTATGAAAGCATTACCCCCTTGTTCATATTAACTGAATATGTTTAACACTGCTTAACTGAACAATAAGGAATAAATATTAATTCTACCGTGTCCACTCATATGCCAAATTCACATCTTTGTCTGATTTACTTGCATCTGTTTTATTTTAGCTTGGTCAAGAAAACAATACAATCTTTAACTGTACTACAAAAGACTAGAAATGTGACTAAATCAATGCATTATCATCTATTGTAAAAGTGTTTTCAAAAGGGGTATTGTTACAAGGAAGTCCTACAACTAACTATAAAGGGGGCGGGAAAGTGTTGGTGCCTCTCTGCACAGTGTTTCACAGCTCTCCAATTCACAGATCTCACGTTGAAGCAAAATTCTTTCTAAGACCCAAACTCTTTCCAGGCAATTTTCCAAATGGTCTAAGACAAACTTACCACTGTTTATGCTGCTAAATGTTTAAAGTTAAAAGTCATGGGTATTTCACTCTGAAATATGTCACAAAAAGGTCTTTGCTGTTTACCTGACTCAATTAGTAACTTTACTTAGGATGATTTTTAGGAATAGATGAGCATTTTTTAAAATGTGGTTTATGTACTTACAAATGTATACAGTAAAACATTATTATTAAACGGTGAGTGTTCTTGAATAAAGGTTTAGGTCAACACCAAAAATCACTTGGGCATTCTTCTTCCTCTAGGGCACACAGCATCTTAATTCTGCACATAAAAATCATTTTTTTTTTCCAGCCTGGGCAACATAGTAAAGCCCCATTTCTACTAAAATAAAAATAAAAAAATTTAACCTAGCTTGGTGGCGTGCGCCTGTAATTCCAGCTACTTGGGAGACTGAGGTGGGAGGATCACTTGAGGCCAGGAGTTTGAGACTGCATTGAGCTTTGATTGTGCTATTGCACTCCGGTTTGGGTGACAGAACAAGACCCTGACTCTAAAAAAATAATCATTTTTTTCCGGTTGAATTGTATTATAGAGATATGAATAATAATTTTAAAACAATGATATAATATAATCTTGGCACCATTGGCACTACATAGAATCTGTGAATTTTCTGATTCAAATGGAACAAAGCTATTAACTTATATGTTCACTAATGCTTCATGATGATTATTACATTAAGATCAATTTTGGTAATAGTTCTATATTTCTCATCTTCAAAGGTAAAAAAAGTGATAATTTCTGCCTAACTAGATCTGCAGCTACATCTTCTTCCTAATTTGGAATGGTAGTAACTGCCTAACTTTGTAGCTACATTTAAAACTGATTTTCAAGGAGTTTTCATACAAAAACTTTCTGTCACATAATCCTGGGTTTCACCGAAAACAGAGTAATAGATAACACCTAGAAGAGAAAGCAACCAACAAGAGAAAATTTTCTCTCTTATCTTATAATTAACTAATTATAATAAAAATCTATATAATATCATACTTTCATTCTCACTGAGATTTGAGTTATTCTTATGGCAGCCTGAATCTGCAGATACCACCACTAATAATTGGAACTGTGAGTGAACAGTTCTAATTCTGTCTCCACCTGATTCTCCATCTCAAATACAAAAGCCTCTTGTCTCAAAAGTGGTTTGATATTCCAGTCAAAAATCTAGATCAAAAAATATTTTAGATTCTCTTGAGAATAGGAAAAGCAATAACCTAAGCAAAAACAATCACTTATTCAGGAATGTTTTAATTTTGTATACATATAAGTACAGTGGTAAGACAGGATCTTGTGTGTTAAAAGCAACTGAAGTGAAACCATAAGCACAATAGGAAGTCATGCTTGAAAACCAGGAGACTTCTGCTTCTGGCCCTGGGGGAGTGACAGAGTGTAGAATTAACTTTCACCCATAAACAACTAGAAAACTGAGTAAATATAGAAAATATTTATTTTTAGAAACTGGATTAGTTCAGCCACAGTGGAAAGCAGTTTGGAGAGTCCTCAAAGAACTTAAAACAGAACTACCTTTCCAACCCAGCAATCCCATTACTGGTTATATACCTAAAGGAATATAAATCGTTTTACCATAAAGACATATGCACATGTATGTTCACTGCAGCACATTTTACAATAGCAAAAACATGGAATCAGTCTAGATGGCCATCAATGGTATACTGGATAAAGAAAATGCAGTACAGGCCGGGCGCGGTGGCTCATGCCTGTAATCCCAGCACTTTGGGAGGCGGAGGCGGGCGGATCACGAGGGCAGGAGATCGAGACCATCCTGGCTAGCACTGCGAAACCCCGTCTCTACTAAAAATACCAAAAAAAATTAGCCAGGCGTGGTGGCGGGCGCCTGTGGTCCCAGCTACTCAGGAGGCTGAGGCAGGAGAATGGCGTGAACCCAGGAGGCGGAGCTTGCAGTGAGCCCAGATCGTGCCACTGCACTCCAGCCTGGGCAACAGAGCGAGACTCCATCTCAAAAAAAAAAAAAAAAAAAAAAAAAAGAAAAAGAAAAGAAAAGAAAATGCAGTACAATACACCATGGAATACTATGCAGCCATAAAACAGAATCAAATTATGTCCTTTGCAGCAACATGGATGCAGCTGGATGCCATCAACCTAAGTCAATTAATGCAGGGAAAGGGAACAAAATACCGCACGTTCTCACTTGTAAGTTGGAAACTTATAAGAGGGGACCAACAGACACCGGAGCTTACTTGAGGGTAGAAGGTGGGAGAAGGGTCAGGACTAAAAAACTACTTGTTGGAGACTATGCTTAGTATCTGGGTGATTAAATCATTTGTACACCAAACCCCAGCAACACATAATTCTCCCATGTAACAAACCTGCACATGTACCCCTTGAACCTAAAATAAAAGTTGGAAGGAAAAAACGAAAGACGGACCCTGGACCATAGGCAGTGCAGATAATGGTCTCTGAAAAAAGAAACAAATGAGGAGCATTTTGTTTGAAGGTACTTTTCAAGCTGCAGCAAAGGAATGAGGAAACCAGAATAAGCCTGGGAATCTCATTGAACTGGGGGGACAAATATCCCAATTTGGGAGGCTGCAGCAGTTAGAATTTGTGGGGCAAAGTACCTGAGATAAAGGAACTAAGTGGAGAAAGACTTCCAAAATCTGGCTAGAGATCCTTATAATTCTTTGGCTGAACACCAAATATGCATGAGTACTGTGAAGTCCCATGAGTCAAAACTAGAAATATCTTCCAGGAAGAGAAAAATTATGTAAGATGAACACTTCACAGAACTCGCACAGAACTGGTAGTTTTTTGAATTCCGATTAGCCAGAGTAGAGATGCCTTATTGAATACAAAAAACATCCAGTAAATTTCACAGAAGGGCCCATATCTTAGAAATGGAGCCAAAGTAGCCCAGAGTAAGTTTTATTCTAGACCTTTCCTAAAATAACTTAGAAAGAAGCTTCAAAAGACCAAAGTTCTAAAATGTGGCCAAAGCTTAACAATCTTTAAAGGGATTCAACAAAATCTGGCTCTCAGCAAATTAAAATTCACAATGTTTGGCACTGGGAAAAGTCACTCAATAGAGACAAACAATCCTAGGAATGAATGAGATGATAAAATTGGTGACAAGAACTTTAAAATATCTATTATGAATATGCTCCATATCCTCAAGGATATAAAAGAAAACATAAAAATTATGAGACACAAATAGAAAATGTAAAAGAGAAACAAATGGAACTTCTAGAGATGAAAATTAAATATCTGAAATGAGGAATTCACTGGATAAAATTAACAGTGGTAAGTAATTTATTTCAGAAGAAAAGATCAGTAGATTTAAAGCTATAGCAACAGAAGCTATCTAAAATGAAGCACAGAGAAAATAATAACTAAAAAACAGAAACAAAGCTTCAATACTCTGTGGGATAATATAGGTAACTGGAGACCCAGAATGAAAAAGAGGGAGAACAGAGGACAGAAAGAATAGACAAAATTTCCATATTTGTTGAAAACTGTAAACCTACAGATCCATAAATCTCATAGTTCCTAAGCAGAATAAACAGAAAGAAATCATCTCAGCACGTATCATAAACTAATGGCTGAAAATTACCAAGTTTTGAGAGTTGAGGGAAGGAGACAGAGTTAGGTTTGTGGGTGAGATAAAGCCCAAGATAAGTGAAACATTCCATGCCACTCTCTGAGGATTCATAACCAGCAGGTATAAATTCTCATCACTGACTTTAACTATTGCCATGTTTTTTTGGATCTGACATTAAAAGTGAACAAAAGTACAAAATGAAATGACCGCTATGCTGTCAGACACTGTCACAGTTAAAGGATTTAGAAGTTTTTCAGTAGTAACTCTTTACTGTGCAGACAAATATGTTTGATTGTGTTTATTATAGGAATCTCTGTAGCATTCACTTATTAAATATTTATGGAGCACGTATTTTGTTCCTAGACTGGAGGTAGGTAGATATTTTGTGGTAATATGCAAAATAAATAAGGTAAACATACTACTAGTTAGTTCCCCTAATTTAGAGATTCTAACTTGGTGTGCAAATAAACAGTGAATAGTACTTTACATAGGAAAAAAACACATATAACAACCTCTAAAGCCTCTATTCATAAATGGTTATAGCAGTTATAAAATTATCCTCATACATCAAAACTCCAAGATTTAGCATTTTGACTCAAGCAGGACTCCTTTTTCCTCCATCAAGGATATTGAATATGTAATCTTAGAATCAAAGGGTGCCAGGACTAAAGATGACTATAGAAATCATTTAGTACAGTGGTGTTGAAACATACATGAAAGAGGCCAGACGGCTACCTCAGGTGGACTTGGGCAGTGGTAGTGGTAGTGAGGGCAGATTGACTGAGCAGATGGTCCCCTGGTGTAACCAGAAGACTAGAATACATTGGAGTGGTGGGGGTGGGGGTTTGGGGGAGAGAGGGGCACACTTACCATGGATTCATAAATCCCATATTAACATTTTGCCTAGGCCCTGTAGATATTTGAGTTTGAAAAGCCTGAATTATATTCTCTCCTTCTTTTTATTGTTCCTCCTTTCCTCGCAATATGTAACCACTAAGGAAGGAGGTTCAAGTCACTGGCTGATGTTTTTTCCAGATAGCTCATTCTTCTATGGCACAAAGGGAATCATCATCTTAACTAATTTTTACTTTAACTCGTTAACATCCCATGCTATTTTATATAAATGATTTTTATTTGTATATTTGGATAGATACTATTAATACATATTTGTGAAATTACTTTTATTTCAATAACATTATTTGTGATAGCACACAGTATGGATCAAGGCTTGAAAGGCTGATCCATATCACTTACTTTAGACTTCTCACCTGAGTAAGCTAGCTTATACTACCAGCAATATAGCTTCAAATTCTTGATAATACTTAGAAAAAAATAAAATGTAACCAAAACTAATCTTATTAAATTTGGCAGGAAAGGTGGAGAAATGGCTTCAATGCCTATTTTGCCTGCTGCACTGTCCAATATGATGCTATTTAAATTTAAATTAATTAAAAATTTAAAAGCATTAGCTCCTTAATAGCACTTGCTACATTTCAAGTTCTTAATAGCCATATGTAGCTAGTGGGTATTTTATTAGACAGCTGAGCTATAAAAATGTTCCATTATTACAGATATTCTATTGGACTGCCCTGCACTAAAGAAGTACTGTAAATTGAAGAAAATTGCTTTGTCATCTATAAGCATGTCCCTCTGTCTCTTGTCATGGAAAGGAAAATGTTACTCTGTGAAAAGAAAATCTAGTGCATTTATTTTCTTTCTGACACTTCATTCAATTGTCGTGTCCTTCCGTCTGCCTTCTACTTCTAATAGTTCACCCTTCCTGTTCAATCTACATGTTAAACACAGAGACATCAACCATTACCAGCCATATCCCTCTTTTCTGCTAAATAAAGCAATTCTTGTACTACCACAAACATTGGATGTAAATTGTCATTCTGTCACTAGAAAAGATCAGATTATACACATTTCAAAGAGCAGCTTTTTCTGCCTTTGATGGGTTTCCAGTAAATATCCTTGCCCCCAAATACCTTCCAAGAATCTGGTCACAGTGCCTGACATTCCAGCACGTTCCTGAAAATTTTTAGTTTTTCTCAAGTTCATTACTAAAATGCTTCTGTGTATGAATCTGGCTGCTGTGTATTAATCTGGTTCCCTATGTAGCTATTTGTAATTTAACAAGTCAATGCTCTCAGGCTTACAAAACCTGGAGAAAAAAGGTTTTGGCAACTGGGGAGGACAGAGCACATCAGGGTAGCTTTCATGAAAATGCCAGGTTGCTTCTGAAAATGGAGACTCTTTTGCAATGAAAAGTGAGACCAGGAAACATGAGAATGCTATTTGCTCTAAGACGCAGCACCATGAGATTGAGCAAACCTGGCTTTCATCCCGTATTTTTAATGTTCTGTTTCGTGTCTCTGGACACACATTTACCCCTCTGTATTTGTGCATTTCATATCCATAGATTCAACTCAACTGTGAGTGAAAAATATATAGGAAAAAAATTCCACAAAGTATCAAACAGCAAAACTTAAATTTGTCATGCACTGAACTACGTTGAACCCACGAGAATGAAGTGATGTACAGGTAATGTATTAGGTATCATAAGTAATCAAAGGTTGTTTAAAATATATGGGAATATGTGCATAGGTGGAAACCTGTGCATAGGTTATATCCATACACTACACCATTTTATGTAAAGTAATTCAGCTAGTGTGGATTTTGATATCCGTGGGGGTCCTGGAACCAGTCCCCCCACGGAGACTGAGAGACAACTTTACTACTTAATGTCTCTAAACTTCTGTTTTTTGTCCTTAAAAATGGGCATAAAAATAACTTATCAGGATAATAAAGGATATATACAGAAGGCCTAGCTTTGTACTGATCACACATTGGGAAATGATGAAAGAAAGCATTATAGGGATTTCCTTCAGCCTCTTTGTCACTTTTAATAAACTTTTGGTTTCAAAATCAAAATGATGAACATATTCAGTGTTCTTTTCTCTCTGCTCCAGGCTTTGAGAGTTGGGGATTGATTCCAGATAATTTGAAAGAAAATACAGATGATAGTTTCATGGTGAAATGAGACCATCAAGAATTGGTTTAGCTGGAGCAGAAGACCATTACCCAAAAGTGGTGGAAAGAAGATTAGAAAGTTAGGATAGAGATGTAGAGATGCAGAGATAGTGTGTCCGGAATTGGTGGGTTCTTGGTCTCACTGACTTCAAGAAGGAAGCCGCGGACCCTCGCAGTGAGCGTTACAGCTCTTAAGGCAGTGCATCTGGAGTTGTTTGTTCCTCCCGGTGGGTTCGTGGTCTCACTGGCTCCAGGAGTGAAGCTACAGAACTTCGTGGTGAGTGTTACAGCTCATAAAGGCAGTGTGGACCCAATGAGTGAGCAGCAGCAAGATTTATTGCAAAGAGTGAAAGAACAAAGCTTCCACAGTGTGGAAGGTGACCCCAGCAGGTTGCCACTGCTGGCTCTGGCAGCCTGCTTTTATTCTGTTATCTGGCCCCACCCACATCCTGCTGATTGGTCCATTTTACAGCAAGCCGAGTGGTCTGTTTTGACAGGGTTGATTGGTGCGTTTACAATCCCTGAGCTAGACACAAAGGTTCTCCATCTCCCCACTAGATTAGCTAGATATAGAGTGTCCACGCAAAGGTTCTCCAAGTCACCACCAGAGTAGCTAGATACAGAGTGTCGACAGGTGCATTCACAAACCCTGAGCTAGACACAGGGTGCTGATTGGTATGTTAACAAACCTTGAGCTAGATACAGAGTGCCGACTGGTGTATTTACAATCCCTTAGCTAGACATAAAGGTCCTCCAGGTCCCCACCAGAGTAGCTAGTTACAGAGTGTCAATTGGTGCAGTCACAAACCCTGAGCTAGACACAGGGTGCTGATTGGTGCATTTACAATCCCTTAGCTAGACATAAAGGTTCTGCGAGTCCCCACCAGACTCAGGAGCCCCGCTGGCTTCACCCAGTGGATCACGCACCAGGGCCGCAGGTGGAGCTGCCTGCCAGTACTGCGCTGTGCGTCCGCACTCCTCAGCCCTTGGGTGGTCGATGGGACTGGGTGCTGTGGAGCAGGAGGCGGCGCTGGTCGGGGAGGCTCTGGCTGGCACAGGAGCCCACGGAGTGGGGGAGGCTCAAGCATGGTGGGCTGCAGGTCCCAAGCCCTGCCCCACAGGGAGGCAGCTAAGGCCCAGCGAGACATCGAGCGCAGCGCCGGTGGGTCGGCACTGCTGGGGGACCCAGTATACCCTCCGCAGCCGCTGGCCCAGATGCTAAGCCCCTCATTGCCCGGGGCGGCAGGGCCAGCCAGCTGCTCCGAGTGTGGGGCCCGCCAAGCCCACACCCACCTGGAACTCCAGTTGGCCTGCAAGTGCAGGCGCAGCCCCAGTTCCCGCTGGCGCCTCTCCCTCCACACCTCCCTGGAAGCTGAGGGAGCCAGCTCTGGCCTTGGCCAGCCCAGAAACGGGCTCCCACAGTGAAGCGGTGGGCTGAAGGGCTCCTCAAGTGCCGCCAAAGTGGGAGCCCAGGCAGAGGAGGTGCCGAGAGTGAGCGAGGGCTGCAAGGGCTGCCAGCACGCTGTCACCTCTCAATAGGGTTTCGCCATGCTGGCCAGGCAGGTCTCCAGCTCCTGACCTGAAGTAATCCACCAGCCTTGGCCTCCCAGAGTGCTGGGATTACAGGCATGAGAATTTTACTTTATATGCAATTGTAACAACCTTTCCTGTATGTTTATTGTTTCAGTGTTCTGTGAAGGCTAACTAATGGTTACCAATGAGAAATCTGAAGAAATTAGGTGCCTTGGAAACAGAAATGACTATATAGTACCCAGAAAGGAATCTGAAATTTGAAAAAGAGTATTAAGAAAATTTTGTAATGATACTGTTGTTCCAACAGCAAGGCAGTGTGGAATGCATTTTAGAAGATTTTCAAAGTGAATGAAATGGAAAAACAAGGCATCTAAAGTGATAAACATTCATTATTTTGGAATTTTTACTTACATGGAATATCGCTTTGCTTGGTGATGATTGATAAATAAAGTATGATAGAACCTTTAGACGTAGCTATTTATGTATTCAAAATACTTGCCTTTGATTTTTAGAGCCTTGCAACAAAGCTATTATAAACTTTTCTCTCTAAACTCTGGTTTCAGTATCAGATGAAAGCCTACTCTTTAGAAAAGATTTTAAGAAAAAATACAATCCTGTCTATATTAAGTCATGTAATAGAAAATAGAAATTTAAAATAAAGGGTCTGGACTTAAACCAAGTTATTAATACTTTTATACATTTAAATAGCGGCATGTGATTTACATCCAATGTGTCTCATGCTGGAAAGGTTGAACTAAGCCAAGAGCTAAAGAACTAAAACTCTAAAGAAAAACAAAAACAAAAACAAACAACAACAAAAAAACTCTTTCAGATTAACATTTTCAACCAAATACAGTTAATTTTCAGAGAACTAAAATTTGATTAAAACCAACAAAATTATATGTGTTAAATGTAGAAGTAATAATAGCTATAGTACCATTAAGATTGTAAAATTAAAATCAAGCTGTAATTTAAACTAGAATGCTAATGAATACCTCATTCTTACTCCACCATGGTTCAACCCCTTTTGCACTATTTCAACAGCCTCCTAATAATGAGGTCTCCTTGTCTCTGATCTTTATTTCGTCTAGTTCATCCTGTTCCTTTTATGAAATTAGCCCTTCCAGAGAAGTGTTATCCTATATCATTCCCACACTAAAAAACCTTCAAATTTTTAACTGAGTTAAGGGCAAATCTGTCAGTTTGTACTTCAGATCCTCTACCATAGTGGTTTTTCAAATGAATTATCTGGAAACCTAATAATCTGTAGTTCATTAGAAGTTTTACAAAGTTTTGTTACAAGTACAGTGGATGCTGAGACTGTAATTGCTGTTTATTAACCTGGGCTTCAAATGTCTAGATGTCATTAGGCCAGAACATTGTAGAATAATTGTGCTAGATTTGAACCTATAAAGTAACTGTATTCTAATTATAACTTTGAAATCTTTTACATTAGAGTTCTACATAACATTTTATTTGGAAAGGTGGTTGATCTATTAAGAGTTTGACAAGAGTTGTTCTGCAACGTGCCAACGGTTTTATCACCAAAATTGCCACAAATTATTGTATCCTGTATCTACTATCTTTTTGTTGTTGTTTTTGTTGTTTTAGGGACAGTCTTGCGATATGGCCGAGGCTGGAGTGCCGTGGTGCGATCATAGCTCACTAAAACCTGGAACTCCTGCACTCGAGGGACTCCTGGGAACTCTGAGCAATGCTCTCACCTCAGCCTCCTGAGCGGCTAAGACTACAGGTGACTGCCACCACACTTGTCTAATTTTAGAATATTTTTGTAGAGATAGGATCTTGCTATGTTGCCTAGTTTAGTCTTGAACACCTCGCCTCAAGAAATCCTCCTGCCTTGGCCTCCCAAAGTGTTGAGATATCAGGTATGAGACACCCTGCCTGGACTTGCATCTACTATCATGCTGGTCCCTCCACCCAAAATTTCCTTCTCCTCATTCTGTTCCCCATGTCTCTATGTTAAATCTTTTAAAGGCTATCATAGCCTTTCCTGATCCACCTACCCAACTTTCTCTTAACTTCGTTTCATATATATATATATGGCATCCATTGAGTTTTTCTTTCCTGTGTTTTCTCCATATTCCGTCCTAGGTTAATTTTGCCTGGGGGCAAACATTATGTCTTTTTTTTTTTTTTTTTTTTTGATGGAGTTTTGCTCTTGTGGCCCAGGCTAGAGTGCAGTGGCACGATCTTGGCTCACCACAAGCTCCATCTCCCGGGTTCAAGTGATTCTCCCGCTTCATCTTCCTGAGTAGCTGGGATTACAGGTATGTACCACCACGCCTGGCTAATTTTGTGATTTTAGTAGAGATGAGGTTTCTCCATGTTGGTCAGGCTGGCCTCAAGCTCCCGACCTCAGGTGATCCGCCTGCCTTGGCCTCCCAAAGTGCTGGGATTACAGGCGTGAGCCACTGTGCCTGGCCAAAATTATGTCTTACTTTGCACTTATTTAACTACCAGAATTTTAAAGAAAGGAATTGAGCACCAAGATTTCTGAAAGTGAAAATCAGCATCACCACCACATACATTCTGTAAATTCTATGCTTGAAGAGCCTTACCTTTTATCCAATAATAAAAGATGTTTGCTAATTAGCCAAGTATGGAAAGTACGATAATTTCATAGAACATATATAAAATTATCAATGTTTTACAATGACTTGACAATATGGGAAATATGATTAGTAATAACAAAGATAATGAAAATGACAATTTGTTGAGTGCTTATCATATGCTGTATCTCCCCCTATAATTTCTTACCTCATGCTAACGGTTCTCCAAAATGAACAACATCTCACTTTTACAGAAGAAAAAATTGATACTCCAGAGGTGAAATCATTTGCTCAAGTTTACAAGAGTAAAAATAGGAGAGTCAGGATTCAATCTTGGCTCTGTGTGGCAGAAGAGTTTTTGTTCTTTCCAGTTTATCATGCTGTCACTCAAAATGAAAACAACAGTAGCATGTGTATGAATTCCTCCTGGAGGAAAGTTTGAATGTTACTATTCAATAGATCTGCCTTGAGACTTCTTTGTGTCTGTTACAAAATTCTTGCTTGAGGGTATCTCAAAACAAAACACCCACTTGGGCAGAAAGCTGCCTTCCCCAGTTAGTGAGCAATTTCACTCTTCCTGGCTGAGAAGGTTTCTACCAGGATAGGTGAAAACAAAAAGGAAAGAATTGAAAAATAGAAATGTTATATACTTGGAGATATGAACTGAAAAATTGCGTTACTACTGATAGAAGAATATAGTCAAATAAGAATAAAGAGAAAAAATACACAAAATGTTAGTTAAATATAGATTTGTGAGCAATTCTGGTATTGCTATTTGGGTGGTGATGAAAGCTAAATAATCAAACCAATAGATACAGACTTCCTATAATAGCAGAATAGAGGAGAGATATTGATCAAAATGCTCTTCAAGTCTGTGAGAGTTTCAGATTTCCAGCTCAGATTCTGGCTTGCTTCTCAACTTGAACCAACACCAACAGTGCCAGTTTCCTTGAGAGAACTACTGCCTCTTCACTAATACAACCAGCTAGCCTCAGTTCTATCTGCCAGTCCTGTTTTTGCCTTCTTCTCCTGGTTGGCAGTCTCCCTGCTTTCAGGCCCACTTTAAGCCCTTTGACTCTGGCTAAAAAACAGTTGCCTCATCCTACAGTATTTAGCAATTCAAAACATCCTTAGGCCACTGAGCTAAATTTTCCCTTTGGTAGTTTCTAAGTTTAATGTCTTTCCTAATCTCACTGCCCCCATTTCTTCCTTAATTGTGATCCTATAGAGTTTGAGTTCTTACATTATAAGTAGTAAATAACAGAAGTTGCAACATACTTCAGGCACTTTGAAAGTAGCTCATGTGAAAATCACCTTGAGATAATGCTGAGAATGCTGAGAATACTAGTCTGAAGAGCCCTAATAATAAAAGCCCCAGTAATAGAGATGCCCAGTGGGGTAGTCTTTGGGGAGAGGAGAGCAGTGATACAATTGTTAATCAGCCCCAGTGTTGAGAGTTCAGTTCCAGTTACCCAGAAGCCATTGCCCTAAACTTTCAGCAGTTTGGTCTTTTCGCCTTTCCTCTGTCCCTCAGTGTCTCCCTCCCCACTTTTCATCCTTCATACTGATTTTCCTGACCCGTTGCCTCTCTGATCTTACACTTATTGATCTGAAGAAGGACTTTTCATTTCATGAGAACATTTCCCCTAAGACAAAGTAAGAAGAGCTGTTTAAGACTATAATACTGTTTAGATAATATTTTTCATGTAGGAATAAGACGTTTTGCACATAGGAGAGGATTGTAATCTCCTATGTTAAGCTAACCACTTAACAAAATTTCACTTATATTTAAAAATGAAAAACAATTTATACCTATTAAACCTAGCCATCAGAATGTAAAAATTATGACTAAAACATCTAATTTTCAAACATTAGGTGTTAGACACTTGGCTAAGCATTTTATACGCACTTTTTCATTTAATCTCCAAAATCAGTACACATCAGGGAATAGGTGCTATTATTATTATTTCTATTTACCACATGAGAGAAGTGTTGAAATTTATAGAAACCAAGTAACTTGTCCAAGGCTGCAGAATTGTACTCAGAATTCTCAGGAATTAGAGCCTGCTAACAACAATGTCAAGAACAACAGCTCTTGATTATTTATACTGCTACAGACTTTATGTTATAAAATTAAAGCTACATCTTGATAGTCATTTGGTCAGTAATAGCTCTCCTAAAGCTATTACAGAATAAACTGAATGATAGAAAAAAAAATCTATTGGTCAAATTTCACAGAGAACTAATTTCGGTCAATTATAGAGTTAGTTCCAACAGTAAACTCTATTTGTATTGTATTTCTTAATATTATGATAAAAATTATTTTTTCTCCTTGTAGAGATGTTCTCATGTAGCCTAATAAAAAAGAGAAAAATACGTGGTAAGATGGTCTAAAACACCATATATCGATTTTCTTGTTAATTTGACATCTTTCTCTAGAACTGTTCTTAGAGCTTGAAAAACAAGAATTTCCTTCCGAGAAGAAATAATCTCTGAAACTTTGACAAATCCCTATCTAATGAGAACATCTCCTTAAGAACACACATATACTTTTACATTAAACAGTGTGCTGACCTTTAGACTCAATGTTTAAGTTACAGTGTTACAGTGGATTTATTTATTTAACATGTTTTTATTGAATATCTCTTGTGGGCAAAAAGTTTTATGTAATAAAAAGGCCCTGTGTGATCTCAGTGTCAGATCTTATTTGTCCTCTCTAGACTCACTGTGTTAACAGACTTAGGTGTCAAGAGTAATCTCTGCTCCTGAGGGAGTCTGATTAAGAGTGAGTGATGTATCAGGACCACCTCCCCCACTTCCAGAATGAGGGCAGAGAATTACCTGTGCAGCCTCAGACCAAACTAAACAATGACTTCAACCGATGACACCACAACACACCGACTTCAACTTCCTTCACTGTCAGACAACTCCCACCGTTGTTCTTTACACACTAGACTGAATCCCCCATATATTTATACTAATTGAGTCTAGGTTAGCAACACCTCTTAGGACACTGTGATTTGGGGCATTGAATATTTTAGGGGATCTCATCTACTTTGGATCAGCTCCTACCCTTAAAATCCCAACTGACCCTACCAGTTGGAGATCCCAGAATATCTTGAGCTAAATCCATTTAATTAAAAAACTTATTTGTCAGAACTAAACTGAAACTTAAAGATCAGTTGCTGTGTTATTTTAATCAGATCAACTTCTTCAAATAAAATTTAATGGGGAAGCTCAAATTTTCAAATCCCAATAAACAGAAATGAAGGTGCAGTTGAAACAAGAGTACAGCAATGAAATGAGAAGACCGAAGATTCCTCCCACGTACTTCCCACCCACCATCCATATACCTATTCAAGGTTTTAGAACACAGCCTTTACATCCCTGGTATTCCTAGTTTATACCAACTGATTCTGAATCTTAGGTACCCGTCCAAATTTACCTAACTAGTTGGTCTGGAATCCCAAATTCAAACTCAGTATATTAAAGTTCTCTAGAGAAACAGAACCACGTGAATATGTATGTGGGTGTATGTTTTCTGCAAACATACAGAGAGAGAGAATGAGAGAGAGATTTTAAGGAATTGACTGTGGAGGCTGGGAAGTCTGAAATCTAAGGCAGATCATCAGGCTGAAAATCCAGGAAAGAGCTGATGCTGCAGTTTGAGTCTGAAGGTAGTTTAGAGGCAGAATTCTCTCTTCCTTTGGGAATTTCAGTCTTTTTCTATTGAGGCCTTCAACTGACTAGATGATAACTACCCACGTTATGAACAATTATCTGCTTTATTCAAAGCCTACTAATTTAAATGTTAATCACATCTAAACAGTACCCTCAAAATGACATCTAGGCTAATGTTTGACCAAATATTAGGTTACTGTGGCCTAGTCAAGTTGACACATAAAATTAACCATTACACCATGGGTCCTTAATCTAAAAACTTGTGCTTTTTCTCTTATGAATAAGGATTTATGATCCTATAGAAGAGAAAGACATTATAATATAGGCTGTTCACTGTTTACCTAATATTAATTCTCTCCTTTCCCTTCCTAACAAAATATAAAATTTTTGTATGAAGGTCAAGGAGCCTACCTAAAATACGAAACTTTCTAGTCCTCCCTACCATTATAGTTGGCCAGAGTAATGTAAGTGAAGTCATTGGATACAGTTCTGGGAAAGCTCTTTAAAGGGGCTAGCAGATTCAGCTGCCCTGACCAGGTGTAGGGCCTCTTGACCTTTTCCCTGTCCTTCTTTCTCTTGCCTTGAATTTGGACTGATGACTGAAGATGGTGCAGATATCATGTAATCACAAGTATCTAGGGGATCTGAGGGAGCCAAGTCCTAACATTTTTTGAGCTGATGAGCTGATGAACCAGCAGCAGTTACTATTTCCAGATTCCTTATTACATTAGAAAAGACAAATGTGTTTATTGTTTTTCTAAGCCTGCATTAATGTATGCAAACTAAATCCTACGTTGATACAGATAAGGACACAGATCACTACAATGAACATCTTGAAAACTGAACAGTGATGAAAACCTTGAGACTGTACCTAAGGAAATGAGTCAAAAGGAACAAGTTGATATAAACTAGACATAGTAAGTACATCAAACACTAGCAAAGACTATGAAACAGGTACACCGGAGGACTGAACAGCTGCCATTGAATTCAGCAGAAAGGTAAATGGATCTAAATGGCTATAGGAAAAAAGGAGATGCGCGCTTAAAAGAACTAAACTTCCTAGCCGCAATGTTAGGAGAATCACTGGAATGAATTATAGTGAAAGTTGTGTACCTTCTTTCTCTGAACCTTTCTGAAAAGTGAAAAGACAGGAGAAGGACAAGGACAAGTTAGCTGTCCTCATTTGCAGTGTTCACTCCATATGTCTCCTCCTGACAGATGCTTTGAAAAGCTTTATCTTGACTGGTTTGTCAGTGTAAGCACCTTCTCATCTCAAGGTTTTTTGCACAAAGACTTTAATTGGTTAAGCCAATTTGTAGTTGTAACTACAAATACCCACTTTGCAGCAAGAGCTGAATCACAAATCACTTTTAAACATTATTTTCTAATCATAGAAAATGGATTGGGGAGACAGAGAGGGAAAAAACAGATACGTAATCTGTTTGAAGTGACTTAAATTAACTCTTCCTTTGAGCCAGAGGGCTATCTCTGAGCTTTCCACAGCCACAAACCATTTCCTAAAGATATTCTTCTTATGAGTAGCCAGTTTTATGAATAGAATGGGGAGTTGCACAGTAGCGATAGAGGTATAAGTGGGAGGATTTGTGAATCTAATTCTCTAGACTCTGTTGAGGTGGGGAAGCTTGACTAAATGGTGGATGACCTTTGGCACAAGACAGTCATTTGCTAGGAATGAACACAGACTACCTTTATGGGAAAGAGAATAGAGTATGACAAATTTCAGCCAAGTTCAATGTCAGAGATGAGAGAACAAAGATGGATCTAGCATTAAGTGGTTAGGACAGCAGGAGAATTAAACTAGAGGGCCAGAAACAGGTGTTTAGCAAATACAAGGCTGGAATTGTGGCTGAAATTCCAGACCAAAGGCAATATAGCCTATCTTCCTCCTTCCTGCCCTTCTTTCTCTCCCTTCTTTTCTTTATTTTTTCTGAAGACAGGCACAAACAAGACCTTTCTGAAGTCTTATAACTGATGGTAGCTGAAAACAACCAAGGGTATCAGAAGTACAGTGTTCATTTTACCAGCCAAACTTCTTCCTGTCAGTTATCTCAAAATCCAGCTTACCGCTTGTATTAGTCCACATTCACACTGCTATAAAAAACTACTTGAGACTGGATAATTTATAAAGAAAAAAAGTTTAACTGGTTCACAGTTTCACATGTCTCTGGAGGCCTCAAGAAACTTACAATCATATCAGAAGGCAAAGGGGAAGCAAAGCAGGTCTTACATGGCAGCAGGAGAGAGAGAAAGAGAGAAGTTCCACATTTTTAAACCATCAGATCTTGTGAGAACTCATTCACTATCACGAGAATAGCATGGGGGAGACCATCCCCATGAGCCAATCACCTCCCACCAGGTCCTTCCCTCCACATGTGGGGGTTACTATTGGAGATGAGATTTGGGTGGGGTCACAGAGCCAGACCATATCACTGCTGTAGAAAATGATTTTCATTCACAGTTCACCTTTGAGATGTCTTTTGGGAAGAATAGAAATGTAATTTTTTTTTTTTGAGACTGTCTCCCTCTGTCACCAAGCTGGAGTGCAGTGGCATGATCTCAGCTTACTGCAACCTCCACCCCTCAAGTTCAAGCGATTCTCGTGCCTCAACCTCTGGAGTAGCTGGTATTACAGGCATGTGCCACCACACCCAGCTAATTTTTGTGTTCTCAGTAGAGATGGTGTTTCACCATGTTGGCCAGGATGGTTTCCATCTCCTGACCTCATGATCTGCCCGCCTCGACCTCCTAAAGTGTT
Source organism: Homo sapiens (assembly GCF_000001405.40). NCBI lineage: Eukaryota > Metazoa > Chordata > Mammalia > Primates > Hominidae > Homo > Homo sapiens. The sequence goes on along the minus strand of NC_000003.12, from coordinate 152,208,093 downwards.
GGGATTACAGGCGTGAGCCACTGTGGCCGGCTGAAATATAAGGTATTTTCTCAAGCATATTTATTGCCCTCCATCTGTCATCAGGAATGTTTACTTTATGCAAAAATATGGCATTAGTGTGATTTTGACAGGGAATGGTACTCATTTTAAAGATTTGTTGACACAATAGATAATGAGAATCAAGTATTTTTATAAGTTATCTACAAAGCTATCTAATTTTTTAATAGAAGTAGTATTTTACTAAGTAAATTTATACTTCTAGCACTTGATAAATTAACAAATATATGTTTTAAATTTTCTAGGAAGAGCCTATTTACTGTCTACCAGTAAACAGTATCTAAAGGGACTTTGTTGGAGGGATACAACTATCTATATTTCCTCTTTTTTTCTTCTACCCTTCACTCCCTTTTCCCATTTCCTGTATTTTTGTGGCCTCAATTTCCTTTTGGCCAAATTGCTGATCAGTTAATTGGAATCTAACATTTTTTGACTATCTAATGTACAAACATGGTCTTATTTAATGTTCACAATTAGCACCCCAAACTTAAAAAAAAAACAGTCAGTCACTTGTTCAAAGTGACTTAATTGGTAAGAATGGTAGAGAATTTTTATTTTCACTGAAATAATCAGTCTTAAGAAAGTAAAAACCTATTGGACGACCATAATTCTGTACACTATCTCAAGTTGTTTTCAAAGGATCTGGGTAGGGGAAAGATAGGCAAGAGCTAAAATGAGAGCTGTTTTAGGCACAAACTGATTTAAATAAACTTATTCTGCCAATTTAACAGAGAATACAACATACTTGTGACATTTGCCTGGCATGTTTTAGAAACAACAAAGAAAAAAATAGTGTGTTTGAGCAGATGTAGAATATTGAGCATTCAGGGTGCTATGTAAGGACTAGAGAGGCAGTTTGAGGTTGTATGTTAAAGGACTTTTTAGACCAAGTAGAAGAGGCTAAAATGTGTCCCATTTGTATCAGAGAGCCAATGGAAACTTTTAAGATGCGGAGAGTCATGATCTGATTTGTTGAAAATAGAACTGATTATAGATCATCTGAAACTAATTTGGCATTAGTCAATATTTTGTTGAAGGGAAAATTCATCCTCTTATCCATAGAGTCCTTAAACTGTAGACATCTGTGTCTACTCTGCCCTCCTCCAATCACTGTCTATATCTTTGGTACCAAATCCTATCCAGTTTACTCTACATCATCTCTTGCAATTTTATTTTCCATTCTTTCCCTTATCCATGTCCAGATTCACACATCTTCTATTTGCTCATGCCTGGACTTTTGAAGCACATCATGTATTAGGGGGCCAGACACCAGCTTCTCTCCTTTTACCAATATATTCCTCATAGTGTTGGAATTATGGAATCTCTGCAAAGAATAAAGAAACATGCCAAATACTTCCTCTAGTTTCACCTGATAAGAACCATGCAATGCCTACTATTTGGTGTAATTAATTTTTTATTGTTTTGCTTGTGCAAATAACCTTTAGAACTAGAGAACTCCTGAAGCACAAAGTACTCTGTAATAAATGATAATCACCAAATGTTAGGGTAGAGGCTATCTAAGTGAGCATCTCCCCTGAGCCCCTGGGCTCTGAAAAGTTATCAGACAGATAGCCAGGCCGACCCTTGCCTTCACGCAGGGCAGAAAGGCCGAAGCAGCCTGATGGCAAGTGCCCTTATGGCACTTACCATGTCCAAGATAGAAGTTGTAAAATGGTGGCCAATGGGCTGAATTGGCTTAAAGCTATATATTTTTAAATGGCATCATTTAAATAAATATTTATAATTTGAGAGAATTCACATAAAAATTCACATTTATGCCTTCTGTTGAAAATACAGAAGATCTGTCCAAGCAAGATCAGAAATCAGATGGGCCTATGTAGAGGAGGGGCACAATCTTGAAAAGGTGCCACCTTTTACTGTTTCCACATCATATTTGTGACTTCTATTCCTTAACACTCTGGGCCTGGGGGAAGAGGAGGGAGAGAAGATGGGGAGTACCGAGAGTGCCTGGGATTGAATTTCCTGTCATCCCAATGGGAAGATGTCTCAGAGTTAGAATTACACTTTTAAATCGTGATCGTAAAAGAAAATGAAATTTCTTGAACCCACGAGTGTATAGATTTGTATCAGCTAGGTGTAATGTCAATAATTTATTGGTTGAGTTTTAAAACAACCCCTCAGTTTCTTCCTATTTCTTATTTTCTCATCCTTTTAAGAATAGAGAGCATCAGATATATCCATAGACACAGTGAAGAATGAGCAGGTAATAGATAAGGAAATGGGTGGTCTTCAATATAGAAGTTCCAAGCAGCAAATTAAGTTGGGGAATGTTATGGGTAGAAAACCAAGGAAAGAAAAAAATAAGTTTATAGGCAAATTAGATTAACAGACTATTCCTGTTGTGACGAGAAGTTAATAAGAACTGAGAGCAAGAGCTTTTGCCTCTTCAGATATTTAAAGACAACCAGAAAACATCACAGCCTAGGGCTGGAGAGCATATAAAAGATAAGTTTAGAGAAGTCCTCAAACCGATAAAATAACAACTTACTTCCCCAAATATGCTAAGGGTGTTTGTCTGTGGTTAGTCAAACCATTAAAATGGGGAAGGAGGAGGGGTCAGAATTTTCTCTTCTAGGTTCAGAAGAGCCACATTTTGCCGTTCCGACTCTAAAGCAACTACATTTCTCTACAGAGCACAGAACTGTATGTAAATTCATCCATTGTAAATCTAATCTGCAAACATGTATTAGATCAGTATTTGGAGACAGAGAAGCCAACTGGTTCTTAACATTACATTGTATAGCTTCTATTAACATGTATCTCAGGGACTCATTTGGGTGATATTTGCATTGCCTAGGCTGTGGACAAACCACCAGGTAGCCTGAAAAGGACTTACTCTAGGGAAGAAACAGTGTGAAAAATAGTGTGGGGGTATACTTGTTGAAGTGTGAGTGAGGGAGGATAGTGGAGGAAAGGAGAAAGGAGGCATTGGTAGACTCATTTAAGACAAAAAATGGGCATTTCGGTTTCTTAAAAGCCACTTTTTTTTCAATTTAAAACTGTTTTGGGACTAAAGCCTCAGCCATATAAATTATTCTTACCAGGAAAAAAATTCTCTGAAGGAAAAAAAAAGCTAAACATGTATCTTGGCAAGGGGTTTCATATTTGAATTTAAATTTAAAGATAAATTTGTTTTTAAGAAAGCATAAAAAAGCAATTTCAGAAAAAAATCAGAAAAGCTTAGTTTTCTTTTTATTAAAAAAGAAACACAGAGAAATAAATTGATTTAGTTTCTTGTTATGTTCCCTTGGATATGACATAAATTGAAAATTGTAATTAGAAAAGAAATGAAAAATAATTCAATAAAGCTTTCACAATTATTCCTGAAAGAGCCATAAATGCAGTATATAATGACATAATACAGTAGTCAAGATAGTCATTGTTTAAGGTGAACTGAAATGTGCATTATTACATCAACAAAAAGATCCCACAGCTGACACTAATCTTTAGCGTTCTGCCAAAGTGGCATTTTATCCAAACTTTCTGTATTGACCTCACAATTCCACATACATACCTGTAATTCAAAACTTACTCATTTTTTCAAAACATGTGTAATCTGTATATGCAGATATGTGTACTTCAAAGGGTTAAGCTACCCAAGCCATAGTCAATGAATCACTTTTAAAAAGAGCAATAACTCACTGTAAGAATCACGTAATTTCTTACTGTAGGTGTGCTTTAACTAACTTTCACACACTCATGTTTGCTTTAAAGAATTCAGAATTTATGAAATAAATGACACAGTTTTTAAAAATCTTTTGAAGCCAGCAACTGGAAAAATAAGTGAATTATTTCAAAGATATTATTACTATACTTGAAAATATCATTTCAAAAATCCTAGTTCTTATTAGGGAGTAAAAAATGGACTACTGCATTTCAACCTAAAGCTACGTTTTAAAATGCTCCATATCTTTGTATGCAATATATTTTCTAAATGTAAGTAATTAGCTGTCTGTTCTTGAAATAATTTTTGGTTAAACAAAAGTTTCAACTCCTATAAGGCATAGTTAATAGCATGGTAATTACAACATTTTTATAATAACTTACAATCTTCTGAGATGTTTCACAATTCCTTCAGTTAGGGCTGGCAAATATGATTTCTGTTACTATTCTATTTTAGCTTTTCAGTAAGTGCCAGCAAGAGAAATTATATTCCTTTCCTTTTATGGCTTTCTGTGAGGCCCTGACTTGTAGAGAAGGCATTTGTGAGGTTGCTAACATTAAAGTTAATGTTAAACAGCTTATATTTTAACTAGAGATACTTCGCAGTTGGGATATATGCACATTTTGATTCTTTGCCACAGATGTAGTTGAAAATAGTAAATACTTTCTTCTCATTTATTTATTTTTACTCCTGAAATCAGGTGGCCTCTTAAAAATCTTCAGAAAAGTCAGCTCGTTTGAAAAGGAGACCAGGAAATATTGATTGATATAAAAATGAAAGTTCAAGCAGTCGACACTTTTTGTTTTAAATAATGTAGAAGCTAAAAAATAAAATAAATTCACTTTGCCAAAATGCAAGGCATTTTAGGCTCTTATGAAGAAAAAAGTGAATACTAACATGATACTCAGCAAACTGGTTAAAAAAAAGTGGGAAGGGAAGGTTTTTGTTAGAGGACATGTTAGTTTGCTATTAAAAAATATTACTATTCCAAGAAGTCTGGCTAATGCCAGAGACTCTTCATCAGCAAAATAAGAGAAGCATGCTGAGCCTCAAACATATTTCTACACATTTCTTGAAAAAGTCTGAGCAATCTTTAAAACAGGAGTGAAGAGGAGAAAGCCATACCAGTCCTAGTGGTGTCTGAAGTGTCCTCTGGTGATCTCTACCACACTTTGACCACACCTCCATCCCCAGCTGTGTACACATAACAAAGGTTATCAATAAATAATGTATTCATCTACTGGATTGCAGTGAAAGCCCCGATTACTTTTCTCCTATGTTTGGACTAAAGGTATTGGCTTTCTTCAGATATAACCAAGGAATATGAAATGCATTTAGGGAAAAGATCAAAAAGTACATGGAGGCCTGGCTAGTAAGAAGGAATATTATAATTTGCCTTCATATGATAACACTGTAACTGCTTAAGTACTCCTCAAAAATAACTTTTCATGGTATGTCTTTACTGATCCACTAAGAACTCTTACAGTATTAAATATTTTACACTATCAAAATTCTGGAGAATGCATCCTTTCCTATGTAACCCTCTATTTGATAAGATAAAAGAATTTTGCCATTCATTGTGCCTTACACAAATGGTTTATCTTATCAAAACAAATAGTGCTCTAAAAACAGGATTTTTTTTTAAGTAAGCAAGATCTTTTTTAGATGCATGTTTTGTGCCTACATGTGTTCTATATAATCAGCAGTTATAGTCATAATACTTTATGTAATTATTTAATTTCCAAAGTTTTAGCTGACATATAGCAGTATACCTGAAAAATATTAATAAAGCTTTTTGAGCATATTCTCTTTCATCCTCAAAAACAAGGTACCTAATATAATTTTATTATGCTTTGATTTAGAAACCATATTAATTAACCTGTTAGAACACAGAAATGTAGGATTTTAGGGCTGACATGGACATAAGAATTGTTTAGTTCAACTGTCTTTAAAGATTTTGCAAGAGAGGGTCTCTAGATGAAAAATTTGCTTGGATTCACATAGCAGCTGTGAATAAAGAATTGATAGAGGAATTTGAATATGAACAAAGTAATTAAAATTTAAAATCTGAAATATTCTTTCAATGACTATATAAACCTCTGTCCATCTATCATATGTATTTTGTGTAATGTTAGGAAATGGTATTTCCCTTCTTGGAAAATATTTTTAGTACCATAGGAATATAAAGATACAAAAGTCTTTTTTATTTCTGTTTACTCAACAAATATTTATAGAAAATTATTTCCTTCCTAACAATAACAAAATGGTATATCAATGAACATTTTCATAAGAACAATATACAATATAAACTTGTAAAACTATTCATGAGTCACTTAGTGAATGATAGTGAATTTTTGATATTTTAATTAATTCTTCTGTTGCCAAAGCCACAGCTGTACAAACTCTGTAATTATGAGACTGAATATGCATTGTAATTGTGTCTTTTCTCATTAGTTCTATTTTTCAAGCAATGGCAATTTAAATAGATATTTGTATTGCAGTGCTTTTCCCAGGAGAGATTATAAACAAATAAAGCAGGGATAGCTATATGATGAACTATTATGCAGCCATTAAAAACTATGTTATTAAATTATTTTCTAATGACAAAAGAAAAAGAATATGGTATTATTTCAAGTGAAATAACCCATTTAGAAGCCAATTATGATCACACACACACACACACACACACACACACACACACAGTGAAAGGAAGCCAGTGAAAGGAAGCCTGCAAAAAAAAAATTTTTTTTGAGAATACTAACAATGTGGAGGTTTTTCTGAGTTGCAGAATTTTGGAGGACTTTACAAAAATTCTGCATTTTTAGTATTTCCTACAATGAGCATATTTATTCTTATACACAGGAAAGACTAAAACTAATTTCAAAGAAATATAAACAAAAATATGAAAGTATGAAATATGATAATGCAGGTGCAATTTCAGGCTACTTAAACATTGCATTCAGTAGCATCTTTTCTTTAGAGAATGTTAGGATCTGGGCTAATATGTATTTTATAAGAGAGTATGAGACAAAGGCATTTTTGCTCAGTAAAAGATTAGAAGCATTAGAAGCATTGCAAAGCAGAAGAGACCAATGGAACAGGAAACAAAAGTAAAAGAGTTCAGATAAGGGACTGCTGAGAAAAACAAAAGTGAGTTGCTAACAAGTAGTAAGAGCATTTTCTGAGTGTTTTGGCTTATCATATTAACTTAGACAAAGGTAGAAGGAAATAATATTTCTATAACATCTGTAATATGGCAGCGATTATGCTTGAACATTTTATTTATATCAGTTAAATTTAAGTTGGGTCATATAGGTCTGTTTATTCTCATATTACTTAGATATAATTTACCTCACCCTGGTATGTTACTGAGAAAAGCAGACTGACAAGAAGTAATGAAACCATGATTTAAATTTAGCTTAGTTGGCTGCTAAAACTTATGCTCTTTGCATTTTACTTTCCTTTCTCCGGAGTATTTTGATAAAATAATTAAAAGTACTGTCTGTCTTCCAGGATGATAATGGTTCTGTTATTTGACTATCTGAAAAGAATTTGCTAATTTCTTTTTTCAGATAGAAAAGTAGACTTAGGGAGGGGTTTCATGTAGAAACAGTTCTCTCATGTTCTCAATTTTGCGGCTGAGCAGAAGCCAGTGATATAACAAAAACCAAATGGTCACTGGAGAAAGACAGGCCTCTGTTCAGCTCCCAGATCTCACATTTACTAGATATGTGACATCAGGCAAGCTTCTTAATGTTTCTGAGTTTTAGATTCCTATCTGTAAAATGTACTAACAATACCATCTTATAGAATAATTGTGAAGATAAATGAGAAAAACATTTAAAAGATGCCTAGAAGAAATTACAGCATATCATAGACCTCCAATAAATATTGGCTTTCTTTTCCTTAAGTGCCAGCCCTTGGATACTTTTACAACAAGCTATTAATACTTGTTGTCCAGGACTTTTATCAGTTTCTCCTGAGCTTCCTGCAGCAAGTGGCAGCCTACCTCTTAAATTCCTAGGTGTCTGTAATTATTTTTGAAAAGTCCCTCTTTTTGAGATTTTTCACTGTGGCTTTCTCACTAAATTTTCTAATTTTCTCCATGAGCCTCAGTTTTCCGCTATGAAAATATAGAGACCAAATTCAATAAAGTCATAATCAAGTTTGTACTTGGAGTATATAAAAATTTAGAGAAGGACCCTAAGAAATCTTGAAATTCAAGAAGCAGACAGGATGAATCAGGCTCATATCCTTTAATTTTGCTTAAAACTGCGTTTATTATAATTGTTGTTGGTATTACTATTTTATTTTCAACTTGAATACTTTAGGCAGGGGCATACTTCTCTCTTGTCAAAGTTTCACTACATTCTACTGTGACAGCTTCTCATATTTACATTCCTTACCTGCTCTTAATTTAGTTTAAACTCCTCTTTCAATGGTCTCATCAGGAACACTAGCATCACTTAGATAAACACCAGCATCACTTAGAGACGTATTAGAAATTCTAGGACCTAACCCATACCTAGTGAATCAGAAACTTTGTACATAGGGCCCAACAGTCTTATGTTTTATCATCCAGGAATACTAGCTAATTTTTGAGAAGCTCTATTATAAATAATTACAGTTACATCAATGCCAGCCAGCACTCTGCTTTCTTGACAATAACCCAACCCCCAAAACTCCACAACTCCAGCATTTGTTTACTGCACCATGTGACATGATTGCTTTCTTCAGAGCATTTTCAGCAACCCTGTAATGTCTCCGATTAGCCTGTGTACGGAGAGTTCATTTTTGCAATAATCTTATAAAATCACATGCAAAGCATGTGTTTATGCCTTTCTAGTCTTCTTAATCCATTTGCTGTTTACAATACCCATAAGACTTACAGGGAGGTAAGCAGAGTACTTACCTGAGTGTTCTTTTAAAATATTAACACATTAGTCTTTCCTTCTCTTCTGTCAGGAAGCTGTGACTCATTTTACAGATTAAAAAATAAAAACAAAAACTCAACCAAAACAATCAAAACCAACCAACCAAAACAGAAAACCCCCAAAACCAAGTTCTCAAGGTAACAGAGATTTAAACGGTACATAAATGTTTAAGGTGATATTAAGGGGGATGCCTATATTACACAGGCATATTTGATATCAGCAACTTTTTGGCTTATGGAACAGAGTTTTTGTCTTGTCTTTTTCTAACATCAACATAAACACAAAGTGATGAGCTTCTTCAATTTTTAACATGACTAGTCAATGTGAAATAAAGCAAATATGCTTGTAAAACAATAGGAAATAAAAGAGAGCAAAACTTTCTTTAGATTCACATTTATAAATGTTGCTTTGTTTCACTTGATATTCTCTTCCACAGTTTTTTTTTTTCTAAGTCAAAGAAGCTGTTAACATTACTGATTGAAAGTCCTATTTGCTTCTTCAAGACATGGGAAACTGTGGGCCAGGCAGTCAGAATCTAAATTGTGTTACCTTGTCCAAAGCTTGATGGTGCCCTCACTGATGCTAGCACTAGCTAAAATGTGTTTGTTGACTGCTTACTCATCCTACTCAATGTGAGGAGCCGTTTCAATGAATTTTCTCATTTATTAAGGGTAGATATTTTTCCTAAAGTCAGTCAGACCATATACCTTCTGTGTCTCAATTATTTATGTGGAAGCAAGGGAAAAGTTAGGAACATTTTGCCAAGAGATTTTTTAATATAAGGAACAAAAGTTTAATACAAAAAGAAGTGAATGTGATGCAATTACTATGATAGATAAACAGAATTTCTTTGCAAAATAATATTTATTCTTCATCTCCTAATCAGCTTGCAGCAAAGCCAATTTTTTTTCCACCATGAGATAACAAAAAATATCTAGGAATATTGTTTACATTACCTGTGGCACACATGTTTCTTTTTTCAAATCTCAGGAATAGTGTCTATAATATGCTTGGCATGAGAAAAAAATATTTTTGTATGCCTGCTGCTTTACATAGTTAGGTTCATGCATTGAATATTCTTCTGAATAATTATCAAAGTAGAGGATAGAGCACTAAAAGTTATTTTTGGGGCTTGTCAAATACAATTTACGGGAGGCCGTTGGTTTGAACTGAGCTCCTGTACTAGGCCCAAGAGACCAAACCAAAATGGAATTATTCACGTTAAAGCTCCATACTACCAAGCTGAAACCAAGTTGTTTATCTAACCTTCCAAGCAATCAGGAGAGAGAGAGATAATATTCAAATCCCCAAACAGGCCAGTTTCAGTGGGCATGACAAGGAAGTCCCCTTCACTTTAACCTTTAACTTTGAAGCAACCAATCCATTTTTTTTGTTGTTGTTCTGTTTCTTCTTTCTTCAGCCCTTTTCTGTCTATAAAGCCAAATTTCTCTGCTTGGCTCATCAAAACATCCATTCTATTTTATAAAACAACGTGTTGCCTGATGCTAGAATCACAAGTAAAAGCTAATTAAGATCTTAATTAAATTTGTGGTAATTTTGTCTTGTGACAGGTATATTTTCTTATTATTTTCATCATCACCACTCAGTACAGTTATAGGATGCATGTTGAAATCATAAATGATTGCTAATATACATTAGTTTGATTTATCATTTGTGTAGTTTGTTTGAAAGAAAGTCTCAAAATGGATGAAGGATCTGAAGTAGACTATTATTCATCTTCAGAGATTAAGTAGTAAGAGTTTAAAACTGAGCAGCAACACAAAATAACCCTATTAGGAATGACATCTGAGTCACAAACCCAGCAATAGAAACCCTTGAGTTTTAAAGCATGTGCTGTAATCGTTGAGTTTCAACAATCTTTTTACTATCGTCCAACTTCGCATGCCACATTCAACAGCAATATGCCAAGATGTGAAATGATCAGCCTATCATAGAGTGCACAGAAATAATTTCTTTTCTACATTATTCTAGCATTTTTTTCTCCCTTTAATGGAAGTAGTGGTTGCACTTTTGCCTTATATCAACATTAGAAAGGCAATTTAATAAACCTCTTAGATGCTGATTAAACACACAAAAAAATTTTGTTTCATTTGTTTCTGTTTCATACATCTAATTTATTTTTAAAAAGCCTTTTCCAAGGATGGACTTATTTTATTTTTTAATTTTTTTTTAAATCCCCAATTTTTTTCTTTTTGGTGGGGGTGAGGATTTTCTTTCTCTGCTGAAACACTTCATTTCAAAATGTGCTCAGATGCCTCTAAGTAATATGAATTCTAGTGAATGGTAACGTTTGTATAATCCATTTAAAAAATCACTCCAAAAAACACATTATCAAAGATTTAGTCTCTCTTTGCAGTTCTGTTAGCTAACATGACTGAAAATGAAACTTGCATGTCGTTAGTGTAGACTGAACTTAAGCATGTTTCTCAACTTTTAAGTTCCTGTTTTAGGCAAATGTACTGTAGTTAATAGTTTATTAATTCAACAGAAGATTAGAAAAAAAGGAGAAGGGTTGTTTTTTTTTTTAAATTTTCCCCAAAACTGACAAGTTAGATGACTAAATTAAATCACTCTATTAACAAAATTTCAAGTATTTTTCTTGTCTTCATCTTTGCTCCTATATCTCCTCCCCAAATCCTCTCTCTCAATTCAAATTCATGCCTTAACTTTCTTTAAATATACTGCCTAGACAATCATCTCTCCCATAAAGCGCTTCAATCAAGCCCGTAAGTTGCTTAGAAGCACTTCTGTTCAAAATACAATTTTGTATTTTCTTATATATATTTTTTAAACAGTTACCTGCTTAAAAAAGTCTAACAACAACCTTCCCCATTCATTACTTACTAAATGACATAGAAACTCCCCAATTAGGGTCTCAAGTATTTCTACAATATGGCTTTCTTCATCAAGCAGTTTAATTCCTTCTATTTAATTCCTTCTACAATATGGCTTCCCCACCAAGCACTTCAATTCCTTCTATTTCCTAGTATAAGTCAAAACCCACTTTCCAGACAAACTGGGCTCTTCGCTATTTTCCTTTTTCTTTTTTGAGACGGAGTCTCCCTCTTTTGCCCACTCCGGAGTGCAGTGGCGCGATCTCGGCTCACTGCAAGCTCTGCCTCCTGGGTTCACGTCATTTTCCTGCCTCGGCCTACCGAGTAGCTGGGACTACAGAAGCCCGCCACCATGCCCGGCTAATTTTTTGTATTTTTAGTAGAGGCAGAGTTTCACCATGTTTGCCAGGATGGTCTGGATCTCCTGACCTCGTGATCCGCCCGCCTCGGCCTTCCAAAGTGCTGGGATTACAGGCGTGAGCCACCAAGCCCGGCCAACTATTTTCTAATAACTTAACAGGTTTGTTCAGTCTTTTTATTTACACTTACTCCCTTTTAACTTCTTATTGCTTATGTCCACTTCCATTAGGATTTTCATTTAATGATATTTATTTAACAAATACCTATTAAGTGCCACCCTGGGCCTAGTCCTAAAATAGGAAGTGGGGAGATGCCAGTGAACAGCAATGAAGGATGCTTCCCTGCATTCATGGAGTTTTTAGTAAATGAAAACAAAACACCGGCCGGGCACAGTGGCGCACGCCTGTAATCCCAGCACTTTGGGAGGCCGAGGTGGGTGGATTACCAGATCAGGAGATCGAGACCATCCTGGCTAACACGGTGAAACCCTGTCTCTACTAAAAATACAAAAAATTAGCTGGGCGTGGTGGCGGGTGCCTGTAGTCTCAGCTACTCAGGAGGCTGAGACAGGAGAATCACTTGAACCCAGGAGGCGGAGGCTGCAGTGAGCTGAGATCGCCACTGCACTCCAGCCTGGGCAACAGAGTGAGGCTCCATCTCAAAACAAAACAAAACAAAAAACAAAAAACACCAACTTAAATATAAAACTAAAAACTTATGATAGACACTTGGAAGGCAAGATCTGGAGAGTTATGAGAGTGAAACTGGCGATCTAATTCAATCTCTCAGTTGGTAAAACTGTGAGACCTGAAGCATGGGCAGGATTAGCCAAGCAAAGATTCGATGGAAATCAGTTCAGTCATAAAGAACAGCATTTTCAAATGCACTGAAGTTTATAAAAAACACAAGTGTGTCCATTACATAGTGTGAGGGAATTGCCCATAGAGAGAATACACTTCCCAGGTAGCCAAAGTGGATATACTCCTTCATTTCTTCTTCTAACCTGAGTAATGAATATTTTTAATGTAATTAACAACACTTACAGATTTTAGGTATGATCCTAGATTGTAAACTGCTTGGAGGCAAGATCTATTTATTTTTAATTTTTTAAATGTTTATTTTTGTTAATAAAGATAACTTATTCATCTTTTGTTGAAATGGGGTCTCACCATGTTGCCCAGGCTGGTCTCAAACTCCTGGGCTCAGGTGATCCTTCTGCCTCAGCCTCCCAAAATGTTGGAATTACAGGTGTGAGCCACCATGCTTGGCCATTGACTATTTCTTATTCATGTTTTTGTTCCATGCATTGTTCAACACAATGCACAATAGGTAATGAATATAAGACTGGGTTTCTGAGTGGGACTTGTGTAATTAATTACACAGGATCCTGCACTTAGAAGGGCACACTCTTGCTTTAATGCTCAGATGCCATTGTTCTGAATTTCTTAATACTTTTTTAAAAGGACCCTGAATTTTCATTTTGAATTGAGCCCCCCAAAATTATGTAGCCAATCTTCAATGAATGTAAACTTGCTGAGTGAATTAATGATTCAAGGGCCAACAGGATCTAATTGGAATAGTTCTGCAGGTCATTTTTTTACTAGGGTCTATTATACTCCAGGCACACCATATGAGTCTCATATGAGTTATGTGATGGATGGCTTAGAAATGAGCAAAGTTCTCCTTTAGGAAACATCTTCAGTTCTCAAGTGTACTATTTCTTTCTTTCTTTCTTTTTGAGACAGAATCTCACTCTGTTGCCCAGGCTGGAGTGCAGTGGCGCGATCTCGGCTCACTGCAAGCTCCGCCTCCCGGATTCACGCCATTCTCCTGCCTCAGCCTCCGGAGTAGCTGGGACTACAGACGCACGCCGCCAAGCCCTGCTAATTTTTTTTTTTTTTTTTTTTTTTTGTATTTTTAGTAGAGACGGGGTTTCGCCGTGTTAGCCAGGATGGTCTCGATCTCCTGACCTTGAGATCCGCCCGCCTCTGCCTCCCAAAGTGCTGGGATTATAGGCGTGAGCCACCGCGCCCGGCCTCTCAGTTGTACTATTTCTTAAATAACACATTGAGCTCTATATTGATGTGGTCACTTGTGACTTACTCAGATATTACTGGAACCCTCTCAACTGAAGCAGAATTTTTTTGTGTGTAATTACTTCTCAAATCTACATCCCCAACACTAGGAAATGAGTAAGTTAAAGTCCCAGGCATTGTTTACTAGGCAACAGATCTCTTTGCATTTTGTAAATTATTTGCCACCTGTCGCATATCGCAAGTACGAGTGAGAGATATCAATGTGGAGAAATACATTTCATTCAGGACCATGCTGATGAGTCTACGGAAGTTTGCAGAAAAAGCAAAAGCAGTAAAAAACCTTCAATTAGGACGGATTAACCACATTATATGTGCGCCTGGTAATGAATGACTGAATTGGACCTTCTACAGCTGAAGCTTTGTGGCTTTGGGTGCCTGGAAGAACTAGTTTCGTTTTTAGTCTAGATAAGAACAGTGCTAAGAAATATTTATGAGAAGCTGGGGTAAATATTGAAAATTATTGACTGAATCAATCTTTTCAGAGTACGAGAAGCCCCTTTAAGAATTCAGAAGAATTTTTTTTTAGTTCATTAATCAGTTCACCAAGCTACAATCAAAATTTTCTTACTAAGCTTCAATATGACAGGCTGAGCTCTCACTATCTGTTTGGATCATGATCCATGGATTATGGCCTCCTTAGTGCAGTTGACAACTTAAACTGTTTTAGCTCAAGAGGAGTTTTTATGGGTACTTTTAGCAGTGAGTCAAAAAGGTGCCTGCAGAGTAAATAGGACTTTAAACGACATACCTTTCAATTCATTGCCTCTTGGCAAAATGTACAGATTCCAAGTCTATTTCATGAAAGCCTTCTATGGATCTCAGTGGACTACCTCATGCGTGTACTGAACCTGGGTTTGGGTCATCACTCCTTGTTCAACAGTGACAGAAAACTCTTTTCATTAATAACAATTGCAGAACATTATTATCTTTCAGATAAACTATTAACAGATTGTGAAATTAGTGACTAAAAACACTGCTTTGAAAGAAGGTGAATTTCAAACTTATGCAACCAAGCAGGACTGAGTAAATCCAGCATTATGTCTATTTGGTGATTATTTAGAGATGTGGAGTTATGATTTCGTTAATAGAGTGCATTCGTTTTGCAATGATGGGATATAGTAAACCTGTATCATTAATGAACAAAATATCATCCCTTGATCTTTTTTTCTGAAGTCCTCAGAGAGAATTCCTCCTTGGTGGCCTACTTATACATTGTACATCTTTCATGACACCTCATTATCTTCCTGTACTTAATTATTTTTATCATTTTCTCTCTTTCTCTCTAGCCAAATGCTCCTTGAGTATAAAGACCACTTTATTTATTTATTTATTTATTTATTTTGAGACGGAGTTGCCCAAGCTAGAGTGCAGTGGCACGATCTCCGCTCCCTGCCACTTCTGCCTCCAGGTTCAAGCAATTCTCCCACCTCAGCCTCCCGAGTAGCTGGGATTACAGGCACATGCCACCATGCCTGGCTAATTAAGAACACCTGTTCTTAATATCTTTATCCATAGTTCCTGGCAGATAATAAATGCTTATTAAATAATAATGAAAGGGTGCTTGGATTATTCTTCTTTTACATCATACCATGGTTATGTGTATCTTCTTAGTCCTGATGCCTAGGTAGCTATCAAGTCTATGGAAGGCAGCCTCAGTCCATAGAAAATGTATATCAGGCTGAAAAGTTTTAAGCACACATGAGAGTGTGCCCATATGTGATGGTGGAGAGACTGCTGGAAAGCAGAGTGTTTTCTAATTCTGGGGGGCATGAGTATCTAGATTGAGGAGCAGAGAGAGACGGGGTTTGGGAAGAAAGCAAACAGCACAGAAATTGCCTTGATGCACTGTACACACAGTGAACCACATCCTCACCCTTGTGGGGAGTTGCTCTCTGAGATATCTGGCTTTTGCTCTGACATCGGGAAGGAGGCACTCATTTTTTAAATTTCTGCTCCCAAAATATAGGCTTTAGGAGCGGGGATGGAGAAGCACAGTTAGACCCCTGACAATTTTGTTGTTGTTGTTATAGCATGGAAACGTTTTATCTAATGAAAAAAATTAGGAAGACATTTTAGTTGTAAAATATATAAAACTCTGTGGGGCAGAGTGCCAACACATTCATCTACAGAGCAACAAATATTTCACAGGTGTGTATAAAAGACATCTTGTAAAAAATTCTTTTTATAAACAAAATCAATCTATATTGGACTCTGCTTCTCCCCTTCTATAGAACCAGGATCAGTTCTTCATAAAAGTGTATAAGTACACATACATATATATGCATATACATGCACGGATATACACACATATGTATATGTGTGTGTGTGTATATATATATACACATATATACACATATATATATACACATATATACACATATATATACACATATATATATACACATATATACACATATATATACACATATATATACACACATATACATATATATACACACACATATACATATATATACACACATATATACATATATACACATATATATACATATATATACACATATATATACATATATATACACATATATATACATATATATATATAAAATCTACCTAGAAAGTAGTTAAATTAACTGCAGTAGAAAAGTTTAATCTGTGAATCTAATTAAGCATATTTTTTAAATGTCAATTGGAGGCCCATTTTAACAGGCAGGATAGAAGAATATTAACTAAATTGTGATAATTTATATAGCTCTCATTTCTCCTAATTTAGCTGTTGTAAGATATTTTTTCAAAAAAAAATTTCTTTTTAGCTGCACCAGTTTTCCCTTAACATAATTTCCAATGACAATATAAAATGCAATATATTTATTTATTGACATTTTAAGGTAATTTCTATTTTATTTTTCCTCTGAGATTATTTTAAACTTACATTTTCTTTTTTTGATTTTTTTTTCTTTTTGTAATTGTGCACCCAAAACATTTATTTTTTAGGTACTTGTGATAGACATTGCTCTCCCCTATTTCTGCTCCTTCCATGTATACACAGAATTGTGAGTTGTTGAAGTAATGGGAGACCATTTGCTTTAAGTCTGACTTCTCTCACGATAGGAGGGTAAATATTGGTTAGTTTAAACCAGTTATTTATCTTTCCAGTAATAGAAATGGAAATGGTCACATGATGTAACTCAGCTGATGAGACACAAAGGAAAGCCTGTTGGGAGGCACCTGGAAAAACTGTTATTACTTAATAAGAGGGACAAGGGAAAGATACGCAGTTTTGTAGTCTTTTTGAGGGATGAGAATGCAATAATTGGAGCTGCTACAGCCACTTGCAATTAGGTGGAAGAGATAAGCCTGAGGGCAAAGCTGAGGAATTAGAAAGAAAAGTTGAATAGTTCCTGGGTCAATGATAAAATCCTCTGGATATGCAAGGTTATACATTGTCTAATGTTTAGAGCTATTTTGAGTAGCATCCTCTGTTGCTTTCATTGAAAGCATGTTAACAGACATCACCAATTCTAGAAACTCATGGCTGCTACTGAGAATGGGGATGTGAGTTAATACCAGAAGATGCCATTCAGTTTAGTATTCCTTATTAAATGTGCAGACTCTACCAATTAAGCTTTATAATTTGATACATGGGATATTAGATGAAGACCAAGTTGGGCTTAGGATGAAACGCTATCATTCCAAATATCCATATTTTTGGAATTATTTTAATGTTTAAGATTATATACAGGCATATCTCAGAGATATTGTGGATTCAGTTCCAGACCACTGCAATAAAGTAAATATCACAATAAAACAAGTCACACAAGTTTTTTGGTTTTGCAGTGCAAATAAAAATTATGTGTACATTATACTGTAGTCTATTAAGCATTCAATAACATTATATCTAAAAAGCAATACATACACATTAATTTAAAATGCTTTATTGCTGGAAAATACTAGCATTCATCTGAAACTTTAGTGAGCCATAATCTTTTTTGCTAATGGAGGGTCTTGCCTCAATGTTGATGGCTGCTGACTGATCAGACTGGTGGTTGCTGAAGTTTCGGGTAGCTGCAGCAATTTTTAAAAAGAAGACAACAATGAAGTTTGCTGCATTGGTTGACTCTTCCTTTCATGAAAGATTTCTCTGTCGCATATGATATTGTTTGATAGCATTTTACCCATAGCACTTTTTTCAAAATTGGAATCAATCCTCTCAAACCTTGCTGCTGCTTTATCAACTAAGATTTTGGAATATTCTAAATCATTTGTTGTCATTTCAATAATGTTCACAGAATCATCGCAAGTAGATTGCATCTCAAGAAAATACTTCCTTTGCCCATTCATAAGAAGCAACTACTTTATCTGTTTAAGTTTTATAATGAGATTACAGCAATTCAGTGACATCTTTAGGCTCCACATCTAATTCTAGTTCTCTTGCTATTTTTATCATGCCTGCAGTTACTTTCTCCATAGAAATATTGGACCCTTCAAAGTCATCCGTGAAAATTGGAATCAACTTTGTCCAAACTCCTGTTAATGTTATTATTTTGACCTCCTCCCATGAATCACACATTTTATTAATGACATCTAAAATGGTGGATCCTTTCCAGAAGGTTTTTGATTTACTTTGCCCAGATCCACCAAGGGAATAATTATCTATGGCAGCTAAAGGCCTTCAAAATGTATTTCTTAACAATAAGGCTTCAAATTACTCCTTGATCCATGGGTTACAGAATATATATTGCATTAGCAGGGATGGAAACATTAATCTCCTTGTTCATCTCCATCAGAGCTCTTGGATCACCAGGTGCATTGTCAATAAACAGTAATATTTTGTAAGGAATCTTTTTTTTCTGAGCAGTAGGTCTCCATAGTGGGCTTAAAATATCCAGTAAACTATACTATAAATAGAATTGCTCTCATCTAGGCTTTCTCTTTCAGGCAGAGTAGATTTAGCATAATTCTTATGGGTTGTAGGATTTTTGGAATGATACATGGGCATTGGCTTCAACTTAAAGTTAGCACCTAAAAGTAGGGTCAACCTGTCTTTTGAAGTTTTGAAACCAGGCATTGACTTGTCTCTAGCTATGAAAGTTTTAGATGGTGTCTTCTTTCAATTTAAAGCTGTTTCATCTACGTTGAAAATCTGTTATTTATTGTAGCCACCTTCATCAATTATTTTAGCTAGATCTTCTGGATAACTTGCTGAAGCTTCTACGTCAGCATTCACTGCTTCACCTTGCACTTTTATGTTGTGGAGATGGCTTCTTTCCTTAAGCTTCATGAATGAACTTCTGCTAGGCTTAAGCTTTTCTTCTGCAGCTTCCTTACCTCTTTCAGCCTTGATAGAATTAAAGCGATTAGGATCTTCTTCTGGATTAGATTTGGGTTTAAGGGAATGCTGTGGCTGCTTTGATCTTTTATCCAGACCACTAAAACTTTCTCTCTACCAGCATAAAAGCCTGTTTCACTTTCTTATAATTTGTGGGTTCACTGGAGTAGCACTTTTAATTTTCTTCAAGAACTTTTTTTGCATTCACAACTTGGCTAATTGCTTGGTATAAGAGGCCTCGCTTTTGGCCTATGTCAGCTTTTAACATGCCTTCCTCACTAAGTTTAATCTCATGGAGGTAGCAAGTAAAACAATAGTTACCAGAGGCTGGGAAGGATGTGTGTTGAGATGAGGTAGGGGGAGCGGGGGAGATGAAGAAAGGCTGGTAAATGGGTACAAATATTGAGTTAGAAGAAATAAGTTCTAATGTTTGATAGCAGAGTAGGGTGACTATAGTTAAAAACAATGTATTGTATATTTCAAATAGCTAGATGAGAGGACTTGATGATCCCAACATATAGAAATGATAAATGCTTGGGGTGATGAGTACCCTAAATACCTTGACTTGATTCTATACACATTCTATACATGTAACAACATATCACATGTACCCCATACGAATGTACAAATGTTATGTATCAATAAAAAATTTTTAAAAAGATTATCATAGAATACTTTGTTAATTTCCTTATTATTAATAATACTTTATTTCCACTTCATATGTCTGATTTTTCTTTTCTTCTTTTATAACATACTCCTAGAGACAGATGTCTGATTTTTCAAACCCACACTTTGTTGAAATCTGCTAATATTTTCTAGTGTTTCTCATAGTGAATCTCTACAAAGAGTATATTCAACATACCTCAAAGTCAAAGAAGCTTAAGCCAAAAAGCAAGTTAGATGAATTTATTTCTACAGCAATGACAGAGTATGACCATCAACAGGTCTGGGTTCACAGTCTTAGACTTCAATTCTTTTTCCTTTTTTTTTCTTTTGAGGCACAGTCTCACTTTGTTGCCTAGGCTGGAGTGCAGTGGTGCAATCTCAGCTCACTGCAACGTCTGCCTCCTGAACCTCTGCCTCCTCCTCAAGCGATCCTCCCACCTTAGCCTCCTGAGTCGCTGGGACTAAAGATGCTTGCCACCATGTTTGGTTAATTTTTTGTATTTTTTAGTAGAGATGGGTTTTCCCCACGTTGCCCAGGATGGTCTTGAATTCCGAGGCTCAAGTAATCTGCCCGTCTTGGCCTCCTAAAGTGCTGGGATTACAGGTGTGAGCTACTGCTCCTGGATATATCCCACAATTCTTGTAGCAAGGTAAAATGTTCCAGGACATAAGGTCATTTGCTCCACTGTAATTCCTGGGTGAGTAGCAGCTCCACCAGCAGCCTGTGGAGTCAGAGGAGGAGGAATATCCCAATAGCATGAATCCCATTACCAGAAAAGGATGGCAGAGGTTTTAAACAAGGTAACACATGTCTTCTATGTGGGGTGGGGTGGGTGGGTGGGTAGTAGGTGTAAATAGTTACAGCAAAATGCAGGGTTTCCCAAACAAATTTGACCTGGAACTCTTTTCACTCAAAACATCTGTTACGATTTCTGGGGAAGTAAGTTTTTGACTTAACACTTCAGGAAATTATTCTTCTGTGTATGCAAAACATTTTAATACAGATTAATACCCTGTATCTTCATAGCAATCCTACTATTATAGATATAGCCAGCTTACCTTAGGAAACCCAGATTCAGAGAGGTTTACAGATTTACCAAGTCATGGACACTACTGGGAAAAAATTCAGTCCCAGTTCCTTGTTAAAATTTGTCATGAAATGGTTTGCAGACTGTGAAGTGGTCAGTTCCGTAAGTTGAAAAATTTTTGAACGTACTTCATGTAAGGCTTTGCACACAGCAGGATTGGTGCCATATAATGGTTTTGTCACTATTGCATTTTATAACCCATTAGTGCAATTATACAATGTGAGCTTTGGTATCAAACCATTTAGGTGAGAATTCCAGCTGTTCCTTTTGCTAAGAGTTGTGCCCTTGGGCAAATTACTTTCCATCTCTGACTACCTTTCTTCATTTGGAAAATCATATCAATTGAGGTCAGGAGTTTGAGACCAGCCTGGCCAACATGGAGAAACCCTGTTTCTACAAAAAATACAAAAATTAGCCAGGCGTGTTGGGGTGCACCTGTAATTCCAGCTACTCAGGAGGCCAAGGCACGAGAATCTTGTGAACCAAGGAGGCAGAGATCGCAGTGAGCCGAGATCGCCACTGCATTCCAGCCTGGGTGATAGAGTGAGACTCTGTCTAAAATAAAAAAGAAAGAAGAAAAAAAAAGATAATGATTGTAAATTACTAAACACAGTGATGACGACATACTAATTACTCAATGTCTTAGTTATGATTTTAAGGAAAATTATCACAATTGAGTCATAGTGTAGTGAAAGATTCCAGGAAGTTTTATATTAATTGTATATTTCTCTCTTAATACATGCATTTAAATACAAAAGCTTGTTTGAAATGCATTTTTTTTCCTGATCTGTATTTTCTGATATATTTTGGGCAAAAAAAGAGAAAGACATGAATGGAAATCAATTAACCCTAACTTGAAACAGATGTCCCTAAAATGTGCTGTATGTTCTTTCACCCATGAGCAGCTAACACATCAATTATGGAAAGGGAGAAGCATCCAAATCCAGATGTTTTGAATGTCTTTGGAATTTATACACTTTCTTAACTATGGCTAGTTGAGTTACTGTATGCTGATAACTGAAATAACTTCTTAATTGCACGTCATTGTAATTTCAAAGACAGCTCTTGGCCTTTTAATAGTAACAGAGGTGATTCTGCTCAATGAGAAGCAGATGCCAACACAGAACTAAATCAGATGCAGAGCATATAGATAAAATTTTTCTGAATTATTTCGTCAGAGCAGGGATTCAAACATATTTCCTTTTGCCAGTCTTACTTTATATCTTGGTGCAGTTGATACATCTCAAAGGAGCTTACAACTGTTCCACATGGGAACTTATTCCAAGTCAGAAAGAGGCAAATACAGTGCATTATGATTTAGAGTCCGTTGCTGAAAATAGGATATTGTGGCTTAAAGAAATATTTAGACATTACTTAAGCTAATTATTATGGGATTGAAATGAAGGTCTAAATGTTATGACTGGAACTGCACTCATGTTTCCAAACCTTTTTAACCAAGCCAGTAGCTTGCAGAACAAACTTCACTTTAGTGTAGAACACACACGCACACACATACATGCACACACACGCACATGCACACATGTGTACACGCACACACCCAGGCATGCATACATGCACACAAGCACATGTGCATGCACTCACACACATGTATGCACTCACACCACGCACACACACAAAATCAGGGCCAAATAATAGCATAATTTATATGAATATAATCTCCCAATTTTACTTCTTTCAAAACCCAATTGGTATTTCTTAGCTTATTTAATATTGATAATTCATATCTAAATAGTCAAAAACTCTGATTGCCTTTGAGAATTTGTGTCAAGAACCTGTATGCCAGATTATCTTAAATATACAGTCATACACTGCCCCAAATTCGGACTTTCCTTACTTCCCTACTTTCCTTACTTCACTACTAAACTATAATAGTAGAAAGTTTCCTTAGGGCAATTTCACTCTTAAATATGATAACTCTTGAATTTTACATGGACTTATGCAAAAAAAAAAAATCCAAAGCTTCTTATCTGTATGAAATGAGGAAGTTTGGCAGTGGATGGAGACAGCATGTGTCTTGAGGGATGGGGAGGGTATGGGATGGTTTGGGACTATAGCTCAAAGTCTTGTGTTTCAAAGATGAACTTTCTTTAAAACTCTTGCTTAGGCATAAGTTCATAGGATTTTGAGAATGGTTTTTATCCAAGTCTTTAAGTATAATTGATTCTTTGGGAAAATGTTACTCGGCTATTTCTTAAAATTGCTGACCCACTCCCACATATGTGAGTACTCATATCCCATTTAAAAAGCATGGAAAAGAGGCAGGGGCAGTGAGAATTGACTTCATGGAAAGTCTTTCATGACTATAAAGTAAAATCATATGCAGGACTCAACTTTTATGCAATTTTCTTGCCAATGTTATTAGGTGGTCAACATATTACCAACCTGCCCTAACAAACAAAATCTGCAGGAAGGGCTCTTGGTTATGTGTTGAAAAAAAGGTGGAAGGAGGAGGGGAGTAGAGTGAGGCCACTCCTATCTGGTGTATACAATAATACCCTCACTCCATTAGAAGAACTCAGGGGTCTAAATAGATTCAGTATTTAGTAGGAAGAATGAAGAGGATATAACTAGACCTTTGTGAGGACATCATTTTACTTTCCTCTAACATAGAGGTTGGATTGTTCTACATGTGTATTTTAAAAGATTATATAACCCACCACTTAGAAGGTACGAATAGAGCAAAAGAACAAGAGGCTGTAAGGACATAGAAGCAAAAAGATTTCTCCTAGTGGGGCCCATGCTGAAAGTTCAGCTATAGCTGTGAATGTTTCCTCATTGTTTGGTTCAGCTCATCAATACAGCTAATGAGGATTTGGAAGCAGATCTGATTATTTCAAAAATTAGGAAGCAAAGTAGGTTTACTGTAAAAATGTCCTTTTAATTTATTTTTCCAGGACATTGCAATGCGGGAAGCAGGTGATAGGATGGGATTTTGAGTCTAATTGAGGAGAGGGAATCCTAATATAACAGGAGTCAAAAACTTTACTGTAACTCAGAGAGGCGAAGACAACCAATACTCACCAGGAGTTGGGAAGAGACTACTAAATACCAAGCCGAATTTAAAACTTAGCTCAATTGGATAATTCATATGATTTCTCTATGTCATTAATACCGTTTCTCTGGAAAAAGAGAAAGCTTAGTTTGATCAGCTTTTCTTCCTAAATGTATCTACAGAGCAGTGTCTTCTTTCTGCCTTGTCACTACTTGTTCATTCGGCACTTTGTATGGATTTGTGGCTGTGGTGGAGTGGTGCACACTCTAGTCTCTCTGACAGCTTGGTAAGAGTCTAGTGGATGGATAAAGAAATGGATAACCCAGTTCATTTCCTGATGCTGCTATAGGCCCCTCGATGTCAAGTTGTAAAGCTCACTTGGGCTCCATCTGGTGGTCTACTCTGCTGCGCTTTCCATAAAGCCACCTTGTCCCTGCCAAAACCATCCCATCTGCCAAAGTCCACACCCGATTCTCAACCACTTTAAGAGAAGTTTTCTATACAACCTGTTTAAGTTGTATGGAAACCAAAGGTGACTAGGAAAGGTAAATCTTAAGACTTTCTTCCACCTGA
Source organism: Homo sapiens (assembly GCF_000001405.40). NCBI lineage: Eukaryota > Metazoa > Chordata > Mammalia > Primates > Hominidae > Homo > Homo sapiens. The sequence continues at coordinate 152,183,476 of NC_000003.12, read as the reverse complement.
CAAGATCACAGATTGGTATGGATAACCAAAGGCTCAAGATTTGGAAACGTTTCTGATAGTCTTGCTCTCCTGTTAATCAACATATTTTTTCTCTCCTCTTCTATCTTCCTATCTCCCCTTCTTTGTGCCATCTTCTGGGAATTTCTCCCTCTGTTCCAAACTCTTTTATAACTCTGATCTCCTCTCAAACCTTATGGAGACAAGGACATTTTCTCTGCACTGGAGAAAACTCTGATACTGATCTTCCAGGCTTGGTTATTGAAATACAAAACGGTAAGAAAAACAGATTTTTAAAAAAGTTTATTGGATCATTTTTCAAGATAATGTAGTGGCTTGCAAGACACTTTTCTTACTGCATTATCTTATTTGCATAACAGCAGTGAAATATCTCTTTTCATTCCCACCGCAATAAATGGTTTCTTTTTGTAATACATTTTAGTCTTCCTCCAGCAGATGGATAGTTTAGGTCTATTAGTGCAAAGCTGATGAGTTCATGTATTTAGGAAGACAAATTAATATTTGTCTTGTTAATATTTCCAAGAGATCGGGTGCTATATCTAGACTTCTCTTTTCCAGCTTTGATCCAGAGAAGGAACATGTTTGATAAATGATAACAATACCAAGTCAGTACACTCTTGTTCTGTTTCCTTTGTGGGTACCTAAGGAAGAAATTGCTGTGTAGGGTATCCTAGCCCAATGCAGGGGAGCCTTAGTGCAATTATGAGGGCACAGTGGCATGGTCATGCATACAGAATTTGTAGGGTCATCCCAGAGGCTCTTTCATTTCCTATGTGCTGTGGACATTGTGTTGAGAGCAAAGGAGATGGGTGGGTTGCCATTTAGGAGGCTGTTTTAGGAGGTAGAAATAGTAGATGGGTCTATATACAGGAAAAGCTGAATCAAGAGGAAACTGAATCAATAAGAAAACTGAATCAAGCAGGTAAAGAAATAGCATGCTTCACTGTAGCAAAAAATTACAAACTTTTGTCCTGGAGGCCAGCAAGACACTTAGGTAGTAGGAAGTCAAAGACTGGACACTGGAGACCCATGGATGTCATTGAAGGCCCACTGTGAAGCCAGGTGATTGCACTCTCTTGCTAAAGACACCAAGTCTCCCAAGCCACATACTTCTTCCTCCAGATATTATATATCACTTCAGAGGTAGAAGACAAGGGAGAGATAAATTACAGTAGAAACTAAGCAATTTTTCCCCAAGGCAAGGCTGAGCGTTAACTAAAGGGATTGTTTAGCAAATAGCCATATTAGACAAGGATTTAAGAGAGATTGGTCATATCACACTCTTTCTATCAGAGGAACACTAAACTCAAAAGAGGTCCCTACCTTTTTTTTTCTTCTTGGAATGCCACTGTGATGGTAACACTTTATGAGCCATTTTTTGACTTTGAAAATTTAAGCCATGTATTAAAGATGGTGGAGCAAAAATAATAGGAGCCTAGGCCCTCAGTGACTTTCTGGGGCCACCATACCAACCCTGGAGGGCCTACTTCTGGACTTCCATTAATGAAAGAATAAAATGCCCACATTTTTAGTCACTATAGTCAGTTCTCTGTTCCTAGCAGCCAGAGTCAATTCCTAAGTGATACAGTGTGTTTTTTTCTCTGAATTTCTTCAGTTAAGAATTTATAATTTCCCCTATACACATGTTATGTACTCAAGGCAAAGGTTATTCTTTTCAGAGATGCAAAAGAACACATTAGAAATTTTCAAAACATTACCTGAGCAATTGTGTATGGCTGAAAGTCAAAGTAAACTGCACAGTTTTTTGAAAACCTACACTTAAATGACATAGAGTATGTGTGTTCATGTGCTCACATGTGTATGTATGCTAATACAAACATGTTTCTGTTGTTTTGGTCCAATAAAGTGTAAAGAAAAGCAACACCTGGAAGATATTATGGCAATATGATGGATACAAAGATAGAATTACTGCATGTAGTTTATGAAAAACTGCAGAGGTATTGGCACTCTGATCAAGAGTAAATAAAGGAACTCCATGACTCTTTGAAATCTGACCATATTATAATAATATTAATTGATGTTTGGGGAAGGGTGGTACTGAAATCCCAATGCAAAAACTGTGTGGATATACTCCACCCATACTTGCCTTCTGAATCTTGGAGACAAGAGCCAAGGTAGGGCCTTCTCCCTGGTAATCTCCAGGGTGCACCCTTCACATAGTAGGGCTTGGAATAAGAAGTCCACATGAGGCGGGAAACTATTTTGACACTCCACTGAAAATCTCTACACAATAAATCTAGTGCTAAAAGCTTACTTTCTTTCTGGCAGAATATATGAAAGTTTCCCTGTTTCCAAATATCCTTTTTTATACTTCAAAAGTAAAAAAAAAAATTACTTACCACATTATTCTGTTTCTTCTAAATAGTACATTCCATAATTTAACAAAATTACCTTTTAAAATGTAAATGTTCCTGGAAGGTGGGTGAAGTGGTTATACTCTCAGGGAGCATAAATTTTGTTTGAGAAAAGTGAAAATAGATGGTTGTATTGGCAGCATGTTGGCTCATGGAAAAGTAATTTTAAGATATAAGATTTGACAAAAAGGGGCAGCCCACTTTGAAAGTATTAAAGTCCTTCTTAGCAGAGGTATTTGGGGGAAACTTGTGAAATCTTTTCACTTAAGGAGAGTTCTGCTTTGCTTTTTACCTTGGGTCTTACCTAGGGTAACTCTATATGTCCCAGGTTGCATGTGACAGTCTCAGTTCACACCAGTTGTCCTGGAGTAATTATTTTACATTGAAAATTGTCCCAGAATGCATAATACGTTTTATGGAAAATCAATTTTTTTAAGCTAAAATATTTTATTCCTTCTATAACCTTTTCATAAGTAAAGTAAAACAATTTATTTTTTTATTTTTATTTTTTATTATACTTTAAGTTTTAGGGTACATGTGCACATTGTGCAGGTTAGTTACATATGTATACATGTGCCATGCTGGTGCACTGCACCCACTAACTCTTCATCTAGCATTAAGTATATCTCCCAATGCTATCCCTCCCCCCTCCCCCCACCCCACAACAGTCCCCAGAGTGTGATATTCCCCTTCCTGTGTGAAAATCAATTCTTATACCATTTCTCTTCCTTTAGATAAGAAGGAAGGGCCCTCTCCCGTTCAGAAATTCAAGGTAACCCTGTGATCCTTTTATATAGGAGAGCTCACTCTATCTTGGTGCTTCTGAAAAGTTGGTGTGTTTGTGGGAAATGGGACAATGTGTTGTCTTGGGACAAGATTCTCCTATGCATTGAATGGTTGAAAACCTCAGAATTGAAAAAGGATACAATGCTGCCTTTCACTTGCGCCAGTGAGCTAGATCCTGGGTGAAGTGGTAGTTGAAGTGTTTTTGAAAGCTCAGGGGTAATGATAATTATCCCTTTTCCATACCAGGTATGTCCCTATGCTTGGAGAAATTGTAATTCCAGTTTTAAAGGTCTGCCATGTGCTAATCTGAGGATTAAAGACATTTCTTTCCAATGTGTAGAAACGAGCAGGCAAAATTGATGAAAATGTACACTGTAAATTCCCAGTGAAAAAGCACCTGATTGCATTAAGCTATTTTAATATTTAAATGTTGCCAACTATATGTATTTGCTGCCTGCATAGATAGAAATTCTTCCTTGTCCAAAAACTCCCTTGTCCAAGAGATTTTATGTACAATGACAGTGCTAATCATCACCACTACACCTATAAGTGTGTCAGAGGACACGTAACCAGTGCAAGGTGTCTTGATTGAGTTTCCCTACAAGCAAACTCTGAATGCAAATAGTTTACTTAGGAGGTGATCTCAAGAAGTCACTAAGGAAGTGGAAAGTGATGAGTTAGAGTAAGGGAAGAAAGCCAATTAAATGTATAATTGAGCAGGCTATCTCTGTGGAAATAGTGGCTCAGTTCTGTTAGGGACCTCTGGTAGGCTGTGTGTCATCTCAAATAAGGTGTGAGGGAACTAGGGTATTTATCTACCAATTTTTTTATGGTCATTTTTTGAAGTCTACTTCAAGGATGCATAAACTTCTCAGAAATTCTGGCCTAATCAATGCATAAGCAGAAAGGTCTTTCATGGCCAGAAGCCTTCAAGCAGAGTCTCAGGTGTTTGAATTTAAAATCCCGTGACTCTGCACAAAGGTGACTGCAAAGTGATGCAGATAGGACATTGACGATGACTGGGGTAGAGAAGCAGGAAAATCAACTACATATGAAATATAATTTCAGGAGTGTCAACAGGATCAGTCCACACCCCATGATGGGCCCTGTAAAAACTCTTTACCATCCATTAATATTCTATTGTGATATTTTATTTTCAAGTTGATTGATAAATGGATGTATTAATTCCATATAATTGAAGATTTTAGGTATTTAGCTTCAGATATGACTGGATCCAGAGTTTCTGATATGCCATCATGATTCTTTCACTTTCTTTTCAGGCTGTTTTCCTATATTTGCGCTTCATACCTAGGTAGGTCATCTCCATTGGTAGAAAAATTGGCTACCAGTTTTAGCAAGTCCAGAAGAAATAAGGCATCTGTTTTATAGTAGTTCCAGAATAAGTCTAAGGAAACTCTCATTGTACTAAACTGGGTCCCTTGTACATCCCTTAACTGGTTATTGTGGCTATGAAATTTGGCTGCAATGAGTTCAGATACCTACCTCTAGAACTATGGGAGCTGAGTAAATTTTGCCTGGATCACATAGCCTGAGGTATAAGTGGAGTACTTCATTAGAAGAAAATATGGTTGCTATTGTTAGAAGACAGAATGGATAGCGGATTAAACACACACACACACACACACACACATCCCAGAAATATACCCACATACATTGCCATTTTATCCTTTAGCTTTGATTCCTGAGAAAATCCATGTTTTCCTAGAGATTTGTTAACTTTGTTAGTAGCTATGTGACTACTTTCCTTCTGGCTTAGCAACTAGATAATTGTGTGATAGTGAGCAATTCATTAAATAGAATGTCAAAATGGTATGCTCCCTCCCTTGGCAAATTTCAGTGGGGCCTCAAAGATTAAAGCACCAGGTATGAAATACCCCTATGTTCTAGTGGGATGTTCTAGGCCATCTGAGTGGGGCCTTAAAATTGGATCTTCCATCTTTAGCTAAACAATACCATATGAGCTCATTAAAAGGATCCAGTGAGCTTGTCCAAAGACATTATGGTTTTGATTATTCTCCTTCTCATTATAGAGGAGAGCAGGTGGTGCTTTCCAGATAAATCGAATGAGGCAGACTTCCATGAAACCCTTGAAGGACTTAGTCTGTGCTCCTTCAGTTGGAAAAAAATGAGGAAGAGTCCCTGACTTACACCTAGAAACTGAGGCTGGAGCTGCCTATGATGACAGAGTGATGAGACAGATTTGGAGGAAAAGAAACACTCTTGGTCATTCTCTCAGTGTGGTGCAGTGGTTCAAAGTGTAGTTTCTGTGTCTCTACTGGTTAAGTCCATATTTCACATCCACCACTTATTAACTAAGTGTTCATGGTTGCGTAACTAATTTTTCTGTGGCTTTGTAGAAATAATTCAAATGAGGGTTGTGAGAATGAAATGAGTTGAAGTATGGTGAGTGCTTGACACTGGGTTTGGCACATAGTGAGTGCTAGCTTTGATTGTTATTTCTTCCTGACAAGTTAAAGTAGACATTTGCATGGCTCCCAGAAGGTAGCTGGATTTGAGTTATCTGGAAGGGGAGCCTGACTATGAAGGTCACTAGAGGAACATGGCAACACAACTAGGAAAGTCTCTGTAGGAAACTCAGAAGCAGGGACTGAGGAAGGTGTCATACACAGTCAACTAGAGGAGACACTCTGTAGCATTGTGGTCTTCAGCAGAAGAGGACCCTGGATAATGATGGGTTTGTTTGAAAAGCTCCCAAGGACACCCTAAAAGTACAAACTTTTTGAGATCTGCTCAAGTGCACGAATAGAGAAAGGAGAACTACATGATACCAATTCCCCTTCTTTCTTTCCCCATCTTTCTTCCACATCACATAAGAAAGAAGCAGCTTTGTGACCATTGAGGAATACAAAAGCTAGAATGAATAATAACATAAAACTGGAAAAAGGTGACCACTTTCCAAAACTGGCTTAGTTAGGCCTCAGCTATGAATTAGAGGAGAGACAGAAGCTTTGATATTGTTATTGTTGGAATTGTGTCCCCTTCCCCCAGATTTTGATGTTGAAGCCCTAACCACCAATGTGACTATATTTGGAGATAGGGCTTTTAGGAGGCAGTAAAGGCTGAATGAGGTCATGGAGGAGAGAGAGTGCTAATCTGATAAGTGGCCTTATAAGAAGGGGAAGAGAGAGAAAGATCTCTCCTCTTTCCCCACCATCAAGAAGGTGGCCGTCTGTAAGTCAGGAAGAGATACCCCATCAAGAACCAAATCAGCTGTCACTCTGATCTTGGAATTCCCAGCCTCCAGAATTGTGATAAATAAATTTTAAGCCATTTAGTTTGTGGTATTTTGTTATGGTGCCCAGAGCTAACTGATACGGATATTAAACTTTTCAATGCTTGGAAAATTAGATTATTCATTCACACTATTCATTAATACCTGAGAGTAGTTGGAAAAGCCCAAGATTTTATCCCAGGGCAGGAAAGAAGTATTTGATAAAACAGACTTAAAAGGGCAATGATGAAAAGGAATGAACACACTGTCTGCATGTCCAGCTTTTCAATAATTCAGTTGTACACTTAACTTCTGTAGAGCGTGCTTCATTTCTATAGAATTATAAAGGAGTTGGATTTGATGGGACCCAGGTCTCCATTACAGCTCAAATATTTTGTTTTACATTTAATGATTCATTTTCATTTATGTGAAAGAATTTCAGGTATTTTTGTGAAAAGTTTCTGAAAATCAAATATGCTAGGAAACTTCAAAAAATGAGGAGAACAGGAATACAGCAAAAAGGATCTTTTGGAGAACTAGAAGTTGCAGGCTTTCTAACCACAAACCACACTCTTCCTATGCCCAGCATTATTTCCAGTGTTAGCCATTTCATTTGAAAGGGCTTCCCTAGACTAAATAACATTTACTGAAATTCCGATGATTCCTATTGTGACAAGGAGCCTCTAGTGTTCTCAAAAATTCTTGGTAGCCTAAAACCTAATTTTAATAAGTATAAATAAAATTTTAGAGATCACACACACATGCACACACACACAATGTCTCGACCATTATGAAAACAGAACTCCAGAACTTCTCATTAATAAAAACAAACCTCATTATTTCAAGTAGAGAGTAGCTAACTATCATGTTTTTAAAAATTGCTGTTTCTCTGAAATATGTCCAGAGGATTTCATATCCACCCTCAGGCAAATCATCCTAGTAGCTTTTCTGTAAAGATAATTATCCTTTTTCCATACCAGGTATGTCCGTGTGCTTGGAGAAATTGTAATTCCAGTTTTAAAGGACTGCCATGTGCTAATCTGAGGATTAAAGTCATTCCTTTCCAATGTGTAAAAATGAGGAGGATAAATTGATGAAAATGCACACTGCAAATTCCCAGTGAAAAAGCACCTGCCTTCATGAAGCTATTTTAATATTTAAATGTTGCCAACTATGTATTTGCTGCCTGCATACATAGAAATTCTCCCTTGTAAGCCTGCCCAAACCAAGAGCCAGGGTTGTTAAAAATTCTTTATACATTTTTTCATATAAATCTATTTCTTCTTATACAAACATTCTTCTGATGTTGGAATGATTCATAAAGCCTCAAATCCCATGGATGTAACAGGACACCTCTCGATTATGCATCCCAGGCATGAGTAATTTCACAAGCTGAAGGAAGGAGATAAATGCATTAAAATGTTCTTGCAAAACAAATTTCAAGGAGAGAAAGAGATGAAAATGGGAGTGAATGTACAAATGGAAGATTTACCTCATTGTGCGGAAAAGAATGTTAGATCTGCCTTTGCAAAACTCTTTAATTCATAGTTCTACACAAATAACCCTGGTAACTGCACTGCCCAAAGCCTTCCTAATATGAATGTACCTACAAATGTTCAGTTTTGTCTCTGCTAACTACAAAGTATGAGAACTGTATGTTAATTACATTTTACAGTGAATCATGGGTCAGAGACCCTGTGAGAAATTATGATAGCCTTTCATTCAGCATCAGTTCTATTCAGATGCAGAGTGGTTAGCCACTTCTGAACTTTGCAACTGTATCATCAGCAGCTAGATATTGAGCCTCTACTGTTTGGAAAGTCATACTGTAGCTCGATAAACACTGGGTATGGCACTTGTGAGAGCCAGGGCTTAATAGCAGAAGGCAAATAACCATATAAAGCAATATCATTTGTCCTGGGTGAGAAGTCCTAAAGATGTGCAGAGGTGGACAATCAGACGTTGAAATGACTAAAGAAGTCTTCATGGATGAGTGGACAAACTGAACTTTAAACACAAAGTAGTATTTGAATAAGTGGAGGTGGAGAGTGTTCTGGACTGTTACATTACAGAAATGGAATCATATATACCTAGAGGCTGGAAAGTTTAAGGCATCTTTGGAGAAAATTTAGATTATTGGATTTAACCATATGAAATTGCTGTTCTTATAGGTAAGAAATGGTCAAATATCACCAAGTGCACAAGACTCAAGACTGGCATAGTAGAAGACAAAGGTGGATATATGGGTAGGTAACAGATAAAAAAATTGAGAATGCCATGGCAAGGTACTTGGAGTGAGGCATTTCATTTAAACATCATCAACAACATAGCAACTAAAACCTAAAGAATCATAAATCTTAGAGAATCTTCTAAGTGTCTTAGGAAAAACTTAGTTTAACTTCTGATTCCTGAATTACCTTCATCATCTGTTTTTATGGCCCCACTGATAATGAGTATACAGCTAACTAAGCTGATTATCTTTTGAGTCAACTCTACTTGTTTATTTATTTAATGTTGATCCAAAGATTAGCGCTACAGGCAAGTTTAAAACTTTGAGTCCTCCCTTCAAATTTGAAAACAACAGCTTAAATTGTCCCTTTCTTATTGCTTTTATTCTTGTAACCTAATGTCAAGTCCCTCATTATTCTAGGTGGTCTGCTTTAGACAAATTCCAATTTGTGAAAGTTTCTCTGTAAGTTGAACACTAAATACAACACAACATATTAACTGGATATTGTATGATTATTTTTCCTCCCTTCTGGACACATATTTCAATTAATACATAATAACGTAATTAACTTTTCTTAGCAATTACTATACAAAGGGAAATCATATTGAGTTTACTGTCAACTAAACTTAAATGTTTCCCACCAGGCTACTAAGGCATCAGACCCGTATTTTATAGTTGTGTAAATGGTTTTGTATACCACAATTAGAACTTTTCATTACATACCTGTTAAATAACATCTGGGTATAATTAGTCTCTTGTTTTAATCTGTTGATATTGCTATTCTTTCAGTTAACATATTATCTATTACTCCCAAATTGTTTATATACAGGTTTGATCAGCATGCAGCAAATGACCTTATAATAGGCATTAATAAAATTGTTGAATAAGGCCAGAATCTGAAGTACATTCCTAGATGACTATTCAGATTCATATTAACTATTTAGAAAAAATTAGTTGTGAAATTTGTCTGACCTTACTGCAATTTGGTCAACATTTCTCAATCTTGATCATAAGTAGAGCATAATGTATTTGTCAGGTATCTTGATAAAATACTGAATGCCTGTGCTTACAGGATTCTCTGTCTCATAAGCTTTATCTCAACATTATTACCACCACTTTTACTTAATGAGTTGTTTCTACAATACCTTTGTAAAGCAAAAGTGAAGTAGAATATAGCGGCCATCTCTTATTATGCAGCAGGACCCTTTCAAATCAATTACCTGCTGAATTACCTCTATATCTCAATGCAAATAATAAACAGTTGACCTTTGAACAGTGTGGGCATTCGGGGCACTGATCCCCCTTGCAGTTGAAAATTCACATATAACTTTTCAATCCCCCAAAATTTATCTACTAATAGCCTACTGTTGACCAGAAGCCTTACGATAACATGAACAGTCAGTTAACACACATTTTGTATGTTATATGTATCATATACTGTATTCTTACAATTAAGTAAACAAAAGAAAATATTATTAAGAAAATAATTATAAGAAAGAGAAAATATATTGATTATTCATTAAGTAGAAATGGATCATCATAAATATTTTTATCCTCATGTTCAGTATGCTGAAGAAGATCAGGAGGGGTTGGTCTTGCTGTCTCAGTGGTGGCAGAGGCAGAAGAGGTGGAGAAGGTGGAAGGGAGGCAGGAGTAGAAGGCACACTTGGTGTAACTTTATGGAAATACGTTTTAATTTCTGTCTGACTTTTTGCTTTTTCATTTCTCTAAAAATATTTCTATATATGTTACTAATCTTTTCCCCACCATTTGCTTTCGTTGCAGTGCCTATATGATAGAAGGGTCCATGTCACAACAGAAGTCAAGAGCAGTCTTGAATAACTGAAACCCTTCTGGCCAGATTGTCTAATATCAATTTTTTTTTCTGGCACTGCTTCTTCTATGTCTTCTTTCTCATTGTCCAGCACATTTGGAAGCAGTCATCTTTATCAAGTCATTTTCTGTTACCTCCTCCGGTACAGTGTCTAATAGCTCTTGAATTTCTCCAAGATCCAAATCTTGAAACCCTTCACCTCCTGTCCTCCTTTTTTAAAAGACTGTATCTACAATATCTTTCATTATTTTCTTGATTGGCTGTCATAAGTTCTGTGAAGTCATGCATAACATCTGGACACAATTTTCTCCAGTAGGAATTTCTCATTTTTGCCTTGACAGCTTGCACAGCCTTTTCTATAACAACAATGGCATTTTCAATGATGTAATCCTTCCAGACATTGGTTATGTTCTCTCCTTTGGGGTTCTCTTCCATAGCATTGACAATCCTTTTCATATACCATGTGCAATGAGCCTTAAGTGTCTTTATGACCCCCTTATCAGAAGCTGACTTAAAGATGTGTTTGGGGGCAAGTAGACCATTTTGATGCCTTTAGTGTTAAATTCATGAGGTTCTGTGACCAGGGGCATTGTCCAATATCAAAATAATTTTAATAAGGCAGCTCCTTACTGGTAATGTGCGTCTGATTTAATGTCCCTTCTGATTTCAGGGACAAAGCATTGATGGAACTGATCCCAAACAGGGGTTCTCATTAGCTAGGTCGGGTTGGTGTACAATCAAAAGACTGAAAGCTGGTGTTTATTTTTTTCCTTCAGGCTCAGAGTTTAGCAGCTTTTAGGTAAGGGCAGTCTTGATCATAAACTCAACTGTATTTGCAAAAATTCAGTAGAGTTAGCCTGTCTCTTCTTCTCTTAATTTCTGGTGCTCACTTCTTTTCCTTAATAATACATTTATTGTGGCTTTGTTTTTTCAGAATGGGAAACTTTTTTTTCATTTTTTGAGACAGAGTCTCACTCTGTCACACAGGCTGGAGTGCAGGGGTGCGATCTCACCTAACTGTAACCTCCGTCTACTGGGTTTAAGTGATTCTCCTGCCTCAGCCTCCTTAGTAGCTGGGAATACAGGCATGTGTTACCATGCCTAGCCAATTTTTGTATTTTCAGTAGAGATGGGGTTTCACCATGTTTTCCAGGCTGGTCCTGAACTCCTGACCTCAAGTGATCCACTCACCTCAGCCTCCCAAAGTGCTGGTATTACAGGCATGAGCAACTACACCCAGCCCAGAATAGGAAACTTGTGTGTGCATTAAAAACCTGTTTAGGTAGATATTATTTCTCCTCAATTATTTTCTTAGTAGTGTCTGGGAACTTGTCTGTTACCTCTAGTTCAGCAGAAGATGCTTTCCTGTTATCTTGACATTTTTAAAGCCAAATCTCATTCTAAAATTATCAAACCATCCTTTGCTGGCATTAAACCTCTAGCTCTAGAACCTATAATTTTCTTTTGCTTTAAGTTGTCATACAATGACTACTTTTTCTTGAATTATAGTAGTGTCTATAGGTATGCCTTTCCTATAGCAATCCTGAACCCACATAAAACCTGCATCTTCATTATGAGTAAAAAGATATTTCACAAAAACCGTAAGGTTGTGTCAGTCACTTGCTGGTATAGCTGCAGTGATGGCTTTATATATTTCCCTTTCTTTTTTTGCAGTGGTCCTGACAGTGGATTCATTTATCTTGAAATGGTAGGGAATTGCAGCTGCAGACCTTAACGTATGATACATATAAAATAATTTAACTTTTTCTTGTAATGTCATGACTAGTCTCAGCTTTTTGGAAGCACTTCCTTCCTCACCAGTGGCACTTTGTATTGGTCCCATAGTGTTATTCTAGGTTTATGGTATTGCATGAGACACTAACACTATAAGAACTGCAAGAGATCATCTTTTACTACAATATGCAATTTACTGGAGAGACAAACTGCTCATGCAGAGATGATTAGTGTGAAATGGTGTTTTAAGCAGATTGAGCTCACTGCAATAGCAATGGGAGCTGGCTATGAAATTATTACGGTAATATAGTATACACTAAAGTTAACTTTATGCAGTTGTGATTTAATGCTACACCTTTACATTTGTTTATATTTTTCTCAGTTGTAAATGGTTCCATGTCTAGTCTGTGTTTGTGCATAAGTTTTGATAAATTTTCACTTTTTATAATAGATTTGTATACATTTTATTATAGCAAATGATGAATAGTATGTACATACATTTTTGCATCTAGGACATACCTGACCTTTTTTTTAAACTTTTTAAAAATATTTCTAGACTACAGGTTTATATGTATATTTTTTTCAACGTGTCACAAATCTTCAAAAAATCTTCCAGTATATTTATTGAAAAAAATCCACATATAGGTAGACCTGTGCAGTTCAAATATGTGTTGCTAAAGTCAACTGTATTAAAATATGGGTCAGAAAACTTTTTATATAAAGAGCTAGATAATAAATATTTTAGACTTTGTGGGCTGTACGTTCTCCGTCCCAACTATTTAACATGGCCATTGTAGAGCAAAAGCAGTGATAGACAATACTTAAACAAATGGATGTGGCTGGACTCCAAGAAAACTTTATTCACAGAAAGGTACAGGCTGGATTTGGGCCATGCAATAGTTTGCTGACCCTTGTATTAATATACTATCATTAATACATTGTCAATTATCATATATCTATAACATCTGAAAGGATGAAGAAGTCTCTACAAGAATGGGAACTATGGATAGAAAAACTCAGGGAGGGAATTTGGAGATTAAAATCTTTCCTTGAGGAGAATTATGGTGACTATCTTCAAAAAGTCACCATGCACAGCTGAAGGCCTTTAAAGAAGAGAGACTGGATGGTAATATGCCATAAGGGAGTGCAATGGACTCAATGTTTGTGTCCCCCAAAATTCATATGTTAAAATCTTAAACCCCATTATAATGATATTAGAAAATGGGGCTATTGGGAGGTGATTAGGACATGAAGGGGAAGCCTCACAAATGGGATTAGTGACCTCATGAAAAATAAAGAGAAAGCTTGCTATCTCTCTCCGTTCTCTACCATGTGAGGATACAATGAGAAGATGGTCATCTGCAAATTAACACTAGGGTCCTCACCAGACATGGGGTCTGCCAGCACCTTGAACTTGGAATTCCCAGCCTCCAGATCTTTGAGAAATAAGTGTTTGTTGTTTTAGCCACCTAGTCTATGGTAATTTTTTCTAGCAGCCCAACTGACTAAGACAGAGAGTGTGCCAACCAACACAGGAAATTTTACCTATTTTGCACTGTTGCTGTGATTTGGGACAGATTTCAGTATTGAGATTATCCAAGTACAACACTCAATTCTCTAGAAGTTTAATATGAAACAAAAAAAATGGGATAGCATTCAAATACCCCATCCTGAAGTATTTTTTAACTTGGTTGGTGACAGTCAGAAGGCCTTGGTATATGTATATAAGATAGTATTTAAAGGTAATGTTTAAAACTGAACTCAGTAAACCTTGACCTATATATTCACAAAGTTGAATTATGAATATAAAAGTAAACAAATACAACTTTTTCCTTGTAGAGTTATTTTGTTGTATGAACTGAAAGAACTGAATGATTCTTTTGGGAAGAACAGTGTTGTTCTCTACACTTGTATGGAGTTCATAGACCATTTATTTTCAATCATAAAACACCATAGATTGTAAGATGCACAACCGATTTGATAACAGCTTTTCAGAGAAGAAACCAAAGTGAACTTAACAAAATCCAAAATCTGTAGGATATTCAATATTCCCGTAAATTGTGGACTATATCCTGACTTTAGAAATTTAAAAAGTGAAAAAGCTATATCATAGAATGGAAGAAATGTTTTATATCATCATCTCCTCTGCCCACCCCACTCACCCCCAACACACACACACACACACACACACACACACCCCTTGGCTTTAGGTGAAAAGTAAAATAAGCCAGAACCTCTTATGAATTCTTCAGGAATAATGCAGCATAAATGAACTTCACTGCTTTGTTCCAGCTTGTCTATTCTGAGATAAAATTTGTATTGTTTCAAAATGGATAGGATTTTTAACTGCATTCAAAATGAACTTTTATCTTAGGAGAATTTTAGATTTTTTTTTTATTATCCTTTAAGTTTTAGGGTACATGTGCACAATGTGCAGGTTACATATGTATACATGTGCCATGTTGGTGTGCTGCACCCATTAACTCGTCATTTAACATTAGATATAGCTCCTAATGCTATCCCTCCCCCCTCCCCCCACCCCACAACAGGCCCCGGTGTGTGATGTTCCCCTTCCTGTGTCCATGTGTTCTCATTGTTCAATTCCCACCTATGAGTGAGAACATGCAGTGTTTGGTTTTTTGTCCCTGTGATAGTTTGCTGAGAATGATGGTTTCCAGCTTCATCCATGTCCCTACAAAGGATATGAACTCATCATGTTTTATGGATGCATAGTATTCCATGGTGTATATGTGCCACATTTTCTTAATCCAGTCTATCATTATTGGACATTTGGGTTGGTTCCAAGTCTTTGCTATTGTGAATAGTGCCACAATAAACATACGTGTGCATGTGTCTTTATAGCAGCATGATTTATAATCCTTTGGGTATATACCCAGTAATGGGATGGCTGGGTCAAATGGTATTTCCAGTTCTAGATCCCTGAGGAATCACCACACTGACTTCCACAATGGTTGAACTAGTTTACAGTCCCACCAACAGTGTAAAAGTGTTCCTATTTCTCCACATCCTCTCCAGCACCTGTTGTTTCCTGACTTTTTAATGATTGCCATTCTAACTGGTGTGAGATGGTATCTCATTGTGGTTTTGATTTGCATTTCTCTGATGGCTAGTGATGATGAGCATTTTTTCATGTGTCTGTTGGCTGCATAAATGTCTTCTTTTGAGAAGCGTCTGTTCATATCTTTTGCCCATTTTTTGATGGGGTTGTTTGTTTCTTGTAAATTTGTTTGAGTTCATTGTAGATTCTGGATATTAGCCCTTTGTCAGATGAGTAGATTGCAAAAATTTTCTCCCATTCTGTAGGTTGCCTGTTCACTCTGATGGTAGTTTCTTTTGCTGTGCAGAAACTTGTTAGTTTAATTAGATCCCATTTGTCATTTTTGGCTTTTGTTGCCATTGCTTTTGGTGTTTTAGACATGAAGTCCTTGCCCATGCCTATGTCCTGAGTGGTACTGCCTAGGTTTTCTTCTAGGGTTTTTATGGTTTTAGGTCTAACGTTTAAGTCTTTAATCCATCTTGAATTAATTTTTGTATAAGGTGTAAGGAAG
This sequence comes from Homo sapiens, assembly GCF_000001405.40. Taxonomy (NCBI): domain Eukaryota; kingdom Metazoa; phylum Chordata; class Mammalia; order Primates; family Hominidae; genus Homo; species Homo sapiens. The sequence continues at coordinate 152,167,677 of NC_000003.12, read as the reverse complement.
GGATCCAGTTTCAGCTTTCTACATATGGCTAGCCAGTTTTCCCAGCACCATTTATTAAATAGGGAATCCTTTCCCCATTGCTTGTTTTTCTCAGGTTTGTCAAAGATCAGATAGTTGTAGATATGCGGCGTTACTTCTGAGGGCTCTGTTCTGTTCCATTGATCTATATGTCTGTTTTGGTACCAGTACCATGCTGTTTTGGTTACTGTAGCCTTGTAGTATAGTTTGAAGTCAGGTAGCATGATGCCTCCAGCTTTGTTCTTTTGGCTTAGGATTGACTAGGCAATGCGGGCTCTTTTTTGGTTCCATATGAACTTTAGAGTAGTTTTTTCCAATTCTGTGAAGAAATTCATTGGTAGCTTAATGGGGATGGCATTGAATCGATAAATTACTTTGGGCAGTATGGCCATTTTCACAATATTGATTCTTCCTACCCATGAGCATGGAATGTTCTTCCATTTGTTTGTATCCTCTTATTTCATTGAGCAGTGGTTTGTAGTTCTTCTTGAAGAGGTCCTTCATATCCCTTGTAAGTTGGATTCCTAGGTATTTTATTCTCTTTGAAGCAATTGTGAATGGGAGTTCACTCATGATTTGGCTCTCTGTTTGTCTGTTATTGGTGTATAAGAATGCTTGTGATTTTTCCTCATTGATTTTGTATCCTGAGACTTTGCTGAAGTTGTCTATCAGCTTAAGGAGATTTTGGGCTGAGACAATGGGGTTTTCTAGATATACAGTCAAGTCATCTACCTGAAAGTGACGGGGAGAATGGAACCAAGTTGGAAAACACTCTGCACGATAGTATCCAGGAGAACTTCCCAAATCTAGCAAGGCAGGCCAACATTCAAATTCAGGAAATACAGAGACCACCACAAAGATACTCCTCGAGAAGAGCAACTCCAAGACACATAATTGTCAGATTCATGAAAGTTGAAATGAAGGAAAAAATATTAAGGGCAGCCAGAGAGAAGGGTGGTGTTACCCACAAAGGGAAGCCCATCAGACTAACAGCTGATCTCTCGGCAGAAACTCTATAAGCCAAAAGAGAGTGGGGGCCAATATTCAACATTCTTAAAGAAAAGAATTTTCAACCCAGAATTTCATATCCAGCCAAACTAAGCCTCATAAGTGAAGGAGAAATAAAATCCTTTACAGACAAGCAAATGTTGAGAGATTTTGTCACCACCAGGCCTGCCCTAAAAGAGCTCCTGAAGGAATCACTAAACATGGAAAGGGACAACCGGTACCAGCCACTGCAAAAACATGCCAAATTGTAAAGACCATCGAGGCTAGGAAGAAACTACATCAACTAACGAGAATTTTAGATTTATAGAAGTATTGCAAAGATAGTAAAGAGAGTACCAGTGTATCCACATCCAGTTTTTGCTTTTATCACTGTCTTTTAAGAGTTATTTGTGTATTTTAGATACTAGTCCCTTACCAGACACGTTTTGCAGCTATTTTCTCTCAGTCTGTGGTTTGTCTTTTCTTTTCTTTTTAAACTGTGCCCTAATATGCCTTTTTTTTTTTTGTTCCAGCATACCATTCAGGATATCACATTAAATTTAATAGTCATTTCTCCTTAGGCTCCTTTGGCTTTCAGTTTCTCAGACTTTTTTTTGTTTTAGGTGGCTTTCACAGTGTTGCCAATTATTGGTCAGGTATTTCATAGACTGTCTCCCACTTGGGATTTGTCTGATGTTTTTCTCATAATTAAATTATGGTAATTATTTTTGAGAGGAATCCCACTAAGATATAATGTCATTCTCACAATATACTTTAAGCATGCATACTATCAGTATGACTTGCCACTCTTGATGTTAACCTTTATCACTGGGCTTGAGGTATGTCAGGTTTCTCCACTATATAGTTATTCCTTTTTCTCTTTTTATATAATCCTCTTTATAGCCACCATGTATATAGTTCACACTAAAGGAGTGGAAAGTTACACTCTGCGTTCTTAAGGTGGTGTATCTGTAAGGTATTAAAAATTCTTCACCATAGGAGACCTGTCACTTCTCCCCCATTTATTTATTTATTTAATCATTTATGTATATCAGTATGGACCTATCTTGTCTATGTCATGCACTGTTCCTAGATTCAGCCAATTCTCCAAGGAGCCTTGGTTTCTTTTACACTTTTCTAATGGTATTAAAAACCAAGATCTGAGCACTACGTGTGCTCTTTGCAATTAAAGTGCCATTGTTTCCAGGTTCTTTCAGCAGACAGATCAAGGAGAAATATGTATATATATGAATCCATCTACAGAGCCGAGATCGCACCACTGCACTCCAGCCTGGGCAACAGAGCGAGACTCCGTCTCAAAAAAAAAAAATTCTATCTATCAATCTATAAATATTTCTACAGGTAAACATCAGCAGATATAGCAAACTAAATATAAGTTCTTATTGATGTATCCAACTCTAATCCATTACCATATGGATCCTTCTAGTCTTCTTCCCTTGCTTATTTGAGCCTTTCATTTTAGCAGCAAGAAGTCTGATTCCAACCATTTGCCATCAATTTGCCTAATTGTTCAATTCTAGTATGTATGTTTAGTGACTTCAAAATTGCTAATCTGTACCATTAAGGGAAACAACTTTATCAGCTACAGTACAGTGTACATACAATTTATTTCCCTTTAACTTTACAGATTACACTCATTCCCAATGTTAAGTGGGTCAGCACCTTATTCCCTAACCACCTTCAGTGAAGTTGTTTTATAAACTTGTCATATACTTAGACTTGTCACTTTCTGCATTCCATCCTTGTATTCTCCAAACTAATTTTTTTTAAATTTGTACCTGTTAAGGTTTATATTTTGCCATAAAATCCTATGGATTTTGATAATGCTTAATATCTTGCATTCACCACTACTGTATTATACAAAATATTTTCACCACCCTAAAAATTCCCCTGTGTTTTATATATTTAGCTAGTCCTTCTCCACCACCTACTGAACATCTGGTAACCACTGATCTGATTACCACTGCTACAGTTTTGCTTTTTTAGACTTTCATATAATTGGAATAATAATATGCAATATGCATTTAAGTTTCATTTATATCTTTCCATGGCTTGATAGCTCATTGCTTTTCATTGCTGAATAAATTTCATTGCACAGTATGTCAAGTTTGTTTAATCATCTATTCAAGAAACACTTGGTTTTGCTCTGCTTTTGGTGAATAAAATTCCTATAAAAGTTTGCATACAGGTTTCTGTGAAGTTTTCAACTCATTTTTGTAAATACCTAGGAGTGCAACTGCTGGATTTTGTGTTAAGCCTATGTTTAGTTTTGTAAAAACCTCTCAAAATGTCTTCCAAAGTAGTTGTACCATTTTGCATTCCCATCAGCAATGAATAAGAGTTCCTGTTGCTCCACATCCTTGCAAACATTTGGTGTTGTCAGGGTTTTGGATTTTCATCATTCTAATAAGTGTCTAGTGATAGCTCATTGTTTTCTTTCTTTTTTTTTTTTTTTTTTTGAGACAGAGTCTTGCTCTATTGCCCAGGCTGGAGTGCAGTGGTACGATCTCAGCTCACTCCAAGCTCTGCCTTCTGGGTTCACGCCATTCTCCTGCCTCAGCCTCCCGAGTAGCTGGTACTACAGGCGTGAGCCACCACACCTGGCCAATAGTGTCCTTTGATGAACAAAAGTTTTAAATTTTCATCAAGTCCAATTTATTTTTCCTTTTGTTACTTGTCTTTGTGTTCTATTTAAAAATACATTGCCAAATACATAAAGGCAAATGTTTTTCTATGTTTTCTTTGAAGTGCATAGTTTCAGGTCTTAAATTTAAGTCCAATGTTCTAGGTAAGTTACATTATTTTTAAATTTTTATTTTTTATTTTTGGAGACAAGGTCTCTTGAACTCCTGGGCTCAAGAGGTCCTCCCACCTCAGCCTCCCAAGCAGCTGGGACTACAGGCAGATGCCACCATTTGTGGCTAATTTTTTTAAAAAAACCTTTTTTTATATAGAAATGAGGTCTCACTATGTTGCCCAGGTTGGTCTCAAATTCCTAGGCTCAAGCTATCCTCCCACCTTCGCCTCCCGAAGTGCTGGGATTGAAGGCCTGAGCCACCACACCTGGCCTAAATTGCCTTCTAAAAAGGTATTACCAAATGATACTCCCACCAACAGTTTATAAGAGTGTCCATTTTTCTCTCCAATGTTGGATATTATCAGCTTTATATGTTGCTAATCTAGTGGGAACAAAAAATATATGACATTATTTTAATTTTTATCCCCATCATTATCAAAGAGGTTAAACATCTTTTCACACATTTATTGGCAATTTGCATTTTTTTGTTCTTTTGAAATTTTTCTATTTTTTGTTATTTTATATAATATTGATTCATAGGAGCTCTCATATATTATGAGTATTTATCCTTTCTTATGTTTGCTTTACATATTGTTTCCCAATTTATAATTTGTCTTAATTTTGCTTAAGGAATCATTATTCAAAGCAAACTTTTTATAGTTTATGATGAATTTATGATAAATATTTATGATGAATTCTGGTATTTATGTTTTCAAGCCTTCCTCAGTCATAGTTATAGACATGTGTACCTATAGTTCATTTTAATACTTTTATAGTTGATAGCATGTATCTTTTATTTTGTTTTAACATTTAACCCTTTTATCCATTTGGATTTAAAAAATACATCTTGTGTGAGGCAGGAGTCTAACTTTTTTTTTTTACCAAGCCTTACACTGATTTTCTCAACATTGTTTTTGAAACTGTCAATTCAAAAATAATGAAAAAAATGATCATTATGTTTTTTTATCTGCATAGAAATTCTTTATAATCTTTTGCTATGAGATTTTTGGCACCAAACCATTATAATCATATTTTATCTACAAATAAACCTAAAGATAGAAAAAATGCTTTGATAGTTTTATAATTAGAATATTTAAATGATTTTCTCAGTTTATGGCAAAATTTTTAAGTTTTTTTTTTTTTTTTTGAGACAGAGTCTCACTTTGTCACCGAGGCTGGAGTGCAATGGGGTGATCTCGGCTCACTGCAATATCTGCCTCCCGAGTTCAAGCAATTCTCCTGCCTCAGCCTCCCCAATAGCTGGGATTACAGGTGCCTCCCACCACGCCTGTCTAATTTTGTATTTTTAGTAGAGACAGGGATTTGCCATTTTGGCCAGGCTGGTCTCGAACTCCTGACCTCAGGTGATACGCCCACTTCGGCCTCTCAAAGTGCGGGGATTATAGGCTGAGCCACAACACCCATCCCTTACCAGTAATTTTAATGGTCTGGTTGTGTCCTGCATGGAAGTGTATTGTCTTTTGGAGGGGATCTGTAGTAGTTAGTGAACAGATTCTATTTGGCTTTCCCCCCAAAACTTTTATGCCAGAGTTATTTTTAGTCCCATTTGTCAGTAGATTAAGATGTTTGATGGAAACTACTTTATCTCAAAGATTTTTCAACCCCTTTAGGTTTGTGAAGGTTAATCACAAAACACAAAGAGTCAGGATGTTGTTATTAATTGGCTTATGAGCGTGTCATTGCAAGGGTTAATATTTCTACACTGCAGGGAAAAGAAGGGTCATAATTCCAAGGCAATTAACTGAGAGGAACAGCCTGACCCAGGAAAATTCCTCTTGGCTCCTATAAAAGTTACATGCATTTTAAAGATTGGTACCCAAAGTAGCCCGTTCTTTGGTTTTATTGTTCTGTGGAAAAGAACATTTTCTCTGATACTTTAAGTTTGAAGAATCAGTGCATATTTTAATGCCACATATGCAAAAATATCTTCCAAATTTACTTAGAACTTTAGGTAGGAGTATGACTTTTTGGGGGAGAAGGATAGAAGAGAATTCATTTAAAACAACTAGAAAATGCAGTCAATAATCAAGAATATATGTTCTTCAAAAAAAAATTCACTAGAACCTGGGAATTTTCATTGTAAGTATCTCTGTTGTCTTGATAACTGAAATCTGTGTTATCTGTGTTACAAAGAGTAGCAATAGATCCTTCTATAGTGAACATAAGGCATGATTTGTCTGTTTCATAAATCAAACATTTATACATTTGATTTTCTTAAGGTAAGAATTACTTGTATATGCGTCTCTGTAAACTTGGGAATGTTGATTTATTTTGTGAACACGACTAGTTATAGACAAGTCCATCTCCTTGACTTTACACTCGTCTATATCAAAATTACTCTGAATTGTTTTGGAATTGAACATATCTGACTGAAAACCAAACAAACATAGGAGTTAAAGAGTGTTCTTAGATTAATGAGATAATTTGCTTTAAAAAAAGATGAATTATATATTTAGGGCATTAAAAATTAAATATAATTAAATAATAATTTAGGTGGCTTTAATTGTGTGAAATTTTGAAAAACTTTTTCAAAAGACAGATACTTATTGAAAATTTTTAACAAGCATTTTCTACTCTGCCTTCCCATTTCCCTGATTGTCCTTATCCAGGAGTTTATGTTTTGCATGCTCTTTTCTTACTTTAGGGGCTGCAAACACTGTCATGAATTAAATATGTCATCTATGGAGTATAGCTAATCTATAAGCCAATATCATGTAATGCAGCTTAACCTGGACTTTTTTTGACAGTTGTAATACAAATTGCTTTTGATTTCAATCCAATCCTCTTTGATAACCACAGTTTGCACAGCTTCTCAGAGCAAATCCTTTCTTATGGTCTGAGTGATGAATTTCTAAAGCTCATTGTATATGTCAGGTCTTCCAGTTACGTAAGTGAAAATAATAGCAGACGTAAACTTTTTGCTTTAAAAAAAAGCTGAATGTTTTTATGCTCTTGAACAAAGGTCAACAAAACAACAACTTAAGAAAAGGCTAAACCGTCTTCAGAAACCCCACTTGTGAGAACAAGCACTCTTGCATGCATGTTCTGAGAGAATGATGTAGTGAAATGATCCTAAGTTTTAAAGGTCACATGGACCTTGAGGTGAATCCTAGAATCCTCCCTGTATATCAAGGGAATTTTGACAGGTCATTTAACATTTCTATATCTAAGCTCATCCTAAAGTGGGGCTGAAAATACCTGTCATAGATTGTTATATGTAATAAAAGAATTACCAGATGGAAAGCACCTAGTGCAGTCCCTAGAATTTTTAGTTTCTAGATAATTCATTCCCTGACTAGATTTTCACTCCGGGTTTCAGATTGACACTGAGTTTTGCAGAGTTTTTCCCTACTCTGAGTTCCCAAAGTCTACTGAAACAGGATTCAGGGCTGAGCAGCACGAAGACAGGCAGCCTAAGCAGGAGTGGAGAGGTAAAGGAGAAGAGAGGGGTTAGCTCTAAAAACAGAGATTGAGTTTATGGAACTTTCAAAAGAGGAATCTCAACATATTGACAGTAATCATGGGCAATTCTAAGAATTCTGACTTTTCACTATTTTATATACTCAGGTTATATATATATATGCAGAATATGGAATTTGGAGTCAGAAGACCTCTTTGGGCCTCAGTTTTCTCATCTATAAATTGGCAACAAAAATATTTCATGCTTTGTGTTCTTCATGTGGTTAATAGGACATCACAAAATCTATTAGTGTATGAGATAAGCCTTTGAAAGTATAAAACTCAATAATAAAAAATAAATAAAATAAATAAGAAAAAAAGAAAGTATAAAACTCTATACAGTTGTTAGCTATCATGTCTTGATCTGGATGAACTAACAATATATTGTATGCCAGAGGAGATATAAGAATTAAGACAGATCAATTACATTGAAAAATGCTACACAATCTCCAAGGAAGTAATTCTCAAGGAAGTAAATATTTTCAATCTGTAAAATCAGTTTATGTCAATCATATAAAAATTATCATAATTCTATAGCACACACACTCACACACATATAATATTAATTATGAGAAACTCAGGACTTCTTAGAAAATAAAACTAGATTGTTTGAAAGAAAAACTAATGAACTGGAGTTTCATTCCTGGAGCTTATACCTATTATTAGCTTAAACATGATGTACTGAAAATTTAATAAAATTTCAAGCTGTTTCAGAAAGCTAAATAAAATGGAGAATTCTTTTTTTTTTTTTAAGGTTATTCAATCAACCTCCTAATATGGGCATAAACTCCAGTGGCTTGGACTCTGAAGCATGATTCCTCAAAATAAAGCAAACAGTTCCTCATGACTTTATAGAGTGATTAAGCCATTGGAAATGCGTTGCACAAAAAGCGCCATGCAGCACAACATAGAAAAGAGCTCCAGTTAATGTAACATGTGGAGAAAGACAGTGTGGGTATGCACTTAACTGTTTGGAGAAGCTCCTTAACTTTAAAATCACGTATTGAAACTAGGATATGTAAAAACTTCGAATGAACTTCAAATGAAGAATAATGACATAAATTAATTAGGGCTGGATAAAGAATAAAATACCACTTATTTAAAATGCATGTACTAAGAATTCAGAGGAGCAGATAGGTTACACATCTGAGGTGTGTTTCTTCAGGTTTCAAGAAAGCACTCTATTTAGAAATCAGTAGCATGTTTTGGTTACATTTGCAGAATGGCAATCCACTGTTTTCTTTTTTAATTTGATTGTGATTCTAATGTTTGCTATGTCAAAGAGACTCTCAAGTGTTTTAAAAATCCTTTTATACAAACGTTTCTTTATTTGGCTCTTAATGTAGACCCAATCAAACGAAAGAGCACTGAATTTTGGGAAAGAAAAAATTAAAATAGAATGTCAGTCTAAATTATTTTAAATCTGTTGTGCTTATCAAATATTTTTTATTGATTTATATGATTTTTAGGCATCAATATGGCATTTCACATGTATACTACTGTTGAAATTTTATATTATATTGCAACATACTTGCATATTATTTTAATAATATGAGGAAAGAATAAGACAGGTGATTTACTATGAGTTAGTTTTCTTATTTTGTGTAAAGAGGAACTTTACGAAGGCCAATTTTTTTCCACAGAAACTTCTTCCTTTAAGTAGATACAGCTTGTCTGAAGTATGAATCTATCATTTAAAAAAAATAGTTCAAGCCTGTTGAAGAGGCTTTATTATTTTTGCAACCTGCCCAAACAGAATTTTATATTATATGATAGCTTTGTTACTTGTCAATAACCATATAATTCATTTAAACTTCATTACTTGTCAATAACCATATAATTCATTTAAAAGAGAAGAAACTAGGCATTAAACAAATATCTTTACAGTATTTAAATTAAAATGTAGCATGCTGATTTCTGACTAGGAAAATGAAGAATAAGTGCCAACAAGAGACACTTAAGAAACTGCTATTACTTCTTTCATCTTCCCAGAGAATTATCTGTTCTCTGCATATCAGAATTTAGGCACATCATCTCCAATTGTTTGTGTACCTATCAATCTATCCTAAGAGAATCCTAGGTCCTCCAAGATAGAGACTATTTTATTATGTTTTATTTTTCCAGCATACTCAACATGTTGAATGCATGAATAACTGTACATATGAATGAGTGAGTACAGACATAATTTTCGTAAAGTTTAAAAAATATTTACGACCATGATTCATGGTAAAAAAAATACATTTGTACATCGGGATGCAAAACAGAAGAGTGTGCATACACATACAAGAAAAAAACAAAAACAAAAGAGTTACAAATCAATATTCATCTTTACTCCATGTACCACTCTCTGGTATTTTCTATTCATATCTATTTCATTGGAAAAAATAAACTTCTTGGTGAACTAAATTGATTTTATAAATGAGTCATAAACTGTAATTTAGAAAACTAATTTGTGGAATAGAAAAACATATAAGAATCAGCTTATCCCTAATTTAACTTAAATACAGAAAACTAGTAAATATGAGGTATATTGACACTATCCATGTCATAAAATGTCCTGGAAATAGTACAGAAAAGATTCTTGAGGGTAAATTTTTGAAGAAGGCTTCGGGGAAAAGTTTAACTCTACTTGAACCTTAGCATTTTAGAATTTTGATTACAGAGAGAAGCTGAACATTCAAAGGTGTAGAAGGTAAGAACAAAAGCAAGAAAAAACAGAAATGAGTGTAAGATGAGGAGGTATGACAGCTGTAAAGATCACAGAGTCAGGCTTGGAGAGATAAAATGTATGAATACTAGACTGAGGACTTTATTAGGACCTCAAACAACATTTTCTCTTTCTCTCTTTCCTCCTTCTCTCTCTCTTTCTTCCTTCCTTCCTTTCTTCCTTCTTTTTCTTTCTTCTTTCTTTCTTTCTTTCCTTTCTTTCTTTCCCTTCCTTCCTTCCTTTCTTTCTCTCTTTTTCTTTCTTTCCTTTCTTATCACTGTAACATCAGCAAGCAAAACTTTTCCCTTTGGTCAAAAGAGATAGACAGGGAACACAATTAGTCTATTACAATATTATGAAAAAGAAGTGATAAAGATTAGGCTAATTTGGAAACAACTAAAAAAGAAAAGTAACTGATTGCTTAGGAGACCAAGCAACGTAGGGAATTAACCCTTTGCATTATAAGCTCTGTCATCTGGGAGATACTGGTAGTGATGACAGGAATAGAAAAGTTAGAAATAATGGACTGTTTGAAAGGGCTGTTTGAGTATTTTTGAGGCACCCCTTCTCTACACTAATGACTGTTTCAATACCCAGGCTTACCTTTCAACGTGAGAATGTGTAATGGTTATTTTTAGCTAAAGGTTTGCAATTTTCAAGTATGCTAAACTTCAGTATTGAGGCAGACTGCTGCAAACAGGCAAACATTCTGGAAACTGGGTAAATCAGATTGCTCGTGGTACAGCTCTCTAAATCTCATGGCTTACCATCATTGAGATTCAGCATATAATCTTGATTCAAAGGAAACAAACAAACCAGCAATCAAAAAATAGAGTAAAATAACAACAACAATAAATACATAAATTCTCAAGAAGCTAACTACATCAAGAAAACATTTTGAATACTTTACAAAACTTTCACTGAAGTTACTTATTTCATTCATAATAAAAAAATTGGCCTTAGGCATAATTTTCAAAAACTGCTTTGTTTCCATTTATTAGATTTTAGAATTTTTAACCAAGGCTGACATTATCTCCCACTACTTCTACTACTTTCCTATTCCCAAGTCACTAAAACTAAGAAATCACAAGAGTTGCCTCTAATAGATACTTTTGGCAAAAAACCTAAATCCAACAGATACAGAAATGTAATATAGAGCACCCTAAATCACCCAAGTCAATTCTCTTTGGGCCTTAGAATATTAGTTGAGTGTTATTTTCATGACTTGTCTGATTTTTCTTTTTGGATCTCTCTATCTAGAACAATTCAGAGGTTTTATAAATAATATCTTTCTATGGTTGATTCATTTTAACACCATGATTTTATGTAAAATGGGAATGTCTGGTTTGTCATTTTTATTTTTTTCTCGGACTGAAAACACACCTTCAATGAAAATAATAGTCAATGGAATAGGGTAAATATTAATATCTACAGGATTATTATGAGTTATTAAGGTGAGTATGGCAGTCTCACACTCCAAAGAAATGAACATCTACAACTTCAGAATGTGTTCAGATGTTTATAGCATACAACATATCATAACACTTCATAATTACAAAGCACCTTTCTTGAAATAAACTCTAGTCTATTTCACATGTTCTCATAGTTTCTTTGGAGTTGTTCCAAAGATACATTACTGTTTATAAGGTAAAGTGTGACACATGGCAAGTTCCTACAAAATCCATCTGAATTGAAGAAAGGAGATCAAAAACTAAGCAAGCTGAGTAGATGTCTCTGTGTGAGAAAGGCCCCTTCTGTTGTGATCTACAGAACTAATGAAAAGAATTTTTCCAGACACCACAGCATAGGGCTGCAGTGGGTTCTGCCTGTTAGTCTGGAGGAATTATTGTTTCAAAATATCCTCGCTGAATGTCAGGAATGCCCTAAGAGTCGTTTTTCCTCCTAGGTCCTAATGGCTCTTAACTTACATTAAAATGTTTTCTGGATTTATATAAGTGCTAATAATGACAACCTTTAGAAAAAATCCTGAGTTACATGTCATGGATTATTAAAACTTTACAGGAACAATTTACTTCTGGCAGGTCAAACAAAACTGGAACTTAGTAAGCATATTACCGCAGTGCTGCCTATTAGAAATGTCTTATGAATTAGTAAAAACATCTAAAATATTATTCTTCCTATGTGACAGCATATCTTATAAAGAACTAATTATTCAGAATTGAGTCACTTTTTCTGTTCTTTGCAATGAGTTTAAGTGGTAGGAAGAGAGAGGTAGTGTTAAATATCACAGATTCCACGACCATCCAGTCACAGAAGTGATTTAATTCTAGAAGGGTCTGAAAATAGTAATAGGATTATTACCAAAATATGTTACGGGATAACAGCAAGGATTGACTGGAATTGCTTATGTAAAGTTTCTGGAACCCTTTTAGCTGGTCACAAAGTTAGGGCTGAGGTGCTCTGCATCTTCCGCATCCTGCCACAGATAATTCTGTACAATCTGCAGAGATGGTAGGTAGTAGCTCTATACCATGCTTAAAAAAAATCGCAGTCCATGAAGTACAACCACATTCTCATAAATCACAGATGTGTTCATTATCAAAAGGATCCTCAAGTTTGAAGTAATTTCAAAGTCTGGTAGGCCTGTCTCATGAGCAGATTGAAAAAGTCACACACATGATCTGATAACACCTGGGAGATATACTTCTGCCCTGAAATTTTTAATGGTGCTTCTTTTAGGGGAACACTTTTTATTTGAAACCTTTCTTGGTACAGATAAAAGTGGGGTCGCTTTGACTGCAGAGGAGGCCCTGGAGCTCCTTCTGCTCCAGTGTCTGGGGCAGTATTGAAGAACACAGGTAGTTTTAGAAAGCGTAAAATCATTTTTGAGGTTCAGTGCCCTGCAAATAATCATTCTTTTTTGAAATTACCTGTTTATTTTCCTCAGAAACAAGATAGAAACCTACATATGAAGAGGAGCTTTCAATAGTAGAGTTTTCAGTAATAAGGAGGAAATTCTCTAGCCTTTAAAAAATGGAAAAAATTAAATCTTGCTCTTTTGAAAGACTACATGTATTACTGTTTCTAAATTTTCCTAGAAAAAATAAAGCCTTTGCTTAAAAAAATACAGCATTATATAACTATGAAATCCATAGATCTTTTATACATTTGATATGTACATCAGTTCTGAGCCAAAAGCACATAAATTAAACCACCATAAAATAAAATATATATATAATTATAAAAAATAATGTTATTCAGAAATAAAGTACTATAAAAAGAGGCTGAGATATTAAAGATACACCTTATTTTCATTTTCTGTCTCCTCAGGCATGGGTTAATGTGAAGGTATACACTGTTCTATTATAATTCAAAAATACTTAATAATCTTTGGAGGAAAAAACCTACTTATTTCCACACTTGCAGATTTTTTTATTGGTAAAATTGAGAGCATATGCCACCTCTGGGATCTAAAGTGTTGCAGTTAATAATAATTCTGTTTACCATGATAATGGCAATCATATAACTTCACAATTTAATAGGTGGGATTTAAAAAATAGTTTTATGCGTCAGTTTACTTTTGATGAGTTTAATCTAACTGGTTGCATATTTTGTGACTTCTTTATCTATATTTAGTACTATCTTTTCCTTCCTTTTTCTTTTTGAGATGGAGTCTCACCCAGTCGCCCAGGCAGGAGTGTGGTGGTATGATCTCGGCTCACTGCAACCTCCCCCTCCCAAGTTCAAGCAATTCTCCTGCCTCAGCCTCCTGAGTAGCAGGGATTACAGGCACCCACCACCACGCCCAGCTAATTTTTGTATTTTTAGTAGAGACAGGGTTTCACTGTGTTGGCCAGGCTGGTCTCGAACTCCTTACCTCGTGATCCTCCTGCTTCAGCCTCCCAAAGTGCCGGTGTGTCCGGAATTGGTGGGTTCTTGGTCTCACTGACTTCAAAAATGAAGCCACGGACCCTCGCAGTGAGTGTTACAGCTCTTAAGTGGCGCGTCTGGAGTTTGTTCCTTCTGATGCTCGGATGTGTTGGGAGTTTCTTCCTTCTGGTGGGTTCATGGTCTCGCTGGCTCAGGAGTGAAGCTGCAGACCTTGGCGGGGAGTGTTACAGCTCTTAAAGCAGGGCCTCTGGAGTTGTTCGTTCCTCCCAGTGGGCTCGTGGTCCCGCTGGCTTCAGGAGTGAAGCTGCAGACCTTGGCGGCAAGTGTTACAGCTCATAAAAGCAGTGGGGACCTAAAAAGTGAGTAGTAGCAAGATTTATTGCAAAGAGTTAAAGAAAAAGCTCCCACAGGGTGCAAGGGGACCCTAGCGGGTTGCCACTGCTGGCTCGGGCAGCCTGCTTTTATTCTCTTATCTGGCCCCACCCACCTCCTGCTGATTGGTCCATTTTACAGCAAGCTGAGTGGTCTGTTTTGACAGGGCGCTGATTGGTGCGTTTACAATCCCTGAGCTAGACACAAAGGTTCTCCACATCCCCACTAGATTAACTAGATACAGAGTGTGGACACAAAGTGTTCTCCAAGGCCCCACCAGAGTAGCTAGATACAGAGTGTCAATTGGTGCATTCACAAACCCTGAGCTAGACACAGGCTGCTGATTGGTGTGTTTACAAACCTTGAGCTAGATACAGAGTGCCGATTGGTGTATTTACAATCCCTGAGCCAGACATAAAGGTTCTCCAAGGCCCCAAAGTAGCTAGATACAGAGTGTCAACTGGTGCATTCACAAACCTTGAGCTAGACACAGGGTGCTGACTGGTGTATTTACAATCCCTGAGCTAGACATAAAGGTTCTCCACGTCCCCACCAGACTCAGGAGCCCAGCTGGCTTCACCCAGTGGATCCCTTACCGGGGCTGCAGGTGGAGCTGCCTGCCAGTCCAGGTGCCTTGCGCCCGCACTCCTCAGCCCTTGGGTGGTCGATGGGACTGGGCGCCGTGGAGCAGGGGGTGGCGCTCCTCGGGGAGGCTCGGGCCGCCCAGGAGCCCCATGGAGGGGGTGGGAGGCTCAGGCATGGCGGGCTGCAAGTCCCGAGTCCTGCCCCGCGGGAAGGCAGCTAAGGCCCAGTGAGAAATTGAGCGCAGCGCCAGGTGGGCTGGCACTGCTGGGTGACCCAGTACACCCTCCGCAGCCGCTGGCCCGGGTGCTAAGCCCCTCATTGCCCGTGGCCTGCAGGGCAGGCCGGCTGCTCAGAGTGCGCGGCCCGCCAAGGCCACGCCCACCCGGAACTCCAGCTGGCCCGCAAGCGCCGCGCGCAGCCCCGGTTCCGGCTGGCGCCTCTCCCGCCACACCTCCCTGCAAGCTGAGGGAGCCGGCTCTGACCTTGGCCAGCCTAGAAAGGGGCTCCCACAGTGCAGCGGTGGGCTGAAGGGCTCCTCAAGTGCCGCCAAAGTGGGAGCCCAAGCAGAGGAGGCGCCGAGAGCGAGTGAGGGCTGTGAGAACTGCCAGCACGCTGTCACCTCTCACTGGGATTACAAGCGTGAGCCACCGCGGCCAGTCAGTGCTATCTTTTAAAGATTTTTTTATTTTTGTTTTTGTTTTTTTTTTCAGTCAATAAACTTGGACTTTGCACCTTTAACTAACTTGATACAGCTCCAGACAAAGCTAAGAGTCTAGATAAGCAGTCAGTCCAGTTGTGGATTGTGTCAGAAAAATGACTTTGGCAACTCATGTAGAGACTATGCTCAGGTTCCCGTGTCCATAAAAATTGGTATAATAACACTCATTCCCCTTTTATTTTGCAGACATCATAAAGATGAATAAGATAATTAAAGGAACCCAAATATATGGGCATAAACATATAAACCTGAGGTAGGACTATTATTATAATGATGTTAAACAATGAGCATATTCAAAAGCTAAGTAATTAATACAAACTGTCCAAGACCATTTTTAAATATTGCATGCATATGGAAATTTGGAAAGCAAGAAGGAATCACAAGCTGGGCCACTGGGAAAGTTCGAGAGCCCTAATCCTGCCAGAGGCACTGCAGGGTGTAGTCACTTTCAGCACTCCTGTCTGACAACTCCCAGGTGAGTAGAGAGATTTGCGTCTTTCCCACCAGCCTGTGCTGAAAAAGTTTTCCCTGCTATTTAAAAACAGGCATGGTTCCTCTCATTTCTGGTAGGCGCAAGGGCCAGAGGCCTAATAGGACAAATAACCTTTCCTTCTCCGACCCCAGAAAATGTCCACATTAATTGGAATTGAATATTGAAATGTACCACTTTTGCATACATCTAAAACTTGCAGCCTCTGGCTTCATTATGAGTCAGATGGCAAATTGGAAAGACTGCGGGTGGGTCCTGAAACAAGGCTTTGAATGTTTTCTGCGTCTTTGTGAGCAGCTAGGCTTTCTACTGCTTGTAACATTAAAGTTGAATATAAAACTGTCATTTAAAGAAAAAGTGCTAGAGCATCTCTTTCCTTCCCGGCTGTATTTGGGATCCATCGACCCTTCCACAGAGAAGTCTCCTTTGAAGTCCCCTTTCTGACCAGGTTTATCTCCCAATTATTTTTTTCTTCTTCAGCTTTGAATTTATTCTTGTTCATACTTATCTCAGTTGCAATTTTTCATTTATCTGGAGGATTATTTGATTAGTGCCTTCCTTGCCAACTGGAAAGTAAGTTAGAGTAAATCGGGGCTGTATTTACTAGGGCTGCCGTATTTATCACAAACAAGTAAACAAAAAATTACAGGACACTCAGCTAAATTTGAATTTCAGATAAACATAGAATAATTTTTAGTACAAGAATGCTGTTTATCTAAAATTCAAATTTAACTGGGAATCCTGTATTTTATCTGGCAACATTTTTAGTCACAGTTTACCTTCAAGGCTTATCATAGTATTAAGAATATTGTAAGAGTTCAATTAAAATGTCTTGAATGGATGAATGCCAGATTGCAAGGAGGAAGGAAGGTATCATAACATTTTAGACAGTTGCAAATACATAAGATTGCACACTGTATACTTATAATTCATTTCCAAAAACTCTTCCTTGAAATAAATTTTCAAAAGCCAGGAACGACCCATAGAGATCATAGATAAAACTTTTATGAGTAGTAGTCAGTAAAAATGTCATACCACAATTCCACCATCAACATACTTTCGATTCTCCTGATTTCTATACAGAAAAGGTAACGAAAATCATATACACATCACGTAATTAACTAAAAACCAAATTTGAAGCAAGAAGACTCTCCTCATTTTTTACAGTGTTGATTGAAATACAGCAGGTGAAGCTTACAGAATGTGTAGTTATAAGTAGAAACATTCACTAGAGATCAAGGGGTGTAGAAATAGCCAGGAAAACTGGCAAATAACCCTCATCAGGTTTTGCGTGTACCTCAGATATTGTTCTTTGTCATCATCATTATTATAATTGTTTGACCTAATTGCTGTCTATAAATTACAAAGCAGATTATTGTCTTCTCAGACCCTTTTCATGTTTCTCTATTCTTTCATTAATTTCAACAAATACTGAATGTCTATTGTGTGTAAAACAATCTCTAAAACAGAAAATAAAAACCTATGTAAATGTGTTAAAGACTTACATAAAAAGTATTCTTATGTGGAAATACACACATTTTTTTCCTAAAAAGAATTTGCTAACTTAGCAAAGGCAAAGATTGCAAAGCACAGAAAGAATCCATATGACGACAGTACAAGTTAAGACATGTAGAATGAGAGTGAATTCCCTCCAATATATGTGTAGTTTGGCCCCTTACCCTCCATAATCTATATATTAGTCATTTCATTGTTTGAATATTTCATTTTAGAACACCATTAATAAATTATACATAAGTTTAAATTTCTACTGCTGTATATAAGCATACTTCTACTTTGCTCTTTTTTTTTTTTTTTTCTTAGAGGTGAAAGGATCCAGTAAGACTCTCCTTCTTGTAACAATGCTTTAGAAAACCACTTTGTGGTAGATTAAAGATGAACTACGGATTTTTTACTGTTCTTTGCACAAGAGGTGGAGCTAAATTCCTGTCTCCTTGAACCCATGCTGTCCTTACTGAAATGTTTCCTTCTTTTCTATATACTTTGACACAGTGTGTCTAAGATTGTAGGTTTTCTTTTTTTCATTCTTTTTTTAAAGTGTTTGGTAGAACTTGCTGGAAAAGCCATATCTGAATTTGTTTTAGTTTTGTTTTTGTTTTGTCAGAAGATTTTTCACTAGGGATTCAAACACTTTAATGGTTATGGGACTATGGTATTTTCTTTCTTTTTTAATTCAGTTCCCAGGAATTTGACCAATTTATGTAAGTTTTCAAATTTACTGGCATAAAGCTCTTCATAACATCTTTATATTATCTTTAAAAATTTCTGCATCCGTTATGTCTCTTTTGTTGTTAAAGTTAATTATTTAAGCTTCCCTACCTCTTTTTCTCACTACCTCCTCGATCTCCCTTTCCTTCTCCTCCTTCTCTTTCTCTTTCTTCTTTGTTAAAGTTGCTAGTTTTCCCAAAAAAATAGTAATATGTTTTTGGCTTTGTTGATTCTTTCTATGCATTTTTCTTTTCTGTGTTAATTTCTCCATTTTCTCTTCTGTTCATAAGGATGAAAGGTTGAATGGATATTGCATGGTCAACTAGCAGTGTATCTCACACCCAATTGGAAACTGCATTCATGTACCCTAGAGGGCTAAAGAAAAGCAAAAATTTCATAAAAACACAATTTCATAGGTGAAATTCAATAGATTATCTATTTTAAAATTGTATATTTTTTAGTAAAGAATTTGTTCTGGCCCTGGCCCTTGGAAAATAATCTCTAAACTCTTAGGAATATCCCCAGTGATAGGAGTGTCTTTGTTATTCATGGGAGCCTTGTAAACTACATCTGCTAGTTTATGCTAACAAGGTGACTCCTGGTGGATACTTCTGACCACACCTGTTAGCTTAGGCTAATGAGGTGACCCATGGTGGGCCTCTTGGGCCATGTGATATCAGCCTGAGCTCTGAGAAGTAGGAGGATAGAGACTGAGAGCAACCGTGTGGGCAACCAATTAATCAGTCAATCATACCCAAGTCATGAAACTCCAATAAAGAGTCTGGGCATTGAAGTGCAGGTGGGCTTTCTTGGTTGTCAATTCTCTAAGCATATTGTCACACACTGATACCAGGAGGGTAATTTTTCCTTAGGGCAATGGAAGTCTTGTGTTTAGAACTCTCTAGACTGTGCTCTGTGTGTGTCTCTTCCCTTGTTTGATCTTAATACATCCCTTTCCAGTTTCAAGCCATAACTGTATGCATAATAGCTCTCAGTGAGTCCTATGTGTCCTTCTAGTAAATTATCAAAACTGGTGGTGGTTTTGGGAAACTCCTGAACTTGTACCTTGTGTCAGAAGTCTTACATACAATTGTCAGTCTAGCGAACTGTGTCCTCAAAACTTGAAGTTTGGCTCAATATAGATATTGGTGTCAGAAGAAGTGAGATTCACTAGAAAAATCCTGAGTCACTGAAATATGTAGTTTGGGAAGAGAAAGAATGAAAGGGCAAATGATAACAAACTTTTGATTCTTGGATGACTACAGGGTCAGCTACGGTATGAAACTACTTATGTACCTCAGTTCATTATTGGAGACAAAACTTATTAATGGAATTTTGAAATAATAGCTCCAACTCCCAGACAGTTGGTTCACTGCATACATAAGGAAATTCAAAGTAGAAAAAAACAACAACTATACCATCCCCTGGTCATGACTATCAGTAATAGTGAAAACAAAAGTAAGGGAGAATGTTTGAAGTGGGTCCTGACACTGGGCCAAACTTAGATTCTGGCTGGCCCAAATTACAGTCTCTGGCTGCAGAGCCCCTACTAACAGGAAAAAATAAAAATAAAAGTGAAGGAGAATGTTAGGGCAGATCCTTATGCTTAGATTCTGGCTGGTCTAACCTACAGCCAATAACCTCAGAGCTACTTTCAAAGGAAAATAATTATGCTGAAACAACAGATAACAAAGAAGATCGGAATGATTTTTAAGAGAATGAGCAAAACAAAGGGGTAAGAGACAAGGGACTCATTCCAGCTAGGTAGAAATTTTATTTTTTTTTTAAATTATACTTTAAGTTCTGGGATACATGTGCAGAACGTGCAGGTTTGTTACATAGGCATACACTTGCCATGGTGGTTTGCTTCACCCATCAACCCATCATCTACATTAGGTATTTCTCCTAATGCTATCCCTCCCCTAGCCCCCAACCTCCTGACAGGCCCCAGTGTGTGATGTTCCCCTCCCTGTGTCCATGTGTGCTCATTGTTCAACTCCCACTTATGAGTGAGAACATGTGGTGTTTGGTTTTCTGTTCCTGTGTTAGTTTGCTGAGAATGATGGTTGAATCTTTAAATAGGCCGGGCACTGTGGCTCAGGCCTGTAATCCCAGCCCTTTGGGAGGCCAAGATGGGTGGATCACTTGAGGTCAGGAGTTTGAGACCAGCCTGACCAATATGATGAAACCCCATCTCTACTAAAAATACAAAAATTAGCTGGGTGTGGTGGCACGTGCCTGTAGTCCCCATTAATCAGGAAGCTGAGGCAGGAGAATCGCTTCAACCCTAGAGGCAGAGGTTGCAGTGAGTGGAGATTGTGCCATTGTACTCCAGCCTGGGTGATAGAGCTAGACTCTGTCTCAAAAAAAGAAAAGAAAAGAAAAGAAATATTTAAATAGTTATTAAGAAATTAGATGAATAAATCAGACATTGATAGGATGAAGATAAAAGTCTTAATGCAACACTCTTGGAAGTAGAGTGGACCAGTGGGAACCCCTATGGGTCCCCAACATTGAAGGACCATAAATAAATTTGCTTTGTTCACCCTAGTTTAGAGTAGTATGAAAAGCCACAAGAAAATAATGACAATGAGAAAGCTAACCTTCAATTGCCTGTAATGATGGTTCTACAATCTAAGCAAGATAAAGACTATTGAGAAGGCCTGGATTCCTTAGCCCAATCCCCAGCTGGGGAACAAAGGCCATATGCACTTGAGTGAGTAAAATGGCCAGGGGGTAGAAAAGAAACATGTCTAGGATTCCTTGACATAGAAGCTCCATGTACTACAGGCCAAAAGCCTATTGTTGAAGTGCTTACCCGGCCTACAGTTAGATTGGGAAGATATAGCAATGCAATGATTAATAAACTAAAGATGGGGCCAGGTGCAGTGGCTCATGCCTGTAATCCCAGAACTTTGGGAGGCCGATGTGGGTAGATCACTTGAGATCAGGAGTTCAAGACCAGCCTGGCCAACATGACGAAACTCCCTCTCTACTAAAAATGCAAAATATTAGCCTGGTGTTGTAGAGCACCTATAAAGCCAGCTACTCAGGAAGCTGAAGCAGGAGAATTGCTTGAACCTGGGAGACAAAGCTTGCAGTGAGCCAAGATTGTGCCACTGTATTCCAGTCTGGGTGATAAAGCAAGTCTCTATCTATTAAAACGAAAAAGAAGAAGAAGAAAAAAAAAGGACACTATTAAGAGAGTGAAAAGACAACCCACCTACAGAATAGGAAAAAAAATTTGTAAATCACATCTAACCCAGGATTATTATGCAGAAGATATGAATTTCTATAACCCAACAACAACTCAAGAATTTTGGAGGCCAGGCACAGTGGCTCACGCCTATAATCCCAACACTTTGGGAGGCGAAGGTGGGCAGATCACTTGAGGTCAAGAGTACGAGACCAGCCTGGCCAATATGGCAAAACCCCGGCTGTACTAAATATATAAAAATTAGCCAGGCATGGTGGTGCACGCCTGTAATCCCAGCTACTCGGGAGGCTGACACAAGAGAATCTCTTGAACTTGGGAGGCAGAGGTTGCAGTGGGCAGAGATCGAGCTGCTGCACTCCAGCCTGGGTGACGGAGCAAGACTCTGTCTCAAAATAAATAAATAAATAAACTAAAGATGGAAAGTTATATAAGAATTGAAATGTTTGAATGGACTTTAAGTGGAGCGATTGCATCTCCTTTATCTGAATGTATTATTAAAGATGGATATTCTGTATGACTGGGGAATATTTCTCTTACTTTCTGTAAAACAGAAGGTATATCAATCTGCCCATTTTCCTATATTGATTGGACATACCAAATAGGAACAATAAGTTTGCGGGAACCCAGAAAAATGGTTAATTTGAAATATAGACCGGAAACTGGAGTGCTGGTATGGATACATTCTCAGTACAATAAGCCTGTGTGAAACACATATTGGGGCTTATGGCAAAAGACTGTAAGTGCTTCCTAGTAATGACCACTGAGATTTTGGACCTGAAAAATATCCACTGAGAGACAGCTATGTTGCTATTGTGTGCCATTTAATACAGCCCTATACTGATGGTCAAATTGGGAAATTGAATGAAAACCTCCTATGTCTGCAAAGCAAAAAATAATCTTGTAACCTGAAATACCCATATGTCTTTAGTGATGTCAAAGAAACATTCTGATGGAGAAGACAATGCCCAGAAAAATTCTGTAATAAAATGAAAATGGTTTATACGGGAACATGCTACTAGTGGGGGAATTCGAGGAGGTGCCATGAATATTTTTCCTCCTAGAGCTGACTTTGAAACCACCTGAAGACCTGCCAAATCCTATTGCCACTTAGATGGTGCCTATTAACAGCTCTTGATTGATCAACAAAGAGCCCCTTGGTTTATAGTTGGCAGTTCCAATGTGAGTGGATAACACTTTATTTGGAAGGCTGATATTCTAGTTGAAAGAGGTAAAAATAACTTAGGCCGTCAGGCAGAATTGCATGCTATTTGTCTCTATATTTGAGTTTTTACTGAGTCATATGTGATGGCCAATATCCTGGCCATAGGGTTAGGCATAGAGGCAATAGAAAACTAGCCTATTAAAGGGATACACATATGGAGCATAGCCCTAAGGAAATCACCATGGGAATTTGAGGGTTGTGTTATAGTGGGATATGCTGATGCCAATCTGAAGACCCCACCAGGATCAGAAGGTGATTGGAAGTGGCAAATAGATATCCTGGTATACTTGCTCGAGGAGGCCACCTGGATCCATGAAATGTGTGGACAGTGGAGCTGCAGCAATGCAGAGATCTGCCAAATCTTAGACATATTCCTTTTATATACTCTGAGGAAGAAATTGACAATAAGAACTGTCCAGTCTGCCAACAAGAAAGACAGAGACTGTTAACAGCTTTGGGTCAGAGTCCCCAGGGGGAAGCTCCTGCACATAGCTGGCAAGTAGGACTGATGCTGGTAGCCCCTGGAGACTACAAATGAGCCCTGACAGGAATAGACACTCTGGCTAGGCTTTGCATGCTCAGTGGTAGGTGCAAATGCTCAAAATACTATAAAAGGACTGGAACAGAAGATACTGCACCAATTTGGACTGCTAAGTTACATTTCTTCAGACCAAGGAACACATTTTACAGCTCATAATGTCCAACAATAGGCCGAGAGATATAATCTTCTGAGTAGCAGTTTAATAGGGAATTAGAATAGGCAGTTGGACAATTTGTTGCTAAAATGGAGTAGGTAAAAGCAAGAAAGGTTGGTTTACACATCTTCATGAATGTGTTTTCACACTTAACATGAAGAGGTCCAAGAGAGGGTTTCCACTAGATAAATTCTACTTTTCTGGGGAATTTGGGGAGAAATATATGAGAGAGGATGCTGGTGTGACTACGCTATTTCCGACCCCACCCCAACCTCCCCACCATTACTCCAACTTTCCTTTTTCCTACCTGATACAGACCTGGGACTATGAGTGCCAGAAGTGGGAAAGATCTCTAAACAAAAGACTAACTATACCTTTACGCCTTTATGTCACAATTCCTAAGGCCCTAATGGGGTGGGCCGTACCTTTACCCTATTGAGCAAAATTAGGGTCAGTAAAAAATGTAGCTGTATTGCCTAGTGTTTGAGATAACCTGCTAGTTACGTGACTTTGTAATCCCACCCTAAATAAATAAGAGAGGATGGTAGGGGGCTGGAATGGGGGAAACACTTGCTAGACTACTATTGCTGTTAGCAATATGGACCTGCACAGTGGCCAAATCTCATGTCTCTTCCAAAAGTGAAAAAGTTTGGACAAAACTAAACAGTTAATAGAGCTAGGGAGTAACAGTAGCTGAGTAAGGGAATGAGTGGATATATTATGCAATGAGATAAGTCAAATATTACATTACTGCCTTGAGGGAGGTTCAGTAAAAGAACTGATACTCTCTATTAGCTCAATTATACCAGATGATGGTAAAATTGCTTTTGGGACCTGGCAAGGTTGAATGGAAGGCTGCAAACCTGAGTGGCATCACTGTGGGTCACTTTGGTCCTACAATATGATGGTGGACTGGACTAATTGTTAATGACTGAGTGAAACTCTAGTAATGAGCCAGTATCTTTTGACTCTTATTTCGCAAGTTATATCTACTGCCCTACTATGAACATAACAATGGTATTTTTGGTAAGATTATAGAACTGATATGGATGGTCAAATTGAGAAATTGAATTTAACCCTCCTCAGGATGTAATATTGATGGAAAATGACTGATCTGAATTGATGAATTCAGTCAATCATCAGCTAATTTCTATGCTAGATAATTCTATAGAAGTTTATCACAAAGTACAAATAATGGTAAATCAAAGGATAAAAATATAAAAGTGTTGTAATGACTTTATAGGACAAACCAGTTCTTTTTTTAAACCTATCCTTACCCCATAGTGGCTCCTCCAAATGTGAGGTATATTCATAATAACATTATTACTGAGTCCAAAAATTTTAGATAATGATATCTCATGTTATATTTGTGTTTTATCTTTTATAATCAAGAATATACTTCAAAGTCTTAAAAGGCTGTAGAGATGTTAATGGGGACATCGTGTGTGTGTGTGTGTGTGTGTGTGTGTGTGTGTGTGTGTGTGTGTGTGTGTGTTTGAGACAGTGTCTTGCTCTGTTGCCCAGACTGGAGTGCAGTGGTGCGATCTTGGCTCACCACAACCTCTGCCTCCCAGGTTCAAGTGATTTCCTTTCCTCAGCCTCCCAAGTAGCTGGGATTATGGCGTGTGCCACCACTGCCTGACTAATTTTTGTATTTTTAGTAGAGATGGGGTTTCGCCATGTTGGCTGGACTGGTCTCGAACTCCTGACTACTTCAAATGATCCACCTGCCTCAGCCTCCCAAAGTGCTGGGATTACAGTTGTGAGCCACCACACCTGGCCATCATTTATTCTTATACCACTAAAAGTACCATGAGTATGTTAGGCTGAAGCATATGAAAATGTAATTTTTAAACAAAAGTAGCTCAATATCAGTGATTTTATATAGTTCAACTCAATAAACCTTTTGTTGTTGTTGTTGTTGTTAATAGAAACCCAGGTAATACTTTTTTTTTAAATAAATTCACTATATATATATATTAGGTGGGGCTAGGCCCTCTACAAAGTGAATTAAGATGATGAGAATTATGCCAACAGGAAATTTATTGCCAAATTAAAACATACACACAAACCATCCAGAGAAATTTCCCAGAGGTAGTGTATGAAAGGAAATTACTTCCCTTTTGTACTTTGTGCTTGTTGAGATAATCCATAGTGCTATTGGATACAGTTACACATAAAACACTGGAGCTTCACTCTACTCTAGCATCTTTGAAGATATTTTACCAGAGATGTTTAGACCTTGATTTCACTCATTTATATGTATGTTTTTCCCACTGATGGAAAATAGTAAAATTAAATTAAAAAAACTTCAGTAACAATAAAAAGTATAAACAAAGTAAACAGTCACCTCTGAACTTCTAAATAATCCAACACATCAAAGATGTGTATTTGTAAATTTATTTGTAAATGTCAGCAGCATACCTTTGACTGAAAAACAAAAGCAAAATAAAACAAAGCAAAAAGCCAAGATGTTTATCCATATTATGCAGTCTACTTAAATTTAAAAATTAAGGCTTCCTTTGTGGTTCAAACCCGATACTTTGTTGAAGTAAGTTAAATGTAAAACCAAACCAAGCCAAGGTGCAGCATATTATCCTCATCATTATTTTCTTTGAAATTAGTCATAGTTTCAAAGTTTTCACCACCTCACCTTTCTTTGGGAACCTGGGTTCTAATTTTGTCACTTGGCAGGACATCTCATAATGGGTTTCTGGAACATGAAATCTACTTGGTAATCTGGTAGGATAATATTATTTTCTCTGTCTTGTGGAATACTATAAAGTCTTATCTTAATCATGTTATTTATAGAGGGACTAAGGCAATTGATATTTCCTTCCTTGCTTCAAACAATTGAAATTTATAGAGCTGGCAGCCCTGCAGTTAGATCTTTCTTGTCCTGATGCTCTTTTGCAAATTCTTCAAGGGTTTCTCCTGATAGTCTGGATGTAGTACACAGCTCATGATTAGGGACTTTATGATACCTTCTCTCTCTTTACATTGTCTGATAAAAGAATGGATTTTGGAGTGAGATTGACTATCATGACTTAGTGGATAGTAATAGTTATTAAATACATTATTGTAAGGATTAAGTAAAAGTGCTTCTGTAAATCTAAATGCAAGGCTTTGAGACCTACGTTCAATAAACATTCAATTTATTCCCCTTCTCATTTCAGTGTATTCTTTTCTCTATGGTCCATTGATGGCTTTAATTGCTTGGTATGGAGTACTGACTTTTTCTTCTCTCATTTGCTATTTCTAGTACTCTACCTTTCCCATATGCATAGCAAAAGTTCCCTGGTCTTTCTTTACATTTACGTTCTCTGGGGAGTATTCTGAAGATCTTCAAATTCAGCCTCAATTCTTGATTTCAAGGGACACCATTTAAAAAAATTTTAATGTATTAGAGACAGAGTCTCATTCTGTCATGCAGGCTGGAGTGCCGTAGTGATCATAGCTCATTGTAACCTCGAACTCCTGGGCTCAAGTGGTCTTCCTGCCTCAGCCTCCCAAGTAAGTAGGACTACAGGTGCATACCAGCGTGCCTGGTTAATTTTTATAATTTTTTTTATACAGACAGAATCTCACTCTGTTGTTCAGGCTGGTCTCCAACTCCTGCCATCAAGCGATCCTCCCACCTTAGACTCCAAGAGCTGGGATTATAGACATGAGCCACCATGTCCTGCCTCAAATGACACCATTTGTAACTCCTAGCACAATCTCTTGGCACTTATGACTTCTTTAAAAACTAGCTGCTTAAGTCCTTGATTTTCTTCTATTTACCAATAAACTCTGTGAATTTTATTTATAGCTAAGCTTTCTATGAAATGTGAAAATTACCCAAGAAAGTTACTTACCCAAGAAAATAGGCTGGTGAAACTCTTTTAAATTATATCTTAGGCCATTCATGAATCAAATTCAATCACTGTCCCCGTAGTAAACTTCATCGTTGGACAATCTTAAACAATTCTTCTGGGTAGCTGTTTGAGGATACTGGTTGTGATAAGCACTGAGGATTCAACAGTAAACAGATTATGGTTTTAGGCTTAATAAATATATTGAGCTCTGACCTCAGATAATAATCTAATATTTAAATAATGCTTACTATGTGATAAGCACTATTCTAACTACTATACATAATAACTCTTTTAATATATAATAAAACAAGCCTATAAGGAGGTGGTTACTATAATTATCTTCACTTCACAGGTAGAGGAAACAGACATAGAGAGGTTAAACAATATGTCCTTGTTCACACAGGAATCTTAGCTGTCTGGCTTCAGATATTGTATCAGACATCATTGATGTCCTGCCACATTGTTCTTTGGCCTACCTCTGATTTTATCTGCAGTGGAGGTGGTAAATTCCAGAATGCTTATAACTTCTCACCTTAGGCACTTAGATATCTATACTAGTTGGCCTGAGAACTTTCTCTCGCTATTGTTTAGCGGCTTGCTCAGCTCTCATGCAGGGAAGCTCAGAATTGCCAAATCTTTAATGCCTCAGAGGAAACTCTGTATGGGGGATGGGTATGGTGGATAAGTACCCTGGTCCCTCATCTTCCAGGGGAACTATTGTGAGGTATGCTCTACAGAGTTTCTCAGAGGGCTCCGAATGGGATGGAGCTCCTGTTGCTCTCAGGGGTAACCCACTTATTGGCACACTTTTGTCTCTTTTATTCTCTTTCATTCCTCACTCTTTCATCTGTGCTTCCTGGGATCACCTTTCATAAAAGTACCTGTCCCTATGTCAGGACTTGTTTTTGAAGCAACATAAATTAGGACAGATGCTGTGTTCTTAATGTACCATGCTGCCTCTCCACAGTCTTTTTTCTCCTTAGTTCATTTGGTCTCTGCTCAGAAAGCCCTTCCACGCTCATGTTAATTAAAATATTTATTTGATAAGGTACAGGCTTGGCTATTATTAAAAAGCAACCCAATAGTGAGAGTTTCAAAAAAGAAATGCATTTTTCTCTCTCTCATATAACATTCGAGAAATAGACAGGTGATCAATGAGAGGGAGGCACCTTCTTCAAGCATCTCTCAGGGATACAGATCCATTCTATGTGGAGGCTCTGCCATTCCATGGAGGCCATGGGAGAAAAGAGGAAGAAGAGTAACTTTTATTAAGCATGTCTCTTCATGTTCTATTGGCTAAGATGCAGTGAAATGGCCAATCTTAGCTATAAAGAAGCTAAGAAATACAGTTGCTACCCATTCCCTGCTAACATTCAGGGAAATGGACATTGAGGGTAATTAAAAGTCTTGACTGAAAATGGTATCCCCTGTCTATACATTGCTCATCCTGCTTCATTTTCATAATTACATATATCTATTTCTTGTCTGACTCCTCTACCAGAATATAGGTGCCTTGTTGTAGAGACATTGTTAGTTTTGCTCACCATATAAATCCATGGCCTTTAATAGTGCCTTTTGTTAGTAATCACTGAATGAGAGTTGAACGAAGAATAAATGAATGAATAATCTGTTATGTCCTCCAAATGTCCCCAAGTCTCTAATAATACACTAGGATACACCATAGAAAATGAATTTTTGGCTATCTGTATAAGTGCAACCATGTTTGTATTTAAGAGATACTTTATGTGAGATGCTTTTATCTTGTGTATAATCTAATGAAGTTCAGGATAATTTATTTTCTAATAATTATTTTCACTCTCCTCAAAGAATATTATAATGATGTTTCCTCCAATATTTAGTTTTTATATCAGTCTTTTTATAAAAATTGATGTATACAACTTTCATATTTGAATCTTTATTTTTTAAAGCAAAAGCAAATATTGATAAGTTATACTCCTGTAGCTAGCTATATTGTAGCTCCTGGTAATTGACTGGGCACAGCTCCCATGGAGAATAGGCATTATGATTGTGCCGTTGCACTCCAGCCTTGGCAACAGAACCAGACCCTGTTTCTGAATAAATAAATAAAACCACACACATACACACACACACACACAGACACTATATTTGTATTCTAAGGCCGCTGTAACAAATTACCACAAACTTGGTGGCTTTCAACCACAGAAATTTACTATCTTGCAGTTCTGGAGGCTAGAAGTCTGAAATTTCCAGGGCTGTTCTTCCCCTGGGGTTCTAGGAGACAATCTTTTCCTTGCCTCTTCAGCTCCTGGTGGCTGTCCCAGCATTCCTGGGCTTGTGGCCACATCACTCCAATCTCTGAGTCTCTTTCACATCATGTTCTCTGCTTTGTATCTATATATTCTGCTCTTCTGTATGCCCCAAATGTCCCTCTGTCTTTCTCTGATAAGGACACTTGCCATGAGATCTAGAGTTCACCAAGATAATTCAGGTTTATCAATTCATTTCATGATCTTTAACTTAATCACATGTGAAAAGACTCTTTTTTATTTTTATGTATTTAGGGGGTACAAGTGTAGATTTCTCTCTCTCTCTCTCTTTTATTTTATTTTTTTTTTGAGACGGAGTTTTTGCTGTTGTTGTCCAGGTTGGAGTGCAATGGCATGATCTTGGCTCACTGTAACCTCTGTCTCCCAGGTTCAAGCGATTCTTTTGCCTCAGCCTCCTGAGTAGCTGGGATTACAGGCACCCGCCACCACACCCGGCTAATTTTTTGTATTTTTAGTAGAGATGGGTTTTCATCATGTTGGCCATGCTGGTCTTGAACTCCTGACCTTAGATGATCCACCTGCCTTGGCCTCCCAAAGTGCAGGGATTACAGGCATGAGCCACCACGCCTGGCCCAAGTGTAGATTTCTTAAATGGATATATGGCACTGTGGGGAAGTCTGGGCTTTCAGTGAACCCATCACCTGAATAATAAACATTGTACCCAATAGGTAAATTTTCACCCCTGATTCCCCTCTGGAGTCTCTAGTGTCTATTATTCCACTCTGTGTGTCCATGTCTACCCATTGTTTAGCTCCTCCTTGTAAGCGAGAACATGTGGTATTTGATTTTCTGTTTCTGAGTTATTTCATTTAGTAAAAGGGCCTTCAGTTCCATCCCTATTGCTGCAAAAGACATGATTTCATTTTTTTTATTGGCTTTCCAAGGATTTTAAATAAATATCTTTTGGGGGGGGGGACAGGTGCTTTTTTGGCCTACCATAGTCCACCATAGGCCCCAAAGACTAATATCCATCCCACATGGAAAATACATGCACCCCATCCTGACATCCCCAAAAGTGTCAACTTACTACAGCATCAGCTCAAGTCCAGACTCTCATCTAAATCTTGTTAGCTCAAAAGCCCCACATATTATCATCTAAATTATTTAAATCAGATATGAATGAGATTCAGTATGATCCATATTGTGACAAAATTTCTCTTCATCTCTGGACCCATAAAACTATAAAATAAACTATCTGCTTCCAAAATACATGAGACAGGAATTGAAAACAAGCAAATTCTGCAGACCAGCAAAGTATGTCTCTAGGCTAGATTATAGCTTTGAGTTTCTCTATTGTAGATCTCCAGCAGAGTTCATCCAGAGAGAGATTTGTACATCTTGTGGGGGTGAGGAGAAATTAATGAGCCATTTTGGGGATGTAAGAGAAGGCCAAAGAGCCTTCATGATTGGGAGATTTTGAGACAAAAAGAAAAAGGAAGGAATTGCTTTGAGTAATAAACAAGCATCCCATCTAAATTTTAAAAAAGGTTTTGAATTCTTGGATGCTGGGATTGACATTTAAAGGACTGGGCATTTCCCAACAGTTACTGAGCATTTCCCAAGGAGAGGAATGATGGCTAGACACAATATGCAGGAACAGGAAAGTGTAGAAACAGGTATGCTTTTATTCAACTTCAAGTTTTTCACTTTGAAAGTTCAGAAAGTCTATTACCTACAACAACCTTATGCAATGTTGTGCAGAATGTTGGAGAATTTTCAGGGCCCCTGGTTGAGGTGGATTGTAGAGAAATAACAGCTTTTAAAAGCCAAGAGAGTAAGAGGAGATGGATAATTAACCTGGTACCAAAAGTGTGTACTCAGTGGCATGAGATGAGTATCAAAAGCTTGTATCTACCCCTCAAATACCTCGAGGATCCTCAGAAATTTAAGAAAAGTTACTGGACTTGCAATATTTACGTGAAACAAGACTTTAGCATTTAATGTAAATGTATTATGTAACATTAGAAAAATATTGTATTCGGCCGGGCGCGGTGGCTCACTCCTGTAATCCCAGAACTTTGGGA
The DNA here is from genome assembly GCF_000001405.40 of Homo sapiens. NCBI lineage: Eukaryota > Metazoa > Chordata > Mammalia > Primates > Hominidae > Homo > Homo sapiens. The sequence goes on along the minus strand of NC_000003.12, from coordinate 152,136,100 downwards.
GGCCGAAGCAGGTGGATCACGAGGTCAGGAGATCGAGACCATACTGGCTAACATGGTGAAACCCCGTTTCTACTAACAATACAAAAAATTAGCCCGGTGCGGTGGCGGGCACCTGTAGTCCCAGTTACTCGGGAGGCTGAGGCAGGAGAATGGCGTGAACCCAGGAGGCGGAGCTTGCAGTGAGCCGAGATCGTGCCACTGCACTCCAGCCGCCTGGGCGACTAAGGGAGACTCCGTCTCAAAAAAAAAAAAAAAATTAAAAAAAAATATATATATAGTATTCTTTTTCTTTTTTCTTTCCACGATGACCTTTTCCCAAGCCTGCCGCAAGAAAGAGTCATGTTGGAACTGTTACAGAAAGATTGTCATAAGAAACCAAGGGCTAACATTCAACATCTGGCATTTAAAATGGGATTTTGCAGCATTACAAAAGGCTTAAAAGATAGGTCTTTTTAGAGATAGGAAGTAATTTCCAAATTCCTTTCGTTCATATTTAACAATATCATGGGTCATGTCTAATAATCAGATTTTAGATCTTCTCCCTTAACTCTGAGAAGGTACCCACATATGATATTAAGTTTTAGCCACGAGGTTGAAGTCCAAAAAAAGAGAATATGTGTTAGATAATGTAACAAAGAGGTCCAGAGATGTTAGGAGAAAAAGAAAAGAGAGAGAGAGGCCCAGCATTTCGCTTTCTGGAGCCACGCCATGTTTGCTTATGGCACAGGCAGGACTCCTAGGTTGTAGGACTTCTGGCTGGGAAGCTTGACAGAGCTGCAGAGTTTCTAAAAGACATCTTGTGGGTCTGGTCCAAATGAGAGATTGCAGCCAAGCAGATCTCAGAGATTTCTTTAGTACCTGTTAAGACCAAAGTAGGGCAGGTGCCAAGTAGAGGTGAAACAACAAGAACCCGACAGGACTCAAGAGAGATCAGATCATGGATTGCCCAGGTTGTTACTGCCAACAGGGCAAGCAGCACAAGAGTGTCATTGACGTTGAGTACAAAAGATGCCGAGGATCTGGAATGAAACTGAGAATGTCTAATTCCCAACATTACAAGTCTAAATTGACCATCCCTCCTGGTTTTCCCAGGATGGCCCTGAGTTGTGTCTGTTGTCTACATATAATTATTAATTTGGTGGTTGCCCTACCTAAGCCTTCCTACTTCTACACATTTAGATACAATCTTAAAGAGGAGCAAGTAGGGGCAGTAGGGCAAAATTCTGAAATTTTTATTAAAGGAATCTAAAACATTATATAAAAGGACTCTGAATACTGTATAGGATTAAAATGATTGGGATGGGCTGACATAAACAATAATAATATCTATCAATTCAGATTTAGAAAAAATTAGCCATTATATTACAAAGAACAATTTCATTTTTCCTACGGCATTTGAGAGCAAGTTGCCAACCTGATGCCCTATCCTTCCCCTGATATTTTAGCATTTTCTTCAAACTGGGCTAGTCTTTAAATATATCTATGACATAAATAAAATCATGCAATATATTTTGATACCTTACTACCACTGAATCAGATGTCATTCAAGTATTATCAATAGTTCCAATAAAGACTGAACAATTATTTCAGTCTAATCTAATCCTCACATCCCATTCAACTTCCTAATTGTCCCAAGAATGCCTTTATAGCAAACATATCCAGTAGAATGTCTGTCTTTGCATTTAATTATCATGTTTCTTTATATTCTTTGAACAGTTCCTTGGCTTTTCATGGAACTTTTGAAGATTACAGGCCATTGTTTTATAGAATTTTTCTACATTTGGGTTTGGTAGTTTCTCATGATTGGATTCAGACTATGCATCTCTAGTAGAAACATCACTGAAGTGATTCTGTGTTCTCATTGCATCCTGTGATATTAGTTTGTATTTTCTAGAATTTCATATGAATGGGATTATACATATGTTTATTTTTTGTATCTAGTATCTTTCACTCACCATAATAATTTTGTATCCATTTTCTTGCATATATTAATAGTTCATTATTTTTACTGTTAAACAATACTCCATTATATGCCTATACTATTACTAATCAATCCACTTGCTGATGGATATTCAAGTTGTTGCCAGTTTTAGCCTATTGCAAATAAAGCCTCTATGAACATTTGTGTACAAGTCTTTTTATAGACATATCCTTCCATTTTTCTTGGGTGAATACCTAGGAGTGAAATGACTGAGTCCTATTAACTTTTAAAATCTGCCAAACTCATTTCCAAAGTAACTGTCCATTTTTCATTCCCATCAGAAGTATATAAGAGTTTTGAATGCTCCACATCCTCAATGATACTTGAATATGATCAGTCTTTGAAATTTTCACCTTTCTGGTGAGTGTGTAGTGAGCGGTATCTCATTGTGGTTTTAATATGTATTTTCTTATTGACAATCATGCTGAGCATCTTTGCATGTGCTCATTTACTATCCACATATGTTTTTTGGTGAAGGAGCTGTTCACTTTTTTTCTTATTGCTAATTTGGGTTTATCTTCTTTTTATTAAGTAGTAAGAGGTGCTTTCTATATTCTGGATAAAAATTCTCTTCACAATTTTGAAGAACATATTGTAGAGGATCGAACATTTTTCAAATGTAGTCAATAATTATTGTGCTTTGCATTTAAAAAAACTTCCCTGACTTGACCACTATGCAGATAACAAAATTGGACTTGTATCCTGTAAATTTCTATAAATAATAATACATCTTAAAAGCTGCCTTCTTCACCTTGATAGAACTCTCATCCCAGGCTGTTTTTCAATGTGGAACCATCTTTCACATTCTTGGGTTATGATACCTTATGCTTGGCTCTTCTCACAGAAGGATCTTCCCCTTATCCTTCCTCTACATAAGCACCAGAATACTTTTCTTCAGGGAACTCCTCCCTTGACCTCTGCAGGCACCTGTCTTTATCAGCGACATAGAATGGCTTTAGAATTGAACTGTTTTGGAAATAAAAGGAGGATAAGAAAAAGGAGGAAGAAGAAGAAAAGGAAGAGGACTAGTGGAATAGGATAACAAGTAATTACATTTTGTCTTTATCCTAAATGTTATGTAATAGTGCAACCCTATTATTAGCATTATAGAAAAGACTAGACTTAGGGCATGGGAGGAATAAGAAACATATAATTTATGGATAAATAGCACATTGATAATCTGTAATATTATTTATATTGTATCTTTAAATTACATTGCCCCTTTCCCTAACGAAGTCAGAGCTCTCACAGCTTTCATTTCATATATCCTTTTCTCTCTCATTGCGTTTACTCACTCATCATTGTGTTCATATTTTTTAAACTACAAACTAAGATTCATAGTTAAGAAAATTTAGAAGTGATGTCTGATATTCAGTTTTAAGGTCATTTTCCCCCTAAATCTTTTGCAAAAATTCATTTGAGATGATTTGCCTGATGAAGTAGAATAACTTGCATCAATGCTTGAGTCAAGGGACATAGAGAGGTTAGCAGAGGATGGCTGGGCATGGTGGCTCATGCCTGTAATCCTAGCGTTTTTGGAGGCCGAGGCGGGTGGATCACGAGGTCAGGAGTTCAAGACCAGCCTGGCCAACATGGTGAAACTCCATCTCTACTAAAAATACAAAAATTAGCCAGGTGCAGTGGCTGGGGTGCCTGTAATCCCAGCTACTCGGGAGGCTGAGGCAGGGAATTGCTTGAACGTGGGAGGTGAAGGTTGCAGTGAGCAAAGATCGCACCACTGTTCTCCAGCCTAGGCGACAGAGTGAGACTTCGTCTCAAAAAAAAAAAAGAGAGGTTAGCAGAGGATATACACTGGTGAGAGCAGATTGATAACTGAACAAACAGGAGGAATTTGTATTCAAAGGAATCCATGTATGAAGTCAGTAGAAGAAAATGAGGTCAAAAATGATCTAGGAAATGTTCATGTAAACATGAACCTCTACTGAACATATTTATCCTTATTTATGTATTATTCCTTGTTATGGTGTATATGTGTAAGTTCTTTAAAAGTTTAAAGTTCCAAGATTGAGCAAAGTAAAACAGAAAAACCTTTTGAAAAATCTAAAGTATGTAAAATTTTATTTTTACCATTTTCATGTTCATGATTTCATAAACACAAAGAAAAGCATCCTTAAATTTTTAGCAATTTCCAAAAGTCCTGGGGAGTAATTTCATTTATTTTGGCCTGTATAATATGACTTCCAGTTTGCAAACAAAGTCATTCTTAAAGCCAAAATCTCCAGAACTCCCAATAAAGACCAGACTCTACATGAATTGGGCCATCAAATGTAAGTAAATAGAGATATTAAATGTGAATTGTCACATTCCAATGGATACTTCACTCAAAAAAATTCATGTCCCATTTCCAACTAAAATTCCCAAGCATGAAGACCTCCTAAATTTTACCAAAGCAGACTATATGAATCATAAACTTTTTTCTTTAAAAAGAAGTTTGACTCTAGAAAATAAGCCATTTATTTTTAATAAAGGTGTTAACTCTCAAGACACAGCGACATCACAGACTGTTTATTTGTATATTCAGTAAAGCATTTATTCCTTAACTTATTTATTTTACAAATAATATTGTCAATCATATATATTAGTTTTCCTACTTATCTCCAATATTCACTTTTATTATATATAATTGTAAAATCTATATTTAAATTTTCCTATGAGAATTTAACTTTATTTTTAAAATGTAGTTTCATATTTCAGTAGCTTTTGGGGTACAAGTGGTCTGTGGTTACATGAATGAATTATATAACGGTGAATTCTGAGATTATAGTGCACCAGTTACCCGAATAGTGTATGTTGTACCCAATATATAGTTTTTTTAATCCCCATCTCCCTCCCAATTTCCCCCTTTTGAGTTTCCAAAGTCCATTGTATCACACTGTATGCCTTTGTGTATTCATGGCTTAGCTCCCACTTATAAGTGAGAACATACAGTATTTGGTTTTCTATTCCTGAGTTACTTCGCTTAGAATAATGGCCTTCAGCTCCATCCAAGTTGCTGCAAAAGAAATTGTATCATTCCTTTTTATGGCTGAGTAATATTCTATGTTGTACATATACCACATTTTAAAAATCCATTTATTTGTCAATGGACACTTAGGTAGCTTCTATATCTTTGCAATTGTGAATTGCACTACAATAAACATACGTGTGCATGTGTCTTTTTTATATAAAGACTTCTTGTCCTTTGGGTAGATACCCAGTAGTGGGATTGCTGAATCAAATGGTAGATCTACTTTTTGTTGGGAATAAGAATTTAACTTTTTATGTGGTCAGTTCATAGTTTTGTCACAATGTAATATTAGAAACCACTGAAAGAAGAGAATCTACAAAAACCAAAAAGCATCAGAAGAATATTATCTGATGAAAGACCTGTCATAAAATTCTTTAGGTTTGGCTGTTAAAATTAATTTACTCTAAAGCAGTTTTGAATACAAATTATAAACAGAGAACTGGGATAATATGACAAGAACAAGTCTTTAGTACGCATCTACTATGTACTATTTGCTCACTGTGTATACCCATGTTATCTCATTATTTAATCTCCCTGAACCCCAATTTTGTTAATTTTAAAAGAGGACAATATACATGTGAAGGTGGTTTATTTTTTCCTTTTTTTCTTTTTTTTTTTTTTTTTTGAGACAGAGTCTTGCTTTGTCACCCAGGCTGGAGTGCAGTGGTACAATCTCAGCTCACTGCAACCTCCACCTCACGGGTTCAAGCGATTCTCATGCCTTGGCTTTCTGAGTAGGTGGGATAACAGGCATGTGTCGCCTTGCCCAGATAATTTATTTATTTATTTTATTTTTAGTAGAGATGGGGTTTGCCGTGTTGGCCAGCCTGGTCTTGAACTCCTGGTTGCAAATGATCCACCCACCTTGGCCTCCCAAAGTGCTGGGATTATAGGCCTGAGTCACTGCACCCAGCCAAAATACCTGTGAAGGCTTAATTTTTTTTCAATGTTAAAATACTTAGCACATTGTAAGTACACAAAATATTTCTTCCCACTCTCTTGCATTTACTCCTCAAAGCAACATTTAAATTAAGGTATCCACTTGACAGTTGAAGAAACTGAGGCTCAGAGAGTTTGAGTTATGTAGTCATAGTTATGCAGGTAGGAGAATTTGAAACCAAGCTTAAAATCCTAGTGTACTGACACCCAATTAAATTCTTCTTCTTTTATATAACACTACTTACATATTTATTGTTAGAAAGGTACTCTTTAATCATTATTTTATTTTATTTATCTATTTTTTTTGAGACTGAGTCTTGCTCTGTCGCCCAGGCTGGAGTGCAGTGGCGTGATCTCGGCTCACTGCAAGCTCTGCCTCCCGGGTTCATGCCATTCTCCTGCCTCAGTTTCCTGAGTAGCTGGGACTACAGGCACCCACCACCACGCCCGGCTAATTTTTTTGTATTTTTAGTAGAGACGGGGTTTCACCGTGTTAGCCAGGATGGTCTTGATCTCCTGACCTCGTGATCCACCCACCTTGGCCTCCCAAAGTGTTGGGATTACAGGCGTGAGCCACCGCACCCGGCCTTAATTATTATAATATGTACGTGAATTCTATATTAATTACTTAAGGGTCCACAATGTATAAATTTAGGGCACTTGCAAATCCAATGAGAATACAATACAATTCTGCTATCTAAAACTATGTATGCTGACATATTGAATGAGCAAAATCTGGAAGCCTTGTTTTTGAGAATTGGAACAAGACAAGGATGCCCACTCTCACCACTCCTATTCAACACATTCTGGAAGTCCTAGCCAGAGCAATAAGGCAAGAGAAAGAAATAATAGGCATCTAAATAGGAAGAAAGAAAATCAAACTATCTCTCTTCACAGACAATATGATTTGATAAGTAGAAAAACCCATAATTTCTGTCTAAAGGCTCCTAGAACTGATAAACAATTTCAGTAAAGTTTCAAGATACAAAGTCAATATGCAAAAATCAGTAGCCTTTCTGTGCACCAATAATGTTCAAGCTGAGAGGCACATCAATAACCATAAAAAGACTAAAATACTTAGGAATACAACTAACTATGGAAGTGAAAGATGTCTACAACCAGAATTACAAAACACTGCTGAAAAAATCAGAGATGACACAGCAAATGGAAAAACATTTTATGCTCATGGATAGGATGAATCAATGTAACAAACCTGCACGTGTACCCCCATAACCAAAATAAAAGTTGAAAGAAAAAAATATAAAACCGTATATGTTGATGTGATATTATACATGCGTTTATATTAAATGAATGTAACAGTTTATTCTGGGGGTGGGAGAGAGAGAGGGGAGGAAGCCGGTGGGAGGGCGGGTGCGTGGAGAGAGAGAGAGAGAGAATTTAAGTATTCTGGGTATATCTGCTAGCCAGAGCACATTGTGGTGCATGTCCTTGGACTAAGCATGAGATTGGAGTTCTGAATTTTCTGTTCCCTAAATCATATCAGTTCTCTCATACCTCTCAAAGCATAGCTTCTCATTTTACAGAGGGTGATTTTAGTCAAAGATACATACTTTTTATATGATGAGATCTCTACATGCAAGCCAACACTTCATCTGACTCTAATAAAAGAAACCGCAAATCTTCATACTTTTAAAAGTACTTCTATTCTAAAAAATTTCAAACACATACTCTTGCAGAGAGGTTAGTGTAATGGACCCTCCTCATACCACTAACAAGCTTTAGAGTTAGCAACTCAGAAACAATCATGTTTCCTCTATACCTCCACATCTTTGATTATTCTCTTCACCGGATTGTTTTGAAGCAATTCCCAGACACCGTATCATTTTGTTCATAAATATATCAGATATACACTTTTAAATATAAAAGATTATATAATGTATATAGTAGATGATGTGTAGGGCTTTTCTGGGATAATTATATTCGTGTAAATGCTTCATATATGACATTTTATTTAGTATCATAAAAACCCTGTGAAGCAGTTAACTACAACCACTTTAGATAGTAGAAAACTGAGAGATTAAAATAAATGTTTTCCTGAGGTTACCAAACTGGTACTTGAGAGAGACAGGATTCAAACTTAGGTCTTTAGATCAGTAACTCTTAACCATCAATATAGACAGCTATGACAATTTTAGTCTGTATTATCTTTTCATTCAGATTTCCTAGTAGAAAGAAAAAGACTTTAAACTCTTAAAATGATCTTAGAGAAGCACTCATACCTACATCAAAGATTGCAACCTGCCTAATATATTTGGTGCAATATATAAAAATTTTTAATGATTAAAGACTGCTTTTTGAAGATGTATTAGGAGAAATGTATTAGGAGAAATGCTTGAGTTGGTGTTAACCAGATAAAGGAGAGAGAAAGGGCAGAGAAAGAAACATTTCTAATGGCACAGAATGAAGAGAGGACATCTTGAAAGCCTGCAAATTTACTATTAGTTGGTTTATAGAGAATAATAGGAATGATCAATGGTAAAAGTAGAAAGGTGGTTGTTGGCCAGGTCATCAATGTTGGCATATACCATGCTAATTATTTTAAAATTTATGTAATATCACTAAAGTATTTTTAATTGGGAAGTAACAAAATAAGATTAGCTTTCTAAAGATCAGTCTGTCAGTGGTGTGGCAAATATATCCTGGTGTGCTGGTAGGGGAGCAAGCATGAGATAGAAAAGTCAGAGAAGTGATGTTGAATTAATGTTTCTGAGAACTAATAAGGGACTCAACTAAAGGTGTAGCAATGAGCAGGATGTGTGGCTTATGGAAATATTTAGGTGATAGAATTAATAGGACTTGTTCAGTTTCAGATCCCTGTGTGTCACATCATCCAGATGTCGCTTTTCAGTACAGAGTTGAGTCACGTCATCTAGATGTCGCTTTTCAGTATAGAGTTGAGTGTTTGAGTCTCTGCTTAAAAGATATATCTAAGCTAGGGGATTAGATGTGGTAATAGTGTGAGACTAGTGGGTCATTGAAACCACGAGACCAAATGTTGTCACTTAGAGAAAAATGCATAGTGAACACAATAGAGGCTCAGGACAGAAACCTGGCAAGACCAAATTATAAGGAAGATAGTGAAGAAACACAGGCCACAAAGGAGACTGAGAAACTGAAGCCAGTAGGATGGGAGGGCAACCAGGAGATAGAAAGATTTTTGAAGAGAATATGGGAAATTATGAAATGTAAAATTCTGAGTAATTAAAGCTAAAGATGTATATAATCAAAGTGCATAAAATCATGTGTACACATTTAGTAATAGACCAAGATTCATAAAAAAGATGTTATTCACAGAATCTTGAATGATGTCATTTTATTCACATATATACACACATATTATATAGAGAGGTAACTCTAAATCTTGTGCCACAAACATAATACAGGATGAAAATCTCAAATAGATTTATATGGAGCTCAGGAAAATTACTGGATTCATAAATTCATTAACCAATTTGACAAATATTGATCGTATATAAGGCACTGGGTTAGAATATTTTGTAATCTTTCCTCTACGAACTCCTGAAAGAAATTTGGGTGGCACATACTTCTTCTGCTCCTATAATAGAGGTATCTATATGTCCTCTGGAGTAGATTGTTCCTAAGAGCAGATGCTATGATTCATTCTTATGGTGTACTAAAATTAGAACAGTGTCTTGCACATAGCAAAAGTACAGATAATATTTAGTGATTGGATGAAGCATGACCGTGGGAATAGAGGACTTTGTGATTGATTATATCCATCAACAAGATGTCCCTTGGCACTGCTGTCAGAGAGAACATTTATTGCTAAATGTTCTGACTCAGAACAGCTTTTTCAATGCTGCTTTAGAGAGACATGTAAAGTAATGGCTACTGACAATATTCATGGGTAATATGGTAAGCACGCACCCCAGCTTTAAAAAGTCTATCTTTGATAACAAAATTGTTTTTTTTCTATTTATTTGTGATTTGTTCTGAACACTTTTACAACTCCTGAGCTATTTTTAGTTCCCCCTTTAAATTTCTCATGATTCTGGTCTTACTTTCTGTATCTTTTATCCATGGATCTGTGGTTGGGAGGCATTGGGCTCATTCAGTCATCCTGGCTATCACTATGCCAATGTTAATGTCAATGTATTTCTGAATAACGATATGCTCTATTCAGATACATTAATTTTTTTTTACCTTCATTTTACCCATTGCACTAAAATTTGTTGCCATCACTTTCTACCAAGTAATACATCATACCATGTTTGGCTATTTAAATTATTCCTAATTATGTTCTTATAAAAATATTGTCTCCTCTTGCCTTCCTACTCTTCAAGTATGTTGAGATACCTTGAGTTGCACTTTTTAAAAAGATATGCTGGGTCCCATTATGTTGCCCAGGTTGGTCTCGAACTCCTGGTCTCAAGTGATCCTTCCACCTCAGCCTTTCAAGTAGCTAGGACTATAGGCACATGTTACCATGCTCAGCTTGAGCTGTGCTTTTAAGATATAAATTAGTCTGTGCTAATTTTTTTGCTTTTAATTTGAATTACTATCCTTGACTCTGATCACTGTAGTTGCTCTTCTGAAATTACAATATACATAATCTAAATTGATTCAATATTTAGGTATCAAGATATAAAAACCTAATTTCATGCAATTTTCCAAATAGTATAAAAATGCATTTTTTATTTTTAAAAAATGTAGCAATTTAAACACGAAGACCTCCTTAATCTCCTTTAGTTACTAGAACATAGACCTTCTTAATCTCTTCTGGTTACTAGAAAAGTACATTTTTAAAAATCTATCTTTTGTAAAGTTCTTTGTATTATATAGATTGTGTATGGGATTTATATATAAGGTATTGTTTGATCCCAAAAGGCCAGGCACAATTCTTCTGAATTTTATCAGAAATAACATTTTTTCTTTTTTTTGAGACAGAGTTTCCCTCTTGTTTCCCAGGCCAAAGTGCAATGGCGCGATCTCAGGTCACTGCAGCCTCCACCTCCTGGGTTCAGGGGATTCTCCTGCCTCAGCCTCCTGAGTAGCTGGGGTTAAAGGCATCTGCCACCATGCCCGGCTAATTTTTTGTATTTTTAGTAGAGACAGCGTTTCGCCATGTTGGCCAGGCTGGTCTCGAACTCCTGGCCTCAGGTGATCTGCCCGCCTCGGCCTCTCAAAGTGCTGGGATTATAGGCGTGAGCCACTGGGCCCACCTAGAAATAACATTTTGTTTTAATTGTCATTCGACCAACATCACAGATTTGATTACATACCACATGCCAAGCACTATGTAAAGCATTGAGCTGAATATTATCAGTGAGGCCAGGGTGAATTGTCACCAGCTGTAGTTCCCACCCTGCAACTACTCACTTTAGTGTGAAAGACAGAAGGATGAATACATTTCTTTTTTTTTTTTTTTGAGACGGTGTCTCGCTCTGTCGCCCAGGCTGGAGTGCAGTGGCGCGACCTCTGCTCACTGCAAGCTCTGCCTCCCAGGTTCACGCCATTCTCCTGCCTCAGCCTCCAGAGTAGCTGGGACTACAGGTGCCCGCCACCACGCCTGGCTAATTTTTTGTATTTTTAGTAGAGACAGGGTTTCACCATGTTAGCCAGGAGAGTCTCGATCTCCTGACCTCGTGATCCACCCACCTCGGCCTCCCAAAGTGCTAGGATTACAGACGTGAGCCACTGAGAAATTTCTAATACATATAGAAAAAGATAAATTGTTATACCAGGGCTAAAACATATAATAGAAATATGAAGTAGAACAAGATAGAGACTGAACAATATTGCTTGGCTTCACGGGAGAGATGGGATTTGAGTTAGGCCTAAGTGAACAGGCTTCCAAAGATGTCTATCAAGGGAGGACATTCTAGATAGTGGGGATAGTATGAGCAAAAGACATAGAAACAAAAGAGTAGACATCATTTAGGAAAACAAGGGTTGTTGTGTTTAGAACATATATTTTACAGGAAAATAGTGCAAGAAAAAATGGATAATTTTGTGGAAAATTCTGAATGCCTGGCTGGGAAGTTTTGACATTATAAGAAAGGGCACTGTGAAACAATATTAAACAAAAATGTGTATGTTTTGAATTCTTTTTTTCCCCCATTTATAGTTGAAGTCATGGCAATACATTTAAATATGTCTATTAATATGATTTTCTTTCTTTAATTTTTTGGGGTACAGTCCTTCAGGTAGCCTCACTTTATCTCAAGGAAGATCGGCATTGCTATATCAGAGACTAAAACAATAATGAGAGAGACAGAGAAGACAAAGAACATCAGTACTAATTTTGACTTGCAAAATTCTGTTTCTGTGTTCTTAGCAAAACAACAGCCTTAATATTTTAGTGTTGCTACAATATAAGAGGATTTTCTAATTTTCTGTAGCTTCACTGAGAGATCTGGTGCCAGTGATCTGACTCTATTGTAGCGTTTCTTCACCAGTGTGGAGTGGACACTCTTTTAAAGCTTAATCCTCTAGAGAAGAAGTGAGAGATGATATGCAGAAGAGGCAGTAGAGAGCTCAACCTATGTGCTCCATCTGGCTGTGAAAAAAAAAGACAAGTATAATCAAAATAGAAAAGAACAGCTAGTGTAGATAGACACTTTTCTAAAACTTGGTGGCTTTGAGCATCCTTCTCTGCTACCTCCAAATGACTAAGAAAGCCCATTGTTATCCAGACACCATCTCTCCAAAAAGCATGAAGGAGAAAGCATCTGAAAGACCTACTTGAGAAAGACAAAATCAATTAGAAGAGACAAGTTAACAAGGAAGAAAAAAAATACTGTAGCCCAGGTTATTTGAAGAGTGTTTTGTTTTCCCTTCTACTATTGAAAGAAGTAGGAATTTCAAAGGCAAATCAGATGAGTTATAGGAAAAAAAATGCCGTGTGTTTTGCATATCTGAACATTGTAATTTCTTTACCTCTTGAAGTGGTTCATCTGTTTGTAACTAATTATTTACTTCTTTTAATTATACCACAACAATCAGATAGTAAAGGACTAAGAAGACATCATTCGGGCTAGTCAAGCCCTGTAGCAATTTGCTGCTCTCAATTGTTGCCTGGGTCACAGGTCAGAACAAGTGACTCAAAGGTCCAAGAAGGAAGGTAGCTGGAGAGCCTCAGGTTACGTATGAAGAAGGAAGCAGGGAAGTTGAGAGACACGAGGAGAGTAAAGGAGGCAGGAAGTACGATGTCAGGCAGAAAGAAGACTGGTGATAACATGACTGAGATTCAGATTATTTGGACATATTGATCGCTCTCCAAGTTGGGTACTATCACTTTGGGGTATATAAGACCATATTAATTTTATTTCTATTTATTTTATTTAAAAATTATTTACTACTTGATTTTTCATTCAGTCAAGTTTTGTAAAATAAACTTATATAGTCTTTTATTCCCTTTCTTATTGCCATCAAGCCTTTAAACCCTAAACTAATTGCTATGTATCTGGTTAGGAGTTTTATTTGGCAATATTTACAAATATTAATATAAGGACCCTATCATTTCAAACTCTACTGTTAAATAGGAAGAAAAATGCATTTGGCATTTTATGTAAAATGACCTTGTTTCAAACAAAACATGCATGCAGTAAAATGAAAAATGTAGCTAGTGATGCAAATCAGTGGTTGCCAGAAAGGAAGAAGACATGAGGTACTGACACCAAATGGGTGAGAGAGAACTCTTGGGAGTGGTGGAAATGTTCTGTGTCTTTCTTGTAATGATGGTTACATGGCCACATCCATTTGCCAAAACTCATTGAACTGGACACTTAAAATGAATATAGTTTGTCCTATGTAAAGTCTACTTCAATAAAGTTGATTAAAAAAGAAAAAGAATGTTGTAAACATAGTAATTTTGCCAACCCATCAAGGAGGTATGTTTTCTTAGGTTTGAATTCCTGCTGGGGCCCTTACAAGTTGAGTGGGCAAGTGACAACCCTCTACACTTCAGTTTCTTTATCACCTGGAATTAACAGTAATATCTATTCCCTAGTAGCTGTATTAAGGAAACATGACAATGCATGTAAAGCATATATGGGGAGGGCCATGAGGACATAACTTCATCTTCTCTGTACACACAAATTAGAGGTAACAAGAAAACCTTTACTAATGGACCTTAATAATACAATCTCAATTATAAGAGATAGTTCAAATCTACATATGTAATTATTCTTTTCTCTAATATAAAAGTATTCTTTTTTTATTTCTTTATTTCAGGAGAAAATATCATACTCAGTTTTTCTTACATAAACTTTGAAGGGAAAAAGTTTTTAATGTGCTGTTAGTAAGGAGGATTGATACAGCATTCTAGTAATGGTCATATAGTTTTCTTCCAATTTCCAAGTCCCAAAGTACACTGTACCAAAAATGAAAATGAAGTATATTAGATCCTGTTAAAATAACTTCCTTTAAAAGTAAAACATCTCAGTCTCTTCTTTGGTTCTATAACCAGTTTCGGAATGTTCTTCTGCTGAGTTCTTTTAAATCAGCTTAATTTATGGTTCAAGTTATCATGGCTACTTGAGTATGAAGTTAATTCATTTAAACAAACAGTCTAGCTCCTGATTCTGAGATTTACATTGTGTCCAAAGATGGTATAAAATACATTCACTGCCTCAGAATAAAATGATAAGAGTTATTGCTCTTGGCCTCTCTATAACTGTTCTTGTTAAAGAATGAGTTGGCTTCTTAAAATGATGACTAAAAAGCTCGTCATCTTCAAGATAGGAAAGGAATGAGTTTACCACAAAATACTTAAATAAGATTTCAACAGAGGCTGATGAAAGTCAGAGAGAAATAAAATCTCTTACTTATTTTTATTTGTTTGCAACTTACATCTGACTTCCACTTGCTTATGAAATGAATTCAAGAGAAGGCCTAGAGCCTTGCACATTGTAGATACATACCTCAAAGGTTTGGGAGGAAAAAGATAAGTGGAATTAAGCTGAGTTTATTTATTTAAAAATGTGCTAAATATCTTTAATTTCCTGTTATTGAGCAATAGTGATGAGAGTTGGTGAGGAACCCACCTTTGCTGCATGGTGTTGAAATGTGACCTATAATTTTGAACACATTCAATTACTCATTCGTATTCCAGCATCCAGACTTAACTCAGCCCATTAATTTTAGTGAAATTTACCATATAGTAGACAAAAGTGCCTGTTCCAGAGTCAGGCAAATCTGGGCTTGAATAGTGGCTCTCCAATCCAGTAAACAAGTAGTGTGAGCTCCACACTTACCTCTCCAACTTGAAAATAATGATAGTAGCCAGATCACAAGCTTTTGAGAGAATTAAATTTAGTAGCACAAAGGAAAGGCCTATTTCTACTTCTTGCACATTGTAAGCTTGTCCAGTGACCCCCTCCTCCATTCACACACAGAAATTCCTGTGGTGCAAGTGGTTGTTGTATACTGGTATATATTACAATGAGCAAAATTTAAAATCTCAGTTTCTTTTTTTTTTTTTGTACGCAAAGTAAATGGGGAATAATACAGGAAAATCATACCTTTTTAAAAATTTCCAACTTTTATTTTAAGTTCAGGGAAATCATACCTTTACACAAGTGTATTTAATCCCTTTTCTAACTTGCCCTACAATTTTTTGACAATTTTTTGATATACATGACTATCTATGCCCCATATAATTCACGTTTTTTTTTCTCTAAGTATTGCATTTTTGAAGATGTAACCATATTTTTTCAGGCTTCCTTGATAGATGCCAACATGGCTCAGTCCGCACTCTCTTTAGTAACGGGTTACTCTAAGAGCTTCTAGTCTCTCTGTTTATAATTCAGTTGAATTTTGCCATCCCCAGTTGTCTACTGAGGAACTTTATATGAAAAATAACTGCATGTGGATATAGCATATTAAAAACTAAAGTCATTATCCTTTCTCTTGTCAGCCCTCCTTTCTTTGTGTTCTTCCGTCCATATTCCTCTTCCCGGGTGGTGATTCTCCCACATACTCAGGTGTTTTTTTTTTTTTTCAGAGTCTTGCTCTTGGCGCCCAGGCTGGAGTGCAGTGGCGCGATCTCGGCTCACTGCAACCTCCACCTCCTGGGTTCAAGCGATTCTCATGCCTCAGCCTCCTGAGTAGCTGGGATTACAGGCGCCCACCACCACACCTGGCTAATTTTTGTACTTTTAGTAGAGACAGGGTTTTGCCATGTTGGCCAGGCTGGTCTCAAACTCCTAACCTCAGGTGATCCTCCCGCCTTGGCCTCCCAAAGTGTGGGGATTATAGGCATGAGCCATCGTTCCCGGCCTGTTTTTTAAATTAGACTTCTTTGAAGCATTCTTCATGTCTCATTTTTCTTTCTTACCATATCTTACTGATCCAGTTCAATTCACTCTATGACTCAACATGAAACCTCTCATCTGGTGTTATCATTTACACAGCCTTTCTAGATACAGGACAAGATGATTCTTATCTCCACTCTTCATTCCTGCTGTTTACTCTATTCAGAATGTTCTCTGAACAAGCTACAATTTCAAGGTCCAGTTAAAGTTTTCATGTTTCCATGTTCAGTGTTTTCATGAGATCTTATTTTGGGCAGGGGTTTAGACCTTGTGGCATCTGCTCTCTTACTTTCTAGTATGATGGTCTTATGTATATGTTTACCTTCCTTGAGAAGGTCGACAGAAGGCAAATGGGCTCTGTGTCAGATACACTAGGTTCATTTCTTAGCTTCATAACTTACCAGTTTTGTCTTCAATAAAATGGGTTTTATGTAATACCAATAATTTGTTGATATAGTAATAAATAAAATAGTGTAACTTAAAGTTTTTTATTAGAAAGTACCACATATAGAACAGTTATTTTTATTATGCTTTTGCATTTGAATCTGATGTGGCCTCAGTCAAAAAAAGTTACCAAGATTGTTCAAAAATTGCTTGATTGTTGACTAATTGGTCTGAAAATTTAAGAATACATTGTTGCTTCATGTGTGAAGGAAATAGGCAATGTTTCTGATGAAACATGTGTCAAGACATTTAAGATCATGACTTTTCTTTTTTCAAACATGGTCTCACTTTATAACCCAGGCAAGAGTGCAGTGGCATGATCATAGCTCACTGCAGCCTCGAACTACAAGGCTCAGGTAACCCTCCAGCCTTAGACCCCCGAGTAGAACTACAGGCACATGCCACAATGCTTGGCTAATTTTTTTTTATTTTTTATTTTTTTTGTAGAGATAGAGTCTCACTATGTTGCCCAGGATTGTCTCAAACTTTTGGGCTCAAGCAGACCTCTTGCCTCAGCCTGCCAAAGTGCTGGGGTTACGGGTGTGAGCCACCACACCTGGCCAAGATAATAAATTTTTGAAAAAAGAAGTAGCTTAGAAAATGAATATCCTGAATACAATGCCTTGTATTTACCATTAAATGAAGTAAAAAGTAAAACAAAAACTAGAATGAAACTATATCTTGGTGCATAGTCTAGTCATACTAATTCATTTCTACAATTTTTCTTGTTTCCTTGCCTCCAGACTTTTCCTGCTTTAATCTCTTCAATGCCCAACTCAGAGATAAATCTTCCTAAAATAACATTCTCACCATGTTGCTTTCCTGGTCAAGAACCTACAGGCTCTCCTCATAGATTACTGCATCAAGATCCCAATACTCAGCTGGGCATGATGGCTCATGCCTGTAATCCTAGCACTGTGACAGGTCGAGGTGGGTGCATAGCTTGAGCCCAGGGAGTTCAAGAACAGTCTGGGCAACATGGCAAAACCCCATCTCTACCAAAAAAAAAAAAAAAAGGAAAATTGGCCAGGCATGGTGGTGCATGCCTGTAGTTCAGCTACTTGGAGGCTGAGGCAGGAGGATCACTTGAGCCCAGGAGGTTGAGGTTGCAGTGAGCTGAAATTGCACCACTACACTCCAGCCCAAGTGATAGAGTGAAAGACTCTGTCAAACAAACAAACAAACAAACAAAAAACAAAAACACTCAAATTCTGTACTTGAAATTCACGGTTCTGGCAGAGAAACAACAAAAAAAGAAAATTTCAGGCCAATATCCCTGATGAACATCGATGTGAGAATCCTCAATAAAATACTGGCAAACCGAATCCAGCAGCACATCAAAACGCTTATCCACCACGACCAAGTCGTCTTCATACCTGGGATGCAAGGCTGGTTCAACTTATGCAAATCAATAAATGTGATCCATCACATACACAGAACCAATGACATAAACACATTATTATCTCAATAGATGCAGAAAAGGCCTTTGACAAAATTCAACACCCCTTCATGCTAAAATCTCTCAATAAACTAGGTATCAGTTGTACCTATCTCAAAATAATAAGAGCTATTGATGACAAACCCACAGCCAATATTATACTGAATGGGCAAAAACTGGAAGCATTCCCTTTGAAAACTGGCACAAGACAAGGATGCCCTCTCTCACCACTACTATTCAGCATAGTATTGGAAGTTCTGGCCAGGGCAATCAGGTGAGAGAAAGAAATAAAGGGTATTCAAATAGGAAGAGAGGAAGTCAAATTGTCTCCGTTCGCAGATGACGTGATTGTATATTTAGAAAACCCCATCGTCTCAGCACAAAATCTCCTTAAGCTGATAAGCAACTTCAGTAAATTCTCAGGTACAAAATCAATGTGCAAAAATCACAAGCATTCCTATACACCAATAACAGACAAACAGCCAAATCATGAGTGAACTCCCATTCACAATTGCTGCTTAGAGAATAAAATACCTATGAATCCAGCTTACAAGGGATGTGAAGGACCTCTTCAAGGAGAACTACAAACCTGTTCAAGGACATAAGAGAGGACATAAACAAATGGAAAAACATTCCGTGCTCATGGATAGGAAGAATCAATATCATGAAAATGGCCATACTGCCCAAAGTAATTTACAGATTCAATGCTATCCCCATCAAGCTACCATTGACTTTCTTCACAGAATTGGAAAAAACTACTTTAAACTTCATATGGAACCAAAAAAGAGCCCGCATAGCCAAGACAATCCTAAGCCAAAAGAACAAAGCTGGAGGCATCATGCTACCTGACTTCAAACTATATTACAAGGCTACAGCAACCAAAACAGCATGGTACTGTTACCAAAACAGATATATAGACCAATAGAACAGAACAGAGACCTCAGAAATAATGTCACACATCTACAACCATCTGATCTTTGACAAACCTGACACAAACAAGCAATGAGGAAAAGACTCCCTGTTTAATAATTGGTGTTGGGAAAAGTGGCTAGCCATAGACAGAAAACTGAAACTGGACCCCTTCCTTACACCTTATACAAAAATCAACTCAAGATGGATTAAAGACTTAAACGTAAGACCTAAAACCTTAAAAATCCTACAAGAAAACCTAGGCATTACCATTCAGGACATAGGCATGGGCAAAGACTTCATGTCTAAAACACCAAAAGCAATGGCAACAAAAGCCAAAATTGACAAATGGGATCTAATTAAACTAAAAAGCTTCTGCACAGCAAAAGGAATTATCATCAGAGTGAACAGGCAACCTACAGAATGGGAGAAAAATTTTGCAATCTATCTATCTCACAAAGGGCTAATATCCAGAATCTACAAAGAATTTAAACAAATTTACAAGAGAAAAACAACCCCCTGGAAAAGTAGGCAAAGGATATGAACAGACACTTTTCAAAAGAAGACATTTATGCAGCCAACAAACATGAAAAAAATGCTCGTCATCACTGGTCATTAGAGAAATGCAAATCAAAACCACAGTGAGATACCATCTCACACCAGTTACAATGGCTATCATTAAAAGGTCAGGAAACAACAGATTCTGATGAGGATGTGGAGAAATAGGAATGCTTTTATACTGTTGGTGTGAGTGTAAATTAGTTCGACCATTGTGGAAGACAGTGTGGCGATTCCTCAAAGATCTAGAACTAGAAATACCATTTGATCCAGCAATCCCATTACTGGGTATATACCCAAAGAATTATAAATTATTCTACTATAAAGACACATGCACATGTGTGTTTATTGCAGCACTATTCACAATAGCAAAGACTTGGAACTAACCTAAATGTCCATCAGTAATAGACTGGATAAAGAAAATGTGGCAAATATACACCATAGAATACTATGTAGCCATCAAAATGGATGAGTTCATGTCCTTTGCAGGGACATGGATGAAGCTGGAAACCATAATTCTCAGCAAACTATCACAAGAACAGAAAACCTAACACCACATATTTTCACTCATAAGTGGGAATTGAACAATGAGAACACATGGACACAGGGAGGGGAACGTTACACACTGGGGCCTGTCGGGGGGATGGGGGACTAAGGGAGGAATAGCATAGGGGAAATACCTAATGTAGGTGATGGGTTGATGGGTGCAGCAAACCACCATGGCACATGTATACCTAGGTAAAAAAACTGCACATTCTGCACATGTACTCCAGAACTTAAAGTATAATAATAAAAAAAAGAAATTCATGGTTCTTTGTCATCTGGTCCCAATTTATCTATTATTTTAGGAGGTGTGACCAACGAAGTGTTTCTACCAAAGGTGTTCAACATTTTATCACTTATGACATGAATTGTCAATGCCTCTAGGGCCATCTAAAGTAGTTTTCGTTTCATGAAACTTCCTTAACTGTTAGAACTGATATTATTAGTATAGGAATCCAATATGAAATCAAAATACATTTATTGTTAATTAGAAAATGTCAAGCTTTGCCGCTGGGCATGGTGGCTCATGCCTGTAATCCCAGCACTTTGGGAGGCCGAGGCGGGTGGATCACGAGGTCAGAAGATCGAGACCATCCTGGCTAACATGGTGAAACCCCGTCTCTACCAAAAATACAAAAAATTAGCCGGGCATGGTGGCGGGTGCCTGTAGTCCCAGCTACTCTGGAGGCTGAGGCAGGAGAATGGCGTGAACCTGGGAGGCGGAGCTTGCAGTGAGCCGAGATTGCGCCCCTGCACTCCAGCCTGGGTGACACAGCGAGACTCCCTCTCAAAAAAAAAAAAAAAAAAAAGTCAAGCTTTATGGTGGAAGCTTTGAGGAGTAGAAAGATAAATTAGATACAGACTTTGCTTCTAGTCTATTATGAAGTTTATTGGGGCTCACAGAAAGTGCTATCAAAGTGGAGAAGATAAAAGAGTAATGCATGCTGTGTGTTCATTTCTACAGTTATTGGGATCAGAGAAGTGTTTGGGGGGATGAAGTGACATCGAAATTACCGTTGGAAAAAGAGTAAACTTATTCTATAAGCACAGTAGACATAGAGTCTAAGAACCCACAATACCTTTAGGAGCCCACAAAAATGTTTTAATTTTAATTTATTGCGAGCTCAGAAAAATAATAATGCATTTCTATATTTAATGTATTCATTTAACAAATATTTATTAAGCACCTACTATATCCTAGATATCGTACTAGTTGCTGAGGATGCAAATGTAAAGAGGGAGTCCTTGTCATTATGGAGATGACCTTCTAATTGGTTCAGAAGACAATGGACACACAAACTATCAAATAAATAATAATTTTCCAATGTAGTAAATGCTTTGAAGGCAGTAAAGGTAGGCAATACATAGAATAAATGTAGAGTGCTGTTATAACTGAGGAGATCAGCATTCCAAGTGGGAGGAACATAGTAGAGGAAAAGCAAGTTCCCAAGAGCTCCCATGTTGACAAATCAGATATGAGGCTGGTATGACTGGAGTGAGTGAATAAGGGAATGTCTGTATGGAATTAGGTTGGGGAGGAAGTTTACATTTTTGCATGTGATTGTGTAACATCTTGTGTCTCTACCTTTGTTAATTTGTCTTCTTTTAAATTTATTTTTAATTTATACTAACTTGTTTTTAAAATTTATCTTTGTAAAGTATTTTGAAAGTTTTCTGGAACAGGGTGGTGTGCTTAAAATTCTCTTATATCCTGCCCAACATCTAGCAGTACATTGAGATTATGAAAGACATTCAATAAACAGTTCTGAATGGGTAACAGAAAATATATTCAGATATCGCATAAAATTCCGCTGAAAGGAGCCAAGAATTCAGTTTGGTCTTAGATAAAATAATTTGTCATTCAGTTTACATAGTCCTATAAACATCTAAAGTAAAATAAGAGGTATCACATGGCTACTTTAAATAGTGTTGGCCTGGTTTTTTTTTAATTTTTATAAATTTGTTAGCACTATTCCAAGAGCACATTATAATCTATGACTCAATTTGGAATTTTATTCATTGTCATGGTAAACCAAGAAAAATTCTATCTAGGAGTAATACTTAGATATTATTTTTGGAAGCTCCAGGGAATATGTATATATTTTCCTCCAATGTCTCCAAATCAATTCTAAGAAATTAAAGTAGTATAAAGATTTAATTTAAAAGGAATGTTTTATTAATTAATATAAGCTTTGAATGCTTTCAGAAGTTATGTTCAGACCAAGCATCAATCTGCATTTACGAAAGTTAACAAAATGACACAGTCTAATGTAAGTGTAAAATAAGGAGTCAGCAAATCTGATACATTTTGATGTATTCTGTAATGCTTATATTATCTGCAGATAAAACAATTCACTAAGGAACATAGCTGCTATGATTGGAATGTTTGTTCCCTCTGAAAATTATGTTGAAACTTTTTTGTGGCAGTATTGAGATGTGGGGCCTTTAAGAGGTGATTGAGTCATGAGGGCTCTCATGAATGAGTTGATCCACTCATGAATTAATGGATCAATGGGTTATCATAGGTGTGAGACTGGTGGCTTCATAAAAAGAAGAAAGACCTGAGCTGGTATGTTTAGCCCCCTTATCTTGTGATGCCCTGAGCTGCCTCTGGGCTCTACAGAGAGTTCCCACCAGCAAGAAGGACCTCGCCAAATGCAGCCTCTCAACCTTGGACTTCTGAGCCTCCATAACTGTAAGAAATAAATTCCTTTTCTCTATAGATTACCTAGTTTCAGATGTTCTGCTCTAAGCAACAGAAAATAAAATAAGACAATAGCACTATTTATACTTGTCACAATTACTGGACTTAATTGCTGCTGTCCTTTGGGGGAGGTATTGGAATCTTACATTTTATTTTAATTTTTGTTAATAGAATTAATCTGATTCCATTTATAAGTGAAAGATTGATTATGGGGAATTTATATCTATGATAGGCTTTGCTCTTGATAGTGATGAATAAATCTTAATATTATTGCGTTTGAGTAACACTTAATCTTCAAAGGACTAGACAAACAGAAATTAATCCATCAATTAGTCTTTCCTCCCATTAAAACTGATACCTCCCATTTCCAAGGACAGCAGAGTCAGTTAAGAAGACATAATCTTTTGATTTTATGTAAATTTTGTCACTTTCCAAAGAAACATTAAGATTATAATCTTTATATAAGAATGAAGATTTTAAAGTGCAAATAGATTTATGACTCTTGAGGGTGGAGTGATTTATTATTAATTACTTTCCTTTTATTCTTAACTATACTTCAAAGAATTACTCTGGCACTAAAATCCAAAGAATGTTTATATTAGATCTTCACTTATAATTAAGTTTTGTAGACCTAATTTGGGAATTTCATTATGTAAATATTTATATCACATTCAATTTAGCTCAGCATTTTAAAATATAGTCTCACAGGTAGAACATCTAGGAGAACTATTATGTATATGAGGGAATTCTGTATGGAGAACTACTTACCTAATTTTTGCCTACTTGGGACTTCTGTATGTCCAGGAATTTATATTAGAATACACATTTACACATAATCTGTTAGTATGTATACCTAGGTATTTCATGGAGGGCTCAGGATTTTCAAAGACAAAATATGGTTGACTTAGAATCACTACACCACATATTTTAGGTAGAAAGTACAAAACATAAGATTTATTTTAAATATGTGTGTGTGTATTCCATATTCTAGATGTTAGGGTCTTATATTAATTTCTAATTTCTTGACACTGAGAATTAAAGGCCTGCCTGGGGACGACCTAAACTAGTGTTGATAATATAATAATACTAGCAGAGTAAGAGGCTCTACTTTAGGTCCTTCAATTTCTCATTGTAATACTTACTCTTATCTTGTTATCACTAAGTGTTGCTGAATTATTCTGTCCTTGTCACTTAAGTTTTAAAAAATGCTCTTATTTTGAAAAAAATCTCAACCTTATAAAAATTGCAAGAATAATTTAAATAACACTTTCCTGAGCCATGTGAGAGTGAAGGAACATCACAATGCCTCATCACCCCTAAATACTTTAGCATAGATCAAAGACTTTCTATTACATAACCACATTTAGGAAATTTATATTAATACATTACTACCATCTAAGCCCTAGATTCCATTCACGTTTTTCCAGCAGTTTCAATATGCTACTTTATTTCAATATGGTACTTTATAAGAAAAGAACCAGTACAGAATTATGTACAACATTTAGTTGTCGTCTTATTTTGAACTCCTTCATTCTGGAACAGTTGTTTAGTCTTTCCTTGACTTCAGAACCATGACATTCTTAAAGATATTATACGACTGTCATTTGGTAGAATGTTTCTCCACTGGGTTTATCACATGTTTCCTCATGATTAGAAGATTAAAGTTATGCAATTTGGGCATGAATATCACAAAGTGACTCTGAATGCTTTCATCCCATCAGGTGACACATAAGTTTGATTTATTCCATTACTGGTGAAGTTAACTTTATTACCTGATTTAGGTGGTATCTTCCAGGCTTCTCACCATACTTTCTTTCTTTTTATAATTAATAAATATTTTCTGTGGGGAGGTATTTTGAGGCTATGCAAATATTCAATTTCTCATCAAAATTTTAATTAATTTATATCTGCATGGATTAATGGATTCTCATTTTATTTAATGGGTCACAGTCCAATATTCTCATTATTTACTTTGATGTTAAAATTTCCCCAGATTTGGTCAGTGGGTTTCCTTTCAAGGTAACTTCTGTAGTGTCCCTTTGACATTTCTCTATCATTTTCTAAGAATTTATTTCTTTTTGACAAGATATTCCATGCTCATATTACAGCTTCTCTTTCCCAACCCTAAATGAATCACTTCTCCAAGGAGTTCTGCTTCCCTTGAGTGGACCATGCTATTTAGAAATCAGAATCTGAGTGTGAGGTGTGCTCATTACTATTGGAGATTAACGATCCCAAGCTGCGAGAGGTAGGGAATATACACACACACACACACACAAACACACACACCCCACACACTTACATTTATATGGAGCATCTATCATCTATCTATCTATCTATCTATGTATCTATCTATCTATCATCTATCTATCATCTGTCTAGCTAGCTATCATCTATCTAATAGTTCACAATAATGCCATTGTTTGCAAAATCCAACACCACAGAGTTCATTCTTGCTTTTTCTTTTTTCCTGTCTGTAACCCTTTTGTCTGACATTTGAGAAACTAGGCTCTTATTATGCTTAATGTATTTTTTTGATCATTGCTTCTTGTGTATTCAACTTCCTAGTGCTACACTGCCACACCAAACTTACATGTTTTCCTCACTCATGCTGGGCTCTGATACACTGTGCAGGGATGTTGCTGTCACTGACCTTTTCCTCGTGAAGATACTCTGCTCACCCCATTCAGGCTCCAACATGTCTCATTAGGCTGCCACCCCATATCCCTGGGCAGATGCTCCCCTTAATATTCTTATGTATTTTTTACATAATTTTATTAAACATCAACCTAGTTGTAATATCTTGGAGTGTTATCTAATCATATTATACCCCACATTTTATATTTTTTAAAAATAGTAATTTCAAAAAAGATAAAAGTGATGAACATTTTGTGTATTTCTGTATGCTGAATTTATCTATGTACTTATTTTTTCTATTTTAATTTTAAATAACTTGCTATTCCCTCTGCCTAAAACATTTTAGCCAGAAATTTCCATAGCTACCTTCTTCCCATAATTCAAGTTTATGTTACTAAAATATCACCACTTCAGAGAGGACTTTTTGGCCCCACAAAATATCACCTCTCTTTCTGTCATTTTCTTCCCTTGTTTTTCTAACACCTGTCAAAATAAATTATATTATTTAATACTTATTTGCTTATTGTTCTCATCCCCAATACATATACTCTGTAAGAACGTAGGCTTTATATATTTTATTCATTGAGAAGTTTCCAATATCTTGAGTTGTGTTTAGCACATGATATATAATCAGCAAACATTTTAAAAATATACTCAATAAATGTTTATTGAATGATAAACTGTGTTAAGACATTGAAAAATTTTAAAAAAGAAAACAGCCGTATTTAATATATATTAAATAGGAAATGTATGAATTATCATAATTTAGGAGTATTTTAATAGTTGATAATGGGTCAAGAAGTTGAGCATATAGTAACTACAAATAATATGAGATTGGAATTTTAGATACTAGCTACACAGTTTATTAGATCTGCTAATATTAATAAAAAGTAATAATTATATATAACAAATTTTAAATAATATCCATGTATTTTTATAAATATTAGCTATTATATTTAATAGTTAAGGAGTAGAAATAGTAACTACTACTTGAAGCTTATTTCAAATATTTTATTATTTCTATATCTCAAATTTTACAATTTTTAAGTTGAAATTCATAAGGACACATAATTTGAAATGTAAGCCAGATCAATTTTGGCACAAGCGACAGAAACCCCCTTTCAAATAGCTTATGTAAAAATAGATTTTATTTACTTATGTATCTACAAAGTCCAGGATGGACTTCATGTGTCACTAGATATAGAAGCTTAAATGAAATCTTAAGGTCCCTACAGCTTTAAAAGCTCTTTCTATTTATCTCTTTTTACTTTTCTATTGAATAATTTATTTATGGCAGACTCTTTCTGTATGGTTTCTAAGGACTTCATCTCTTGCCACAAGTAGCAAAGTCACAATGCAAAGGGCATGCATGCAAAGATAAGAAGGAGTTAATGCAGATTACCTACCACAGCCTAGGGGTCACCCAGTGTAATGCTGGGCTTACATCATCCACATCATTAGCTTTCTCAGAGCAAAGGGGAGTCTTTTACCTAAGAGTACTTGCAAAAATATTTGTGAGGACTCTAAATTTTGTTTTTGTTTTTTGTTTTTTCACATACCTACCCCTAAATTGATTGTTGTAGCCATGGAAATGGTCACTCTTTTGGAAGGCTCTAGGTTATGTTTCAACCCTAGAACTGTAGGGTGGGTCAGCTGCACATATAGGAACTAAGGACAAGGAGAGAACAAACTCCAAGAGATGCTGCCAGAAAATAATAAATATATGCAATAGCAATAGAACTGAGAAGTTCCTACAAGTTGAGAGAGAAGCTCATTTTTTGGCATTTCTTGTATTTGTCCCTTATACTTTCTAATAAAGAAATATCATGAATGGGATCACTTCATATTTTAACTTGAACCAAATTTAAATCCTAGGTATGATTCAAGTAAAAGGAAAATATTCCTACTCTGACTGAAGTAAGATATTTTGAAAAACCCTCCAAATTTAGACTCTACTTTGTGTGTGTACATGTATATATGTTTATTATTTTGACCAAATAATAAGCAGAATCAACCTTCTTTACTATTTTTCTCATTCAGCTGTTATGTATTATATTGTGTTTGTGATAAGGGGCAAGATGAATTAAAAGTTAAGGACAATTATATATATTTTGTATCTTATTTGAAAATCCCATAAAAAGATGAAAATTTGATGGCTTGTAAAACACTAGAAGAAAAGGAAGTTCAAGAAGGTTTTATATTCTTGGGACTGGAGACAGATTTTGTTAGCATGGGAGGCAATATTCTTAGTGGTTGGAGGAACAATTGGGTCTCATACACATCTGGGAAGAAATTCAAACCCTGTCCTTTACTAGTGATGAAATACTTGTCAAGGCTTCTACTTTCTCTAAGCCTTAATTTCCTTACCTGCTAAATGAACATGCAAATAATATCTAACTCACAGGATTGCAATGAATAGCAAATGAGTTACTATATACATATATCACTGAGTTTACTACATGGCCCATAAGAAGGTATTTATTATTCATCATACATTTTGAAAATATTCAAAAATTGTTCTTAATTATTTATGTTGAGTTAAGTCATTTACTGTGACAAAATTATGGCTTGATGACAAATATGTTACCAGTGTTAGGCAATAGCTCAGTAGTCATTAACACATTAATCTACATTATTTTTCAGTTTCCCAGAAGAAAGCATGGTTATAGGCCATAAACATAGAAAAAGTTCATTTTGAGTGAAGAGAAGATGAAAACAGGCTTTCATAATGGGGTACACTTGGGGGAAGCAGGATCTGGAACAAGTTCACACTCTAGGTAACCTTGGTTTCTGGAGGCAACTTGGAGGGCATGGAAGATAATATTTTCCAAAGATGACCACAATAGCATCCCCAGTTCCACATGCCTTCCTAATGTGACACTCTCGCATCAGAAGTTGTAGGCTAATTTCCTCCTCATCCTGTTGAATCTGAGCTGGCCTTGATGACTTGCTTGGCCAATAGAATGTAGCAAAAGAGACATTCTGTGTCTTCTGATGCTGTCACTATGATGAGTCTTACAGCTTCTGCCTGAGTCTCTTGGAGTGTTTACTTCTTGGATGCTCCTGCAGGGAAGCTGTTATTCTGAGAGGATTTTAAACCAAACAGAGGGGCCAAGGGTAGGTACTCTGCTTAACAGTCCCAATTGAGCTACCAGCTGGTAGCAGCATTAATTACCAACCGTATGAGTGAATCATTATGGATGACTCCAGATGACTGTAGCCCCAACTAACATCTGCCTGTTATCACATATAAGACTTCAAGTGAGAACCACGTAACTAGACTCATAAACTCACAGAATCATGAGAAATAATAATGCAATATTATTTTAGGCCACTAAGTTGTGGTGTAGTTCGTCATGTGATCATAGATAACCAGGAGAACAGTGTTGGAAATTCAGAAAAGAAAGAGTACAAGTACCAAAGCATCTAAGAAAATTTACCTAACACAAACATGGAGGAGGGTAAACATGAATATCTCTTCCTTTCACATCACAGCTTTGCCTGGAACCAGTCCTATTAGTACCCAGAGTAAAATCCAGACATATTTAATTGCTTGCACTATTAGTTTTACAAATGATTCCATAGGAATTTTGACTGCTTAATATGCATGACTTTATCAAGATTTGTAAAACAAGAACAAATTAAGAAGCATAGAGTAGTTTTTCCTTCTCTTTTTAATTCTCTAAGAGATCTTGGGAAGCCAATTGAGTTAAACCTCATTTTCTTATACACAGGGTCCTTGTTTATCTGTGTAGTTATTTTCTAGGGACCTGTATTACAAGGTTGCATAGAGAATCAGAAAGAAAATTCATGGATGAACTAACATGAAACTTCAGTTCTCTCTCAAATACCCTTTAAGTATCTTGCTTTAACAGTAGAATCTGTATAGACATCTCCTGCGTGCAACTTTCTATCTCTTTGTGGTTCACTTTACCTCTATTCCTGGATGTTTGCAAGGTAAATATATTGCAAATTTATTACCAAATGAGACTTAATGTTTTGCAAAAGATACAGAATTCCATGAAGTCCAGGAAAGAATTGTTAGAAAAATACTTAGATCTTATTCAATGCCATTGGCAAATGAGCAAACAATTGAGAAGGAAAAAAAAAAAAAAAAAAAAAAACTAAGGATGTGGACAGGACTGAAGTTGCAAAAGAGAATGATTTGAAAACTCAAGAATTTAAGATGATCTAAGAGAGGTCCTTGCAAAAATTGATTGAGCGTATATACATACATATATATATTTGCAAAAATAATCCACTTAATTGTATTGAAAATAATCAAATGTTTGGTGTAGAATGTGGTAACATGCAATACTATAGATTTGTCAGCAAAAAAACAAATATATTTGTCTTTTCCAAGAATTGAACTATGTTTGCAGTTATAAACAAAGTTTGATTAAATATCAGATTATATTTTATCACATTTTTATAATTTTGGTTTTATTTTTCAAGATAACGTTTTAATCAAAATCTTTTCCTCTATTGTGAAAATGAAATTTTGGTCCCAATTTAATAATGTGATTTATTTCAGTGCCTTTCTCCCTATATAAAATATTTTAATTATCCCCAGGTGAGGAAGGAAAATATTTTTAGCCTCCCAGATTAGAGAGAAATAATTTATTTGATAATGGTTTTCATTGTCAAGTTAATAGAGGATACTTTCTTAAATAACTCATGGCTTGCTTTCACATAATAAGCTTGGGGTATTTGTTTACATGGAAGAGATAATATCAAAGTAATAAGAAGTATAGATTTCTTTTGAGAAAGGATGGAGTCAAAAGAAATTTTGTATTTGATTTTAGAGAGTACTAAATGAAGTTCAGAATGAAAAACCCTGTTGTTTTTCTACTCTCCTTCCATCCATCCAGGCAACCAGCACTTATTCCACCATTTTCTGAGGAAAAACGTAGGACCATGACTCAGAGTCCCACCCTTGTCTCACGTGGAGGGGAGATAAGCCAGCACTATTCCATGCCTGAGCTGTGGAATGTGCAAGACATCAAAGGGCTTGATGGTGACTAGTTACAAAGTTGTTGCTTCAGGGAGAGAGGAAAAGAGACGATGGGCCATATTACTAAAAGAAAGGACTGTAGCAGTTCAAGGAGAAGTAAGAGCAATTTAATACATGTGCTATCTATGGTATACTCTCGATAGGTGTCTCCGAGAGTAACAAGAAAAGTCTGGGCAGTGAGGGCCTGTTGTGTGATATAAAGGGACAAAATAACTTGATCAGGGGTTCAAAACTCAATCACTCACTCTTCTCCTACTGCCACCACCCAGCTCTTTATAGTTTGGTCACAATTACTCAAACACCTTCAATGAATAATTGCCTAAATCTTCTGGGCTAAGTATAGAGGTGCTCTGAGTGAGTAGACCTTGTGTTCTTCCCTCCACCTTCGTAATGGAGAAGTGGCAGCAGCACCTTCCTGAGAGATGACTGGGTGGGAAGTCCTTTTGTTCATTGCTGGAGAAGCAGCCAGGTAGAACTTCTAATTTCCCTTCCTCCAACAGTATTTAGAGATGTACTCCGGCAGAAGGGGAAGTAGAATAGAATGAGAATGGAAAAGAGGAAGGAAAAGGGAGCAAGAGGAGCTGTTTTTCACATGAGTACATACAAAAGGAGAAAAGGAATCATCTGAGTGGAAGGCTCTGGGGCAGTCTTGAGAACTCTCAGTCATGCTGACCGAAAGGGCAATGTCAAACATCAATAACACTTTTATTTCTATGAGCAAAGTATGTCAAGACAAAATCCAACACCCTTAAAAGTTTTAAGCCCCAAAGCTTTTCTTTTCTTTCTTTCTTTTTTTTTTTTTTTTTTTTTTTTTTTTTTTTTTTTTTTTTTTTTAGACAGAGTCTCGCTCTGTCGCCCAGGCTGGAGTACAGTGGCACGATCTCGGCTCACTGCAAGCTCCACCTCCCGGGTTCACACCATTCTCCTGCCTCAGCCTCCTGAGTAGCTGGGACTACAGGCGCCCACCACCACACATGGCTAATTTTTTGTATTTTTAGTAGAGAAGGGGTTTCACCGTGTTAGCCAGGATGGTCTCGATCTCCTGACCTCTTGATCCGCACGCCTCGGCCTCCCAAAGTGCTGGGATTACAGGAGTGAGCCGCCGTGCCCGGCCACCCTCAAACTTTAATGATAACTAAACCATGTGTCAAAACACAAATAACATTTTTATTTGCTTATTTTTGTTGCTTTTGGCTCTAGTTCTCTATCATGTAAATATGAAGAGATTATATTATTCACGTAAGTAGGTAAAGACCAACAAACTCTTCTTTGTGGAGTTCACCAAATGTCACTGAAAGTTTATTGCCATTACATTGAAAGTAACACTGGGTAGGTCTGTGTATTGATGGTGTAAGAAGTTTAGCAAGCAGTTTGAGCTTGATGGAATAAAGACATGAAATGGTTTTATTTTATTTTTTTCCATTCACTACATTCAACCTTGCACTGTTAAGCTTCCTTGTTCTCTATTGTGACACTATCTCAGGCACACTTCATAATTTTGCAGTTACTTCTGTTTCTTCAAAATATTTCAAGTATAAACATTTATTTGTATATCTAATTTAAATCCAACTTACTGGTCTCCACTGTCATCCCTAATACCAGCCAGATTTGTGGCCCAGAAGACATAATAGCTTCTTGGACTATTTTTGGCTTTTAACATGTTTCTATAATCATAAAGTTATCTATATAATTCATGAAAATCTCAGTGTTGCTAATATTTTTAAAGTCCCATAATTCCTAAGATGGCTGACACAGCAAAAGTATTACTCTTTAGATATTTGGGTGGTTGCATATTATTATTCTTTGGGGCTTCATAGATAAGTATTGGTCTCTGGGAACAGCAACCAAGATGTTCCTTAAAGGAACCCTTTATAGAGAGAGATCTTAATGTGAGGTAAATGGGAATTTGAAAAGCTGTCAAAGGTAGTATTCTATAAAGAAATGAATGTGATACTGGGTATCCATATATCCACATTTTAGATTTACTTTCTTTTTTAAGAAAAAAGTTCTGTTTCTCCATCAGGATACAAAAAAGTTCTGTTTCTCCATTGGGATACAACAAAAAAGGTGTAGTACATAGTGATTTCAAGTGATTTTTTTAGCCACTGAATTCTCCCTTCCCCTTTCCCTCCCCTTGCTTTCTCTTTCTCATCCTTTTCTCTTTCCTTTCCTTTTTCATCAATTTCTTTTCCTTCCCATCCCTTCCCTTCTTTTCTCTTTCTTTTTTCCCCTCTAGCCTCCTCTCTTTTATTTTATTTACCTTTTCTCTCACACACACTCTCTGTTATGCTCTCCCTCTTTCTCTGGAAGCGTACAAGAAATTCCCATACATAAAACATATACAAATAGGCAGCTGTCATTGAAGTAAAAGTCCCAGACCCAGGTTCAATTTATCCAGTTTCCATTTACTCTCTCCCTGTCATGGCATCTGAGGTTCTTCACTGTTATCAATTAAGTGAGAAGAAACAACTAGTGTGAAAAAAAAAATCTGGCTTACTGTCTAGGAATATGTAATACGGATCCAGGATGCTACTTGGTCTAGACTGGTCAATTGATTGGAAATAGAAAATGAAAAGCTGTGATGTGAACATGTTTGATTACAGGACAATTCTGACAGTTGGAGGAAGGGAGGGAGGAAGGCAGGGATAGAGAGAGGAGAATAATGTGAAAATGCAGAGAGGTCAGATTTTAGGACTGGCTAATTTCATAATGGCATATGAATTCTTGATTCCATTTTTTAATGAGTTTTGGGTGCCTTGGATTCTGTGTTATTTCCTGCATGTTTTAAATACACACAAATACATATAGAGAGTTGTAGGTTGTGTTAGGCCATTATTGTGTTGCTATAAATACTTGAGGCTGGATAATTTATAAAGAAAAGAGTTTTAATTGGTTCACAGTTCTGCAGGCTTTAAAGGAAACATGGTGGTGGGGTGGTATCTGCTTCTAGTGAGGGCTCGGAAGCTGACAATCATGGTGGGAGCTGACTAGCAGCCAGCATGTCACGTGGCAAGAGCAAGAGAGAAGGGGGAGGTGCCACACTCTTTTAAACAAACAGATTCCCCATGAACTCGGAGTGAGAACTCACTCATTATCGCAAGGACAGCATCAAGCCATTAATGAGGGACGCACAACCCCCATGACCCAAACACTTCCCACTAGGTCTCACCTCCGACATCGGGGATTATATTTCAACATGAGATTTGGAAGGAACAAAACACCCAAACCATGTCATAGATGTACATTTTTCTTCTAGTTTGAAGTGAAACCAGGAGAACTGTGATGTACATAGAGGTTTAAGAATGAGAAAACTGACCATGGAAGTTATTTGAAGCATTTGTTATATATTTCAGTATCTATAGAGAATCTTTAAAATGTACATATCCTTCAACTTGTATATTCTACTTCCATGGACATCCTTGGATGAATGAATGGAGAATAGAAATATTTCTGCAGAGATAACTTCACATAGCATTATTTACAACAACAAAAATGAACAGAAATTAAACATCTAAGAGTAGGCTAATAGTTAATAAAGAATGGCATAGTCATGTAATGAGCAATCATATGGTCATTTCAAGTGTTTCCTAAGAATGTTTAAAATAGGCTGTCATACTACACAACTCCAGGAGGCATGTTATATTCTATTTGAAAGATATCCTTTACAATCATGCAGTGTCTAGCCTATATTTGTGTGTCCAATATACTGGCCTAATGACATATTAAACATTAAGCCAAGTTTGGCATTATATTACTGTTAAGTAAAAATACAGCATGCACACGAAACTATGTTTTTAGTATAATCTCAAATATGTGTTACATATTTCTATAAATATATAGATATAGTATTCATTTAGAAAGATTATAGAGATATATGCCAAATTACAATAAGTTATCCCTGGATATTGGAATTATAAATGATTTAAATAATTCTTTTTGAGTATTTTCCATTTTTTCTATGATGAGAACATATTGCTGAAATAAAAAAAAATGACAATTATAATTTTAATGCTCCTATCTCTGATCTGTTAAAATAGGATTAGGATTGCCTAATTTCATAACAGCATATGAATCCTTGTTTCCATTTTTTAATGAGTTTTGGGTGCCTTGGATTCTGTGTTATTTCCTACATGCTTTAAATACACACAAATACATATAGAGAGTTGTAGGTTGTGTTATAAAATAAACACCAAACACTGGGTTTATAAACAACAAAATCCTTTGTTATATCCTGCACCTGATGTACTCAGCTATCATCTTCATGGCAACTCTATAGCTATGCTTCATAGTAATAATTATTAATTTTTTATTTATTACTCAATACAGGTACCATTTGAGAGATTCTCTATAGTTATGGATTTTTAAAGTGGGCACCATGCTTTTAAGGAGGATCTGATCAGCCTTGAATATATTGAGAAATAACCTCATGTTTGCTACAGTCAATAATTCTATTGATTTAATGTATAATTCCGATTTCACAAACTCAAAACATATATAGGACTCTCCAGGGGTTTTCTAAATCAATAATAGGCTTTGATTTTTCCAGACTATAAATGGCCTTAACCTCTAGATGTACTGATTTTCCCATTTGACTGATGATTTGTAAGCCTGCCTAACTGGCCTCCAGGGATATAAAGATCACTGTAATTTAGACTGATAGAAAATATCACAGTCAACTATGGTATAAGCAGATAAACAAAGCTGACATTGCCTTAACACCTTTACCAAAAGGGGCATATTAAATGGTGCTGGGGACATTTGGTTAAATATTACCATCAGAAAAGTCCCGTTATGGGGAAAAACTAACTAAGTTCACACATTGCATAGATATTTTCTTTAACCTATACTTCCTCTCTCAGTTTCAAAGGAGGGCTACAAGGAACCTCATCTGTGAGAATCTGAATTGCGCAATAGCCTGTCACACCTTCCTATGCTTGCTGTCTGTGAGCCCTTATAAGGTCTGTGGTCTGGGCAAGCAAATTGATTAGAAAACAATGCTAACAAGCTAGAGGTCACAACTTGGGACCACATCCAGGCATGCATTCCTATTGCTAACCTGATCTTTCACCTTGAAGACAAATTCCGATAGTCAAAGAAATAATAGTCATCTATTACTGAGCTCTGTCCTGTATGTCCAGTCATGGATTCAGTGCCCTACATACATAATTTATAATCGCCAGAAAATTCTTTAAGTTTTCTTTTCTCCATTATATAGATGAGGAAAACCAAGGCACAGAAATTTTAAATGATTTTCCGGGACCATTTAGTTAGTAGTGGCTGACCCAGCATTCACACTTGAGTTTTTCAAGCACAAACTGTTCTTCTAGCTCTATACTTTGATGCTTTGTTCCTATTAGTAATTATAAGGTGAGATCCTCAGTGTTAATGAAAATCAGTGTCCTGTCTAGAAAGCAACTAATAAATGGTCAATGGCTCTATCTCTGTTTGTGAATAATATATTATAGCATATTATTTCTTTCCAGTAGCTTTGATAATTTGTTATTCAAAGTGATTTGTCTTAGTCATCTATTTCTGTGTAACAAATTAACCCCTAACACAGCAGCTTGAAACATTTGTAATCTTACAATTTCTGTGCAGGAGAAATCTAAGTGTGGCTTAGCTGGGTGCTTCTGGCTCATAAAATTGTAGCTAAGCATCAGGTTGGCTTATCTGTGTCTTATCTGAAGGCTCAACTATTTGGGGAGTGTGGGGAAAATCTACCTTCAGTCTCACTCATGTGGTCCTTTAATAGGTGAGCCTCATGTCATGGCAGCTGGTTTCACCCAGGTAAATGACCCAATAAATAACAAGAGACAGAACACTCAAGACAGAAGATGCAGTCTTTTATAACGTAACCTAAGTGAGATTCTCATTTCTTATGCTGATTCTGTTCATTAAAACATTAAAAGTGAATCAACAAGTTCAGATTATTCTTTTTTTTTTTTATAGAGTCTTGCTCGGTTGCAGAGGCTGGAGTGCAGTCTTACGGTCTCTGCTCACCACAACTTCTGCCTCTCAGGTTCAAGTAATTCTCCTCCCTCAGCCTCCAGAGTAGCTGGGATTACAGCTGCATGCCACCACGCCCAGCTAATTTTTGTATTTTTCGTAGAGTCGAGGTTTCACTATGTTGGCCAGGCTGGTCTTGAACTCCTGACCTAAGGTGATCCACCCGCCTCGGCCTCCCAAAGTGCTGGGATTACGGGCCTCAGCCACTGCACCCAGCCTGGATTATTCTTAAAAGGGTAGATTGTATAGAGAAATACATAACAGAAAGTGGGGATCACTGGAGATTATTTTAGAAACTGCCTATCACATGATTTAACATCATTGTTCTGAAAATAGAGGATTATTATATATTCACAAGTTTTCTAAAATTTCAGAATTGTTATAGTCAGGACACTAGTATGAATAAATAGAATGTCAGCTTATTATGGTTTAAACAAAAATGAAAATTTATTGACTCAGGTAACTCAAAAGTCTATATAATGGGACTACCTTCTGACTGACTACATTGAATGAATATTAGCAGGATGTCGTCTGTCACTCCTCTCATTGGTTTTACTTTCTTCTATGTGGCTTTATCTTCTGGCAGGCTCACTCCACATCATGTAAAGTCTAACTTTAGCAACCCCAGGGAATATGATTTGTAGTGGTCACTATGTCTTTGTAAAGAGTCCCAACCAACACTTTCATTAAACCTCATGCTCATTTCTGGATAGAAAGATAAAGTCCTTTGAGTAGCTAGGACTATGTAATATTCCATCCCTGGTGTGGGGGTTTGGTTACTCCTACAACAATCATATAAACCAAGTCTTGTAGGGAGATTTGACTCCAAAAAAAAAAAAAGTTACAGGAAGAAGGGATCATATTATGGGTAAACAAAAATAAAAATAAAGAAACAAGTAAATGAAAA
The DNA here is from genome assembly GCF_000001405.40 of Homo sapiens. Classification (NCBI taxonomy): domain Eukaryota; kingdom Metazoa; phylum Chordata; class Mammalia; order Primates; family Hominidae; genus Homo; species Homo sapiens. Next base: position 152,098,694 of record NC_000003.12, on the reverse strand, counting down.
ATAACCACAGTGTTATGGGCTGAATTGTGTACCTCTCAAATTCATATGTTGAAGCCTCAGTCCTCAATGTGACTGTACCTAGAGATAGGGCCTTTGTGGAGGCAATTAAGTTTACATGAAGTAATAAAGGTGGGTCTCCAATCCAGCAGAGGTGAGGAAGAGACACTGGAGTGCTGTCTCTCTCTCGGCACACACACAAAGGAAAGGACATGTGAGGACACAACCGGGAGGCAGCCATTTGCATGCTAGGAAGAGAGCCCTCACCAGAAACTTTAATTGCCAACACCTCGATCATGAACTTCTAGCCTCCAGAACTGTGAGAAAGTAAATTTCTGTTGTCACTCAGCCTGTGGTATTTTGTTATGGCATCCCAAGCAGACTAGTACACATAAGAAAACAGCTGTCTATATGTTTTCAGCAACTTTTTAATACTATGCAGAAAAGTACACTTAAAATTGTGGTTTTAATAATTACAGCCCATTGGACTTGATGATTACAAGAATATTTTTCTGTTCTACATAAAATTCTGTTGTGTTCAGTAACAAATTACCCCAAACTGAATGAAATAAAACAACAGAAATGTATTCTCTCACAGTTCAGGAGGCCAGAAGTGCAAAGTCAAGAGTTTTGCAGGCTTGGTTTCTTCTGGAGGGTCTGGAGGAAATTGTTACAGATATCTCTCCCCGCTGCTGGTGGTTGCTGCATCCTCGGCATTCCTTGGCTTCAAGTTGCATCACTCCAATCTCTGCCTCCATCATCGCATTGCCCTCTTCCCTGCTTGTGTCTCTGTATATCTCTGCACTACTTTTAAGAACACCAATCAGTGGATTAGGGACCACCCCAATCCAGTATGAGCTCATGTTAATGTGATTATATCTGCAAAGACCCTTTTTTCAAATAAGATCACATTCACAGATACTGAAGTTATGACTTCAAAATGTCTTACTGGGAAATGTAATTCAACCCACAATACTTTAAGTTTCTTAAAAAAAAAATCGTGTTAACACTAGGTAGCATTTTCTTCCAGCTCCCAACATTTCACTTTGTTGATTCTTATGAATAAATAAGAATAATTTATAAAAGGAAGTTTAAAAATAATTATTTAATGATGACTTCCACTGTGCTAATACAGCATTTTATGAATAAATCTCACATTATCAGGAGTTTCTTATTAGAATGTGCTGTCAACATAAACTGTTAAAATTTATTTACTCACTTTCTAATTCATACTTACCAAATGATCTTTTTTTCCTACCATTGCACAGCCTGTAACTTGGTCTAGGTGTTACATGTTTAATATCACTCCACTGTGCCGAGGAAACTTGTTTAAACAAGTCACAAAGCTATGACACAGGGCAGAGCACTGAGGCAAAAACATTTTCAGTTTCTTCCATTTAAAGTCATGATGGTGTTTACAATTGCAGGCAAACTACAGGTTGTTTTACGTGTTAGGTCATTATTCTCCCACAGACCTTCCAAATCATATTCTGGATAAAAGCTGTAAAATTCCAGCCTCCACAATGACATTGTACCTACATATGAAATTCTTTGCCTGCCCTTGTTTGGCAGCTGGTCTGGAACTGAGGATTTGGGTTTTGTTGTTTTTCCTTCAGCAAGACCAATAGTTTCTTATAATATTTCTCCTAGAGCTGGAAATTTGAGATAAATTTTCAACATATTAACTTAAAATATTTTTGTTTGTTCCTTTACAATGCCAAACCAGACATTTTAAATTTGTATAAAAAAGGAAGAAGTCGTATTACCTAATGGAATGATTATTGTCTTTCTAATATTCTTTAATTTTTCCACTCTCTTAGCCTGAGTACCCTAGAATACAGAGTGTGAACCAAAACTTATGCAGAAATGTTATTTGGTGGGGGTAGCGTAGCTATGTGCAAGGGCAATAAAAATGAAGAAAAAAGGGAAATGAGGCAAGAAACGGGGTGGGCATGAATCCAGCGGTCAGTAATTTCACAAGAAAATGCAATACGTTGTTCAATCATATAGGATATCTCTGGAAAAGCCTGATGAAATCACTATATGTGGGAGCTCTTGGGTGAGGATGGGCATGAGGTAGAAGAAGCACAGGCAATTTATCTGATGGTTCAGCTGTCTCTCACTGGTCAGAGTCCACTCCAGGGGTATGAGCTTACCCAAGTTCCTGGGTTGCATTGCCCAGCTCTTCCACTCTTCCACACAGGCAATAGAGAAGCCACAGTCATCAAAGCTCTGACCTCAGAGGTTAGGAACAGTGGTTTCTACTTGCTGCATAGAGCCTTATGGATCTGTAGCGGTGATGGTAGTAGCTGGACTTTATCACCCAAGAAATTGTGTGAGCTAAAGCTAGGGCTCTTCAGGCCAAGAACAAGAACAGGGAGTTGAGAGTAGCCTATTGAGTAGCACATAATTTGGGACTGCTGAACTCACACAGCTATGGATATTCTGACCTGTGAAAGAATCACTGATTTATATGGCTGCAATGACCTTTAAAGACCATTTATTCCAAATGTGACTAAAACTGTGAAGAGACATTTCTACTTACAGTTAAAATGGACTAACAGGGACACGTTTTCCCCTCTCATCTGAAACAGTCCCCCCGGAAGGACAGGTATCTGAGAGTTTGTAGGCAAAAAAAAGGTGAGCCCAATGCATGCCAACACTTACTTCCTTAAGAGAGTTTCTAGGCCAATAGGGAGAAAACTAGTAGAATACCAGTAGATTTCCTGTGTAGGAAGATAGAGCTGAGAGTATGGGTAGACTGAGGCAGCTAGAGTTTGAAGGACTGAGTACCAGACAGAAGAGAGCAACAAACAGAAAACTCCAGAAATCTGTAAAAGATACCCTTTGAATTATGCAGCTGAATACTGACTAACAAATGTATGCAAAGAGGCTGTCCAAGGTTGAGGAATCACCTGCTAGTATTAAAAGTAACAGTGTACCACCAGTCAGATTAAAAAAACCCACAATTTAAAGGTAATTTGATAGAGTACACAAAACAGACTTGCCTGCCTAGTGAGCTTATTTAGTACTAGATTAAACACTGCTCTGACTCTGTCTAACAAATCATAAAAGTAAGATCCAAAGGGAATAAATCATTTCCAAGTAACTTAACTGCATCATGGAACAAAGCTAAGGAATATTTGCATGAAAACAGAAATATCCAACACTCATTGAAGTAAAATTCACAATGACTAGCAAAAAAATGTTTCAAATATTATAGGCTTGTAAAGAAGTAAGAAAATGCAAGCCACATTGAGGACAAAACGCAATAAATTGAAATGGGTCCAGAACTAATACAAATGTTAAAATTAGCAAACAAGGTCACTAATACTCTTATTATAGCTAGTTTACATATGTTCAAAAGTTAAATAGAGACATGAAAGATGTCTCTATTTGGTAGACAAATAGTGCTTCTATTTGGTTTTTAAAACTACCCAGTTTGAACTTTTAAATATAACAACTGATTTGTGAGAATAAAAATACGCTGGATGGAATGAAGCAGTTTAGAAATTGTAGAAGGGAATATTAGTGAACTTGAAGAGACAGCAGTAGAAACTATCAAAAATGGAACTCTGAAGAAAAAAGAATAATAATAAATAGAGATCAGTGATCTTTGGGACAATTTATGGAAGTCTACTAATATGCAATTAGAGTCTCTGAAGCATATTCCATTATTTGAAGAAAAAAGTGACTGGAAAATTTCCAGAATCCTCACATATGAAAAGTTCAGTGAGCCCCAAGTGCAATAAATATAAAGAAAACTATACCAAAGTGTATTATAATCAAATTATTCAAGACTGGTGTTAAAAGAAAAAAGTCTTAAAAGAAACCAGAGAAAAATATTACATACAGAAAAACAAAGGTAAGTATAACAGATTTCTCTAACATAACAACAATAAAAACAATGGAAGTGAGAAGACAGTGGAACAACATCTTTCAATACTGAAAGAACAAAATACTTTCAAACTATAATTCTATACCCAGGAAATATCTTTCAAAAAGCAAGGTGAAATGAAGACTTTGTTTAACATATCCAAGATGAAATAAATCATGTCAAGCAGATGTGCAATACAAGAAATATTAAAGGCAGTGCTTCAAACAGAAGGAAATTGATACCAGATGGAAACATGAATCAATGCAATGAAAGAAAAGCATGGGGAATAGTAACTTCATGGATAAATCTATATGCCTTTTATTTCTTATTTAAAGCTTTAAATAATATAATTGACTTTAAAAATAATAGCAATGTATTGTAGGCTTTATAATATGTAAAAGTAAAATGTGTGACAAAGTATTGCAAGGTTCTTATGTTACAGGTAAAAGGAATTGATATAATATCACTTAAAATTAGATGGTGATAATGTAAAAATGTTTACTCAATCCCCAAGAAACCAATGAAATGTCAAAATAGGCATAGCTAATAAGAAAGGTAGGAAATAAAAAGAAAACTACAAAATAACTTTTAATTAATATAAAAGATAGCAGAAAAAGTAGCAAAGGAAATAAATAGATGGAAAAAATTGAAAACTAATAGCAAGATGGTAAATTTAAACATAACCATATCAATAATCACATTAAATGTAAATGGCCTATATACTCAGACTAAATGATAAATTTAAGAATGGATAGAAAAGCAAGATGATCCTATATACTGATTATAGGAAGTACAGTTAAATAATAAAGACAAATATGTTTTAACATAATTCTTTTAGGGATTGAAATTGATATACCATGCTAACATAGATTGAAAGAAAGCTTAGAGTGTTTATGAATATCAGACAAAGTAGATTTCTGAGTAACATATTACCAGACATCAAAATGTTCATTTCATAATGACACAATAGTTGACTTAAACAAATATAAAAATATGTATCTGATAGAATCTTAAAAAAGCTAACTGAGTGTTAAATAAATTTAGCAAGATTGAAGGATACAAAATCAATATACAAAAATTATTTTTCTACATTAGCAATAAACATCCAGAAAATGAAATGAAAACAATGTATTTACAATAACATCAAAAATATATAATACTTAGGTATAAATGTAACAAAAGACATTCAAAACTTCTACACAGAAAACTGTATAACATTGTTTTTATAGTTTTATAACTGATAAAGTCATATGTATTTGAAAACAATATAGGTTATTAGAGCTAGTGTAATACATATATGTGATCTATAATACTTTAACCCTTTCTTGTTCTACTTTTTCCAAAAGCAAAATATTTAATGAGGGAAATTGAAGAATGCCTAAATAAATGAAGATAAACCATATCCATGGGTTAGAAGATGTTGTCTCTCTCTCTCTCTGTTTATATATATCAGACAAATATACATGCATATATAGTCAATGTAATCCCAATCAAAATCTCAAGGTTTTTTTTTTTAAACTGACAAGCTGTTTCTAAAATTTATAGTGAAATTCAAAGAAGCAAAAACAGCCAAAATGACTTAAAAAACAAGACAAAACAAACTTTGAGAACTAACACTACCTGATTTTAAAACTTATTATAAAGCCATAGTAATCAAAAATAGTTGGTATTGGTATAAATATAAATAAATAGGTCAATGGAATATATTAGATGGTGTAGAAATAGACCCATACATGCCACTTATTTTGGCAATGGTTAAGAGGTAATTCAGTGCAGAAAGAATGGTGTTTTAGACAACTATTGCTGAAATAATTGGATATTTATATGCAAAAAAACTGTACTTCAATCTCGACCTTGCCCATATAAAAATTGGCACACAATGGATCATGGTCCAAAGTGTAAAATTATACTAAAATTATAAAACTTCTGGAAGTAAATGTAAAAGGAAACATTATGATCTTAGGTCAAGCAATAATCTATGATTTTTAGATATGGCATCAAAAATATGTTCCGTAAGTAAATTGGACTTCATCAAAATTAAAATCCGTTCAATGACATAGTAAAGAGAGTGTAAAAATGAGTTATGAAATTGATATAATGTTTGCAAATTATATATATAATAAAGAATTTGTATCCTGGATTCATTAAGAACTCTCAAAATTCAATAGTAAGAGAAAAATAGCAATAAAAATAAAATTTAGGCAGAATATTTGAACAGACACTTCATCAAAGAAGGTATACTTATGACAAATAAATAAAGAAGTTATACTTATGACAAATACATAAAGGATGTATACTTATGACAAATATGTTTTCAACATGATGCTTAACATTATTAATCAATAGAGAAATGATGCTCAACATTATTAATCAATAGAGAAATGAAATGAAAACCGCAATGAGACACCTGTTAAAATAGTTAAAATTATAAAGATTTACTATACCAAATGTTGGCAATGAAGAACTGGAAATATCATAAACCTGGTGGGAATGTAAAATGATACAACTACTTTGAGAGTTTGCCAGTTTCTTAAACTGTTTAACATATACATACAGTATTATCCAGTTGTTACACTCTTTAGTATTTTCCCATACAAATAGCCATAGCAATTTTATTTGTAGTATCAAAAACTAGAAAAAACCCAAATATGCATCAACAGGTGAATGGATTAGCAAACTGTGGTATGTCCATACAATAAAATAGTTCTCAGCAATAAAAAACTATTGATATATGCTACAACAGGTATTCTGAGTGATTAATTCATACAGGAAATAATACATACTGTATAGTTCCAGTTATATAAAATTCTAGAACATGTAAACTAGTCTACAGTGACAGAAAACATATTCGTGGTTGCCTGGAGATGGGAGAGGGACAGGAAAAGTTGGGTGGGAGTGACTAAAGAACACTTTGTGGTTTATGAATATATTCATTATCTTGATTGTGGTGATGGTTCATGGTGTGTACAGATGTCAAAACTAATCAAATTGTATACTTTAAATACATACAGTATATTGCACATTGTTTTTTATAAAGGAAACTGGAGAACAAAAATCTCACAGGGAGTTATAGAAAGAACCAGTATAATCATATTTATTTGAAAACAGCAGAGGTTATTAGAGCTAATGTAATGCATATATGTGATCTATAATACTTGAAAGTCCTATACTACTTTTTCCAAAGTCAAAGAATCACAGCTGCAGTTATTACTCATGCGGGGGTATGAAAGAATTGCAGTTCAGATGCTGAAGGGGCCCCCATAGCCGTAATTACAATGTTTCCTATTTTGGACTCCTTAACAACAATGGATGTGGGAAGAGAATTCATAAAATACTCCACTTACAAAGTCCCAGTGCTCACAACTGTGACAAAACATTGGCTAGGAAGTTGAAGGCTAAGCTCCATTACTAGCTGAGACTCACCAGCTTACTGATAGTACATGAGACTCAAATTTGTGATGAAGCAAAACTTCAAGCAATTCCAAGTTATGAATGCCAGGGTTGCTTGCAAATTGTTCATTCTGAGTTTCAGCACTAATAAAAACTTTTTTTTCAACCAATCACAAGACTGTAGCTAGTGATTGTCCATCTCCACATGAACACCAGTCTGTACACTCCTTGTTCCCAGATTGTAGCAAGCCATATGAAATCATGGCCCTCAAGATCCTGTGACATTATTTGCTACTTGCTCATTACCTCTCTGATAGATAGCACACAATCCTAGATCCTTATCCCATTCATTTGTTTAAGCATTTAAAAATACTTCTCCAACATTAGCATTTTGCCTACCTCTTGGTAAGCAAGAGAGGCTCTATTTATTTAAGTAGCTTAAAGCTTAGTTGGGAAGAAAGAAACATAAGCAGAGTATTACAATAAAATGTGAAAAGTGTTTTTCAGGGAAGCCCAGAAGAGCAAAGGACAAAGAAGGACCTACGAAGGTTTCCTCTTGGTTAGGCTCCTACCGTGATGAATTTTAATCCAGTAATATTTCCCTATTGATTTTCTTCAAATTATGAACATGGGCTGTAAAATAACATCTATAACATGTTGAGTTAGCGAGTACCAGCCAGCATCTGGTGCTTGAGACCCCACTGTAAGCAATTCTGTCACGTATCTGTTCTACTTTAAGTTATTTTGGCTCCTATTGGGACATCCATGGGAAAATGAATTAGGTGTGATAGACCTAAAATAGAGTTTAATTGTGGGAAAAGTGTCTATTTTAGGTAAAAAATTTTAGAGCAAATAAATAGTTGCTAGGTGACAGTGTGATTCACATTCTGCAAATGATATAGCTGTAAAAAATTAGAAGCTAGTTCGTTTAAAGTGTTTCATCATTTTTCTCTAATGAGATTTAATGCACTGAGATTTGCGGTAGGTTTTCCCACCTCTTCCATTTTCTTACCTTGTATCAAGAAGAAGAAATCCAAAAATACATTAAATTAAAGCCCAAAGAGTTATGAGTTGTATGGTTTTAAAGAGGACAAGAGAAGCATATAGATAATGGGAATGTCTGTCCTTTTAAACTTACTTTATCTTTTCCAACAAAATGATGTGCCCCTGTAGGTAGAGACTATATCATATCTCCTTAGGCTGGTAACACTCACTTCACTGTTTTGTACTTGGTAGACATTCGGTAAATATTTGGCAATGATTATTAAAATAATGAAAATAAAGTCATTTCAATTTTAAATTAACTTAAATTCTGGGAAGATTTTGTAATTAAAAACAAATTGTAATATTTCCCCTTGTTCTACTCTTTGTTCTTTAGGATATTTTTAAGCATGGCTTGCCTATTCAGAATGACAATGTGCATTATTCTCAAAAGGCGTGAATTTTTAAAATCTCTTGAGTCATATCAGTTTGCAATAAACATGTTTTAAAAATAACAATTTAATGTTCTAAGAAAATCTTGCCATTATAAAAGTCATTTTCATGTGTTCCTGTGAGAGTCAGGAGAAAGATTTAAATTTCTACTTGATTTCTTGCTTCTATTCAATTTCCTACCAAGGATGTCAAATTCATCTCTCACTTGTGACTTTCATAGAAAGATATAATAGCTCCACTAGCAGAAGGGAAAGCAATGGATTAATAATTGTCAGTATTTTTATAGCAACAAGCTGCTGGATCAGCAAAATAATATATATTGAGCCATTTGTATATTTTCAGCAATAAATTCATTTTTCTTAAGAGCAGTATGCAACTTTTCTTTCATGTATGAATATCTATGACTTGGGAATCTTTTGTTGCCTTTGAGTTGTTAGCAATAACAATACTGTGTTTATTTTTATTCTGTGAAAGCAGAATTTTTTAAAGTATAATGATTATAAAAGGAAGTGACACTGTATGTTAAAATTAAGTGCTAAATGTCAAGCTTCTTAAAGCAGAAGAGAAAATGTACATTAGTTTCTAATTATGCTTTAGCAACAAATTAAAGAATACAAAGAGAGCCTAAAATTAGAACATCTACAAATGAATCAAAATTGCTTTTAGAGTGCCTCTTCTTTGCCAGATGATCAAAAAGTTAATTTTCTTCTGTACAAAATGTCACATTGTGGTAGCTTTTCTGACTGGCTAAAATGAACTGGAAAACTCTTCTCTGTTGTATTTTTTCATGTCCACCTTTGTTGTATCTTTTCATTTTCCATTTTATAGTTGTTTATGGTTTCTCTTTTAATAATCCTTACATAATCCTTATCAGTTTAGGTGTATATATCTTTCTGGCAATCTTTGAAGAATATATAGATATACATCTATAGCTGTATTAGATTGAACACTGCTGTAACAGTAGATAATCACTCATTTGCTCCAACAGCAAATAAAGCAAAAAGCGAATAAATATTCTTATTGATCAGAAATTATACTAATAACTCATTACTAGAAGATGAGTAAGAGAAAACCTTCAATTCTTATTAATCTTTTCATTCCAGAATAAGTCTGACTAAGCCAGTGGGCATATTAAAAATAAAATCTGTTTTGTTTGATTATTTTCTATTTCTGATAAATAAGCTCTGTGGAATTCAAAAGGAAGATGGTGAACTATAAATTTAAAAATTAAGCCATATTCCTGACTTTGTGTGTGACTGTCTGCATGTGAACTCCAAGTTATCTTCAGGTAGGTTAATAACACATCTCTCTTTCAGTCTAACTTTAACAGTTATCACATGAGAACAAGGAACTTCCATTCTGTATCTTCCATTTAGAATTGTTGAAAAGAAAGGTCAATAAACACAGCAAAATATAGTTCTTTGAGACAAGCACCTTAGTATTGTCAGCACAACATAAAATATTAAAGCATTTCTGCAGCAAGAACTAGAATGGGCATTATGTTCTCAAATTAAGCCACAAAATGCCAGATATGTCATTTCAGTGAATTGTGTAGGAGTAAAGCATTAAATATACCAAGAAACATTATGAAACTATATTCTTGTATCTAAGTTAAAGTCATGCAAGAAACATCCATAAAACTTTTACCCCTAAAACTGCACGAACAATTTTCTATCTTTTTAAACATTTCTTCTCCCATAGTTTTCTTATATCTTTAAATAGTTTTTCTTGTAATGCGTGTTTCATGGTTACTTATTTTGTAATGCATAGCAGTTTTGAGATGCCACTGTATGTATATGCATTCCACCCCCACCCCCCATCCTGCTGTTTTTCCTGGTACAGGAGGCACATTACATTAGCAGGGACAAATTTTCCTTCCCGTGGATCTTCTCTTCTCTTCCACACTTGACATAGACATCTTTTTAAATGTGAATTTATCTCCTATAGATGAGTATTCAATAAATGTAAGTGAAGCCATCAGCTAAAATATAGAAATATAAATAATCTATGTTATGTATTAACCTATTATAGATAGGCTAATTTTATCAGTCCAAATAAAAAGAAAACTCCTCCATATTTGGACTTGTCCATTGGCAAATAGATGTAAGAGACTGGCTAAAATGTAATTTAATTCTTTTGGGATTTCTATTTAAAGAAAACAAAACAAAAATTCTCAGGTTTCACCAGTTCTCTTCTATGTTCCTCTCTGGGCACATAAATAATAACAACAATTTAACCCACTAGGATAAATGCAACTAAGTTCATTTTTTTCGTGTAAATTTGCCAATATTTCTAAAGTTTACAGAAGAAAATGTTCACTAGTATTATTGAGAAAAATTCCAACTTGATATAATATAATTCAATAACAAAAAGTCAGGCCTGGAGGGAAAACGAAAGGTTAAAGAACTGATTTAAAAAATCCTCCACCTCTGATAGAATAGCTTGTATCACACAAAACCTTCAGTAAAAACCTACTACAAATCTCCATTTAAAAATTTTAGCTGATTTAGGCATAGAGACCAACAAAGACAGACAGGATTGGAGATACAGATCCCCAAAAGAAGGAAAATATGTCAAAGGGAGCTGTAGTTTCTTAGCAGCCTTTTCCCATTGAAGCATTGGCCATTATTTGCCATGTCATGCTGTGGGGCACAGTCCAACCAGAAAGTGGCTTGCCAGAACTTTTGTCTCACCCTTGGGATTAAGAGATAAAAATGTAATAACCACCAAGGCAGGCTAGACTTAAAGGACAAAGATTCTAGAGAAAATAGACTTGTAGAGAAATGAGGCCAAAGTTCTTGTCTTAAGGCATTTGACAAACATTAAACTGCCAGGGCATAAGATGCTGAGAAACTAAGAAGAAAGCAGGTTAAAAAGGCTGGAGAAACACAAGTTGGAAATCAGAGCCTGCCAAGGAAGAGAGGTTATGGTGACATTCCACAGTTACAGGAATAAGGGCAAGGTAAAAATATTACAGCCCTTAAAATGTCTGGATCCTATTCTCGTACCATATCCATCCCCAGTTAGACCAAGGGAATCTGTCTGTACTCTAACTACTGGCCCAAATAATTAAATCTTCTTTGAGGAAGATAATGACATCCAGGACTCTTACCTTGTGAGTTCTTAATATTTGGCATTCAGTAAAAATCTTTTTAAGTCTACAAGAGGACAGTAGCAAATGATCAAAAATCTAGAGAAGAAATAGGTGCTAGAAACTGACCCAAAGATAATCAAGATATTGGAATTATAAAATAGACTTTAAAGTAACTGTATTTAATACATTGAACAAAATAGATAACAAAAAGAGTTTTAGAAAAGTATTAGAACATATATAAAATAATTGAATGGAAGTTCTAGAATTGAGGGACAGAATAACTGAAATTTAGTACTCAATGGGCACTGCTAACAGCAAATTAGATACAAAAAATCAGAAGTTTGTAGACCTGGAAAATAGATCTGTAGAAAATAACTAGACTGAAATAGAAAGATCAAAAAAGAAGGAAAATATAGAAAAGGGACTAGAGACATAAAATTATTGAAAATGGTGTACATATGTTTAGAAGAGAAGGAGAGGAGGAGAATGGGGCTGAAGTAGTAGTTGAAGAGACACTGGCAAACATTTTCCAAAGCTGAAGAAAGACATCAAGATACAGATTTTCAAAGAACTACTATCCATAATTATAAATACTGAAATAGCACACGTAGGCATATTGCATGAAAACTGTTAAAAAGTAAAAATGAGGGAAATTTTTTAAAAGCAGTGAGAGTTAAAAAAAATAAAAAAGACATTCTTTGGCTTTTCAGACTAGCAGTAAAAGATTCTCATTCTTTCATTTTTTTTTACATCCTTATAGTGACATATGCTCTAATTTAACTCAGTTATTCAGCTTATTCTATCATGCCTCATCCTAGGAACTTGTAAAAAAATTCCAACAACAAAAAGTGCCTGGGTTTAGACAATTTGAATGACAAAGAATCATCTTTCTTTAAAAAATAGCTTGAACACACCTAATTTGTTTCCCCTTTTCGAGGATGAAATCTTTTCCCATTTGTAATTTTACTTTAGAAATTAGGGGATGACTTCTGTATCTTAATTGATTGAGAATTTTAATATTTTGCATCACCTCTGTACTCCAACTGGATTTGTAATGCTCTCATAAGCATTTCACACCCTCTTGCAAATCGATCCTCCAGACCCAACCAAAATACAAAGCTTGACAATTTCAAATCTACATGAATTGGAATCTTATAAAATTTAGATCTTTGTTTTTAGATTATAGTTCCATTAGAAAATATTTATAATGATGCAGTAAATAATTATTTTACAGTTGGGAAGACAGAACTGTAGTTTTTAAAAGGAATAACATCCTTAAACAATGATACAGGCCCATCATCTTGGTGTATTTTTTAAAGCCCAATTTAAAAGAGAATAACAAATAATGTTCATTTTCTTTGGATTTATATTTTGCTCATTTTTCATTGGGGTAGACATCCATTATATAAGAAGGGACACCAGAATGGTCAAGGTTACTAGAATGGCCTATTTGAAGAACAAGAATTAGTAGAAGATAAAAAGGCAATAGAGGAAGTAATTTGGAACATTATGATAAGAAAAGTGGAAAAGAGAAGAAGAGGTAGAGAACAAGAAGAAGAAAGCATTGTAGGTCAGAGGGAAAGGACCAGATTTATGCATTCAGATTCAGCAAATATTTTTGAGCCTCTGCTATGGGCCTTCCTGTGTACTGGGCTCTGCATAAAATGGCAAAGGCCTCTGACTTCAGGGAACATCTACTCTAGTTGTGGAATATTAGTTAAGATTAAGTTGGTTGCATTTAAAAATGTTAAAGATTTTTTTAAAAAAAGAAAAACATAATTTTTCTCCAACATCAAACTGAATATCCCAGTGCTGGTATGGTGATCCTATAAATCACCACATTCATTCTTAACCTACATTTTTTTTCTCTACCATCAAATTCTAAATGGTTTCCTTCCTCAAGGTAATTTATTGCTTGAAACAGCTGCTGGGGCAACAACCTTCACATCCATTACCAGACAGTTAGAAGGAGAAGAAAACAACAGAAGGAAACTATTATCCCCCAAGGAACCTTTCTAGTAGTGCCTCCGTAAAACTTCCACTTATAACTCATTGGCCAGAACGTAGTCATATGTAAACTAGTAACCAGAAGAAAGGTTGGGAAATAAAATATTTTTGTCAGGTATCTTACTGCTCCAAACAATATTGAGTTTTTCCTAAAGCAGGAAGGGGAGAATGGATATTATGTAGGGATCCAGTTGATTCTGTCATGGGTAGAAACATATGAACATGGTTATTTAAATAAGGTATTACTCAATATCATATGCCAGTGGAATTATAATGAGCTCAGTATGAACTGTGTTTTTCATTTTATAATTATTTGCTTCTTATGTTCTTCAGGCCATGGATATATTTATTATAATAAGAAAAAATAAAGACACTTAGGTTGGCTGAGATCTGTTTTTTCCTAGTTGGCTTGACTATATGTAATTATTCATCTAAATCTACTTTTTTTCTTGTCCATTCCCTAAGAGATTACTTTTTAAATGGACTGGGAAAATTATTTAAACCCTAAATTTGACTTATTTGCAGACCTTCTTTGAAGATGTTGACTTTAGCAATTTAAGACTAATAAGAGCTGCACAACAATATGACGTTATACCCAAATAAAAACAATAAATCTATATTTTTAATAGTATCAGATTCAGAGAGTTAGGATGAGACACTGTTAACCCAACTCTATTTCTAGTTATTTACATTAGAGACCTATCTACGCTCCAAAAGCGTCTTAAAGTTAAACACCATTATTATTTTTTCTTGTGGTTTATTATTGGTAACAGAAAGACTGAGTTTCTCTTTTACATACTCGTTTTGTAAAGTTCTGTTAGAATGCTAATAAAGAGTGCATTGATTGCTTCTCAGCTCCTCTTCCCTCCCCCACACTATTTGAAAATAAATTAATAGTTAATTCTTTATACTATCAATTTTCTGGTACAGAAGCTTTACAGTTTGCAACGTGCCTTACCATGTAGTATCTCACTTTTATTATCACAACCATCCTACAAAGTAGACAATTTGCAATTATATCTGTGTTATAGACAACTGAGGCTTTGAGTAGTGGAGTGAATTTCTCAAAGCACTTGTTTTGCCAATAAGAAAATTTGGATTATAACCGATTTTTAAAAATTTTACTCTAGTCATTGCTCCTCATAACTACCCATAAAGGATAAACTCTTTCAGTTAAAATTGTTTTTTAATCTTGCTGTTGGCAATATAAAGGACAAAGAAAATCCTTCTATATTGCTTCTCCTCTCCTTTTTATTTACATTCATACCCACTCTCACAGCCCTCCCTTTTTTTCCTCTCAAGGGCAATTTGTTTTGTAGCTATCCCTTAATTAATGCCCTTTCTTCCCCCATTGGTATAAAGAGCAGGAATGAAATATCAAAACTTGCATTGTAATTGTAGATTCACTCCTGCTGTGAGGTTCAATGACAGGAATAAAATTTCAATTAAGCAATTACCTAAGAGTGCCACTGAAAGCCTTGAGTGCAACTATTCCTCTCCATGATTTTTGTAGCCCTCATTGGCCATATGTTGAATTTCCATTTTTCATGGTTTTCTCTCAAGCAGAAATCTTCACATATTGACATGTGTGCAATGGAAGAGCACCACATGAGGCCTGGCTTTGCATTTATCCAACCTCACTTGCTTCAATGTCTGTGACAAGAGTAGAATAGCGAGCAGCAAGAGGCCTCAAATTTTCAATGCCTCGTCAAAGTCTGGCTGTTCCTGCCTGTGATAATATGGAAATGGCCCCCTTTTTACTGTGCAGGCCAAGCTCACATGTGGATTAGTCCTTTGACATCAAGCCCATTTCTTTGCTTTTATTGTAGATAGTTGTAAACCAGACCCTGGGTAGAGCATAGACACTCTTGTTTCCAACCAAGAAGACAGACTTAGAAGACCCTAAAAGGGGCGACATTAAAGCTCATGAGAGTCAGGTCCCCTTGAAGATGCCAATTAGGTCAAGCTTGATTGTGTTTTCCTGCCTTTTAACTAACAGACTTCAGTTTCCAGCAAGTTGCTGAGCCCAAATTATTACTATATGGACACTCAAAGCACCTAGAGTCAATCACCATATGTCTATCCACTGGAATTAATTTAGATTAACAATATGTTCTATGGATATTTCTTGTTTTTTTAAAGTCAGTTTTCCCATAAATCATGAAGTGTACATATTAAAACTCTAATAGTTTTAAACATGAATATAATGCTATAATACTAATTTAATATAATACTAATTACATATTACCTTTGCTGTGTAATTTTAATTTGTTGACATATTATAATTATAATTTTAAGACTTTAAGTGCAGATTTTCTATCTGACCAATGATATTTGAGAAAAGATACTGAGTTTTATCAAAAAGCTTTAATACTTTTATTTTTTTCTCTGTTAATGACCTTGATGTTTAAGAAACAGAAAGATGTGGAAACAACACTGCTCTTCTGTATTATTGCTTTATGATTTTTTTTTTTTTTTGAGACGGGGTCACACCCTGTTACCCAGGCTGGAGAGCAATGGCAATCATGGCTCACTGCAGCCATGATCTCCCAGGCTCAAATGATCGTCCCACCTCAGCCTCCCAATTAGCTGGGACTACAGGCATATGCCACCACACCCAGCTAATTTTGAAATTTTTTTGTACAAATGAGGTCTCCCTATGTTGCCGAAGCTCATCTTAAACTCCTTAGGTCAAATGATCCTCCTGCCTCTGCCTCCCAAAGTGCTGGGATTACAAGCATTAGTCACTGCACCTGACCTTGTGTTATTCTTTTATAAAAGGGTATCTAGTATTCTGCAACAGGAGTACTCAGGAGGAGTTTATTTTTAAACATTGATACCATTGGAAATAAATTGCAGAACTTAAAAAAGTTATAGAGGATTGTAGAAAGTCCTTAATTTTAAAAAGACATGAAACATTTTAAAAAATATTAATTGAATCTTCTACAATCCCTATCCCCAAAGTTTAAGGCTGCTGAAGTAAACATAGACCACATTTCCTTTTGCAGACAGGAAATTTTGATGGCTCCTGTGGGACCAAGCTCACACTTCTCACTGTTGCATTCTAAACCCTGATGGTTTGATCCAGGCCTTATTAACCTTTCCATTCCCACTTTACTACCCTAAGTTTCGGTTACAGCATTTTACTGCAATTTCCTGAATAGTTTCAAAATCTGCACGACTGTTTTCTGAAATCTCTCAGTGTATAGTGATCATCCTCTGTTACGGGTTGAATTGTGTGCCCCAACACAGTTATGTTGAAGTCACAAGCCCCAGGACCCCTTGTTTGAAAATAGGGTAGTTGCAGATATGATTGGTTAAGATGAGATCATAGTAGCATAGAGTGGGCCCTTAATCTAATTTGATCAGTATGTTTACAAGAACAGAGCCATATAAAGGCACAAACATAGGTGGAGAACACAATATGAAGATCGAGACAGAGGTTGAAGTGATGCACCTACAAGAATTGTCAACCATCATCAAAAGCTAGGAGAGAGGCATGAAACAGATTGTCCCTCATAGTTAGTATCTGAAGACACTAATGTTGCTCACAGGTTGATTTTGGACTTCTAGCCTACAATAATGTGAGGGAATAAGTTTCTGTTGTTTTAAACCACCCATTTTGTAGCACTGTGTTATGGCAGCCTGATAACGGTTTGGCTGTGTCCCCACCCAAATATCATCTTGAATTGTAATCCCTATGTGTTAAGGGAGGGTCCTAGTGGGGGGTGATTGGATCATGGGCATGATTTCCCCCATGCTGTTTTCATGATAGTGAGTGAGTTCTCACAAGATCTGATGGTTTAAAAGTGTTTGGCAGTTCACTCCTCATTCTCTGTCTCCCCTGCCAGCATGTAAGACATGCCTTGCTTTCCCTTTGCCTTCGACCATGATTGTAAGTTTCCTGAGGCCTCCCCAGCCATATGGAACTGTGAATCAATTAAATCTCTTTTCTTTATAAATTACTCAGTTTCAGGTAGTTCTTTATAGCAGTGTGAGAACAGACTAATACAGAAAATTGGTACTGGGAGAATGGGGTACTGCTCTAAAGATAACCTGAAAATGTGGAAGTGACTTTGGAACTGGGTAACAGGCAGAGTGTGGAACAGATTGGAGGGCTCAGAAGAATATAGGAAGATGTGAGAAAGTTCCGAGAGACTCGTTAAATGGTTTTGACCAAAATGCTGATAGTGATATGGACAATAAAGTCTAGGCTGAGGTGGTCTCAGATGGAGATGAAGAACTTATTGGGAACTGTAGCAAAGGTTACTCTTGCTATACTTTAGTAACGAGACTGAGAGCATTTGCCCCTGCCCTAGAGATCTGTGGAACTTTGAACTTGAGAAAGATGATTTAGGGTATCTGACAGAAGAAATTTCTAAGGAGCAAAGCATTCCAGATATGACGTGGCTTTTTCTGAAAGTAAGATATGAAATTGGAACTTATGTTTAAAAGGAAAACAGAGCATAAAATTGTGGAAAATTTGCAACCTGACTTTGTGGTAGAAAAGAAAAACCCATTTTCTAAGGAGGGCTGCATAAATTTGCATAAGTAATGAGGAGCCAAATGTTAATAGCCAAGACAATGGGGAAAATGTTTCCAGGGCATTTTAGAGATCTTCACAGCAGCTCCTCTTATCACAGGCCTAGAAGCCTAGGAGGGAAAAATGTTTTTTTGGGCAGGGCCCACTGCTCTGTTCAGCTTCAGGACATGATATCTTGTGTCCCAGCAGCTCCAGCTCCAGCCATGGCTTAAAGAGGCCAAGGTACAGCTTGGGCTGTGGCTTAAGAGTGTGCAAGCTCCAAGCCTTAGTGGCGTCCACACGGTTTTGGGCCTGAGGGTGTGCAGAAGCCAAGAGTTGAGCTCTGGGAATCTCCATCTAGATTTCAGATGATGTATGGAAATGCTTAGATGTCCAGGCAGAAGTCTGCTGCAAGGTCAGAGTCCTCCTGGAGAACCTCTACTTGGGCAGTGCAAAGGGGAAATGTGGGGTTGGAATCCACACACAGAGTTCCCACTGGGGCACTGCCTAATGGAGCTGTGAGAAGAGCGCCACTGTCCTCCAGGCCCCAGAATAGTAGGTCCACTGACAGCTTGTACCATGTGCCTGGAAAAGCCATAGGCACTCAATGCCAGCCCACAAAAGCATGGCTGTACCCTGAAGAGCTACAGGGTCAAAGCTGTCCGGTGCTGTGGGAGCCCACCCCTTGCATCAGCATGCCTTGGATATGAGACATGAAGTCAAAGGAGATCATTTTGGAGCTTTAAGATTTAATGACTGCCCTGTTGGGTTTCAGACTTACATGGGGCCAATAGCCCATTTGTTTTGGCCAAATTCTCCCATTTGGAACAGGAGCATTTACCCAATGCCTGTATCCTCATTGTGTCTTGGAAGCAACTAATCTTGTTTTTGGTTTTACAGGCTCATAGGTGGAAGGGGCTGGCCTTGTCTCAGATGAGACTTTGAACTCAGATTTTTGAGTTAATGCTAGAATGGAGTGAAGACTTTGAGGGACTATTGGGAAGGTATCATTGCATTTTGAAATGTGAGAAGGACATGAGATTTGGGAAGGGCCAATGGTGGAATAATATGGTTTGGTTGTATCCTGACCCAAATCTCATCTTGAATTATAATCCCCATGTGTCAAGGGAAGGACCTGGTGGGAGGTGATTGGATCATAGGGGCAGTTTCCTCCATGCTGTTCTCATGATACTGAGTGAGTTCTCACAATATCTGATGGTTTAAAAGTGTTTGGCACTTGCCCCTCACTCTCTCTCTCCTGCCACTATGTAAGACATGCCTTGCTTTCCCTTTGCCTTCTGCCATGATTGTAAATTTCCTGAGGCCTTCCCAGCCATGTAGAATTGTGAGTCAATTAAACCTCTTTTCTTTATAAATTACCCAGTCTCCAGTGGTTATTTATAGCAGTGTGAAAACACACTAATACACAGCCATACTAAATTGACATAGCCTCCATCTCCAACAGTTGGCATCTAGTCATTCTCTGGAGTCAGATTTAAACATATTCACAATTTTTGCTGATCCCTCCCTGAAGAAATTGTTGCCTCTTATATCAGGTACTGTTGTGCTTACCTCACATTCTCTCAGCCTATCTTTTCACTCTGGATATTGCCATGGCCACCAGCTGTTCACAGATGCAACTTGACAGCACTTCACATCAAATGCAGTACATACCTGTTGCTTTTTACTCTAGCCTTCTCTGCCTCTACCAAATAGGACTTCTGCAGACTATTGAGACTACTCAGTCATACTGACACATACACAAATCCGAAAGAGCAGAAGAGTTAACACCCAGGGGAATACTGGTAGGATGGGAGCTAGTGGATAAATACTCCTCTGAAATGTTCCTTAGATGGACAAATCTGAGGCGCATTTTACACAGTAGCCAGCAAGTCCCCAGTAGGATTGAGCCTGAATGACCCACAGGGAACCAGCTCACCAAGACAGCTTTAGCTTGACTTTTCTTTCTTTCCGTTTTTTTTTTCTTTTTTTAACTTCTCTACTTTTTGAGATCTTTTTCTGAATAATCCAGTTTCATAAAAGCTTTAGTCTCAGATTCTGCTTTGGGGGTGAGGCATAAGCAAGCTGAGACATTTTCCTACCTTATACTACTTTGGCATTGTGCTTAAATCTCCACCTCGCCAACTCTGCTTTGCACTTCAGTTATTAGGGTATGTATTTGAATCTTCTGAAAGCTCAAGATCTTGTGGTGACATTCAAGATCCCTGGTGATATTGGTGTTGTGGCCATCTTAGCTATGGGGGGTGTTTAGTGGCTTGGCCTCATATATTCATAGGGCCCAGAGCAAAAATACCCAAAAAACAAAAAACAAAAAATAACCCACTATTAGCATGTCCTTATACTATGTGTCTAAATATTTAAAGTAATAATTCATCCTAATAAAATGCTAAATAAAATATGTATTTTCTTTCTTCCTGGATGAACATATCTTCATAATGACCTGGAAGGCCAGGTTGAACTTAGAATTCTCTGGTTGGAGTTCCACACCAGAACATGGTGGCATGGAGAGAGCCAGAACTTGGCATGCCATCTACCTCCCTTTTATTTGTATTATACCAGAATGCTACCTTACTTTGTCTTGTACTGTGAATGCCTGTGTAATCTCCATCCAAGTTCTGTCTCCTTGGATCTAGGGATACACACATAATGATTCAGTCTGCCTTAGGGAGAATGGAGCATGAAAGAAAACTCAGGAGCACATAAACATGGAATTCTTAGGTCCTGGGATCTGCATCATGATCTAGAAGTGGGTGTGTGATCTCTAGGTGGGCATGTCACAGTGAATAATCAAGAAGTTGCACAAAGGGGAAGGTTTGTTCCACAAAGAATTCACTGCCAAGCTAAAAAGGGCTGTAAGAAAAACCATGAAATCTTAGTACATATTAACAAAAACTAGAGAAAAAAAAATCACCCTGTTTAGCATAAAACAATCTTTGGAAAGAGAGGACACAGCTTATTCTAGGTATATTGAAAGAAAGTCGTATAGTGCTTTGAGGTGCACTGAAATGTTAGTCACTGTCCACTGTGTAGTTCTACTTAGTCCTTCATTATCCTTGAGCAATCTGGATCCAAGAATAAAGAATAAGGGCGTCCAAGAACCCCTGTGGTATAGAAACAGACATGGAGAAGGGCCTGCAGGTTTGCTTTGTTTCCTGACATCTCCAAACACCATTTCAAATTTCAGTTATATCACCCACTACAGAAAGATTATTTGTAACCAATTTTCTTTTCTTTTTTTTTCTATTTATTTTTGAGGCTGAGTTTCACTCTGTCACCCAGGCTGGAGTGCAATGGCGTGATTTTGGCTCACTGCAAACTCCACCTCCCAGGTTCAAGTGATTCTCCTGCCTCAGCCTCCTGAGTAGCAGGGATTACAGGTGTCTGCACCAAGACTGGCTAATTTTTGTGCTTTTAGTAGAGATGAGATTTCACCATGTAGGCCAGGCTAGTCTCAAACTCCTGACCTTAGGTGATCCACCTGCCCCTGCCTCCCAAAGTGCTGGGGTTACAGGTGTGAGCCACTGTGCCTGGCCAATTTTCTAACTGAGTAATTTTAATAATTCTTTAGTTTTCTCCATTTAGGAAAGTTTACCATTATGATTTTTTTGACCTGCCTTTTGCTTTTTCCATTTATTTGTTTATCCTCTTAAATAGCTCTCAGTTATTGGAAAGTGGCAATGTGGACACACTATTTAGCAACCCAGGTGCTTGATCCTTTGGTAAATGATTTATAAAAACAAAATTAGAAATAGTCTTTTGTTTTGAGCTCAAAGGATACACATTATAAATTTATATAAATTCAGTTTCATTATTATTATCTAGCACTGCATAAACGTTTATCCCTCAGTCAATTATTTTGCTAATGTTCTTTTCCATCAAGTCAAAGCATACTATTTATAATTCATCGATATCAAATACTGTTTCTTAAGTTTCTCTGGAGAGCAGGTTGCAATTCTGTTCTGTATGCTCTTTGAAGTGTTAGCCTTATTTCTTGGCACATGATAGTGAGTGGAGGCATCAAGTGGTGTCTTAAGGTATAGTTAGCTCCATTTACTTCCATTCTCCCTATGCCTGCCTTGATGTCTTCATGGGAAGTTTCTAAATATTATTAAAGTATGAATAAAATCATTAAAATTTTCTATTTTATTGATATATAGTATATACTCTAAAGGAAAAAGCATGCAGTGTGCATGTCATGCAGTCTAAACAAGATTCGCCATTCAAGCCGGAATGCACTCATAAGTCTCTTCCATATAGATATTCTTGAATTATTGGTGTTCAACACTGAACAGATTTCTTATTTAGATAAAATGACAGACTTAGATAACTTAAGCATTTTCCCAATATATGATAGTAGATATGACAGTAAACTCTGACCACAACTTAAAAAAAATATATAGTTGAATACATAGAAAAGAAAGTGAGATCTCCAAATCAGTTGTTTTAGCCTGTATGAAGGGTCATAGCCCAATTAATGGCTCTCACATTTTCAGTTGAATCTGAGGTGAAGTGATAATCACATTTTTCACCCTGTAATTGTTGTAACAGCTACCCAATTAGAATGGAATTTCATAGGTTAAGCAGAGCTACTAACTTGCATTTCTTATTTCAACATAATTAGTTAACAAAATGTCAAAATCCAATGTGAAAAATTCACAGAAGCAGCAAAGAAAAAATTTCTAGTAATTCATCATAGTCCTTTACAATGCAATTATACACAAATACTGTCATTAAAAAGTGAAACTGAAAAATGTTAAACTCTTGGTAAATTTGTTGAGAAAGATGTCAAATACTCCATGAGTGTAAGTCTCATAGTGTGAGTTCTTGAATCATTTTTGTTTAGACAAATTCACGCTATCTATAGCTGCTCATGTTTTCCTTAAGGAAAGAGGATTAAAAACGATTTAAGAAACTACTTGAGATAGCAGTATTTAACAGCACTAGTCCAGCTCAACTTAGAAGTTCTAACTGATGAAAAAACAGGATTAGCAAAATTGATCCATAATTTTTCTAGTGTCAAATCCCAATAAAGACAATGTTAATAATGACATGAATTTTCATCTTGCCATTATTTTTTCTAATTATAAAAGTTAGAAAAAGTTAAATTAAGATATTACGGAAAGAAGTAATCTAGGAAGTAAAAATCCTTCATAATGCCACCTCTTTTGTTGCTGCCTATATAGTCCTTCAGCTATTTTTCTATACACAATGCTTATATTGTTACTGTCTTATTTTTATAGAAAGGTATCATGCAAAACATAATGTTTGAAATTTGATTTTTTACATTTAACAGTGTATCTTAACATATTTTCATGCTGCTACATTTAGTTCTATCTTTTAATGTTTAATGGCTGCATGCTACTCCATTAAATGGGTCTGTAATTGTTTTCCCTTAATGATGAAATTTTGAGTTTTTATCTGTCAAAACAAAGCAAAAGGGAATATTCTTGTACATATATGTTGCTGATATGGTTTGGCTGTATCCCCACACAAATTCACCTTGAATTGTAATAATCCTCACATGTCAGGGGTGGGGCCAGCTGGAGATAACTGACTTATGGAGGCAGTTTCCCCCATACTGTTCTCTCAGTAGTGAATAAGTCTCACGAGATCTGATGGTTTTATAAATGAGAGTTCCCCTGCACAAACTCTCTCTTGCCTGCTGCCATGTAAGACATGACTTTGCTCCTCATTCACCTTCCACCGTGATTGTGAGGTCTCCCCAGCCATGTGGAACTGTGGGTCGATTAAAACTCTTTCGTTTATAAATTACCCAGTCTCAGGTATGTCTTTATCAGCAGCATGAGAACAAACTAATACAGTTGCTATACTTTGAAATTTATTTATTGAAGACAATTATCTAGAAGGATGCCATATCAAAGGATGTATATCATTTTAGACTTAATGAATATTTCAAAAATATTCTTGAAATAACATTGTATTGAATATAACCAAATCAGTAGAAATTTTTTTTCCTATTTTTTAGAAAATTTGAGTTTATGTGTTTAAATTGTATAAATTGATGTGGGTATATATAATATTAAGCCTTCTCATTCAAGGAAATAATATCTCTGACCACTCATTCAGGCTGTCTTTCATGTGTTTTTGACAAGTCTTATTGCACATAAATTTACATAATATTATTCAATCTGTAATCCTAGAATATTTTCTTAATCGCTAAATTCTCATGTTTTGATTTATATTTTGAGTTTTAAACTTGTTTACATGATATTTTGCTTATCAGATGAGTTCTTTTTGAATATTAATACATTAGTATTAACGTAACTTCTCTGATTACAGTAATAAAGTCTTTCACATTTACCCTTGTGTTTTCAGCACAAAACATAATGTTTGGCACATGTCAAGGGCTCAATAAATTTTATTGAATAAATTAATGAAAATTATTGACCCTTATTTATGAAAAAAGAAAACAAGGAGACATTAAATGTTTTCAAAAGGCAATGAAGCCAGATTTCTCACTGGTCTGTCACAATTACTCTTTATCACACTGCACTTATTTATGTCAAATATGTATCAAAGGAATTATAAGGTAGACTTTTATTTTTTAGTAGTGAACAGAAAGGAATCTAACCCTTTATCTTCCCCTTCAATTCTTCTCTTCTTTCTTCCATACACAGGAATTAGTAAATAAGCTGAAAATGTGAAGTCATGCAAAGATTTGTTTGAAAAGCAAAACGTTTCAATAAAAGGTCTTCCTGGATTAAGAATCTAAGTATGATTTTCATGAACCACCACCACTAAAGATCAGATAATATTATTCATGCTGCAATTTGAAAGAGAAGCAAGAGGAAGATCAGACCGACTCTGCCACTGCATAAAATCATCCCCCTGGGAATGAACAAAGCATTCCGAGAATGAGAAATGGAATATTGGTGACTTCCTGGCTAACAGTTCCATCTAGAGTCAACTGCGGTCATGATTTTCCAATAACAGCCTGTTACTAAACCAAGGTAAATCTCAATTCAGAAATAATGCTTTGGCCTGGTAAGGTGGCTTGTGCCTATAATCCCAGCACTTTGGGAGGCCGAGGAGGGTGGATCACCTGAGGTTGGGAGTTCGAGACCAGCCTGGCCAAGATGGTGAAACCCCATCTCTACTAAAAATACAAAAATTAGCTGGGCGTGGTGGCGGGCGACTGCAATCGAAGCTACTCGGGAGGCTGAGGTAAGAGAATCGCTTGAACCCGTGAGGCACAGTTTGCAGTGAGCCGACATCACACCATTGCACTCCAGCCTGGGCGACGAAAGCGAGACTCTCTTTCAAAAAGTAAAAATATAAATAATAATAATGCTTTATTGTATTCAAAATGGTTTGTTTTGCATGAGACACTGTTTATCGAACTGATGAAATTTGTTACCGAAAACAGCATTTTATGCAAATAGTTAAGAGTTGGTTAGTTGGATCTGGTTATTGGGAGCTAACATGGAACTACATATATAATGCAGAGCCCATAACTGATTTTAAAGGAAGAGAGAAAGTATCAGGTTAAGTCCGCTGGCAAGAAAATGACACCTTCCAATTGAAGAAACAAACATAATTGTTATCTTTGGGTTCTTTTTCTGAATAATCCATTTTCATAAAAGCTTTAGTATCAGGTTCTGCTTTGGGGATGAGGGGTAAGAAAGCTGAGACATTCTCCTTCCTTATACTACTTTGGAATTGTGCACAAATACAGTTGACCCTTGAACACAGGTTTGAAATGCACGCGTCCGCTTATACATTGATTTCTTTTCAACCAAAGGCTGGACTGGAAACTCAGTATATGACAGGCTGACGTTTCTTATACACAGTTTCCACAAGACTGACTGGGATTTGAGTATATGCGGGATTTTGGTACATGCGGGGAGTCCAGGAACCTATCTCTTCTCCCGCATAAAGAGCGTCAACTGTACAAGGATGCTCCTAGAAGCATCTCAATCTCCTGTTTCTTTCTTGCTATGTGTGTTTGAGTATGGAATAGGTTATAAAAGTAAACTAAGGACCAGTTAGCTTAGTCTTACGTCTTAATCAATGATAACCAATGAGCTCCCTAGGATTAGGATGGCAGCTACTGCAAGATGTGTAAACTGGAAAGCCTTAACATTCTGCTAAAGCAGTGGTCTCAACTGGGAGTGGGATGTATATTCAACAATTATCTGGAGAAATTTTGGGTTGTCACAACTGGTGGTAGTTAAAGGGCAGTTACTCCTGACATCTAGTGGACTGCTAAACATCCTACAATCACAGGAGAGTCCCCACAGCAAGTAATTATCCAGCTCAGAGTGTCAGCCATGCTGCTATTGCAAAATTCTGTGCTAGATGAATGAACAAAATATCACTATATCTTTGTAATATCACTTATGATTCAGGGCGAAATGATTAAGAAAAAGATAAAAAGGATATGAAATTAATGTTAAATTGCACTTTAAAATTATGCCTCTAAATGACTTTAAGTAACATTTATAACAAACAGTAAATTAATGTTTACTAATGTGGTTTAAATAAATAATTAAATATATTTTTATGAATGTATGCTCACTATTCTGCATAGTTAATTACAGAGTTTGGGGCAGAATTCAGCCTCAGAGTGTCAAATTATGTATCTCTCCATTCAGATTGTGTGGCTGAAGTACAATTGTATACACCTTATGGCAAATTTCCAGAACAGCAGATTTTGCTTTCTAGAATAGATGCACAAATTCCTTCAAAAAGTGTACAATCCTTTCTGTAGAATGTTATCACAACTAGTTCTTTACTACTAAAATGTTATGGTTCTAGCTTTGACTACTGTAGATGAAAGCAACCTGGCTCTCCTGGCCACAGATGTCTGGATCTGAGACAGCGACATTAGCCATAGGCTTGGTGTGACCAAATTATGAGAGGTTACAGTTTACATGATAGACTTAGTAGCAGTAGCTTTCTGTTTCCATCTTGATGAGGTTTGTAATTTTTGTTTTATTTAAGAACACATGAAATTGTGATTTCGATTTTATGATTTAAGGAGTTCGTTTTATGTACTTTTGATAGGCTATTTTATTTTTTACTCTTTTTTCTTTTCCATCGTTTTATCCTCATGGTTATTTATGGGCTGTGCTGGGAAGAGAGGGAACCAACAATGCCTGAGAAGATTTGCAAGAACTTTGCCCAGCTGAGGCCCTTAATGGATGCAATGAGGACAACTAACTCAATCAAATTCTCTTTTTGAAAGAAGAATAAACTCTAAGTAAAGGGAAAGGTATGTTTCTTGGTTTTAGGATATTGTCTCTACTCATAAATTAAAAAAAAATCTTGGCCGGGTGCGGTGGCTCACGCCTGTAATCCCAGCACTTGGGGAGGCCGAGGCGGGCGGATCACGAGGTCAGGAGATCGAGACCATCCTGGCTAACACGGTGAAACCCCGTTTCTACTAAAAATACAAAAAATTAGCCAGGCATGGTGGCAGGCGCTTGTAGTCCCAGCTACTCGGGAGGCTGAGGCCGGAGAATGACGTGAACCAGGGAGGCGGAGCTTGCAGTGAGCCGGGATCGGGCCACTGCACTCCAGCCTGGGTGACAGAGCGAGACTCCGTCTCAAAAAAAAAAAAAAAATCTCTCTGACCATTCCTTTAAGTTGCAGATTTTTGAAACTTCCAGTCCTATGTAATGACCAAAGCTTTGAAGTTGACTTAAATCTTTTCCTTTGCCTTCCAGCTGGGGTTTCCTTTGAGCTGAAATTTCTTTTTCTCCTTCTCATTTATTTTTGTCCTATCTAGTATCTCTTAATTTAACACTCTCAGTGTCAAAGTTGGGGGGTGGGATTAGGGGAGGTGTTAAGGATGATAGAAGAGGGAAGGCAGGTAAGAAACCTCATATTTTACAGATATCTTCATGACTTCTGGGCATACAGATATTTAAAGCAAACAATGTTTTTCACTTTTAGGGTACTTGTGTATGTTCTTTGACGATTTCTCTGCAAGAGTACCTTTTTAAAACTCCTGGAGCATAGGCAGTGTTTTTCCTTTGTCAGGCCTAGCCCCATGACATAGAATTTCCTCTTGGATTTACAGTCCACATCCTTTTCCATTTGTTGTTTCTCAGCCTAAAAGGCAACCCTCCTGAAGTGGATCCCACTTGAAATAACCCCAGGCTGACATTTCTACTTAGAATCTATATGTGAGTGCCTTGATTAACCCATATTTGACCCACTTTCAGAGAGAAAGGAAGTAACTTCTCAGTTTTAGCCTTCTATTCTGTTGCCAGGTATCACTTGAGCTTTACAAGGCATGAGTCACAAACTTGGGGAGATACCAATAAAGCTTTACAGGGTAGCCTCTTCAAAACCTCTCTCACTGCCCTTGAGGTGAGAACCAGATACTACCCAAGTCTTCCCCATTGTGACATTAGGATTCCTAGAAACCTGATGATGCTCTCAAAATTTCTTTCTACAAAATTTTCTCTTTACTACCAACTGTCAACTGCTGAAAATGTTAAAGATGATCCAGGGCTTAAAGAGTTGTGTAGCAACTCTATGGATATTTTCATTATAAATTTTTGCATGAGATATAAACACCAACTTTGGAATAGAGGAATGTCTAGTACATTATATTTTATCTTGGTGTTTCATCAAAAACTTTAATTTTAACATTCTGTAAGAAAAAAATTTCAAAGTAATTCTACTTACATACAATAATACAAGTGTTAAAGGAATTAATCTCAGAGAGAATGCAGTAGCATATTAATTGAGTTATCTAGAACAATCAATTGTATTCAATCTCAGGAATGCAAGGATGGTTCATATTTGAAAATCTATTAATTTTCTTCATTATATTCCATCAAAAATTGCAAATGAAAATGCATTTAATAGAATTCAACTTTATTATTGGTAATTGACCAAGAAGAATATTTTCTTCACATGGAAAAACATGTATTTCTAACAAATATGGAATCATGTGTTTAACTGTAAAATACCAGAAGCATCCAATAAATATTACTAGTATATTTAATGTTGCTCTGGTAGAATGTTAAATTTAATTAGAAAAGAGAAGGATAATATAAAAGGTAAAAATGTGATGATATAATTAAAATTATTTGCAGATAATATGATTTTATACCCAGAAAATTTAAAAGAAATGTCTAAGAATCTATAAAAGACAAGATAATGGAGTAAAATAGCTGATTTCAAAATTAATTTTTAAAAAACAATAGATGGCTGGGCATGGTGGCTAATGCCTGTAATCCAAGCACTTTGGGAAGTCAAGGCAGGTGGATCACTTGAGGTCAGGAGTTCGTGTCCAGCCTGGCCAACATAGTGAAATCCCATCTCTATTAAAAATACAAAAATTAGCTGGGCGTGGTGGCATGCGGTTAAAATCCCAGCTACTCAGAAGGCCAAGGCAGGAGAATGGCTTGAAACTGGGAGGCGAGGTTGTAGTGAGCTGAGATCGTGCCATTGCACTCCAGCCTGGTCGAAAGAGTGAGACTCCATCTCAAAAAAAAAAAAAAAAAAAAGCAATAGTTATTATATATGCAAATAGTAAATAACATTATGTGATGGAGGAATATCCTGTTTATAATAATAACAAAAATATTAAAACCTTTGTAACATGAAAATTAACAGTCTATATAAAGAAAATATTAAAATTCTAGTAAAAGATAAATTATAAAACCAGAATAAAGGATAAAGCCTATTTTCTTCCTGGATTGAATGTCTCAATATTTTAAAGATGTCAACTGTCTGAATATTATAGTACATGTAGTAGTATTCCATACAAAAGCAAAATAAGATCTTTTAAAAATTTAAGAATCTTATCCTAAAGTGTATAGGGAAATATAAACATGAGAATAGCTAAGAAAGCTAGTGAAGAGTTGAGGTGGAAATTGTCCTGAAATGTTAATTTTTTTTATAGATATGGCAGATTTAGTGGCTTTTTTCAACATCCATTCTGTCTGAAGATCCTTAATTTAAGCCAATAATGGTATCTCCATTTTATTTGTCTATGATTGATTCAGGGAATGACAAATGTTAGCCAGTTAGGACAAATGACATGGGAGGAGAGCCTTGACTGTTTTTTAGCGGGGAAAAGAAGACAGCTTCATTCTTCTTCAGGGTATTAATTGGTGTCAGTTCGATTTTGGAAACTGTTGTAACCACCTCACTTTCTGCTTGAAGATGAAGGCAACCATGGGCATGTCCAAACTGAGAAATGGAAAGAACTGGGTCTCTGATGACATCATTGGGTAAAATACTGCAAAAACAAAAACAAAAACAAAAACAAAAAAAACAAAAAAACAAAGTCTAGGTTCATAAGACTCTGAAAGTGCCATTATATGATAGTATGAATTTTTTTTCTGCTTAAGCCAGCTTTATTCTAGCCTTTATTATTTTTGCAGCCAGAGCACCCCTGTAAAATAAATCTACCATTAAAATAATATAGAAATGGTACGTGAAGAGGAAGAAACAGAATAACAAATACAGAAATTGCCCCATTTCAAAGGAGTAGAGAAACTATAGTTATTCAGTTAATGGTATTGGGACAAATTGCCTAGATTGTTGGACTCGTGTAATGTCTTTACCTCTTCATTTTTATCAAGATAAATTATTGATATGTCAAAGATTTGAAAGGAAAATCAAACCATAAAAGTACTAGTAAAATTCTCATTACTGTTGGTGGAAATGGAGAATTGTACAATTGGTTTAGCAGTCTATTAAAAAGTTAACTTAAAAGTTTTTAAAAATATGTTTCAGTGACAGTTACCTACCTGAGATAAATGAAAGCATACATCCATGCAAAGACTTGCACATTCATACTCATAGCAGCTATATTAAAAATAGCTATGAAGTAGAAACATCCCAAATATTAATTAGTAGGTGGATGGATAAACAAATGTGGCATTCATATACCACACTGAATAGTATTCAACAATAAAAAGGAATAAACTATGGATATATACAACAATTTGGATAAATATCAAAATCATTTTGCTATTAGAAGAAGTCAGCACAAAAGAATGCATACTATATGATTTAATTTATATAAAATTCAGGAAAATGCAAACTAAATTTAGTGACAAAAAGCAGACCAGTAGTTGCTTGGTATGGAGGCATAAGAAAGGATTGACTTAAACAGGCACAAAGTATCTGTAGCGGATGATGGCAATGTTATGTACCTTTGCTGTGGGAGTGGTTTCCGTGGGTGTACAAAACAATCAAAACTCAAAATGCACAATTAAAATAAATGCAGTTTTCTGTATATAAAGTAAACTTCAGTGAATTTAATAAATATATTGTCTGAAGATATGAGGATTTTAAACCATACTAGGAGAGAATATGGGCAATTTTTTTTTTTTTTGAGACGGAGTCTCACTCTGTTGCCCAGGCTGGAGTGCAGTGGCCCAATCTCAGCTCACCGCAGCTTCCCCCTCCCAGGTTCAAGCAATTTCTCCTGCCTCAGCCTCCCAAGTAGCTGGGACTACAGGTGTACACTGCTACGCCTGGCTAATTTTTGTATTTTTAGTACAGATGGGGTTTCACTATGTTGGCCAGGATGGTCCTGATCTCCTGACCTCATGATCCACCTGCCTTGGCCTCCCAAAGTTCTGGGATTACAGGTGTGAGCCACTGCGCCTGGCCAGGAATATTTTTTATAATCTTCAAGTGGGGAAAGCCCAGAATTCATAATGGAAACAAGTTAACAATTAAACTACATACATAAAATTGTATGACAAAAACATCACAAATGAAGTCAAAATACAATTAAGAGTAGGAAAAAATTTGAAACACTATAAACATAAAGAGCTAATTTCTGTAACATATAAAATCACTTTGAGCAATGAGAAAAAAGTAAACAAAGGAAAGCAGTTAACAGAAACAAAATTACAAATAGTTAATGGACATGAAAATATGTTCAATGTCTTTCAGCAATAAATGAAATTAAAACAATAAGGGCTTGTTTTTATCTATCAGTAAACAATTTTAAACGAACTCAGTCTTATAAGTACGCCGGTTATAATAAAATTAGAAGTCCACTTA
Organism: Homo sapiens; assembly: GCF_000001405.40. Lineage (NCBI taxonomy): Eukaryota > Metazoa > Chordata > Mammalia > Primates > Hominidae > Homo > Homo sapiens. The sequence goes on along the minus strand of NC_000003.12, from coordinate 152,066,345 downwards.
ACCTTATTTTAACTTGTTTCTTTAGTAATTTCCTTGTTTTTTCCCTCCTTCGATTTTTTAGTCAAATTTTCTAATTTTCTAAAATTTTCCAATTTATACCAGTCTTTCTAAAAAGGCCCCCCCTTTTTGTCATATTTACATATCTCAATTTAGCAATTGGACACAAAGATTAAAGATTGGTGTATTAATTTTAATTCCTTTAGAAGAAGAGTTTGCATGTATCCAGGCACCATTAGAGCATTCACACACTCATTTGATCAAACATGTAATAATTAATTTTCAACAATGTGTCCTATATGTCAGGCATTATGCTCAATGCTGTGTGCACAATGGTCAATATGGTAGACAAGACTTGTGCACTCATGGAGTGTACGGTCTCCTGAGAGAGACTTCTATTAAATAACTAGAGAGACACATATATCGATTACAAATCAGAACGACCTAATTCAGATTGACAGTTCAGGGAATGTTGCTCTGACGGTGTCTTTCTGTTGAGGATTGAGAATGAGTAGGAGTTGTCCAGGCCAACAATGTGGAGGCGAACATTTGAGCATTTCAGACAAAAAATAAAAATAAAAATAAAGCTTAAAGATAGAAAGAGCTTGATGTCCATGAAAATCTAAAAGGCAAAACGCTGTGGTGCAGTGAGCAGGGAGGCAGAGGGCCTATAGTGGCGAGGCTGCAGGGAAGCAGGGGTCAGATCATAAAGAAGCTGGAAAACCCAGTTAAGGAGTTTACATTGTATTTAGTGTTCAACTGGTTGCAGGTGTGAGTAAAATGATTAGAATCATATTTTAGAAAAATCAGCTTGGCTTCAGTGTGAAAAATAAATTATGGTGAACAGGGGTGGAAGCAGGGGATCTAGTCAGGGGTGTGTTGCAAGAGGGCAGAGGAGAGTCCTAACTGACATTATCTTTAGAGGGGCAATCTCTGTGCCTCACCCATAGTAGTGAAGTTCAATAAAATTCATTGAAATAAATAAAAGACTGATGAATTAATAAAGGTATAAGTTTTGCTGGCCTGAAATTCTATTGAGCCATTTTCATGAATTCACTGTGAATAACAAAGTCTTCAAATCACATAACTTTAATATGGATTAGCACTTTGACCTATCAGCATACCAACCCGTGAAATTCATAGGGATTTCCATCAAAATTTATTTTTGTAAATTTTAAACAGTAACAGTTCATAAAAGTGTGCTTTGTTACAAGTCTTTACTATGTAAAAATGTTTTTTTACTTCTCTCCTTATTTTATACCCTCTAATTCATATCTAAATTATATCTTGAATTTAAAAAATAAACTTAATCATCTAATATCCTAGAGAAGTGATTCTTCAAATTTTCTGCTGTATTCATTATTAATTATTCTATTAAATATGATGAATCCTATAGATACGAAAAGCCACATTTTATGTATAAGCCATTTAATGCAAACATTTGACTTTTTTATTATTTATGATGAAATAAAAAGTATACAAATTAATATTTTTGGCAGGGAACAATTTTATTGTTCCATCTTTAAAATACAAATGAAAATAATACCATTAGTGGTTTAAAAATGGTGATAATAGTGTTGGAGAGTAACTCTATTATTATTAGAGCTCCATTAATGTTGAAAAATAACTCTTATTAGCTAAATTTCTAATAGCTCTAGTGATTGTAAAAGCATACGTTTTTCTTAAAATTACTTTGGTCTCATTGTACACAAAATTAAGTGATATGGGAAAGAGAAAAGGCCACATGTAGTCCTGGATAGGTGGAGTCATCAGGGAGTGCCACATAAGAAGTACTGATTAGTCAAAATAAGAAAAATACTTTATGTGCAGAGCTCTGTAGAAAAATGGCAGATGTTAAATTTCTGGCTGGTAGGATCAGCTACAAATAGTACTTATGACTTTCAGACAGACAGTTTAGGGATTAAGAGACAAGTTTTGTTTTGTTTTTTTTTAGAAATTTTGTGGAAACAATGAAGTTTCCCTAAACTATGAGTCTCTCTCCCACTGGTCATGTAAATCCCATTAGTTAAAAGTCACATTCCAGGGCCTGGCGCGGTGGCTCACGCCTGTAATCCCAGCACTTTGGGAGGCCGAGGCAGGCGGATCACGAGGTCAGGAGATCGAGACCATCCTGGCTAACACGGTGAAACCCCGTCTCTACTAAAAAACACAAAAAATCAGCCGGGCGTGGTGGCGGGCTCCTGTAGTCCCAGCTACTCGGGAGGCTGAGGCAGGAGAATGGCGTGAACCCGGGAGGCGGATCTTGCAGTGAGCAGAGATCGAGCCACTGCACTCCAGCCTGGGCGACAGAGCGAGACTCCGTCTCAAAAAAAAAAAAAAAAAGTCAGAGTCCAAACAATGTTATATGCTCATGGTTACCTCTCCTTTAGTGTTCTTTCTCTACAGCCCAGAGGCTAATGTTTTCAAGCAAGCACTGGATGCAATTTCCCTTGTAGTTAAGCCACATACGCCAATAAATTATTAGGTGCAGTTTTGAATTATTTGTTCCTTTGAGATGTCATTAGCTGTCCCTTCTATTATGTTTATATATGAGAACAAATGGAGTATGGTTAATTATAATGTTTTGAGCAATAATTAATGGTTGTTGAAACCAGTTCCTCTTCTGTTTGTTATTCTAACGTAAAGTACTATACTTTCTGGCAAAAAGATGGTAAGCCATTAATAAAACAGAGTATATATTATAAGGAAAGCAATTGGAACCAGCGTTCATTCTGAAATAGCCCTGAGTTAAAAAAATATTAGTTCTGCAGGAATAATTTTATAGAGGTCATTTTACTTTCTAGTGTTTAAAATATGAATTATTAAGATCAATATTTTTGGAAAATAAGATAAACAATTTTTAGTTAGCAAGTTTTCATTCCATCTTGTCTTCTCTGAGTGCCATCATAGAGGTCTACTTATTTTCTCACATCTAGTTAAGAAGTATTATGAAGTACATATAGGAAGTATATATCATTCCCTTGAAAATTAGAGCATGGTGGCCATGCAATCTTAGGAAAAGGATAAATGAAAACAAATTAGTGAAAATTTATGTTAAAAACAAAAAGGATATCAATATTAGTTTAATCGATTAATTAGTAATAGCTTAACTAATATGAACTAAATAGACAAAAAAAAATGATCCTTTGGATATTAATTCTGAGCTCATTCTAATGAAGTCTCTGATGAATCAGGATAAGAATATCAAGCCTGCTGCTAATAGATGTGTGACTCTGGGAAGGTTGTCAGGTCTCTGGATTGTGAGTGATTCATCTGTAAAGTAGAGAGGACATTGATGTTTTTGCTATGATAATTTATATTCTAGGTGCTTGTTATTAATGAATTGTATATGATATGGGCCTAAGTAAGAGTCAACATCAGAAAAAGTATTGCTCTGAGAAATGACACAACAGGCTGCTGTCAGACTTACCATCCCATGAAGAGGTATAAAAGAGATGGAAGAAAATGTGTTAATTTGAAAATCATGATGGCAGGATTACACTCAACATTTTCTGGTTTCCCAAAATGGGCCAATCAGAGATCCTATTAAAGTACATGAGTTGACTCAATAACCAGACATTCCACCATAACCCAACTGATAGCTCCAATCTGTTTCTTCCAACCAGCCATCACACTTCTCGTTGTGCCTGGCTCATAGTAGATGCTCAGCATATGTTGATTGAGTAAATAATAAAACATACCACCTTCCCTATGCTTACTGGCATTTGGATCTTCTTTGAAAGTGGCAAATGTATAGTTTAAAAAATGTTATGACATATGAAAAATATACTGGGATTTTTAACAGATTAAGTAAAAATATAAAAGACTGTGAAGTTTGCTTCCGCGAATTGATAGGGGGAGAACACAGAATGTCACAATGATAGGATGGGTGTTACCATGAGGGTGGAGGTAAAGGAATAGACACAAAAAGTGAAAGCTATTAGTGTCCATGGTAATATGAATCTTACTTTCAAATTGTTCTTGAAAATGAGTTTATTTTAAAAAATGAAAAGGCACAATATAATGTGAGCTAAATAACTGTCATGTGTGTATATGTATGTCCATTCTGATTATTATAACTATTTATCAGGGTACTGACCAATGAAAATTGATGCTGGCCACTGTGCCATACTGATATATACTGGCTGAATAACAATGATGTATTTGAAATAATCCTTGATACTTTCCTGATCAATAGAGAGATTACTCACATAAAATGCATTTTCATCTCTTATTGGTCATGTATGAAAAGGTCATCTTGCTCCCTAGAGCTCTTTACCCTGCCAGATGAATAAAAAATAAATGTCATAAATAATCAAGAATGAAAGCACTTAGGAATATATCTGTGTATTATTAGTCACTCATTCGTTATGCATGAACTATAAATGCATTTTCAAAATAATGCAAATGAAAATAATACAGTCCAACAATGGATAATTTGAATAAAAAAGCATCTTTTACTAAATGTTTGATAGCAAAATCAATCTAATGAAATTATGTTTTCGTAGCTAATTGTGACAGCCTGAAAAGATATATTTTTTTTTCTTTTAAAGTAAAATTAAAAATTTTTCAAGTCCAGCCAACAAACTTCACTTTGGTAGGACAAATGTGAAAATGTCTCTCTCTGTTCTCTGAAGCACTGTTTACTAGATGAATTAAATAAATAACATACCACTTTCCCTACAGCTTACTGGCACTTGGATTTTCTTTGAAGATGGCAAATTTAGAAACTTATTTTCTCATAGTTCTGGAGTTTGAGCACTTCAATATCAAGGTGCCAGCCAATTCAGAATCTGCTAAAGGGCTGCTATTTGGTTCATAGGTGATTCATTGCTGTGCCCTCACTTAGTGGATAGAGCAAACAAACTCCTTTGGGCCTCTATTATAAAGATACTAAGCTCATTCATACAGGTGGAGCCTAATCACCTCCCCAAAGGCCGTACCTTCTAATACCATTAACTTGGGGGCTAGATTTTTAACATATGAATTTTAGGGGGACATATAGCAAAGTCCCACTAGACTTTCCTTAGAATCACCAAGACTGCTCATTCAGACAGCTACTACCAAACCTAAGGAGGCTGCAAAACAAGTGCTTTTACAGCAAGTCTAAATTCTCTGTGTATTTCTGATCAAACCCCACAGAGCATTTAATGCCAGTTCTTAACGAGAGGGATAGGGAAGAAAAGTAATGAAATGAGAAAAAACAAAATGTCATCCCACGCTGGGCTTTGTTCTCTGGAATTCTCAGACAATTTATTGTAGTTTTGTTCTTGGGAATTAGTTTGTTTAATTGGGAAAGCCTTGCATGCCAACATTATGCTCTGTTTTCCAAAAGCTTGCCTTTGAGCTTGCTCTTAAATACATGATGCCTGGGATTGGAAGCCTAAGTGAAGAACAAACACTTTTGGCTTGGCCTGGTATTTGACTTACTGCTTTATTTAGGCAATCTGATACCCATAGTTAAGCCTTAGCAAACCCTCACTTTAACACATGTTAATCTTTGCCTTTAATTTAAAAGTAGGGCTGAATGCTCAGCCAATGAAATTACTGCCTTTGGCAGTCTTGCATGTGTGAGTGTTTGTGAATGCTTTATAAATCACGACTGCAGTGGTAAATTTAAAAAGTAATTTAGTAGTTAGAGGACAGAATTTGTTCACCATGTACCACATTTATGCAGAATTTTAAAAACCCACAGTGTTCATTTAGTTGACCATTTTGAATGCCATTTGAGATTGTGTCCCCGTCTGTTTTATGTGGTTTTATTTGTAATGCTGAGTACCAGCCAAAATTAACTGTTTCTTTCTCTTGTATCCCATAAGCATTTTCTTGTACCTCTAGAATTTGTAATCTGACTTGTATACTGTTAATTGTTTATATGTCATTCTCAGCACTACAGAGTAAACTGCTTGGTGATGGTGCTATTTCAGCAGTGTTATAGATCACAAAGGAAGAATTCAACAATATTTAAGTTGAACAATTTTGTATAAGACAACCTACTGAAAATAGATTCCTCACAATTCAGAAGTCCATTTACCAAAAAGGAGCCCACTTTATATTCATGGTTGATAATAAAAATCGTATTTTTTCATTCACAAATATTTATGTATTCATTCTCTGTTTCAGACCCTATATGAGGTTCTAAAGGATGGGGAAAATATAAAATGCATCAGATTTCCAAGATGCTAATATGCAAAGCAAATAACAAAATGTAGAAAATAAATGCTAAAGGTTTTGTACTAGGTTAAAGAAATGTAGGTAAAATTAATTCCCGTGATGATATAAAGTGTGAAGGCAGGCTTCTCAGAGAGGATGATATTTGAATTGGATCTTGAGGTAAGTCCGGAAGGTTGAGAAAGATTTTGTTAAATAAACAAGGGAATAAGGCCATTTCATGGTTTTAAATGGGCACACACAAAAGGCTAGGTGGCCAAATAAACAATACAGTTCATGAGATAGATAAGAAATGCCTAAAGAAAATACTAGAATTCTCTGGATAAAGACAATCTAGACATAAAGCTGAACTATTTGTATTTTATTCTATAAGCTGTGATTTTTAAAAAATAATTTCAACTTTTATTTTAGATTTAAGGCATACAAGTGCAGGTTTGTTACATGGATCTATTGCATGATGCTGAGGTTTGATGTATGATTGAACTTGTCATCCAGGTAATGAGCATAGTACCCAACAAGCACTTTTTCAGCCTTTGCTCCTTCCCTCTCTCCTACTTCCAGTAGTCCCCAGTGTCTATTGTTACCATCAAGGAATTAACATGTGATAGTTTTTAAATAAAGAACTGATGTGGTGGTGTAATGGAATAGAATAGATAACCCAGAAATAAAGCCACACAACTACAACCATCTGATCTTTGACAAGGTTGACAAAAATAAACAATGGGGAAATGATTTCTGCTTCCTATGGTGCTGGGATAACTGGGTATCCACATACTGAAGAGTGAAACTAGGCTCCTACCTATTACCATATACAAAAATTAATCAAAGTGGCTTAAAGACTTAAATGTAACACCTCGAACTATAAAAATCCTGAAGAAATCCTAGGAAATACCTTTTTTTTCTGTTTTACATTGACTGTGGCAAAGAATTCATGACTAAGTCCTCAAAAGCAATTGCAACAAAAACAAAAATTGACAAGTGGGACCTAACTAAAGGAAATAGCTTCTGCATAGCAAAAGAAACTTATCCACAGAGTAAACAGACAACCTACAGAATGTGAGAAAATATTAGCCAACTGTGCATCTGACAAATGACTAATATGCAGAATCTATAAGAAACTTAAATCAACAAGCAAAAAACCAAATAACCCCATTAAAAAGTGGGCAAAAGATGTGAACAGACACTTCTTAAAAGGCATACTAGTGGCCAAGAAACATATGGAAGAATGCTCATCATCTCTAATCATCAGAGAAATGCAAATCAAAACCACGACGACATATCATCTCACACCAGTCAGAAAGACTATTATTAAAAACTAAAAAAGTAACAGATGTTGGCAGGGCTGTGAAGAAAAGAGAATGCTCATACATTATTGGTGGGAATGTAAATTAGTTCGACCACTGTGGAAAGCAGTTGTGGAGTTTTCTCAAAGAACTAAAAATAGAACAACCTTTGACACAGCCATCCCATTATTCAATATATATCCAAAGGACAATAAATTATTCTACCAAAAAGACACATGTACCCCCCGCATATGTTCATCGCAGCACTATTCACAGTAGCAAAGATGTGGAATCAACCTAAGCACCCATCAACCATATATTGCATAAAGCAAATGTGGCACATATACACCGTGGAATACTACATAGCCATAAAAAGGAATAAAATCTTGTCCTTTGCAGCAAAATGAATGGAGCTGGAGGCCATTATCCTAGGCAAACTCATGCAGAAACAGATAATGAAATACTACATGTTCTCACTTATACGTGGGAGCTAACCACTGGGTACACATGGATATAAGGATGGGAACAATAGACACGGGTGACTACAACAGTGGGAACAGAAGGGCAAGGGTTGAAACACCACCTGTTGGGTAACATGCTCACTACCTGGGTAACAGGTTCAATTGTACCCCAAGGCTCAGCATTATGCAATATAGTTACGTAACAAACTTGCACTTGCACCCCCTCAATCTAAAATACAGGTTGAGGGCTGGATGTGGTACAGTCCTATCACTTTGGGAGGCCAAGGTGGGAGGATTGCTTGAGGCCAAGAGTTTGAGACCAGCCTGGGCAACACAGCAAGACCCTGTCTCCACAGAAAATTTTTAAAAATTAGCTGGGCATGGTGATGCATGCCTCTAGTCCCAACTGAGGTGGGAGGCTGAGGCGGGGGAGGATCACTTGAGCCCAAGAGGACAAGGCTGAAGTGAGCTATGATTATACCACTGCATTCCAGCTGAACAGCAGAGGGAGACCCTGTCTCTTTAAAAAAGAAAAAAATAAGAAAGTTGAAAAAAGAAAAAACCCACAAAAATAAAAAATAAAAAAAAGAAGCAATGTGGTGGTCTAATATGGGCCAAGGTTGGAAAAAGAAATGATGAGGTTGAAGAGACCAGTCAGAAGGTTATTGTGAATGGAAGATTACTGTGGGGGGGTTGGGCAACATGGAGCCATGAAGCAGTTCACTGCTAAAGCTGACAGACTGTAAAATGTTTGGATATAGGTAGTTAGGAAGGAGTCTCAGACAATTCAGCAATTCCCACCTTGAATTACTGGGTAGGATTATCTCCTTACTGAAGGGATCTGGATCTCTCTGTCTCTCTCTCCCTCTCTCTTTTAGCGGGTGGGGCTGAGTTGGTGGACTCTCATGAGTTTGGCACACGACTTTCATGTGCATATGGGACATGGTAATGGAAACCTATTATTTAGTCTAGCCATGAAAAATCTTATCTCTTTACCACCTCCTGTTCTTAAAACATGTCTCTTCTCACTTCACATGGTTTTGAAGAAGCTGTCATTTGTGCAAGGATCCCTTTATATATCCAGAATGGATGGGGTGGGTTAATATCTTCCTAGAAATTCGCCCATCCTAGGATGTGACATCCTAAGGAGTCAATGCCTTATATTATTAAAGCAGAACAGAGAAAACAAAGTAGGTCTTTCTCTGAGTTCTGAAACTGAGGCTCTGCAAACTTGGGGACCATTGTTGGTTACATGCCAACGTGTGGGCTAACGAGTACAAAAAGCTAACTGCCAGTGTACAAAAAAAGTGTAAACAGATGCTCTGAGAGAGAAAATGAGAGATGAAAGATTTCCTGAGTTTCTCTCAGGACTGTGGCCTCTTGTGGTGGCCATACATCCCATCCCTTAGGCTTTTTGGCATTCTCCAGTAACAGCCCCAGTAAATCTTTCTTTTTCTCTTTGATTTTGCCTAAGCTAGCTAAAGTCCATTTGTTTTTTTCTTTCTGTTTGTTTTTAAAACTAAAGTGGTTTCAAGCCCCTTCTGAATGCAGATGTTCATTTTGCAAAGAACAATATTCAGGATATAATATCAAAACTTGAGTATAGAGTTAGACAGCATCAATATAGTTTCAGGAGCTGAAGCTCTAGAAGTGGATGAAAATGTCAGGAAGGAGCAAGCAGAATGTAAAGAGAACAGGCCTGAGGGCAAAACCTTAGTAACTACCTAATGTAATGATAAACAAAGAGGAAGAGGTGTTTTTCCATAGGCAGAGAAGACAGGTGAAATAGGTTGACAGAAGCCATAAAAGACAAAGGAATTTCAAATATGATGTGTGGATAATAACTCTGCTAAATATTGCAAAGAGGTCAAACAGGATGAGGGCTAATAAGAAGCTATTGAATTAGGCAAACAAATGATTATTGTTCACTTTTGTTAGATGTAAACAGTTTCAATAGAATGAGAAGGATGTCGCCTAAAAATGGATAAATAATGAATGAGTGAAGATTGATCTTGCAAGGTGTGTGAAGGGGTGGAAAAGAAAGAGACAGTGGTTAGAGGAAGCAATTGTGTTACTTTCAACGAATGTTTTGTTTGACAAATATTTAGTTCTTACTATGCGCCAGGTACTAAACAAAGCTAAGTGCTAAAGTAGATACAGTTCCTGCCAGCAACAATTTATAGTCCAGTGATGAAAACTCATAAACTCATAAACAAAGGTGATGAGAAAGTCAGGACTAAAGAAAGCCATCTTTAACTCCTCCATAGGTATGTGATCATAAAAAACTTGATGTCTAAAAAACATGTCAATTTTGTATGCCTCTGCATTTGCCTGCATGCTCATGTGTATGAGCACACATGTAAATCACACTCATACAAAACACATACAGTCTAAGCTGAAATAACTAGTTTGTTTAAAGCAATCAATACTATAACCACTTGTTTGGATGTGCAAGCTAACTACCCAGACCAGTTCTAACGCATAGTATGAAAATCAAGCTGGGACACTGTTCGCTTACCTGCAGCTTAAGAGTGAATTATTTCTCTTACACGACAACTGAAACAATGCAAGGAATGGGTAGCCTTAAACATCTCCCACTCAGACAAACTGGGGTGATTGTGTTTGTAGAATAAGAATGAAACATTCAGTTGAATTACACTAGTATTTTTTTTTGTTTATTTTTTAAAACAGCAATGAGAACTATATATATATATATTTAATTTCTTTAGTTAAGAAAAATTATTTCCAAATAGTACTACTAAACTTTCCACAGATGGAAGATTTTAGTACTTTTAAGGGGACACCCCTAAGTGTCTACTTTTTAAATAAAAGAATGCCAATAATAAAATTCTTTAAAGGAGAGGCTCCTGTTTATGAGTTATTCATATTCTACTCATAGATATGGGAAAATAGCTCCTATCTATAATTTTATCATCTGGCCAGGGTCTGACCTTAGGAACTTCAAATGCTTCTTCTCAATAGTGTTTCAAATATGCCAAAAGCTTATGATAGTTAATCAGTTTTGACAGATTTTTACTTACATTTTTATCTAAGATTATTGTGCACTATAAACGTCTTATTTTTTTCATCCTATCACCGTGTTGTAGAGGAAAAGGAAATCCAGTTGATGAAAAAAAACTGATGTACCAAACAAATAAAAACAATAAAATAACTACAGTTTAAATGAATTCAGTCTACTCATCAAGCCAATACATTTTAGAGAGAGGAACTAGAACAAGATATACAGCCTATGTAGAAAATTGTAGTTGGTCCTAAAACGATTACTACATCAAAAGTATATTTTCTTCATTTTGTATGAACTGGACTCTGACCAGGTCAACCTAGTAGCTTGTATTATAATGTTTGTGAGTCTATTTGCCTATTTCTTTTCATTAGAATTTAAAAACAGAATTGCCAAATATACCTCAAATTTAACCCTTGATTATATCTACTTCAAATCTTTTCTTTTGCCTAGCTTTTCCTCAATTTTGTTACTTCCCTCATATTCAGTTATTGCAGCCATGAATCTAAGTATGATCCTTAATTTCCTTTCCTCAAACTTGCTCATGACATATGTCATATTCTTGTAATCGCTATAGTCCAAACATTGTACCAAATAGACCTACTTTGCTACAGCTCTGCTACTGCGATCCTTTCTCAAGCCCCCTTTTTTCTCACCTATAATCTGGCATTGGCTCTCTAATTGGTTATGCTGCTCCCCCTGAAGACTGTAGGCCATTCTCCATACTGTAATGGTCTTATAAAATGGGAATCAGTGCACATGGCAGTGCTGCATCAAATCATCTAGAATTTTTAGAATAAAATCCCAATACCTCACCATGGCCTGTAAGGCCAAACATGATGAGACGTCTCTCATACACCTTTACCATTCTCTCTTTCTCTCATTACACTGCAGCCACACTGGCCTTTTTCAGTTCCTTAAACTCTCCAGTCTTGCTTCGATTCTAGGGCTTTTGTACTTGCAGTTGTTTCTGCTTGGAATATTCGTACTAAAAAAGTATTATGCAATTTGATTATGACCATGAAAGATAATTTAGTTCAAATCAAAGAAAATTATCTTTTTTTTCCTAAAAAAAAAAAAGAAAGAAATTATGTCTTGCTCTCTTGCCCAGGCTGGAGTGCAATGGCACAATCAACTCACTGCAGCCCTGAACTCCTGGGTTCAAGCAATCCTCCCACCTTAGCCTCCCAACTAGCTAGGAATAGGTGCACATCCCCATGCCTGGCTAATTTTTTATTTGTTTGAGATAAGATCTTGCTATGTTGCTTAGGCGCCTCTGGGAACTCCTGGCTTTAGGTGTTCCTCCACCAAAGCCTCCCAAAGTGCTGGGATTACAGCTGTGAGTCACTGCACCAGGTCTAAAGAAAAATATATTTTAGTATATGTCATACAAGCCCCAAATACATACATTGTTTAGTCAAGAGTTATTAGGATGTTAGGGACAATATATTGGTCCAGTTACTATAATTGCACAATAAACAATCCTGAATTTAGTGGCATAAAACAACAACCATTTTATTATGCTCATGGTTTCTGTGGGTCAGGAATTTTAAAAGGGTTCAGTGGAGATGACTTTGCCTCATATCTGGGTTCTCAGCTAGGAAGTCTCAAGGACTAGGAATGACTTGAGAGTGGTAAGATTAAAATTACCTGAAGGATCATTTACTCTTATGATTGATGTGTTGATGCTGTCAGATGGAAACTCAACTGGACCTTTCAATATGGCTGGCTTCCTCACAATATGGTAACTGCATTCCAAGAGAGAACATCTTAATAGAAACAGGCGGAAGGTACCCAGCCTTTTAAAAATGTAGACACAGAAGTCACATAACATTGTTTCCACTGTATTTACAAGTCTGCCCAGATTCAAGGGAAATAAACATAGACCTCACCTGTTAATAGCAGGAGTGTCAAAGTTGCAATGTAAGAACAGCATGTGATATGGGAGATGTTGTTGCCACTAACTTCCACATGTATATTACCTTCAATTATGGTGTCATGAAAAGCACCACAGCAGTTGGCTGCAAAACAACTACAGGTGTCAATGTCAAAGATGAAACAAAGTATAATAGATCACTTGGTCTCACCCAGAAGATAAATATTTATGCTGTTGGATATTTTGTATCAGCTAGTTTTAAAGCCTTGCCACTTAAAAAAATAAAAATGCCTTATTTCAATGGAGCAGAGTCATTTAATATAGCAAGGGTAATTTTCAATAACATAATTTAAGGTATAATTTATCATATTACTTACCAGATAATGCTTGTGATAGCTTATGGTAAAAAAATGAAAGACTACAAACCACCACATAAAAGATCAAAGAAGAGATGGGAAATCAATAGGAAACTCTTTAGAGCTTGCCAGACTTCACAATGCCTCACTTCTCTAGGTCATATTGTACTTTTCAAATTATTATGAGACAAAAAGTTTTAGGACATCAAGCAATTAAGACCAGCCAAAGTATAATTCACACCATATTCCTCATCAAATGTGATGTAGAATCTGTTCAGAGACATTTCTGCTGTTGCTTTTGTATGTCTGCCTAAACATGAGGAACCTCAGCTATTCATACCTTCAAGCTCTCCTGTCTTGCTTTGCTTGATGATCAAACACCAATAATAGAGGTGACTAATTTATAGGTAAGAAACTATATCCTTGAATATGTATATATTTCATTTGATTTATAAAATTAATTGATTGGCTAAATATTGCTTGAAAAATAAAGTATGATGATATGTAATATAACATTTTTGGAAAAAAAAATGGAAGATTAAATTTATTGGCACATATGAACAGAATGAATTCTCATATGTATAAAGGCTATGAGGAGAGGCACTAACAAAATACATAACTTGAAGAATCCTTTTAAACTAAATTTGAGTTTGTAAGGCATCAAACCCTATCACTATACATAATTTATTGAGGTGAGAAGTCCAGGCTTGTGTATGTAAAATGTTTCTTTTGAATGTATTTGTTCTGTTATTTGGGTACTTACAATTTAATCTTGAAAACGTTGATAACTTGGCTCTTACAATTCAAAATTTAACTTGAAATATATAATCCAGAATGTAGACTTGTGCAATTGTTTTCTTTGTAAAAGATTCTTTTAATTTTATTACCCACTTAGCAAAAGCCTATTCATCCCTCAAGATCTAGCTCAAATATTTTCAGTTTCCATAACACTAAGTTCTGTTATGACACTCACTCTATTTCACTCTATTTGTAATGTAACTTGAGTTTCCTCATGCCTCACTAACCATGGAGATAAATGGGTCACATAAATGAAAATGACCAAAATTGCTTTAATGTTGACCCAACCTGCTCAAGTAGTAACTCAGTGCCCTGGGAATTGTCTTTCAAACATTTCTAGTAGTAGACAGGGTTGATCCACATGTACCTACAAGCTGGCTTCACAAGGGACATTTACTATCTCCCACCAGGCTGACACTGGATACTGCTGTGTCCACTGGGAATGTACCATCTCCTGCTGAGCACCAGGGTCTCTGCTGTTGCTCTGGTGCAGCTACTTCAGACTGTACCAAGATGTACCAGACTGAGTTTTCGTGGTATCTAGGAGAAGGAAGTGCTGTGCACAAGGAGAAAGAATTCTCATCTTCACTGCTCTGTTTTATGCTTTGTCACTGTATATGAGCAGTTCTGCTGTGTTCCCATACCTCAGTGGTTTTTCATGAAAATAACTATGGAAACCTATTTCACCACTGGGATCAGATTACATTCCATGGGGGTTATCTTCATTCTCTTGTCCTCCCAGTTATGTCAGATGACAATGTTCAATCTCTTCTTTTCAGCCCAAACAAGAGACAAACATGCCGTCATGTACTTACTCTGTGCAGTCACATTCCAACCCATTCAGCTCTCCAACCAGGTCATAGACATGGTCAGAGATTATTGACTCTCACTTCGGCTGAAGGAGCAGTTCCTGCAACATTTCTTTATACATTTTTCAGCCTCAGAAGTTTATAAGTCCTTGAGGACATGAACCAAGAGTCTTATTTCTCTGCGTTGAATCAGAACTAAAAAGTAAATTTAAACCAACACATAGGCCAGCACCTTAATTCTAAAGACAGCAAACTGTAGCATCTCTTAAGGACTGTGGTTTTACTCGACCTGCAAGTTGGCAAGTTAACCCACCATAGTTTTATGAAAACAGGCAGAAGTCACAAGACTCTTGGATCAGAAACAAAGCATTTCATTACTCACAACACAGCAAGAAACATGAGTTTTATGTTTGCATCAAATTCCCTTCTGCTACTGGAGTGACCTATTGCTTCACAGCTGAGAAGCCCAAAACTTAGGGAACCCTAATATTTTACAATGGGTTGCACAAGCAACCTTCCCAAGTTTTGCACAGAGTAAATCATTATCTTTATTATACTGGAGAGTAAACAAACCTTCCCTCTGTTCTGGAAGGAGACTTTAACCTCCAAGGTTGTTCACTATACAAATGTCCTTGAAAAGATAATCTTTTAAGGCTCAACAAAGACCATAGGTGCTTCTGCTGTAAGACATGCGGAAACTCAGGAAACCTATCAGAATTCTCTTCCAGAAGTATCAAGAATTAAGGTGACCTTCTGTTTCCAGGGTTAGTAAATAGAAGATGAGAATGCAGGTCATTTGGAACATGATCCAGTAATTTCTTTGAGTGAGACAGGAACAGAAAAGAAATGGGATAATATTAATAGTTCAGTTTCATTGATTAATACTACTAAGGTCATGTAAAGCCTTTCTAAAATATATTTTTTAAGTTTTAATATCACTGTGGTTATTCATATCCTGTAATAAGCATTATATATTATATATATTATAATTATATATAAATTATATATTAAAATTATATATGTATAAATATGTGTATGAATTATATATATAAATTATATATGTAAATACTATAAATATAGTTATATATAGAGAGAGAGAAAGAGAGAGAGAGCACAAGACAGGGTCTCACTCTGTAGCCCAGGCTGTAGTACAGCGACACAATCATAGAGCATTACAGCCTCAACCTCCCACTCAAGCAATCCTCCCACGTCAGTTTTCTGGGTAGCTGGGACTGTAGGCACATGCCACCATGCCAGGCTAAAATTTTTTGTGTGTATTTATTGTAGAGATGGAATTTTACCATGTTGCCCAGGCTGGTCTTGAACTCCTAGGCTCAAGTAATCTGCCTTCCTTGGCTTCCCAAAGTGCTGGGATTACAGGTGTGAACCACTGTACCCAGGCCAATATTATATTAATTGTATAAATTCCAAGCTTTTTTTCAATTTTTAAAAAAGATTTTGTCATATATGTGTATATATTAGAAAGAAATTGCCAGAACAACAACAAAAAAAAACCTCATTAATTAGGGAGGCCATATTTTGCAAAATAATGTCTGGAAAAAAATTCACCAAAGTTAAACAGCTAATATTACTATGAACACTTTTAAAAGAGATATTCTCTAGACCACTATGTGATGTGGCCTCGGTATTTTACTATAAGATGATGAAAAAATATTGACTTGGTCACCAAGAGCTCCTCACTGTTGATTCATTATATTTCCCAATATGAGGAACCATTTTATGATGGTTAGGCCTACAGTTCTGTATTCTCTCTTAAACTATATTCTTCCAGATACCTTCCAGAGCCACTCTCTGTGTGACACCCAGACAATGAATAAAATATATATATAAGCTAATGGGCACCAGCAGGTGTATTGGAAAGAAACCTGGATTGAAAATAAAGAATTTTGGGATCAATTCCCAGTACCTAATGCATGACAAGAAAAGATAAATAAAAAAAGGGACAAAAACAAGCACTTAGTCATTTTTTACATAAATTTTACTTAATTTTAACCAAAGGGTTAATGAAGGTTAAATATTAGGAGTTTATAAGCACATCAATTACATCACAGGATGCAATTGACAAAATCCAGACTGTAAGATGCTCTACAGAATGTGAACATTTTGCTTTTTATCCATAAATAATTAGCAAGATGGGTAGGGAGAGAGAGAGAGAAAAAAAAAAGAGGAGAGAGAGAGAGAGAGAGAAAAGAGAGTTTAAGAGAGACTTATTGGACATATATTGTAATTTTTGGTCCTTATTTGGGTCTGGGAAAAGCAAACTAAAAGTTAAAAGTTTTAATGAGCTAATTAGGAAGTTTGATAGAATTAACAAATTATTGCCATTTTGAAGGTATAATTATGGAACTGTGGTTACATTTAAAGGAGTCCTTATTTTTTTTGGAGATACAAACAAATGTTTACAGATAGAGTATTAGCTGCAATTTGCTTCAAAATAATACAACCTACCACTAACTGCCCAGTTAACTATAAATATCTCAGGTCCCCTTCTGCTTTTGGTATTCATTTACTCCGGAGGCAGTGAAGAAAGAAACACAAGTTCTTTTGTAATCATGGGAAACTACTCATGACTTCCCTCCTGGATTCATTTGGTACCTTCTCCTGAATTCAGTGATAATTATCTTAGAAATCTTTTCAGTATAGGTAGAACAAAACTCAGTATTAGAAGAAAGATGTCAAACTCTACACCAAGGATCTATGAAAAAGGCCTTTCTGTATTGCCCAGAAATTATCAGCAATGTATGGATATTAAAATAAACCAAATATGACAATATTGCTATTAAAATATTTGTAAAATTTACTAAGTGGCGGATAGTTCCCCCTTCTAGATTTTAGTTGAATTAAATTAATGTGATTTCAATGGTATAATCAAAACATCACTGCCTTTTCTGACTGTGATATCAGGCTCATGCTAAGATAACTAACCTATGTTCCCCAAATAGAGCAACTTCTCTGTAAAGGAATTCTATCTGTAAAGGATTTCTATCTCTGTAGAATCTCACACAGAATAACTCATGAGAGTTAGTGGAGCAAAACAGGATGGTGATGCAAAGTGTCATTTTCTTTTTTGAGTTGGGGTCTCACTCTATCACCCAGGCTGGAGTGCAATGGTGTGATCTCACTCACTGCAAACTTCACCTCCCAAGCTCAAGCCATCCCCCTTCTTCAGCCTCCCGAGTAGCTGTAACTACAGGTGTGCACCACTGTGGCCAGCTAATTTTTTGTATTTTTTGGTAGAGACGACGTTTCAGCATGTTGCAGGCTGGTCTCAAACTCCTTAGCTCAGGCAGTCCACCTGCCTCAGCCTTCCAAAATGCTGGGATTACAGGCACGAGCCACCATGCATGGCCCAAAGTTTGATTTTTGGTCATACTAGTTTGGCATTGATTTTTGACTTGTTATTACTAACTTTTGGTAGTCTTAACTTGATTTAATTGTTGATCATCAAAGAGCATAATGAGTTAGAGGACCATAAGATAATTAGCACCAGGGAAAAAATAGTCAACACTAAAGAAATATTAAAAATGTATTGAATTTTTAAACCAAAAAAGGAGGTGATCACTCTTTGAAAGCAAATTTAAACTTGCTCTTTTTAATAGTAGTTATAAAGAAGGTCATTTAGGAGATCCACATTAGGCTTGAATTGAGAGTCATGTAACTTTTTAATTTTATTTTTATTTTTCACTTTGAGTTAGAGAAGAGTTATTCTAGGGGAAGTAAGAACTCCTCCATGACAAAGGCAAAGAAATCCATAGACTGTGTTTGTGTTTCTCAGTGTTCTGTGTATCAGGTATTTTATTCAGACCAATGTTGAAATGTCACAGGATAATGTTTGTTATTACTGGCTTCTACTTACCCTTGTGAAATCAGGAGTGATTGTTCACCTCAGAGGATTTCCTCTTGTAAATGACCCAAGAGAAAACAATAACTCATGTTGATTGCTGTAGTTGGTGATGTGAACATGGAAAACCTTGTACCCTGAGGGAACAATACAAAGATTACAAATATATTGATATTTTGCATGAATTCTAATTGTCTCCAGTGTTAGATTTCAGTTAATTTGAGAGCTGATAATAATAACAGCAATAGATAAGAGCCTTGATGTTGAGTGTTCTCAAAAATCAGTTGTTGAAAATCATATAGCACATACATTGGGTGACATACAACTTACTGTCCAAACTGAGACACTTTTGAGAATGAAATGGAGTGCTGTTCATAATTATGCTGTGAATTAGGTAAACTCTGACCAAACTCTAACACATAATCATGTTTATATATGCAATTATCCTAAATACATCTACTAAATAGTGGAATAAATATATGGCACCAAATATTACTTATTTTAGTGTATTTTTCAGAAAATAAAATGAAAATGAAATGCATAAAAAGAGGCCACGTGCGGTGGCTCACTTCTGTAATCGCACCATTTGAGGAGGGTGAGGAAGGAGAATCACTTGAAGCCAGGAGTTCAAGACCAGTCTGGACAACAAAGAGAGACCTTGTCTCTACAAAAGATTTAAAAATTAACCAAGTACAGTGGCATTTGCTTGTAGTCCCAGCTACTCAGGAGGCTCAGGTGTGATAATCATTTGAGCCCAGGAGTTTGAAGCTGCAGTGAACTATGATTGCCCCACTGCACTCCAGCATGGGAAACAGCAAGAGAACCCATCTCTAAAAAAAATAAAAATCACTAAAAGTCAAGATCCTATTTTATTTGTCTAAAGACTGTTTTTCATACTTAGTGTTATATTTTAAGGAAAAGCAAAATTAAATTTTCTTGATATATCTTACCTAATAAAATCTCTTTCATAGAAGTGATCAACAGAGGTAGTAATAGATTGGTCAGATAGGCTAAAAAATGAGGTTACTTGCTAAAAATAATGTTACTTGTTTAATTGATTTCTCTCTTCTTTAATTGCTTTTGCATCTATTGCTAGTGCTGTACAATTTAACACTAAAGTTATCAAATCCCGCTTATTCATTTTACAGATGGGCAAGTCATTTAACTTTCTCAGAATAGTACACTATAGCCTGGAAGGCATGTCTCTGACAGTTTTTTTCCACTGTAGGAAGCTGCCTCTTTAATAGCATTCTATCATTGAATGTCAGTCTTTTGCTCACTGTTCTCCATCTCTGCCCTCTAGGGTGGAGCTTTCTGTACCTAGTGTATGCCCCACTGATACGCAGAGCTCAGCAATTCTTCAAGAACTTGTGAAGAATGAGAAGGGTATATATTTTATCAAAGATTACATGGGGTAGGCAAATGAGAAGTTTAATATTGAACACCTCCAGTAAACCAATAGAGGCTCTTCTATTTGACATGTCTTCTAGTAAACATTTTTGGAACCCATCATTGTCAGGTTTTCTTATCATTCTGGATATTTGGTAACCCTTACTTCTCAGCTCCTTTGGATTGGGTGGGATTATGGTACTAGTTTTGGTCAAAGGACTGTGACAGAAGTGAAATGCATTACTTCCAGGTGGAAGCATTTTATTGTATATATGAGACCCTTTATTCTCTCTTCTACAGCTATGGCAATCATGAGAAGACCTTGGGTTTTGACAGTAGAGACCTAGGACAGAAGTGGCCTGGACTGCTGAGTTGGAATGCTGCCCAAACTCAAAAGGTGATTTGTGGAGAAAGAAGCCCTCATTATGTTAAGACAGCTAAAGCACCGAGCTGTGAGGGTTGTACGCTGCCCAGCCTAACTTTGCTTATCCTGTCTAGGACATGTCTCCATTACAGATCATCCTCTCTGCCCCAGTGCTACTCTAAACAAGTTATCTCCAGACTTGCACACATAAAACCATCATTATGCTTATCTAAACAAAAGGGGCCTCCTTAGAATGGAATCTCTAGTTTGTGTGTACACATATGTATCTGTAAGCAATAGAACATTTGGTAATTATTCTACTGATAATTCTGTGAATGTATTTTATTGAATCAGAGAAGAAGTTTCTTGAAGATGACAGGTTCTGTAGATAAGTTTCAAGCAATATGAATCCCCTGAAATGATGACCTTTTTTAGTTGTTGTCTATGCATAGGTGCATCTCATCTCTAGTTTTTATCATATTTTCAAAGAAGTCCCTTAAAAAAAATCTAGGAACCTCTAGTGAAGGAATAACATAATTTAGGAAAGGGGAGAACTTACAGTGGGGTCCAGATTCCAGCTCTGATACTTGCTGGTTGTGCTATATATTCTTACCACTGTCCTAGATTTAGCAAGATTAGAAGAATTGATTACTCACTCTAGCTGATTTATAATAATCTGAGGTATATTAACCGGAATAAAATTAACTAATTTAAATAGCACTACATCAAGTCAGTAGATAGGATAATTTTAGGGCAGAACATTTTCCTATTTGCCTGTTCTCTCCATTTAAGCAAATTACAGAAGTCAGATTATCAACACATTTGTTGCTAAGAAACCAGTCTTCACAAGAGATACTGCTGTTACATGGACTCCATAGTTCAGTTGGTCTGGAAAATACCTTTTCCCTTGGATCATGTTTGAATAGGCAAGACCATAACTGCCTCCCATCTACCTTCCTCTTTCTCTTCCTCTTCTCCATCTCTTCCCCTTCTCTTTCTTCTCTATTTCTGAGGCTGACCAATACTTATTCTGGAAAATTCAGTGTATAGACTACAGCCAAGCCTTCAAAGGCCCGGATGCCATTCCATAATTTTTGTATCTCTGCTCAGATCTGATGAGCTGATGTATAATATATATACCACTCAGAGGGTTATAGTATTTCCAAGATATAGGGTATAGCCTCATTATTGTGCCCCCCACTAACTATCTTATTTCTAGGCACAGATAATACTTAAAGGATAATTTTTTCATTATAAGTATCTCAAACTTTGATACCATATAATCTTTTATCAGATATATATGTAATATATATCACAGAGATATGAGATATATATCTGATAAAAGATCAGATAAAAGATATCACATATCATATATCTGTGATATATATATCATATATCTCTGCCTTAGGATGAATGTAAAACTATGTTTTAAAAGTATTTCTCTCATTCTTTATAATATAAAATTTGACAATGTAAAAATATTTACTCAATTTTAATAAAAATTGGAAAAGCGAATTTCAGAAAATATTTGTATTTTGATTACATTTAATAGTCTTTTTAAAACTTGGTGCCTAGAGAAACAGCCATTTTTAGAGGATACAACTTCTGACTGTAGTATTAAGATTGTAGCAAGAAGGTAAGTGGTATACACAGTACAGTTATCTGGACCAGTGCTTCTCAAATGAATATGCCTTTGAATCACCTGGGGATATTGCTAACATGCAGATTCTCATTTAGTAGCTCTGGGTTGGGGCTGAGATTCTGCGTTTCAAATAAGCTCCAGGTAATGCTGGTGCTAATGGCTGATACTTTGAGTAGCAAGGGTCTGTACACAAGGGTAACACCACTAAATTAGAATATGTATAGTTTGGCCTCTGTATTCTTCTGTGATACTTTCATAACTAACATTTCTCCCTACCCACAGCAAATCAGTATTCTTGCTTTGGGACACATCCCATACAACTGCATTATAATATCTAGTTGGCCTATGTTTGCTCTAAGAATGTGAGATGAGTAACTATTTCTTTCATAATAAATAGTTAAAATATTTTCCAATAGAGAGTTGAACCAAAGTAACATAGCAGTGGCCAGTGGCATGCATCTTGCCAAGGTCTTAGGGTTTACTGAATTGTGCCAATTATACTTCCCAGAGCAATGTTGCACCTCGGCAAGGGGACATTTGCTCACGCATTTATAAAGTTACATGATGTGGAATAAATTGAGAGAAATAGGAAAGAGAAGCAGTTATGCCTGAGAAGACTGCCAAATATCTTGGCACCAAAGAATTCTGCTTGATTTCCTTCGTGGAGCTTATTCAACTTGGCTTTCTCTCAGTTTAATTTGGAATTAATTTTCTATGGCATTGACCTTTGACAGTTTCTGACCTTAGACACACACAAGTAGTTGAATCTATTGCTACTTTGAAGCAATTGCCACCTAATTTTGGTAAATGCGCTGAAAACTCATATCTTTTTATATGAAATTGAGATTATACATATACCATGGACATCTCTAATATGAGCTAATATCAAGATACCTTCAATTACTGTCATAATTTGAGAGATTCTGGCTTTCATAGAACCTTGAGCAAGAACATTATTTCCAAACATCATATTTCTTAGATATAAAATGGGGATAATAATAACAATAATCTCTAAAGTTAATGATGAAAGTGGCTGGTTGGCTTTATAACTTCTTTCTTTCCTTTTTTTTTTCTTTGAGATGGAGTCTTGCTCTGTTGCCCAGGCTGGAGTGCAGTGGCATGATCTCAGCTCACTGCAGCCTCTGCCTCTCGGGTTCAAGAGATTCTCCTGCCTCAGCCTCCCAAGTAGCTGGGATTACAGGCGCCCGCCACCACGCCCAGCTAATTTTTGTAATTTTAGTAGAGATAGGGTTTCACCATGTTGGCCAGGCTGGTCTCAAACTCCTGACCTCAGGTGATCTGCCCACTTTGGCCTCCCAAAGTGGTGGGATTACAGGCATGAGCCACTGCGCCCAGCCTAGAACTTCTTTCATAGTCTCTTTCCAAATCCTTCTGAAAAAGGAAATTAGAGCAATTGAAGTATTAGTTTCATTTATTGAATATTATTACGGGAATTCTAATCTGTTGAATAAAGTATTTTGTACTTGAAATAGTGTTAATCTTCATTTATCAGTATTTATATCTATTAATTCAGTATATATTATTGAAAAGTACACTTTTTTCCTTAATTTATATTTACATTTCTAGATTTTTAATTCTTCATCATTTGGGCCTTTACTATGATAATGGTAAAAGGTGTAGAGTTGTTATTAGTTTTTTTCTCCTGAACGCTTGGGTTCATGCTGACTCTATTATGGGCTTTCTCTGAAGATAGCGCAAGGCTGAGAACAAAAAGCTTTGAATACCAGAATAATTTAACAATCCACTCAAATATAGCAACTATACCAAACAGGAGAAATACCAGGAGAAGAAAAGGAAAAGTTTGGGCAGAGCTCAAGAGGGCATTACTAGCCCTTTCTTTCTCCTTTACTCATGGAGTATAGTAATGTGGACAGTTAATTTGTTTCTCTGGTTTCTACACAATTGTGGTGCAGGATCTCTTCCATCAAGAGATGTGGAATGAATGACTTTTTCTTGTCTGAAAAAATCTCAGCTCCAAACCACAAGTTAGTGCTGATGTTACCGGGATGAGAAGTAGGGAAAAGGTAGCAGAGCTCCTGTAGCCAGTGTACATAGCCATGCATTGAAATGGCATGAATTCGTGAGATCCTGTGGATGGAGGGTGCCCAAGGCAGCTGGGGCTTGAGGCATCTTGCTGATACCTCAATAGAGCTGTCCATAGGAACAGTAAGAATAACCTAGCAGCAAGCCTGTGGGGTGGAGGGGGAAGAAGATACTTGTAACATCAAATGTATCGGGGGAGCCCTAGTGGAGTCCCTCCAGAATCATTTATGAATAGAGCTTGTGAAAGGAAAATAAATCTTGGAAAACTTGGGGCCCCAAAAATCACTAAACTAAAGGGAAAAATCAAGCTGGGAACTGTTTAGGGCAAACCTGCCTCCCATTCTATTCGGTCATCTCTCTGCTCATTGAGATAAATGTATATCTGATTGCCTTTTTTGGAAAGGCTAACCAGAAACTCAAAAGAATGCAACCGTTTGTCTTTCACCTTCCTGTCACCTGGAAGCCCCCTCCCTGCTTGAGTTGTTCCGCCTTTCCAGATGGAACCAATGTACATCTTATATATATTAATTGATGTCTCATGTCTCCTTAAAATATAGAAAACCAAGCTGTGCCCTGACCACCTTGGACACATGTCACTGGGACCTCCTGAAGCTGTGTCACAGGTGTGTGTCCTCAACCTTGGGAAAATAAACTTTTTAAATGAACTGAGACCTGTCTCAGATTTTTGGGGTTCACATTTTGGTAACCACAAAGGGACTCTGAGTGGAGATGCTCCTCACCTTTGACAAATCTTTCGGTGCTTGGTACCAGCAAGAGCTAACTTTATGGCTCAAACAAGTATGACGATTGCTGAGGTCTGGAAGTACCTACCCCTCCAGAGAATCCTTGATCTCCCAAAATTCGGTCAAGATCTAAAGTTTATTTTGCTGTACAACTCCCCCACCCCCCGACTTTTTTGTTTTTGGAGTTTTACTTGGTTCCAACAAAAAAGGCAAGATTTCTTGTTTCCATGATGATGGAAGGCAGGTAACTCCTTTATGGAGTTTGAACTCACTCCCAGCAAGGAAGATGAGTTTGAGGGTTTTTTTTTCCCTCCTTCTAGGATGGTAGAAAGCAGTCTTCAGCCTGAGACCCATCCGTAGGTAAGTAGCTGAATTGGGGTTTTATCTTGGCTGAAGTTTAACAACCAGGTGGTCTTAATTTCTCCTTACCATTATGGCACTCAGTGATCATATTGTGGGTTTCTGTTGTTGTTGTTGTTTGTTCCAGCCTTTTTCTCATCAGATTTGACCAACTCTAACTGACTTGGTCAGATCTAAGTGAGAATTCCAAATTGTGGGTAAGAAAACCTCTCTAATTTGGCCAAAATTCCTTGCAGTTGCAAACAAGGAAAACAAAAACAAAAAACAAAAGAAACCCATGCACTTGGTTTCTGTGTTTGCTTCCTGTCTTAAAAAAAAAAAAAAAGTTCTTTTGTTTACTTTTCTTCCACCCTACCTCCTTCCGTTTTTGCCATCTGCAGTACAAAAACAAACAGACAAACAAAAACTAGAGAAGGCTTCTAATGACTTGAACACCTTTAAAGAATTCAGAACAAAGGTGCCACTCACCCCTTTTGGGGTGTTTTGTCTTCTTTGTGAAGTTTCAAGAGTCATGGGCAGATTCTTCTTAGGTCTAAAGCTCTGTTTTCCTGTATTGCATGACCTGATCTCCTTGGCTTTGGGGGTACCAGAAATCACCTTGTACTGTGAGAAGACTTGACTTTGGCATGTGTAGTGGTGGATGAGAGCTACAAAGTAGGGGTGGCTGAGAACAGTTTGCACGAAGTGGTGTATGCTGTTTTTTTTTCCCTTTTTTTCTCTCCTAGGAAGTTATTGTTTAAGGATCCTAATTCTAGTTTGGAGATGCATTCTAAAGGGTCTTCTCTATTGCTTTTTATCCTAAAATTAATCTTGATTCAGCTTGTCTGTGTGCATTTATGTGAGGAATTGAATTGTTGTGTTAATAGGTAAATGAGAAACTGAGTTTTCTCAGCTCTGAAGAGAAAGGGAGCCGAAAGTTGCCCCTTGGTGGTTGACCCTCTGCAGTGTGCAGTGACCCTGAAGGGAAATCCCCAAAAAAATTAATTTAAAAAAAGGGATCCTCCAAAAAACACATATAAGGGCTGATCACCTGGTGTTTTGAGCCCTCTCAGAGGTCACAGACCTCTGAGAGAGAGAAACTGAGACCTGTAAGAGGGTGGAAATGACTCAGTGGTGACATACTGTGGAGTCCTGCCCACAAGCAGCACACATTAATACACCACACAAAAACTCTAGGCCACAGCTCAGTTCCTCCTTTTAAGAAAAAAAAAATGGTAAACAAATAATCTAAGAATGAGGAGAAAATGAGGAGAATGACCCCCTTGCAAGCACACTGTAGGTTTTATGGCACCTCTACTTGCCAGAGATTATGTAAAATTGAAGTAATATGGTCTTTGTGCCCATTTACATTAAGGGAAAAGAGCCCTAAGATTGCTGCAAACTACAGAGTTCCTAAGTTCTCTTTTTCTGTATTTTATTTTTTGCCTGCTTTAAATCTGCTGTTATTTTTCCATTAAGATAAAAAAACCACTGTTTTGATCCAACAGGTTTTTTATTTGCAAGCCAGTGAATTTGTATTTATCTCATGACTAAAGTTCTGAAGTAAAAGCTAAAGGATCTTTGTGTGTTTGCATATGTGTGTGTGTATATATTTAAAAGGCCTTTATAATTTCTATAATTTTATGTTTAATGGGCAATTAAATTCATTTTAATTTCCTTCTATCACACTAGACTTTTTCTCTCCGTAACCTGTAATGTGAATTTCTCTAGTTGATTTTCACCTGAGTTGTTTCCTTTAATAAGCACATTTAAGACTATTTAGCTGACAACTGCCTATGGTTATCAATAATTGATACAGGTTACCTATTGAAATAGGTTATCAAGAATTTGAAAGTCTAAGATGGGAAACAAAATGTCTTTATGAATTTATAAAATGTACTTCTAAGGGCACACCTCATATGTCTATATATTTATGTGTTGTGTACTCAATGTTTCAGTACTGAAAATATATAACAGAGCTCTAATTAATTGGCTTAAGAAAAATAAAATGCTTGAATCAAATACTTTATCAGGAAAAAAGAAAGGACTCATCAAATGCTTCTTCAAGTTTATGTAACTTAAGTAAAATCTTTAATAAATAAATCAGAAATGTCTTAAGAATTGCCAGCATACATTTTTGTTTGCATTTATCAATCAAGCAATTTCATACTTATCCCTGCCAAATACTATAAGGTGTCAAAATTTGGTGTAGGGGTTACAAAACTATAAACCCAGCCCCAAACAGAATGATCCTTGCTTGTGTAATTTTTAATAAATAAGACATTGATATAAGTTTAATGAAAATAGCTACATCTTGAATTATTTCTTGTGGCTTTAGGCAGCCTAGCCCACAAAGAGTAAGGAGGTTTGTTTTGGGAAAGGACTGTTATCATCTTTGTTTCAAAGCTAAACTAAAAACTAAGTTCCTTCCAAAGTCCAGGCATGAATAAGGACTGCTTGGAGATTACAAGCAAGACAGAGTCAATTAGTTCTTATCTTTTTCACTGTCTCAGTTAGAATTTTGCAATGGTGAATTTCATAACTTTAAACAATGACTACTGCAGTTTTCATAAATAATCTAGGTAAATGATTAAAATAAAATAATTAGGTAAATGTAATGGGATACTTGTAGACAAACTTGTCGTAACTTAGAATTGAACATTATATTAAATTATATAATGGATATTTCATTATCTGGGTATTTTCCAATAAAAATATATTGTAGAATAACATTCTTTTTAAAAACCAAGTGCCCTGTTTAAAAAGGTGAGCAATTTTTGTCTAATTCAAAGCTTATTCAAAGGTTATGAATAAAACAATGTAAAAGGAGCCAGGAAATAAGAGACATAAAGAAAGTTATAGAAATAAAGAGATATTTTTTGGTAAGAAAGCTTAAAGAGAAATAATTTTATATGAGAAAGAATCTTGTATGGTAAATTTAGTCCTACAATAAAATGCCTGGCTGTTTAAGAAGAAGGGATGTTTAGGACAAACCAGAAAGTTCAAGCATGTCATGAATGGTCTGTCTAAGTCACAATAAGAGGTTTTATTAAAAAAAACTTTTATATGATCAAGTTGTCTGTAACTAAAGGGAAATTATAATGGTATTTCTAGATATTGGGTTTGATGTAAAAAAACACTTATACACTAAATAATTGATTAGAGCAATAAAATTTTCTTAAGTAATTGATTTGCTCTTAAGAAATTATAAGAGATTTTAATTTTCTTTTTTTACCCAATGTTCAACTTGTATTGCATCTCACCGTTTTCAGTTTTCTCTCTCTTTTTAAAGGGCATGAAATAGCAATGGTCTCCTTCAACTCATTTCAACTCATAGAAGTTTTTTTTCCCCTCAAGTTTTGTTTGTTGTGGCCTGATGCTAACAAGGTTTTCTTAAAAGTTTAAAGGACATGTTTTCTTCCAACATAATATTCTTTGCATTGCAGAAGGTCTTTCCTTTTGCCTTTTGGTAACTGGCCTTACAGATTTTACATTTTATTGAAATAATTCCTATGCCATTATTATTAAGTTTGGTTTTGCTTAGAAAAAAAAACTGAGATTAAAAAAATTAATTAACGTTATTACAGCTGTGTATCTTTCTGTATGTGCTTTTAAAGTCCTTGTGACATTGAGTTACAGGACTTTGACTTCTGGGTCTAAAAAGGACACCAAGTCTTGCGAAATCTTCAACACTGACAGTAATTAAAGCTTCATCTTTAGGCCATGTAGAAGATGCCAATCAAAATAAATTAGATTCCTGAGACACATGGTCAGAAATTAAATCTATTCAACTCCTCAAGGCCCAGGGACTATTGCAGAATATGTGGGAATGTCAAATTTTAAGGGCCAATTTTGAGAGATAAAATAAGTTTAGTTTATCTATAATTAAATAAATTAACCATTAATGTCAAAGGCACACTGATGCAAGACCAGCATATGCACCCCTGTTTCAGATTAACAAGGTTTTCTTGAAGCATTAATTGACTCCTTAATAAAGGTTATAAAGGTTATAAAAGGTATATTATAGATGTTATAAAGATTAAAATTTTACAGATTGTTTATAAAATTTTGGAATACAAATCTAATTGACTTTATGCTGTTTTCATTAGGGCTTATTAATTGGAAAATTAATTCTCCTCTCTAAAAAATGAAGGTTTTCACCTTTTTTTGAAATCTTTGAGTTATCACTTTGTTTAAATAAATGACTTGACAATGACCTGTGATCCTATTTTATGATGTCAAATGTTTTAAACCTTTGATATTTGACAAACTTTCCAAAATCATATTATAAATTATGTCTTTGTCTCACCTAATTAATTTTGAGATATCGGCTTTCCTAAAGTCCAAAAATGACCTATTTGGCTTATTTGGTATAAAAATTATACAGGAAGCATTGTCAAATATGAAATGGTGTTTTGTTTTCTTTGGGCTGTATTTGTATAAATATGTAACTGCCATGTGTTCCAAAATTATGGGTAACTCTTATAATTCTGATATGACTTAGTGTACATTATCAGTAATAACTATAATTTTTATGTTAAATTATTGTGTGCCACAGAGGTAACAAATTTCCTCATTAATTGTGTCTTTGACTATGGCTGCCTAAAAACTTTTTGTCATCCATGAACAATTGTTGTCTTGTTTTGGTCCTCTTTAGAAGGTGGTTTTTTAATCAGCTGTAAAACTCTAACAGGTGTTCATGAATGCAGGTTTCTGATAACTTTGGAGACTGTGACATCAGAATAGAGGAAAAATTTTCAGGATTCATGAAGAGCTGAAATGTTCGTAAATATCAAGCAACACAGGAATTAACCACACAGAACTAATAGAAGACAAGTAATCTTTTTAACTTTTTGCTTAAAATGTTGCTGATCCTTTGTTTTGTTTTTCAGAGTCAAGCAAAATTTTATTTTGAGCTATTGACAGCTTTTAACAATTAAGTATACTCCTATGAACAAAATTTGAAGCATATTTATTTCTCTCTACCTGATTCCTCCAAAATTTGGAAACTATTTATGAGTATTCTTAACTTATGGCAATATAGTTATTTGCATAAGTGCAATAAGAATCTGTTTTCATTTGTAACAGGACACAATGGGAGAAACTGGTTATTTTACCAAGGCTTTGACAGGAATGGCATGCTTTCCTTTGAGGAATCAAACTTGACTTATAGAGCCAATAAAAGCCTCTTGGGAAACTGGCTTCATATCTTGTCTACATAGTCACTGTACAGAGTTCCTGACCTGTGGTAAGCAAAGTGTGTCACTTTCTGACAGGCCCAGGGCCCCAAGTTATCTTGGGATCTTAAGAGGAGAAGAATTCACCCAAATCATAGGTATTTGATGGTATAAATCCATGGCTTTGATGGAATCAAAAGACTTTAAGACTTAAAAAAAAGTCTTATCTGATATTCCTACTATGGAACAAAGTTCCATAAAAGCCAATTTATAAAGCCTATGTAAAAAATAATTATTCTTGCTGCACTTTATGCAAATAATCTGGCCAAGTATAATAAACAGATCAGTCCTAAAATGATGTGTCTTTAGTAAAAATGGGAAACTGGAGAGATAAAAATTATGTTTCAAAAACTATAGTACATCTGTTTCTAGATTTTAATCTTGCCTAATGTTTCTCAACTTTTATTATTTTCTACAGTTTGGACTGAATTCTAATTTTCCTTGGCTACAAGTCTTCAAAATAATGTTTTTAATTTTTCCCCCATTTTTCCTAATTTGGAGTCACTGAAAACTAAGCTGTGCTTTTGTAAAGCCCTGCAAACTGAAGCTAGACAACTTAAACTTCAGAAGAAAATAACAGCAACCTTTTTACTTACATAAGCTACTTTCATACCTGCCTACTGATGTATGGACTTCAGAGTAATGTGGCCTATATCAGTTTTCCAGGATTGTTCTTCTGTTTGTTGCTGTTTTTCTCCCTCCCCCTATTTCCTTTTCATAGGACATGAGACTTCTCAACTTGCTGAAAATTAGCTTTCCTAATAACTTGGGACCTACCTGTCTAGGAAAAAACCATCCTAATCTTGAGAGATCAGACAAAACCTGAAACCAGATACTCATTTTCTTCTAAATTGTTTTCCCCAAAAAATTTTTAAAAAGGA
Organism: Homo sapiens; assembly: GCF_000001405.40. Taxonomy (NCBI): domain Eukaryota; kingdom Metazoa; phylum Chordata; class Mammalia; order Primates; family Hominidae; genus Homo; species Homo sapiens. Next base: position 152,035,051 of record NC_000003.12, on the reverse strand, counting down.
AATGGGGAAATGTGAAAAAAAATAAATCTTGGAAATCTTGGGGCCCCCAAAATCACTAAGCTAAAGGAAAAAGTCAAGCTGGGAACTGCTTAGGACAAACCTACCTTTTATTCTATTCAAAGTTATCCCTCTGCTCACGGAGATAAATGCATATCTGATTGCCTCCTTTGGAAAGGCTAATCAGAAACTCAAAAGAAGCAATCGTTTTTCTCCCGCCTGTGACGTGGAAGCCCCCTCCTGCTTGAGTTGTCCTGCCTTTCCAGACAAACCAATGCACATCTTATATATATTGATTTATATCTCATGTCTCCCTAAAATGTATAAAACCAAGATGTGCCCTGACCACCTTGGGGCACATGTCTTCGGGTCCTCTTGAAGCAGTGTCACTGGTGTGTGTTCTCCACCTTGGCAAAATGAACTTTCTAAATTAACAGACACCTGTCTCAGATATTTGGGGTTTACAAGTTCATAAAAAGGACCACCACTTGGGCAATGGTTGCATCATAGCATTCAAGGTCATCTGTGGTGATCAAAAGAGGGCAGCTGTAATCTCCTGCTTTTGACAGAGATGAACTGAACATAAATAGACTTCTCTGCCCTTATCAACTTTATCACTCAAATAGATAGGTGCAGGAACAAAAAATAATGAGATTTAATATGATTGATTTATTACATAAAAGAAGATTTAGATGTTTTTCTTTTTTTCTGTCAACTTTTAAAAATTATGACAGTAACTGAATTTTAAAACAAAAGACAAATATAAAATTATCCTGCCTAATAAATCAAGTATTTTATTTTTTAAAATTGATATCTTAAATACCAGTCAATGTTTTCAAAATATTTGCCACATTTCAACAATATATATGTTTATCTAGCTTTTTTCTTTTTCAACTTTTATTTTAGATTTAGGGGGTACATGTGCAAATTTGTTACCTGGCTATATTGTGTGGTGCTGAAGTTTGGGGTATGAATTATCCTGTCACCCACTGAGCATAGTAGCCACAAGTTAGTTTTTCAACTCTTACTCCTCTGCCTTCTTCCCCACTGTAGTAGCCCCCAGTGTCTATTGTTGCTATCTTTATGTTTTCCCAATGTTTAGCTCCCAGTTATAAGTGAGAACATGCAGTATTTGGTTTCTGTTCCTGCTAATTTGCTTAGGATAATGGTTCCCAGATGCATTCATGTTGCTGGAAAAGACATGATTTTATTCTTTTTTATGACTGCATACTATTCCATGTGTATAGGTACCTCATTTTCTTTATCTAGTCCACCACCGATGGACACCTAGGTTGATTCCATGACTTAGCTATTGTGAATAGTGCTGCAATGAACATGCAAATGCATGTGTCTTTTTGGTAGAATAAATTGTTTTCTTTTGGTTAGGCACTCAGTAATGGGATTGCTGTGTTGAATGATACTTCTAAGTTCTTTGAGAAATCTCCAAACTGTTTTCCACCGTAGCTGAACTATTTACATTCCTCCCAACAGTGTTTAAGTGTTCCCTTTTCTCTGCAGCCTCTCCAACATCTCTTGTTCTTTGACTTTTTAGTAATAATGATTCTAACTAGTGATAGACAGTGTCTCACTGTGGTTTTGGTTTGCATTTCTCTGATGATTAGTGATGAGTATTTTTTACATATGTTTGTTGGCCACCTGTATGTCTTCTTCTGAGAAGTCTTCTTCATGTCTTTTGCCCACTTTTTAATGGGGTTATTTGGTTTTTTCTTGTTGATTTAAGCTTTGTACTGATTCTGGATATTAAACTTTTGTTGGATGCATAGTTTGCAAATATTTTCTCCCATTCTTTGGGTTGTCTATTTATTCTTTTGACAGTTCCTTTTGCTGTGAAGAAGTGAAGATTTAGATTTTATTAATTCATTTGGTCTTTAAGTCACTGAAATGGACCAAATGTGTCAAAATGGCCTGAAAATCCACTAGTTGACAAAATTAATTTTTCTTACCATCCTTCCCCACTACACCTAGCCCTTGCAGATAGAGGTTCAACAGAATATTATTATTAGTTATTTCAGATAGACTTAGGATTTTTCAGTTAAACTTTGAATGCTTTTCAAAGATTCACTTTCATATCCATTTTTGGCATAGTTTTAACTTTAATAGCCAATTTATCATATATTGCTTTATATAATAGATGTTTTCTAAAAGAGCTATGCATAAAAATATCTTTGGGTTAAAAGAAACTGAATAATGTATTTTATAAAGTCAAGAACTATTTGAAAATTTATTACTAAATTTTGGGCATTACATTATTGGGCAATTATGTCTTGTGTAGTTCACCAACCTCTCTGCCCTAACTGGTAAGTTAAGTAGGTATTATATATATTATAATTGTTAAGAATATGGTTTCTGCCGGTCGCGGTGGCTCACGCCTGTAATCCTAGCACTTTGGGAGGCAGAGGCGGGTGGATCAAGAGGTCAGGAGATCGAGACCATCCTGGCTAACATGGTGAAACCCCATCTTTACTAAAAATACAATAAATTAGCTTTGCGTAGTGGCGGGCGCCTGTAGTCCCAGCTACTCGGGAGGCTGAGGTAGGAGAATGGCGTGAACCCAGGAGGCGGAGCTTGCAGTGAGCAGAGATAGTGCCACTGCACTCCAGCCTGAGCGACAGAGCAAGACTCGGTCTCAAATAATAATAATAATAATAATAATAATAATAATAATAATAATAATAATATTAATAATGGTTTCAGGAGCCAGACTGCCTAAGTACAAGCTGGACTCAGTGACTTAACCATGGGAATTTGCTCAGAGAATTAATTATGCATCAATTTCTTCATTTATAAAATAGGAGTAATAATAGCACCTGTCTCATAGGGTTGTTGTTGTTATTTAGTTAACATATTTCAAGCCCTGAGGTTCAGTAGCTATCCTTTAACAAGGTTAACTACTATTTTTATTATGACTATTATTAGTATTATTATTCTCCATACACCCATGTAATACAAGGTTTTGATTGAGAAGATTTCAGTCATGACTGTTTCATTGTCATGCCATTTTAGTCATACCTATTTTAACTCTGCCATTTCATTCTCTCTGTAATATAGGAAAGCCATGATTTCTCCAGGTCTTAGTCTCTTCATTTATCAAATGGGGAAAAATCACCTGTTTTAACATCCTCACTGGGCTATTAACAGGCTGTAACTGATTGTAGAGGGTTGTGAGACACACAAAAAGATCCCAAAATGGGATACTTATTTCTACCTTTGTTGTCTTTTATTTCCTTCTCTCTACTGAGTTAGTCTTATTGGTAATGAATCTTTAAAATGGAAGTAGGTTAGTGTAGTTAGAATTCCTTGTGCTTTTACTTTGCCTCTATATCAAATTTCCTTTTTATATTTTGATATTTCTATAGCTTTCTATTTGCCTAATATCTCTATTTCCCACAGTTTTTCTTCTTACAAATTATAGCACAAATTGTTATTTCTAGATACCATATTGGTCATTTTAATGATGTCTCTCCTTAATCTCTAGGCTATTTCTACCCACATTTTACTGTGCATAAGAGTCATCTGGGAATCTTAGTAAAATAAAAATTCTCACGAAGTACCTCTGCATTTGTAGAAAGATCACAGGCAATGCTGGTGGTATTTTAAAACATATTTTGAGAATCACTGTTCTATAGAAGTAATACTACTACTAATAATAACTGCCATCAATTACAGAGCACTTTCCTCTCTCGAGATTGTTCTACGTGCTTTAAACATATTGATTTACATAATCCTCCAACAGAACTTGCCTTTCCCAGCATTACTGTATGTGCTTTAAGCATATTGATTTACTTAATCCTCCAACAACCCTAAGAAGTAGGTAATATTCTATTTCTATTATATTGTAGATGAGGAAACTGAAGCACAAGGAGGTTAAGCAATATGCCCAAGGTCGTGTAATTAATGAGTACACGCTTAACTATTAATACTACACCCTGGTGATCTAATATAAAAACTGGCCATCAGCTTATTTGTATTTATCATGTTAAGCTATTCTTAATGTTTATAATTATTTAATCATTTCTTTTTAGAGGTTGTGTAGGTAAGTGGAAGAGTAGCAATGTTGAACTGCACTGTCTAATACTCTCGCCACTACCCACAGGGGACACTGAGCACTTGGGATATGACTAGTCTGAATTGAGATGAGGTGTAAGTGTAAAATACACACTGGATTTAGAAAATAGTATGATAAAAAATAATGTGTATATTTCATTCAAAAAATGTTATAGTGATTGTAGGTTGAAATCAATGAAAATATATTTTGGATATATTGGGCAAATAAATTATATTTGAAAACATATTTTTACCTATTTATATTTACTTTTTTTCTTAATTAGGCTAGTAGGAAATTTAAAATTCTATTTGTGACTCACTTTATATTTCTATTGCATAACACTTGTGTGGAGCTTCCAGTACAGGTAGTTGAGCAGAGCCCTTCTCCAGAATGCACTAAATAATGCGAATCTCAGCTCCAATTTCATCATGAAAAAAGACATGTCTAAACCTCAGGGAATGTAGCTGCGCATGTGTGGGGACCGTGGGTAACCAGATGGCCAACAGAGTGGCTAACCATGTCTGCCTCTCCTCAGCCTGAATGTCCATCCTTGTGACAGTGCTCACAGAGAATTCTTGAAGTCTTTATTATTGAACAAATTATTATGAGTTAGTGTGTCTGATTTTAGTACGATAAATTTTTGATTCAGACCACAGAATGAAATTGTGCGTTCTTTTAGGACATTAGTTTCTATCTACAAGCTGAGGGAGGGGACAAGTTTACCATTAGGAGTGCTTCAGGATTTAAAACTGGATAATTGTTTGCTAACCAATAATTGCAGGAAGATTAAAAAACTAGAACAATTGACACCTTTTATAGTCCGTGGAGGCAGGGCAAGGAAAAGCCATCTAGCTCCCAAATATATGAATAAATATAACAAGCCAAATATTTTATATGAGCTAAATTCATAAGTTGTAAGTCTTTTGTAACCACATATTTAGCTTTCTTTGTTTTTCACTATTGAGAGTGTTCAGAGAGCCTGAATAGTACACCATGTCTCCCTTTTTATTGCTAAAGTTCTCAAACTACATGAAAAGATAATGAAAGGATTTGTTGTTATGCCTTTAAATAAGTCACCAAAAACCAATCAAATGGATCATAAAATCAAGGGTTTAAGTTAGCTGTACTTTTCTTGTGACTTTTGAACCATATCCAGACTTGGAAAATAGCTGAACTGAGGCTTATTTTCCTATTTGGAGTTCAAAGTTAATCCTGTTTATTTTTAAAATTTCCATTTCAGAATTAGAAATCTTTGTTTCTCCAGGGTGAGATTATGTGGACATGAGATTTTAAAAATTTGTCTAGTATAATATAAAACAATAGAGCTATAGATAATGATTCTAGATATAATGCATGAGACTCGTTTTTATTCAAACTTTGGAGAAAAATAGTTTCGTTCCATGTAATTACTGACAAAACTTTTTATTAACCTAATGAAATATGTAAACACATTTTAATCTTTTTGGAGTTTAGGAGATTATTATTTTGTTCCCATAAATTTTTCTTGGAATTTTGAAAATCATGTATCATAACAAAACCTGAAATCGTTAGAGCAATTTATTCAGTTACTAGTAAATGTTCTCTGGCAGAAGCGTAGGAAAGAAAATAAAACTTCAGAAAAATAAATGTCCTGGCAGCCAGTCTTCCTTGGATTTCCATTAATTTCAGGGTTTAATTTTATGCTAATTAGCACATATGTTTACAATTTTTAAACCCTTATCTTAATAATGGCAGGTCATTTTAATATCAGCTCATTAAACAAAGAATGGAAAAAGCAAAGGCAAATAAGTTTTTGGATAACTTTTAAAATCTTGAACTTATTTTGAATATGAACCTGGCATTTTGTACTTTGGGATTTGGCCTCAAACTTACTTTAAACCAGATGGCAAAAGGGCACAAAAGATTATAATGAATTCTTGGTAGACCATCTTGGTGGAATACCTCAAATACAATATAATATGGTTATTTAGCCAGTTTAACATATATTCCTGTTCTCTTCTTTAGTATGCTTAACAAAGTCATTTGATACTTAAAAAGATATTAACATGGTGAGAATTTATATTTTAAATGTCTAGAAGAAAGAAATTGTCTCTCAAATCTTAAAATTTATTTAATAATTTTAAATTATTATATAGTTTGGAAATGGAAATGGCCTTAACTTTTTTTTTAAAGTTCATGCAAGGGGGTCATTTTTCTAGGCTTGTTGATTCATTCATATAGCATTTGTGAAGACGTTTTCTGTGCTAGTTCCAGGAATACGGTAAGTCAAGATAAGGTCTTCAAGGTTCTTTTTCTTTAACTTTTATTTTAGTTACAGGGGTACATGTGCAGGTTTGTTCTATAGACAAAGTGTGTGTTGTGAATGGGTTTAACTTGTCACTCAAAGGAGTTTAATTTCACTGGATTATTCAACTTTATATCATCGGTCTCTCTCTTTTAAATAAATTAGTTTGGCATTCATTTCTTTGCTGACTTAAAAGTATTGGACCGACTTTTACATTTTTTATTTTTATGTCTATTTTTTAAGTTTTTTTTTTTTTAATTTCAAGAACTTCAGGGGTACAAGTGGTTTTGGTTACATAGATGAATTGTATAATGGTGAAGTCTGGGTTTTTAGTGTTCCTGTCACCTGAATAGTATACATTGTACCCAGCAGGTAATTTTTCATCCCTCCCTCCTTCCCTCTCTCCCTCTGAGTCTCCTATGTGCACTACCACTCTGTACGCCTTTGCGTATATATAGCTTAGCTCCCATTTATAAGTGAGAACATGTGGTATTTGGTTTTCTATTCCTGAGTTACTTCACCTAGGATAATGGCCTCCAGTTCTATCCAAGTTGCTGAAAAAGATATTATGTAATTTTTTATGGCTGAGTAGTATTCCATGGTAAATACACACACACACACACACACACACACACACACACACACACGCCACATTTTCTTTAGCCAATCCACTGGTGAAGGACACTTAAGTTGAATTTCAATAATATGAATTTTTCCAGTCCATGAATACAAGATGTGTTTCCATTGATTTTTGTCCTCTTCAGTTTTTTTTATCAATGTTTTATAGTTTTCATTGTAGAGGTCTTTACCCATTTCCTTGGTTACATTTATTCCTAGGTATTTTTTTGCAGTGCTTGTAAATGGGGTTATTTTCTTGATTTTTTAAAAGACAGTTTGCTGTTGACATATAGAAATGCTACTTACTTTTGTAGGTTGATTTTTGTATTCTGCAACTTTACTGAATTTATCAGTTTTAAGAGGTTTTTTGTATGTGGAGTACTTAAAATTTTCTCTATGTAAGATCATGTCATCTGCAAACAAATAATTGGCTTTCTCTTTTCCAATTTGGATGCCCTTTTGTTTTCTTTCTCTTGCCTAATTGCTCTGGCTCGGAATTTCAGTACAATGTTGACTAGAAGTGGTGAAAGTGGGCATCCTTGTCTAGTTGTAGATCTCAGAGAAAAAGCTTTTAACTTTTCTCAACTCAGTATGATATTAGCTGTGGGTTTCCATATATGGCCTTTATTATGCTGAGGTACATTCCCTCTATAACCAATTTGTTGAGGGCTTTTATTTTGAGTTTTTATTTATTATATATTTTATTACCTTAATTATTATTATTTTATCAAATGCTTTTTCTGCATCTATTGCAATGATTATGTGGTTTCTGTTTTTGATTCCATTAATGTTATACATCATGTTTATTGATTTATGTATGTCGAGCCATTCTTGCATCCCTGGAATGGATCCCACTTGCTCATGGTGAATGGTATTTTTAATGTGTTCTATAATTTGGTTTGCTAATATTTTGTTGAGGATATTTGTATCTATGTTCATCGGGGATATTGGCCTCTGCGTTTTTTTGTAGTTGTTGCTGATGTGTCTTTATCTGATTTTAAACAGAGAGTAAGATAGTGATTATCAGAGGCTGGGGAGAATGGAGGGAGGAAGAGTGATTAGTTAATGAGTATAAAGTTATAGTTAGGTGGAATAATTTCTGGTTTTCTATTGATGATTATAGTTAACATGGTTAAAAATAATGTATTTATTTTTCCAAATAGCTAGAAGAGAGGGTTTTGAATACTCTTGCTACAAAACAATGATAAATATTTAAGGTGATAGCTATGCTAATTTTCCTGATTTTATTATTACACAATGTATATATATATCAAAACATCATACTTTACCTCCAAATATGTACAATCATTATGTATCAATTAAAAACAAAATAAAACTTTAAAAAGTGTAAGACCCGTTCATTTCCATAGTATTTTTCTTTTTGTTTGTTTCCCTTATAAGTAGCAGCAAACTTTCATCTTAAAAGGCATTCACTACTCAGTGAAAAAGGTGTAATTTCAGAATAAATGTAAACTTTTTAAGGAAGAATAATCATGACACCAAAGCTACCACAGTAACAATTTACTTAGAAGGGAGTATTTGTGTTTGAAGATGATTACAAATGGAAATGGAAATGGAAATACTGAGAGAAAAAAACAACATATTTTGAGGATGAATTGCCCCTTCCTTTTTTAAGGACTTAGTCATGCCATAAACATTATTTCTTTAAAAGCTTAAGTTAAAATTCTTTATGTGTGATGGTCTGCCCTCTCCTGGGCCAGAGTCATATACAAAAAAAAATCTATTTGACTTGTAAAAAGAAATTCATCTCCAAAACAATAAAGTATCTTGCAAGTTAACTTGGTATTAAAATCTTAATAGGTATTCATGAGTGTGGTAATTTCTCACAGATTGCGGCCGTTTTTCAAATATTTGAGGAGTTCTTAGGTGTAGTTGTTCTATTCATTTCCTACTTATGTCCCTTTATTTTATTGCAAAATAAACACAGCTTGGCACTTGACATTTTCCCTGACCCATCTTTTAAACATACATTAGATGTGAGTCATAGGCAATGAACGGAACTCGCATTTTTGCCCACATATTTTTACGTTAAAAATGTTTTCATAATACATGTAATACAAATGTATTAAAGAAGAAAGTTAGAAAATAGAAACAAACAAACCATGAAAAATTACTTGTAATCACATCACAATGGTATAATCACCATTAATATTTGGGAGATTAATATTCCAGATATTTTATATATATTGTAATATATTAACTCCAAAAAGGTACTTATTTTATTTTATTTTTTATGTTTAATTTTTATGGGTACATAGTAGTTGGATATATTTATGGGGTACATGAGACATTATGATACATACATGCAATGGGTAATAATTACATCAAGGTAAATGGGGTATCCGTGCCCTCAAGCATTTATCCTTGCTTTACAAACAATCTGATCCCATTTTTTAGTTATTTAAAAATATACAATTAAATTACTTTTCACTACAGTCACTTTGTTGGGTAAGCAAATACTAGGACTTATTCGTTCTTTCTAACTATTTTTTAATACCCATTAACCCTCCCCAGTTCCTCTGCACCCACCCCTTACCCTTCCCAGCCTCTGGTAACCATTCTTCTACTCTCTATGAGTTCAATTGTTTTGATTTTTAGATCCCATAAACAAGTGAGAACATGCAAAGTTTGTCTTTCTGTGCCTTGCTTATTTCACTTAACTTAATGACCCCCAGTTCCATTTATGTTGTTGCAAATGACATGTTTTTGCAAAAGATCTCGTTCTTTTACATGGTTGAATAGAGCTCCATTGTGTGTATGTACCACATTTTCTTTATCCATTCATCTGTTGATGGACAGTTAGATTGATTCTATATTTTGGCAGGCATGTCACACGGCCAGAGCAGGAGCAAGAGAGAAAATCCAGGGTAGAGAGCATAGGTGTTACACACCTTTAAACAACCAGATCTCATGTGAACTTAGAGTGAGAACTCACTTATCACCAAGGGGAAGGCTCAAGCCATTCATGAGAGATCCACCTCCGTGAGCCAAACACCTTCCACCAGGCCCCATCTCCAACACTGGGGATTACAATTTAACATGAGATTTGCTGGGGACATATATTCAAACTATATAAGGTTGTTTATTTGAAGTTTTCTTCCTTTTTATATAGGCACTTATATCTATAAACTTCCCTCTTAGTATTGCTTTTGCTGTATTCCATGGGTTTTGGTATGTTGTGTTTCCATTATCATTTGTTTCAAGAAATTGTGAAATTTCCTCCTTAATTTCTTCATTTACCTACTGGTCATTCAGGAACATACTGTTTAATTTCCATGTGTCTGTACATTTTCCAAAATTCTTCTTGTTGGTGATTTCTAGTTTTATACTGCTGTGATTAGAGCAGATGCTTAATATTATTTCATTTTTTGAATGTTTCAACACTTGTTTTCTGTCCTAACATATGATCTATAGACAAAATGATCCATGTGCTGAGGAAAAGAATGTGTATTCTGCAGCTGTTGGATGAAATGTTTTGTAAGTATCTATTTGGTAGACTTGGTCTACAGTTCAGATTAAGTTCAATGTTACTTTGTTGATTTTCTGTCTGAAATATCTGTCCAATGCTGAAAATGGGGTGTTGAAGTCTCCAGCTATTATTGTATTGAGGTCTATCTCTTTCTTTAGTTCTAATAATATTTTCTTTATATACCTGGGTGATCCAGTGTTGGATGCATATATATTTACAATCATTACATCCTCCTGCTGAAATAATCCCTTCATCATTTATAGGGACCTTCTTTGTCTCTTATAATTTTTGTTTTGAAATCAATTTTGCCTGATGTAAGTATCATAACTCCTACTCTTTTTGGTTTCCACTGACATGTAATATCTTTTTTCATCCCCTTATTTTCAGTCTTTTTGTGTCTTTATAGGTGAAATGTGTAAATGTGTTTCTTTTTCTTTTCTTTTTTTTTTTTTTTTTTTGAGACAGAGTCTCACTCTGTCACCCAGGCTGTAGTGCAGTACTGCAATCTTGGCTCACTGCAACCTCCGCCTCCCAGGTTCAAGTGATTCTTCTGCCTCAGCCTCCCAAGTAGCTGGACTACAGGTGTGCACCACCACGCCCAGCTATTTTTTTTTGTATTTTTAGTAGAGACGGAGTTTCACCATATTGGCCAGGCTGGTCTCGAACTCCTGACCTCTTGATCTGCCTGCCTTGGCCTCCCAAAGTTCTGGGATTACAGGTGTGAGTCACTGCACCCGGCCTATTGGTGAAATGTGTTTCCTATAGGCAACAACTCACTGAATCTTGTTTTTTTTGTTTTGTTTTGTTTTAAAAATCTATTTGGCCACTCTATGTCTTTTGATTGAAGAGTTTAGTCCATTTACATTCAATATTAGTATTGATAAGTAAGGACTTACTCCTACCATTTTGTTATTTGTTTTCTGGTTGTTTTATGGTCTTCCTCTCCTTTCCTTCCTGTCTTCATTTTAGTAAAGATGATTTTCTCTGGTGGTATGATTTAGTTTCTTGCATTTTAGTTTTTTGTGTATCCATTGCATTTTTTTTTTTTTTTGATTTGTGGTTATGATGAGGCTTGCAATATCTTAAAACCCATTATTTTAAGCTGATAACATCTTAATACTGTTTGCATGAACAAACAGACAAAAAAAAAAACCTAATAACAACTCTACACTTTAACTTTGTCTCCTCTCTCTTTTTTTTTTTTTAATTATACTTTAAGTTCTGCAATACATGTGCAGAACATGCAGGTTTGTTACATAGGTATACACGTGCCATGGTGGTTTGCTGAACCCATCAGCCCATCATCCACATTAGGTATTTCTCATAATGCTATCCCTCCCCTAGCCCCCGACTCCCTGACAGGCCCCGGAGTGTGATGTTCCCCTCCCTGTGTCCATGTGTTCTCATTGTTCAACTCCCACTTATGAGTGAGAACATGTGGTGTTTGTTTTTCTGTTCCTGTGTTAGTTTGCTGAGAATGATGGTTTCCAGCTTCATCCATGTCCCTGCAAAGGACATGAACTCATCCTTTCTTATGGCTGCATAGTATTCTATGGTGTGTATGTGCCACATAGACTTGGAACCAACCCAAATGCCCAAGAACCAAATGTATGTCTTTTTTTAAATATTTCAATCTTTTCATTAAATGTATTTGAAAGACTTATGAATTCTCTCTCTGTGTTATCTTGAATTTCTTTGAGTTTCCTCAAAACAGCTATTTTGAATTGTCTGTCTAAAAAGTCACATATTTCTAGTCCTCCAAGATTGGCCCCTGGTGTCTTATTTACTTCATTTGGTGAGATCATGTTTTCCTGGATGGTCTTGATGCTTATGGATGTTTGTCTGTGTCTGGGAGTTAAAAATTTGGGTTATTTATTGTAGTCTTTGCAGTCTGGGCTTGCTTGTACCCATTCTTTTTGGGAAGGATTTCCAGGTATTCAAAAGCACTTGGGTTTTTTTATCTAAGCTGTATCTACCTTAGGTGGCACCCCAAGCCCCATCATGCTCTGGTTCTTGCAGACTTGTAGAGTTACTACTTTGGTGGTCTTGGATAAAATCTGGACAAATTCTCTGGATTACCAGGCAGAGACTCTTGTTCTTTTCTTACTTTCTCCCAAACAGAGTCTCTCTATTCCTCTGTTCTGAGCCACCTAGATCTGGGAGTGGTGTGACACAAGCATTCCTGTGGCCACCAGCTCTGGGACTGCACTTGGTCAGACCTGAAGGCAGCACATCACTGGGTCTCACCCAAGGCCTGATGTGACAACAACCTGGCCACTGCCTGTTTTCTCAAGTTCCTGGGGCTTTACAGTCAGCAGGTGGCAAAGCCAGCCAGGCTTGCGTCCTTCCCTTCAAGGCAGCAAGTTTCCCTAGGGTGGAGTCAGAGGTGCCGTCCAGGAGCCAGAAACTGAAGTCAAAATCCTTAGAAGTCTACCTGATTCTATTGTACTGCAGCAGAGCTGGCACTCAAACCATGAGTCACAGTCCTTCCCACGCTTTCCTCCCTTTTCCCCTGGCAGAGAGGCCTCACCCCATGGTTACCACCCCCACAGACCCAACAGAATACTGCCAGGCTACTGCAGATGTTCCATTAAGGCCTAGGGGCTTTTTAGTCAGCGTATGGTGAATGCTGCCTGGCCCAGAACTCAACATTCAGAGCAGTGGGATCCCCTCTGGCCTAGGATAGGTCCAGAAAAGCCAAGGGCTGGAATTGAGGATCCCAGGAGCCCACTTGGTGCTTTACACCCCTGTGGCTGAACTGGTACCTAAGGTGCAAGACAAAGTCCTCTTTACTTTTTCTTCTGCTTTTCTCACGCAAAAAAGTTTCATGTGAAGCCAGCAAGTCTCAGATTCTCTCTCAGGGCCCACAGTGTCCTACCTGGATACCACTGCTGGTTATTCAGGGCACAAGGGCTCTTTAGTAAGCAAGTAATGGATCCTGACAGGACTGGGCTTTTTCACTTGAAGGCAGCAGGTTTCCTTTTGGCACAGGGTATGTCTAGAAATGTCATCTGGGAGCTAGGGCCTGGAAAGGGGGCCTCACAACTCTGGCTGGTGCTGTATCCTACTGTGGCCGAGCTGGTAAGTGAGATACAAGACAAAGTCTTCTTTACTCTTCCGTCTCCTGTCTTCAAGCAGAAGGAAGGAGTCTCTTTTTAAGCCATGAGCTGTGCAGCCTGGAGTTTGGGCAGAGGTATAGCAAGCACTCCCTTAGCCACCCTGCCTGGTGTTTCACTTGTTCTGAGCTCAGTTCAGCCCTAGGACTTACCTAGGAGTTGCAGTCCTTATGGCATAGAGTGTTTTCAGTTTGTTTAGGGCCCTGGAATGCTTTAGCCTATGGCGATGAGGCTTGCCAGAACTGAGTTCCAACCGCTGGGATGAGTGATTCCCTTTTGGCTAGAGTAAGTTTAAATACTCCCTCTGTGGGCAGGCCTCAGCTGAGTTCAGCCCAGTTTTGCTTTCTGCTATGACAGGGCAATACTGAGCTCACTGCAATATCTCACAACTACTGCATTCACCCTTTCCCAAGTGCACAGATTCTCTCTGTGCCATGCAACCACTGCTGGGGGATGAGGGAGGAGTGGTGGTGGCAATTCAAGACTCTTTTCTACCTGATTCCAGTGCCTCTTTCAGTGATATGAAGTTAAAATCAGGTACTGTGAGTGCTCACCCAATTTTTGGTTCTTATGAAGGTGTTTTTCTGACTAGACGGTTGTTAAATTGGTGTCTTTGCAGGCGGGATGATTGGCGGAATCTTCTATTTGACCGTCTTGCTCTACTCCTCAAAAAGTTATTTGTTTTAATAAAGTGGGATACAGAATACATGCTTTTGAAATCTTTAATGGAATACATCAAGAAAATAGCACGTAAAATATTTCATAATGCTAACTAACCTTGTAACGCTATGTGTGTCTTCTGCTCAATTGGATAGTAAGTAAGCTCTTTTGGGAAAAACACTGAGCTAAATTAATTTTTAATTTCTTTTGAACTTCAGAATTATGTACAAGAATATATCCTCAATATTTTGGAATAATCTCGTATAAATTTTCCAAATAGGCTGACTTTGGAAAGTATGTCCTATAAGAGACAAAGAAAACAACTCTAGAATCTATCCCCTCAATATGAGTGACAGCCAACCAAGCAAAATAAGTCTAAGTAGAGGATATCAGGATTTCAGCTATAACCATGATTAGAGAAGGTGATGTGCATACAAAGTTATATTGACATGGTGAAATAACTATTTGAGATTAAATAGGTAAGTTCAAATCATTTTTTTTATTGTGGCTTATTTATAGTTCCCCTGTAATTTCTACTTTACTCTTTACAGTTTTGAGGTAGAACTTCTCAGCCTATGTGCCCTCTCTCTGGCATAAACAGAGAGATCTACTTACTGGCATAAAATTTAGACCCCAAAGTGTATTACTCAAATATGCTGAAACTTTATTTCTCCCAAATAACATTAATGAGTAGGCTGAAAATTTGACAAGGGAGGTCTGCTCCACCTAGTCGCTTAGAGATCCAAGCTGCCAATGTTCTGTCAACTTTAAAATATGCCTTCCAAGGTCATGCTTTGTTTGAGTTTTATCCATTCTGGTCAGGCCTAAAAGGGTTGAAAATAAATGAGTGTTATAGGGTCTAGGGCTGGAATTGGCACATACCATTTTTATTCACATTCTATGATGGAAACTTAATAACTTTGCTATACCTAACTGTAAAATAGCTGGGACACTTAGTCCAACAGTACTCTTAAAAGAGAATGTAGATTTTGGTGAGCTGCTAGCAGCCTTTTCTGTGTTCCTTCCCATTTTATTAGTGATGTGTCACCCTCTCTTCACCCTCATTGACTTATCAGTGGTGAATATCTGACATATCACAAGCTTCTAACATATCACAAGCAGGAGAGAGAGTGAGGGTGGGATGAGAATGAAGCAAAACAATGCGAAAAAGGACACGAGGCAGAGACTGAATTTCTGTTGACTTTGCAGTTGCTGATCCTAATCTCTTTCAAAATAATGACCAGTTAGTCTGGCTGATTCATGGGATAATATCCTTTTGATTAAGACCAATTTTTAATTAAGCTTACTTAAGTTCATTTTGTTGCTTTAAAGCATACCTTTTAACACAATTATATCAGTGAAAACATTTTTACCGATTGGGAAAGAGTTAGACAGTTATTAATCCTGTTCTCCCACATGTTAACTGGATGCCTTTTGGAAAATTATACCTTATACCTTATTGAGTTTCTCCCCATCTGGAAAATGCGAACAATAATCTGCACCTTTCATTATCACTGCAATTTTTAAACAGTAAACCAAATAAAGCACAGAGTACAGTGCCAGACATATGGCATATACTCAGTAAATGATATTTCTGATGATAGTAATGAGGATGATGTTGATGGATGTTGACAGATATCAAATGGCACTTGTCCGGTATATTTTTTCAGTTGAACTAGTGGCTTACAGCTGTCCATGAGGTTATGTTTTCTCTGATTTCCAGGTGAGAACAAAGCCAAGAGAAGTGTATGATGTTTCTAATTAAGAACCTGAACTATTTTGCCAACTTCTGTTAACTGACTATAGCCAAAGTTCTGCTAAATGCAAGAAAAGATTTTAGAAAAACTCATCCTAAATCAACTAGTGCCAATTCTGCAAGGGGAAAGAATTTTTGTCATTTGTTTCATATTTTTTGGCCAACATTGCTTTAGATCTACTTTCCAGAATATGATTATATCAATAACTTAACATTACTACAATCTACTTCTTTCTCGAAAAGCTAAAAATCTGAAGACTAAAAGATTTGAAAATATGTCTGTTATTCCTAAGAAAGGTAAAAATGGAAGGTATAATTTAATCTGTCTAACTCTACTTGATCAACTCACCGAATTAACCATTACTCCCTATAACAGATGCAACTGAAGTGTACTTAATTTAATCCCACTTAACAAAGTCACCCAATTAACCAACATTCTTCATTCCTACTATAAAGTTGATAGATGTTCACATAATTCTGCAATCTCAAAGCTAATGGATTACTTTCTAATATTAACATATGCATAAAATAAATGTTGAATGGGGAGCAAAAAATGATTGAAATAAAGCTGAAAATTCTAGAAGAGTTTGGCACCCAGAGTGCTTAACACACATGCACACACACATATACAAACACACACTTACTTTAAAATAGACTAAACAGGGAAATGTCAATGCTGCCTTCTAGGCTTCTGGTATCTGCATTAAGATGATGAAATTCTAATCAAGCAAGCTGTGATCAAATTCAAGTTCTTCGCAATGAGTCAAAATGTTGTTCAATGACTTTACATTCATATGTATTTTAGCTTTACCAGTTTAAGTGATATGTCTTTAAAAATGATATTTCTCTTTAACTTTTTTGATTAACTTGTTAGTTGCCTATTCCAATCTTGTTGAATGAGAGGGGGATTACTCTCCTGTTACTTGGTGCTTTTTGAACTAGATTCTTGTAGCTTACAGAATATTTATTGACAATACCTAGACTCTTTGATCATCTTTTTCATCTAACTCATATGAACCAGGCCATTGAAAGAACTATCAGTTGCTCCAGGAATACTGTAGTGTGTTTAAATATCAAAGAAATGGAACCATTGCATAAGAATGCTTCCTATTTGGGATGCACACAGTAGTCAGAAAAAGTAGATACATAGGAAATTAGATAAATAGCCAAATATATCCTGAACTTGTATTCTTATAAGTTTTAAAGAGGGAGCAAAAGTGACACTGAACTTGATAAAAAAAAAAAAAAGTAATGATAAAAGCGACAATTTGTAATACCCCAGTTTAGAAGACTCTTCCAATAGTCATATATAGCCCAGAGGCAAAATTTTTATTTTATTAAAATCATTCCCCATGACAAAAAAAAAACAGGTAAGCTCAAAATACCAAAAACAGAAGAATAATGCTGGCAACTCACATCACAAGCAATAAGCTAAAATACAAATCAATATGAAATGACCAGCAATTCAAAAGAAAATGAACAAAGAGTACAGAAACAATTATGAACATAAAATTTATAGATAAAAAGCTCTGAATGATTTTTAAACATATTTAAAGACTTCACCTTTACTTAGAATGTGAGAATTGCAAATAAGCCAAAACTGAAATGCCATTTTTTTTATCCCTGTAAGACTGGTAAAAATCAAAAGTGTAATAACAGATATTCTTGTTGAGGGTGAAGAGAAACAGATATTTTCATACATTGCTGGTGGGAACATAATGTAGTACAATCTCTAAAGAGAGTAATTTGGCAATATCTGTCACAGTGACAAATGTGTATAACTCTTTGTTCCTGTAATTCTCCTACTTTTTACTTACATACTCCTATTTTGTGAAATTGCTTTTATAGTATCATTTATAAACAATAAAAATAAAAGAATGACTACATATGCCTATGGCTATATAGATGATGTTACATGCATACAATTGAATGCTATGTGTCTGTATAAAAAGCAATTTTTATTTCCCTTAATATGGTACACCAGATATCCAGGAAAGCTTATCCAAGAAATCCACTATAAAGCAAGTAAGCATAATGAATTAATGTCAAATGCATATTAGATAACAGAGTTAAGTTTGCAATAAAAGAACTCTTTAGAAGTCAAACTTGAAGCTAAATCACAAATTCAGACATAAACAAGCACTAAAAGTAGTGGTTGCCTAAAGAACTTCCTATTCCTTAATGACTTGGAGCATCAGTATTAAGAACCATGTAAAATAGAAAAAAAAAAAGGCCAGAACCATGCATTTTGGGGAGTTAAATCAGACTTTCTCATAAAAATGGGCCACAACCGTAATAAAACTGTTACTAGGTTGGATGGGGAGTGGGAGACCCTGTAAACATAGCCAACATTGCTATATTGACCTTAGTTATAGACCAAATAATAAAATATCTCCTCTTAGAAAATGGAATTATAAGGTAGCTCTTCCTCAGGTATGTGACCCAAGTTTAAACTACCCCAGTAAGGTCTTGAATACTTCCAGCAAATAATTTATTTTAATGTAGTGCTGGGTTGATACTGTACCTTGGCACTGCAAGAAAAAAAAGGAGTGGAAGAGGATTTCTTCCCCAGTGTACCTTATGAGCAGTTTGAACATATCTCAGGAATGAAAATTGGTTTAACATCATTCCATTAACAGGTGGAAGAAGAAAAACAATGTAATCTTCTTTTTGATCATCTCAATGTGGAAGACCATTAAATAACACTTAAAATTAATTCATGTAAAAAATTACATTAATTTTTGTGGAAAACCAGGATTAAAAGATAATTTTAAAAAGCTGATTTTAGGTAATTTCTAAAGTTTATAGTAACTTCAAATTTGATGATGAAACATTAAAAGCATCCCCTTTAAAATCAGGAAAAGGAAAGGATTCTCACTTTATCATTAATATTCAACGTATATCTTAGTATCCAAGCCAGTACAATAAGATAAATAAAGGGAGTAATTATTTTGAAAGAAAAAATCCCTGTCATTATTTGCAGATAATATAATTGTCAATGAAGAAAATCAATATACTGTACAAATAAATCATTTGGAATAATGAGATTATTTAAAGAAGTTACTTTAGAAAGTATCAATATATGAAATGTCATTTGCCTTTCTGAACATCAGCAAATGTTTAATATTTAAAAGTATTAAATTAAAAATGTAATAAAAACCCAAACCAAAAAATGTGAAACATTTTATACATAAATTTATTAAATATTTTATTAAAAATTATTTAAGCAAACTAAACCTAAATGAGTAAGTAGATATGTTCATGTATAAATGGCTTAATATTAAGAAAGTTTCAATTAATTTATGGAAATGAAAAAGACCAAAGACAGCCATAACACACTGTAGGAAGAATAAAGAAAGTGGGAGAATTTACATTAATAAATTCAGGGTGTCCAGGTGGTTTGTTTTTTTTTTAAAGCAATAAAAACTAAGACAGGCAAAGCACAGACAAATAAACCACTGGAATAGGAAAGAAAGTTCCCAATAGATCTACATGATTATGAAAACTGGATGTATGAGAGAAGTACATGGCAAATCACATGTCAAGTCTTGGGGATCAGATGAATTATTTACTAAAAATACAATTAGGTATCCACATGGAAAAGAACAAAATTTGATCCCTACCTCAATCTATAAACAAAAATCAATTCCAGATAGAAGATTAATAGCAATTTTATGTGGTAGTATAGGACAATTCCTGTATTACCTCAAAATAAGAAAGGATTTTTAAAAAATGAAACACAATACAAAATTAAATATAAAGAAAGCAACTGACAAATTCTACTGCATTAATTAAATCCAAAGAGATCATAATGAAAATGAAAGATATCCTCTACTGAGTGGTAGAGGATATTTATAACAGATACACTCACAAAGGATTCATATCTAGACTATATAAACAATTTCTAAATTTCTTTTTTTTATTATTATTATACTTTAAGTTTTAGGGTACATGTGCACAATGTGCAGGTTAGTTACATATGTATACATGTGCCATGCTGGTGTGCTGCACCCAATAACTCATCAACAATTTCTAAATTTCTTAAGTAAAAGATAACTCAATAAAAAGGGCCTTTTACAAGACAGGAAATTTAAATGGCAACTAAAAATATGAAGTACTGCTAAAAAGAAACATGAAAATGGAAACTACAGTGATGCCATTAGATACCTGTTAGATTGGTGAAAAAACGAAAGAAAACAGTTTGACCAAAAAGTAGTATAGAATTGGAGAAACAGGGAATGGCACAGACTACCACAGTACATATAATTTTGATACCACCACTTTGGAAGATAATTTGGCACTACCTAAATAAGCTGAACATTGTCATACCCTATTACTCAGCAATTTCACTCCTAATATATTCCTGAAGTAAATATCTTTTGTCTGTTCTAGGAAATACAAATGAGAATATCTGTATAGGATTGAAATAACTAAAAGTGGACACAATCAAAATGTCTCTAAAAGAATGGAATGAATAAACTGTGTGCTATGTTTCTACTATGGAATATTATACAGCGTTGAATAGGAATGAACTGAAGTTACACGTAAGAATGTGTATGTATCTTCCAAGCATGTGAAATAATGAACAAGATGCAAAAGATTCATATAGTATAGTTCCATTTTTATAATATTTATACATAGACACAACTAAGCTGTATTGATTAGGAATATATATATAAATGATGAAATGACAAACAGTAGCAAAAAAACGTAACACAATAAAAATCAGGACAATGGTTACCTCTGGGATGATAAATGAGGAGCAATGGGGAGTGGACATGAAAGGATTCTGGAATGCTGAAAATGTTTTGAGTTTTACTTGAGTTGTAGTTTCACAAGAGTCTGCTTTATAATTATTCTTTAAATTATGCATGTATGTTTTATGCTGTCTTCTGTGGGTATATCTCATGAACAAGTAATTCCAGGAAGAGAAAAAAATCAACATCCAGCGAACCCATAAAAAGATTCCTAACTTAACATATAATAATGAAAAAGAAAATTAAATGAGATGCGGTTTTACACTCACTAGACTGGCAAAACTAAAAAGTATTGTGCGAATGTAGAGAAAGGTGATGGTGAGTGTAAATTCACATAAACATTTTGGAAAAAGATTTGGTATCTAGAAAAGTTGGTGCTTATACCCCTTGACTCAACAACTTCACCATTAGGTACATGTAGAGGAATTCTGGTACATATGCAGGAGGTACACACAAAAAAGTTTATAGTACTATTTCTTTTTACAACAGCAAAATATTGTAAAAATAAATTGAAATGTTCTGTAATAGGAGCATGGATAATCCTAGCTAGCTCCTCTCTGTAATTATGAAAATTAATGAATTACTATTATATGCATTAACATAGATTAATCACACACATAATATGAAAAATATGCCATAGAAAAATACATGTAGTATGATTTCTATTATTGCTCAAACACATGTAATATGAAAATAAGTAATTATCTACATACATGTGTGGTAAGATTGAAGAAAAGCAAGAGAGTATTCAATATAAAACTTCAAGTTTTTAAACACTCTGGATGGTAAATAAAAGGAAATATGAAGAGTGATGCACAATGGGCTTTAAATTTATTGGTAGTATCATATCTTAATCCAAGAAGTAGCTGCACAGGTGGTTGTCTCATTAGTACTCTACATAGCTTTCATAAGCTATATAGATGCATATGCTCTATACATGTATACATGCAACATGACTTATATATGCATGACACAATCCTTAGTTTAAAATGGGAAAGGGAGAAAATACAGAAAAAGATGACTTTTATATGTCAAAATGAAATAGCCTTCAGGGTAAATTAGTGGAAAAAAAGTAAGGCAAACAAAATGTGTATAGGATGCTATGATTAGTATAACTAAAGTATAAAATGAGAATAAATACACATTTTGCTTATTTGTATTGAACATTTTGGGGAAATTATGCAGAAAACTGGTGACTCGGTTGCCAGCCAGAAGTGGGTGTTTGGATGACAATTTTATGGGGGAAAGAATTTTCATTGGAAGGCCTCCTGTTACAGAACTTACAGTACAAGTTCTGTAAACTTTAGACTCTTGTACTAAGTAAATACATTACAACTATTATAATAGTTACAATTTAAAAATTTTAAATAAATTATCCTACCCAAATTTTCTGATGAAATGGAGTCCAATAACAAAGGACCAAGGGATTCTATCCTCAGTTTTTTCACCTAGAGCTCATAATATGACGAATTAAAAAAATCTTCCTATTGCCACAAAGGGAAGGGAATAAAGGAAGGGATACTGTGATTATTAGTTTTTTAATCACAAGTGATACACATGAAATAGTAGAATGGGACAGAATTCAGTTAACGTTAAGCCAGAAAATCACACCAAATGTCAAATTTTCACAGTCATTCTCATTAACAACATTTATGCCAGTCATACACACTGGTTTCCACAGAGACCAACCAAATTTTCTAACAGTTACTGGCTTTATAATCTGACTTTCTAACAAAAACTAGCTTATTATATTCCTGCAAAGACTAATGTTGAGTAACACAGAAGAGCAGCATGAAAGAACTAACATTGTGAGCCAAAGTAAATCCATTTATTTATAACGTGGTCTGGCCAATTTTTGGACAGTCATATTTTATAACCTTCCATGAACCTGGAATTTTCCTTTAACAATTGTGCTAAATTTACTAAATATATCATTCCATTGTCTAAAATTGACAAAGCTTTTATTTTAATAAACTGATTATTTTGTAATTTAACACTAGTAATTTTTAAAATGCTTTTAGTTAGCACAGAGCTAATTTATTCCTATTTTGCTTGTTTGCCAATTTGCTGTACTGTCATAAGGGTTGTTACTTTAAACCTTCAAGTAGTGTCTTAAAATAATCCAGGCGCTAAAGTTACTAGTCCTGGTATCCTGGTACATTATACAAGTTAACAAACATTTGTGTGACAACTATATGTAAAACACTCTGCCAGAAAGTAGAAAGACACAGAGGGAAATATATATGAATTTTATAGATAGATAGATAGATAGATAGATAGATAGATAGATAGATGATAGATAGATAGATAGATAGATAAGATAGATAAAGCTTTTCAAAAAATTTGTTTGCAGGGGAGGGCCCAGATGTACTCTGATTGGTTAATGAAAGATAGCAAAGAAAATTATTTGAATTGGTTGTGACGGTCTGTGCAGCAGCTTGGGCTTGTTGAGAAGTCTGATGTAATTGGAGCTTTCTGAATTCTACAAGGATTCAGGGCAGAAGGAACATTTTACCTCTATCCTACAAGATGAGAAGGGGGATTTTCAAAATGAAGAAGGAGTATGAGTTAGCTAAGATTGGTAGTATGGAAGTAAATGACATATTTGGAAAACAAAGAGTTGAAATAGCCTGAGTTGAAATAGCAAGTTGGGAGATCTCAGAGAAATAAGATGAGATCATGCTATGGAAGGCCATGAAAGCAATGCTAAGTCATTTACATTGTTTTTATTTTCTTCATGGCGAACCATTAAATGGTTTTGGAAATATTGGTAAAATGCTTAAATTTGAGATAATTTTATTTATTTATTTATTTATTTTTGACAGCCTCGCTCTGTCGCCCAGGCTGGAGTGCCATGGGCTCACTGCAACCTCTGCCTCCCGGGTTCCAGCAATTCTCCTGCCTCAGCCTCCTGAGTAGCTGGGATTACAGGCGCCCACGACCACGCCCAGCTAAATTTTTGTATTTTTAGTAGAGATGGGGTTTCACCGTGTTAGTCAGGATGGTCTTGATCTCCTGATCTAGCGATCCACCCACCTTGGCCTCCCAAAGTTCAGGGATTACAGGTGTGAGCCACCATGTCTGGCCTGAAATATTTTTAAAAAAGAAATATTTGGTCATTCAGATTGGCAAACAGATTTTTTAAATAAAATTGTGATAAAATACACATAAATCTAAGAAAGTAAACAGGTGAAGGAAAGAATATGGCTTGATAAATCAATTAGGAAATAGATTTCATTAGGAAGATGCCCTAGAGGTTAGCCGTCACAGGCCTTGACTAGTAATGCTGCCCACTGAACATAAAATATAATGGCTTTGGACAGAAAAGTATCATGTAGGTGGATCAGAAAAGGGTTGTATAAAGCAATACAGTAAGAGGGAATAGAATAATTTTAAGGTCACCTGGCTGATGTATTGACAGTGCCAGGAATTAAGAGCAAGGGATATAGTATTCAGCTCTAGTACCATATACAACCTTCTGGCCAGGAGCTCTTTCAATGACTGAGCAGGGACTTAGAAGGCTGAAGATGAACATATATATCCAGTTACTTTTCTTTCACAAGCTTCTGTGGAAACAGAAACAACTCAGGACATTTCAAATGAGCCAATAGTCTTTATTGAATACACAAAACATATTCATCCAAGTTCTAGGTTTTAAAGATTATAATTAAGTTTATACAGTGATATATAGTCAAGAACAAAGTTTTACATCTTATAAAAACATGCAGTCATATCTTAACACAATATTATGATGTTTCCATATCTTGTGGTATTGCCATGGGAAAACATAAATTTGTTGTTGTAAGTTTACTGCAAAATCAGCTGTCAGATAAGCCTTAATTTAAAGATAATTAGCTTTTTTTTTGTAATTGGAAACATGAGGAGAATGTGTAAAATACCCCAAAGGAAACAGACCCAGTTGGCAGAGTAAATTAGTTTTGATTTACATGAGATTTTATATGCCTAGAGATTTTGGTATGAAAAAAACTAAACTTCCAAAATCCTAAAACAATTTTAGTTCATTTTATTTCTTCTGTTTACCTAACATTGATTTATTGCTTTTTATTGCTATCTCAACTACCCCAAGCCTTTAAAAAGCTGCCTTATCATCTCTCTATGGTCATTAGACTTTGCAAAAGAAGAATTAAATTCTATATGGTAGAAGGTGTTGGTAATTTTCAAATTATATTGCAGTGGCTTCATTTTATGACAAATATAAGAATAAAAATCATCTAATTGGACTGGAAATTCATGATTATTATTGGTTATGTGTTCCTGAGCCCTAGAATGACATTCTACTGTGACCACACAATCCCTAAACAGGTACTGACTTTACAAAGACTTGAATCAACCAGTTAGGAGAATAAACTGAGTGGAGGAAGGACTGTGAAGGTGTGGAAAATTCTATCTGCCAAAGTTTTGGAACTACTGCTTTTGATATTATATGAGCAAAATGAATAAAACTAAGGGCTTTCATTGCTTCCCATCAAATCAAGATTTCCAAGATTTCCAGCTCCATAACAAAGTAGAGGATGCAAATAATATATTTTATTTATCATGTGTTTTTCTGACTTTTATTAAGGACATTTTGATGTTGTTAAAATAAATATATTATCAGGAGATAAACATTGTGAGGAAATTTGCAATATGATAAAACAAAATGAAAGCATGCCATAAAAGTCCAGTACTTTTGCTAAAATTCCACGAATTTGGAATGGAAATAACTTTATGCTAGTAGCCCCAAAGTTTTCAAAGCCTAGCAGCAGTCTCAATGAGCATCCATGGTTAATCAGTGACTGTGGGGCAATGTTTCTATACTTTTTGTTGTTTGGCTGTTGGCATAAGCAGGTTATGTCCCTTTCAGAAAGTGATGAATGAGACAGGCACTTTCTCAAGATAAGCATACATATCATGCATATGTGGATAAATCCACGTATTCATTCACAATTATAAATAATTTTAGGAGGTCTACATGCCTCCTGAACTACCCAATGAACACCAAATTTAAAATCTGAAGCTTAAAGCACCAAGTCTATACTATTCAAGCTTACCCTCTACAACTAGAGCATTTACTATCTGTCACAAACTTTTCTCCCACTGTTTCATAAAATGAAGCTTCTGCTCAAGTCAATATGATTTCCTTACTGTCTCCAAAACAAATCATGATACCAACCTACTGCTGCCATCCTCAACTGGATCCTGGATAACCTTTGTCTTTTTTCTCTTCACATTCCCAATTCTAGCAAATTAATTTAAATTATACTTTCTACAAAAATTGCCTATGATATCAGCCCATAGTTAACACTGTTTTCTCTGTAATTTTAATTTGTGATAGTGCATGTTGATTATTATAATACAGTAGGTAACATTTCCCTGGGCATATAGTAGACACCATCAAGAAGATAATGAGATCCAATATTTTAGGATATTTCACACTTAAATTCTTTCAATCAGAAACTACCAGATGAAGAAAGATGACATTGGGAACAAGGTTAACTTTACTGTGACATGTTCTCTTAAGGAGGGCCAGCAGTAGCAATATTCTATCAGAAGTAGCCATGTGTCACCAAGCAATTGATTTGTTTCACCTTGTAGCCATTTGAATTTCATAGCTAATTTATCTCCCCTCTCTGTTCACTAGAAAAGCTAAAGCCAAATTCGTGGAATTCTAGCAAAAGTATCGGACTTCATGTATGCTTTCATTTTGTTTTATCATATTGTAAATTTCTTCACAATGCTTATCTTCTGATAGTCTATTCATTTAAAAACATCAAAATATCCTTCTTGATAAAAGCCAGAAAGAAACTGGATCCCTTCCTTACACCTTATACAAAAGTTAATTCAAGATGGATTAAAGACTTAAACGTTAGACCTAAAACCATAAAAACCCTAGAAGAAAACCTAGGCAATACCATTCAGGACATAGGCATCGGCAAGGACCTCATGTCTAAAACACCAAAAGCAATGGCAACAAAAGCCAAAATTGACAAATGGGATCTAATTAAACTAAAGAGCTCTGTACAGCAAAAGAAACCACCATCAGAGTGAACAGGCAACCTACAGAATGGGAGAAAATTTTTGCAATGTACTCACCTGACAAAGAGCTAATATCCAGAATCTACAATGAACTCAAACAAATTTACAAGAAAAAAACAAACAACCCCATCAAAAAGTGGGCAAAGGATATGAACAGACACTTCTCAAAAGAAGACATTTATGCAGCCAAAAGACACATGAAAAAATGCTCATCATCACTGACCATCGGAGAAATGCAAATCAAAACCACAATGAGATACCATCTCACACCAGTTAGAATGGCAATCATTCAAAAGTCAGGAAACAACAGGTGCTGGAGAGGATGTGGAGAAACAGGAACACTTTTACACTGTTGGTGGGACTGTAAACCAGTTTAACCATTGTGGCAGTCAGTGTGGCAATTCCTCAGGGATCTAGAACTAGAAATACCATTTGACCCAGCCATCCCATTACTGGGTATATACCCAAAGGATTATAAATCGTGCTGCTATAAAGACACATGCACACGTATGTTTATTGTGGCACTATTCACAATAGCAAAGACTTGGAACCAACCCAAATGTCCAACAATGATAGACTGGATTAAGAAAATGTGGCACATATATACCATGGAATACTGTGCAGCCATAAAAAATGATGAGTTCATGTCCTTTGTAGGGATGTGGATGAAGCTGGAAACCATCATTCTCAGCAAACTATCGCAAGGACAAAAAACCAAACACTGCATGTTCTCACTCATAGGTGGGAATTGAACAATGAGAACACCTGGACACAGGAAGGGGAACATCACACACCGGGGCCTGTTGTGGGGTGGTGGGAGGGGGGAGGGATAGCATTAGGAGATATACCTAATGCTAAATCATGAGTTAATGGGTGCAGCACACCAACATGGCACATGTATACATATGTAACAAACCTGCACGTTGTGCATATGTACCCTAAAAATTAAAGTATAATAAAGAAGCCAGAAAAACACACAATAAATAAAATATATTATTTGTATTCTCTACTATGTTATGGAGCTGTTTGAGAGAAGAATGATGAAGAAAGATTTGTTGAAGAAAGAATAAAGGAAAGAAAGAGGAAGGGAGAATAAGAGGACATACATAGATTGGAATATGAGATTCATTAATTTCAAAAGGAGTAATTTTTCTTTATGAGTTATAGTAATTTGGATTAAAATAGTAATTGCCCATCTCGAGCACTTTCTATTGCTCTTTCCTGTTTTATTTGCCTGTAGGATTTATACCTGATATATCTTTATTTGTCTTTGTTCATTGTCTGTATCCTCCTCCTGGAACATCAGTTCCATGAAGGTAAGAATTTTGTTTGTTCCTTACATACTGCCCCAACCCATAACAGTTAGATACTAACAGCCTGTCCCCAGTTAGATACTCCATAAATGATTAACTAGTGAATAGATAATAAACAATCACAACAACATCATATGAATACAAGGAGAAATAGTCTCAACTAAACTGGAAATTTATATCTTCTAGTTCTATGTGCTCCAATACTAGCTTTGTACATTTGGTTCAGTTATAATATCTTCCAATTTAATTTCCTTCATTTATTTCCCTCATGACAACTTTGGATTAGAATTAGGGGTGTCCAATGTTTTGGCTTCCCTGGGCCACATTGGAAAAATAAGAATTGTCTTGGACTACATATAAAATACACTAACATGAATGATAGCTGTTGAGCTTTAAAAAAAAATCACACACACAAAAAACCCTCATAATGTTTTAAGAAAGTTTACAAAGTTGTGTTGAGCTGCATTCAAAGCCATGCTGGGCCACATGCACCCCACAGGCCGCAGGTTGGACAAGTTTGGATTAGATGAACTGTAAGATTTTATGCCAAGCCCTTTTCTCTATCAATAAAGATTATTGTTTATTTTAATGTTTATTACTCAATTGGAATTCATAAAAAGACTAGTTGTTTCTAAAATTTTTCACATTCTCTTTTGTAATCTTTGTAAAGGTCCTATTTCTGGGTTAAGAATATCTTTTTCATGCCTCATACATGCAGACCTGCAAACTTGATTACACAGACCTTAATAGCTTTATTCTTTGACAATTTTGAATGAGCAATTGTTCTTATTTTGAAAGATATCCACAATGACTCTAAATTTAATGAGTCTCCTTTAGGTTTAAAGTCAATTGAAGTAGATTTGCTGACCTTATGAATGAGGACAGCTGTGTTCTGATGAACAATTTATATTTGCAATTTCATTTTCTTTTTCTTTTCTTTTTTTTTCTTTTTCTTTTTCTTTTTCTTTCTTTCTTTCTTTTTTTTTTTTTTTTTTTTTTTTTTTTTGAGATGGAGTCTTGCTCTGTCACCCAGGCTGGAGTGCAGTGGTGGGATCTAGGCTCATTGCAACCTCTGCTCACTGCAATCTCTGCCTCCCGGGTTCAAGTGATTCTCCTGCCTCAGCCTCCTGAGTAGCTGGGATTACAGGCACACACCACCACACTTGGCTAATTTTTGTATTTTTAGTAGAGACGGGAGATGGGGTTTCACCATGTTGGTCAGGCTGGTCTCGAACTCCTGACCTCATGATCTGCCTGCCTTGGCCTCCCAGAGTGCTGGGATTACAGGTGTGAGCCACTGTGCCCGGCCCTATATTTGTAATTTCTTTTCATTACTGGCAGACTTTCCCCTCATTTACCTGCATTGCCTTTAAATTTCCTTAGTCCATTTCTCCGCAGCTTTGTATAGTAACAGTCTGGTCTCTGTACATGCTCTTCAAAAATTTCATCTATTTAAACTCATTTTCTTTGTAGGAGGTAAATGAATTCTTTTCAAGGCAATCAACCCCATATTTATTCTGTGAAAATCCTGGAAATTCTGGCCATTTTTATCAACATTCTTCCTCATTTGCTATGTGTTAGTCTCCAGTGGGGTTTCCAGGTGAACAAGTCCCTAAGGAGCTCAATCAAGTGGGGAAAGAGTCACACATATCAACGTTTCACAGCTAAAATGATTTGGTGACAGTGAATACAATGTGGAGCACAGAGAACAGAGTGACAAATAACGGCATTTTCTGAGGTAAGGGGTCACAGTCCTCTCTTCTCCTTCCCCACACCTACTTAGCATGATGCTCCTCTCCTGGCCAGTGTGTCCAAAGAGATGGAGCTCCCTCTTCCCTCAGATTCCAATAAAGCATTACTGTGATTGCTTATTGAATAGAGGGGCAGGCCTCCAACATGTCTCACCCCCTCCAGCTCTAAATGAGAGAGACTAAATTCATGGTGAGTA
This sequence comes from Homo sapiens, assembly GCF_000001405.40. Classification (NCBI taxonomy): domain Eukaryota; kingdom Metazoa; phylum Chordata; class Mammalia; order Primates; family Hominidae; genus Homo; species Homo sapiens. The sequence goes on along the minus strand of NC_000003.12, from coordinate 152,005,010 downwards.
TGGTCAGGAGGTGAGGAGCTCCCTTTTTTCACACAGCCCCTGCTAGTACGAGTTAGGTCCCCAGGTGCAGCTGCCTGAGAATACTGGAAGCCAATTGCCTTCACCCAAGCTCACTCATAGTACAGAGGTTCCAAGCTGGGACAGTCAAGCCAGGAAAACAAGAGGCTACCACCCTGTTCACTGTGCAGAAAGCAACTCAGAGATTTAGCCCAAGGGGAGAGAAAGTCTATAAGAAAAAAGAGCTCTGAAGTTCTCCACAAAGAACCTAAGTGTGTTTGAATAAATCTTTTAATTTTGATAATGTTTAACATCTGAAAATCAATTAACGTACTATAGCTCATCAGTAGAATTAAGTGACTCCACATGGTCATCTTAATAGATGCAGAAAAAGCATTTGACAAAATTCAATGCCACTTCATGATAAAAACATTCGATAAACTAGAAAGAGAAGGGAATATTCTCCACTTGATAAAGGGCAACTACAATAAATTCCACAGCTAACATATTCAGTGTTAAAAGACTGGGTGCTTTCCCCCTAAAATTAGGTACAACAGGCGGTTTTCTGCTCTTACCACTTCTACTCAATATGGTATTGGAGATAGTGTACAGGCAGTAAAATTTCACTAAATACTGCTGATATGTCCTCCAAAAATGTTCCATCTTCAACTACCATGAAAGTATTAGAATGCTTCTTTCTTTATACCATCTAAAACATTATTGCCTCTACAATCTGTGAAAAATGGTTATATGTTGCTATTTTAATTTGAATTGCTTTAATTATAATTAAAGTTGGGAATTTTGAATTTTTACTTATTTTTAAATTTTTTATTGAGACAGGTCTCACTGTTGCCCAAGCTGGATTGCAATGGCATCATCCTAGTTCCCTGCAGCCTGGAACTCCTGAGCTAAAGCAATCCATCCGCCTTAGCCTCCTGAGTAGCTGGAACTACAGGCATGTGCCACCACGCCTCATTTTTGTATTTAGGTTGGGCATTTTAAAATCTGTCATCTGTTTTCAACAGTATTTCTGCAAACTGTGTGTTTATGTCTACCTATTTTTATTTGCTGTTTTTCTGTATTGATTTATGAAAAGTTATATATTAAAAACTTTATATATTGTATATAAACATGTTTTGCAAGCTTTTTTTAGTTTGTCTTTTGACTTTTCTCATGATATATATTTTTAATATCCTAAATATTATTTAGTTACGTGTATTGGTCTTCTGTATTTTGTATATTGCTTAGAAAGGGTTTTTTTGTTTTTAAGGGTTAAAAATAAATCACTTACTTTAAGAAAAATATTTACATTTTGGTTCATCCAAAATTGTTTTATAAAGATGGGGATAGGAATCCAACTCCCCTTGCCCCCTGCCAAATAGTTGATCAGTTTATCCCTAATGATCCTTCGTCTAGCAATCTGGATGATTTCTGGAGATTCCTCAAAGTCTAACAGTTTATAATTCTAGAAGCTAAGGATTATAATTAATCTCTGACAAATCACTGGGCATAGCAAAGACTAAGTTTTGGATTTTAAGCAGATATGAACACTTTATTAACAGATTCATCATGTGGATGGGTTGGGAATATAGACTCTTGAGACCATCAAGTTCAAATTCCATATTTGCCACTTACTAGCCGTGTGATGTTTGACATCTTACCCTCTCTGTGCCTCAGATTCTCTATCTGTAAATCAAGGGTAATAGTAGCGTCTAAATCATAAGACCATCTTGGAAATTAAATGGGTTAATATATGAGTTCAAGTATTGTCTAAAACACTTCCAGGCAGAGAGTAAATGCTACATAAAAGTTATTATTATAAAAATTACTACATTATTATTACTAAAGTAGTTAGAAAACAAACAGGCTATTTTATGAATTATTCCACTCATTGCAGCCATGTTGGTCAATCTTGCTCATAGGTGGGTGTCTATGATTCCATGATTCCATGATTTCTTCTAAGAAATAAACCTGCCTAAAACCATTCTGTGTCTTCCTGCCCCTAACCTATAAGGAGACAAAAGAGAGTGGCGATGCTGGTAGTTCTGTCACAGGTGAACTATTGATTTTTCGATAAATAAATGTAAATATAAAATAAAGCATAAATACTGCTTTCCAGAAAACTTCACAGAGTGAATAGTTAAATGTCTGCCACTGGATTCGTGTCATTTTCATTTTTCAGGGGGTTGAGGGAGGTGCAGTGAGCTCTAGTCCCAGAACCCAAAGCAGTGCATAGGCAATGCATCTTCCAGGTTCTACTTTCTGGTGGCATCACCATGGATCTACATCACCTCCTCATACAAAGCAAACAACTACAGTTAAAATTATTGGACTATCAAACAACTACAGTTAAAATTATTGGACTATCACAAGAGAAGTTAAAATTTACCTACTTTCCAAATGAAACACTTACGATGCAAAAAGTAGGCTAAATTTCCTTCTCCCTCTTGTAAGATACCTATTTTATTAGCAATTATCACAATCTTCCAATTGCTCTCTTGCCTCTGTCAACAAATACTGTTTTTATCATTTTTGTATCATTTCACCAGCCTCTTAGCACAGTAACTGGTCCCATGGAAGGAACTCAAATACTTTTTGAATAAATTTGTAAAATTATTAGTAAAGCTGAAAATACTGGCTACTGTTAAGCATTTCATCAATGCCTACTTAGTGTTTTTGTTGAAGTTTAATATTGTAGCGTTTATAAAAAAATAAATTCGTAAGCTCTGAGCTTATTGAAAATATGAACGTTTTCTTATTTAGATCTGTATTCTCAAGTTCTCATACAATTCCAGGTACATGTATAATAGGTGCACAAAAATGTTATAAAATTCATGCGCAACCTGACCAATTATTGAAAATTATCTGATACAGCTAATAATAATAACTATTAAAAACAGTTGTTGACGTTTCTTAAGGTCTTTTTATAATTCACTGTGAGTAGTGACATAAGTAGTTAAATAATAAATTATCTTATTTAACCTCGAAACAAAACTAGGAAATAGGTATTATTATTCACATTTTACAAATAAAACATTGATATTTAAAAGGAAAATAACTTGCCTAAGTCATACAGTTAGTTTGTAGTAAATTGTTGACTCAACACTAGATCTATTAGATAATAAATTTTTTGCCAGCAACTACTCTGTGATATCTCTTGTTAATATCACCTAAACTCTGCAGAGCACTGAATGACACTAATGGATCGTTGGGTCCCTAGGACTTTCAGCTTTTTCTTTAAGTTTGAATTCTCATCAGAGATTGTCTTGACAGTTTGTCAAGATGAATTTGAATTTTTAATGAAAAAAAAAAAGACTTCACCTCCTTTTCATTTAGGGTACAAATAAAATTTCCCCAAATAGTATAGCTAAATGGTTAAGTCCATGGCTTGGAAATCAGGGCTGAAATTCTTGCATTTGTTGCTGAGAGCATTAGCAAGTTGCTTAACCTCTCTGTATCTCAGTTTGTCCCTTTGCAAAACGCAGATATCAATAGGCTGTCTCTTATAGAGCTATTATATAGATAAAAATGAATGGATATGTGTAAAATGCTTAGAACAGTGTCTGGTCCCTAAGTACTCTGCAAATGTTAGCTCTTATTACTATTGTTATTATTGAGGGCTCAAAGTAGCTCACCTTATATTATTATTATTATTATTATTATTATTATTATTATTATTATTTTGAGATAGAGTCTTGCTCTGTCACCCAGGCTGGAGTGCAGTGGCCAGATCTCGGCTCACTGCAAGCTCCGCCTCCCGGGTTCACGCCATTCTCCTGCCTCAGCCTCCCGAGTAGCTGGGACTACAGGCGCCCGCCACCATGCCTGGCTAATTTTTTGTATTTTTAGTAGAGACGGGGTTTCACCATGTTAGCCAGGTTGGTCTCGATCTCCTGACCTCGTGATCCACCCACCTCGGCCTCCCAAAGTGCTGGGATTACAGGCGTGAGCCACCACGCCTGGCCCAAATTAGCTCACTTTAGACGCACTGTAGCCTAGTGGCTAGGACTCCCTGGGTTTGAATGCAGCCATTATTAGAAAGAGTCTATATTCCCAACCCATCCACATGATGAATCTGTTAATAAAGTGTTCATATCTGCTTAAAATCCAAAACTTAGTCTTTGCTATGCCCAATGATTTGTCAGAGATTAATTATAATCCTTAGCTTCTAGAATTATAAACTGTTAGACTTTGAGGAATCTCCAGAAATCATCCAGATTGCTAGACGAAGGATCATTAGGGATAAACTGATCAACTATTTGGCAGGGGGCAAGGAGAGTTGGATTCCTATCCCCATCTTTATAAAACAATTTTGGATGAACCAAAATGTAAATATTTTTCTTAAAGCAAGTGATTTATTTTTTAAGCCTTAAAAACAAAAAGCCCTTTCTAAGCAATATACAAAATACAGAAGACCAGTACACATAACTAAATAATATTTAGGATATTAAAAATATATATCATGAGAAAAGTCAAAAGACAAACTAAAAAAAGCTTGCAAAACATGTTTATATACAATATATAAAGTTTTTAATATATAACTTTTCATAAATCAATACAGAAAAACAGCAAAGGGAAAGTTATATCTCTCTGTGCCTCAGTTCCCTTATCTACAAAATGGGGAGTATTTTTACTACCTACTTAAGAAATTTGTTGTAGAGAATGGGTGGATTAATATACGTTAAGTGCTTAGAATAGTGCCTCACATGAGTAAGCACTAGCTATTATTGTCCAGCTTTGTTATTGTCACTGCTTTAGTAACCACCTTTCCATGTTGACAAGAACTCCTGTCTTTTATTGCCTTAGCGATGCCGTCTCCTGAGAGGTCCAAGAATCACCTCAGCACTTTCTTATGTGCGATAGGCCAGACCAAGTAAGGGCCTGCCTCACTACTGGAGCCAACTCAGGTGTCCTCCCAAGGCCAGGGATCTGCATCACTTCCAGATTGTTTCGGAATGAGTCCTGGCATTGCTGCTACCAAGGTGTATTTTTACTGCAGTCTGTATTACTTTCCTAGGGATGATGTAAGAAAGTATCACAAAATTAGTGGCTTAAAGCCACAAGAATGTATCCTACTGTAGTTCTACAGGCAAGAAGTCAAAATCAAGCTGTCAGCTGGGCCACATCCCTCTAAAGGCTCTATGGAAACATTTTCCTTGTCTCTTTCAGATTCTGGTGGCTCCAGTCATTCCTTGGCTTGTGGCTGTAGAACTGTAATCTCTGCTTTTGTCTTCACATGGCCTTCTGCTCTTCTTCCTGTGCCTCTCCTTTGCGTGTCTCTTATCAGGACACGTGTCATTGAATTTAGGACCCATCTGGTTAACCCACCAAGATTCTTACTTACACTCACAAAGCTCTTTTTTCAAATAAAGTCACATGCATAGGTTCCAGGAATTAGGAGGAGGACCTGTATTTTGGAGAGATCACCATTAAACTCACTACACTGTTGTAACAAATTATAAACTTAATGGCTTAAAACAATAAAAATTTATTGTCTTACAGTTGTGTATGTCAGAAGTCTGAGACTAGTTTCACTGGGCTAAAATCAAGATGTTGGCAAGACCTGTTCCTTTCTGCAGGCTTTAGGAGTGAATCCATTTCATTGCTGATTCCACTTTCTAGAAGCTGCCCATGTTTGTTTGTTTGTTTGTTTGTTTGTTTGTTTTCCCGCTCATGGCCTCCTTCCCCTGTCTTAAAAGCCAGCAACATTGCATCTCTCTGACCCTTTTTCTTTAAATACATCTGTTCTTGACCGCAGATAGGAAAGATTTTCCAATGTTAAGGGCTCATGATTAGATTGGGCCCACCTGGATAATCCAAGATAGTCTCCCTATCTCAATGACCTTAAGTTAACCACATCTGCAAAATCCCCTTCACCATGTAAGGTAACATATTCAGAGGTTTCAGAGATCAGGACATGGATATCTTTATGTACTCAATATTCTTCCATCTGCACTAGGCTTGAGACCCAGTGTTACTTCAGAACCATCTTTGAAGATGTATTTGGAGACCGGTGAATGCCAGTGCCCTCCTAGGAACTGAAGATAATGTCTTCATCAACCGCAGACACCAGATAAGCCCCACACAACCAGACATGTGCCTTATCAGAGCAACAGCCTCTGCTGTACTAGTCATTTCTGCTCATCACTGTTTCCAATATAAGCTCCTGATGAAACCTGAACAGACACTAAAAAGATTTTATTTTATTAAATTTATCATCTGATCATGTCACAGTGGTCCCTCATGGTGCTATGATAGTAGGCAATTATTCCTCAGGATCGATCATCATCACCTATAACAAATTCATTCCACTACTATTACAGTTCTTTAAATGCGTTGACATAAACATTTACCTAAGGGGCAAGGTGACCACCAGCATGGCTGGATTGAAACAGGCTCCTGGTGCCGCCGACTCACGGACTCTGAACTATTAATCTCCCTTCACCTACAGTTTGTTGTTCAGGCAAAACAACATGTCCTGTTTCTTTTCATAGAAGTGCCATTTCCTGGATAGGGCTATTTGATAAAGTTTATCCTGGTCTGGCTGAAAAGGTTTTAAAAATTGAACTTTTGTAGATGGTATGAAGATGATTTTCTTTCAAATTTTTATTTTAATAATTTAGCCAGAATTGGTTTCTACGCATGAAACTTAGAAAGCCATCTGATACAGAAACTTTTTCAATCTGCTCAAACTGCTAGACTTCAGTGCAGAAAAAGATTTAGTCTTTCAATGTGATGTAAAAGCTCTTAGACAATTCCACTTTGCCGCCATATGTTGAAATATTTTAATTATAATATTGCTGTTTTTCATTAAGTTGCATGATCTAATATGTCATTTCCTTTTGATGTCTATTTGGTATCTGGACCAACTGAAACATACAAACAAACAAAAACCCAGAAGATATATTTGGTCTAAAGCATGCCAAAAGTAAAACAGATTGGCTATAGCATATCACAGGAGTGACTTTAAGGTCTATTGCAATGACTTTCTGCAATTCGATCAACCTCTCTGGGTATCAGTTTCTAAATTTTTTATTGTAACAAACAAGGGAGATGAAATCAAATACATGTAAAAAATGTGCTGTTGTGTCTCTAATTTAGTAGGTACTTGATAAATGCTTGACTGTTGAACTAACATAAATTTTGATAAAATAATTATTTTATATGATTATTTACAATTTTCAAGTGTAAGTTGAAAGAGTATTTTGAAAGAGATCAAAATTGTATAGAACTGACCACCTGATTCAGAATGTTTACTGTCCATAATTAGCATGTTATAAAGGGTAAGCATAAAGCTACAAATTCTAAATTCCATATCAAAACTGGCCTCCCTACTGGTTAGGTATATAAAAATGACTCTTACTTTTTAAAAACATTTCTGTTTTATAAAGAAAGAACTGTGAGCTAGAGGGCTGCCTGGTGAACCAAATGAGCTTAAGTGCTTAATTTATTACACTACTGCTTCTCTTAATCCGTACAGTGCACCTCTACATTGACTTAAATGGGCAGAGAGAGTCAAGCCTGAGGTATAGATCTTTGACACTTATAATTCTTAATTCTAGATTTGAGCTTTGAGGCTTATATCACTAAGACTTCAAGCAGGAAAATAGAAACCTCTCTAAGTATTTAATATAGAGGTGATTTGGTTACATAAGTGATGAAGTAACTGAAAAGTCAAGTAGAATATATGTAGGCAAACCAGAAGTTAGCAATAGCGGGAAGCTAGTATTGACCTTAGGCTGCAGGTCCAAGGGAGGACGTGCTATGGAACTCTAGGGGCTGAAGTCCTTGGGGAAGCTAGAAACACACTAGACCTGTTTAATGTACACCACAGTCATAGGGAAACATATTCATGACTGAAGATACCACTCTAGGAAGAGAAGGAAGAAAAAATTTCCTTGATTTCTCTTTTCTCTCATCTTTCAATCTCCTTAAGGCCTCTTGTTGGCTGACCAGTCAAAGTGAGCTGAGTGAATGCAGTGTGCAGGGATCAGCTCCTATTTAAACAAAAAAAAACCAAAAAAAAAAAACCAAAAAAAAAAAAAAAACAGAGGGCTGGAAAATGGACCTGAATACGAAAATGGACCTAGTTCTTATAGAACATCACGTAACAGAGGAAAGAACACAAAAGATCATGGGTATTTCTAAGTTCAACGAAGGTTCTGTTCTCTAATGCTCTCTATCCACTTCAGCATGAAATTCTATTGATTTTACTTTATTCTCCACTGTTACCTTCCTAAGCCTTCCTCTTGAATTGCTGCAGTTGCCGCCTAACTAGGCTTGTCAAAAATTTTATGGGGCTCAGCAAACAAAAGTTCTTTTCAAATTAAAAATTGAACTATATCATTCTTTATTCATCATTTAACTCCCAAATGCTTTTCTTTTGTTTCTGAAATAAAGATCTATATCCATAAATTGACCAAAGGCCCTTTGTGGCCTGGCCTTGGCCTACCTCTTCAGGTTCAACTTTAATTGCTCTTCTGTCATTTTGCTTCAACAATTCCGTCCTTTTTATAGCTTTAAAATAATGTACCATTCTATTTGTCATTAGATGACTATCACATATGATATTCCCTCTACCTGGAATTTTCTTTACCCAATTGGCTCCTATTTTCCTATCATACCTTAACCTTTTAAAAAAAAATTCACAGCATGCTTGTCACAATTTTTTTTCTTTTTTTGAGACAGAGTCTTGCTCTGTTGCCTAGGCTGGAATGCAGTGTACGTGATCTTGGCTCACTACAACCTCTGCCTCCTGGCTTCAAGTGATTCTCCTGCCTCATCCTCCCAAATAGCTGAGAATACAGGTGCTTACTACTACTCTCAGCTAACTTTTGTATTTTTTTGTAGACATGGGGTTTTGCTATGCTGGCCAGGCTGGTCTTGAACTGCTGACCTCAGGTAATCCACCCACCTTCGCCTCCCAAAGTGCTGGGATTACAGGCGTGAGCCACCATGCCCGGCCACAATTTTCTTTATTACAGAAAAAACAAATGAAAACAAAAAAAAATCCTAGGAATCACTCTACAAAAAATGGATCCTACCTGTATGAGAAGAAAGGAAGGAAGAAAGGAAGGAAGTAAAGGAAGGAAGGAAGGGCAGAAAGATGAAAAAAACAGCATTTTGATAACACATATAAGAAATTAGTGAAGAGAGAAATCATGTTCCCAAATGGTACAACTGTTATATAAATATTTGAAAGGTGTCAGATAGATTAAGAAATTCTGAGTCAGAAAAATCGCTATGGTACTGTAAACCAGGAAATACACAATTTTAAATGATTTCAGAAAGAGAAATAACTCCCTAAGCACTGTCAGTAGGAAAAAAATCTTAAAAGATTGAATGAGTAGCAAATCTAGCTTAAATAAATAAATATTTATATTCTTAATAGATTGAGAGCCCTAGCAAATTATCAGGGAAAACACTAGCACTCTACTGTTAAAAGAAGTAGAGAATATACAGAGAAAATATTCACAGGAGAAAAACTAATGGTCTATTAAAGTACAAGAGAAAATGTTCTACCTGTCCAGTTATTACAAATGCTACTCTCCTAATATCCTTTTGAGTGCATATAACAGTGTAACCATCCCTTAAGACTATTTGACAACATACTAAGATATTTAAAAATCCATACCCTATGACCTATTAATTTTAGCTTTAAAATTATTGGCTATGAAAATAATTCAGAAGTGACACATGCAATTTGCCAGTGAGAAGTTCCAGCTGTTCAGAAGGCAGAAAGTGAATGAGGTTAGGATATTTACATCTCCAACTCTCTCCTTGCCACAATGCGACCATTTGGTTGATTTCATCCACTGAAGACAACAGTTTTTATTGGGCTAGCTTCTCCAGATTCTGGTAACAAAACTCCTTATGCTTGCTGATTGCAGTCCTAACCCTGGTAATGGCTCCATTTCTGCTTATTGGTTTCCCTTAACCATGCTTCTATTTTTGTAAATGTCTTCTTCAAGATGATGCCATTTTAATATACTGCCATTTTAATATTTAATAAGTTGTTTTCATGTTCAACAAGGAATATTCTCACAGTGCAACCATTGTGAGGGTCTTCTAATTCTATTATACTTTTATTTCTTTTCTTTTTGCTGTATCATTACTGCCCAGCCCATTGTAGGCAGATCAGTGACAGGGTTTTCAACTACTTCATCCAACCTTCAGGACAACCTGAGGTGTCATACTCAATATGTCTTTCTATGTATTATCTGTAAATTAAAAACAAACGTGCAGGTCTGACGAAGAATTGTAGAACAAAATGCTGGTTAGACTGATTCCCAGTGTTTGTGTAGCTACACTGAACAAGAGAAATGAACTTGTGTTTTCTATTCATTTTTTAGATGATTATTTTCTCTGCTTTTCACTATCCGTCTTGTTGAGCATTCACAGGTTTCATTCATAATCTTTGTAATTTTTATATATTTTAATTTAACTAGTAGCATATATATATGTATATATTATTTAACAGAGTGTATGGATTCAAATCCTAATATTGGGCAGGTTTTATCAAGATACATTTGACCAATAAACCTATCCTATAATTCAGCAATTGCACTCCTAGGCATCTATTTAAGATAAATGAGTTCATGTATCTGCTAAAAGACATGTACAAAAGTGTTCACAGTGGCTTTATTATATAGCCAAACACAAGAATCAACTTAAGTGATAAGGAGTAAAATAGGTAAGTAAATTGTGATATATTTTTATAAGAATCACTATGATTAAAAAAAGAACAAACTGCTAGGCCAGGCACAGTGGCTCACCCCTGTAATCCCAGCACTTTGGGAGGCCGAAGTGGTCAGATCCCTTAAGCTCACAAGTTTGGGACCAGCCTGGGCGACATGGCAAAACCCTGTTCCTACAAAAAAATACAAAAATTAGCCGGGCATGGTGGTATGCACCTGTAGTCCTAGCTACTCGAGAGGCTGAGGTGGGAGGATGGCTTGAGCATAGGAGGTGCAGTTTTCAGTGAGCTAAAATCATGCCACTGTATTCCAGCCTGGGCAATAGAGCCAGACCTTGTCTCAAAAAAAAAAAAAAAAAAAAAAAAATATATATATATATATATATATATATAAATTAATAAATAAGTAAATAGAGAACATACTACTAATTTCCACAATAGCATAGATGAACCCAGTTATGTTGAGTGGGAAAAACCAGACATAAAATAGCATATACTGTACAATTGCACCCATATGGGTTCAAGAACAGGAAAAACTGATATATAGTGATGAAAATCAGAGTAATTGTTGTCTCTGGTGGCAGTGTTAAGTGAGGAGTGGGGTGCTGAAAAATGTTTCATAGATTGCTCTGAGTGGTAGTTTCATAGCTGTGCATATGCATTGAGCCGTACACTTATAATTTTTGCATTTAATTCACATTAATGTATAATTACATCAGATTAAAAAGTGTGCTTAAAAAATAGAGTCTTAGTTGCTCGACATAGAAAACACCAGTTAAGTAACACCTTTGTAAAGTTTTTTATCTTAAATAAGGCTTAGTTCTGTGGAGAGTGTTACATATAATATTACTCACATGTCTACTTCCTCATTAAATCTTCATAAAATCCATGAAAGCTTCAAACTTACCCAAAGAATTAAAGAAGTAGCTTCAATAGTAAATGGTGGGGTCTGCCTTCAAATCTCTGTTATTATCTTATATTCAATTCCCTGGAAACAAACTCTATGGTAAAGATTAGCATGCAGGTGATTTACTAGGAAGTGCTTCTGGGAACAAATCCATAACAAAAGTGCTTTTGGGAACAATCCATAAGGATGTATGAGAACCAAGGTTGGGTAGAGAGAAGGTCAATTGTGATTCAGTTGCAACAGAGGGCTTGGCCAATTTTGTCTTCCCTCTGCTGGGTGGCAGCTTTTTCAGTTCATTTCTTTCAGACTTAGGTAGACTGCTTTGCCTATGTCTTGCATATTCATGGTTCAGGGCACATCAAGAAATTTGGGCAGAGTTTAGGCACTACATTTAAAGTTCTTCCTTGATGGATTTCTTCTCTCTGAAAATTTTCTCCCTCACTTTTCATGTTGACTCAAAATCATCATCTGGCACTTCATGTAAGACTGCAAGTTTCTATCAGAGTTTTAGTCAATTTTATGGCACGGACTGGAGTGTAATCTAGAGCAATGCTCTGTGTGTGTGTGTGTGTGTGTGTGTCTATAGTTTATAGTTATCTACAAGAAAGCTGATATAATAACAGCTTGGCTATTCATGGAAGCGGAAACCTTTGGTCTACTTTTAACATGAACTTACTCATTCAATTATTCTACAAATATTTTTTAAACTACCACTGTTTGTAAGTTTGTTCAAACCTCTGGAGATAAAAGAGTAAGCCAGAGAAGTAACTTCCCTGTGTTAAAGAGAAAAAAAAACAACCCACAAATTAATTATGCATGGAAATAAATTCTATAGAGAAAGTAAAACAGGGCAAAGGCAGGACATTTTACACTGTGTAATCAGGAGAGTCTTGTATGAGAAGACGGAATTTGAACTGAAGCACGACAAAGAGGAAACATATGATGAACTGTGGAATTATAGTCTACACAGAAAGAGAAGTACAAGCTGATTACTTAGACATGCCTTTGGGAAAGGTGGTCAGTTTATTTGAGAATGATTTAAGAGAGAATGGTTCAAGTTTAGAACTTCCAGCCCTAGTAGACAAAAACAGTATGCCCAGTTAAATTTGAAGGAGCTGTCATGACCCATATTATTTAGTATATTTTAACTGCAGTGGAAAGCACTAGATGATTTTAAGCAGGACCGACATAAACTTTTTTACGTTAAATTATATAGAATAACTGAATTCAGAAAACAGATTAAATTGCTATAAACTAAAATCTGGATGCCTTCATGTCAGCAACCATTTTGGAATGTGTTCATGAGAGAAGTGAAAAGGCAGGAATGTACATGGTGGATTCAGACAGTAGGAAGTCAGCCTGGCTCGAGTCAAGGGTCAAAAGACAAACCAAATATAAAGGTAGGCTTTTTATAGTCTAAGAAAGGCCTTGAATGACAACCAAAGTATAGTTTATTTTGATAGGCGCTTGTAGACAAGACAAAATTATTGCAATAGATCAGATCCAGACCTGGTCTGTTGAGTGGCAATAAAAAGCATCAAGATTTCTGTTTCCCACAGTATTGCAGACTAGAAATTCTGAGATACCTATCTGATAGAAGCTCAGGGGATGAAGAGTGGAATAAAGATCATTTTTATTTGTTGCATTTCAGGTGCAAATTAAAATATTAAACTGAACTTCCTCGTAAAGAGTTGGAGATGAACTTCTGGAGCCTAGAAGAGATCCTGATTAGATATGGAGATTTAGTTCTCAAACTTACAAAAGTAAGTTTTATCTCCAAGTGATTGTAGCAACAAACAGCAACAGTCTGAGTTAGTAAAAATTATACATAATAAGTAGTAAAAAAAAAAAAAGATGGTAAACACACAAACTTCAGACAGAGAGGTCTTTAAGAGGCATTAAATTAGCATTCAGCACTTCATTTCTTATGCCTCACATTTGGTAGATGCTAACTTAATATTTGTTGAAAAGGTCCTAAGAGCTGTCAATGAGTTCCATCTGTGTTGTAAATTATTCACAGAATAAAAATTAAGCTACCACAATTTTTAATTTGACATACTTAGAACTTTTATTAAAAATTAAAGACAAGAGTTTTCAAGTTATCAACAATCCTTATTTAAAACCCAGTGAAATTCAAGAGGTCATATTTTATAGCACTAATTTTACCTATAAGGAACATTCAAAGACACTTACATGAAAGTATAAACCTCTCACCTAGATTGTTATATTTATAGGTCATAAAACACCAAACTGAAGTACAAGATAGCAGTAGAATGATGTCTTATAAACTAACAAAGTCGACAATATTAACATAATGGTCTCAGCTGAATTTGCCCATTTAGTAATGCTTGGAAAGCAAGACCTAAACTATAACAGTTGAGAAACTGTTAGGTACTGAAACACAATTACTTTAACCAATAATGTTGTTTCATTTGGATTTCTTTAGTCCAGAAAGCATGTGAAGTAATCCTAGCATCACTTTGTGGTTATGCTCTTCTGTCAGGCTTGGTCCTATAGTTTATATCAGTAGTTCTCTAGAGAGGCAATATACAACCATGGGACACTTGGCATTGTTTGGAGACATTTTGTCACTCTTCAGGGCGGAGAGAAAGTTGGAGATGGGGTGGGAGAGGGTGGATGCTACTGGAATGTAGTGGTAGAGGTCAAGGATGCTTTGAAACATACTACAAGGCTCAGACAACTCCTTTCATGATGAAGCATTTTCCTACCCTAAATGTCAATAGTGTTAAGGCTGAAAAATCCTGCATATCAGTGTCATAGTCCCAGAGGCAGTCATAAAACAGACCCGAGTCAAAACTTTCTTTTATAGGATTTAAAAGTTGTTAGCCAGTTCTGAGATGTTGAAGTTTCTTGGGCTCAGAACAATTCCTACCTGCGTGATTTATAGTGCAGGCCACTTTCTTTCGAATACACTGTATTCCTGAAAATGTGCAGCAAACTTGAACATGTTTGTGTGTTTCAACCATGGGACTTTGTTTCCAAAAAAGCTAAAAAAATTTTTTTAAAAATTCCTCATCACACCTCCCTTGTTAAATGCAGTCACAGTATATTCGTGGCATTTTATTCATGTTCTTTAATTTCCCCATTCTTCCTCCAAGGAATAGATAGTCTCCCAGCTTAAAAGCAATGAGTATTGTAGGCTAAAAATGTTTTGCTGTTGGCAGGTCTATTGTTTTCTATATTTGCAACAATTTTAAATGTATGATACTTATGATTTTCATCATTAGTATCAACACTTATTATTTCCATATTCACTCGTGTTTTAAAAAGCAGTAATTTTCAAGCTCTTTTTCTAGCAACAACTTTTTAAAACAAAATCTTGTATTGTCTTAAACATAAATTAAAAAGTTTGTGTTTTAAAAATTAAAAATCCCTACTTCCTACTTCATCACTCTTACCCTTTTTCCCACCTTCATAAACAAGCAACACCTTTGAAAAGTTTTGGGGTTATAAGAAACAATGTTGAAAAGACATTGTAATAATATATTGAAATAATGGCATAAATGTTGTTCTACTGTGGACAAAGACACTGATGCTGCCAAAACTGAATTTTTGGCTGTCAGACAACAAGCCATGTGTCAAATTCAAATGTTCTATCTTGAGCAGATGTATGGAAATCTAAGTCTGGCATGTAAGAGTTCCTTTGGGAGTATCATTTAATAATATTTGAGAGCATAAGTTGCTCAGAACTTGATTATATGAGTTGGATGCAGTGATACACACCTATGATCCCATCTACTTGGGAGGCTGAGGCAGGAGGGTCACTTGAGCCCAGGAGTTCTAGTCTATCTAGTTGAGCTTGGACAACATAGCGAGACTCCATCTAAAACAAAAACAAAAACAAAAGTAAGTGAAAAAACAAAACAAAACAAAACAAAACCCAACAAACCCAACAACTTGATTGTTTATTAATGGGAATTACCAGTTTCTCTTTTGCCTTTATTAAACTTTAATGAACTTGCATTTTCGCTATTGTTCAATTAATTTTCCTAAATTTGCTTCTTGACTTTGCCAGCTCACCCTCTTTCTGATAAGGATGCAGTCAGACTCCCTCCTATTTAGCAAGACTTCTGTTGCTGGTCCCTTGTCATTCATGTCCTGCATGACACACAGAGGAAAAATGACATTGAGATTATTCAACTAAGAGTGTCTTAAGTCTCATGGTGATAAAAAGAAAAATTATCTTTGAAAAACTATTTAGCTTTTATTTTTGGCAATAGCATCTTTCAAAGTAAAAATATTAAAGCTAAGGATAACAATTTAACCTAACAATGTATGAAATAAAAAATAATCAATAAAAGAAGAATTAAATTTAATTTTTATTTTCATATCAAAATTTTTTCAGATAGAGGATTTAAAAGGAGCACAGCCATCCAAGACCTGTGCTTTTGTCTTTTGCTACATTTTCTTCTCTGCACATTTTAAATCCTACTTATGTCTTGCTCCTTAGTGAAAGTACAGATAATAGTGAAGATTGAAATATCTAGGACCAAGATATATCTGTCTTATTAAAATTCATTTGTCAAATATGTCATGAACATTTCTTAGATGCATTGCTCATAGTAGGCAAAATGAAGCAAATAACTCTAAGATTTCTGCATGCAACCAACATAATTCAGTGCCTACACTGGACCAGGTACTGCTCTAGTTATCTGGAGTACAACAGTAAGAAAAAAAGAGTGTTTATTTTTGTGGATTTATACTCTAGTGGAGGATGTGATATGATTCATGCTAACTAGGAGTTTTTGAGAAATAGTTACCCCAAAGAACAACCAAAAATAAGAAGTTGAGTCCCTCCTGGATGTTCCCTAACTATATACGTGGCTATAATGTTGGTTGGATGCAGAAATATTATGGCTATACATACGTCTATAATGTTGGCTGGATGCAGAGTTTATTTGCTTCATTTCACCTACTATGAGCAATGCATCTAAAAAATGTCGAAAATGCTGCAGGCAGAGAATACAGCTTACCATAGGTAGCAAAGTACCTATGAACTCAAATGCTTGATGAATGAATATGTGGCACATAGAAGAAAGACAGCATGTGAAATTTTGGAGTAGTTTAGATAATTTTGTAAGAGACATGAAACTCAGGCTTCTCTTTAGGACACAAACAGGCTTTAGTTTGATGGAAAGAAGCAAAGTGAGAGCAAAGTGAAGTCATTTTGAAACATGGCATGAATTGAAAAATGGGCGGTGAAATACAAGGTACATGAGGGGAGACAGACAAAGGTCACTGGAGCAAGAGAAGAGCATATATATTGTAAAATAGTATGTTCATACCTTGCAGGTAATGAACCATTGATGATTAGGTACTAGAAAAGAGGAAATGAAATTGCCCAGATATTAAACAACTTCCCTAACTTTAGTCTCCAAATCTGTGCTCTCCCATCATGACCATTTAAATGCATTTTATAAACTGAAAAGCACTGTGCATATTTATGAATCTTGGATCATTTTATAATTCTCTGCAGTGTACAGTCAGACTAATTCATCTGGGTAACACTAAGCTATGGTCAAGATCTCTTTAACTTGAAGATTTATGATTATTAATCTTAAGGATGAGTAATCACTGTGTATATATTTATTCCTAGTTAAATTAAAATTAAAGATTCATGCAATTCTTCCTCTTTTGACTAGTCATATTCAAAAAATCAAATTTAATTTATTTTTTTAAAATAGAGTTGCATTAATAACGTTCAATAGTACTTCTATTCTACTTGAGAAGTCACAACTTATGAGGAAAATGGACTTCAAGAAGCACTTAGGAAGGAATAGTACAGCAATATAAATCGTATTCATGCCCTCCTAGTAAAGCGTTTATGTTTAAAACTCTTACAAATCATGGTTTATAGTAGTTGTTTTAGAATGAGAGATGAGTATATTACTGTATTACTGTATATATATTTTTATGGCTTTTAAAGCAAAGCACTACTTAAACGTATAAAAGGGTCATTATGTCAATGAAATGACTTTTTTTCCCCTAGAGTAGGTTTTAAATATGTGATCTTGGTAAACACTTGCTAGCTTATCTTTTTTCTGAATTTAGAGATAATCCTGAAAGAGATATTTCACCATGTTTGATAAACAATGATTAAAATAAAAAAAAAACTCTTTCCTTCTTTCTGTGGGTACCAGGATATTTGAGCTTTACACAATTTTTTAAATGAAACCTTTATAACCTGAAGAATTTTCTAAATAGGAGCGAGGAATTCCCCACCTGTTAATTAATCGAATTGATCTGCTTTCTACTTTTCAACTCTTGAAAATTCTCAATGACACATGTAAAAGATATAATCTATCAAGGAGGTAATTATCTGTTAATTATCTAGGAAGGTTCTTGTTAACTCTCCTTCCAAATAACTTAGCAGATTTACTCAGAACTTCTAAGTACTAATTCAGTTTCACTGAGCTCAGTAAATATTTGCTAGATCAACTACTGCATACTAGATACTGTTCTAGCTAGAGATGACAAAGATTAATTATGTCTTAGTTCATTTTCTCAAAGCTTTTCCAATCAGACAGGAAGCAAGGAGTATATGAATAGCTAGCCAGAATCCAGGACAGGAGAGAGGTATAAATAAACTGCCATGCAGAAACCAAAGGAAAACAATCATTTTCTACAGTGGAGAGGTAAGGCAATTGAAGAAGGATTAATAGAGGTGGCTGCATTCCAGTAAGTTGTGTTTAGATAGGTAGAAAGAGACTAAAGAAGAAGCATCACAGACTGAAGGAAGAACAAGAGCAAAAGCCTTGAGATACGACATTTTGGATCCTTACTCAGTGTTTCCAAATCTTGTCAATTTCCTCCCTAGTAAAGATGGCTTATAATGAGTGAGGCTTTCCCACTTTGCCCTGTGGCCAATGGTAGCAAGACAGTAGATTCTGAAGTAAGACAGACTTAGGTTCAGATTCCAGCTCTGCACTTACTAGTTATGTGATCTGGGATATGCTACATACTGTTTCAGCCTCAGTTTTCTTATCTGTGATATAGGAATACTAATAGTTAACTTAAGAGGCAATTAGGAAAATTGATTTTAAGAACTCCATACAGAGCAGCTACTCAGAAAACTATACAGAGAGATACCACACAAAACAGTATATGCAAGTCAAAATGGAAAACTAGAAAATGTTCAATTAACCCACAGGAAGGCATGAAAAGAGGAACAGGGCAACAAACAAAAGCAAAGAATAAAATAGTTGATATAAGGATAATAACCCAAAACTCTAAGTAACCCAGATATAATTTAACAGGTAAATGGCTAATTAAATGCTGTTACATACCTACCATAGACCATTACTCAACAGTTAGAAGGAATGAGCTACTGATACAAATGACAACCTGGAAGAATGTCAAAGGAATTATACTGAGAGAAACTCCCAACGGTTATACAGTCATACCTTGTTTTATTGTGCTTTGCTTTATTGTACTTTGCAGATTGAGATATTTTTTACAACTTGAAGGTTTGTGACAACCTTGTATCAAGCAAGTCTGACATACCATTTTTCCAATGGCACGTATTCACTTTGTGACTCTGTGTCACACTTTGGTAATTCTCTGAATATTTCAAACTTTTTCATTATTATTATATCTGTTATGGTGATCTGTAATGAGTAATATTTGATGTCACTATTGTAATTGTTACAGGGTGCCATAAATTCTGTAGATAATACAGCAAACTTAATTGATAAATGTATGCATTTTGAGTGCTCCATTGATAAAGCTACTCTCCCATCTCTCCCATCTCTTTCCCTCTCCTCAGGCCTCCCTATTCCCTGAGACACAATATTGAAATTAGGCCAATTTTAACCTACAATGGCCTCTTATGTATTCAAGTGAAAGGAAGAGTTGCATGTCTCTCACTTTAAATCAAAAGCTAGAAATATTTAAATTTAGTGAGGAAAGCATATCAAAAGCTGAGACAGGCTGAAAACTAGGCCTCTTATGCCAAACACCTGGTCAAGTTGTGGAAGCAAAGGAAAAGTTCTTGAAGGAAATCAAAAGTGCTACTCCAGTGAATGAACGAATTATAAGAAAGAGAAAAAGCCTTATTGCTGAAATGGAGAAAGTCTTAGTGGTCTGGATAGAAGATCAAACCAGCCATAATATTCTCTTAAGCCAAAAAGCCTAATCCAGGGCCAAGCCATAACTGTCAATACTGTCAAGGCTGAGAGAGGTGAGAAAGCCACAGAAGAAGCCAGCAATATTGGTTCATGAGACTTGAGAAAAGGAGCCATCTCCACAACATAAAAGTACAAGGTGAAGCAGCAAGTGCTGATGGAGAAGCTATAGCAAGTATCCAGAAGATCTAACAAAAATTATCGATGAAGGAGGCTAAATTAAACAAAAGATTTTCAATGTAGACAAAATAGCCTTTTGTTGGAAAAAGATGCTATTGAAGAAGACTAACACAGCTATAGAGGAGAAGTCAATGTCTGGCTTCAAAGCTTCAAAAAGCAGGCTGACTCTCTTATTAGAGGTTAATGCAGCTGGTAACTTTAAGTTGAAACCAGTGGTCTTTTACCATTTTGAAAATCCTAGGGCCCTTAAGAGTAATGTTGAAACTACTCTGCCTGTGCTCTACAAATGGAACAACAAAGCCTGAATAACAGGACTTCTGTTAACAGCATGTTTACTGAATTTTTTTTTTTTTTTTTTTTTTGAGACAGAGTCTCGCTCTGTCACCCAGGCTGGAGTGCAGTGGCACGATCTCGGCTCACTGCAAGCTCGGCCTCCCGGGTTCACGCCATTCTCCTGCCTCAGCCTCCCGAGTAGCTAGGACTACAGGCGCCCACCACCATGCCCGCCTAATTTTTTTGCATTTTTGGTAGGGATGGGGTTTCACCGCGTTAGCCAGGATGTTCTCGATCTCCTGACCTCGTGATCCGCCTGCCTCGGCCTCCCAAAGTGCTGGGATTAGAGGCGTGAGCCACCGTGCCCGGCCGTTTACTATTTTAAGATCACTGTTGAGACTTACTGCTTAGGAAAAAAAGATTTCTTTCAAAATATTACTGCTTATTGGTAATAGACCTGGTAACCCAAGAACTCTGATGAAGACAAACAAGGAGATTAACATTGTTTTAATGTCTGCTAACAAAATATCCATTCTGAAGTCCATGGATCAAGGAGTAATTTAGACTTTCATGTCTTATTATTAAAGAAATACACTTGTAAGCCTACAGCTGTTGTAGATCATATTCCTCTGATAAATCTGAAAGAAGTAAATTGAGAAGGACTTACCAGTCCAGATACCATTAAGAACATTCATGGTTCATAGAAGGAGGTCAAAATATCAACATCCACAGGCGTTTGGAATAAGTTGCTTCTAACCCTCATGAATAACTCTGAGGGGTTGGATATTTCAGTGGAGAAAGTAACTGCAGATGTGATGGAAACAGTAAGAGAACTAAAACTAAAGTGGAGCCTGAAGATGTGACTGAATTGCTGCAGTCTCACGGCAAAACTTGAACAAATGAGGAGTTGCTTCTTATGAATGAGCAAAGTGGTTTCTTGAGATGGAATCTACTCCTGGTGAAGACGCCGTGAACGCTGTTGAAATGACAACGAAGGTTTTAGAATATTCTATAAACTGAGTTGATAAAGCAGCAGCAGGATTCTGCTACAGAGAAATCGTTCATGGAAGGAAGAGTCACGTGACACAGCAAACTTCATTTTTACCTTATTTTAAGAAATTGCCACAGCTATCTCAAACTTCAGCAACCACCACCCTGATCTGTCAGCAGCCATCAACACTGAGATAAGCCCCTTTACCACCAAAAAGATTAGGACTTGCTGAAGGCTCAGATAATCATTAGCAATTTTTAACTTAAAAAGGTATTTTTAATTAAGGTATGTATATTTTTTTAGACAAAATGCTTTTGCACACTCAGTAGGCTATAGTATAATGTAAACTGAACTTGTATATGCACTGGGAAACCAAAGAATTTGCATGAACTGATTTATTGTGATATTTGCTTTATTGTAGTGATCTGGAACCAAACCTGCAGTATCTTCAAGGTATGCCTATATAATGTATGATTTTGTTTATATATAATTCTTACAATGACAAAATTATAAATGTGGAGAACAGTTAAGCCATTGCCATATGTTAAGAATTTGTGGTTATGAAAGGGCAACACAAGGGATCCAGTATTTGACTGTGGTGGTTAATAAATGAATACACACATATGATAAAATTGTATAGAACTGTATACATATACACACACATGCATATGCACAAGTGAAAGTAAAATTGGGTAAATCTGAATAAAACATGTGTCTTGTCTAAGTATCAATATCCTGCTTGTGATATTTATACTCTAGTTCTATAACCTGTTACCATTAGAAGAAACTGGGTGAAGGATACACAACTACATGTAAATCTGTATTATCTCAAAACAAAAAGTTTAATTAAAAAAACTAACTCCACACATCCTGTACTAGTTTTTAGGGATGCCATAATGAATACCACAGACTGGGTGGGCTTAAATAACAGAAAGTTATTTTCTTACAATTCTGGAGACTAGAAATCCAAGATTATGTTGTCGGCAGGTTTGGTGTCTGGTGAGGCCTCTCTTCCTTGGCTTGCAGATTGCAGAGGCTGCCTTCTTGTTGTGACTTGACATGATCTTTGTCTAATATTTTCTCCCTATAAAGACATCAGTCATATTGAATTATGGCCCACCCTGAAGACCTTATTTTAACTTAACCACCTTTTAAAATATCTTATATTGGCTGGGCGCAGTGGCTCATGCCTGTAATCCTAGCACTTTGGGAGGCTGAGGCGGGTGGGTCATGAGGTCAGGAGTTCGAGACCAGCCTGACCAACATGGTGAAACCCCATCTCTACTAAAATACAAAAATTAGTGGTGACGAGCACTTGTAATCCCAGCTACTCAGGAGGCTGAGGCAGGAGAATCGCTTGAACCTGGGAGGCGGAGGTTGCAGTGAGCCGAGATCATGCCACTGCACTCCAGCCTGGGTGACAGAACAAGACTCTGTCTCAAAAAAATAAATGAATAAAATAACAGTAAAAATAAATAAATAAAATTAAATATCTTATATTAAAATATGATTCTATTTCGAGTTACTGAAGTTTAGGGCTTTAACATATGAATTTTAGGGAAATACAGTTCAGCCCATAACAGACCTACAACAATAAATGTCTTAGCAGAAACTATAGGCTAAAAGTTTGTGACATTGGATTTGACAATGACTTCTTACATATAACACCAAAAGCACAGGCAACAAAAGATAAATTAGACTATTTCGAAATTAAAACGTCTGTGCCCTGCATTTAGGGCACAATCAATAGAGCAAATAGACAACTCCTGGAATTGCAGAAAATATTTGCACATCATAGATCTGATAAGGGGTTAATATACAGAATATATGAAGAATTCCCACAAATCAACAACAAAAAGTAGACATTTTAAAATAGGCAAATGACTTGAATAGACATTTCTTCGAAGAAAACATACAAATGACCAATGACCAGATAACAAGACACTTAACATCACTAATTATTAGGGAAATGTAAATGAGATGACACCTATGTACTAGAATGGTTATTATTAAAGAAGCAGGAAATAACAAGTGTTGGTGAAGACAGGGAGAAACTGGAAACCTGTGCACAGTTGGAGGGAAAGTAAATGCTGCAGACACTGTAGAAAACTAGAAAACAGTATGGTTATTTCTCAAAAAAATTAAACATAGAATTAGACTATGATCCAGCAATTTCACTTCTGGGTATATATACTCAAAATAATTGAAAGGAGGGACTCAAAGATATTTGCACACCAGTGTTCATACTAGCATTATTCATAATAACCAACTTGTGGAAGTAAAATGAGTGTGCAGTAACAGATGAATGGATGAATACAATAGGGTATATAAAGGAAGGAGGTTCTGACATTTCCCACAACATAGATGAACCTTGAAAACATTATGCTAAATAAAATAACCCAGTTACAAAAGGACAAATATTGCATGACTCCACTAAATGAGGTACCTAGAGTAGTCAAATTCATAGAGATTGAAAGTAGAATTGTGATTGCAAGGTTTGGGAGAGGAGGATATATGAAATAATTATTTAATAGGTACAGAATTTTAATTTTGTAGGATGAAAAGAAAGAGTTCATGGGTAGATGGTGGTGATAGTAGCACAACAATATGAATGCACTTAATACCACTGAAATGTACATTTAAAAATGGCTAAGATGGTAAATTTTATGCTACATTTATTTTCCACAATTAAAATAAATTTAAAATAGATTTTAAAAATCCAAGCAAATATCATAGAGATTTGTGCACACAACAGGCCCCTAGAAAACACTACCACTTCTTCCTATAAACACTAAGATAGATTTTAGTTTTTTTCATTGCTTTCTTTCTAGGACCCATCTATCTGCCTCTCTCCTTTCTAAATCTTACTTCTTCAGCCAGAACCTTGAATTTTAATAGAAGAGATATCTTAAAGAATTGGTCAGATTGGGTCCCTATCACTACACTTCATTATTGTGCATCAAAAACTGAACAGTTGATTAGAGACTATTTTATATATATTGGAAATATGGGAAGTATATATATATATATATATATATCCTATTTAGATGTAAGAAAGCTGTCTTTTGGTATTAATATACCTCTTTTTTATATGACAGCAAATTTAATCATCCAAGTATGATAAGATAATAAGTGTTACCATCTTGTTGCTTGGATACAATGTCATTAATATTCTTGAGGTAATGAAAAAATGGAAGCAAGTTATTTTTCCCTCTGCAGTAAGAGTTGCATCTAATGGAGAATTTTACTTTCTGTTATTTTAATGTAAAATATATTCAGTGTTCTTCATATTATATATTACAGTTAATATATAGCTTGACCACAAGGACCTAATATTAGACTGGACATTTTGCCAGACATGAACTCCTCATTCTTTATTATTTCTTAAAGAATATCTTGAAGGATTTTAATATAGTTAAAATATTATACTGTTAGGTAACATTTGGGAAACATTAGATAAGCATTGTTAAGCATTTATTTATGACTGAGCTTCTCAGACATCTTATGCAATAATTTGTATGTTTTCTCTCCAAGCAGAAGATACAATAAATGGAAGATTTCAAATTTATTTTCTTCCTCTAGCCCTTATTTTTTTAATTTAATCATGTCAGGACTATAAAATGTCCCTTTGGGATGCAGTAAAATTTGGTATTGGGATGGATGAGGATGGGGCAATTTGCCCATGAGGAAATTGAAAACATCTTTATGTTGTTTTTCTCCCTAAAGAGATGAGAAAGGCAAATGTTATTTTTTTCTTATTTAATGAAAACGTTGGTGTTCTGGGAGTGATCCTAGGAAAAACATTGACAATGTTAGCTTGGTGACTAGCATTTAACAAGAACCTGCTGAGCATCAAAGACTTTGCCTTGTTAGAGAAGAGTAATAGAGTGGTGAAAAAGGGAAGTACACAGGGTTGGGAAAGTCTAATGTATTTATTTGAATGCTGCTAAATTAATTCATAGCTCAAAATACAGTGAGTGGTTTAAGACTAGATTATTTAAAATTGAAAAAAGTAGAGACAGGAAGATATAGTTAAAATAATTAGAAAATGTAACCTAAAAACACCATTTTCAATAGTAACAAAATTTAAAGTACACAGGTATAGTCAAACAAGAGATATACAAGAATAAGTCATAGAAAAGTATAAAAATATAAAGCTTTAATGAAAGGCCTTAAAGAAACCTAAATAACTGGCCAGATATACTATGGTCTAGCACAAAAAACACAATATTATAAAGATGGTAATTTTTAAAAATTGATCTGGACCTCTCCCTTGGCTTGCGGATTGCAGAGGCTACCTTCTTGTTGTGTCTTTACATGATCTGTGTCTAATATTTTCTCCCTATAAAGACATCAGTCATATTGGATTAGGGCCCACCCTAAAGACCTTATTTTAACTTAACCACTTTTTAAAATTCAATTAAAAATTCCATCAAGGTTATCTTAAAAACTTGACAATATAATTCTAAAATTTAAATGAAGATGAGAGGGCTTATAATTGCCCTCTTGTCTTCCATTTAAATTGCCAAAATGCTGTTAGAGAAGAAAAATGAAAAAGGGAGACTTGTTTTACAAGATAAAAATACTTACAATGTAGCTATAGCAATTAAGAATACAGTATAGATGCAGGGATAGAGAAATCAATCAATAGAACTTAGAAATAATCCAAGCATATATGGAACTTTGATATGTAACAGAGATGACATAGTAGATTATTGAAAAAGGAAGGACTATTAAAAAAGAGAGCTGAGGCCAGGCATGGTGGTCATGCCTATAATTTCAGCACTTTGGGAGGCCGAGGCAGGTGAATCACTTAGGTCAGGAGTTTTGAGACCAGTTTGGTCAACATGGTGAAACCTTCTCTCTACCAAAAAAAAAAAAAAAAAAAAAAATGTAGCCAGACGTTGTGGCCCACGCCTGTAGTGTCCCAGCTACTCCAGAGGCTGAGGCAGGAGAATCACTTGAACCCAGGAGGTGGAGGTTGTAGTGAGCTGAGATCTCGTGCCACTGCACTCCACCCGGGGCAACACACTGAGACGTGGTCTCAACAAAAAAACACAATAAAAAAAATAGAGCTGAAAATACTTGATAAGCCATATGGAGGCGGAAAAATGGCTTCAGTTCATGGTATGTCACATAACCAAAATCAACTCCACGTGTATTAAGGTCAAAAGCAAAATTAAAGATTTTGGAAGAAATTCTAGTATAAAATATTTCTAATCTTGGATGGAGCAGACTTTTGAAAACAAGATACAAACAGCGATAACCAGGAAAGAAAATGACTTGGTAAATTATATTACATTAATATAAAGCATAGTTCATCAAAAGATGCCTTTTAGAAAGTAAAAAAAAAAAAGGTAAAACTAGAAGAAGATATTCATAACATATATAAAGATCCAAAGAAGATTAACATGAAGAACATGTATATCCAATATGTGATTGGAAAAAATTGTCTTACATTGATTGCTAAGAGATGGAGAGAGTGGTGATCAATACAATCTCTTCTACAATGTTGGTGGCAGTACACATTGGTACAACTTCTTTGGAAGACAACTTGTATTGTCTATAAAGTTCAACATTTGTGTACCCTATGACTCAGCCATTCTACTTACAGTTTAACTGTAGGTACTTGGATACCTGTACAAAAATATTGATAGCAGTACTCTCTGTACTCTCTCTGCCACAGGAAAACAACTGATCTGGAAACACCCCAAATTGCTCTCCATGAGAAAATGAATACATGAAGTGCAGTATATTCACACAGTAGAATATTATACAGCAGTGAACAATTAATGAACTACAACTAAATTCGACAGGTAGGGATCTTAGCACACAATATTTGAATTTAAAAAAGCATTTCCGGGAAACTAAAAACAGTATACACAAAAACCACGCCGGGAGCGGAGGCTCAGGCCTGTGATCCCAGCACTTTGGGAGGCCGAGGTGGGCAGATCAGGAGGTCAGGAGATCGAGACTATCCTGGCTAACACAGTGAAACCCCGTCTCTACTAAAAATACAAAAAATTAGCCGGGCGTGGTGGCGGGTGCCTGTAGTCCCAGCTACTCGGGAGGCTGAGGCAGGAGAATGGCATGAACCCAGGAGGTGGAGCTTGCAATAAGCCAAAATCGCACCACTGCACTCCAGCCTGGGGGACAGAGTGATACTCCGTCTCCAAAAAATAAAAATAAAAATAAAAAAACACAATATATTCTTTAGATATAGATATATATGATATATAGCTAGAGCAAGACATAAATAATATAGAAATAAATAAAACAAGAAAATGAAAACCACAAAATTCTCAAGAAAGTCGTTAGTTTTGACAGAAGAATGAGTGGATAAGCATGGATCTAGGTTAGCACAGGATGAATATAAGTTGCTAGTAATATTGTAGTTCTTAGGTTGACTGTTATAAATGTTATTTTTCCTAATAAATTCATAGTCTGGGCTGGGCGCGGTGGCTCACACCTGTAATCCCCGCACTTTGGGAAGCCGAGGCAGGCAGATCACCTGAGGTCAGGAGTTCGAGACCAGCCTGACTAACATGGTGAAACCCTGTCTCTACTGAAAATACATAAATTACCCAGGTGTGATGGCAGGTGCCTGTAATCCCAACTACTCCAGAGGCTGAGGCATGAGAATTGCCTGTACCTAGGAGGCAGAGGTTGCAGTGAGCCGAGATCGTGCCACTGCACTCCAGCCAGGGCAACAGAGTGAGACTCCAAATCAAAAAAAAAAAAAAAAAGTCTGTCAGTGGACCATTTATGTACTGTTAATGATTTGCTCAATTTTGTACACCTTATTTCCACAAGGAAAATTTAAAGATATGATTACATTTTTACATTGTGATGTCCTCACTCCACAGAAGCTGCTATTAGAATGGAAGTTAGCTGACTTTTAAGCTACTCTGCTTCCCAGGGTTTAGAAAGACTTTCTGTTCTGGTTCTACCATATGGAAAACCAGGAGGTCTTTGGGAACCTCCAATGCAACTCTGGCATCACGAACCTTCCTTGATATGTGTGGAAATAGAGAGTTCCAAATGCACAGCAAGACTTTTCTGTGTGTCAATTGGAAATATTTTGAATGTCGCTAAAGTTCTTTCTCTTTAGAAAACCTTATTTTTGGAGCAATCATTCTGCATTGGAGCCTGTAAATCATTAAATCTAATTTTTTTCATTTTTCTAATGACAAAGGTCAAACTCACAGAAGTTGGATTGCCTCCAGCAATGATTGTGTCACTGAAATGAAAATCGATGGAAATAGGTCAATTCCTATCTTTGGCCATACTGAAATCTGTGACTTTCCTTAATTAGTTTAGGACTTAAGTCATCTGAAACAGCAGCAGGAGCTGTAAAGTAAACTAAATTGTGGTTTTCATGAGTCATTGATGCTCATCACAACTGGTTGCCTTTCAAACCCTAGTGGCATCTTTGGCCTCATTGGAATGCATTAAAATGTTCCTTTTTCTGACAGTGTTCTTGCTTGCTTTCCTGTACACTCACTTTCCACTGGGCATATTCCAGCCTCTATTGGTTAGTGTTTTAATAGCTACCTTCCTCAGCCAGGAAGCAGCTTAAGCTACAATTCATTCATACTGGTAAAAATAGATCTTTTCTGAGAACTACAATGTCCAAGTCACTTGAGAAAAACATCTGAATAGCAGAAGGATGTAGATAAAACATAACAACTAAAGAAGAAAAACAAAGAATTTTATTTGATTGGGAGATGATTGGCAGTCTAACTTGCAGTGTTTCTGTTAACCCTAAAATGGAAGCAAAAGGCCAATTTTGATTTCATTTTAATGTTATGATCTTTATGGTGTTCTGCTCAAACCTTAGGAATATCATTAAAAAACAAAAAAATGAAAAACTCCCCCTAAAACGTCTAGCATTGTGGAGTCTAGATGAAACGTGTATGGCTTGAGAACATAAAGTTTGATGAAAGAGAAGGCCATTTTGCATTCATTCATTTACTCATTTACCCATTCATTGATTACCAGGTATCTTCTTTTTTTTTTTGAGATGGAGTCTTGCTCTGTCGCCCATGCTGGAGTGCAGTGGCTTGATCTCTGCTCACTGCAAGCTCCGCCTCCCCGGTTCACGCCATTCTCCTGCCTCAGCCTCACAAGTAGCTGGGACTACAGGTGCCCACCACCACGCCCGGCTAATTTTTTGTATTTTTAGTAGAGACGGGGTTTCATCATGTTAGCCAGGATAGTCTCGATCTCCTGACCTCATGATCCGCCTGCCTTGGCCTCCCAAAGTGCTGGGATTACAGGCGTGAGCCATCACGCCCGGCCGTACCTTCTTTTTATAAGGCACTGGATATTGATCGAAACCAATTTAAAGCATAGCCTCTTGCTTCAAAGAGTTTATATCTAATAGGATTTATTCCTCTATAATAAAGATAAACCAATATTTTAATCTGTCACTAAACCACAGAAACATATCTTTCAACATATAATTGAACTTGAATATTAAACTCATGAGAAAACACATTTGGGCATTTCTTTTCCTTTAGAACATTTACCTTGTGCTTAAAAGTTATGTTTATAAATCAAACCATTTAGGGTTCACCATGATTTTTATGTGATAAAAGATATGAAAAACAGTACAAAACCAAGCACCAACAAAAACAAGAAAACCTCAAAAGGAGACAAATACCTATAGAAAAATCATTAATTTATTGAATACATATTTATTTAGTGTTCCGTGTTCAATATACTACATTTACTGCCACATGGAGGTATAAACATGATAAGCAAAAAAATCTTCACCTTCCCAGTTTATAATTCTATTGAAAGATAAGAGAAATAAACATGCAGACATAAAACCCAAAAGTTACTCGGTTGGTTGTAATGTATCCTAAAACTCAAATAAATATTAGGCTCTCCAATATCTTTCTCAAACAACTTTGTAATTTTTTTCCTTTTATGGTGCATAACACAATTTGTGCTTATTTATTGACTGGCATAGCTTTTTAAAATGTCAATGAACTCTGTTAGGCTATAAGTTCCATGAAGATAGAAATAATCTCTATCTTGCTGCCTGAGTTTTCTAAGTATGTAGCACATGGAAGCACTCCATAAATATTTTTAATGAGTGACAAAATAAATGAATGGTGGAAGGATAATAACCATACCTTTATTTCAAGAAACACTATATAATAATAAAAAATAATGACAAGTATGATCATGTTGAAAATGCTCAGATAACATTTAGGGGAAAAGATCAAACAGTGATGCAAAAGTATACCCAGAAAAGATCTCCAAGTAAAAATAGATCTTTAAAAAGAGAAAATATATAAAATATTTTCTTTGGTAAAATATGAGCTAAATCATTTGCTCACATTATTTTCTACATTTTCCAAATTTCTAAAATGATAAAATTTTCCATTTAAGGTAACGAATTACAAAAGGATACATTAAATGAAGTTGACAATAGGTCCATTACAGAGTTTGGGGGACGTTCTAATGAGATTGTAAAAGATTAAAGGAGATTATGGCTAAAGAGATTATGATCAGTGTGTTAATTCTGTCCTCTAGGGAAAATGCACGAGATTAGTCATGACTCCAGATGGTGCCAGGACCTTCTGTATCAGGAGTTACAACTGTTAAAAAAACATAGTTTAGGGTTGCACTTAGGACATGTTATTTGGTAAATTCTAACTCATCACAAAAATTAGACTTAATTCATAGGCCAAGTTATTTTGATTTAAATTTAATAGTCAAGTTTAAATTTTTCATTTAACACATAATAAAGTCATTCTAAATAGTAGTAAAAGATAATTCATATAATGTAATTATCATTCTTATACCTAGTGTCCTTGTTTTTCTGAGAGATACTAGGAGTCTTGTTTGGTCATAAAATTTCTATAAGCCAAAGAATAATACTGTCAGAGGCGTTCAAACTAGAGCGACCCCATTTTGAGTGAGGGCTAGGAAAATGAGGCTGAGACTTGCTGGGCTGCATTCCCAGAAAGTTAGGCATTCCTAGACTCTGGATGTTTATGGTTAAGGGAACAGATTAATAATGTTTACTAAAACAGACCCAGACTTGGGAGTGTCCAGATATCCCGATATCTGCATAACAAAGGCATTCCCAATATTGCTTTAAAGAAAATAATACCGTTTCTTGCAAAATACAGTATTTAATGAAATTAATCCTTTATCACAAACCCTTGTAGCAGAACACATCTCCCCATATATGCAATCATTGTACCTAGGGTGGATGCGTTCTTCCTCTTACTTTCAGGTACATCCCACTCTGTCTATGGAGCAGCTGTCCTTTCACCACTTTACTTTCTTAATGAACTTGCTTTTGCTTTGCACCGTGCACTTGCCCTGAATTCTTTCTTATGCAAGATCCAAGAACCCTCTCTTGGGGTCTGGATCGGGATCCCTTTCCTGTAACAATGGTATTTGCACAAAAATTCTCAGAAATTTAGCAAGGCTTACTAGGTATAAACTGACAAGAACAATTAACTAGCACTCCCTTTCCCACTATGATTAGTTTATGAAACATTTCAAACATACCACAAGTTGAAAGTACTTTACAGTGAACACCCATAGGGCTACGCCATTTGTTGTTAACATCTTATTTTATTAGCTTTATTTCATATCTATACAGCAATTCTTCTAAAGTTCATCACCTAACAAATATTTTGTAATGCAATTCAAAGCAAATGGCACTTTCCTCTACATACTTCAGATACACTATTAACCAGAATTGGATGTCTGTTTGTCGTATTTTCTTTTAATATAAAACCTACAACAAAATGGGCAACGTTTAAGTATATATTTGCTTAGCTATGACAAATTAATATTCTTGTATAACCAATAACCCTATTAACATCTGTAATATTACCATCCTTTCCTAGTTAATCTCTACCTTCATTCTTTGAGGCAAGCACTGTCCTGATTTCTTTATACCTAGATTAGTTCTGTCTATTCTAGAATTTGATATAAATAGAATCATACAGTACATACTCCTTGAGTAAGTCTTCATTTACTTTGCATCCTGGGTTATTTCCGGTTTATGCCTATTATGATAAAGTTAATATAGAGATAGGTTCATAGGAGCTACTGTGATGATGATTGTTATTAACAGAGTAGACTCTGGTGATTTGATTTTCAGGCAAAAGACACGAGACAAGTAAGGAACAGGTCAAGGGAGGAATGGAATGGAGAGGCACAGATCCTCATGAGAAAAACTTTCTTGTCAGATATGTTCAGAACAGATAACATAAATTAGGTAGCATTTTTCTGAACTCATGAACATAAATTATCCTGGCCCCTACTTATTATTGCCTGAAAGGATTTTGTCAGAAAGAGCAAAAACAATAATAATAATAATTAATAATAACTTAGCCAGGTATGGGCATGTGCCTGTAGGCCTAGCTCCTCCAGAGGCTGAGGCATCAGGATTGCCTGGGCTTGAGTCCAAGGGTTTGAGGCTGTAGTGAGCTATGATCACACCACTACACTCCAGCCTAGGAGAGAAAGCAAGACTCTGTCCCTTAAAAAGAAAAAAAGAATAAAAGAAAAAAAAAAAAAGAAGAAGAAGAAAATAGATGCTAGTGAGTGTTGAAGACTATGGAGCAGGAAAGTGTGGAGTATGTCATTCAACTCCTACTTGAGGTGTGCTGCCGCAGTAGGGGAGGGCTTTCCACGAAGCCTTCCTACCTGCAAAGTGTTTCCTATAGTTAGAACAATCCTAACGACTGCCTTTGGAACAGGCTTTTGTCAACGAATTACCAGAAAACTCCAAAAAGGCTTGGCCACTTAAGTGTTGGGGAACTTACGGGTCCTTTTGATGTCTGCTCTTGGCATGCCAAACAGTAATTCACACAAAGATAAAAAGCATTTACAGCACTCAAAGGCTATTCTTAATAGATTAAAGCTCCATAGCTGGTTCAATGACAAAGGTCTTTCAATATATATTCTTTCTCCTCTAGAGTAAATATGTAATCATCCTGTGTAAATAATGAGAGAAAATTACACCAGCAGAAAGGAAACAGGAGTTTTATGATTTGAAGGCAAATGAAACAGAATGAGATGAAATTAAATGACCAATATCATAGAGGGAATAGACATTTTGCTAGAATAAATTTATCATCCCCAATATACCTTTATAGTTTAAAAATGAACAGATATCTTTATCATAGGCTTATGTTTTGTAGGTGACCCAGGTTTTATTGACTTCTGAGACAGCCCTCCCCCACCTTGACTTCCTTCTGTTAGCTATGACCAAGGTTGTCACACTAAGAAAATTTAAATATTCTCTAACCTTGCAGGAGAAAAGTGGGGTAACATTGGAAGGTATTATTAGTAATCCAAGACAGGCCTAAAGCATAGTCACAACCCTCAAGGAACTTATAGTGTAGTACAGACTAAATCAATGCAAGAGGGACCTTGAAAATTGTGAGGAAGTCTGACAGGACAATCAAAAAGTGATAAGGCATAGACTTGAAGTGCAATAGTAGGGTCAGTGGAAAGTCAAGCCTAAGGAACTGATTAGACTTAAAATAGGCCTTAGAAGATAGGCAGGGCCTGACTAGGGTGAGATATATATATATATATATCTTACACATATATGCATATATATGTGTGTGTGTATATATATATATATATATATATAGAGAGAGAGAGAGAGAGAGAGAGAGAGAGACAGACAGACAGAGGAGAGAGAGAGATTGAGATTTTACCGTAGAAGTTCCTATATTACTTCCTGCCATTTCCATGTACTCTGGATATTAAATGTAAAAACAGGTGCAGTATATTTGTTTGAAGAGATTATTGGGTAGTTTATTAACTTGGGTACTCATTTTGCTCTTTGTACTATATGCCACCCCAAATTTATAGCCTTTGAATAATTAAGCAATGTTTGTTTCTGAAAGACATCAGCACCACTGTAGAGGGGGTATTATACACTTAATATTTCTTATTAAACATATGTGTGAAATGTTTGGGTCTCATTGTTTTAAAGGTAGAAAGCAACTCTAGCCCTGACATAGAAACTTTTTGTTGTTGTTGTTGCTTAAAGGATTTTCCATTAGATAATTCACAAATTTAACAGTTATGATTACTTTTACCTAGATGACTGTGTGGATATCTTGAAAGTTGTCTTCTGAGTTCCCTGACTCTTCTTTGATCTGAGGTAGTTTTCCTGATGTGCTATTAATAAGGAAGAAGGTGAGAAGAAGAGTGGTGAAGATAAGAAAATATCAAACAACTATTTTAGAACAAGTCTGAGTCCCTTCTTTAAATTTGTTGTGTTGTAGTTTTTAAATGCAGTCTATGAAGTCAGTCATTAAATTAAATGTGATCAAATATGAATCTTTTATAACAATTTTATTATCCCCTTAGATTTTATATTTATTGTTTTTGCTGTTGTTTGTTTAGGCAGTTATCAAGAATTTAAGAAAAGAATTTTATCTTTTAAAAGTGAAATTATAATTTTTCACAATGTTAGTATATGAGCAGAAAAGAACATGTGCAACACTATATTAAAAAAGAAGAGTATGAATTAGAAAAATATTCCTAATTTGCAGAGGTAAATCTTTTACTCTTTCTAGTCCCAAAGTCCAAATTCTTCCTCTAAATCTTTGTTTACGCCGGGGACTTTGCCTAACATAATCTCTGTTTTTTAATTTAAAAAATGAGAATTCTTGTACTATACAATCCTAATATTTCTTTTTAGTGTTAATATTTTATTTTTAATATCATTTAAGTTGTTATAGAATCTGACTATGAAGTCAGAGGATTAAATACCATGAGGTCATAGAGAAACAATGAGTTACATGGTGCAAATACCAAAACCACAAAGGAGCTGATACATTAATTTTTTTCATATTTTGGCTAGAATTATAATTTAAAGAGAGATCCAAATTACATTAATTTATTTAAATTTTCTTGTATCAATTTTGAAATATGTTAGCATAGCAAATAAAATAATACCTTATTATATAACTTATGTGCAGTTAATTTGCTCCTAAATTTCCCTTATGTTAATTGATCTTTTCTGGGGAAAGAAGACATCACCAGTTGGGCATATTTCCATGGTTATTTTTTTCTAAGGCAAAAATTTTATCTTGTGTAGTTTGAATATCTCTCACTCCTAATATCCCATAGAGGCAATGGTTTACTGGAATATTTATTACAGGAAGGAAAAAGGACATAAAAATTCTTGTCGAAATCTTCCTTTTCTGAATTTAAACAATTTCTAGTTACCAGGACTAGAAGTGCTATATAATCTACTTCCAAATGTCAACTACTCAGGACATAATTGGAAAGATCATATATCTAATTCAATGTTCAGTTACATTTTATTTGGACTTTGTAGTGCACAATGTGATGTGTCAGCAATTGCTTTTCAGGAATGAAGCACTTAGTTCCCTAAACTCTGAGAGTGCTACTGGAAGATAGTCTGTTGTGATTCACCCTTATTGGGAATTTTCTTGACTGAAGAAAACTACCTCATCCAAAGCAACAATCCCTTCCATGGATAGCCTGCATCCAACAGCTCATCAATGGAAAGATATAAATGCTTGCCTCCCTCACTCCAACTCAGCATGATTCTGAAGAACCATTCTCATTCAAATGCTTACCAAGAATTCAACTGGGGCCTTTATTGAGATTGTGACAGAGCTCAACCCTCCGCCCAATCCAGCTTTCCTCCCTTCTCTTACACAGGTATTTATCCTAAGTGTACTCCTTAACTAATATGCTATGTGCTAATAGCCATCTTTGTGTGTGTGTGTGTGTAATGTTTTTATTAAAAGTAAATCTTGATTTCATATTTTGAAAGTCATCTCAATTTTTTAACTTTTTTATTTTTTATTTTTTAATGTCTTATTTTTTATTTAAATAGTTTTTTAGGGGAACAGGTGGTGTTTGGTAACATGAATAAGCTCTTTAGTGGCGATTTCTGAGATTTTGGTGCACCCATCACCCAAGCAGTGTACGCTGTACCCAATGTGTAGTCTTTTATCCCTTGCCACCCCTGACCCTTTCCCCTGAGTCCCCAAAGTCCAAGTACCATTCTTATGCCTTTGCATTCTCATAGCTTAGCTCCCATGTGTGAGTGAGAACATACAATGTTTGGTTTTCCATTCCTGAGTTACTTCATTTAGAATAATAGTCTCCAATTCCATCCAGGTTGCTGCAAATGCCATTGTTTTGTTCCTTTTTATGGCTGAGTAGTATTCCATGGTGTGTGTGTGTGTGTGTATGTATGTGTGTGTGTGTATATATATATGTGTGTGTATATATGTGTGTGTGTGTGTATATGTATATATCACATTTTCTTTATCCACTCATTGATTGATGAGCATTTGGGCTGGTTTCATATTTTTACAATTGTGAATTGTGCTGCTATAAACATGCATGTGCAAGTATCGTTTTCTTATAATGACTTCTCTTCCTCTGGGTAGATACCTAGTAGTGGGATTCCTGGATCAAACAGTAGATCTACCTTTAGTTCTTTAAGGAATCTGCACACTGTTTTTCATAGTGGTTGTACTAGTTTACATTCCCACCAACAGTGTAAAATTGTTCTCTTTTTACCACATCCACACCATTCTTTTTTGATTTTTCGATTATGGTCATTCTTTCAGGAGTGAGGTGGTATTGCATTGTGGTTTTAATTTGCATTTATCTGATAATTAGTGATGTTGAGTATTTTTCTATATGCTTATTGGCCATTTGTATATTCATGTCCTTAGCCCACTTTTTATGGGATTTTTTTTTCTTGCTGATTTGTTTGATTTATTTGTAGATTCTGGATATTATTTCTTTGTTGGATGTATAGGTTGTGAAGATTTTCTCCCACTCTATGGGTTGTCTGTTAACTCTGCTGATTATTTCTTTTACTGTGCAGAAGCTTTTTAGTTTAATTAAGTCCCATCTATTTATCTTTGTTTTTGTTGCATTTACTTTTTAGTTCTTGGTCATGAAGTGTTTGCCTAAGCCAATAACTAGAAGGGTTTTTCTGATATTATCTTCTAAAATTTTTATGGTTTTGGGTCTTAGATTTAAGTCCTTAATCCATCTGGAGTTGACTTTTGTATAAGGTGTGAGATGGGGGGCCAGTTCCATTCTCCTTAGATTGTCTGTTTGTGCTTTTTCAGGCTTTTTGATGTAGGCATTTACTGCTATGAACTTTCATCTCAGCACTGCTTTTGCTGTATCCCAGAGGTTCTGATAGGTTTTGTCACTATTATTGTTCAGTTCAAAGAATTTTAAAATTTCCATCTTGATTTTATTGTTCATCCAACGATCATTCAGGAGCAGGTTATTTACTTTTCATGTATTTGCACGGTTTTGAGGGGTCCTTTTGGAGTTGAATACAAGTGGTGAAAGTTCACATCCTTGTCTTGTTCCAGTTTTCAGGGGAAATGCTATTTTACTCCACTGAGGTCAGAGAGAGAACGTGATAAAATTTCGATTTTCTTAAACTTACTGAGACTTGTTTTGTGGCCAATCACATGGTCTATCTTGGAGAAAGTTCCATGTGCTGATGAACAGAATGTATATTCTGCAGTTGTTGGGTAGAATGCTCTGTAAATATCTATTAAGTCCATTTGTTGCAGAGTATAGTTTAAGTCCATTTTTCCTTTGTTGACTTTCTGTCTTGATGACCTGTCTAGTGCTGTTAGTGGAGTATTAGAAACCCCCATTATTATTGTGTTGCCATCTGTCTCATTTCTTAGGTCTAGTAGTAATTGTTTTATACATTTGGAAGCTCAAGTATTAGGTGCATATATATGTAGAATTGTGATATTTTCCTGTTGAACTAGTCTTTTTGTCATTATATAATGTCCCTCTTTGTCTTATTTAACTGATGTTGCTTTAAAGTTTGTTTTGTCTGATATAAGAATAGCTACTCCTGCTTGCTTTTGGTATCCATTTGCATGGAATATCTTCTTCCCCCACTCTACCTTAAGTTTATGTGAGTCTTTGTGTGTTAGGTGAGTCTCCTGAAGACAGCAGAAACTTGGTTTTTGAATTCTTATCCATTCTGCTATTCTGTATCTTTTAAGTGGAGCATTTAGGCCACTTACATTCAATGTTAGTATTGAGATGTGAGGCACTATTCTATTCATCATACTATTTGTTGCCTGAATATCTGTTTTTTTTTTCATTGTGTTATTGTTATATAAGTCCTGTGACACTTATGCTTTAAGGGAGTTCTATTTTGGTGTATTTTGAGGATTTGTTTCAAGATTTAGAGGTACTTTTAGCAGTTCTTGTAGTGCTGGCTTGATAGTGGTGAATTCTCTCAGCATTTATTTGTCTGGAAAAGATTGTATATTTCCTTCATTTATGAAGCCTGGTTTCACTGGATGCAAAATAGTTGGCTGAAAATTGTTTTGTTTAAGGAGGCTAAAAATAGGACCCCAATCCCTCCTAGCTTGTAGGGTTTCTGTTGAGAAATCTGCTGTTCATCTGATAGGTTTTCCTTTATAAGTTACCAGGTGCTTTTGCCTCACAGCTCTTAAGATTCTTTCCTTTGTCTTGACTTTTGATAACCTGATGACTACGTGCCTAGGCAATGATCTTTATGTGATGAATTTCCCAGGTGTTCTTTGAGCTTCTTGTATCTGGATGTCTAGATCTTTAGCAAAGTCAGGGAAGTTTTCCTCAATTATTCCCTCAAATATGTTTTCCAAAGTTTTAAATTTCTCTTCTTCCTTGGAAACTCCAATTATTCTTAGGTTTGGACATTTAACATAGACCCAGACTTCCTGGAGGCTGTGTTCATTTAAAAAAAAATTCTTTTTTTTTTGTCTTTGATGATTTGGGTTAATTTGAAAGCCTTGTGTTCAAACTATGAGGTTCTTTTCTTTTGCTTGTTTGATTCTATTACTGAGACTTTTCAGTGCAGTTTACACTTCTCTAAGTGTGTCCTTGGTTTCCAGAAGTTGTGATATTTTAAATTTATGCTATCTATCTCACTGAATAATTTTTCTTTCATATCCTATATCATGATTTTATTTCTTTAAGTTGGACTTCACCTTTCTCTGGTGCCTCCTCGATTAGCTTAATAATCAACTTTTTGAATTCTTTTTCTGGCAATTCAGATATTTCATCTTGGTTTGGCTCCATTGCTGGTGTCTGATATGATCGTTTGGGGATGTTAAAAAACTTTGATGTGTCATATTACCAGAATTGTTTTTCTAGTTCCTTCTCATTTGGGTAGACTCTGTTAGAGGGAAGATCTGGGAGTCAAAGGCTGCTGTTCAGATTCTTTCATCCCATGGGGTGTTCCCTTGATGTGGTGTTCTCCCCTTTCTCCTAGGAATGGGGCTTCCTGACAGCCTAACTATGGTGATTGTTTTTGCTTTTCTGGATCTAGCCACCCAGTGGATCTACTGGGCTCTGGGGCTGGTAATGGGGAGTATCTGCAAAGAATCCTGTGATATGATCCATCTTCAGGTCTTGTGGCCATGGATACCAGCACCTGCCTTGGTGAAGTTAGCAGGGGAGTGAAGTGGACTCTGTAAGCATCCTTGGTTGTGTTTTTGTTTAGTGCACTGGTTTTGTGTTGGTTGGCCTCTAGCCAGGAGGTGGCACTTTCAAGAATTCATTGGCTGTGGTCCTATAGGGAGAATGCAAACTTGCCCTAGAGATATCTGTTTAAATGTGCAGGTTTCTCAGGTGATGGGCAGGGCTATAAAGCTCCCAAGAGATTATGACCTTTGTTTTTGGCTAACAGGGTGGGTAAAGAAAGACCATCAGGTGGAGGCAGGAATAGGCTTGTCTGAGCTTAGCCTCTCTTTGGGCAGGGCTTGCTGATACAGTTGCTGTTGGGGATGGTGGTGTCGTTCCCAGTCCAAGGGAGTTATGTTCCTAAAGGGATTATGGCTGCCTCTTCTGAGTCATAGAGGTCACCAGGGAAGTGGGGGAAAGCTGGCAGTCATAGGCCTCATCCTACTCCCACACAGCCTACAGTCCTAAAGGCCAGTCTCACTCCCACTGTGTCTCCCCAACAGCACCAAGTCTATTTCCAGGCAGCCAGTGATCAGGGCTGAGAACTTACCCCAGATCATGAGCCTCCCTATTGAGAATGCAAACACACTCACTGTTTTTTGGCATCTCAGGGAGCCTGCAGTGGTGATCCAGTTCCTTCAAAGGGTCTGTGAATTCTCTCAGCTTTCCTGGCATGTTCCTTCAGTAGTTCTTGTAGCAAAAGTTCACAATGTGAGTCTCCACATGCTGCTCTGTCTGACCAAGAAGGAACTGCAAGCTAGTCCAGCCTCCTATCTGCCATCTCAATCCCCTCTTACTATCCATTTTAATGTCTGTTCTTGGCAAACTCTACCTATGACAGGTGATGGTCCATGGTAAGAAAGTATAACAAAGCAGATACTAAGATTTTGGAGCTTGACCTATTATTCATACAGGAAGAACAAATAATCACCTGGGACAAAGCAGCAGTGCAGTTGTTCACCAGGGTGAACTGAGATGCTCTATCAATGGAGGAGTATGCATTAGTTGGTAGATATATCAGATATTTGATAAATGTGAATAAAGTAGTACCTATGAAGACAATGAAATTAAATTGATATTGCCAAACTCAGTTGAAGTTCTGGGAAAAGATAACAAAAAGTTGAGAGTCATTAATTAACAATTAAATTTTAGTGTGAAAGCAGAGGGTCTTGTTGGCAGCATACAAAAAGGCTTGGGTATCCTGTACTAAAAAATAGAAAATGCTGAGGCCCAGGCCCAGTTTTTTATTCTTAGTAGCCAAATTCCAAAAAAAGTTTAAAAGTTACAGCCAAGGTTAGTTGGCTATGCTATACTTGAGAGTCCTGTTTGGGAAATAATGGAAAATCTGGTACATGGGATAAGGAATCTGTGTTGACACATATGAAAATATTTAGTCCCCCAAATTTCTCTGGAGTCTGAGCCTACAGAAATGCTATCACTCCCCCCTTAAAGATGCTGCAGGGGCCTTTCTCTTTATAGACAATGTTACATTCCCCACTTCCCCCAGCCTGCCAGTTTGGTATCTTCCCCAACCTCCTCTTCTGTCTGCTAGGCTAATAACTATGGTTTTGTTCTAGTATAATCAAAGATATTCTATGACTGCTAATGGAGAAACGAGGTCTTTCCCTGACTACTCATTGATATGGATTCTGAGGCTGTT
This sequence comes from Homo sapiens, assembly GCF_000001405.40. Taxonomy (NCBI): domain Eukaryota; kingdom Metazoa; phylum Chordata; class Mammalia; order Primates; family Hominidae; genus Homo; species Homo sapiens. The sequence continues at coordinate 151,963,670 of NC_000003.12, read as the reverse complement.
GGTCTAAGTTGGGACAGAAAATACATTTAGAACAAATAATACACATGCGCACACACACACACACACACACACACACACACTTCTACACACTTCTTAAATACAGAGTTTAACACCCTGGGATATGGTACACACATCCAGATGGCTTTTGGAAGCATGGAAAAATGATGGCTACATTATGTAAAATGGAAATGCCAGAATTGCCATGACAGATGTTGAAAGAAGGAGTTGAAAGGCCCAGAGAAGTAGGCGATTTAGAGTAGATACGTTTTGTGTGACTATGAATGCCCCCAGAGGACTCTGGTCCACACAATGACCCAAAGGAAGGTGCTGATGGGCGGGCCCCAGCATTAATAAGTTCAGTGGAGGCACTCCTTTCTAAGCCAAGGCTGACAGTAGCATTTGCAGAAATAGACTCATCAATTGCAATAGGGGATGATAACAATTAGAAACAATAAAGGTCAGGTGGCAGGGTGTAACCTTCAGAATACAGGCCAGTGTAGTTACCATGATGAATAGCATGAATAGTAGTTACTATGATGGAGTGGCAGCAACATGAGTCTGACTTTTAAGAGTTTAAGAAGATGATTAAATGCACATGGTGAGAGATTCACTTCAAGCATAACAGGAAGGAGCTACATGGAATCACTCCCCAGTTCCTTGCAGGAACCAGGGAAGAAGAGAAGTCAGCATCTTGCTGTGGGTAATTGATCCTGATCACAGGTGGGGGCAGAGCTGTTGTTACAGTGGGTACAGGAAATAATACTTTTGTCACCTGCATGATCCACTTGGGTACTTCTTAGTACTCCCTTTCCCAGTTTTTAATGTTAATAGACAAGCTCAGCAATACTGCCCTTAGAAAGGTACAGGGACAATGGGCTCAGTCACTTTAGGAATCAGGATCTAGAAGCCTAGAAAGAAAATTTTGTTTAAAAAATTAATAAAACTACCTAGGGAAAGATTATAGCAGATGCATAAAAACTATTTGCCACTTGAAAAAGTTAAATCCACAGAAACCACAAATCCGAAGCAATGGAGACTAGTGAAAAAGGAGGAGTCTTGGATTATTGCTGGAGGCACTCTTTTTTCTTTCCCACCACTGAGTTTTCCTGTCTCTCTGCTTTGTCCCTAGACAACTGGCTTACTTAATCAAGGCCAGATGCTATGCTATTCTAAATGCATGGAAAAAAGATTTACTTCCAAAATTGACCTCTAAAATCTTCTTGTTTTTGAAAGAACATTGAAAAAATAGTTTTGAGTTTTATGCAGGTTTTTTGTATTATTTTAAACCCCTGTGTTCTGCTTACATGGATAACAAAACAACAAATTACCATGTAAGGTGATTGTTCATAATACAACATATGTGAAAAACAATCTCTGTTTCAATTATATATATAACATTCTATTTTTCTAACAGGACACTGAGGTTCTCAGTTTAGTGGCTTGTTGGGGTTGAGCACTCCCTCATTCCCAAGAGTAGTTAAGATTATGGCAAACAGCCTATCTTTGATGCCAGAGAAAGGTTGATTGAAAAAGGATACATGACTGGAGTCAGGTCAGTTAGAGTTGTCCACACAATTTCATTCTTTGGCCAAGAGATCAGGGAAATGAACTCTTGTTTTCCAAAGGCTTTTAAAAGAGGAAACATGAGCCCCATGAAAGCCTCACCTGAGAATGAAACCAGCACCAAGATGACAAAGCTGAAGCCCATTTGAACTTTGAATAGTCTCATCTAAATCTGGCCTTGAATTGCTCATGTCCCTGAGTCAATAAATTTTGGGTTTGTTTGTGCTTAATTTACCATGGGTAGAGTTTTCTGTTATTTACAACTCATAGTATCTTAACTTATATATCCTTAAGGAGTACTGCCATAAAACACAGACAATCACAGCAACTTAAGTGCACAAGGAGAGAAATTTGGAAAGGCCCCTTCTATATTGCTTTTCAGGACCCAGGATCCTGGAATGTCTTGCCAAAACAGCCTCAATCCTGCTTCAAGGTCCTATGTAGCCTTCTTCCACAGATCTCTCCTCTCAAGACCTGATAGCACTACTGGTGTGTATTAGCTCAAGTTGTGAGAGGGGTTTGCTAAGAGATGCTTATTGAAAGGATGTGCAGGTTAGGATATCCCTGTGTATATAAGACCCCTCCCAGTTCTAGATGGAGTATGGCACCACATGGATTGGAAGAGAAGGAGGCGAGCTTTGAGTTCCCACACGTATTTCTACTATTAGATTGCTGCAAAAGTATTTGTGGTTTCTGTAATTACTTTCAAGGGCAAAAACCGCAATTACTTTTGCACCAACCAATATATGCACCCTGCCATTCACTTTTCTTACAGTTATGTTTTTCTCATTGTTCTTCATAGCACTAAATTCTTGATGCAGAAAGCCACAGAAACATCTAGATCATGCCAATATGTATTGTATTTATGATTTTTCAGACTCATTTGGTTCCTCAATGCTGCTTAACAAACATTCTTCCTAGTTTATTCCACAGCAGTAAATCTTCAAACACTCTGTACCATCTGTTCCTTATTCTTGGCAGATAACCCAACTCCCATTTTCAGAGCAAATAGAGAAAATTTAGCTTGATTTCCTTTCTTGCCATGCTTATTATATCTTACTCATTATTTTTACTTTCTACCTCAAAGATTAGGAAATTTAGAAGCATCATTAAGAGCACGGGCTTTGATGTTACATAGATTCAGGTTTGATTCCTGGTTCAGATATTTGTTATTTGCGTGATTTTTGACAGATTATTCAATTTTTAAAGTAACTCTCCTCCTATATATCATAAAGCTAACAATAATAATAATCATGAGATTATTAGTGAATTTGAAGAGAAAATACATTAAAGGTTGACAACAGAATGCTTGCACGTGCAAAATGTTTAACAGCTATTAACTTTATTAAGTGTTAAGCTTTTAACTATAATGCAAGAAAAAATTCTAAGGGAAACTTCTATATGTATGTTCTGAATTAGAATCACTACTTAGAGCCACCATTAGACCTGAGTAGGTTGCTGCACTAGAACCTATGCCTCAGGCTGCCTATGCTTCTGAGTGCCTTATTCTTGGGATCATCTAGAATTGGCAGTGCCATCTGGGTGGGATTTCCTGAGCCCAGATCTGGTCATGCATGGGTCTGATTGTTGGATGTACTAAATGTGAAATGTTCTAAGTCTCTCTCGAGTGGCTTGGACCGGCCAGGGCCTACGGTACAGTCTGGGCAGGGTACACCAAGCCTGGACCAGCTTTCCAATTTCTCCCCTTTGGAACATTCTTTGGCCCTCTGTCTCACTTATGGGGTTGACAAAATATACCAGTGGACACCAAGACTCATGCCTATAATCCAGGAGGTGTCCTGCTTGGCAAATTTCTTCCACTAGCTGGTGAAGAATTTCTTTCATGAGATAATGCAAGATTGGTGTACAAGAATGGTGATTTGAGGTGACTCTCAATTATCTTGGACATAAGATTTGTTCAGACCTCTGGGCTCCAGTAGTTCATTTTCTGATTTTTAAGCTTGAGCTGTGTCGGGAGGTCTGTAAGTTCGTTCTCACCCATATTTATTCCCACTGCAGTACTGCCTCTTGTCTACAGCACTCGAGAGGTGGTGGCTGGAATTCTTTACCATGTGCATCCCCTATCTCTGGCACCTAGGATGGTCACGTTGTCTCCTCCACAGTCCTCTGGGGTAGCTAGCTGCACCTATCTCTTCCAGGGGCTTTTGAGATCAGTCTTCTGCAATGCCAGTGGACTCTTGTTGATGTCCTATCTTGTCTCTAATGTGTGTAGTTATATTGTGCTCTCCTGATTCACTCTCTTAAGATGTACTGTGAAGGATAGATATTCCCTGTGCAAATCAGGCTTCTTTTCCCAATTTGCTCATGAACCCCTCATCTATCCTCTTTGCTGGTGATAGTGTGTGAAAGTCAGAGGTGCAGTCAACAATGAAAGAGATAACAAACACAGAATTTACAGCCAAAAGATTTCAAGAGTAGAGATGAATGGAAGAGATGTTGTTCAGTAGTTATACTATAAACTTCTGAATGATGAATTTACTTAATTAGAAAACTAATTATTACTCACATTTCAGTATACCCTAGGTAAAACTTACATGTGTGGTCATCATCAAAGATTCAGAGTCACAACTTTTGAAATAATTAACAGACACCAATATTTATAGGTGGCACAATGATTAATGTAGTACCATGAGCAAAGATCATTAAAATATGGTATTAGGGAACAAAAGAGGCAAGAAATCTCTATTATTTCAATATAAAATGTTTGGAAGAACCATGGCATTATAAGTAGCAACAGCATTGCTGTCTTTCTTTTTATTATGGGAGATATTAAATGAGCTGTAAATGGTACATTTTATAATAACATATCCATTTTATAATAAAGAGATGGTCTCTAGATAGGAACAGAAAGAGATAGTGCCTGGCTACTATAAAGAATCTTTAAGTTAGCTGACTGGACAATAACTACATATGTAAGTACCTCCTTTCTACTCTTTATTCTACTTCTTCATTGATAAATTATTGTATTCCACATGGGCCCTTGAGTTTTATAATACATTTTAAATCAAATTGTTTTTGCAAACATGGTCCCCTCAAAAACTATTTGTTATAGCTACCACACATCTCAGGGCTGCTGCTCTTGACTGCACCTAGCCATGCAGGCTACACACCTGCAATTACAGGGGGGCCCGTTCTTATAGACTTTAAAGACGATGGTACCAAATTGTTCAATGGAGACTGATTTCATCTTTTAAGGCCTTCTCTGGCAATCCTGTCCTGTAAGTATTTCCCTTCTGCCTTAGTATTTTTCTTTATCTTTAAAACATTTTTTTCTTAATTCTTGAATCTTCTAAAAGGACACTGCTGTACTTCTCCCTCACCACCACTACACAGTCAGCCTAAAAGGACACTGCTCTACTTCTCCCTCACCACCACTACACAGTCAGCCAAAAAGTCCAACAGTGCAACCTCAGCCACAATTCACAAATCCATCACATTCTGCCCATTTTCTTCACTAAGGACTAGGTTATTTACATTGGCTCCTCCTCTGCAGCTCTCTCTTCCTAATCTCCACTCTTATATAAAGGACGACATTGCCCTCAAATATGCATTGTATTATGTATAGCCAAATTTTCCAGACATCAAGATAAAATTAAAAATTTTCAGTAAAGTACACAGGGCCTTTGACAATCTCATCCAAGCCCTCACTTATTGTTTAATCTCTTAACGTTAACACCACGTATTTGATACATCATTCCTATAATCATCCTCTGAAGAGAAAATAAACCTTAAATATTTTGCTGATCCTTTCTCCCTAGAATGCCTTTGCTCTACATTGTATGTGTGCTCAGGTCCACTCACCTTATAAAATGCAGCTGAGCAAAGCCTTTATCTGTAATGTTTTACTAGGCCTTTCTGGGCAAGTTTGGTAGATCCCTCCATCATGCCTCCTGCTGTTATGTATTTATCACACTACATGTGAAATTACCTGCTTGTGTGTCTGTCATTAGGCTAGACTGTGAGTTCCTTGAAGTGTGAAACTCTGTTTTATTCATATTTGTATTTCCAAAGCATGAGGAATAAGTGTCATTAAATGTATATGGATGAATGAATAAATTCCCTACAATTCTCACATGTATTTTCCTTAATCTTTTTTGTAGAAGTGTTTTCTAGCTGTTTATAATACACTCATAAATAAATGTAGCATAGACATAACTCATTGTTTTCACAAGTACTCAATGAGAAATTATTAAAGTACAATTAACAAAATATATAAAGAAAGTTGAAAGAGGCAAAATGATTGAATATTTTGTAAAATTGTTTAAATTAAATACTTTTTATCCTGGCTATTCCTGCAGGGCTGCTTTCTGTCATTGAACCTTCTTTCTAGATCCCTTCTATAATACTGAGAGAGAGAATTGAGGGAACTGATGCTAGGAAACCCATCAGCAGATGAGAAACCTAAATTTTGAATAAAAATATAATCCAAATGCTAAAGTGAAAAAGTATTAACAACCTATCACAAATCAAGCAAGAAGATAAGGAAGAAATAAGAGCATATGAGTATTAATGTTTAGGGTAAGCAGTGAATTTAGAAACCAGAAGGCAGCTTGAAGATTATTTTAAAAAGGGGAGAGGGTAAAACAAAGTAAGGAAGTTAGACGAAGCCCTAACAGGCATGAAGGTATTGAATGATTCATGGGAACCAAAAAGGAAGAACAAACTAAAGAATACTACAAATGTAAGGTTTCAAAAATCAAGAGGTTTCAAAAATCAAGAGACCTTTGCATTTAATGACAAGGTACTGACCTAGCTCTTCGTGTTCTTCTGCCTTAAGGCAAGTATACTGTCTAGAAAGACACATTTATGAAGGTGAACTCAAAGTAGCCTTAATGAGAGAAAAAGAATTGCTTCCGTTTATCTTGAGACTGCACATTAAGGTGGTTCAGGAATTTCATAATTTATTGTACTCAAATGGTTATACTATATCAAACATGCAGCAAAAATATAAATGTAGACAAGGAAAACAGCACAACTAGGCTGTAGATAAAACAAAAAATATATGACAATTTTTTAAAAAATAAGGGAAAAAATAAGTAGAGATGAAAAAGGATAGACTTGCTTAACTTGGAGACATCCTACAGGTAATAGCGATGGAGTGAGACTCTCCCATAAGACGATAGTGACAAAGCCACCATAGAAGTTGGTTATATGGAACCAAGATCACTGTAAAAGCCAGGAGATGGCAGGGAGGGGTGGGGGGAAGAACAGAAGGTATGCTTAGAGCTCTGGTTTCCAGAGAGCTGAGAGCCTGGGGAGGTGAGAGGACAACTGGCTTCCTTATGACCAGTAACTGAAGCAAGGGTGAATGATGGCCACGATTCATCATGGGGCCGTGCCCTGAGCCACTATTTTAAGACTGGCCCTGGATTGGAAACCCTCAGATTTGAGCTACACCAAATCTGTTAACCAGCAATATGTGTGCAGATGGGTAGAGGTAGAATATATTTTAAAAAACCCACACACACAAAATACCCAAATACCTCCCCAAACAAATTTACCTACAAAACAAATATTACAAATACAAAAAGAAATTTAATGATAAGAATTAAATATAAATGGCTACAAAGTATAATAACCATTAGGGTGGCTACTATAAGAAAAATAGAAAATGACAAGTGCTAACCAAGATACGGAGAAACTGGAACTTTTCTGCATTACTGGTAGGAAAGTAAAATGTTGTAGCTGCAATCCAAGCATCTGTTGATGAATGAATACACAGACAAAATGTTACTACAATATGCATACAATAGAATAGTATTCAGCCCTAAAAGTAAGACAATTCTGACACATGCTACAACATGGAAAAACCATGAAGACATTATGCTGAGTGAAATAATCCAGTCACAAAAGGACAAATACTGTATGATTAGACTTAGATGAGTTACTGGAGTAGTCAAAGCCATTGAGACAGAAAGTAGAATGGTCGTTACTAGAGGCTGGTAGGGAAGGAGGAACAAGGAGTTAGCATTTAACGGATACTGAATTTCAGTTTGAGAAAACTAAAGTCCTCGAAATGCATAGCCATGATGGTGGCTCAACAATGTGAATGTACTTAATGCCACTGAACTGTACACTTAAAAATGGTTGAAAGGGCAAATATTATGTTGTATATATTTTGCTAAAATAAAAAAGAAAAAAGATCACATAGAAAACTAAATACAATAGTATCAAGTTATTCCAGGTAAAACAATATTGAACTGTCAGATAAAGTCTCATATAAGTGTAATGAGAATGCTGACACAGATACCTGGTGGGAATACATTTGTACTTATAATGTCAGCAGGACCCAAGGTCTTATTAGTTTTCTGTAACACCATGCATGATATATACATTTTACTGTTTCATATATATCACCTCATGGATACAAAAGGGCTGTTGCATTTCTAGAATCATTTCTACATTGAAGGCAGGAAAAAGGTAGAAAGAGGCAACAGGCTTTCTTTCAGTGACCTAATTTAATCAGGAAGGGAAGGCCTCTTTAAATTACATTCTGACACATTTCTCTCTCCATTGTCAATGCAAATGCCCAGCTTTAGATAATCATCAAGGGTAATGGGATGACCTCAACTGGTTTAGATCCATCATGATTTGTCGTATGGAGAGGTACCTAGCTTCCTCCCCTCCATCTCCTATCACTTTCTGGGAAATGAAGGTTATGTTGCATATAAGGAATAGGGAAATGGCAGTTGGGTATATAATAAAGAGCTGACACATACAGCAAGAAGAAAAGTGAACCCAAAATAAGATGTGAGATATAAGAAAAAACAACATATGAAGACATTGATAAATTGTACTGCTAAACCTTATATTTTGTTATGCAAAATCTACTTTATAGTGTTTGTTTACAAATATGAATAAATGAATACATAAATGAACAACTGAATTACTTTACAATCAAATAACAAGGGTCTGCTTAATTGGTAGTTAATATATGATAGGGTCCTCTTCATGTTTAGGAGGAAGACTGAAATATTAAATAACAAAGATTTAGTCAGAAAAAATATAGTTAATAAATGCTAAGAACTTAAATAAGCAAAGAAAAATAAAACAATGTTGTCTTTAGAACATGTCACTCCAAAAAAACAAAACAAAACAAAACAAACAAACAAACAAAAACACCCTAGAAGCAGAAATAAGAACAAAGGAGAGCAAAGAGAAAAAAATAACAGAAAATGTATCAGTTAAGAGGTAAAGATTATCGGCTTGGATAAATATAAAAGCTCAGTTATACTTAGCTGTAAGAAAGAAAAGTTGAAAAGAAGAATTAAGACACACTTGTTTTCTACCCTCAAGCCACGAATATTAAACGTTACTGATAGTGTTGAAACATCTTTACAGACTTTGCCCTGATTGCTTGCTCCTGCAATCCCCACCAGAGCTACAACTTTCCTAAAATGTTTGTTCAAGCTCCCTATGTATTTCTAGTGGACTTTTATTCATATGTCTATATCCCTGAACAACATGTTTATCATGTTCATATCTTTAAACTTCATTTGAATGGAAACACAGTTACCTAGTCTTCCGCAGTGTCTTGATAAACATTATGTTTGTAAATGTATCCATGTGGGGCTTCTTCGTTTTCATTGATAAATAGTATTCACTTTTCCCCTCCAAGTTTTTATTACTACAAACAATGCTGCTGTAAGTTTTCTTGTGCAAATCTCCTTGCCCACATATATAAGAAGTCTTTTGAGGCATATACCAAAGAGCGAAATTTGCTGGATTATAAGAGGGTGTTTATATATTTAACTTTACTAAATTTCATCAAATTGTGCTCCATTGCAGTGATGAGAATTCCCATTAATTTGCATTGTTCTGATCCTTGTTATTTTGGTATTGCAAGACTGCTTAATTTTTTTCAGCATTATTGGTGTAATTTCAAATTGTAATTTTAATTAGCAGTTACCTACATTTCAGTGAGTTTCTTTGAGCATCTTTTGTGCTATGTTTGTTGGCCATTTGGTTTCCCTATTTCACAAATTTTCTATTCATACCTTTTGTCCATTTCTTCTCTGGTTTGTGTGTTTGTGTGTATTTTCTGATTAGTAGAAGTTCACTATAATTGTGCATAATAATTCTATGTGGGATATATGCATTTCAAATAACTCTTCCCATTTATCTTTTCACTTTCCTTGTGGGGCCCTTTTTGAGAAAATAAACTATTTTTTACAGAGCACTTTTTTTACAGAGCAGTTTTAGTTTCAGAGAACAATTGAGTGGAAGGTACAAAGATTTTCCACATATCCCCTGTTCCCACACAACATACCTTATCAACATCCATTTTTTGTTGATTTTTTTTGAAGAATAAATTTTGTTTTTTGAGACGGAGTCTCGCTCTGTCAGTTGCCCAGGCTGGAGTGCAGTGGCACAATCTCGGCTCACTGCAACCTCTGCCTCCTGGGTTCTAGCGATTCCCCTGCCTCAGCCTCCTGAGTAGCTGGGACCACAGGCGCCCGCCACCACGCCTAGCTAATTTTTGTATTTTTAGTACAGACAGGGTTTCACCTTGTTAGCCAGGATGGTCTCGATCTCTTCACCTCGTGATCTGCCCGCCTCAGCCTCTCAAAGTGCTAGGATTACAGGCGTGAGCCACCGCGCCCGGCCTAAAATTTCTTAATGTAAGCATCATCTGGTTTATAAATCTTTTCTTGCATGGATATTCCTTTAGAGTCTTAAAAACACAAGATCATAAAAATACATTGTCATATTTTCTTCAGAAGGTTCTAGGTTTGTTGTTTTATGTTTAGACTCTTTGGTACAGCTGGAGCAATGGCCAATGCTGAGTTCTTATTTTGGCAGACAGTATGAGCACAAAAGTAAAGCCTTTAACAGCAATTTTTTGGGGGGGAATAGACCCTCCAGCATCTTACTATCTGAGTCCAAAATATTGCAGACCTTAGCAAGCTGCTCTCCCCTTCCTTACCCATGTCAGCTTCCTGAGTGCAAGTTTTTATTCCCTCATAGACCCACAGCCCTTCTCTCCCTCAGTATCTGATAAGTGACTGCTTTTGGGATGGGCCCCTCTTTACCTCAGAAAAAATGGGTATACCACCCTTCTAAAAAATATTGTATGGCCGGGCGCGGTGGCTCACGCCTGTAATCCTAGCACTTTGGGAGGCCGAGGTGGCTGGATCACGAGATCAGGAGTTGGAGACCAGCCTGACCAACATGGTGAAACCCCGTCTCTACTAAAAATACAAAAATTAGCCGGGAGTGGTGGCGCGCGCCTGTAGTCCCAGCTATTCGTGAGGCTGAGAGGCAGGAGAATTGCTTGAATCCGGGAGGCAGAGGTTGCAGTGAGCCGAGATCGCGCCACTGCACTCCAGCCTGAGTGACAGAGCGAGACTGTCTCAAAAAAAACAACGACAAAAAAATTTTTTTTTTTAGTCAGAGATTCTCAGGTCCTTTTCTGATCTTGCACCTTGATTTCTCTGGCAATTTTATTCATCGAGAGAGAGAGACAAAGAGGGAGGGAGAGAGAGTAAAATAAACTCATGATCGTAACTTAAAAGTTAGAATAGTGTGTTTACTCTACAACCCATAGGTACTTTGGCCAGCCAATAAATAAGCAATGCTTGTACTCAGTCCACCAACATTTTACTGGTTGTTATTTTCTTACTTAATCTCCCAAATCTACAAATATTAATGTAGAAAAAAATTCCTGTTAGAAAGTTGGGTCCCATTTTTATAACTCAATATGGCTATAGATAGTAAAAAATAAAGCCCTTAAACTTAGCTCCCCAAACTGCTTTTTAAAAAATTCCTTTCTACTCACCTAGCTCAGTACTGGGCTACCCTATACCCCCTCACGTGACTCACAACCATCCAAAGAACGCTCATATGCCAAAGGGCCTTTTGCAACATACACAGAGGTAGATACAGTTGTGGATGTTCTTGCTTAGACCATATTATTTTGCAGGGGTTCAGTGGGAATATCCAAGCTGAGGATTATAGAGCTAGAAAAGAGAGCATAACATATGAGAATAAATTCTTAAATTCCTGTCATCAGGAAGTCTTTACCAGAAAGAGGTAGGGAAAGTAAGTAGTGAAAGTGATTTCAAACTCTGCTCAAATGGAAAATCATATTTCATTTTTAATAGTTTCTGGAGATGAAAGGCAAGCATGGAATAAACTGTCCTGATGTGTTCCATTCTACAACCCAGGCCAGTTTGTTCAGGGTCAAACAGTTTATCAGAATGCTAGGATTCACACTTGGTTTTATAAACTTAGATCAGATAAACCTAACTAACGCCTTTTATAATCAAGGTTTGTGCACCAAGAGCAGAGAGTAAAAAGGGAACTGATGAGGATGACACTGATTTGGAAGTAAAGTCTCTGGAATAACAGGAGAGGAGACCTGGGGAAGGGGAATTGAAAAGAATCCTCAACTCTTTTCATTGAAATGAAGAAAATATCAGAGTTATGGCGAGGATAAGTCAACAATGTGAATCTTTGGGATAAATGCAGCAAGCTGATGTTGCAGTACACAATTTGGGAATATCTGCTAGGCAGGGAATCTGTTTTGAAATAGATTTCAAAACTCATTTTGGATTCACTTTATGTTCTCCCCATCCTTTGCATCTCTTACAATTCAGTGTTAGCAATTACATTCCAGAAAGCAGAAAAGAAATATAAGTTGAGTGAAGACACTTGGAAGGCAATTTCATAAAGGATTCAGAAGGAACCTTGTAGGAAAAAATACTGCTCTGGAAGAGATATGATAGGAACTGAAGCTGTTTTCTTAATTGGCCTGGAGAGCTCTCTTACGACACAGGAACCTCCTGAAAGTGCAGATAAAAGACACTTAGTTCTGTTATTGCTTCTGTGAGGATGAATTTGGTGAGGTGACAATAGTTACAGGAGGAGGAAAAGAGATCTTTTTACATAGAATAAACTAAAATAAGGCTGAACAGCAAACTAACTCTTGGGATGTGAAAGCTTAGTCATATTGAAAACAGTTCCCGTTGGAAGGAAATTGATAAATATCCACATCTGAATCTTTGGAAGAATTTGGATTATGAAAAGATACAACAAATTACCATTGGGGAATGAAGGGGTAATTTGCAATCTTTTGTTGATAGAGCTAAATTTTCAATGAAGGGAAATGAAGCCAAGTTTAAAGGGAGAAACGTTATTTGGTGGTTCGGGCAGCATTTCATAAATATATATAATAACTTAAATGGGAATTGAAGAACAGCAAAAGAGTAAATGAGAATTTAAATGTTAATTACTTATAATAATTACTTGTAATAAACTAGAAGATGAATTTGAGATTTCATATTTTTGTTTTACTGATTTTAAGGTTCATACAGCTAAAATATAGTAATACTCTGAGCTTTCAGTTAAAAATCTCTCTAAAGTATACATACAATATATTCTATGACAGAAATACACATTTACTTAAATGTTTCTTCTCATATTAGGTAGACAGAAACACTTGATTTCAGACAAGAATAACTGTTTATACATATGCAGCTGATTCAGATAATATTTGTAAAACATATTCTGAGATACGCAGACTGTATTAATTTACTAACCGAAATGTTTCACCATGACAAGGGAAAGACTCTACAGAGATTACAAAAATGATTTTCTTATTTTATTGTCTGAAAAAATCAAAAGATTAAAAACCTATTAAACAGAAGTCTGGGTTCAATTTTTGCCTTAACTGGTTCACAAGACATTTTTCAGAGAGCAAAGAATTGAAAATGGAGAAACATACTGTAATTTTTTGTGTCCTTGTGTTCTCATCATTTAGCTCCCACTTATAAGTGAGAACATGAGATATTTGGTTTTCTGTTCCTGTATTAGTTTCTTAACAATAATGGCCTCCAGCTCCATCCTGTTCCTGCAAAGAACATGGTCTCATTCTTTTTATGGCTGCATAGTATTCCATGGTGTATATGCCACCTTTTGTTTATCCAATCTGCCATTGATGGACATTTAGGGTGATTCCATGTCTTTGCCATTGTGAATAGTGCTGCGATGGACATATGTGTGCATGTGTCTTTACGGTAGAAAGATTCGTATTTCCTGGGGTTTATACCCAGTTATGGTATTTCTGTTTTTAGCTCTTTCATGAATCATCAAACTGCTTTCCATAATGGTTAAACTAAGTTAGACTGCCATTAACAGTGTATAAGTGTTCCTTTTTCTCCACAACCTTGCCAGCATCTGTTATTTTTTGACCAATGATAGCTATTCTGACTAATGTGAGATAATATCTCATCGTGGTTTTGATTGGCATTTCTCTAATGATCAGTGATGTTGACTTTTTTTTTATAAGCTTTCTGGCTGCATGTATGTTTCCTTTTGGAAAATATCTGCTCATGGTCTCTGCCCACTTTTTAATGGGGTTGTTGGTCTTTTTCTTGTAAATTTGTCTAAGTTCCTTAAAGATGTTGGCTATTAGACCTTTGTCAGACGCATAGTTTGCAAATATTTTTCTCCCATCCTGTAGGTGGTCTGTTTATTCTGTTGATAGTTTCTTTTGCTGTGCAGACACTCTTAAGTTAAATTTGATCCTATTTGTCAAGTTTTTGCTTTTGTTGATTGCTTTTGGTGTCTTTCTCATGAAATGTTTGCTCATTCCTGTGTCCAGAAATGTACTGTCTAGGTTGTCTTCCAGAGTTTTTATAGTTTTGAGTTTTACATTTAAATCTTTAATCCATCTTGAATTGATTTTTATATATAGTATAAGGAAGGGGTTCAATTTCATTCTTCTGCATATGAGTGTCCAGTCATCCCAACATAATTTATAGAATTGGGAGTCTTTTCCCTATTGTTTTTTTTTTTTTTTGGTCAGCTTTGTTGAAGATCATATGGTTGTCGGTGTACAGCCTTATTTCTGGGCTCTCTATTCTGTTCCATTGGTCTATGTGTCTGTTTTTGTACCAGTACCATGCTGTTTTGGTGACTCCAGCCCTGTAGTACAGTTTGAAATCAGGTAGCATGATGCCCCCAACTTTGTCCTTTTGCTTAGGCTTGCTTTTGCTATTCAGGCTCTTTTTTATTCTGTATGAATTTCAAAATAATTTTCTTTAGTTTTGTGAAGAATGTCATTGGTAGTTTGATAGAAATAGCAACAAATCTGTAAATTGTTTTGTGCAGTAAAAAAGAAAGAAATTTTGCCAAAATTGTTTTCCTTGATTGTGGCTAGGACAAACAAAATTAATTTATGTTTGTCCTTTGTGATAAAAAGTCAAAACGTTTTTTACTATTTAGAAGAAAGAAAAATTAGAACCCAAATATTACCAACTAAGCAATTATTCTGGAAATATAAAAAGAATTCACTATTGAAACATACATAGAAACTTCTGTTTCCAACTGTGTGGTGAGTTAGTTTCTCAGATAGACTCTTTCAATGATAACAACTCAAATGCCAGATAAATTAAAATTTAAAATCCTAAATGTGGAGTTGAACTTGCAGAAGTAAAAAATACCCAAGCGAAAATCCATTTGAAGGCTGAAACTTTGAAAGCTAATAAATGCAGGTGGCTTTTAAATAACAAAAAAATTGAACTTTCCTTTTTATGGCCTTCAGGGCATTGGAGACTGGAAACAAAGCTTCTATTTCAGCAAGCTGAGAAATCTGAAAGGAGATGTAACTAACAAACCCTTCTTCCCTCAGTTTCAAAATATATTGATTATCTTGAATCTAGGCACTGAAAGGGAAGAAAGACTTAAAAACGAGTCCCTAAACCCTCTTTTTGACCAAACTTTAGCAGCTCCTGTGAATCCTCTTTTGAACCAGGCCTCATCCTAGGACCCTGTCTTTGATTCTTGTTCTTTGAATCCAGTTTTAGCAAGAATTCTTCATTCCTTTTTTCCCTGTTCCATGAGTCCAGTTTTTAAATCCTGCCAAGTCAATTTAGAGAGAATCCTCCACTCTTCATACCTGGTCACCCTGACCTGTTATCAGTAAGAACCCTGTTAAGACTGTTTAGCCAGAATTCCCTACCTTTGATGTCTCCTCTTAGCAATTCTCCATTCATGACCCCCTCACTCTTCTCATAGGCTATAGACACCTTGTTGCTTTTGCTGTATTCAGAGTTGAACCCAATCTTGACCACCTATTACAATATTCAGGACATCGATTACAATAGCTCTGATAAAGTCTTCCTTATAGTTTTAACAAGTGTCAGAATAAGTTTTTCTTTAACACCCTACAGTATTATAACTACAAGTCTAATCTTATATCAATTTGAAGTTAGAATTCATATTACTTATGTGATATGAACAAATTCAAGTATTTAACTTTAAGTGATCTTAAATTGTTAATGCACTCAGATAACTTCCAGAAATGAAGAGAAATCCTCTCAGGAAGAATCTACCTTAATCCCAGTCGTGGAAAACCATGGAGATAGAAGCTACGGAAAACCTCAAAAACCATAGCTCTCAGGGAGGAGCACCTTTGATGCCATCGGGTGTAGCTGCATTTTCAAAAGGATGGGGCAAATGCCATTGCTTTTTATATCTTTCAGTCCTTGCTCCAGTAGAGCGAGAATGTGTGCTCCATCATAGAAATGCATTACAGAGTTTGACAAGAGTAATTTCATGAGACAGCCCACCAAAAAATGAAGCCACAGGAAGCCAAAGTACTGGGGAGACTGTGGAGAGAAAGGAGCTCAGAAAAGTGACCCAAGAAAGTCCTTTAGGAATGATAGGACTTTCATGTAACCTGCATATGCATAGATCTGACCCCAAACAGCACATCAAAGATCTATGAGCACTGAACTAACAGATAGTCTAGGTCCCAGACTGAACACTGTGGAGTGCATACCCAGGAGAGAGCAAACAGCACAACAAAGGTTTGGAACACTGAACTAACACTGGAACCACAGTCTATAGGGGGTGGGTTAGAACTTGTGGGAGGCTGAGGAGGGTGGATCACTTGAGGTCAGGACTTCAAGACTAGCCTCACAAACATGGTGAAACCCTGTCTCTGCTAAAAATACAAAATGAGCCTGGCACGGTGGTGTACACCTGTAATCCCAGCTACTTGGGAGGCTGAGGCAGGAGAATCACTTGAACCCAGGAGGCAGAGGTTGCAGTGAACCGAGATCATGCCACTGCACTCTAGCCTGGGCAACAAGAGTGAAACTCCATCTCAAAAAAAGAAACAAACAAACAAAAACTTGTGGCCCAAACCTACTGAAACAAAATATTAACAATCTGCGTAGAATTTAAACAAGACTCCAAAGAATCTTGAAGTAATTCACAAAATGTCAAAAATGACTCAGCATAGAAAGAAGCACAAACATTTCAATTCACATGAGAAAAGACAATCAACAGACAGCAAAGCTGAGATGACAATAGATGTTGGAATTAGCTGACAAAGACTTTAAAGTAGCTATTATACAAATGTTTCCAGAAGCAATTGTGAACACTCTTGCAACAAAGGTTAAACAAAAAGCTTTAGCAAAGAAATCAAAGATATAAAGAACCAAACTGAAATTTTAGGATGGGAAAATACAATAAACACCTTCTTCTATCCTCCAATAAAAATCTCACTGAGTTCAACAGCAGGATGGAGATAACGGAGCACAGAGTCAGTGAACTTGAAGACGGATCAGGAGAAAAAACTCATTTAACCGAAACAAGACAAAGAAAACAACTTACAAAAGAACAAAATCTCAAGGACCAACAGGATGATACCTGAAGATCTAACCATGCCACTGGAGTTTCAGAAAGATAGGGTAATGATGAAAAAAATAAAAAATAATGACAGAAATCTTCCAAACTTTATTTTTTAGAAAATGTATAAAAGAAGTGAAGCAAATCCCAAATAGGATAAACTCAAAGAAATCTATGCACAGACATATCATAATAAAACTGCTGAAAACCGAAGACGAAGAAAAAGTGCTTAAAGCAGCCAAAGAAAAGTGACACATTAACTATAGGGGAAGAATGATTTAGAAACTTCAATACTTCTCATCAGAAATCATGGCAGACAAGAAGAAATGCTGAAAGAAAAAACTGTCAATTCCTAATTAAGAAAATGTTTTATTATGTTTAATCCAGAATTTTATATCTAAATGAAATATCCTTCAGTAGTGAAATTCTCACTACTGAAGGATATTTCATTTAGATAGGATATTTCATTTAGATATAAAATTAAAAATGTCCTCAGATGAAAGAAAACTGAAAGAACTTGTATCTATCAGTCATGCTTTAAAAGAATTTCTAAAGGAAGGTTTTTAGATAGAAGGGAAATTGTTTCTGAAACAAAACACTTGAAACTCCAGGAATTAAGGGAGAAGAAAAGAAAGAGCAACATTTCAATGAAAAGTTGTCATAGTTCATTTGGGCTTCTCTAAAGAAATACGATAAACCAGGGTAGGTTATAAACAACAGAAATTTATCTCTCAGAGTTCTCAAGACTGGGAAGTCCAAGATCAAGGGGTAGCAGATTTAGTGTCTGCTAAGAGCTTGTTTCCTGGCTCATAGATGGCACCTTCTTAGTGTATCCTCACATGATGGAAGTGGCAAACAACCTCCCTTAAGCCTTTTTTTAAAATAAGAGTACACTAATCTCATTCATAAGGGCTCTACCTTTGTGATCTAATCAAATCCCAAAGATCCTACCTCTTAAAACCATCACCTTGGGGGTTAGGATTTTAACATGTGAACTTTGAGGGGAAACAAATATTCAGACCAAAGCAAATGTAATAAGTTAGTCTTCTTATCTTGAATTCTTTTACCCAAAAGAAGACTTAAAATAGGAAACAGAGTAATATAAAATAAGGGGAATAAGTACAAAACCAGAAAATAAAATGATAGTCCTAAATCTAAACCCATCAATAATTAATTTAAACATAAATGGTCTGGACACACCAATTAAAAGACAGAGATGGTTGGAGTGATTTTAAAAATTACTTATATGCTGCAAAGAGAGCCACTTAAAATATAGTTACACAGATAGGTTAAAAGTAAAATGATGAAAAATAATATACCACATATATTAGTCCTTTTCACACTGTTAATAAAGATGAGCCCAAGACTAGGCAATTTACAAAAGAAAGAGGTCTAATAGACTTACAGTCCCACATGGGTGGGGAGGCCTCACAATCATGGCAGAAGGCAAGGAGGAGCAAGTCACATCTTATGTGGATAGCAGCAGGCAAAGAGAGAGCTTGTTCGAAGAAACTTACCCTTATAAAACCATCAGATCTTGTGAGACTTATTCACCATCATTAGAACAGCACGGGAAAGACCTGCCCCATGATTCAATTACTTCCTACTGGGTCCCTCCTACAACATGTGGGAATTCAAGATGAGATTTGGGTGGGGACACAGCCAAACCATATCACTACACAAACACTAATCAAACAAAAACTGGAATGACTATGTTAATATCACAAAGCAGACTCAGAGCAAAGATTACCAGGAATAAAGATGGACATTACATAATAAAAAGGCTTAATTTACCAAGAAGACATAAGAATTATCAATTTATATGAGCTAAGCCACAGATCTTCAAAACACACAAAGCAAAAACCTACAGCATTGAAAGAAAAAATAGACATATCAGCAAATATAGTTGGACAGTCAACATTTCTTTCTTAGTAACAGAAAGGACTAGTTAACAGAGTTAGCAAGGATATAGAAGAACAAAACAATGCCATCAACCAACTTTATCTACTTGATTTTTATAGAATTCTATCCAAAGATAGCAAAATACACATTATTTTGAGGGACACATGGAATATTCATCAAGATAGATGATATTCTGGCTCATAGTCACACATTAACAAACATAATTGAAATCACACAAAGTATGTTCTCTGACCATAATGGAATTATACTAGAAATAAATAACAAAAGAAAAAAACAAAACCTTCAAATATTTGAAAATTAAAGCTCATGATTCAAAATAATATGAGTCAAAGAAAATGTTTCAAGAGAAATTAGAACACATTTTGAATGAAAATGCAACATAACAAATTAAGTCAAATTTAGTTAAAGCAATGCACAAAGGGAAGATGTGTAACAGTAAATACATACATTATAAAAGGAGGAAAGTCTCTGTAATCTCAATTTCCGGTATAAGAAACTATAAAAACAATAGTAAAATAAGAAGCAGAAGAAAATACAGTTATGTGTCACAACAGTATTTTGGTCAATGATGGACTGCATGTACGACAGTAGTCCCAAAAGATTATAATGGAGCAGGAAAATTCCTATCACCTAGTTGACATTGTAGGTCCCAGTGCATTGCATGAACTTTGCTATATCTGTGTATCTAAACATAGATACACAAGTGCCATTCTGTTGTGGTTGCCTGCAGTATTCAGTAGAGCAACATACTGTATAGGTTTGTAGCCTAGCAGCAATAGGCATACCATATAGCCTAGTGCTATATCAGATGTGCAGGAGGTCATACCATCTAGGTTTGTGTAAATACACTCTGATGTTTGTACAACAAAATTGCCTAACAATGCATTTCTCAGAGCATATCCCTGTCGTTAAGCAATGCATCTTGTAATACATATAAGAACAGAAATTGTTAAAATTGAAAACAGAAAACAATAAACAAATTTTTCTTTTTCTTTTCTTTTCTTTTTTTTTTTTTTTTTTTTTTGAGACGGAGTCTCTCTCTGTCCCCCAGGCTGGAGAGCAGTGGCCAGGCCTCAACTCACTGCAAGCTCCGCCTCCAGGGTTCACGCCATTCTCCTGCCTCAGCTTCCTGAGTAGCTGGGACTACAGGCGGCGCCACCACGCCTGGCTAATTTTTTGTATTTTTAGTAGAGACGGGGTTTCACCGTGTTAGCCAGGATGGTCTCGATCTCCTGACCTCGTGATCTGTCCACCTCCGCCTCCCAAAGTGCTGGGATTACAGGCGTGAGCCACCGCGCCTGGCCAATGAACAAATTTTTTAAATTGTGCTTTAAAAAAAAAAAAAGCAAGACCAATAAACTTAATAAATATCTACAATGATTAACAAAGAAAAAAATAGAGGATGTAAATTACCAATACTAGGAAAGAGAGAGAGGATTTCGTTACAAAATCCAAAGATATCAAAAGAATAATAACAGAGAATTTCAAGATAAATAGGCAACTCAACTAGTCCTCTGTCTATTAAAGAAGCTGATTTTATACTTAAAAGTTCCTAAAAAAGAAGTATCCAGAACAAAAAAGCAAGACAAAGACTAACATGTTTAACAATTCAAAAGAAACACAAAATTCTCAATACAGTGGTCTCCCCCTTATCCTCAGGGGATATGTTCCAAGATCCCTAGTGGACGACTGAAACTGAGGATGCTACTAAACCGTGTGTGTGTGTGTGTGTGTGTGTGTGTGTACACACTATGTTTCCCTCCCATAAATACATACCTATGATAAAGTTTAATTTACAAAGTAGGCAGGGTAATATATTCACAACAATAACTAATAATAAAATAGAATAATTAAATGTTATGCTGTAATACAAGTTAGGTGAATGTGGTCTCTTTCTCTCTCTCAAAATATCTCATTGTACTCTACTCACTTACATTCAAACTATGGAATATGAGAAGATGCCTAACTTCACTAGCAATAAAAAAGCAAGTTAGAACCACAAGAGTTACCATGTCTTACCCAATCTTTAGGTGAAAAACTAAATCTGACACTGTCATGTTGGCATATATGTGGAGCAACAGGAACTTATGAATATTGGTGGTATGATGTATAAATTGGCCCAAACATTTAAAAAATAGATCAACATTTCATAGGAAGTTTGAATATGCTCATAATATATGATCTAAGGATTTCACTCCTGGAATAAATGTATAAAAATTAATAACATATTACAGGAAATAACCAAAATGTCCGACAATGGTAGAATGGAAAATACATTGTAGACTGGTTTTAAGGTGGAACACTGTTCAGCAGGGAAACTGAATGAGAGACAGTTACATGTGAGCTTTGCCCAGTGAATCTACCCAAACCTCATATTGAATGAAATAAGTAAGACATAGACATTATAGTGTAGGAATTCATATTCATAAGGTTCAAAAATAGGAGAAATATATCCATAAGTGGTAAAATCATTTAAAGCCGAAAGAACGTGGGATGATTATTATAAAAGTCAAAATGACGAAAACCTCTGTTTGTAGGATGGGAAGGTGATATAATTGGGAAGATGTATAGAGGATTTGGAAAAAACTGGCCAGTCTCTATTTCTTAACCTCAGCAGTGGACACATAGGTGCATCATTTACTAAAATTATTTAAGTCAATATATGCATTTATATATTGTTTTGTATGAATGATATTTTCTAATAAATGGAAAATTGCAAAGTGAAATAAACCACTTTTTATGAAATACCGAAACTGAATTACTGTGCTTGTCCAAAAAGCTGCATCCTGATGTGGGATATTTGGTTATAATTTTTCTCATTCTAACACATTCCAGTTTTGAACTCTTGACTCTTTGAAATGCCAAATGTAATTATAATGCGGTATTTTGTTTAAGCATGTGCAATTAAAAGGGCACCATTGAATTGTGGTAGTGTGTAATGTTTCCCAGCTGCTAAAGGTAGAGGACATAATTTTATGATGTGTATTTGCTCCTACCAAAGACTCTCTATTTTATAGATTTATATGATATTAGAAAGCTCTCCTTCATTCCACTACTCTCTATCTGGGTTTATAGGTTAGAAGTGAATTATAGTTTGGTACAGGAGTCAAAAGCCTGCCTTGAGAGTGCTGGCCCTTCATTTCAGGAAAACTACTCAGGGATAAAATGGCCAGTTTTTGAAGCCAGAATTGTCAGGGCATTATTGCTTATTTTATGCAGTTTTAAATATGCCAAGGACATATTTGGAGCTATGCTGAGAAGAAAGGGATCCCTGTCCAGTTAATTAAAACATGACTTTTAGCAAGTTGCAAGTAGAGAAGGTTCATAGGAACAAATTATAAATCTGCTTATTTATCTTCTACCACATTGTCTTTTACAGAATACTCTTTAACCCACTGTATTTCACATCTCAGCAGTTTCTTCTTCCCCATGATTCCTAAGACTTTTTTCTATCTTTGAAAACTAGAATGTAGCTCTTAGTTTTCCTTCCTGGATAGTTAATTCATACAAGATTCTGTGTGGATTACAGAATCAGACCCAGTTTTTAGAAGACTTGCTTCCTTGCTATCATACATCTTGTGTTATATAGTTTTCCTTGCTAGGTCATGTCTACATATAAATAGGCACATTTATCTGGAGATTTAAATTAATTACTATTTTTCATAAAATGGTATAAAATGAACTTTGACACTGGCTAGGGCTACTGAATTCTAGCCCTTTTCTATGTAAGTCATGAATATATTTGAAGACTACTGTATTTTTGCAGTGAAAATATAAGTAGCAGTGTTTTCACCATGTAATACAATAGTTACAGTGTTCCCTGAAAAGTCATGCTCTGTGCACTTAATTCAACTTGGCAGAAAACACCATTCCTTCTGTAGAAGATACTACTACTATGCACAGAAATTTATACAAGAAAGTATGTTTGCGGGCCTCTTGGAGCTAAAGTTTAAAACTTGCAACCTCAACTGGATCAAGTTTTCTGTGAATATTCTGTGGGAACGAAAAATATTTAGAGCAGAACTTTAACAATTCCTAAACAGACATCCATATACATGTGAACGTATGTGTGTGTATTTATTGATTTATTTTTATTTCATCCAAATAATTCACCTTGAACAACCAATTGAGATGAAATCAATCCATCAGATTTGAGAGATAACTAGCTTTCATCTTATACAGGCAATATATGGAGATAGGTCCCCAAATACCTAAATATTAAAATTTCCAAATCTTATTATTTTAGTGGTACTCAGCCATAATAAATCAAAGCAAGTGATTCTCTTATTACATTTTTGTTTGTTTTAATTATATTGAAATATTGTATATGCACATATACATATGCAAAGACCATTGATGTATAGCTTAACAGATCTTAACAAAACAAAAAAAACCCAGGACCCATATCCAGAGACAGAATAATACTGTATCTTAGAAGTCTCCCTCATATCCTCTTCCAGTCACACTCTGTCTCCACAAAAAAAGCTGCTGTCTGACTTTTATTACCACATTAATTTTTCCTGCCTTTGAACTTTATGTAAATAAAATCATAACATGTACTTGTTTGTGTCTTTCTTTCCTACTCAAGAATATGAGATTCATTTATGCTGTTTTATATATTTGTATTTTGCTCATTCACATTACTGTTTTGTATAAAATAATTATTTTGAGGTATAATCTATTATTAAAATACTAATTAGGCTGGGCATGGTGGCTCGCTCCTGTAATCCCAGCACTTTGGGAAATGGAGGCTGCTGATCACTTGAGGTCAGGGGTTTGAGACTAGCCTGGCCAACGTGGTGAAACCCCGTCTCTACTAAAAATAAAAAAGTTAGCCAGGCATGGTGGCACACACCTGTAATCCCAGCCACTCGGGAGGCTGAGGCAGAAGAATCGCTTGAAACCCAGGAGGCAGAGGTTGCAGTGAGCCGGGATCGTGCACTGCACTCCAGCCTGGACGACAGAGTGAGACTGTCTCAAAAAATATAAAATAAAATACCAATTTGAGGGAGACTGGTTCAAACCCAGTGGTAACAGGACATAAAAGGGATCAAAGGAGCTACAGGAAAGCTAATAGCTTCTTTTTCTAACTCCTCCATCCTGTATAGAAAAGATTTGTTTATTCCTTATTTTATATAAGTACAACTTGCTAACCGATTGTGCAACTGGAGCTCCTTATTTCTTATTTCAATTAGCGAAACCCTATTATCAGGCTATTGGCATTTACCTTATTCTAATTTAGCAGACCTTGGCGATTGGCTGACATAAAAGCCATTAACAACACCTTTGCCCCTTTCCACTTTCCTCTATAAAAGCTGAAAGGGCCAAATATATTATTTTCAATCATGTTACTACTAAAAGTGACCATGTGATACAGTCTTGACCAGTTAAATTTAAGAGGGAGTTTCTGGGGATTTCTGGAAAAACCTTTGCTTTTTTTACTAAAGATAGTAGCGTAAGAGGAGAGAAGCTTAATGACATTCTTTACCTCATCTTCCTGCCTTGCTGCTGGATATGATTCCTGGAACTTCAGCAGCCCTTTTGGGACCATGAAGCAATGAGCATGGAAGTGAAAAGGTAACACATCAAAGTGATCAAGTCCAAAGGTTATGGTAATCAAAGACTTTGATTATACTATTGTGATACTGAACACATTTTTAGACTTATTGTTAAGCAAAATAGAAATTTCCTTATAATTTAACCCCATTGTTAGAGCTTTCCTTAATTGCAGCCAAAAGTGTATCCGATATACCATTTATCTGGATATTTAAGATAGAGGCATGCACCTTAAAAATTGCATGAAATTATGCTGTATTTTATATTAGCTTCTTGAAAATCAACAACATCTTGATTAGAAGAGTAAAACTGAACTGTGCCTATCACACAGATGAATTCTGATGACTTATGAAACACCTGAAATGCTTTCAGTTGCTTGATTTCTTCAAAACAACACTCTTTATTTCTTGATATTGTAGACTTAACATGAGAAAACAATCAAATACTTTATATTTAAGCCCCTCCTGGTATACTTGGGAATTCTGGTGGTAGGTGCTAGCTAAGCACCTACCAGAAATCCCTTGAAGTCAATAGACTTCAAACATGATTATTATCTCAGCAGTCACAGAAAATATCCTTTTACATCTTCCTTCAAAGAGGCAGACTACTGTCATTATAGTTCTTAAATGTTTATTGTCTCATTAAATTACCAATTTCCCATAGACTTTTGGTCTGCAGTTTCGGAGTTAGGATTCTGGGAGAGAATGGTGGAGATAGTAATACAAGAGTAGTCCTTTGGCTCTTCGTGTTGAAAACTGATTACCTCTTAATTTGCAGGTAATTATCCTTATTTGTACCAAACATTCCTCTATCTCTCACTTGCTGATTTTCTGTGGCTGCATCTAGGTCAGCATAAATGACTTTAGGCTAAGTTTCTTTTGATTTAAAACAAATCTAATATCTTAAAGTTAGATAGCTGTTATCCAGTGGGTATTGCATGAGCATTGGCAACCTGTCATATAACACAACATCTTATTAACAACTTGTATTTCCTATACTTTTGTGTGTGGAGACCATATGCTATGTTGAATTGGTTTAAACAATGTAGTCAGAAAGGCTGCCCTGAAATTTTATTTTTGGTAATACATTAGTAGAGAAGTTGAGGGATTACGAGAAAGTTTATGTTAAAATTCTTGTTATGCTTCTTTGGAGAAGGACTATTTTTATATAATTAAGAGGCCAATTATTGAATGTTTCTATTCTTTTTGTACGCTATAGCAAGAAAATTAGGGAGTTAGGGTTTAAAGAACAAATGTATGGCATTTGTGAAGTTGAAAACAACCTCTGGATACTCAAATCTCCCGCTTTTGATCAGTCTCAACTCTTTAATGGACCTTATTCACTTAAGCTATAAATCACATTGTGGCATGAAAATAATGACAAGCATTTCAGAAAAGCCAGAAATGTGTAATTATGAGTATTTATTCTTTTTAAAGCACTAATTGTAAGCAGAGGGAAAGCACCAAGGAGCCCCAATCTAATATTTTTAATGTACATTTTTCATATCATATTAAAATTTTAGTGTTTTAATAAATGTAGGAAGATGAATGGGAAAAATGAAATTGCTTATGGAAATAAATGTACACAAATATGTACATTTTCTAAATGATGATTAATAATATAGTTAAAGCCCATGGACATGCAGTATTATTTATCAGACTACATCCAAGCAGGGTGGAAGCAAAAAACACTTATGCAGCATGTAAGCCAGCCTCTGACCAGCTTTGGCACCTAAACAGGAGTCATATTTTTGTAGGCATGAATGTGTTTTGAACAATGAATCAAATGTCTTCTGCACAGATAGGGTTTTATTTAACACCAGAACCATGTCTTTTTCTACTTACATTTCCTGGAAAATAAGTACAAATTTTGTAACCAGTCTATGAATAATTAAGTACCTTCTCATGAATGACAGACTTCAGAAGGTTCAGAATTTCAACCTGGGTAAACAAGTATATATTTGTATGTCTGTCTAGGTTTATGTGTACCTAAACTCCATTCCATAAACCATCTCACAAAAATGTTTCTGAAGCCCTCTCCTGCCTCCCACTTCCCACATTTCATGAAAAGATATGTGTGTGGAGGATGGTGGCTCTTCATAGGATTCTATTTAAGTGTTTCTGTCTTGAGACCAGTCACAAGGCTACTTTAGAAAGTAGAGCATTTTCTCAAGATGTTCCCCACATCAGTAACATTCTGTTTGAAGAAGAAAGTGCTTTTAGTTTATCGGAGAGATTATAGATACTTTTTACCAGTGAAAAGAGCCAAAAAATATTTTGATGATTGTGAACCAGGATAAGAAAAAAAGACTTCTATGTTCTATTAAAGGAGGAAGTAGAAGTGGAAACCAGTTATTGTGTGTATGGCGTGTGATGTGTCAGGTCAGGTAGCGGTCAGTCACAAGGTGCCTCACTTCTGGATGTCTGTTCCTCTTGTTTCATTCAGCATCTATTCTTTTTTTATTTCTTCAGTTATATCCAATTCAGCTAAATGAAAATGTTCAAACCATCTCTCACCCCCCTCACCCCATATACAACTAAGGTGGACAAAGAACAGATCACCCAGGGTTTCTTTTCAAGGCACAGAAGATACAGTGGGTCTTCAAATGGCCACTGAGGTGACTCTAGCATCTTTCAGTTAAAGACTCTCCATTTTTTCGGTTTCTCAGAGACTGGATGAGATAGAAACTACAGAGATAATAAGAACATTTAAATTCTGTGTATTGTTTAAAGATTATACAAAAGTAGTCATACTTTTTTTACTTAATATATAGAAATTTAGATAGATATATATAACACTCTCCCTTTTTAAAATATTTTATTTTTAATTATTATGAATACATAATAGTTGTACATATTTACCCTCCCTTTGAATTTTGATTTGTCAAGGAGATCTTGGGCTTTATTCTTCTCTTATGTGATTCACCTACAACTTGTTATCAGTCAATAGGTGGCTTACCATGCCTGGATAGGGCATCCTTGCCTGAATAGAGTCTAAACTGTGCAAATAAAAATTATAAATCAAAGATATGAGGGTATATTCTATTCAAACATATAACTGTACAAAAAGCAAATACATTTTTTCCTGTAAAAGTGCAGTGTAGTTGCCTTTTATGTGTATTTGACTTGCATAAATTTTTGTTACTACAAAATAACTTAAAAGTCTATTTATAAATTTTAAAATAATGTTAATTTGAAAATGATAGTGAATTATAATTGTGTTTGTACTGTTGCCCACAGTGGCACCACTATAAGTGTCAGACAGAAATACTGGCTCTGCTCTAACGAAGTAAGTCTTGGATTTTGCAAGTATTTATTATGCAAGAGTTTCAGAGATGTATATATTGCATAAAGTGTGGTGAATGTGACCAACTTGAAATTACACGATCTTTGTGAAAAGTTCAGACAATTCAAACATATAAAAAGGAGAAAGTAAAAACCCTCTGCTAAGCCACTAAGAAATACAATTATTGTCGCTAATTTTTTAAAACTCGCTAAAAGAGTTAAGCAAAATATTGACATACTTGTCTTATGACACAAAATTATAGTAAGATTAGAAGAAATACTGACATCAGTTAAACAATTTACACTTAAATGCTAATGCTCCATAACTATTGCTTATTTTGATTTATCTCCATCGTCACTCCCACTGTTAGATTTGAATAAAACACAACTCCCTGGATGCCTTCAGCCATGGAGTAGTCCTCAATCCTTTCATTCTCCTAAATACAAGGTCTTTTCTGCTATACTTCCAAAATACACCTCCACTTCTCCCGCTTCACCCCATGTCTGCCTCCACTGTTTTTGTCTAGTCCTCCATCACATTGCACTAGAGCCAAAGCCTCCTGAATAATCTCCTTCCATCTGCCTCTGCCCCTCTAACATTGCCTCTCCATTCAAAAGCCAACAGTGTTAATTAATGGTTGGGTTCATTTATCCAAGCATTCAAGGCCTTGAACCTATTTTGTGCCCAGCACTTTTTGAGGCACTAGAGACACATTCGTGAACAAAACAAAGTTCCTCTTCTCTTGCAACAACTTGTAGGTCCTGGAACTTCTCAGGCTTTCTTGGGCCTACAAGCTCTTGCTTGGGCCATTCCTTCTGCCCAGAATGCCTTTTCCTTTATTTCTTTACATGGCTTACTTGCACTAGTTCTTCAAGATTTAGCAAAATGGTCACATCTTTAAGGAAGACTTCTGTGACCCCCATCGTACCCCCTCAAGTCTGGGTTAAGTGCACATCTCTCTGCTTTCAGTTTCTTGTGCATTCCTGTTTCTCAGCACTCCCCCATACTGTATTATCATAGTGAATTACCTTCCTGTCTTCATGCATTAGACTGTGAAATCTTCCTAGGAAGGAACTCTGTGTTTCCAATCTTGTTTATTGTATCATTACCCTGTGACTCAACTTATCAGTTATTGGAATATGGTTGAGAAAAAGGGCCAGAGAATTTCAATTCAGCATCATAGAGTTATGAGGCAGAAATAATATATATAATGAAGAGTCTCAGCTTCAGAAATCTATTCTGGGCTTTTCCTTTTGTACCTTCTGAAAGGGTTTTAGAATTTGGTTGGTTGTGGATGACCCTATTTAAGGCAGGGGTCACGTAAGAGGGAACAGGTTTGCAGAGACTCAGAGACTGAAAATAAACATAGCTAATAGTGAACACAATTTTTTTTTTTAACATGGAGTCTTACTCTGTCACCCAGGCTGGAGTGCAGTGGCATGATCTCGGCTCACTGCAACCTCCACCTCCCAGGTTCAAGCAATTCTCCTGCCTCAGCCTCCCGAGTAGCTGGGACTACAAGCACTTGCCACCACGCATGGTTAATTTTTTGTATTTTTTTTAGTAGAGATTTAGTTTCACCATGTTAGCCAGGATGGTCTTGATCTCCTGACCTTGTGATCCACCTGGCTCAGCCTCCCAAAGTGTTGGGATTACAGGCGTGAGCCACTGTGCCAGGCCTGAACCCATTTTTAATGTTCCAACTGTGTGATTCTCTGCAAATTACATGAAAGCAAGACTAATACTTTTCATGACTATCCCAATAACTGATATCTAGATCATGCAATACCTAGTTGATTTTTCTACAGGCAGATGAAAATGTGGTGTGATGGCAGTGGTGAGTTATATCCATGAAGTGTGAGCTCTTACTTATTTCATTCACTGGCAATTTTCTGACTCTTCTTGAAGTTTGGGCTCATGTTAGGCCTATTCATCTTCATCTTTCCTGTTTCTCCAGGCATAGGAATGTGGTAGGGTGTGTTAGGCAGTGGTTTACATTCAAACAAAATTGGTCTGATCTCTTAGAGAATATGTTTTTCTGAGATTCTATCTGCAGAAAGAACATTAAATCCACATGTGTTGTTTTTCTCTTGTTGCCATTGACATTCAGCAGTCAACATCTGGTCTGTTTTTAGTTTTTTAAAATTTTTTTCTTTCTTTTTGTTTTAATGCAGCTTTTTTAGTTTTCTAAACTTACCCCAGATGCAAAGACTGTCTAAATGCTAACCTTTTCTCCAGGGCTTTATTTTGTAGTGTTGATGACTCAGCAAATGATTATTATCACTTTCCTCTGTAAAATGAAGGATGACAATCCTTACGTTCTCTTATGCATTTCTAAAGATGAATTGATTGCGTAAAACAAAATGCTTTAAAATTTAATTTTATGCTTTTCTAATTAATTAAAGGGGTACTTTAAAAATAATGGAAAAAAACCTGGCTTAAGGTATCAGAACAATAACATATTCTTCATATGGGCTCAGAATGAATTGGCTTGACTTTGCAAAAGTCAAGGGATTTTTTCTGCCAGTGCTGAGTTCGTTCACCTTCTTAATCTTGGTTTGAAATGTGCAATATTATGTGTAGAGTGGAGACTGGGGATCCCAGAACAGAACAGAATATCCCTTTGAGTTTTTTTTTTTCTTTTTTTTTTAAATTTTGCTCTGTCACCCAGGCTGGAGTGCAGTGGCGCAATCTTGGCTCACTGCAACCTCTGCCTCACAGGTTCAAGCGGTTATCCTGCCTCAGCCTCCCTATAGCAGGGATTACAGGTACGTGCCACCATGCCTGGCTAATGTTTGTATTTTTAGTAGAGACGGGGTTTCACCATATTGGCCAGGCTGGTCTTGAACTCCTGATCTTAAGTGATCCACCCGCCTTGGCCTCCCAAAGTGCTGAAATTATAGGCGTTAGCCACCGTGCCCGGCCCTTTGAGATTTAATATAAAGAATTAAAGATTAATATTAAGACTTGCCTTAGAGTGACTCATGGATTCAATAGTCGTCTCCTTCTAAAATAAAATAACCCTAGGTTTTTTAGAGGGAAATGATTAGAGGTTCTGACTAACCAAGTTTCAATTCAAAAGGGCCAAAATTTACTTTTTAACCTCAAGCCAAATGAACTTCTTGAATCTCAGCCGATTTTATTTTATAACTGGAAAGTACCGGGACCACCCTGAAAAAACAGATGATAATTTGCCTTTAAAGAAAAAAGGTTTATTAAATAAATATTGATTTCCAGGAGAAAAGCTCAAGACACAGATGTCCACACCCAACAACTAGCTAATCTACTTTAAATGCCAAAGATGAATACAAAAAAAGAAAAAGAAAAAGAAACTACAACTTTTATCTGCAATTTGACAGGTACATGAAATACTTTGACCAAATTTTAGTTGCCTGGAGCTTAGGTTCCAAATGCTTTACTTCTTTAGTTTAAAATATTTAATGAATTTTTAATTAAAATATTTGAATATAAAGTGCTATTTAAATAATTTTTTTTAGTGTTCTCATTCTCCTTTCCCTATGACTAATGATTGAGGAAATAGTCATTTTCACTCAAATATTATTTGAAGCTAGTTGTCTCCTTTACCTCAAAAATTAGCATTAACACTGCTGACTATTCACACCTTTTTCTTGTCATTTTTCATTAAGAACATTTAGCCTGAGAAGGCACAAGAGAAAATGTAAGATGATCTGCAGAGTGTTTGTACTTCAAGTTGATGTGTAATCTTTTCAAATGTTTTAATGTTAATATGTAAATAAATAATTCCCTGCATACATTTACTAATTTACATCAGAATATTTTAGAATTTTATTCTATGAAGCTGATTTGTTTATGCAGTGTTGTGAAATTGGTATTAATATACTAATGAGTAAGACCTAGTATGTACTGACTGATTGCTCCTATTGGTAAATTTTATATTTGGGGAAAATATAGTCAGGTGAAATACGTTTTGATAATAAGGTTGAGTTTTTCTCAGAAAATTAAAACAATGTTATCGAAAGATTTACTTACAAAACACCTTATTATCCAGATGTCAGATCCATAAATACTATAGAGATGTGAAAGTTATTCCCCTTACTCCCTAATAATGAAGGACCCCTCAGTAACTATGTAGTTGGTTATCTTTTTAAAGGGTTGAGTGGCAAGAATTGTCAGTGAATGTTGACTTCATTTTTCTCACTTTGCTTTCGGTGATAAGATGCCTTTTAAAGCAAACACTATTCAAAATTTGAGACAGAGTAAAATTATTAAGTCTGGTCTTCCAAATCATGTTCTCTCTATGAAAATATAGAGTCACAGGACTCCTGGCCCTGTGTTTTTATGAGTCATAGGATTTCTATGGTGAAAAATAAAAGATGAATAAACCTAAGATCTGAGAAAAATAAAAAGAACCCCTTCAATACAATGTTATGTCATGACCAGGCTCTCTGTTTTTGATATATGTATGTGTGTGTTTATAAAGAAAATTTTTCAAAAAATTATTTTGTCTCATCTTCAGAGCTTCTTGGGTTTGTAAAAAATTAGATTAGAGGAAGTAGCTGGCAAGTTAGGCATTAGAAACCAAAGCCTGCCAGTGCCAGACCAGGCATGGTGGCTCACACCTGTAATCCCAGCACTTTGGGCGAAGGTGAGAGGATCACTTGAGGCCAGGAGTTTGAGATCAGCCTAGGCAACACAGCATGACCTTGTATCTATAAAATATTAAATGAAAAAATATTTCCAGGTGTGGTGGTGCACGCCTGTAGTGCTAGCTACTGGGGAGGCTGAAGCAGGAGAATTGTTTCAGGAGTTTGAGGCTGCAGTGAGCTATGGCCATGCCACTGCACTCCAGCCTGGTTGACACAACAAAACCCTAGCCCTTAATTAAAAAAAAAACAAAAAAACAAAAAAGCCTGCCAGATGATGCCTATGATTTCAATGAAAATGACAACAGGAGTAACCTTAATGATGCAGAAACAATACAGTCCTGGCTTACCAAGTGCTCTTGTATCCACTTTGCTTTAACAGAGCAAATTTTTATGAATGAATCCAGATGGCTACTCCAGTTGCCTTCCAGCATATGGACAAAGGTGAGAGTGATTTTTTCTGATATGATATTCTGCTTTCTAGTTGGTGACAAATATTTTACCCCTTGAGATGAATTTTAAAATCTTTCCCTTGGCCAGGTGCGGTGGCTCACGCCTGTAATCCTAGCACTTTGGGAGGCCGAGGTGGGCAGATTGACTGAGTTCAGGAGTTTGAGACCAGCCTGGGCAACACGGTGAAACTCCATTTCTACTAAAAAAGAAAAAATTAGCCAGGCGTGGCGGCGTGCACTGATAGTGCCAGCTACTCGGGAGGCTGAAGCAGGAGAATTGCGAGACTCCATTTCCAAAACAAACAAACAAACAAACAAACAAAAAAACCCATTTCCCTTTCTGGATCAGAGCACAAATGATACAATTTTTAAAAAATACCTTGGTTTTCTTTCTTGTCTGTTTGCACAAACCTGCTTTCAACCTCATGATTGTTTCTTCCAATTGAGATCTGATTGGCAAAGCCACAGACTAAGCCACCTAGTCTCCCCCTTTGATACTGTCATGTTTTAGTTAGAGAATATCAAAAAAGAAGGGACCTTAAGATCACTTGGTCCAACCCCTCATTTGTAAGACAATGAAACAGGAGCAGAGAGGTGAAGGGTCCTGTTCAAGGTAACATGGCAAAGTAGTAACAGGTTTGGTTTAGATGTAGCAGAGGGGCTCTTTCTTCTACATTCTTTGGGTTGTGCAGCTTCTTCCTTTTTTTTAACTGTTTATTATATAAATGTTGTTTAAAAGTGGCCATTTTTTCCTTTTCTAACTGAATAATATAAACATGATATGTTAGGCTGATATCACTGGTGGTGGTGGCTGCCTATCACATGCAGTCCCTTCCTTTCTTGGGCAAGGAATGGGGTAAGGAATTATCCATTACTTTCGGTGTCCACAAAAGTAAGAAATGATGGGCGCTTGCTTTTGCAGATTTTGCAGTACCGAGGATAAAGGCATATAACCTGCCAGGAAATCCACTCTAGAGCAAGTGATGCAAAGATACAGGGACAAAGGAGATTTTTGTCCCAGTGCAGGTAGCAGAGACAAGAGTTCCAGAGTCTGAACAGTGCTGGTGACAGCGCTAATGACAGGCAATGTCCGGGGTTGGTAGGGGCAATACCTGGTATTCTGCAGTGCGGCCATAATGTTTCCGGAATTGGTGGGTTCTTGGTCTCACTGACTTCGAGAATAAAGCCGCGGACCCTCGCGGTGAGTGTTACAGCTCTTCAGGTGGCGCATCTGCGTCTGGAGTTTGTTCCTTCTGATGTTCGGATGTGTTCGGAGTTTCTTCCTTCTGGTGGGTTCTGTGGTCTCGCTGGCTCAGGAGTGAAGCTGCAGACCTTCGCGGTGAGTGTCACAGCTCATAAAGGCAGTGCGGCCCCAAAGACTGAGCAGCAGCAAGATTTATTGCAAAGAGTGAAAGAACAAAGCTTCCACAGTGTGGAAGGGGACCCGAGCGGGTTGCCACTGCTGGATGGGGCAACCTGCTTTTATTCTCTTATCTGGCCCCACCCACATCCTGCTGATTGGTAGAGCCCAGTGGTCTGTTTTGACAGGGCGCTGATTTGGTGCGTTTACAATCCCTGAGCTAGACACAAAGGTTCTACACGTCCCCACCAGATTAGCTAGATACAGAGTGTCCACGCAAAGGTTCTCCAAGGCCCCACCAGAGTAGCTAGATGCAGAGTGTCGATTGGTGCATTCACAAACCCTGAGCTAGACACAGGGTGCTGATTGGTGTGTTTACAAACTCTGAGCTAGACACAGAGTGCAGATTGGTGTATTTACAATCCCTGAGCTAGACACAAAGGTTCTCCAAGGCCCCACCAGAGTAGCTAGACACAGAGTGTTGATTGGTGCATTCACAAACCCTGAGCTAGACACAGGGTGCTGATTGGTGTGTTTACAAACCTTGAGCTAGATACAGAGTGCTGATTGGTGTATTTACAATCCCGGAGCTAGACATAAAGGTTCTCCACGTCCCCACCAGACTCAGGAGCCCAGCTGGCTTCACCCAGTGGATCCCGCACCGGAGCTGCAGGTGGAGCTGCCTGCCAGTCCCGCGCCGTGCGCTCGCACTCCTCAGCCCTTGGGTGGTCGATGGGACTGGGCGCCGTGGAGCAGGGGGTGGCACTTGTCTGGGAGGCTCGGGGCCGCACAGGAGCCCATGGAGGGGGTGGGAGGCTCAGGCATGGCGGGCTGCCGGTCCCGAGCCCTGCCCTGCGGGAAGGCAGGTAAGGCCCGGTGAGAAATCGAGCGCAGCGCCGGTGGGCTGGCACTGCCGGGGAACCCAGTACACCCTCCGCAGCCGCTGGCCCGGGTGCTAAGCCCCTCATTGCCCGGGGTCGGCGGGGCCCGCCCGCTGCTCCGGGGGCGGGGCCCGCCAAGCCCACGCCCACCCGGAACTCCAGATGGCCCGCAAGCGCCGCGCGCAGCGCCGGTTCCCGCTCGCGCCTCTCCCTCCACACCTCCCTGCAAGCTGAGGGAGTGGACTCTGGCCTTGGCCAGCCCAGAAAGGGGCTCCCACAGTGCAGCCGTGGGCTGAAGGGCTCCTCAAGTGCCGCCAAAGTGGGAGCCCAGGCAGAGGAGTCGCCGAGAGCGAGCGCGGGCTGTGAGGACTGCCAGCACGCTGTCACCTCTCAATAACGCCCATCCCAACGTTTCCTGAGGAATAATTTTGGTCGTGTTCCTGCTACTCAGCTTTTCGTGGTTCCTGCTCATTTTCAGAGTCTAACATTCCAGCTTTTCCGGAAATTCTGTGAGTATACAACAAACTTTGACAATTCCTTTTGGATTTAACTCATCTGAAGTTAGTTTTGGTTATACTCAGTGAAAAATTTTGGTAGTAGTTACATGGCTCGAATAAAGAAAATAGACTTTGCTTTCTGGGTCTGGGAATAACCAGTGAACATCTTTCTGAGCATCAGTTTCTCATGCATAAAATTTAGGAAAGAAAACCTGAGGGAGGTTAGCTGAATCACTTCTCTGCTTTGCAGAGTCAGATTCTATAAGAAAATGTTATAACATGGAGAAATTTGCCCTTTTCTGTTCTCCTCAAGCCCCCAAAATATTTGTCTTCTGATAAAATGTAAGGAGAAAGAAGAGGCAATAAAAGCAGAAAATGAAAAAAAAAAAAAAAGGCCAAACAAATCTTTATTTTGTTTTGATAGAAGCCCATGAAATATAGCAAGTTGGTTTCAATTTTCTGAAGCTTTGCACAATCAATTAGTTAATCTTAATCACTGCCTATGGAATTCAAACATGCACAATTCCAAATTTTTACACATTCTCATTCATTAAAATAAAGGCAGAAGCCAGGCGTAGGTAGAGTGATATTTTTATGAAGCACAAGCCTTGTAATTTTCCAACATCTGTGGGGAGTTAAAAAACAATCGCTACGATCGCTTCAGTTGCTCTGAAGCTGGTAATATGTGAGTCATGTTTAGGTGCTTTCTGGGCCCTACAAAATCATCAGATAGATTTTCAAATGTGTTTGCAGTAAGAGCCGCACCTCTTTTTTTCTGGGCATGGAAAAACCATGTAAAATAGATCTCAAAGAAGCCAGCATTGTAAGCAACAGGCACATAGTTTATTTTTAGAGACTGGGTTACCATTAGCACATATTTGGACACTTTTTAGTCTGACTCAAATATACAAAAAACACTTTACTAATCATTTATAGAGCAAGTTCGCTGTCTCCACCCTACCCAGAATATAAAATATAAAGATTCTAATAATAGGGGTACACTTAATAAATGTATTGATGGGTGTTTCTCTTTCAACACAATTAATTTGCCCTAAGCAGTGTCTAGTTAATGAGGTCTTAAATTGTCAGAATAAATAGGTGTGCTCTGCTCTAACTTCAACACGAGGCCATGGCAGACATGGCTCTTTTCAGCTACCTAAGTTTACTTTCAACCATTTTCCTACCCATGCAGTGTCCCTTTACTGAGAATTGGTCGTGGACTTCCAGCTGTCTGTTTCCTCCCGAAGAGGCCAGCTATCTTGCTGCACTAATGATTCCTCCTTTGTTGGAAGCTGACTCTATACTAATAAAGAACTGCTGGCAAACAACTGTAATTAAGAAATTTAAGCTTGAGAGAATTAGGATGAGGCAGTGTAATTCCTCGTTATCTTTGAGCATTTTTGGAAGGCATGAGGTACTTTTTGTTTCTGGTTAAAACCGAAGGAAACATTGAATAAATTCCTGCCTTCCACATAATAAAAAAAGGTGTATATTTGGACAGGCTTTATTCTTAGTAGTCACTTCATTTAGATCCTTACTTTTAAAATGTTTCTAATAGGGAAAAAATACTTTCATTCAACTTTTCAAACTAAGAAGTAAGATGGCTGTGTCCCTGAAAGATGGTACATTTATTTAAACTAAAGTTTTACATACATTTAAGTTATACATGACTTGTATCTTATTATTTTCTGAAGGTGGGTTAGGATAAAAAGAAAAGAGGTAAAAGAAAAGAACATTAAGACAAGAGTTTTAAAAAAAAATCTCAGGAGTCTAGTAGGAAGCATGATTCATCCATAAAAAACCATGAGGCAAACAAGTCTTTCAGGAGGGAGCTGTGAGCTGCCTTGAGGCTTATCCACTAGCCACACAGAGGCTGGAGCTGTAAC
This sequence comes from Homo sapiens, assembly GCF_000001405.40. NCBI lineage: Eukaryota > Metazoa > Chordata > Mammalia > Primates > Hominidae > Homo > Homo sapiens. The sequence goes on along the minus strand of NC_000003.12, from coordinate 151,925,982 downwards.
TTTTGTTTTAATGAGGGTTTCTTGGTCAGGCTTAGGTTGACGTCCAAAAAATACATCGGGGAAATCTTGGCAAATAGAAATTCCAGTAGGACTTTTGTTTATGGTCTCTCTTTACTTCTAGTATGTGAATTCCTCGAGGGTAGGGTGTTATTCACTACTAGATCCCTAGCACCTGAAAAGTACCTGGTGCCTGAAAAGGACTGAAAAGGGCAATTATAGGAAGGGAGGGAGAGAGGGAAGGAGGGAACAGAGAAGGAACGGTGTTCCATTGAGACCCCCTGGAGGAAGAAAATCTGGGTTGTGTGGCTTTCAGTAGTTCAATGAGCACATAGCTGTCTTTAAGCCTCCACCTGTGGTGTGTACAGATTCATAACACCCCAACGGCGCATGGTTATGAGATCACCGAAGCCACATCCTCTAGGTTGACAAAGTTTATCCCAACATGCTCACTCTCTCCAAAGCTCTCTCTGACTTTTAATTTACCTGCCACTACTTAATTTCTCCTTCTTGGATTGCTTTGATATTTGTGCATCTCTCATTATGCTGCACTTTGACTTGTATTTGGCTGCTGGTTCTCAACTGAGGTCCTACCTTTATTCCTGAAATTTACCACAGGGCCTGCAACTGGCCTTTAAGCACCAACTCTGCACAAAATCTGTGACTACCTAGGTGTTTCAGGTTGGGCAGCAAACATTTATTCTCAAGTATTCCCCGAGTCTGGTCACTGCTTGACCTTGCCGAGTCCCGTGTTCACAATGTTGTCGAAACCTGTGGGTGAGATTGAGTCTTCAGAGGAAAGAACTAAAGAATTCACGAGGAGCTAGCAACAGCAGAGACTGACTGAAGGGGAAGAGAGTGGAAAGAAAGGATTCATGGAATCTGGGAACACAGAAAAGGGAATGGGAGTGAAAAAGCTCTATATACTTTAAAGTCTGACCCTGAAGTTGTCCCGTTGCGAGTGCTGACTGTACCAGCCTGTAATACATTTAGAGAGATGCACAACTGTGCAAACAAAGCAAATTGCAAACCAGTTTTAGTAATTTCTCAATAAAGGGATTACCCTGTAATTCTCTGTGAACCTCCTATTTTGCAAGCCCAAAGGGAAAACAGTTTTTTCTAGACACATCTATTATGCTTGTCCCTCAGCTAGCAATAAGGGATGCTGCCCTTGCCTTCAAGTCCCTGCTGAGCACCACAACCATGCTCAATATCCTCATCCGTAAAATATGGTCAAAAGAGTGTCTGCCTCACACATTGTAATTGGGATTAAATGAATCAGGTCTAGAGTGTTTAGGAGATTGTCTGGTACATAGTAAGCATCTAAGACGTGTTAGCAATAATATTGACAGTAATGATAAGAGATGACATGATGGTGATTATGATGGTATTAACACATCATTGGCTGTGACTGATTGGACAAGTAACGCTTTTATCCAAAGGCTACCAATCCAGAAGCTGCATGTTGTCTTACAGTTCCTCTGGCTGGTTGCAAAAGATGAGCTAGGCCAGAGTCCTCTCAAAAAACCAACCAACTGTGGCCAAAAAAGTCATAGGCTGGGATGGACATTGTGTGGCATTGTGAAGGTTAAAATTGGGAGGCAAAAAAGTATTTAAAAGAAGAGTGAGTAAAAAAGAAGAGACATTGTAAAAAAAAAAAAAATCACTAAGAAACAGAGACACTTAGTAAGAGAGCCCAGAGTACCCAGCCAGCCCCTGCCTATCTTTTAATTCTGCTAGTCTCACTACCAGTTTCTTAAAGGTCTCCTAGATTCCAACCATAACACTCAACTTTTAGTTTTAAATTCATCTGGGCTTGAGTATTCTTTGTCTCTTGAGCCTAAAGAATCCTGACTAGATTAAAAAATACTTTTTATAGCACAATTAATCATACTACAAAAATGAGTCAGATATCATCTGGCTGCAAGACTTCCTTTCAACTATCGTTTACAAATTTTAAAGCATAGCAATTATTGCAAACACTGATGAACAGATTTAGCTCTGTATGAACATTGGAATTTCCATGGATAGGCATCCTATGCAACTTTATTCTCTAGGCCATTATAAAGAGATTCTTAAATGTCAGTGATAAGAGCCAGTAACTGAAGTAGCAGAGGAAAGTGTCAGGGAGTGCAAACTCAAATGTCTATCGAGAAAATTCATGCATATACTGGGTGTAATACAATAGAGTGTGGTAGGAATTTTGCCAAAATAAAGAGGTCTGCCATCCTGCACTCCTCCCCAAGACAGACATTTCTCTTAAGATCAGTCTTCTCTTGATGGGTGGAAATAAGTTCCCAGTTAAAAAAGCCAAAAATGTAGATTTTTAAAATTGAAAATCTTCTGATTTTTAAATGTTAAAAACTGATTTAATTTTTTCTAATAAAATATCTGACCTCCCAAAAAATGTATCTACAGAACAAACTTTATTTGAGGCTGCCAGTTTCTGCCCTCTGATATAATAGCATGGGAAATAGTCTATGGTAAAGAACCAGATGGTATACAACTTATCATATTTCCTAAATCCACATTCTACTCTGGTTATACTGTAAAAAGACAAGAGAGAGGAGACTTTAAGACTTTTTGTTAGAGGGAAATAAAAAATGCATATCAACATTCGCCCAAAAGATTCAAAAAAGTCTTAACATTATGATCACAAAATTGTGGATCCTGGTGATTAATAATGCATACATATATTGGGATAAAGTCACGTGGAGTCCTCCAGGACACCTGTATGTCATTTTGCAGTTGTCCTCCCCATCATTTACATTTCATCAACAATATCTAGGAAATCATAATATGTAGGTAATTTTCAAAACTTAAAAAAAAATTTCTAAAAGATTAGGATTAAACCCTTGGCTTTGGAGTTGTATTTAAGCATACTCTTTGATGATGGAAAGAAAGTAGTTTAAGTGATGTACATGTATATTTTAGTAGCCCTGGAATAATGTGTTCTAGGTGTTATTTAAAAAAAAAATTCATGGCTAACCAAATTAATTGAAATAGGATTGACTAGATTTGGTTTGGTTTTGATGAAGCACAAAATGTTCTTTAAAGAGAAACTTCACCGGATACAGGGCACAGCTTTCAAATCATAATCCAGTGACAGTCTTCTTTGTATCTACTGTAATTGTCCTCATTTATTTTCAAAGGACTACTTAGACACCTCTGTGAAATGTCAATCTATTATATTCCATCTTTTGCTCTAAGTTATTCAAATCTAAAGCAAAGTGTTTTTAATGGAGAGATTACCTTCCTTCCACATCCTCTCACTCAAAACTTGTCCATCTAATAAATGCCAGAGACAAAAAGGTGAGAGATTCAGTTACTGCTATTTAAGAACTCTGGATTTAGTATGAAAAAGTGCTTACTACTTCTAGTGTTAGCCCCACCATCTAAAAAACTTAGAAGTCGACCGGACGTGGTGGCTCATGCCTGTAATCCTAGCACTTCGGGAGGCCAAGGTGGGCAGATCCCCTGAGGTCAGGAGTTCAAGACCAGCCTGGCCAACATGGTGAAACCCCATCTCTAATAAAAATACAAAAATTAGTCAGGTGTGGTGGCACACACCTGTAGTCCCAGCTATCAGGAGGCTGAGGCAGGAGAATTGCTTGAACCTGAGAGGTGGCGGTTGCAGTGAGCCGAGATCATGCCACTGTCCTCCAGCCTGGGTGACAGAGCGAGACTCCGTCTCAAAAAAAAGCTTAGAAGTCATCACTCCTATCCTTAAATAACAAAAAGCTGAAGAAACTAAGAATCAACAACTGTTCTTAGATCTATCAAAGAACTAAGGTTTCAGAGCAACCTGCCACTGAAATCTGGACAGGCAGTGATAGGCAAAATAATGGCTGAAGAGAAATCCAAGTCGTAATCCTTGGATTCTATGAATATGCTATATGACAAAGAAAAGAGGAATTAAAGTAGTAGATGGAATTATGGTTGCTAATCAACTGATATTTAAACAGGGAGATTATCCTGCAATATTAGTTGGACCCAATATAATTATAATGGTCTTCAAATTTGGAAGGGGTAGCAGAAGAGAACTATTGTGATACCAGTTTGAAAAGTGCTTGGCCTTATATTAATGCATGGAAAACGCAAGAAAATGAATTCTCCCTTAGAGCATCCAGAAGGAACATAGCCCTGCTGACTAATTGATTTTAGCTTGATGTAAACGATTTCAGACTTCTGACTTCTAGAATTTTAAGATAATATATTTGTGTTGTTTTAAGACACCAAGTTTGTAGTAATTTGCTATAGTGGTCAGTAGAAAAAGAATACATACGTGAATCCAGACAGTCACAGTGGAGCAACTTATCTGGAGCAGAAGCCATTAGCACCATAAGCTGGCAGAAAAACTAAAATATTAATTTTAACAAATTCCTAGAGGTTGAGTATGGATTATTTGAGAGCAAAAAACTCCTAGAGGTCCCAATCTTAGAGAGGCTTCAACAATTTTATGGGTTTTTACCTCTGGGAACCCCTCCAGGTTCTCATGGTAAATATTCATGAAAGTTTCCCTTGTGGCACTAGCAGGGGAAAGAAAAACTAGTCAATGTAAAATATACCCACAGCCTCCTCCATAATGGACTACGCTGCAGATAAAAGGACTTTACCTGAGCCTTATCCAAGCTGGAAAAAAGCATTCCTCCCACTTTAGTTCCCTCTAGTGTTTCTGCCCCAACTAAGAGGGTACAAAAACTATACAACCGGAGAAATGCTTATGAAAGTCACAGCCCACAGACACAGGCTGACTAAAAGTGTGCGTTTTCATCCTAAGTATATAGAAGGCATCCCCTCACTGACACTTTACCACCACACCAGCAGGACTGCAATATAGTAACACTGGATTACATCGGAAAGAGCTGCAAGATGCAGACTCTCTGTGAGGAGGAGTACTTAGGGAATCCTAAAGTCAAGAAAGAAGACAAAAGCAAGGAGACTAGAAGAACATGAAGCCTCTGGCACCCACAGCTACAGCTGAGATTAAACACAGCCTAGATTCCAGCCAGATTAATGTAAATCCTGACAGTAAAGGACAGTTTATCTCAGTTATAATTACCCAATGCAACATGTTTGGCTTTCAGCAAAATAATTACCCAATGCAACATGTTTGGCTTTCAGCAAAAACTACAAGATGTACAAAAAGGCAAAACATGCGTGTACGCATGTGCGCACATATACACACTCACACATACACAGTCTGAAGAGACAAAGCAATCATAAGACCCAGACTCAAATGTAACACAGATGTTCGAATTTCAGACAGAAAATTTAAAATACCTATGATAAATATGTTAAGGGTTCTATATTTGTTAGCTAGGGCTGCCATAACATAGTACCATAGGCTGGGTAGTTTAAACAAGGGAATTTTATTTCGCTCTGGAGGTTAGAAGTCCAGGCTCAAGGTGCCTTCAGGTTTTTCTTCTTCTTAGGCTTGTCGCCATGACTCGCAGATGGCCACCTTCTTGCTGTGTCCTCACGTGATTTTTTCCTCTGTCTGTGTGCATCCTTAGTATCTCTGTGTGTTTGAATTTCCTCTTCTTATAAGGACACCAATCAGAAGGAAAGAGATAAAACTGTCTATATTCACAAATGATATAATTTTCTATTTTAAAATACCAATGAAATGACAATAAATTCCTGTAATTGATAAGTGTATATAAAAGGGTCACAGGATAGAAGGTTGAAAGTCAATTGATTTCTTATATACCAGCAATAAACAACTAAACATTAAAATTAGAAAAAGAGTCCATACCATTTACAGTAGCTCAACTACACAGATATAAATCTAATATAATATGTATAGAAAATGTGTGTAGGAAATGACAAAATATCAACAAATAAAATAAAGAAGACAAAAACATGGAGAAAGATGTGTTATATGTATATACAAAACACATATATATTTTCTTACTCTACAATCAGCAATCACATTCCTAGGTATTTACCCAACTTGTTTGAACAAACTTATGTGCGCTCAAAAATGTGCCCATAGTTGTCTATGAAAGAGAAACTCGTTACTCTATGTTTTTTTCTACACATTAGAAAAATTTGAACCATCTACAGTAGTCCCCACTTATTCCTTGTTTCACTTTTTGTTGTTTCAGTTACTCATGGTCAACTGTGGTCCAAAAATATGAGCTATTTTATTATATTTTACATGTAACTCTATGTGAACAATTGGAGGAAGTACTGGTTTAGGCCAGTGGTTCTTAAAAAGTGGTCCCAGAACCAGTAGCATCGTCATCTGGGAACCTGCTAGAACATCAAGTCATTGGAACTCACCCAGAGCTACTGAATCAGAAACTCTGGGTATAGGCCCAGAAACGTGTGTTGACAAGACTTCCAGGGGACTCTGATCAGCGAACATGTGAACAGTAGGAGGTTTCAGCAAAAGGAAAGCTCAGGATAGAAACCTTGCACCAACATGGGCTGTCTTTTGGTGTGAACATATATAGACATGTTTTTGTGCTTCCCTGGGGGTGCTGAAGAAGGCTGATGAGAGCCAAGAACCAGCAGGCCTGGAATGGCCCACAATGGTGAGGAGTAAATGTGCCAAGAGCAGAAACTGCAAGTAATCTCTTAAACTATGGGCTGGTGGAGGAGAGCATGACTGAGACTCAAGGTGTATTAGTTTGTTCTCACACTGCTAATAAAGACATACCTTAGACTGGGTAATTTATAAAGGAAAGAGCTTCAATGGACTGACAGTTCAGCATAGCTGGGGAGCCTCACAATCATGGTGGAAGGCAAAGGAGAAGCAAAGGCATGCCTTACATAGTGGCAGGTAAAAGAGCTTATGCAGGGGATCTCCCATTTATAAAACCATCAGATTTCGTGAGACTTATTCATTACCACAAGAACAGTATGGGTGAAACTGCCCTCATGATTCAATTATCTCCATCTGGCCCCACCTTTGACACGTGGAGTTTATTACAAGTCAAGGTGAGATTTGGGTGGAGACACAGCCAAACCATATCACAAGGGGTTGGCAGCATCCGAAAGCGACAAGGAGGGGCCAAGGCAGCAACACGGTGGGCCACCCACCCAGTCTAGCAAAGAGCCAGCAGGCAGGGCTGGCCCAGCAAGCTTTCTGCTCTACTCAGGTGTTCTCCTGTGAGGTAGAAAGGGAAGCAGAGAAACAGCACTTACAAAGATGTTGAAGCTTACATTCTCTGAATATTTATATAATTTTCAGCTGCTTAATTTAGAAGAAGAAGTAACTGTCATACTATCTTCCTACGCAAACCCTGACCAGCTGAGAGTCCATGTATAAGCTACAGTTACATTTTTAAAAAAAGAAGAGAAACAATTTTACAAATCTGTATTAGTGCATATATTTCAACACAACAACATAAATCTACCTGATCCATTTCATTATTTGCTTATTTAGAAACTATTTCAGAATAAAAGATTATTATTTCAGATTCCCTTGTCAGATAGCCTGGAAAATGTGAAGACTGCTTAGGGTTTTGAAACATTCACTTTGAAGTCGTCAGAAATGTTGCAGTGACAATTTTAAAACCACTTGAGGGCAGTAAAAGCACATTTCTTAACTGTACATTGCAGATGATTTAACCATAACCTCCAAAATTAAAGACTTGGCCAGAATACCTTATCTGCATTTCTAACTTTGTCTAGAGTTATGCCCCCACCCCCATCTGCCAGGTTTATATTCCTAGTTTCTCAAATTTAAGTAGAACAAGAACAAAAATTTAAAGCACACATTCTGTTTTTGGTTTCTTTCATAAGCAATATTTTTGCTGTGGCTTATAATTGATGTATTTCAGAGACATGGCTCAATTAAGTCACAAGTTCAACTTCTTTACCTCAAATGTATGTATATTTCAACATCAATTCATATATGTGAGCATGAATGTTTGTGTGTGGATATGTGTGTGTTTACCCGGAGAGATTTGAGTATATAAATAAAAATAGTCGTTATCATTATAGTGAATAAGAAGAACTCTTTTGGGCACATTTATAAAGGTACTTTACTCTTTCCCATCACAGCCCTGCAAATCCACTGTCTTGGCATCTTCTTCATCACCACCTTGAAAAAAATCTTGGGCAAGTCCCATAAATTCTCAGAAATTAAAAGAAGAAAGGTTTCCTAGTTACCTTTCCCCCCTAAATTGTTTCATTTCAGTAATTAAATCACCTATCTCTGTGTAATACTTAAAATTGCTAACTTCACCTAAAGTTAAACTTCTTCCCTTTATTTTGTCTGCTTCCCACCAGAAGTCTGCAGTGGGGAGAAGTGGTGAGGTGGTCACACACATTCTGGTCCATGTCCCTACCAAGTTTCTACTCTTCTTCCCACAAGGCTGCCTCTGACTTGAGGGTTCAAGAGAAGAAGAGGAAAGAGGTAAAGAGCAGAAGGTGTTTTCTTTCACCAATACCTCTGCAATCTGACATTCATTTGGTGGGTTGGGGGGCACTGCGGCAGTAGTTCAAATCTGCCCATTTCTCTTGTGGTCATTTTTGAGGGCTTTTGTGAGCTGTGTGACTGCACAACCAGGTCAGGGCCAACTTCATGGGTGTGAGCCCTATGTAGAATCTCAGGACCACAGGCTTAGAGGGGTCCCAGGCTTGGTTTAATGCTCTGTTGTTGCCTCTGCATTTTTAAAATAATTTTTGATCAAGAGACCCTGCATTTTCATTTTTCACTGGGCCCCAGAAATTATACAGCTGGTTTTGACTGAGCCCCTTCAACAGCAGCTTTACTGCAGGACAGTGCTTCTTTTTCAGCTGATAATTTATAATCTCCCTCTGCCTCTCGGGTCAGATTTTGCCCCTAGCAGGAACCCCCTTGGACAGGGTCCCATGAATAAAGATCACACACCAATGTCTGTCCTTAGGTTTTTTGCTCCAGAAAAGCAAACACTTGTTGGGAGCATGGCTATTATAAAACTCTCTCTGCTAGAGTCAGAAGTCATCTCAGCCAACTCTCTCCAGTCACTTTCTTCTCAGACATGAATCAGGTAATTTGATTGTGTTCCTAAGCAACACCAGACCCATGTAGGCTCTCCACTTAGTCTTTGAAGTGGAGTTTAGTCCTCTCACTGGGCTTGAGTGAGGTGGAGCATCATATCTTCCTCCTCCAGATAACTGTCAAAAACCAATTCTTTCCCTAACTCCCTGGCATCTTCAAACTTAACTCTTTTGTACCCATAAGGTGGGTGAGAAGCTAATGGTCAAAACGTCAATTTTGGGCCCCTCCTATTTTAGGTCTGTACAGGGAGTTTAGCCTCACTTTGGAAGTTGCAAGTTCTTGCTCTCTTTGTTTTGTTCTCAGCCTTTAGGAAACTCTATAGAAACGGAGACAGAAAGAGTCTCAATATAATGCCCAATGACATCATTTATAGGGAAAACTTTTACTCGGCATTAGATATTTTGAAATTTAAATATTTATTTGAAGAACATTTTAAATATCCTCAATTCCCTTAATACATTAATATCTTCATTAGTAGAAGGGATCAATTCAACAAATATTTTGAGCATCTCCTTTGTGCAGGAATCAGTAATAAGTTGAGCTAATATGCAAATTAGCAAGAGAGCCTCCACATTCTTGAGGAGTTCACAGTTAGAAACTGAAAACACAAAGACAATTTCCTAAAGATGAGTAATAATAAAGTCGTGTACAAATGCAATAAGATCACAGGAAAGAGAGCAAATACAACTCTGGAAAAAAGAGAACATTTCACCAGAACTAAAATTAGATTTGGATTATAAAAAGATAGGAAGATGGTGGGCAGAATGTGGAGAATAATTTCGAAGCTAGAGGCAGTAATTTGTTCAAAGGCTATTGCGATAATCCAGGTAATATTATGAGGGCCTAAACTAAATCAGGGTCTCTTGGGGAAAAAGAAAAGAAGCATAAGTAGGTGGTAGAAATGAGAGAAATTATTGGCTTATTAAATGAGGAAGAAAAAGGAGCTGAAAAATAATTCTAGGAAAAAACAATCTCAAAATACCATCTTGCAGAAGATGGAGTATTAAATATAAAAATAATAGAGTATTAGAATGTATCATTTTTGTATATAAGTACATGTTAATTCATTTTAATTCAATTATGAAACAGTAGAAGTATGCTTTTTAAGATTGAGCATTTGTTTTATATAATATAGCCAATGTTGGATGTGGTAACTAGCCTGCTCTTTGCAAAATCTTATTGCTTAAATTTCCAGGAACATCATGTAGACAGGTAAGTCGATTTTAGCAAAATCCAACAAAGAAACTACTTTATGTCCAAAACTGCAATATAGTTTGTGCAAAAGTAATTTAATTAAGTTCAGAAAATGTTTACTGTATGCTGTGTGAGTTGCTGGTGGGAAAGTAAATGATGCAACTACTTTGGATGACTTTGGGAAGTTTTCAGTAAAGAGAAACATATACTTATCCTATTTCAGGAGAAATGAGAACACATCTGCTAAAAGATCAGAGTGTTTACTGAAGCTTTATTCACAATAACCAAAAACTAGATTGGATAATAAACCAGATCATGAACAATGCATTGTTTTGTTAGCATACAATGTGTATTAGTCCGTTCTCACGTTGCTATAAAAAACTACCTGAGACTGGGTAATTTATGAAGAGAAGAGGTTTGATTGACTCACAGTTCCACAGGCTTAACAGGAAGCATGATTGGGAGGCCTCAGGAAACTTACAATCATGACAGAAGGCAAAGGGGAAGCAAGCACCTTCTTCCCATGGCAGCAAGACAGTGAGAGAGCAAGTGGAGAACTGCCACACACTTTAAAACCATCAGATCTCATGAGAACTCACTATCATGAGAACATCATGAGGGAAACCGCCCTCATGATCCAGTTACCTCACACCAGGTTCCTCCACCTGACACATGGGGATGACAATTAGAGATGAGATTTGGGTGGGGACACAGAGCCAAACAATACCACAATGGATCACTATATAACAACAAAAGTGAACAAACTTGTTACGTGTAACAACATGGACACGAACATCATAGATATTATGTTGTGTGAATGACATTTAGGCACAAAAGAGTAAAGACTATATAACAGAACCTTCAATATGAGGTTCAAGAACAAGTAACACTAATAAATGATGTATTGATTTTCTATTGCTGTAGTAACAAATTAAATGTAGTGATTTTAAACAAAACAGTTTTATAGTCTCACAGTTTAAAGGGACTAGAAGTCTGGCAACAGCTTACCTGGGTCCTCTGCTTAGGATCTCACACAAGTGCAATCAATATATCAGCCAGGATATTTTCTCTTATTCAGGCTTGATTAGGACAGAATCCTCTTCCAAACTCATTCAGAGTGTTGGCAGAATTCATTTCCTTTGGTTGTAGAAATGAGGGCCCTGGCTTCTTGTTGGCTAGTGGCTAGTGGCCACCATCAGTTCTTAGATCCTGCTCACGTTTTTTTTTTTTTTTTTTTCATGACGGAGTCTGGCTCTGTCGACCAGGCTGGAGTGCAGCGGCGCGACCTCGGCTCACTGCAACCTCCGCCTCCCGGGTCCAAGCGATTCTCCTGCCTCAGCCTCCCAAGTAGCTGGAATTACAGGCACGTGCCACCAGGCCCGGCTAATTTTTGTATTCTTAGTAGAGATGGGGTTTCATCGTGTTGGCCAGGCTGGTCTCGAACTCTTGACCTCATGATCCACCCACCTCGGCCTCCCAAAGTGCTGGGATTACAGGCATGAGCTACTGCACTCGGCCCCTGCTCACAGTTTTTAAGTGCTATCTGCATTTCCTTCCCAAGCTGGCTTTTTCACTTTGGCCACCTACTTCATCAAGCTAGTAAAGAAAGACTTTAGAATAAGCCTGCTATCAAGACAGTTTTATATAGCATATTGTACTGGAGAAGAAGTCTCCTCACCTTTGCCATATTAGGTTAAAAAGCAGTCACATGTTGCTCCTATACTTCAGTAGAGGTTATTACACAAATTTGAATACAAGAAAGTGGCGATCATGGGTGGCCACCTTAGAATCTGCCTGAAACAGATGATGAGGAGAGAATAAGATTAAGAGTTCCCTCTTTTTAGGGGTTGTGTATAGAATTGGAAGGGGCATCAGGGAACTGGAATGGTAGAAGTAGTTCATATCTTTCTCTGAGAAGTGGTTAGGGATTATATACATATTTAAAAAAATAATAGTACACATGTACACACTGCTATATGTAAAGTCATACGTCATTAAAAATAATAAAAATTGACTATTTACTAGTAGTGCTTTTGGTACTATTAGAATTATAAGAGAAACTGTAATGATGATTGTTAATCATAATATACTACTAAAGATATATGGTATGTAGGTGGAGAGATAGATGGATAGATAATTGGTAGGCAGGTAGAGAGAGTGAGTAAGACAGAGAGAGAGAGAGAGAGCTCAATCTATCTGTCTACAAATTCTGATAGAACCTGAGTTCTGTGCTGTCACCACTTTTTTGAAATGTTCACCTAGATGCCTCAAATTCCATGTAGCCTGTTGAACATATTATGGAGCACCCAGGATTGCACTTCATCCTGTTTTACCCCTGCTGGCTAATGGCTTCACCATCTACTCAACCATACAAGCTGGAACCAAGGAAAACTTCTTTATTTGCCTATTATCAGACTCTCTATCCACACACTTCCACTCCTTTTACCCATCCAAGAAGTCTCCAAGCTTTATTCATTGCAAAAACTAAGTATTTCTGGGCTCTGCTATCATCAGTTGGCCAAGCAGGAAGCTCACAGTTGAACATATACTAAAGGGCAATCATAAAATAGAACAACAATGAAAAAATAAGAGCATGTTGTATAGAAAATGTACAGAGAGAATACTTCGGCATTTGTTTACAGGCAAATAAATCTGAGTGAAAAAGACAGTAGATGATTATCTCTGAAACTAGGAAATGCAGTCTGTTTCATAGATCTAACCTATCTTAAAGTGGCTAGATGCAGATTAGCAAAATAATTTATCAATAACATGATTAAATAATCAGAGTGGGCTGGGTGCAGTGGCTCACGCCTGAAATCCCAGCACTTTGGGAGGCCGAGGCGGGAGGATCATGAGGTCAGGAGTTCAAGATCAGCCTGGCCAATATGGTGAAACCCTGTCTCTACTAAAAATACAAAAATTAGCCCGGCGTTGTGGCACGCGCCTGTAGTCCTAGCTCCTCAGGAGGCTGAGGCAGGAGAATTGCTTGAACCTGGGAGGTGGAGGTCGCCATGAGCCGAGATTGTGCCACTGCACTCCAGCCTGAGTGACTGAGTGAGGTTCCACCTCAAAAAAAATTAATAATAATAATAGTCAGAGTGGGTGGCAAACTTCTTGGATTTTCTAGCAAAGGCTATCAAACTAGAACTTCCTGGGAATCTTCCTTCAAAACTATTCTGAAAGCTTACTCCCAATCCACCAGAACAGGAGCATTTATTTGAAATGAATTTTAGCAATATGAGCAGTCCGTAGGAGACATAATGGAGAGGTATATACTTGTTATTAAAACATCACGATTAACCAGTTTCTTGGATATTAATTTTTCCTCTTTATTGGTGATTTATTCTTAGTCCTAGATCCAAGTATCCCATTTGTAGAAATACTTCTGGCTCTTTATTTGACTAATCCATACCTTCCCCTTCATCCTCCTCACCACTTTATAACAGAGGATACATAATTTCCCTTGGTTAATCCTGTGTTAGAGTCAGGATTTGACCTAAGTTTGACTTCAAATTCGGGACTCATATATTCCAACTAGTTATTACAGTGAGTCAGACCTTTCATAAAATAATCACTCCTTTCCTTTCCAGACTCATCTGTCATCATTAGTCTACATGTCTCACTCCTCCCCTCCAAATTGAAGTACTGAGATAATTCAGAATTTTCAAAAATTACCATGGATATTTATTCAGAATGAGCCAAACTGTTAGGTTTGAGGGCACAGTCCACATACTGCCATGTATGCACAAGACTTCTGACACAGTTTTAAAGGAGCTAGAGTCCAACTAGAGTCCAACTACAGAGTTAGTGTGAAGAGTCCATACAAGACCACCCTCACTTCTGACACCAAATACAAGTTTGGAGGTTCTCCAAACCACTCTAAGTTTTGAAAAGTTACTAGAAGTTTTCACAAAACTCACTGAAAGCTATGATGTTAATGGTTTATTACAGGGAAAGGGGACAGATAAAAATCAAGCAAAGGAAGAGGTGCATAGGGCAGTGTCTGGAAGAATTCCAAACATCAAGTTTTTGTTTTACTCAACATGCATATTTCATTATCAGTTTTTGATAGCATGCATGGAATACTGCCAACCAGGGAAGCTCACCAGAGCTCTGCTGCCCAGAGTTTTTATTGGGGCTTCATTCTGCAGGCATGCTTGTCAATTGCCTATGTAGTTGATCTCAGTCTCTGGGTTGACTGATACCATGAGCCCAAAGTCCCTATCCTAAATCACATGATTGGTCCTAACGTAGCCAGCTTCTGCTGTAAGACTATGGAAATCAACTTCTATCCTCAAGAAAAACACTCCTATCAGCTACAACAGATTATCTCCCAAAAGCCAGACCTGATTTAGGGCAAGGCCAAATTCTTTACTACACATTAATCCTGCTTGTTTGTTTTTGGACATAGAATATTATTCTGTTTGTATATCTGGGAAATATTGTTCCTTTGTGATTCAGTTCAAGTGACAGCTACATCATGAGGCATTCCCTGTAAAACCTTTCTACCTCTTTCCCATATACAGTTAAATCTCCCTTTTTCTCTGCTCTCTTTAGTGTCTTTTCAATACCTCTGCTATAGCTGGTATAGCACATTTTATAATAACTTTTACTTCTTCCCTCTCTATAATGTGATCCACTAGTAGTCAGGGACTTAACGAGTATTTATCTACTCATCACCAATGTCTGAAACCATTGCTTACACAGAACCAGTGCTCATGAATAGCATGCCAGGCAGAATGGAAACGTGAGATGGCACAAAGAACTCTTGCTGCCACCATGATGTTGGGTGAATATCCAGATTCCTTCTACATGAGAAGCCAACTTTTTTCTCATGATGCATTTCTCATTGTTGTCCTGCATGCAGTGGGTTGATCCAGTGGGCTTCAACTCTTCTGCTTGGAGAATAAGGTCTTTAGAGGAGCATTCATGACATCTCGGTGTTATGATAGTATGTTTCTCACCTTTACTCAAAGTAGAGGATACACTGGAACTACTCTTAAGGAGAGGACAACACCTTCTTTCTCCTCTTCCTTGCTAATGGAGAAGAAAATGGGAACTCTTATTGCCCTCATTTGGACCATTGAGTCATGAGTTTTATGTAAATTTTGGGAGTTTGTGGGTAGGGAGTCAGGGGAGTGGGGTTGCAGAGCTTCTTCTGTGAAGCTTCCTGATTGACAAATGGTTTTTAAGAACTGCTTGATAGCTCCACTCCTCGTCTCTGGGTCTCTGGCTCCACCATATATGCAAGATGAAAACCCAGTTGATATACTTTCAGACATGGGATTCCATTTTACCTATCAAGTATTTTATGCTTATTTGAAACTAAATTCTACAGGCTTTGTAACAGGGCATCTTTAATGTTTTTCTATATAATTGCTGTGATAAATCAACATAAAAGATGGTAGACAAACCCCTTATAGCTTCTCCTGCAACTTAGGAGAAGCAGCCTACAAACAGCCATGGAGGGGCATAAGGCTCTGGTAATTCCATTAAGAGTCAAAGAGGAAATCTAGTAGCAACACTCTTAGTGACATTGGATGCCCTGACTTGAAAACCTATTGTATTTTCTGCCTCCTAGGAGAGTTCCCATGTGATTAATAAACTTGTTAAGTCTCTTTGGCATGGACCTCCTATGGAATGATAGGAACTTTTGATCTCCACCAAGTTTATACTTGGTGGAGATTAATTGATAAAAATATTTCCAGATTGACTAAAAATAAAATAAAATTGCTTTGGTTGGAAAGAAAACAAGTGGAAAATTTCAGGTTGGAATTATCTGGGCATAGAAATTATAAACTGATTCATAACTTGGAGAAAGTTGTCCAGATTTTGTCTCTCTGATTCTAAACACAGGAAAGTCAATGCATACTGATTATAGAGTGTAATGGCTGAGTCATTCCCAGATACGCTGATTTGCTGGATAATATTTTTCTCTGAGAAAATAGTCACATTTTGTGTGAACATTAGCTGCTGTATCCTACAATATGATTGATTCTGGCATGTTTCCTCCCTAGAGGAAATTATTATGCTTCATTCTCAGCACAATGGAGCAGTATTTCTGGCCAAGACCAACTGCTTCCATAACTAATGCCTTGGGCATGATGACACTATATCATATACCATTAATTGGTGATCATTTATTTCACGCTCTGAATAAGGTTCTCCTACTTTTGGGGAAGATGTAGATACAGTTTGCTAGAATGCTTACCTTTCTCGCTCCACTCTGATCCATACCTCCAAATCTGCCTCAAAGGCCCTATTATCAGTCCTTCATTTCCACCTAGAAGGAGGCTAGATTTCAAGTTGCTTAATTCTCAGTTGCTGTTAGTAGAATCTCTGGTGGAAGCACTAGATTATCAATCATGTCTCTGTCCACCCCAACTGTGTGAGGCTCTTTCAGTTATCATCCCAAATAGATTTTACTACTTCACTAAAGAGGGTATCAGTGTCTGAGGATGATACCTGCCTAACAGAGCATTTGCCTTCTCTGGTTTAACCTTGGCCAGCAACAACTCTCATAGCCAGTGAACCTTGTAGTACTGTCCCACCCAATTTAGAACAGTTAGGACATAAATAAGAAGTAAGAGTGTTGTTACTGGTCAACTCTTAAAATGGTCTTTCAAACACATACACCTTAAATTTATTCATGTAGCCCACCTCTTCGATAAAAAGTCTACTTTGTGAATAAGAGGTTGAGCTTTTAGTCAAGGACTAGCAAATGCCAGAGTTTCCATTCTCCAATTATTAAATTTTTAAAAGTATATTACCACTCTTTCAACTTCTGAGCCACCATCAATGTGTGATGTGCAATGGTTATTAAAGTCAGCAGAATTTAAATTGAGATGTTTGATTAAGACAAACATGCTTAATCTCACTAAATATTAGAGTCACCTGGGGAAGCCTTAAAAGGAAAATCGATTACTTGAATTGGAATTTCTGAATTAAAAAAAAAATACCTCACCAGGTTGTTCTAATAGTCAGCTAAGGGGGAGAACACCTGGTTGAGGGTTTAGACTACCTACTCCAAGCTTCCCTGGAGGTGATAGGGTCACTCGTCTCTCTCCCACAGCCACTATGGGCATCTTTGAACACATGGGAGGGAGCTTTGTGCTAACCAAATGCTTACAAGTCAAATGAATGAGGATCCAGGTGTAATCTTTCACTGACAGCATGAAACACCAGCTAAACTTTCAGAGCATCTTTACTTCTCTAAATCTCCTGAAAGGAGGCCAGCAGATAAGGACAACAGTTGCTCTGATGAGAAACTATATCTACTGTAAAGTTAGCAGACGAATAGGCGCAGGCACAACAGAACAGAACCCTACTTCTTAGGGAACATATTCAATTCTGACTCATTGAGATAGTCTGTCACTCTAAGGATTTAGTTTTTTTTTTTTCTCCAAAGTCTTCCCAAATACAATCACATTATCTAAATATTCTAACACTTGTAAATCAGTCACTGGTAGTAAATGGTATCTGGAGAAACCCCAATCCATTGTTTTAGGATAGGAAAAAATTATTCTGAACAAATGAATACTAAATTCTTCATACCTGTTCTGGCCTCCTAATAGCCATTCTTTGAAACTAACAATAACTACTGTCTCTACTAGAAAGCCCAGGGCATACTAACAACAAGGTATATCGGTCGGACTTAGGCCATTTGTTTAGTATATAATAGTCAATATCTATTTTATTTCTAGATTTTTCAGTAGTCATTTGGACTCCAAAAGTCAGTTCTGTGATGATTACAAGGTCTTTCGTATGGTATCATGATTTTTTAACCATACTTTATAAATGATCTAGTGTCTTATAATTGTATTTAATACTATTCTTTTTTCCAACAACCCATCCCAGTCTTAGAGGCTGTTGCATCCCTGTCAGGTAGATCCCTATTTTGTCTCCTTCTAATGCACAATTCTAAGGAGTTATTGAAGTCAAAATTGTCTAAACTCAGCTTTCAGGCTGCTCCCATTTGAAATTACTAGCTGGGACATGTTGGAAATTACACCTTTGGGTAAGTCTTCTGATATCTGCCAGTCTCCACAATCATGTGGATAAGTGTGGTCATATTCAGTTATTAGAAAAACTTCACTGAAAATTCTAATTCAAAGCCTTTTCTGCCTTAAGATTATACCCTCCTTTCTCTTCTGCTCTCAGATTCCTCTAAGGTCAGATTCATGTTGCTGTAGTCCCTGGTCTTTGACGTCATGTAGGTAACAAGTCTCCTTACAGTGGCCTGCATGGGCAACACGTATGAGTTCCTTGGAGGACCTGTAGGAAGTCTCCTTGATGCAGAGTTATCTGGGTCTTGTGT
Source organism: Homo sapiens (assembly GCF_000001405.40). Lineage (NCBI taxonomy): Eukaryota > Metazoa > Chordata > Mammalia > Primates > Hominidae > Homo > Homo sapiens. The sequence continues at coordinate 151,907,476 of NC_000003.12, read as the reverse complement.
TTTCAAGCAGACGTTTTTGAGCCACTCAGCAGCTCCAACTTGTGCTTCTATGATCATCTTACTTAGGTGATGGGTCTCTGAACTGAGGACTAGTAAAATGGTTCAAGCCTAATTCCCCTTGATCAATGAAAAACTTGCATGTCTTTGCCAGGCTAATAAAAGTTACATTGCTTTTGCTTCTTATATATTTGCTGATATGGAGTAATCTAGCAAGCTTTTAGTCTTCTCAGTCTTCCGGGTAAGAAACAGTTTGAGTCACTACATTTACATATACATTCAAACTTCCAGGAGTGTATGTCTGGTCCCCTAAGAAGTCTCTTATTTTGCTCTATCCTTTAGATTGACATCTTCTTTGCTCATTACGTAGCAGAAAATAAGGGATCATCCTCATTTAATCTTCAAGAACTTCCTTTGAGAAAGAAACTAATTAATTGCCCTATTATTGGTCTGGTATTAAACCCTCCTTCTATTCTATCTGCTGTGGCTAAAGAGATGGATTGTGTGGTAGCTTAGTCTGATCAGGCTGCTACAACAAAATACCTTAGAATAATTTATAAACAACAGAAATGTATTGCTCATAGTTGTGGAGTCTGGGAAGCTCAAAATTAAGATTCGGTGTCCAGTGAAGGCTCATTCTTTATAGATTATGCCAATGGCAGAAGAGGCTAGAGGCTTCCTCCACCTTCTTTTATAAGATTATCAATTTTATCCTAATCACTTCATAAAGGCCCTACTTCTTAATAGTACCACACTGAGTATTAGGTTGCAACATAAGAATTTTGAAAGAAAATCTACATTCAGGACATAGCATGTGATCCTTGTTCATTTAGGAGTTTATCTGGGAGCAGAATCTCTAATTACAGGGCATGGGCAGATTTGTTAAGGTTGAGTGAGGCAGAGTGGAAAAGAGTGGTTTTATGTCCACTGTACTTCCAAAGTCTAATTCTTCAAAATACAGACATCCAGGGTAGAAGAGAAAAAACAAGAAATTTAGATACCTAAAGGGATTAGATTTTTAATAAGACCTGGTTATTATAAATTATTTACCAGCCTTACTAACTCATCTAACAAGACAAGTAAAATTAGTGTAAAGATACTGATTAGATTTTCTAAAGTGATAAAAATTAAATGAAAGATGGAAGTTTCTTACAGTAATTAACATTTACCATCAGTTAAAAAAAATCCTGATACTAGATGAAAGGATTTTGTTTTATATTTTAAAGATCTATATTTGTAGTGAAAAATAGACCCTATACTCTTTTAATAGGTTTTTGGATTTTACCTAATATGCTCTATGTGAGTCTCTGTTACTTACAACCAATGACCCCAGACTAAAATATGAAGCATTGTAGCCTTAAGTAGATCTTCAGACAACCACATCTTTTTATTTTACTAATCAATATGTAACAGCAGTGAGGGAATACTTGGATTAATGAGACCAGTTTCCAGAGGGTTAAAGATGAACATCTTAAGATGCAAATGTAGGAAAAACACAAGGTTTATGTGTTAATCATCCCAACAGCAAATAAAATAAAAACTGTGCATTGACCCACGCTGGACTTAGGAACATTCTAAAGAAGTTAGTAATATGAGGGGCATGTCTCACTTTCAGTCATGTATTATTGCTATTATATGTCAATATCTATTTTTTTATAGCCCATATAATTCTTTGCATGTATTATCTTCTTTATGAAACTATGAAGCTCTAAGGATGTGGTTCCTAATTCCTCTCCATATCGTCTCATCAATCAGCATGAAGTCTTTATTTAGTATGTGTTTAATAGATTATTTGTTGAGTGAGTCAAAAGGCTAGGGGAATAGGATTAACTTGACACCTATGGAAGATTCTAGCATTCAGGGATATCATATTTAAAAACAAAGGGGAGATTCCTTAAAAGAATAGACTCCCTGAGATAGCATCTTATAGGTAGAGTAGTGGTCGTCAGCTAGAACCAGTTTAATCCCAGGGGAAATTTGGCAATATCTGGAGACATTTTTCGTTGTCACAGCTGGAGTAGGGGGTGCTCTTAGCATGTAGTGGGTAGAGGCCAGGGATGCTGCTAGATATACAACAATGCCCAGAATATCCTCCAGCCCACCAATAAAGAATTATGTGACCTACAGTGTCAATAGTACCAGGGTGACAAATACTGAGCTACAGTTGTTTGTGCTCAGACCTTTTCTTGCTGAGTGAAGCAGGAAGAAAACCTCTGGACTTCAGTTGTTAACACCAACAGCTGGGGCCGGAGGCTTCTATTTGTCCTGCTATAGAAATCTTCCTCTTATTTCTTTTAGTTATAGAACATACTGAGTTTTAGCTGGGGCCTTGGCTACCAGTTAGAGACTATATGTCTCATTTTCACTTGCAGTCAGGATTGATGGTGGGACTAAATTCTAGCAAATGGAAAGGAGTGGAATGGACATGTGCTTCATGTGGTTAAAAGAGGAGGCCTTTTGCACTCTCTCTTCTCTCCTTCCTGAAACTGATAATGTGGATGTGGAGGGTGTATTAGGCCATTCTTGCATTGCAATAATGAAATACCTGAGACTGGGAAATTTATAAAGAAAAGAGGTTTCAAAAGGCAGAAGGCAGGAAAATAAAAGCAAACAAACACCCACACTCCCCGTCACCACCACCAAAAAAAGAAAAAAAAAAAAAAGAGATTTAATTCGCTCACGATTCTGCAGGCTTTACAGGAAGCATGGTGCTGGCATCTGCACAACTTCTAGGGAAGCCTTAGGAAGCTGACAATGATGGTGGAAGGTGAAGGGGGAGCAGGCACATCACATGGTAAAAGCAGGACCAAGAGGGAGAGTAGGGTTGGGGGAGGTGCCACACACCTTTCAATGACCAGATCTCTGGAGAACTCACTCACTACAGCAAAGACAGCACCAAGCCTGGAGGGATCCACTCTCATGATCCAAACAACGTCCACTAGGCCCCATCTCCAGCATTAGGGTTTACAATTCAACATAAGATTTGGGCAGGGACAAGTATCCGAACTGTATCAAAGGATGTAAATAATATTTGTCCTTTTAGATGTGGATACAATTGCATAGGCTGGTGAAGCCATCGGATAGAAGCATGAACTAAAAAAAATCTATAAATCACAATATCTATAAATTTGGAAAGGAGACTATTTCTTATAAAGGGTTACAGCTTGCAAGGTGGCCATTCTGACAGGCTGGAAAGCATAGCCCCTGGCAGAGGCCATTGGCAGGCACTTGGAGGGAGGGAAGGATGAAATAGGAATTTATACAGAATGCCTTGATCAAGTCTATCCAACAGGTTATAGCTCTGAATATTCATGAAGGGGGTCTTAACACATGCAAACTGAACAAACATATATGTTACATTTGTCCCATATTCACTTTGGGGTAGAGACTTAACATTTAAATGCATGACAATTAGGCCCTATATGTCAAAATGTGAAGCGGGGACATGAAGGCATTCAGTGCAAAGCCTCGGTAAATAAGCCAGAACCTGTCCATGTGGGTGGTCTCTTATCAGGAGAAAGTTACTGAAATCAGTCTCTGGTCTAATCAAAGCTATAGTTCTGGCTTGTGGAACAGGGGAATCAGTGAGTCAGTGCCTGGAAGTGGATGAGCTGCAATTGTTTCAATACTGTTTATCTCAAGGCCAGTGCTTATTTAGCTGCTAGAGAAAAAGAAAATCCTCGTGGCAGTGAGTACATAGTTTATTCTTTAAGTGTAGGGGTGCATGATGTAACTTTTGCCTGCAGTGGCCTTAGGTCTTGTTTATAACTTGGTGTCTTTTTGTCAGAAAGAGCCCATTCTGCCTGTCTTATCATCTCTATTTTTACATTAATGCTGCTCACTTGTATGTCTAAACCACAAAAGGAAGGGGCTATAAATAGGCATATCCAACCGCCTGTCCAGTTATGGCCAGGAACTCAGTTTTTAAGGTTTCTCTGGAGTCCCCTTGGCTGAGAGTGAGCCCAATCAGTTGGTTAGGGGTTAGGGGGTGGGTGTAGGATTTTATTTTTAGTTCTCAGAAGGAAGCTGTGTCCCTGAATGACCTTGTTGTGTGTCAGAAACCATACCCCAAAGTATGGTGCTTTGACATGCTGAATTGAAGAAGCCTCAAGGTCTCTCTGACCTTCCCCCACCATTGTCTCCCCAAATCTTTTATCTGCCTAAGTAAGATCCAGACCCACCAAAAGGAACAATTTTCTCCCCTGTTCTCTGTAAGACCAAGAATGTAGCCACGCTTGAACAGACCCTTTCATAAGATAATGTGCAATGTCTGCTCCCTGATTCATTCATTCTCCCTAGAAATATTCTCAATCTCATTCCTCTTCTCCTGCCTTCCATAACTTGATTTGCCAGGACAGTATATAAGCTTCTGAAATAGATGGCGGCATGGATAGTCACTCTGTGGTTCTCCCTGTGTACACGTTAATAACATTTGTTTGCCTTTTCTCCAATTATTCTGCCTTTTTGTGAGTTGATTTTTCAGTGAACCTTCAGAGGGCAAAGGAGATTTCCCTTCTCCCTTACCCCCTCATGGAGCAGAGTTACCTACCTGTAGTGCCCTGCCTGTTTCTTGCTGGACTGTAGTGTAAGAAACAAACTCCTTTGAACCACAGTATTGTTTGAACCCTTTGTGACCGCAACTGAGCTTCAATCCTAACTAATACAAACCAGATACAGTTTTTGTTGTTCTGGATGATGACTGGAAATACATAGCACTACAGGAGATAGACAGCTACTCTCACTTCGTTTAGAATGCTGTAAGTAAGAGTAATAAAAACTGATCAATACATGGGGATAACAGACAAAAGGAAGTAGACCACACCTCAAAAGAGACCATATTATCTATGCACTGTAGCCTTTGTAGCCATCAGCTAACCATAGATCACACAAACTATATACTGGACATGGTAGGATTTGAAGTTACTATAAGTTTTCAGTTGTGACATTTAGAATATGCATTTTTTTCTTTTTCTGTGTTGACATTGCTTTTCATTTGTTTGTTTATAAGCTTAGGGGTTGTGATTAGGATAAATGACCATCTAGTAGAAAAAGGTATTCCCCATTTTCTGGGAGAATGTTTAGGAAAGAAATGGACATTTGACTCTTATTATAAGCATTAGAGATCTTAAGAATAATGCAGATGTCTTATTTAATAGTGTGAGGAAAATTTGGGGAAACTATACTTTTTTGAGCAGCTACCAAGTACCTGACACTCTGTGTTTCTTGTGGGATAAAACCTGGAGGAGATAATAACTGTTTTGTTCTTTCTACACTTTTAGGTTGTTGCTCAGATCTCCACCCATCAAGTTAAATAGCTTTTATCCTCTCCAGGGAGGGCAAATGCGGCTGAGAAAGAGGAAATCAATTGAGTTCCTAGGAAATCTGTTAAATCTTGTGAGCCAGGCATTTTGAAAGCCAAGTCTTATAAGAGCCAAGCTTTTTGAGAACACAAAGGATTTTTGAGCTACAAAAGGCTAAGCCTCTGGAGATGGCTGAAGATGGAGTCCTGAGGATAAAGTTAGGGGAAAAAAATGCATGCTGAGATAAGAGTATTTTCCCACACCAATGGCGATGAGGTTTAATAAGTGAGAGGGAAGAGCATTAGCAGAGGCGAAGAGGATAGAGTTTAGAAAGTGACAGTAACTGAGAGGGCACATTGTGTCCTACCCTCACTCCCAGCCAAGCTCTGGATAGTGTAAAATGCAGAGGCCAGATAGATTTGGCAGAGGTCTTGAAACAAAGGATACAAGTTTTCTATGAAGCCTGAGGGAGCACAAGCCTGAAGGTAAATCTCAGTATAAAGTCAACCAAAGTCATCATTGTCTAGCAATTGAAGAGTAGAGTCAGAGATGTTTAATCAGAGATGGAGAGTACAACCTATTTCAAGTTTCTCACAATGTTGCACTAGCACAGAATTTCAGAAAGTTTTCTGTGTCCTTGAGAGAGGCACAAGAGAGCTGATTAGTGGTTTGGACAGACTTTATAGGTAAAATAAACAGGATGTAGAGTGGCCTGCTTAGTCACGACAGAGGAAAAGTAGAGGGGGATGTGGATGCTGTGGCAGTGGGTGCAGGCAGGCTGGAGGCTGAACACATAGCATTAGACCTCCACTATAGGACCCAGAGAAAGTGAGAAAAAGAAAGAGAAGCACCTGCTTCTCAGTGTATACTGATGGAAATTGAACCCCCTCTCCCAAAATCATTTATGTCATCTCCTAGAGGAAAAAAGGTGAAGGGAATGAAAACAGTCTGGAATTGGCTACTTACTCATCAGAAACAGAGAAAATCTCATAAGCAGCTGAGTTTAGTTTTAATTGTTCAGATTATATTCAGGACCTTTAGTAGAAATTGGAGAGCAGGAGGAAGGGTGGAGAAGTAGAGAGTAAGGTTACTGATGATGATGAAATTGTAAAATGTCCACTTTTGCACCACTGACTGTGATTGAAAATTCAAACTCTACCTGGATGATCTAATCAGAATATCAAAGATTCCCTACATCATACACACCTGTAACATGGCTTGCAGTTTGTAAGTTTGCTTAGAGCAAACTTATCTTTGGAAGTGAAAGATGTCCTGGGTAAAAGGAGAGAGACTGAAGTTGATTTTAATGTTTGTATTATAGAATCTGCATGCTAGATACACTGAACCTCTTTTAAGTGCAAGAAAGCCAATTCTGGCTGTGATATCTCTAATCATAAGTGTTGTCAAAACAGAGTGTGTGGGAGAGTTGAGCTGAGCCATCAACCCAAATGAACTCCTGACTTAAAAAACAAAAAATAGATGATCTTAATCTTTTTGCAAAGCCCAGCCCAGGCTAAACATCCTGAGGTTGGGATAAATTACGAAAGTTTGGGGATATAGCAACGGGAGGAAAGAGAGCCTTTTGCATAAATACACAGTGAACTCCAGTGGAGGGAGGTGAGAAAACTTTCAATTACCCACAAAATCTTAGCCAGTCATGGGAGAGGTTTTAGATAAATGAACTCTAAACAAAGACAATAGATCCCAAATTCTAACAGTTAGAAATGGATTAAAATAAATGTTCTTTAAAGGGGAAATTGAGGGACAAATGTGATAGAATAAATTTGGGGGATGATATCTGAAGTTTGCTACCATCTTCCCAAAAGGTCTTGATGCTCATCATGTAGTGTGGGCATGAATTGCCTCAAGAGAGGAATTGATAAAGTTGGAAAAAAAAAGTCAATTCATTCATATATATAAATAATGAAAGTGAAAGTTTATTAGAGCAAGAGCCAGAGTTATGAGAAATAAAAGATATTTACATAACACATGTCTAAATGCAAAGATCACCAAACTTTGAGTTTAACAACTGAAGAGGAAGAACACATGATGATTTAAGGGTAGTTTACTCAGTCAAAAGAGAGGAGTTTTACCAGAGGCAAGGAAGAGGAGCCTCACACAGCATAGGACTGGACCTTCAAGGTTTGTGTGCCTGGAAATGGGAGCTTTCAGCCTCCCTCATCACATGCATGGATCCCAAAACTGTGCAGTAAATAAAGCAGAAAATAATTGGTGCCTCTGGAATGGTATAAACTACATATTCTATCTGGATGGCCAAGCTCATGAAAATGGCCAACACCTATGTAGAGAGTCAGGTAGAAAGCTGAGTAAAAACAATGTAACATCCATGAGGAAAGTTTAGTCATGAAGTTTTTACATGTAGAAAAGAAATGCAGAGAAGGCTGGGCTCAGTGGCTTATCCTGTAATCCCAGCACTTTGGGAGGCCAAGGCAAGTGGATCTTTTGAGGTCAAGACTTTGACACCAGCTTGGCCAACATGGTGAGACCCCGTCTCTACTAAAAATACAAACATTAGCCAGGCATGGTGGTGCGCACTTGTAATCCCAGCCACTCAAGAGACTGAGGTAGGAGAATCTCTCGAACCTGGGAGGCGGAGGTTGCAGTGAGCTGAGATCGCGCCACTGTACTTCAGCCTGGGAGACAGAGTGAGACTCCATCTCAAAAAAAAAAAGAAAAAAAAAAAAGAAAAATAATACAGAGAACAAAAAGACAGTGGTGTTCCCTCTACCACAATTTGCTGAAAATTAAAGACTCGCCTAATTTTACTAGGTTTTTAAGAATTATAGTTGCCAGATGAGTTCTTCCTGCCTTCTGCACAGACAAAATAAATTCTCTGGGACCACGGCATGGTACTAATAGTAAAGAAAGAGTTTAGTTGATGCGCGGCCAGCCACGCCTCGGCTCACTGCAGGAGGCAGAGTTATTACTCAAATCAATCTCCCTGAAGGCTCAGAGGGTAGGTGTTTTCAAGGATAGTTTGGTGGGCAGGGGACTAGGGAATGAGGAATGTTGACTGATTGGGGATGAAATCATAGGGGTATGGAAAACAGTCCTTGTGTGCTGAGTCCACAGGATTGGTTGAGTCAAGAGCCAGGAGTCTGGGTGGCGTCAGTCTGAGAGACATCTCAAAAAACCAGCTTTAGGTTCCAAAACAGTGATCTTATCTGTAGGAGTAATTGGGGAAGTCACAAATCTTGTAACCTGTGGACGCATGACTCCTGAGCATTAGGGATTATAGAAACTATGCCCACATTTCAACAGAGTTCAGGCCTCTCTCAGAATCCTAACCTTGTGGCCTTTCATTTGTTTTACAAAGGTGATTTAGTTTTGGGAAGGACTATTGTCATCCTTGCTTTAAGGTTAAACTGTAAACTAAATTTTTCCCAAAGTCAGCTTGGTCTATGCCCAGGAATGACCAAGGATAGCTTGGTGGTTAGAAGCAAGATGGAGTCAACTATGTCAGATTTCTCTTACTGTCATAAGTCATCTATATCCCTACTTCACACCATTTTATTTCTCTCTTAAAAGCAGGTAGTGTTTGCCTTAGTATCCATATGAATCCTAAGGGCACAGGGCAAAGAAAAGAGACCTGAGTGCAGGAGCCAGGCTGTGGAGCGTGTGTGTGGGCCTGCATCTGGGTCTGGGTCTGAAGCTGGAGCTGGGGCTGGGTCTGAGGCTGGAACTGGGGCTTGTTCTGACGCTGGATCTGGGTCTTGGCCTGGGGCTGAGGCTGAGTGAGACATGATCCAGGCCTGAGTCTGGTCCTGGGTTTGGGCCTGGGCCTGGGACTTAGGCTGGGTGAGCCTGGGGCTGAGATGAGACTGAAGTTGGGACTTGGGCTGAGCTGGGCCTGGGGTGGTAAGTTTCCACTTGTAAGAGGAAGTCAGGGCTGCTGCTGAGCTCCAGAGGCCTTGACCCTCATCAAGTCAGCAGATATCAAGAGTCCTATCTATACTTTCTCTAATAAGGTCAGTGAACTATCAGTGACAGAGAATTCTGCTCCTTTCATATGCAGACTTTCCTTTAAATTCAGAAATCTTGATATCTGGATTAAAATAAAAGTTTATCAAGAGAAGAACAAAAGTGAAGGTACAGCTTCAGTTTGGGCAGAGTCTTAACAATTAGTTTGTATACAGAACACATTTAGGTTTTTTAGTTTTTTTGAACCTTGAAAACTTTCAGTTACTAGGTCTTACAAGTTTTAAAGTAATATTTTTAACTAAATATCCCTTTTGTTTGTTACCGATATTTTTGGAATCGAGGGATTATTTCTGTAACTTTTGTTTCTAAAACTTTGTGGATCTATGATTCTATAAAAGTAGCTAATAGTTTTTAGTTATCCATGTTAGAGGCTGGGTAACATACCTTAAGAACAACTCCTTCAATTCCAGCTCTGCCTTTAACTTGATTTTGAATGAATCAGTTAGCTCTCACAACCTCATTTTTGATATAATAGCGTTGCCTCAGGGAATTGTGAGCAGTCCATCAGCTAATAAGAACAATATAGGAAATAGATAAGCTATAAAATATTCAGAATTGTGTTCCCAGAAGACATGAGCTACTTTCAGCTGAGTTGCTTTCTGAGTTGAGTAAAAGTGGCTATGAGATTGTAAAATATCTCGTGCTAAGTTGTTGAAGTATAAGTTCCTATTCCAGTGTGGACTTATTTTGCTTCTTTGGTTTGGTCTTGGTAAAAGAAATAACCTTTATTTATTTATTTATTTTATTATTATTTTTTTTGAGACAGAGTCTCGCTCCGTCGCCCAGGCTAGAGTGCAGTGGCGTGACCTCGGCTCACTGCAAGCTCTGCCTCCCGGGTTCATGCCATTCTCCTGCCTCAGCCTCCCGAGTAGCTGGGATTACAGCCATGCCCGGTTAATTTTTTTTTTTTTTTTTGTATTTTCAGTGGAGACGAGGTTTCACCGTGTTAGCCAGGATGGTCTCGATCCCCTGACCTCGTGATCCGTCCGTCTCGGCCTCCCAAAGTGCTGGGATTATAGGCGTGAGCCACCGTGCCCGGCAGAAAATAACCATTATTAAGTTTACACGATGTGTCTAGCACTTGAGACTCATTTTCTCATTTAATCTTCACAACAACCTTCAAAGGAGAATTATTTTCCCTATTTAATATCTGAGGAATATGGGTTTGAAAGAGGTTTAATAACTTGCTCCCAGTTATGTAAATGTACTGGAGAGAGCCTCGATTTGATATAGGGCATGGTACTGCCCTTTGATCCTACAATAGGATGTTGCCTGATTTCTTCCAGTTCTCTGACTGCTGTGGTGCCTACATAGGTAACAGCAGATTGCTCTCTGAGTCATAACCACGTACCTATCTTCTGGTTTCTGATATTTCCTAGATTCCCCGACTCTTGGCTATTTTTCAGTATTGTGACTTGGCTCTTTCTGTCTTGAATTGAGCCTTATGCCTGTGAGTCACTGTCAATCATTCTCTTGGTATGGTGCCTAAAGCTAGAGTTTTTAATGCCTACAAAAATTGTTTTATTTTGACTTATGTAATGATAAATAAATTAAGATATATGATATATAAACCAAGAAAAATAAATATAGCATTCTTTCTTGATTTTCACGAGAGAGAGAGAGAGAGAGAGAGAGTGAGAGAGTGTGTGTGTGTGTGTGTGTTTGTGCTACTCAAGACAAATTACAAATCCTGAGGCAATTTCCTATTGTCTATGCTGCTGGCTCCACCAGTCTGTTTTTTTTTTTTTTAAGAATGCAAATTAATTTTAGTATTGGGGTAAGGCATTTTCAAGGAAGGGAAATGTGTTGTTAAAATGTCACATTATTTAATTTGCATTTGTATTTCACTTTGATTAGTATTGCCTGTGGCATTGCTTCATGTAGTAGCACAGATGGTAAAAATGTGTTTATATCTCCACATTTTTCAATATTCTTTATCAATTTTATTCCTATTCTTTGGCACTGTCAATAGAGACAGTTTTAATTATTGAGATTCTAAGATATGTATAAAAATGACCTGTTCAGTTGTTCTGAGTAAACAAATCCAGGAAATTCAAGGTCATGAGAAAGTCATTAGTTATGACCTTGAAGAGTTAATGCAGCAAAGAAAATCTGGAGGAAAGATATGTCAACAACAGGTCATTACTCACACCATTTTTGGTAAAAAAAAAAAAAAATTTACTGTAACTTCTGGACAGTAAATCTTTAAATTAACTTGACTAAGCATTGGCTATTAAAAACAGAGTGCTGAAGAATGATGAAAAGGAAAGATGACTTGAGAGATTTAATAAATATCATCAAGTCTTATGAACATAGCAGTAAAAAGGAACTTGACAGTCAGAGCTAGATTTATATATAATAAATTGTCTAAATGCTAACCTGTTACAAATTCTATGGTGTAGAGAAAGTAAAAGAAAAACTTATCTCCTGCCTGTAATCTCTCACCATCTTTGTTCTCCCTAAGGTTAGCGTTTTGAACTCTAACAAATGCAGATAACTCGCCCTAAGATACAGCACAAGTATCTGGTACAAAGTTGCTTAAAGGAGAAACTCAGCAGGGTAGTGTGAGTGAGCCTAAGTATGCTGATTTAACGGAGGAAGGGGAGAGAGGATGACATTGCCGAAATCTACATTCCTACTATGTTTCTCCTTCATTTATTAACTCTGTAATTCTTAGCAGGATATTTACCATCAAATTGCCTTGATGTTCTCATCTGTCAAATGAAGATAATAACACCTACCTCGTGAATTTGTTAAGAGGATACAAAGGTTTAATGTTTGTGGAGCTATTAGAACCATTAGATCCTGCAAGTAGTAAGCACTCAATAAAGGTTAGTTAATATTCCATGTGTAGCATTTTAAGTAGTGTAAATAGCTAAGGCAATTTGAATAGAAGATCAATGGCAATTTGAACAGAAATGAGAAGGCTTTTTTTTTTTTGAGGTAGAGTCTTGCTCTGTCTCCCAGGCTGCAGTGCAGGGGTGCCATCTAGACTCACTGCGATCTCCACCTCCTGGGTTCAAGCGATTCTCGTGTCTCAGCCTCCCAAGTCACTGAGACTACAGGCAAATGCCACCACGCCCGGCTAGTTTTTTGTATTTTTAGTAGAGATGGGGTTTCACCGTGTTAGCCAGGATGGTCTCGATCTCCTGACCTTGTGATCCGCCTGCCTTGGCCTCCCAAAGTGCTGAGATTACAGGCATAAGCCACCGTGCACGGCCTTTTTTTTTAAAAAAAAATAATGGTTCAAACTGACCTCAGGTGCATGAAAATTGGGAATTAATTTATGTACAAGCCTCTGTTGTGCTTCCAGCAGTACTTGCAGACATAGAATCTTCAAGCAGAAGGGAACCTAGAAGTCATTCAGGCCAGCCTAAGATTTGCACTCTCTTTACAGCACTTCCAACAATTCGGAACATAGACAGTGATGGGGAGTACATTACTTTTCAAGGTAGCTCATGCAATTTTCAGACAGTCATAGGAACACAAAGTTTGTTACTGTGTGGAGCTGAACATCACATCAATTCCCTTCTACCAACTGGCTAAGCTGTGACCTGTAAAGCAACACAGACTAAAGCTAATTCTTCTTTATTAAAATCTTTCAAACAGTTTTAAATGGTGTCTAAGTCCATTCAGGTTTCTATAACAAAGTACCATAGAGTTGGTGGCTTATGAACAACAGAAATGTATTTCTCACAGTTCTGGAGGCTGGGAAGTCCAAGATCAAGGTGCTAGGAGATTCCTTGTCTGCTGAGGGCCTACTTCCTGGTTCACAGGCAGCCATTTTCTCACTGTGTTGTCACATGATGGAAAGGATGATGGAACTCTCTGGGGCCTCTTTTATAAGGACACTAATCCCATCCCACCCTCATGACATAATCACTTCCCAAATGTTCCACATTCTAATACCATCACCTTGGAGATTAGATTTCAGCACATGAATTTTGAGAGGACATAACCTTTCAGTCTATTGCAGTAGCATCCATATTTACCCTTTTCCTCAATACATTGGGTGAAATTTCTCTTTCCTTGAACCTCTTTCATTTGTTGCTTGTATAAGAGCAGTGCTAAGATCTAAAAAAGCCTGGCCTTTGGAATCAGAATAAGTGTACATCAAATTTTCATGTGTGTAACTTGAACAGTTTATTAGATCCCTCAGACACTTCACTGCCTCATCTGGAGATGAGAGTGGTAACACTTAACTTTAAAGGTTGCTTTAGGGATTAAATATTTGAATATATTTACAACATCAGATGCAATATAGGTACTCAATAACAAGTGACTATCCTGATAATTATTGTTTTATATGAAATGTTTCTCCTGCCATTTTGGGCCTTCTTTGATAGAGGTGTTTAGTATTTATATCAAAAAGACACCTGCATGCATATGTTTATCACAGCGTATTGCACAGTTGCAAAGATGTGGAATCAGCCTAAGTGCCCATCAACTGATGAGTGAATAAAGAAAATGTGATTATATATGTATGTGTATATATATATATATATATGTATACTATAGAATACTACTCAGCCATGAAAATAATGAAATGTCTTTTGCAGAAACTTGGATGGAACTAGAGGCCATTATTCTAAGTGAAGTCACTCAGGAATCGAAAACCAAATACTGCATGACTCCCTTATAACTGGAAACTAAGCTATGGATACACAAAGGCATACAGAGTGTTATAATAAACATTGGGGACAGGGTAGGAAGAATGAAAAGCTACCTATTGGGTACAATGTACACTACTTGAATGATAAAAAATATTTTAAAAATATTTATTTTTACTGACAGAATATCTATAAAATGTTGAAATGAGATTTAGAGATAAACTTCTGCATATCCTGAAGTTACATAAAGTATCCCTTCACTGGGCTGCCATCATAACCTATGCTTGAAGGTTCACAGAGGTTGTGCAGTCCATGCCCAACTGAGGGGAGAGTGGGCCTGGAAACGGGTCACTGCTCTGCAAGCCAAGCCTTGCACCTATCATGCATGGGGTTACATTCTCCATAGGGTATGTTTTTACTAATTCTTACAAAGACATCATATGGGCTATAGAAGCTGTTCTTATGCCCCATCCAAGAATTTTTCATATTTTTTAAATTCTCTGTTTGTTTCTTTTACTTTTTGGATCACTTATTTGTTCCTTTTTTTTTTTTCTTCATGTGCTCCCCTAGTTCTAAGCACAATTCCTAAGCCATGGATAGATATTAGATAAATAAATGCACATGAATGTTTATTTGATTAAAAAAATAGATGATCCAGGTGAAACATGATGAGGGATTGAAATAAGAATACAAAAACTAAATTAGAGGCTAGACAAATAAGGGGATGTAGACATGAGGGAGAGGGAGCAAAAGAAATGGCATTTTTGTTCCTAAGAGAATGTGCAGAAGGTACAAAATGTGTTGAGGGAGACACTGAGCTCCCTCTTTTGAACCCATGAATTTATCTTCATATAGAGTTGCACAGAAAGGCAGGTGAAAATCTGTGCAGGTAGCATAGAAACCAATTCAAACTCAGAGATGTAAATCCATGTATGAGAATAAAATTTTCTGAGGGAAAAAAGAGTGAAAAGAAAATGGAGCTGAGAACGCTAATATTTAAGAGATGGCTGGAATTGGAATAAGGATGACAGAGCTGGCAGGGCATTCAAAGAAAGCTGGCAGGACAAAGTATGTAAAATTAATTATTGAAAAGTTTATCCAATTTTATTTTCTGTCTTTGATTAAGCCTTCCTTATGACAAAAAAAAAAAGGGCTCGTTTGAAAACGCTTGAATGGTTCCAGGTATGCTCCATTGTAAACTGAACAGTATTACATGTATGTATTACTTTTCTACTAACTACCAATTTTCTCATCTGAAAAGGCACAGTGACACAAAAATTGCTCCCTCATTGGTTTGCCTGCAAATGCCCACCTTCCACCTTTATGCTTCAGCTCTGTCTCTGTTGCTGCGCTCCCTCCATGCCAGCCCTAGTAGAATTAGTATCATCTCCAAATCGTCCCCTGCCATAATAAGCAAGAATTGCAACCTCTCTTCCTGTTCTTTTGCAACCTGGGCACATCTCTGTTTTTTCACCGACCACTTTATGTATGTGTATTTACACGCCTGATTTCCCTAAAAGACCGTGAGTTAATTAATGGAGGAAAATATTTGTTATTTATAGTTTAACCAACAGCAAAATTTCTGGCAAACACGGAGCATCCAAAGAATATTTGTTAAATAAGCAGAATTGTTACAGAAGTGGCAAGCTGCCAAGCAATTCTACTTATTTAAAATCATTTTATCTTGAATGTGTTTAGAACCAAAAAGACATCTCAGCAACTTAATTTACTTCTCACTACTCTTGGTTATAGACAAAGTCTAATGAGCAAATGTGACGTAGGAACTAAATGATTGTATGATTGATGTAGTGAGCCTTACTTTCTTTTAAAATGTACTAAATATGTGTATATTTCTGTCTATACATAATGCTCTGGTTTGAATATGTTTTCTAAATATCATGCTTTGGAGACTTAATCCCCAAATTCTTGATTGAAGGTGGCACCTTTGGGAAGTAGTCAGCATTAGATAAAGTCATCAAGGCAGAACCCCCACGATAGCACTGGCAGCTTCATAAGAAAAGGAAGAGAGATCCGAGCTGACATACGTGACACACATGCTCTTGCTCTCTTGCTTTGTGATGCCTTCTGCCGGGTTATGATGGAGCAAAAAGGCCCTCAACAGATGTTGGTGCCATGATTCTAGACTTCTTGGCCTTCAAAATCATGAACTAAATAAGCCTTCATTTTTTTAACTGACCCTGTCTCAGATGTTCAGTTGTAATAGATCATGGACAAAGACAACAGCAAAATTTTCTGTGTATGTCAATAATTTTCCAAGTCCACCTCCTCAGCATGTCTACAGTTCTACCCAGGTGTATATTTATGTAAGGCCACTGGGATGTGTCTCATTTACAATCACATGCTCATGCTTCCTTCCCCTCTTCTGCTCCAGGTTATTTTCCATGGCATTTTCCTGAGATTGCCAAAGATAAACGTTTTGAACAATCGCTTTGCTCCATTGTGCTACACTCAGAATTGCCCATCTCCTCTATCTGAGGCTTTATTCTTAGATAAGATAAGGCTGAACTTGCCTGTTTGACTCAGTTTTTTATTGGGATGAGTTCACCTTCTAGAAAACTCTTCATATACACAAAGCACAGGCTGCTCTGCCCCATGGTCACCCAACGCAAGTATTTATCCCAGCTGTGGACACAATGAATATTAAAGGTGAGGTAATAGTGTACTGTGTACACATATTAGTCTGGTAGGATGTGCCAATTTTCAAACACACCATATTTATTTCTTAGTTTTGACACGTTAAAAAACCACAGGAAGTGTGTACAATGTAAGCTGAGACATCATCTGTTTCAACACCTGCCCTCTCATTCTTTCACCCTATGATAATAATTTTGAAGTTTACCACAAACGAACTTGAATGAGGGTTTTTAAAATATGCACTTTTATATATTTTGACTTACTACACTTTGGATGGAAAGCTCGGAAATTAGCATTCATTAAATTAATTTTAAACTATATTGTCAAAAAGTTAAATCTTAAATGAAAAAAAAACATTTTCAGAAGGAAAAACATTTCTCCTCCCCATATCAGTGTTTTCCCACTGAAAATGATGCTCCAGGTCAAGCACAGTGGCTCACACCTGTAATCTCAGCACTTTGGTAGGCCAAGGTGGGAGGATCACTTGAGGCCAGGAGTTCAAGACTAGCCTGATCAACATGGTGAAACCCCGTCTCTACTAAAAATACAAAAATTAGCTGGGAGTGGTGGCGAGCACATGTAATCCCAGCTACTCAGGAGGCTGAGACAGGAGAATCCCTTGAACCCTGGAGGCAGAGGCTGCCGTGAGCAGAGATGGTGCCACTGCACTCCATCCAGCCTGGGTGACAGAGCAAGGCTGTCTCAAAAAAAAAAAAGAAAAGAAAATGATACTCCTCTATGGTTTATAAATAGTTTCTTGTTTATATATCTGTGGCTTAAACTTTTAGATGATAACTTGGATTTCATTTCAGAAGAGATTGTTACAGAGAGTTCATTTTTCTTTAAAGCCAGATAGATCTAGATTTCAAAGCCAACTCTGACACTTGCCTTGAGGACTCCTTTACTACATCTCTCTCTCTTTTTATTGTAATTTTTGTAGAGATGGGGTCTTGCTTTCTTGCCCAGGCTGGAGTTGAACTCCGGGGCTTGAGTGATCCTCCTGCCTCAGCCTCCCAAAGTGCTTGGATTACAGCCATGAGCCAGTGCACCCAACTACTAGATCTCTTAAAGCTTGTTTCCTCATCAGTACATTGGAGATGATAATAATACAACCAAGAGACAGGCCTGAGTTACTGTAACAAGGCTAATAATTTTGTACAGCACATTTCTTCTTCCTTTTCTTTATGTGAACTATACACACATATCCATGTAGCATTATATCTTTCAAGTATTGGTCTATATAGATTTAAATGTGCCATGGAAAGGATAATAATTTGCTATCTTTAGAAATCTGATCAAATTACTATTTTTACAGTTAGAATTAATAATCTAGCAAAGTTTGTATTTGAATACACTATTAACTTCAATAGAAAGTTACGAAAGAGCAAATTTCCTGATAAAATATTCTCCATATTATTGATATTTAGACAAAATATGACCAAGACTCATTGTCTCTGTCTGATAATCTTACTGTAACATATAGTGTTCTGTGCCGTAAGATTTATTATTGCATCACTGAAGCAGCCAGCTTCCTATAAACATAGTACATCTGGGCATTATTTAGATAAATTTCTATTCTGAAAATTTACATATTCTCAGCTGGGTGCAGTGGCTCACACCTGTAATCCCAGCACTTTGGGAGGCCGAGGCGGATGGATCACAAGGTCAGGAGATTCAGACCATGGTGAAACCCTGTCTCTACTAAATACACAAAAAATTAGCTGGGCGTGGTGGCGGGCACTTGTAGTCCCAGCTACTCAGGAGGCTGAGGCAGGAGAGTGGTGTGAACTCAGGAAGAGGAGCTTGCAGTGAGCCAAGATCGTGCCACTGCACTCCAGCCTGGGTGACAGAGAGAGACTCTTGTCTCAAAACAAAAAAATAATAAAATAAATAAATAAATAAATAAAGGTTATTTTCTTTGTACTTTTACCAAGTACAAACCAAAGAAGCAAAATGAGTCCACATTGGAATAGTAACTTATACTTCAACAAGTTAGCATGAGATATTTTACAATCTCATAGCCACTTTTACTCAACTCAGAAAGCAACTCAGCTGAAAGTAGCTCGTGTCTTCTGGGAACAGAATTCTGATAGTGAGACCTGGAGGATAGGAATGCCTTGACCTATGAAGGGAATGAATATTTTATAGCTTATCTATTTCCTATATTGTTCTTATTAGCTGATGGACTGCTCACAATTCCCTGAGGCAATGCTATTATATCAAAAATGAGGTTGTGAGAGCTAACTGATACACTGAAAATCAAGTTAAAGGCAGAGCTGGAATTGAAGGAGTTGTTCTCAAGGTATGTTACCCAGCCTCTAACATGGATAACTAAAAACTATTAGCTACTTTTATAGAATCATAGATCCACAAAGTTTTAGAAACAAAAGTTACAGAAATAATCCCTCGATTCCAAAAATATCGGTAACAAACAAAAGGAATATTTAGTTAAAAATATTACTTTAAAACTTGTAAGACCTAGTAACTGAAAGTTTTCAAGGTTCAAAAAAACTAAAAAACCTAAATGTGTTCTGTATACAAACTAATTGTTAAGACTCTGCCCAAACTGAAGCTGTATCTTCACTTTTGTTCTTCTCTTGATAAACTTTTATTTTAATCCAGATATCAAGATTTCTGAATTTAAAGGAAAGTCTGCATATGAAAGGAGCAGAATTCTCTGTCACTGATAGTTCACTGATAGTTCAGTGACCTTATTAGAAAAAGTATAGATAGGACTCCTGATATCTGCTGACTTGATGAGGGTCAAGGCCTCTGGAGCTCAGCAGCAGCCCTGACTTCCTCTTACAAGTGGAAACTTACCACCCCAGGCCCAGCTCAGCCCAAGTCCCAACTTCAGTCTCATCTCAGCCCCAGGCTCACCCAGCCTAAGTCCCAGGCCCAGGCCCAAACCCAGGACCAGACTCAGGCCTGGATCATGTCTCACTCAGCCTCAGCCCCAGGCCAAGACCCAGATCCAGCGTCAGAACAAGCCCCAGTTCCAGCCTCAGACCCAGCCCCAGCTCCAGCTTCAGACCCAGACCCAGATGCAGGCCCACACACACGCTCCACAGCCTGGCTCCTGCACTCAGGTCTCTTTTCTTTGCCCTGTGCCCTTAGGATTCATATGGATACTAAGGCAAACACTACCTGCTTTTAAGAGAGAAATAAAATGGTGTGAAGTAGGGATATAGATGACTTATGACAGTAAGAGAAATCTGACATAGTTGACTCCATCTTGCTTCTAACCACCAAGCTATCCTTGGTCATTCCTGGGCATAGACCAAGCTGACTTTGGGAAAAATTTAGTTAAATTTGTGTTAAATTACACTTCAAGTTCTGGGATAACACTTCAAGTTCTGGGATACGTGTGCAGAACATGCAGGTTTGTTATATAGGTATACATGTTCCATGGTGGTTTGCAGCACACATCAACCCATCATCTACATTAGGTATTTCTCCTAATGCTATCCCTCCCCTTGCCCCCCACCCCACAACAGGCCCCAGTGTGTGACTTTCCCCTCCCTGTGCCCATATGTTCTCATTGTTCAACTCCCACTTATGAGTGAAAATATGTGGTGTTAGGTTTTCTGTTAGCCCATTAAATTTAATGTTATGTCTGAATTTGATCTTGTCATTATGATGCTAGCTGGTTATTTTGCCCATTCGTTGATGCAGTTTCTTCATAGTGTCAATGGTCTTTACATTTTGCTTTGTTTTTGCAGTGGCTGGTACAGATTTTTCCTTTCCATATTTAGTGCTCCCTTGTGCTTCCTTCAGGAGCTCTTCTAAGGCAGGCCTTGTGGTGACAAAATCCCTCAGTATTGTCTGTAAAGGATTTTATTTCTCCTTCACTTCTGAAGCTTAGTTTGGCTGGACATGAAATTCTGGATTGAAAATTATTTTCTTTAAGAATGTTGAATATTGGCCCCCACTCTCTTCTGGCTTGTAGGGTTTCTGCAGAGAGATCCGCTGTTAGTCTGATGGGATTTTCTTTGTGGGTAACTCGACCTTTCTCTTTGGCTGCTCTTAACGTTTTTTTTCTTCATTTCAACCTTGGTGAATCTGACGATTATGTGTTTTGGGGTTGCTGTCCTCAAAGAGTATCTTTGTGGTGTTCTCTGTATTTCTTGAATTTGGATGTTGGCCTGTCTTGCTATGTTGGGGAAGTTCTCCTTCCTGGCTAATATCCTGAAGTTTGTTTTCCAACTTGGTTCCATTCCCCCGTCACTTTCAGGTACACCAATCAAATGTAGGTTTGGTCTTTTCACATAGTCCCATATTTCTTGGATGCTTTACTCATTCCTTTTCACTCTTTTTTCTCTAATCTAGTCTTCATGCTTTATTTCATTAAGTTGATCTTCAATCTCTGATATCCTTCCTCCCACTTGATTGATTCGGCTATTGATACTAGTTTATGCTTCACGAAGTTCCCATGGTGTGTTTTTCAGCTCCATCAGGTCATTTATGTTCTTCTCTAAACTGGTTATTCTAGTTAGCAGTTCCTGTAATTTTTTTATCAAGGTTCTTAGTTTCCTTGCATTGGATTAGAACATGCTCCTTTAGCTCGGAGGAATTTGTTGTTACCCATCTTCTGAAGCCTACTTCTGTCAATTTGTCAAACTCATTCTCTGTCTAGTTTTGTTCCCTTGCTGGTAAGGAGTTGTGATCCTTTGGAGGAGAAGAGGCACTCTGGTTTTTGGAATTTTCAGCCTTTTTGTGCTGGTTTTTCCTCCCTTTTGTGGCTTTATCTGCCTTTGGTCTTTGATGTTGGTGACCTTCAGATGGGATTTCTGTGTGGATGTCCTTTTTGTTGATGTTGATGATATTCCTTTCTGTTTGTTAGTTTTCCTTCTAACAGTCAAGCCCCTCTACTGCAGGTCTGCTGGAGTTTGCTAGAGGTCCACTCCAGACCCTGTTTGCCTGGGTATCACCAGCAGAGGCTGCAGAACAGTGAAAATTGCTGCCTGCTCCTTCCTCTGGAAGCTTCATCCCAGAGGGACACCTGCCAGATGCCAGCTGGAGCTCTCCTGTATGAGGAATCTGTCAACCCCTGTTGGGAGGTTTCACGCCCTCCGGAGGCACGGGGTCAGGGGCCCACTAGAAGAGGTAGTCTGTCTCTTAGTAGAGCTCCAGTGTTGTGCTGGGAGATCTGCTGCTGTCTTCAGAGATGGGAGGCAGGAATATTTAAGTCTGCTGAAGCTATGCCCACAGCTTCCCCTTCCCCCAGGTGTCTGTCCCAAGGAGATGGGAGTTTTATCTACAAGCCCCTGACTGGGGCTGCTGCCTTTCATTCAGAGATACCATGCCCAGAGAGAAGGAATCTAGAGAGGCAGTCTGGCTACAGTGGCTTTGTGGCGCCGCGGTGGGCTCCACCCAGTCCAAACTTCCTGGCAGCTTTGTTTACACTGTGAGGGGAAAACTGCCTACTCAAGCCTCATTAATGGTGGATGCCCCTTCCCCATTAAGCTTGAGCATCCCAGGTTGACATCTGACTGCTGTGCTGGCAGGGAGAATTTCAAGCCAGTGGATCCTGGCTTGCTGGGCTCCGTGCTGGTGGGATCTGCCGAGCAAGACCACTTGGCTCCCTGGCTTCAGCCGCCTTTCCAGGGGCATGAACAGTTCTGTCTCAGTGGTGTCCCAGGCGTCACTGGGGTATGAAAAAAAACTCCTGCAGCTAGCTCAGTGTCTGCCCAAACGAATGCCCGGTTTTGTGCGTGAAACCCAGGGCCCTTGTGGTGTAGGCACCTGAGGGAATCTCCTGTTCTGTTGGTTTCAAAGACCTTGGGAAAAGCGTAGTATATGGGCCAGATAGCACCGTCCCTCATGGCAAGTTCCCTCACAGCTTTCCTTAGGGGAGGGAGTTCCTGACCCCTTGCACTTCTAGGGTGAGGTGACACCCTACCCTGCTTCTGCTCACCCTCCGTGGGCTGCACCCACTGTCTAACCAGTCCCAGTTATATGAACCGGGTACCTCAGTTGGAAATGCAGAAATCACTGGCCTTCTGCATTGGTCTCGCTAGGGAGGGAGTTCCTGACCCCTTGCACTTCTAGGGTGAGGTGACACCCTACCCTGCTTCGGCTCACCCTCCGTGGGCTGCACCCACTGTCTAACCAGTCCCAGTTATATGAACCGGGTACCTCAGTTGGAAATGCAGAAATCACTGGCCTTCTGCATTGGTCTCGCTAGGAGCTGCAGACCAGAGCTGTTCTTACTTGGCCATCTTGCCTGGGAGTCCCCTTGTCTACACTGTTATAAGCACATAAAGAAGAAACCCTTCATGATTGCAGGCAGGTCTGAGAAAAAAATTATTTTTATTATTGTGTACATGTACATTTGTAAATGTATATACAAAATATCAATACTCTTTGATGGAATGTAACAGAATCCAGAATCTCTGCCACACATTATTCATCATCTAGAATAAAATTCTAATTTACTAGGCATATAGAGAAACAGGAAAATTATGACTCATACTGAAGAGAAAAGGCACCAATGAAGACCAACTCCAAGATGACCCATATTTGGAACTAGGAGACAGAGATTTCAAACAGTCATTAAAACTATGCTCAAACATCTAAAGGAAAATGTGAGGCAGTGCAATGGCAGCTGGCACATGGGTTTATGTATATACACTCTATTCTTCATATAAAATAATGTTACTTACTAAAGTAATGATGACAAAAAAATAGCTTGATTATTCACATGCAAAAGAAGCATTGACTTTGAGTTTGTTCTGTAAGACATTCACTTATAATAAACAGTAATTTTAAGAGTACTCAGCTATGAAGACAATAATAAACTATAATAAAAATAATGAAATTCAAATAAGTAGTATTAAAAGTATCTGAAGCCCCAGTGGTAGAAAGTTTTACTTTTAGGTTTGGGGAAGAGAGGATATAAGGGCAAGCTTCAACAAAGAATGACAGATGAGATGAACCTTGAAAGTTGTTTAGAATTATTATACCATTCAGGTATGATAGAACAAAGATGGGCAACAGGTGAACAAAGTGAAGAAAGTTCTGAATGTAATAAACTAAAGTAGCAATCTTTAGCTATAGGGTATGGTTTGTGACAACAGTGATGGGAGATAATGTGAGAAGAGTAGGTGGGTCCAGACTGAAGAATCTAGACATCATTCTGAAGATACCAGGGAGCCAATTAAAAGACAAAATACAAAAGCTCAATATTATTTCCTTTAGAAACCACAAACCCAGAAAGGATTTTCATGATTTATTGTTTGTGATTCTTACAATTACCCAGTACAACAAGCAAATGAAATAGCTCTTATAATTTTAGTTTAGGGCCCTAAAGTCTGTTAAAGATTAAGTTACCACATGATAGATTTGAGGAAGAAAATAATTTTAAAATGTGCTATAAAATTTCTTAACCTCTTGTTTACAAGGTACATATATATATATATATATATATATATATATATATATATATGTGAGTTTATGGTTTGAAAAAATATTTCACTGCACTATTAGAAAGAGTCTATTCCTGTGACTTCTTGGAGTTGGGATGTAGGGGAAGCAAATTTAATTTTGTCTTTACAAGTAAAATTCATGCATAAAATACAAATTAAAGTTAAATTACGGATTGCCAAGTTTGCAGAAGTAAGTGAATCTTTCTTTCTTAAGGCCTTTTCTGTGGCCCTTTCTGATAAGGAAACTCAGAAGTTCTGTTTTCAGTTTGTTATTAGGCAGTTATAAAATTACAGTGAAATTTTTAAAATATTGATACTAAAGGCAAGGCATGGCAGAAAATATCTTAAAGCCTGGTGTGATGTAAGAAAATAAATCTTTTGTGACTAATGCATTTTTATAATATTTCAGTTGCTTGAAGTCTAGAGATATCAACTGGGAAAATTGGGGGATTTAAAAATATCAGAATACCTCCCAGAGTATTTCAGAAAAGGAAGGGACAGTGGAATTTTATGTCTCTGTATTCATAATGCTTATTTTGTCCTTCACATTACTCACTCCTTATAGCTAATGACATCAAGGAAAGGAACTTAGATATGTGGCCATAGGTACTTTATGTTGCATATCAAGGAATTATTATGTGATAGTTGTTTGACTTTAAAAAGCTAATGCAGCACCCATTTTTTCCCCTACATTTGTTTTGTGCAGGAAATGGGGCCTCATTAACCCTCCTGGGATAATACAGGTTAATATGCACATAAATATTTTTATGTTCTATAATTTCATGAAGTACATTTTGTTTGAAACATTTACTCCAATGGTCTTATGGTAATGTTGCATGAAAACAAGGCTCACTCCAGATGTGATTTGCTCTCGCTACAATAAAGTTATCCTTGTAAATTATTCCAGTGTTTACAAAAAATGGGGGATCATGGAGAAAAATTGTGACTTTCCCTCCAAAAGGGAAAACTATCCCAATGAATCTAGTATTATCAGTTTATTTCTCCTTATTTGCTGGTTTATGATATTAATATATTTTAAAGTTCACTATTAAATCAAGAGCAGAAGGCTAATGAACTTTAATATATTTTCATGCACTGGTGGTCAAATTATGATAATAAAATACCAGATGGCAAAATCATCATTTAAAACGATGTATTCACTTTTTGTTCTGTTTTGCTTTGGGTTTCCTGATAGGCATTTTGTGTTCTACAAATTTTTTTTTTATTCAAATATCCTTGGTGTATCTCTCTAGTATTTTGATACTTAAATTCTCTGACAAGCTCAAACATATTCTCTACTTTTGTTGAATTATCTCTTCAGGTTCTTTTTATTTAAATTAAGATTCTTTCCACTATAAACCCATACAACAAAAAGGTTAGATAAATTACAAGACTACCCCGATTCATGATGAATATAAAAAATATATCAGATAGATATCTTTGAACTCATTATATTCCTTTCTTAATCATTGTTACTGTTGACTTTACATTTGCTTAACAGCACAACTTCCAAAAACTATTTAATAATATATCTTCTGCTATTCAGTTCTCACATAAAGTTCTAGGATCATGTGAATAAGAATAACATAGAGAATGTTGCCAAAACAATTTTTTTTTTTTTTACAATCTGACCAGTGATCAAATGCAGACAACTTGTTGCTTTATATATCTTCCATTTTTGCACTGATTGAGAAAGCCTTATACTACCTAGTATTTTGGAGTTACATGCCCAAACATAAGGCAGTTCAACTCCTTTCAATTCTTAGAGGAAGAAACCAGTACATTCTTGTCGTCCCATTCTTTTCACATACTCTGGGTACAACTTGTCTTTAGATCAAGGTTAAATCTGTGACACTCTCTGATTGATGTCTATGAGTTAAGGCAAACTGTAACTGGCTTACAGATTCATCTGTAGAACAATCTGTTTCACAAGCCCCTCACTTTTCTCTGAATGAAAGTAGGAGTTCATGAGCCCATCTGCTAAAGGATGTAAGGGATTTGAAGTTGTGTCTCAGTTGATTCATCAGCATGTCCCTGAAGTGATCTCCCAAAAGAAAATAGAAGACAGGGTTGATGACACTGTTCAGAAAGGCCAAAGGCCGTGTCACAATGTAAAAGGAGTTGATGACGACCTGAGTGCACTGATACTGCTTCCAACTCCCCAGGCGTGAAGCGATCCTCACATTCCGCATGACGTGATAGGGTGTAAAAAGCACAGAGAAGATTACCACTGCCATGATGACCAAGTTGAGAGGCTTTTCAAGGGGCAGAGCAGTAGCAACCTGCCTATTCCTCTGCTTTAGGAAGAGAGCAATCTTGTAATAAAAGAAACACATCACAAAAAGAGGAATAAGGAACCCCAACAGTGTTAGACACATGCTGTAAATGAGGTTGTAGTTGGGGTCTCCAGAACTTGCAAAATCATTACAGGTGGTGCCATTGTCAGTTATAACAGGATTTATAAGGGGAAGTATGGGTAGTAACTCTAAGGTTACTAAAACCCAAATGGCCAAGGAGATTAAAATAGCAAACTCTTTCTTTTGCAGAAGGTGTTCTCGGAAAGGATACTTAATTATCAAGTATCGATCTATGCTGATAAAAGTGAGAAAGAGAATGCTGGTATAGAGGTTGGCATGAAGCACATATCGGTTGCTTATGCAGAGCACGTCTCCATATATCCAGTTTCCATTGGCATAACTCCTTATCAGCATGGGGAGGGTGCACAGAAAAGCTAAGTCAGAGACAGAGAGGTTAAAGAGATAAATATTACTGCTGTTCCAGTTCTTCAGAGAGAAGATGTAGCCGTAAACAACAATGGTATTTCCAAGGACTCCCACAACGAACTCAATCCCATAAAAAATGGAAAGGTAGTACTTTTCCAGGGCAGCCTCTGCTGCCAGCCAGTTTTTGCAAGTTGCATTCCATGCCTAAAGAAGAGAGAGAAAATATAAGGATTAAACACTAGACTGTGACTAATGACAAAACTGTGCAGAACATAATAATAATGAAAAACACTTGAATGGTGAACTATAGAAAGTAGGTTACATCAGTAAGGAAAGCATACACACATATATATATGTCATTAATGTATTATTTTAACAAATTTTTTGAATACCTTTCAACTATGTGCTGAATATAATTTCAGGCACGGGAGATAACAGCAGTGAATAAATCAAAGTTCCTAATCTCTAACAATTTATACTCTCTTGGGAAGAATAATCAGGAAGTAAACAATGAATGATACCAATAATGATAAGTGCTATGAATAAAAACATATGGGAAGGTAAAAATATTAGAAAGTTTTGGGATGGAGGGTGGCAGTGACTCATTTTTATATGTGGTGATAAGGGAGAGGCTTTTATACAAGATGACATTTAAACAAAAACCTCAATGAAGAAAGTGAAAGAGACATATCTATATTTGCAGGAAGTGTTCCAGGCATAAGAAAGAGCACATGTGAAGGCATTAAGGTGGAAACACAAATAGAGGGCTTGGCAAATAGCAAAGAAACAAAGGGAACGTATGATAAAATAATTGAAGAGAAGATTTTGAATTCACTTTTGTGTCTCTAAACATACCATGATCCCCAGCATGTCGTAGTTGTTCAACAAATTCTGCTGAGTTAAACCATAACCTAGAAGAGGAAATAAGAATTTTTAGAACTTCAGTCTCACTATTTTAAGCTTTTACTTGTTTCCATATTGCCAAAGAATTCTGCTTATTGTATTAAATTCATAAACTATGATACAACTTCAGTTTTAAAACTTAATTTTTAAAAATTCAAAATATGAAACTGAAAATCTTAGTAATATTAACATTGGTCATGATTTATTGAAAGATGCCATGCCTCAGACTCAGTAATTTATAAAAAAAAGAAATTTATTTCTCACAGTTCTATAGACTGAAAAGTCCAAGATCAAGGTATCAGCAGATTTGGTGTCTGATGAAAAGTCACCTTGTGCTCCAAAGATGGTGGCTGCTGTGTCCTCACAACAATTTCAGAAGGGGCAAGGCAGCTCCGTTAATCTTCTTTCACAAGAGTACCAATCCCATTCATGAAGGTAGAGTCTTCATGGCTTCATCACTTTCCAAAAGGCCCCGCCTCTTAATACTATTAGGTTCCAACATACATTTTGAGGAGACACCAATATTAAGACCATGGCATTTGCCTAGGTCATATGCTTAGTGAAAGACCTTTATTGTAATGCCTTCTGAATATGTACCATGGAAATAAGCAACCTGACTCACTCAAACCTCAAGAGTCTTGCTAACCTACTGTTTTTAACTCTTGTCAAGAGGCCAGATTGTGATTGGATAGGGTATTTCAAGAACTTTAATTATCTGAAAAAAGTACTGGATTGCCATTGTTAAACATTAAGTGTTACTTATTTCTAGTGAGGAAAACCAAGGTTGAAAACAAAATGTTCTAAAAACCTCTTTGTCAAGTAGGCTTCTGAGTATTAGTTGCAAACAAACAATTCTTTCAATTTAGAATTTTGGTAAATAGAACAAAATAAGAATAAATGCACCTAAACTGCTTTTTATGAGAAGCATGCAAAATTCAGTAGAATTTGCTATGATAAGGCATCTGGAAAACTCATGTATTTTTGTCAAATTCAAGTGGTTTACTTTAGTTAAAGATCATTGTTATTTTGAGAGTGTTTTATTTATGAAAATAAGTCACAGAATTGTAGATATAAGTTTAATATTTTGAAAAGTTATTTTTAATCACTTACTTTAAAACATTATACATTTTTCGGAGTCTCTCGAATCTCTCTATGGCAACCTGCCACTAAGTCCAATTCCAGACAAAGCTGAGTGGAAACTTTCTCAAGCAGCAGACACATGAATGCTGCTGAAGAATAAAGCAGATGGGTTTCACTCTGTCTTTGAGGTCACCTAATTCTACCGCTCTCTCATATTGCCAGCATATTCCTATATTTCTCAATTTCATATTTTTTTATCTCTTAAAACTTTTTTCATTTACTCTACCTTACTCATTATTAGCAAATGGTTTTACCTCCTAGTTCATTGAGATAGAGAGCATTTGTTGAGCTTACTCTAGATCCAACTCATTCCCAAATTCTCAGTATTCCCATGGTACCATTATTTCTTCTTTTCTGACTCTTCAGCATTCTTCTCCTCATCGTCAGTCTTCATGTCCTCTTTTCCATTAGAATTTAAACACTCTCATCATTTCAATCTTACAATAAGGAGCAACATAAACAACTCTCCCTAGTTTCACGTGTTCCTCTCCTCTTCATAGTTTGATTTCTGGAAAGAGCCATCTCATTAAGTGTTTTGACATCTCGACACCCCATTCCCTTTCAACTTACTCCAATTTGGCTTCGGACCTACCAGTCCTCCAAGTAGCCTCCACATTGCTCATTCCAATAATCATTTTTCACTAATCTTATTTTATTTATCAGTTGTTTTTCATACTCTGTCTTCTGGAAACACTCTTCTTTTGCCTTCTGAGACATGACAATATCCTAGTTTCCCTTCTTTCTCCCTGGTTGTTCTTTGCAGGCACTTTTGGGGCTCAAGTCTTCTTGGCTCAAGCAATAAATGTTGAGTTCCTCAAGGCTAATTTCTGGGCTCCTTCTTTTCATAGATTCTTCCTAAATGATCTCATTCACTTTTGAGGTTTAATGACCAACTATACATCAACAACTCCCAGATTTCCAGCCCAGCTTGTATCTGCCTTACAAACTATAATTGTTTATTGCCATTGATTGATTTCTCTCAGATGTCTCTGCCTCTAGAAATCCTACACCAAATTCTCCAAATTCCTTACCAAGCCTGCAGCATATCCACCAATTTCAGTAAATGGTTCTGCCATGTATCCAGGTGCTCACCACGAAAATCTAAGCAATATCCTCAAAGTCATCTAAAACTCAACACCAGTAATGAATAAACTACCAAGTCTGTTTACTGTAATGTCTGGGTATTTCTCAAATCTATCATTACTGCTCTATAGCTTTCATTATCATTCTCGTCCAGGCTACTCTTATCTCTATTTTGCTCTATGTCATATTCTGCTATTGTCTCCTCACATCCTCTCTGGCCCTCATCAGTTCATCTTTACCATTATAGCTAAACAGTCTTGAAAAACTACAACTCAAAATCAGATCATATAGCTTTCCTTGATCAAAACCCTTAATTAACTTTCCACTATCCAAGGAATATAGTCTAAAATCCTTAATGGGGACATCAAGGTCTGCATGATCTGGCCCCTGCACCCACTTCAATTTTGCTTGGCATTACTCTCCTCCTAATTCATCTTCCTTTCTTCCTGCTCTTTGAATGCACAGAGAGCCTTCTTAACATGCAGTCCCTCTATCTGAATCTCTTTTCACTGCTGTTTTTGTCCTGTGATTCCTGGCCCATCACATATTTGTCATATATCTATACTTCTCTCAGGCCTCTGTTCAAGTGTAGGTTTCCCAAGGTAGGCTGTCTGACCCTCAGTCTAAAGTAGGTCCTCCCATTTATGCTTTCATTGTATACTAAACTTCTTAGAATTTTGTATAACTTTGTCTTACTCATTTTTTATTGTCCACATCTGGCACAGTGACCAGCAGATAGTAGGTGATCTATAAATCTTTGTTGAGTGAAGAGATGAATATGAACACCTGACTATTTACAAAGCATTTTTATAAATATTTTCTCCAAGGCCAGATAAGCAGCAAGACCATCAGATTAAGCTCATTGCTTATTTCACTGTGAAAGTCAACACTATATATAATATAATATGATAAGTATTAAAAATTAGTAATTGTAGTAGTAGTAGCTGTAGTTTAGAAACACATTTGTATAAGGCAAAATTAAATATCTACCAGGATAAATTTTAAAACTGAAGCATTTAATTAAGAAATGACACCTGAAATTAATAAGCATAAGAAGTCTAGAAAGACGTGCATCAAAATGTTAATAGCTTTATCTCTAATGATGAGATTTCAGGTAGTTTTTATTATTTCCTTTCTCCTTTTATCTAAATTTCCTATCATTTTTTCTCTCAAAATTGGCATCTATTTGATAATATTAAAAACTTTAAATTTCTAGAAATATAGCAAAAATGTCAATAGGCTTTAACATATTAACAAACTTTATTTTTTTTAGCTCAATGGTCAGTTTTTACTATTATTATTTATTCTCAGTAGCTTTTAAGTCCACACTTTCTGGAAGCACTCTCTTCCTATCTTCTATGACACAACAATCTCCTTGTTTTCCTCCTTTCTCCATTTTCATGCTCTTTTGTGGCTTAATCCTTCTTTGCCCAAGTTTTAAATGTTGGACCTTCTCAGGCCTTATTTCTGAGCTCTTGTTATTTTGTGGGTACTCAAAAAGCTGGTGCACAAATTCAAATGAAAATTAAGGTATAGAAAGTTTCCTTGACACAAGAAATTTGTTTCACTTTTGCATTTCCTTTTTTTCTGGTCATAACGTTTATCTTTCTGCCTAGTCACCACTGGTAATGTTAATAGCTTATGTATTGTGCACAGCAGAAAGATTTGACTGCAATGGAAGGAAAATATAGCCACAAAGACTTGTGCAACTAGAGCCTGATTTCCTGCAACTATCACTCAGGCAGGTGACGGGTCACATGAAAGTCAAGGAGCATTCTGCTTTATAGTAGCCCAGAAGGTCGGGGATTGAAGGAGTAGTAGGGAAGGAGTAGAGCTGAAATAAGAGAAATGAATGACTAAATTATCATATTTGTCTTTCTTCTCATACAGTTGTTTCTTCATTTTTTTGAAACAACTTTTTAAAAATGTATGTGTAAAATTATTGTTAAGGTGTAACACTCATAAAATCAAATAGGCAAAAATAAGAAATAAAAATGGTCTGTAAACAGACCACTCCTAATATTTGGGTACCCTTTTACATTTTAATATTTACCTGAATTTTTATTCATAAAAATGAGATTTTTTTATGATGTTTTATAATTTTTTGATACATTTGTTTCATTTTTTCTAAGTTCATAATTCTAATAGATTATGATTTTATAAATATGAGCTGTGCAATATTTGCAGACCAATTTAACTTCACTAGGATACAAAATTTTGAAGATACTATATTTCAAATTGGATATGTTTATAGTTGGGTATGTTTTTAGTGTGGCATCGCAATTCTATAAACATATGAAGTAAGTTGCTCCTTTAAGCAAAACTCCCAATTAAAGAGAAAATTCCCTCATGAAAAATTCATATTCTCTCTTCTGCTATCTAGTGGCTATATTCTTAATTTTTAGGAAATGGAAATAGTGATAAATAAATTGTAACTGATTTGGATGAATTATTTTGAATAGGTATTTTTTAAGAGCAGAAATTAAAGTGAAATCTTTAGTTTCCAGTCCAAAAATATATCTAAAACTGTTAGAATTATTGAACTAGAAGCAATATCTAATTTACTCACATAAGCAGACCAATAATACTTAACTTGAAAATGTTTTTTACTTTAAATATATTCAGCCTTTTGAAAATCTGCATTTTTGAAATTTACTTTAAAATATATATGTGATAGTTTCTTAGCTTTTTAATTGTTTGTTTTTATAGTCATCACAATTAAACAAATAACATTTGTAAAATGTTTACTTTTAAGTGCTACCTTAAGGCAAATTTACATGGTAACATGAGAATTTTTTTTAACAAATTACTTTTTTGATTACTAAATAATTTGAGCAAAAATATATATTCACACTGAAAAGATATAATAATTTAACATTTGTAACTTTATTTTTATGTATTCCATACATTACACCAGAAATTAAGGTATTAAAAAGTAATAGTATGGCACAAATTGTGTATTAACTTCTTTAAGAATACCACACACATTTTGAAAAGTTATGGAAGGTAGAATAGAAATGGTTTCTGCAATTTTTCATTTTTCCTAAGTAAATTAATTATTGGGTAATATCATTTTTACACACATAAATGTTAAATTTAATTTTTAGGATGCCTGAAAATTCCCCCAAATACATTATTTTCTAAACATAAAAATATTATGCCCCAGCACAGTGGCTCATGCCTGGAATCCCAACACTTGGAGAGGCCGAGATGAGTGGATCACCTGAGGTCAGGAGTTTGAGACCAACCTGACCAACATGGTGAAACTCCATCTCTACTAAAAAATCCAAAAAAAATAGCCGGGCGTGGTGGTGGGCGCTTGTAATCCTAGCTACTCTGCAGGCTGAGGCAGGAGAATTGCTTGAACCCCAGAGGCGGAGGTTGCAGTGAGCCAACACATGCTGTAAATGTGTCACTCTGGCACTCAGACACTCTAGCCTGGGTGACAAGAGTGAAACTCTGTCTTAAAAAAAAAAAAAAAAAAAAAAAATATATATATATATATATATATGTATGTATATGTGTGTGTGTGTGTGTGTGTGTGTGTGTGTGTATGTATCAAATACATGATTGTTTCAAATCATTTAGGAACTTTAATTTTTCCCCATAAGTAGTTATATTTATTTAGGTAAATCCAATTACTATTTTGTTGAAATATAAGTTGTTGAGATGTTAGCAAATATAATAAATCCTTTTACATAAAATAAAATTAGTATTTGACAACTAAAAGAAGACAGTTAATTTGTTGAAAAATAAACGTAGAGATAAAAATGACTTTTTTTTTTCAATTATTTTGCTGTTTTACATCTATTTATAAAGAATTAATTTAAACACTTAATACTGAAAACCTTAATTGCTCACAGGTCACCTTTAGAAGGAAATCTGGCCTTACTTTATACACTGAGAGGCACAATTTGCCATGTAGCTTACCATTCTGTTGGAAGACTTGATCCCTTGACAGGAACTCTGCCAGCAGCTGGATATAGCTTCTGACCCAGTGTTGTGCCACTGGACATGGTTATTACAGTGTCCTATTTGCATATCCTATTTGCATATCCTGCAGCCAAGATTAATAATTCAAAAGCCCAGGAATAATTTATTCAGTCAAACCTCCCAGTCAGAGATGTTCATGCAGAGGAATTTTTGTGAGGCTTTTATTTTCACATTCACATTTATTTTATTTTCACATGCAGTTTTGCAATTGAATGACAAAAAACAAGTAACTCATTTCACAGGAAACACATTTACCAAATAGATTTTTAGAAAAACACTGTTGAACTTATTTTATCCACTACCAAAGCAACAGAGAAGCATTCCTTATTTTCATTTTATTTGCATATTTACACAATAAGAAGTGGTAAATACTGCTTATATTGGGAATACAGTTGCCTCTGCTTTTCTTCTTTTTTAAAATTAATTTTCTTAGTGAATTCTGTATTGAGAATATAATAACGAAACCTCTGTTTTCAATAACTTTGAGGGAACTATAAAACTGAAATTTTAAAGGGAAACCTGGATATATGCTATGTTGGTGTACTAGCAAAAAGATACTAGAGCTTCAAGTTATTTTCCATTTTATTTTCTGTGCTTAAAATCAAGAAACACATAAAAGATACATCAGATAGCTAGGGATTAGGGAGAGAGATGCTAAGTAAAATAACCTTAATAGATGGCAATTTATATATCCCAATCAATGCTCTGAAAAACATCTGGAAGTACATTACCACCATTTCAGACAGGAAGCACACCTGGCTTTTTCCAAGCATTATATTAGGTTTAGATTCAAGTAAACACTCAGTCTTCTTGATGTGAAGCATAGGGATTATACTAAGAAAGCCCATAATTGTGCAGGCAGCAGTAATTCAATTTAAATGCTATGTAAGTTGAATATTGAGTTAGCAATGACAGGCAGAAGCCCAAAAAGAAGCTCTGTTACAGGCATCCTCCTAACTAAGCATTTCTCCTCACCAATATCTGACAGCTTAAAAACTCAGGAACTCAAAATATATGTATGTATATATACACATACATATATACATACATATGTGTCTATATTACACACTTTATATACATGTGTAAAATATATTTATACATGTATGAATATTTATGTATACAAACATGTGCATTTACATGAAATAAAAATATCTATAATTTGTTGAGTTCTTGTGATGTGGCAGGCAGGTATTACACTAAGTACCTTTATGCATCAAATGCATATAGTAATCCTCTGAGGTTGTTATTATTTAAGATTTTTCTCATTTTGCAGATTAAAAAGCTAAGGTTCAGAGAGGTCAATTAACTTTCTCAAGATTGCAGAATCAATAACGGGAGGGACCAGAGCTTAAGCCTATGTACTTGGATTCTAAAAGCACCGACTCTGATTCTTGACTGCCTACAGAATTGAATGACAATACCCTTGTGCACAACAAAGTCTAAGAATTAATAACAGGTATTTTTCAGTAATGCAATTCTTTTCTACTTTTAGAAGGAAGAAAGGTTAAAACATTATTTTTGTCTATATTTTTAAAAGGGCAAAAAGCATTTGAATAACCAATGCCAGGCTTGTTAATTTTAGACATAAATTAACATGAACCCCTTCCAAGAAACAAAGACAAATGGATGTATTTCACAGGTTTCTGCCACCATTCTGATGGAAGAAAAGAGTAATTCCCCCTTTGTGGGGTGGTGGGAGTTCCCGAGAGCTTCCTCTTTCTTCGTCCCACTTCCTGACTACCATCTCACTCTGGCTGCTAAGACAAAAATTGGTCTATGCTTCTCCTTTTTCATAGAACACGTCATCTAGACTGTAGCCTGGTAGCCTTGTTTCCCTCCCAAGTCCTACTTCCTGTTTCCTCCGAATGCTCTCAGTTGAGATACTAGAGTGTTACTGGGAAAGACTTACTAAAAGGTCACGAGTATTTCTGCTACAAAGCTTTATGCAGGTCTGCAAAATGATAGCTGCACGGGAACAAGGCTGGATTCAGAATTATGACCCTGTGAGCAGGGTGGGTTTCATGGTATGCTACTGTGTAGTCTCACAGTGCTTCACACTCAAAAAAGATCACACAGTTGAGTTAATGCTCTACTGTCACATTCTTAATTAAAATGTTTCATAACTTCTTAACAAGGGACCCCATATATTTCTTTTGCACTGGGCTCTACTAAATATGTAGCCAGTTCTGCCTGTGAGAGTAGAAACCTCCTCAGAAACTATTTCTATTCAGTATAGCACATCAAATTTTGAGGGGGCAAAGTTTTTTTGTTTTGTCTTTTTTTTTTTTTTACATATAACATGTTGAGATGCACTGCTTGAGAATCAATGGAAGTTTGAAAGGCAGTGAAAGTTTGCAGTACTGGCCGGGCATGGTGACTCACACCTGTAATTTCAGTACTTTGGGAGACCAAGGCAGGCGGATCACTTGAGTCCAAGAATTGGAGACCAGCCTGGGCAAAGTGGCAAAACTCTGTCTCTACAAAAAATGCAAAAATTAGCTGGGGCATGGTGGTGCGTGCCTTTAGTTTCAGCTACTCGGGAGGCTTGAGGATGGCCTGAACCTGGGGAGGCCGAGGCTGCAGTGAGCCATGATTGTGCCACTGCCCTCCAACCTGGGAGACAGAGTGAGACCCTGTCTCAAAAAAAAAAAAAGTTAAGTACAACAATGAACACTTTTTAAAATATATATTTTTTAAAAGCTTGTAGTACTGTTTGCTAAGAGGTAGTATAACACAGTGTTTAAGAGCATAGGTCCTGGAGGCAAACTGCTTTGTTTCAAATATTGGCTTCACTACTCACTAGCTTTCAGTTTTTGTATTTGTAAAACAGGGATAATGAGAGTTACCAATCTTATGAATTGTTATGTATATAGCAGAAGTACATATGCTACATAGTATGAGGTACTAGTATATACGTACACTGTATAATATGAGGTACATATTAGTTGCTAAATAATTGTTGGCTATTACAGAAATTTATAATGAATGAGAGAAGACTTTCTCTAAAATAATAATGGTAATTCAGTGCCATTGATGTTAGAATACTTGCTGCCCAGAAATATCCATTTAAAAGGTCCTTATAAAAGCCAACATGATAAAAAGATTAGTGAGTTCTAATCCTGGCTTTGCCTTTTACTAGTTTGTGTGATCTTTGAAAAAAAATCACATAACCTGATTTCCTTGTTTGGAAAAGGGGAATAATAATTCCTACCCATCAAACTCATAATGTTCATAGTATCAAATTATATAATGTTTGAAAATGCAATGGGCTTGAAATTGAAGAGCAGTTCATGTAAACCAGGCAAACTAATCAGGAAATTCAAGAGGAAAAAGAAAATGGTGGGAAATATAATATAAATATTAATTAAATCCAATGCTAGTAATAACTTCTGCTGGGTCCGGTGGCTCACACCTATAATCCCAGCACTTTGGGAGGCCAAAGCAGGAGGGTCACTTGAGCTCAGGAATTCAAAACCAACCTGGGCAACATAGCAAGACCTCCTCTACTAAAAATCGAAAAAATTGGCTGGGAGTGGTGGAACACACCTGTAGTCCCAGCTACTCAGGTGGCTGAGGTGGGAGGATCACTTGAGCCCAGGATGTCAAGACTGTAATGAATTATGATGGCATCACTTTACTCCAGCCTGGGTGGCAGAGTGGGATCCTGTCTAAAAAAAATTAATAATAACTTCTACTAACATTTTTTCAGCATTCAC
Source organism: Homo sapiens (assembly GCF_000001405.40). Taxonomy (NCBI): domain Eukaryota; kingdom Metazoa; phylum Chordata; class Mammalia; order Primates; family Hominidae; genus Homo; species Homo sapiens. Next base: position 151,869,927 of record NC_000003.12, on the reverse strand, counting down.
TCTATAATAACACAGTGTATGCAGTGATTCTTTTAATATTCACAATAATTTAATGCAGTGGATATTATTAATATCACTCATTTTCAGTTGAAGAAATCAAGGCCTAATAAAGATTAAATAAATGATCCACAAATACACAGCTAATACATGATTTGGCTGTATAATTTGAAGCCTTATCTGTTTGACTCCTGAATCCAAACTCTTCTCCATTATTCTCCTGAGTCACTCATGGTAAAGATGAAAATATTAGATTGAAACATAAAATTATTGATATTGGAACATTTTTACCTTATATATGGCAATTTTATATAGTTTAGTAAAATAAATTTAAAACTAACACTAAATTTAATTATTAGTTATAAAACTTATTGATTATCAAATTTAATAATTTAAATCTTCCAACTTCCAAAAAGAATAGAACATTTTAGATAAAAATCAAACATGTTAAAAATAAATAGTTAAAGTATTTATAGAAAGATTCTCCTAGCAACGTCTCTGGGAATGTTTACAAGCCACATTTAACAGCCCAAAAAGTCTGTGTGGAAAACAAAACTGGTTTAAGGGTCATGCTAATCTTCAAGGGTCACAAGCAGAGAAAGAAGAGGGCAATTAATCTAATTCGAGGACTTTCTTCTAAACCCGTAAGGAGAAACAATAATAATAATAACAACCCCCAGAAGTTGAAACAAATCAAGATTATTGGGGAGGATATTTTGGTGTTTCTGGATAGATATAAGCAAGATTACATGGTTACTTCCTTTTTCAATGAATGGTTTCATGTAGCAAAATAATAAAGGACAAACAGCAAAAGGAAAAACACAGCAGAAGGTATTTGTGCATGTCTCAAAATTCTTCCGGCTTCTAGAAATCAATAAATTATATTAACCAAATTTACTTTACCACGGAAAATGGTCTATTCAAAATAGGCACTCAAGCAATCTACTTCCTTTTCCTATGAAAATCCTTGTCATTTAAGAGCTACATTATTAATGGAAATTTTTGCATTACTGACTTTTTTCTGATTATACAGTTAAGAAAAATATGTGTCATATCTATTGGTACTGGGCATAACTCAAAGGAATTGTTCTGCTAAATTAAAACACATTATTTGTTAAAAGCATCTGACTACAGCTAAAATATTCTAAGTTCCTTGAAGTACTAACAATTAACCTAGAAACACAGCAAATTCACCTTTTATCTTTCAGTTTATATGCAAATTCCACAGCTAATTCATTTTTGATAATATGTGCTGAACCTTAATCACAGGTGTTTCTCTATACAAATAATGTTGTTTTGTTTCCTTGAATAGAAATAGCGGTATATGAAATTCAGGCATTTGTGTACAATTAGAGACAGATTTCATTTCCTCTTTCTCTCTCTTTATCTTTTTATTTTTATTTACTTATTTATTTATTTTTGAGACAGGGTCTTGTTCTGTCACCCAGGCTGGAGTGCAGTAGCATGACCATAACTCACTGCAGCCCTGATCTCCTGGGCTCAAGCGATCCTCCTGCCCTCAGCCTCCTGAGTAACTGGCACTACATGTGCACACCACCACGCCTGGTTAATTTATTTTTTTAGGTTTTTTGTAGAGAAAAGGTTAGCGAGGCTCATCTCGAACTCCTGAGCTCAGGCAATCCTTCCACCTCAGCCTCCCAAAGTACTGGATAGCACTTTGCTATCCAGGTATGAGGCATCACACCAGGCCAGATTTCATTCTTAACTGTTGCTGATCAAGGCATCTTTTTTATTTAAAGAAAAGAGTTTGCCTAAAATATTAAAGTAATTTATTAATTTGCTAATTGATTACTTGACTACTCAGTCTCTTCCAGTCACATTTACTGTATTTTGTACAAATTTGCTTGATTCCTGGAATATTTTACATTATTTATAGAAACAAAAAAGCAGCTAGTTTATTGTCTTGATGTACTTTTTCAATTGGCTACTAATTAACCACTCTTCATTTTACTTGCTTGAATATATTATTTGCCCTTGAAATAAGAACAAGAAGTCAGTCTGATTGAATCTCATTGAGCATCCTAGTAATTGAATTGAGAGGTTTTCAAAATTCCCTGGAGTACAAGAGTATGTGTTCATTAAGTGAGCTAAGTGGTTTGTGACTGTGTTATGAATTAAAGAAAATTACCTGCCCCTGTTAATAACACACTCAGTGGCATGATTCCTTTGTATTAGTATCTTTATCGCTATAATATAATCATTAATGTACTGACTACATTTAAACTTATATTTTATGCTGATTTGTTAACTGTAAAGCTGATAAAATTTGGCTTTACCATTAGGTCAGTATTGTAATAAAGCAAATAAAGAATTTTCAGAATGTAGCAGTCTGACAATTATAAGCAATGTAAAGCGTTAAGGAAATACCTCATTCTCTGCTTTAAAAAATATCTCCCCATCCTATATTTATTATTTATGTGTCCATATGTTGTATTTTTTCACTTTCATCTAACTTTAAATCCTAACATAATTTGTACTACTTGAAAGAATTATTGCCAGTCAAAATGCCATGTGTGGACTGTCAGATCTAGAAAAATGCTTCTAAGTCATTCACTCTAGATCCCTCATCATCACAACAAGGACATCAGCCTCAGAGTGGTTAGAGGGGATACGGCTGGGAAGGCTGACTCTGGGAAAAATGAAGAATATCTTGTGCACAATGGAAATGGGAGGACTCACCCTAGGGGAAGAGAGAGTGGCAGAGAACCCTCCCTGACAGCTGTGTGTATACACTGTTTCCTGATGTTAAAGGAGAAAATCACTCTTACCCATCCCCAGGCTAGGACCTAACAATGTCTATTCTAAAAAACATGAAAAAAAAAAAAAAAAAAAGAAGGAAAGAAAAACAATAGCAAGCTTGAGAGAGAGAATACAGCAGTTTGACCTTCCACCATGCACCCTTCTTGGGGAAAGGGATATAACAAGCCTTGTCCCTGCCAAAGGACCTCCAAACACAGAAACTTCTACCCAAAGACCATTTACTTTAAACAAAAGTCTGTGTTTGTTCACTGTGACGGCAGTAAAATGCAACAGCTGCATCAATTTGTTTTGCCACTGAAAAAGCCTGTCATCCTCAAACTTGAAGCATACTTTTTGAGTGAAAATGGCCCTTCCCTTTATTCTACTATTTCCCCCCTTTTCACTCAACATTTTTTGAAGACGTGTACGTTTATCTATCAGGAACTGGTGAAATACTAATTTATAGCAGAGATTAGAATACAGGGAAAATAAAACAAAACTGTTTCCAATAGCACTAGATTCTGGAATGTAAAATACCAAGCATTATGAGAGGAGGAAGAGAAGCAGTGATTAGAAAAGCACTTCACAGACTAATATCCAGAATCTACAAGGAACTTAAACAAATTTACAAGAAATAAACAACCCCTCAAAAAGTGGGTGAAGGATATGAACAGGGACTTCTCAAAAGAAGACATTTATGCAGCCAACAAATATGAAAAAAAATCTCATCGTCACTGATCATTAGAGAAATGCAAATCAAAACCACAATGAGATACCATCTCATGCCAGTTAGAATGGCAATCATTAAAAGTCAGAAAACAACAGATGCTGGAGAGGATGTGGAGAAATAGGAACGCTTTTACACTGTTGGTGGGAGTGTAAATTAGTTCAACCATTGTGGGAGACAGTGTGGTGATTCCTTAAGGATCTAGAACCAGAAATACCATTTGATCCAGCAATGCCATTATTGGGTATATACCCAAAGGAATATAAATCATGCTGCTATAAAGACACATGCACACGTATGTTTATTATGGCACTACTCAAAATAGCAAAGACTTGGAACCAGCCCAAATGTGCATCAATTTTAGACTGAATAAAGAAAATGTGGCACATATATACCATGGAATACTACACAGCCATAAAAAAGGATGAGTTCATGTCCTTTGCAGGGACATGGATGAAGCTGGAAACCATCATTCTCAGCAAACTAACACAGGAACAGAAAACCAAACACCACATGTTCTCATAAGTGGGAGTTGAACAATGAGAACACATGGACACAGGGAGGGGAACATCACACACTGGGGCCTGTTGTGGGGTGGGGGGCAAGGGGAGGGATAGCATTAGGTTAATACCTAATGTAGATGACAGGTTGATGTGTGCAGCAGACCGCCATGGAACATGTATACCTATGTAACAAACCTGCATGTTCTGCACATGTACCCCAGAACTTAAAGTATAATTTTAAAAAAGCCCTTCAGAAAGCAATATCTGATATTTCTCTTCTAATTTCTCTTCCATAGTTTTAACTCAGACATTAATATTTCATTATCTGTCTCACATCCTACCTTCTTTTCAATAATCAATTAAAAAAAACACATATTGATCACCTGCTATGTTCAAGGCAACATGTGAAATAAAAGGATAAATAGGCAGGCTAAAACCTGACCTCAAAAAACTTACAACCTTTTTATACTCAAAACTTTTAACAATTCTCAACAAGGTCTCATACCACATGAAACATCTCCTTTTTCTTTCCATAATTCCTGGCTGACAGTCTCCCCTTTTTATTGATTTGCTAAATCAAATAAAATGTAATATGACATCTTGAAAATTCATGTCATTATCTAAGCCTTGATTTTCTCATATATGAAGCAAATTTGTTTTAAAACCCTATAAAACAGCAACATTCTCTCCTCAGACCCTACTTTTTACAAAGACTTGGTTGTTAAACATTTATCAGTACACCACTCCATAAATCCTTGCATTTGTCATTATTATTGCCTATGGGAAATATATATATAAGACAAACACATCCAATGCGCGTGCACACACACACACACACACACATACTCAAAGACTACTTTTCCAACAAGTGCACATTTTAAAACTACTCTTTGGCAGAAACTGTACTAGTATTAGAGGACACGAACATGACTTAAGGAGGTACCCTGCCTTATCTGCAAGGGAGTATCTAGTTGAAAAAAAAAAAAAACAATATTGTGAAATTTTCCCCTCATCTTTGCCTCATTTTTTCCTGTGAGTCATGAAACAAATATTTCTTGAGAACGACTGGTAATTAAACAAGTATTTGCAGAAATGATTGCTGAAAAATTCTTTATTTCCTTTGGTGAGTTCACTCAAGTTCTCTCCCTGCAGTAAATTAGAAACAATAATAGTGATATTAAGCCCTATAGCATATGTTCTAAAAGTATCTAGAAGTCCTCTTTTTCTCACAGGTATGCACTCATGAGCAAGGAATAAGTAATGTCTCCTATTTGGATAGACGATTCAGGTGGATCTGTGCAATTATGGCTGTGGACATTAGAAGGAGTCATGTTAAAGGTTTGGGAATCTTTAAAGAGAACCCTGCCTCCTCTTCTCTATAGTATCTCAACGTAGCACACTCCTCAATCTTCTTAATGGCTTTCCTTTTAAGCCAAAGGAAATCATATTATTTAATCCTTCAGCTCATTAAATTCAAAGACAACCCTTTCCCTCATCCCAGGCTGCAATGAATTTTTAAATTTCTTAATGCAGACAGACTTAAACTGCCTATCTAGGCCTAAAGGGAGAAAAAGCTATATTAATTAAGTGTTGAGTATTGATTTATTTTATTCCTTGTTTCCTTCGCACATTTATAAGCTAAATATAGATTAATAAAATATCTGTCAAGTAAGAAAACATGATTCATGATTGGGATCACTAAGTTTAAAGTGATCATTCTGTTTCAGTGCCTTATTGTTGCCTTTTAGGAACTAAGTGATAAATGACTTGAAATTGTGTTGCCTATTTGAATCATGAAATTTAAGAGTATTGTTTATGTCATGACATAAATGACTGCTGCACCATCCTTGGAAGGAAAATTATGTACATTCAGATTCGCACCTGCCTTAGTTTAGTTTAAAGTTACATATTGCTGTTAGATGTAATCATAATATCAAATACAATATTATCTTAATAGTGTTTAATGTACTGAATATCATTTATATGGCTGTGTTCTTAAATGTCTGCCAGTTTAATGTGTTTCATTTCAAACTGTGAAAGTATTGTGAGGAAAAAGAAATGAAATGTAAAATGAGCTGGCCTGATAACTCTGGCCACAAATGCGTTATAAGTGCTATACAGGGCTGACTCAAACTAGAAAAGGGATGTTGCATTGTTGTGCTTACAGTTGTACCCATGTAAGAAAGAAAAATCCTTCTTTGTCCCTGTATGTCCAGGCAAAATCTTAGGGAGTAAATGATGGTGGCCTTATCCGGTGTTTCATTTTGAAAAATTGGTAGTCTTTATCTTGAAGCACTAAATTAAGCCCATGTTTAATTCCAAGTGTTTCCTGAACTAGAGAAATTCCACTATTCTATGTCATATTGCAGGCATTCTTTCATTCATAAAGGGGATAAATGCTTTGATTTTTTCTGCCCTGTCACCAGGGTGGCTCAGGCCAGTAATGTAATGACCAATGGTAAGAACATGGGTCACATACCCAGCTAACCTCTCAATGCCCTTTCCTTACAAAAATTGTATTCGGCCATATTTAGTTATAAAACAGGATGTTATCAGACCTACAATAAATCAGCAATATATTTCAAAATAGCTAATTAACCTTTATCTAAAACAATATCTACATGTCTGTGCACAGAGGCCATTACACAGTTCTCATGTACCAGAGGTCAGGCCTTATGTGGTGGAGTCCCATGGGCATAATGTTTTTCAAGTCTGGATTAGAGTTAATTATACTAAATAGAATGAACTTAATTATTAATATGATGTTTCTTTTTGGACCTGCAGACTTCCTCTGAGATTTAAAAATCTCTGAGATATAATATTACAGGCTAAAAATTGCAACTCTTGTTAATGACCAAGATAAAGATCCATCGTTACTGGTAGAATAGCCTTTTGAGTTTTTCTTAATAATAGCATTCACATAGTAATATTATCAATCAATAATTGAAATTTTGCATAAAAGTTTCAAAGATCTTTTATTCACTTGCATTTTCATGTTCTTTCTTTTTCCTTTAACAAAGTTTATCTTCCTGTACTTCACAGTTGCTATGTCTTCATGTCCTGTGAGAGGCTGTTCTCTAACTTCTTATATCTTTAAATTCCCAAGCTCACACCCTGTGATATTCTCCTTTCAAGGCCTTGAAGGCTGGGACTCCTGTTACTCTCACAAATCTGAGTTCCAAGTAAGGCAAGTGATGGAATGGCTTGCCTAAGTACGCGAACCAAAGATGTATATTGTAGACTATGTGTATTTGATTGGTAAAGTTCTTGTTGTTGTTGTTGTTGTCGTTGTTGAGATGGAGTCTCGCTCTGTCACCCAGACTGGAGTGCAATGGCGCAATCTTGGCTCACTGCAACCTCCCCCTCCCGGGTTCAAGCCATTCTACTGCCTCAGCTTTGCTAGTAGGTGGGATTACAGGCATGTGCCACCATGCCAGACTAATATATATAGTATTATTAGTAGAGATGGGGTTTAACCATGTTGGCCAGGATGGTCTCGATCTCCTGACCTTGTGATCCACCTGCCTCAGCCTCCCAAAGTGCTGGGATTACAGGTGTGAGCCACCGTGCTGGGCCCAGCAAAGTTCTTAAAAGTGAGTGTTATTTACAAAACACACTAACATTTCTCTAGTAAATTATAGCATACTACATACCACCTCCAGTAAATTGGGAAATAGGAAGATACTGCCTTTTGTGTGCATTTGATAACTAATGAAAAAATTAATGATACATTGAATTATCCTTGTTATGGCTAAGTACTATGCCAGTTGTCGTGAGGGAAAGATAGATGAGTGAAACAAGTCTCTGCCTTAAAAATTTCCTTAATAGTGTACCTGAAACTCTCAGTTTCCACCCTCAGAGGAATTGAACTGAGGGTGTAAATGTAGTTAGACTTTTAATAGAAGACTCTCACCTTTTCTCAAAGACTAATTGACATGGTAATACTAAATATGGGACTTAGAATAATGTAAAATCATTCTGTGACTCTTGGTTTCCAAGAACATTATAGTTTATATCTTTGATGTGTTTTTTTAATTAAACTTTGTATAGCATTATATTGTAAGTGTTTTCAGAAGCAAAGTGTCTGTTTAGTGATGCAGTTTCTTGGGTTTCTGGTAGGGGGATTAGACTCAGTGACATATAATTTTCTAATCTGTTGGCTGGTCACGGTGGCTCACACCTATAATCCCAGCACTTTGGGAGGCCGAGGCAGGTGGATCACTTGAAGTCAGGAGTTTGAAACCAGCCTGGTCAACATGATCAAAGCCTGTCCTTACTAAAAATACAAAAATTAGTCAGGTGGTGTATGCCTGTAGTCCCAGTTACTCAGGACACTGAGGTGGGAGGATCTCTTGAGCCTGGGAGTCAGAGGTGGCAGTGAGCCAAGATTGCACCACTGCACTCCAGCCTGGGTGACAGAATGAGACCCTGTCTAAAAAAAAAAAAAAATTCTAATCTGTGAAATAAACATGGCCCTTCATGTCAGGCCTACGCTGATATGAGGAACATACATATCTAAGTATAAAGTTCATAATTGCGATATGAACTTCTCTGCAATATCATCATCCCAAAGTTCATAATTGTGATGTGAACTTCTCTGCAATATCATCATCCCAAGCTTGCTAAAATTGATCATCTGTGATTTTTGTTGACCATATGTAGTAATAACTGTATTAGAGTGTGTTGGGATTATAGAAAATAAGAAATACCAACTAAATAGGTAGATACACCCACAGTATTATAGTCAGGACATATCTATTCACAAAAGAGGCTTATCGTATGAATGAAAACATAAATGTAAGTACATTTAGACTTCATTGAAAAGCTAGAATTTTAAAAGCTGGCAATTAATGAATGGAAACTAGTGTCTATCTATCTAGTCTACCTGTCTGTATATTCCCTCGCCCCATCTATCTATCATTCGTCTATCATCACAATATTTACTTCATTATTCTTTCTCTAGTGGCTTTCTTAGCTTACCCATTTCTGCAGGGCTTCAAATGGTTCTCTTAGCCAATAGGATTGCATGTTCCTTCAGCACTTCTTAGCTTAAATGACTTAACTCCCAGTTTTTGAATGAGTGGTCTAATTGTTCAAGCTTACATTTCCCAGCTAGTTCTGTGGCTCTGACTAAGTTGTAGGCAGGGCATAGAGTAGTATGGTATATGAATGTAGTTTTCCTTAGAAAGGGATATGGATGAAGTAGGTAGTTAAAAGTATACCTTATAAACAGGCACCTTAATCACAATATGCCTAAAGCTAGAATCATCTTTCTCTTCTCCACACCGTTCCTCAGCTCACGTGCACACCATACTTGTACTCTTTGTTTCCCTTATATTGATGAATGGCATCATCATTTATCTGGTTATCTAATCTAAGAGGATAGCAGACATCATTGATTTCTCTTCCCTATCTCCCCTGCACATTCAATCAGTTCTGAAATTGTTATGATTCCTTCATTTTATGACTTAAGTGCCGTTCACTTTATTTACAATATTTTAATTTCTGAAAATAAGTTCAAATTTAATAGAGTATCCATGTTTTATAGATAGGGAAACAGAGACTTAGCATGCTTAAGTAACTTACTCAAAGTGACCGAGACAGTAAAAGATAGAACTGGGTTTTTGTTCTAGGCACTCTGCTTCCAGAAATATCACTACCATAGTTTCTGCCTAGCCTAACAGGAAATTGGAGTATTTGTAACCAGGAGATTCAGGACATCTGGACTTGCTGTAGTTGTTTTAATCCTAATGCTAACTCTTTAATGGGCAAGTTACTGATTAATTTTACCTTACTTAACTTCAAGGGAGCCAGCTGGACAATGATAAATGAACACCTACTCCATTCTATGTCTGTGTTATTTCCTGCCTCCATTCCTTTTTCCAGACAGGATTTCTTACCATCCCTGACACCCAGAATGTCTGGCTCTCTTCATTGTTTGGTCTCTATACTTTAAGGGCTGTTGAAAGGAGAATTCAAATACATCTAACCTTTTTAAAAAGTAAACTTATGAGTACTGCTACCTAGAAATAAAACCTAGAGAAAGAGGCACAACTGATTAATCTTTCCCGTATTTAAAAATATTTTATAGGTAGGGGCAGGTCATTGTATTGTTTTTCTTTTACAATTTTAGTTTTATACTGTTAACTCAATTTTTTCCTATCCCTCTTGGGTCTTATTTCAAATTGGATTAATCATTGCAGTCTCTTTCTCCATATCAAGAGAAGAAAAGTCTTTTTTTCTCTATAAATATTTGTTCATGATAATTGTGTGGCCCAAGTCTTCATGCATATGTTTGGATACAGAGCGTGTGGGTGGGGAAGTATGGAAGATGTTAGCTAGAGTAGAGCTCCTGTTAGCTCAACTTGAGCAACAAGTGCATAATTCATGCATATTTGTTCTTATGACATTCATGGCCCAAGATATAATTTATTTGATGTTGATTCTTGGCCAGACTCATAGAGAAATCTATTAACTGTTTTAAAATGTCCCACTTTTCTGATTCATTTTGCAGCAATATATTTACACACACAGACGGAATTGCAGATACAAATTATTTTCCATTCAACATTACAGAACCTTGATTTATGAACTCTGTTATTTATTTTCTAGAGGAAATGTGTTAATAATTGTCTTATTGGCTACTATTTTGTACTGTGCTCTTAACCTTTCCTCCTCTTAACTAATTCAAAGCTTAGCCTTCTCTTAGCACTTTTTAATAGGGCAAATAACACATTCTGCTGTATGAATATAGTAAGTTTAATTTTGTCATTGTTAAAGTTCTAGAGCACCTCTCATATTATGGGCACATAGAGCCCAATAAATGTTACTTGAATTAAATGGAAATGCTATTAAACTGAATCTTAGGTTTACTTTTCTGTTTCATATTTTTAAAAGCATTTTTCTTTGTTCTGTAAGTTTCAGAATTAAACTCTTGGATACATTAATTAGAAGTTCCAAAGGACATATGATAAACTTCAGCAAATCATACTGATTTAAAGCATTGAGTATTTTTATTTATTTGACAAAAATAAAAACTTTGACCAATGTTTTTATATCAACTGCAACATAACATTCCAAACAACTTTTATGTTAAACTCTCAACTCTACAGTCAAAAATTGATATATTTAAACTCTTTATTAAATATACTATTTAATTCCTTAAATAATAAATTTGTTTCTGTTGGTGCTGCTTTTCTATTGGCTGAATATAAGAAATAACATAGGTTAGAAATAACATTTTAAAATTCACTCTTCAAAGTACAGCAATTTATGAGAGACTGGGCTCTCACATTCAGGGCTGCCTAGTGCAAGACCATGTGGGAACAGTTAAAGACATTCATATTATGAAGGCAGAGGAAACAATAGAAATGTTTTAAGTAAAAATGGGATGGAATGATATTTGCATTCTGAAAGAATCTGTCTTTTTATACACACAAATACACTCACACACACCTTTTTTCCACTTTCTCATTTTGATTTAGATTTTCTCATATCACTGCACATTATAAGCATGTGTCAAAATATCACATGTATCCCCCAAATATGGGCAATCATGTATTAATAAAAAATTAGTAAGATTCTCATTTCTAGCTCAAATTATCCTCAAAATAAATTTTAAGAAACTTAAAGCAACCCCTTTTATCATATATTCTCCTATTTAAAAACTTTCAGCAGCTACCTACTATATGAGGATTAAGTATAAATCCTTTAACTTTCAAGAAGCCCAACCAATCTATCACACTCCATCTTTCTAACCAACTATGTTTCTTCTTTTGCATACTTAGTCTCAACTACATGTTGGATGGTACACTCTTTTTTTCTTTAATCCATGATAAAATTCCCCCCACAAATGGGGAATTCTTTCTCCCTCACTTCCAGTCAAAATTCTGTCTATTCTTCAAGTTTCAAATCCTACATTGGAATATTAGCTGGCAATAATATCTTCTGCTGCTAAATGCCAATACTTATGTTAGTACCACTGATGTAGACATCTAAATACAATTATACAATCAAAAATTTTGAGTTTAAGACAATTGATAACTATATGTGAATAGACATTTTTAATGCCAAGGATTATATCACATATATTATATTGTACCCTACCCCTGGTCATGGCCAGAAGAGTACTTTGCACAGATACTATTTCAAAATATGTTTGAACAGGACTGTCTGTATATATTATATATACAGTATGTGTAGATAAGAAAACACTAGTATGTATTTCCCTAATTCTAAATTTGAAAAAAATTTTTTTTTTGAGACAGAGTTTCACTCTTGTTGCCCAGGCTGGAGTACAATGGCACGATTTCAACTCACTGCAACCTCTGCAAGCGAGTCTTCTGCCTCAGCCTCCCAAGTAGCTGGGCTTACAGGTACCCGCCACCATGCCAGGCTAACTTTTGTATTTTTAGTAGAGACGGGGTTTCGCCACGTTGGTCAGGCTGGTCTCGAACTCGACCTCAGGTGATCCACCTGCCTCGGTTAATTTTTCAATTTTAGGTGCTATTGTTTGACTTTCTTTTCAAGATAAGTATATAACCTCTTATAGATATTTAAACACAACATCTTCTTTCATCATCCCTACAAAATTAGATTGCAATTTTTGTTGGATCTCCATTCAGTATCTACCAATGTATTGTAACTAACTACCAATGTGTGTGTGTGTATATACATATATACACACACATATATAGATATATATACACGTACCTCAGAAGGTAAATGTTTGATTGAAAATGATTCTACTTCAGAATTTTAAAAAGCAACTTCCATTGTATTTAAGCTCTCAAACCTTTGCTAAGTTCAATGCCATGTTGGGTGCAGTGGTCCATGCCTATAGTCTCAGCTACTTGGGAGGCAGTAGTATCACTTGAGCCTAGGAGTTTGAGTCAGAGGGAGACTCTGTGTCAAAAAACAAAACAAAAAAGACAACAGCCTGGGCAACATAGTAAGACCCTCATCTCTAATAATAATTAAAAAAATTCAGTGCCATTCGGTCTTTTACAAGCAATAATTTTTGCACCTTGCATCTAGTTTCTCTTCCCCTACTGGTTTTAAGTTTGGTGTTAATATACCTTAGGGTAAGTATTTTTTATTGAATGTGCTGGGCACTTAGTAGGGCCTTTATGTGTGGAAATACACCTACTTTCATTGGTGAATTGATTATCTTTTCTTCCTTTTAGGGGCTGAATTCACCACCACCACCAAATTCACATGCTGAATTCTTAATCCCCAGTACATCAGAATGTGATTGCATTTGGAGAGCGAATCTTTAAAGAAAAAACTAAGTTAAAATGAGGTCACTAGGGTATGCCCTAATCCAATGTGACTGTAGTATTTATAAGAAGAGGTGATCAGGACACGGACACACACAGAAACAATGGTTAGGTGGAGGGGGCGGGGTGTAAAGACAGAGGGATTTGATGAAAACATTCATAAGGTATTAAATTTACAGAAGACTGGATATGAATTTTCAGGATAAATTAAAATAAATAAGTGGTCACCGGTCTTGGTGACAACAGGCCCATGAAAGACAGATAACAGAAAATTAACTGAGAATGTATGTGCTGAATCACCACAGCTCCAGGCTACTTGCACTGCTTGCTTTTAAATACCATGGCATCAGATATGCCCATTTCGGCAAAATATTGGAACCAAGCCAACAGTTAACAGCATTGATTGATTTTTCCTAAGTAGCTTACCCACTGTCTGAATACCACTGAGTTTCAAAAAACCTTGCATATCAAACTCCTAAGACAATCTGGTTTTTCTATGGCCATGTTTTCTAGCCGTTAATAGGCATGTGCTGTTTCAGCTTTCTCAAGTCTTACTATATTCCAAAACCATGTAGATCTCTTTTTCTCCATTTCTGTTATCCTTCTCTTGGGGATTTATATGATGCAATTTCTTCATCCTCATCTAGTGGTATTTCTTGAAGTTGCAGAGAAATTTATATTTGCCCAATGCTCTGTGTAAAGTAAAATAATCACAGATCTATGGGGAAGGTGCATCACCTCTTCCAATCAGATGCTGAATGAGAAGTAGCTTATTAAATTTACTTGTAAGCCAAAGTCGACATTTATATACTTCATTTCTACCATGTTTTAAACTAAAATCAGTATTAATCAAATTTTGCCAGGCACAGTGGCTCTTGCCTGTAATCTCAGCACTTTGGAAGGCAGAGGTGGGCGGATTGCTTGAGGCCAGGAGTTGGAGACCAGCCCCAGCAACATGGCGAAACCCTGGCTCTACAAAAGATACAAAATTTAGCCACTGGTAGACATCTCTAGAGGTTTATTTGGGTTGACACAGGAAAATAACTGATACGTGTAAAGTAAAATCATTTTGTATTCATAAAAATCACTTATAAACATTATTTATATTATGGCAAGGAAAGTTGCTCTTAATATAATCTTAATAGTCAGAGGTGTAAATGCTATAGAATTTCTGTGAAACTTAGAAACAGATTCAAATATATATATACATTATTGATATCACCTTGTAATGCATGACATGTTTCATAACATTAGTGACATGTCCTGTGCGTTATGCCTCACTAGCAATGCATAGGTCAAGGTGCTGTGCAAAACCACCGTGAAGACCGTCCATCCACACGGTATTTCCATCAAACCTGCACATGTGTCTGCGATGTGCTGGCTCACGTCATGTGTCTCATTTTTACTGAGTAAAATTTCTTTTTTGGCACATTATGGAGAAAAATAAGTAGGTTCATTTTGTTAAAAAAAAAAGAAACTTTATCTATGTTTCTATATTTTATGGCCAATCTGTGCATTCTCATTTCATAATAAAATAAAATTAGAACACTACACTATATGAAATAACAGAAAAGAGCATTGGCTTCAGAATCTTCAAATCTGGGATTAGGTTCTGACTGCACTCAAATGTGTTTTTCCACCTCTACCAGCCTCAGATGTTCATCTGTAATCAGGTCTTCATCTGTAAAATAAATTTGCTTGGTGGGGGTAGGGGAGTATCAAATCAGATAGTTTACGACATTTGAAATGCTTTAGACTATAAACTACTACAACATTGCTCCTATTATTGAAATTTAACAGTATTTTATCAAACAACACTTTGATTTGTGATGAAAACCTGGGCAAATTAAAAGATTTCTAACTACTAACTACTAGAAACACAAATTTATTGTGGAATCATTTGAGCAAAGGCTGGATCTGTGGCCATGGCACTGGGATTTACTGGAAAGAGGCACCAGAAAACTTTTTGGGAGGTGATGATAGTAATTTTCTGAAACTTGATAGAGATAGGGTTGGGGTTGCCTAAGTGTGATGCTTAATACTGAATGTCAATCTGACTGGATTCAAGGATACAAAGTATTGATCCTGGGTGTGTCTGTGAGGGTGTTGCCAAAGGAGATTAACATTTGAATCAGTGGGCTGGGAAATGCAGACACGGCCTTAATCTGGGTGGGCACAATCTAGTCAGCTGCCAGCATGGCTAGAATATAAGCAGGCAGAAAAATGTGAAAAGAGAGACTGGCCTAGCCTCCCAGCCTACATCTTTCTCCTGAGCTGGATGTTTCCTGCCTTTGAACATTGGAGTCCAAGTTCTTCAGTTTTGGAACTCAAACTGGCCCTCCTTGCTCCTCAGCCTGCAGATGACCTATTGTGGGACCTTGTGATTGTGTGAGTTAATACTTTATAAATTCCCCTTTATATATATATATATATATATATATATATATATATATATATATATATATATGTGTGTGTGTGTGTGTGTGTGTGTATGATATATACATTTATATATGATATATATTTAATAGATATATTTATATATATCATAGATATATTTATATATATCATAGATATATTTATATATGATATATACTTATATATATGATATTTTTATCTTTCATTGTATATAAATTTACCTCAAAAAGAGCAGGAGCAAAAATAAATACCGTACTCTGTTTACTAAAATGCATGCTAAAATGTTTAGGGATTAAATGTACTGATGTCTGCAATGTATAAAAAATAAGATGGGGCTCATGCCTATAATCCCAGCACTTTGGGAGGCTGAGGCGGGTGGATCACCTGAGGTCAGGAGTTCTAGACCAGCCTGGCCAACATGGTGAAACCCCGTCTCTACTAAAAATACAAAAGTTAGCCAGGTGTGGTGCTGGGTGCCTATAATCCCAGCTACTTGGGAGGCTAAGGCAGGAAAATCGCTTGAACCCAGGAGGCAGAGGTTGCAGTGAGCCAAGATCCCACCGCTGCACTCCAGACTGGGTGACAGAGCAAGACTCCGTCTCAAAAAAAAAAAAAGATGGACTGATTGATAGAATAGATAGACAAATAGAGAGTTGATGAAGCAGGTGCAATAAAATGTTTATTGCTGAATCTAGGTGGTGGGTATATGAGTATTTATATTAAATTCTTTCAATTTCTCTTCTGAGTGTTTGAAAATTGTCATATTAAATGTTGGAAAAGAAATGATAAAAAATAAAAATAAAAACATAACCTTACACAGAAGGTAGGCCTTTTCACCAAATCTTCCTTAAGGAGTAGCGTATTGACCAAGGTGTTTCCATTTGTAAAACAGATGAAATGTAAACACTGCCACTGTATTTCTATCTATAATAAAGAGCAAAAAAGGAACCCAGAAAGAGGCAATAAATAAAGAGCAGAAGTAAACATAATTTGAAAGCTAATGAAATCAGGTTATTTAAATCTCTGGTTAGACAAAAATCACCTAATTAATAAAAGATAGGATATGATATGTCATTAAATAAGAGGTAGAAAAAGGTTATACAATAGACAGGCAAAATACTATACTTAAGAAATACAAAGTTTATTTCCAACTGGAAATGGAAAACTACTTTAAAAAAACCCAACATAGCAAAAATGACAGCATCAAAGAGAGGACGTGACAAGAACAATAAAAAAGAAACCTCAAAAATAAACTGCATGGAATTTTTCTAAACTTTCTAGAGATGAATAACTTTTATGTTACAAGTATTTCTCCAAAATATAAAAATCATGGTGTATTGCTTGGTTTTCTTTATTGAGAAAAAACCATCTGGTCTTAGCTCTCAGTCTTAACTAGAGCATAACTGAAAGAAAAACATAAGCACTGGTATATTATGAAGGTAGATACATAAAGGTAGATACATAAAACTGAAATAAAATCTTAGAAAACAGTTTAAACCTTTTCATAACAAAGTGTAGAAAAATATCTTAAGGAAGGGCGAGGCCAAGATGGCCGACTAGAAGCAGTGATGATGGAGGCTCCCTTCGAAAAGAACCATAGCAGTGTGCGAATCCTGCACTGGCAACGGAGGTATCCAGGCTCTGTCATCAGAACTGACTAGGACGCTGGCATAACCCACAAAGAGGAAGGAAGAGCAGTGTGGTGCAGCGGCCCACCTGAGAGCCACACGGGGCAGGGGAGTCCCCATCCCCCAGCCAAGGGAGGTGGTGAGTGAGCATGCTACCCAGCCTGGGAAACTGTGCTTTTTCCACAGCACTGTGCAACCTGTGGATCAGAAGATCCAATTTGTGAGCTCATGCCACCGGGGCCTAGGGTCCCAACCACAGAGCCACTCAGATTCTCAACAGCCAGTCAGCTACAATCTGCTTAAGCCTGGAGGGAGGGGCGGCCAGAACCACAGCTGCAGCTGCCTGATGTCTAAGCCATTCGTGCTCCTTGTGGGAGGGGCAGCAGCCAACACTGGGACTGATAGCTGCCTCACACACTAAGCTTCCAGGGTGGGGGAAGGGCAGCAGCCATCTCTATAGCTCCAGGCCTTGCTTTTCCCCTGGTGGAGCCAGGGAGGGCTGGATGGCTTGGTCCCAAGCAGTATTCCCCACAGCTCAACACACCAGCTATGGCAGACTGCGGCCAGAGTGCCTCTTTGGGCCTTACCCTGACTCTTCCTTCCACACTGGGTGGGGCCTCTCTGCAGGAATTCCAACAACTCCAGCCAGGGGTTCTGGGACAGAACTCTGATCTCCTGATCTTCTTGGGCCTGAGCACCTAGGGTAGGGGTGGCCACAGTCTCCACAGACCAGGAGACTTAGTCTTTCCTCCCGCTAGTTCTGAGGAATCCGGGCAGCCCAGATGAATGGTTTTTCCTCCAGTGAAGCACACCCACTCCACCAAGGGACAGTCAAAGTGCTTCGTTAAAGGGGTCCTGCTCCTCATGGCACCCAACTGGGTGAGACCCTCCAACAGGGGTTGTTAGACACCCTATACAGGAGCAATCCTACTGGCATCAGGTCAGTGCCCCTTGAGATCAGAGATCCTAGAGGAAGGAGCCGGCACCCATCTGTGCTGTTCTCCAGCCTCCTCAAGTGGCATCTCCAGGCGCAAGAATAAACCAGGTGAATAGGGCCTGAAGTGAACCCCAGCAAACTGCAGTAGCCCTACAGAAGAGGGACCTGACCACGGAAAGAAAAGCAAACAGAAAGCAACAACAACAGCATCAACAAAAAAAAAATGTCCCCATAAAAACCTCATCCAAGGGTCAGCAGCCTCAAAGATTGAAATTAGGCAAACTCATGAAGATGAGAAAGAATCTATGAGAAAACACTGAAAACCCAAAAGGTCAGAGTGCATCTTCTCTTCCAAATGATCTCAATGCCTCTCCAGCAACAGTGCAGAACTCAACAGTGGATGAAATGGAGAAATGGACAGAAGTAGGCTTCAGAAGGTGGGTAATAATAAGCTCTACTGAGCTAAAGGAGCATGTTCTAACCCAATGCAAAGAAGCTAAGAACCTTGATAAAAAGTTACAAGAGCTGCTAACTAGAATAACCAATTTAGAGAGGAACATAAATGACCTATTGGAACTGAAAAACACAGCATGAGAACTTCATGAAGCATACACAAGTATCAACAGCCGAATGGACCAAGCAGAAGAAAGGATATCAGAGTTTAAAGACCATCTTGCTGAAATAAGTCATGCAGACAAGATTAAAGAAAAAAAGAATGAAAAGAAATGAACAAAACCTCAGAGAAATATGGAACTATGTTAAAAGATCAAGCCTATGATCGATTGGAGTACCTGAAAGAGATAGGGAACCAAGTTGGAAAACACACTTCAGGATATTGTCCAAGAGAACTTCCCCAACCTAGCAAGACAGGGCAACATGCAAATTCAGGAAATACAGAGAACACCACTAAGATACTCCATGAGAATGTCAACCCCACAACACATAATCATCAGATTGTCCACAGTTGAAATATAGGAAAAAATGTTAAGGGCAGCCAGAGAGAAAGACCAGGTCACCTACAAAGGGAAGCCCATCAGACTAACAGTGGACCTCTCAGCAGAAACCCTACAAACCAGAAGAGAGTGAGGGCCAATATTCAACATTGTTAAAGGAAAGAATTTTCAACCCAGAATTTCATATCCAGCCAAACTAAGCTTCATAAGTGAAGAAGAACTAAAATCCTTTACAGACAAGCAAATGCTGAGAGATTTCATCACCACCAGGCCCGCCTTACAAAAGCTGCTGAAGGAAGCACTAAATTTGGAAAAGAAAATCCAGTACCAGCTACTGCAAAAACACACCAAAATGTAAAGGCCAATATCACTATGAAGAAACTGCATCAACTAGTATGCAAAATAACCAGATAGCATCTTGATGACAGGGTCAAATTCACACATAAAATATTAACCTTAAATGTAAATGGGCTAAATACCCAAATTAAAAGACACAGACTGGCAAATTGGATAGTCAAGACCCATTGATATGCTGTATTCAGGAGACCCATCTCGTGTGCAAAGACACACATAGGCTTAAAATAAAAGGATGAAGGAAAATTTACCAAGCAAATGGAAAGCAAAAAACAACAACAACAACAAAAAAAAACCAACAGTGGTTGCAATCCTAGTCTCTGACAAAACAGACTTTAAACCAACCAAGTTCAAAAAAGACAAAGAAGGGCATTACATAATGGTAAAGGGATCAATTCAGCAAGAAGAGGTAACTATCCTAAATATATATGCACCCAATATGGGAGTACCCAGATTCATAAAACATGTTCTTAGAGACCTACAAAAGAGACTTAGACTCCCACACAATAATAGTGGGAGACTTCAACACCCCACTGCCAATATTAGACAGAACAACGAGACTGAAAATTAACAAGGATATTCAGGACTTGAACTAGGCTCTGAATCAAGTGGACCTAATAGACATCGACAGAATTCTCCACCACAAATCAAGAGAATATACATTCTTTTCAGTGGACATGGCACTGATTCTAAAATCAACCACGTACCTGGAAGTAAAACACTCCTTAGCAAATGCAAAAGAATGGAAATCATAACAGTCTCGCAGACCACAGTGCAATCAAATTAGAACTCAGGATTAAGAAACTCACTCAAAACCACACAACTACATGGAAATGGAACAACCTGCTCCTGAATGAATCATGGGTAAATAATGAAATTTAGGCAGAAATTAAGAAGTTCTTTGAAACCAATGAGAACAAAGACACAACGTACCAGAATCTGTGGGACACAGCTAAAAGAGTGTTAAGAGGGAAATTTATAGCACTAAATACCCAGATCAGAAAGCTAGAAAATCTCAAGTCAACACCCTAACATCACAATTAAAAGAGCTAGAGAATCAAGGCAAACAAATCCAAAACCTAGCAGAAGACAAGAATTAACTAAGATCATAGCAGAACTGAAAGAGATACACACGCACAAAAAAAAAGTTCAAAAAAATCAATGAATCCGGGAACTGTTTTTATTGAAAACAAAAAACAAAATAGATAGACCACTAGCTAGACTAATAAAGAAGAAAAGAGAGAAGAATCAAATAGACACAGCAAAAAATAGTAAAGTGGATATCACCACTGACCCTACAGAAATACAAACTACCATCAAAGAACACTATAAACACTTCTATGCAAATAAACTAGAAAATTTAGAAAATGGATAGATTCCTGGACACATACACCCTCCCAAGACTAAACCAGGAAGAAGTTGAATCCATGAATAGACCAATAATAAGTTCTGAAATTGAGGCAGTAATTAGTAGCCTACCAACCAAAAAAAGCCCAGGACAAGACGGATTCACAGCTGAATTCTACTAGAGGTAAAAAGAATAGTTTCCTTCTGAAACTATTCCAAACAATTGAAAAGGACTCCTCTCTAACTCATTTTATGAGGCCTGCATCATCCTGATACCAAAACCTGGCAGAAACACAACAAAAAAATAAAACTTCAGTCCAATATACCTGATGAACATTGATATGAAAATCCTCAATAAAATACTGGCAAACCAAATCCAGCAGCACATCAAAAAGCTTATCCAACATGATCAAGTTGGCTTCATCCCTGGGATGCAAGGCTAGTTCAACATACACAAATCAACAAACATAATCCATCACTTAGAACCAATGACAAAAACCACATGATTATCTCAATAGATGCAGAAAAGGCCTTCAATAACATTCAACATCCCTTCATGTTAAAAACTCTCAATAAACTAGGTATGGATGGAACATATCTCAAAATGATAAGAGCTATTTATGACAAACCTACAGCCAATATCATACTAAATGGGCAAAGCTGGAAGCACTCCTTTTGAAAACCAGATCAAGACAAAGGAGGCCCTCTCTCACCACTCCTATTCCACACAATATTGGAAGTTCTAGCCAGGGCAATCAGGCCAGAGAAAGAAAGAAAGCATATTCAAATAGGAAGAGAGGAAGTCAAATTTTCTGTTTGCCGACATGATTCTATAGTTAGAAAACCTCATTGATTCAGCCCAAAAACTACTTAAGCTGATGAGCAGTTTAGGCAAAGTCTCAGGATACAGAATCAATGTGCATAAATCACAAGCATTCCTATACACCAACAATAGACAAGCAGAGAGCCAAATCGTAAATGAATTCCCTATCACAATTGCTACAAAGAGAATAAAATATCTAGGAATATAGCTAACAAAGGATGTGAAGGACCTCTTCAATGAGAACTACAAACTACTGCTCAAGGAAATAAGAGAGGACACAAACAAATGGAAAAACTTTCTATCCTCATGGATAGGAAGAATCAATATCATGAAAATGGCCATATTGCCCAAAGTAATTTATAGATTCAATGCTATTCCCATCAAGCTACCCTTAACATTCTTCACAGAATTAGAAAAAACTACTTTGAAATTTAAATGGAACCAAAAAAAAAAAAAAGAGCCTGTATAGCCCAGACAATCCTAAGCAAAAACAACAAAGCTGAAGGCCTCATGCTACCAGACTTCAAACTGTACTACAAGGCTACAGTAACCAAAACAACATGGTACTGCTACCGAAACAGACATATAGACCAATGGAACACAACAGAGACCTCAGAAATAACACCACACATCTACAACCGTCTGATCTTCGACAAACCTGACAAGAACAAGTAATGGGGAAAAGATTCCCTATTTAATACATGGTGCTGGGAAACATGGCTAGCCATATGCAGAAAACTGAAACTGGATCCCTTCTTTAGACCTTATACAAAACTTAACTCAAGATGGATTAAAGACTTAAATGTAAAACCCAAAACCATGAAAACCCTAGATGAAAACCTAGGCAATACCATTCAGGACATATGCATGGGCAAAGACTTCATGACAAAAAGCAATGGCAACAAAAGCCAAAATTGACAAATGGGATCTAGCTAAACTAAAGAACTTCTGCACAGCAAAATAAACTATCATCAGAGTGAATGACAACCTAAAGAACAGGAGAAAATTTTTGCAATCTACCCACCTGACAAAGGTCTAATATTCAGAATCTACAAAGAACTTAAACAAATTTACAGGAAAAAAAACAACCCCATCAAAAAGTAGGCAAAGGATGTGAATAGACACTTCTCAAAAGAAGACATTTATACAGCCAATAAACATAAAAAAAAGCTCAACATCACTCATCATTAGAGAAGTGCAAATCAAAACCACAATGAGATACTATCTCATGCCAGTCAGAATGGCGATTATTAAAAAGGTCAAGAAACAATAGATGCTGGTGATGCTGTGGAGAAATAGAGACGCTTTTACACTTGGTGGGGATGTAAATTAGTTCAACCATTGTTGAAGACAGTGGGGCGATTCCTCAAGGATCTAGAACCAGAAATACCATTTGACCCGGCGATCCCATTCCTGGGTATATACCCAAAGGATTATAAATCATTCTACTATAAAGACACATGCACATGAATGTTTACTGCGGCACTATTTACAATAACAAAGACATGGAACCAACCCAAATGCCCATCAATGATAGACTGGATAAAGAAAATGTGGTAATATACACCATGGAATACTATGCAGCCCTAAAAACGAATGAGTTCATGTCCTTTGCAGGGACAAGGATGAAGCTAGAAGCCATCATCCTCAGCAAACTAACACAGGAACAGAAAACCAAACACCACACGTTCTCACTCATAAGTGGGAGTCGAACAATGAGAACACATGGACACAGGGAAGGTAACAACACACACTTGGGCCAGTCAGGGGCTTGGGGGCGAAGGGAGGGAGAACGTTAGGACAAATAGCTAATGCACGTGGGGCTTAAAACCTAGATGATGGCTTGATAGGTGCAGCAAACCACTCTGGCACATGTATACCTATGTAACAAACCTGCATGTTCTGCACTTGTATCCCAGAAGTTAAAGTAAAAGAAAAAAGAAAAAAAGAAATATATCTTAAGGAATAGAATTCAGTATGTAATCTGACAAGAATTTTACTTGTAAAGTGAGATAAGAAAACATACATGATTATGTTAACATACTATTTGAAAAAACTAGAAAGTGAAATTTGGTTCTACCTGTGAATATGCAAAGAATACTTTGGATGATGTACTTATCTACCTCAAGAAACCCGAAGTTTTTGGAGGAAAATGTTCAAGAAATCTCAGTCACACTTAAGAGATCCTGCTAACCCACAGGGTGTGCTGAGCAAGTAAGCCCTTATTGTGCAGGATGTTTAGGGGTGGGCTCTCATGGTTTGACCTCTGAATTAAATAATCTGGTTTGGAAAAGTAAGCCTAGATATTAGATTTCTCTTTGGAAATTTCAAACGGGGTAACTGAGAAAATGAGGCATCATCAAGAGCAGAAGTCAAAGCATGTATCAAGATTTCTGTGAGGTAAAGGGTGTTGCTGTGTCATTTATTCCATTTTAAATCAGAAATCCAGAGCAAGGTAGAGGAATCACCCTCTAGGAGATAGGAGCTTGGGTCCCTGGTAGCTGTTACCTTCACTTTTCCATGAGCTGTGGCTCTAGGCAGTTTCTGCCTTTGGTTTTTCTATGAGCTGTTTTTCCATATTTTAGAAATTGCTCTCCCATATTCCTTCAAATCCCCACTAAACTGCTTTATTATTTAGATGATTAAACGTGTTTCTTTTACTTAAAAACAAGAGTCCCAACTAAACAGAAAGGACGAAAACTGATTAATCATTATTCACTTGAAGTGCTTAACACATAATAGCAGATTAAATATTGACTACAAAAATAAATAAATTATAAAATGGAACTTTAGTAATTGATTAAAATTCTAATGAGAAAATAATTCACCATTTCAGACATGCCTTTTAAAGCAATAAAAATACAGAGAATGATTAACTTTGATTTATATCTTACTCAGTAATAAATTATAGCTAAGTTAAAAAGATAAACATTTTAAAAGTATTTGTTAGATCTGCTTTTATAAAACAACTCTAAAAGCTTTAGTCTCTACATTGACTATAAGTTGCTATTATATGACATAGTTATGCTAGTTTTAATACTAACATAAAATTAAATAAATTAATTAAATAAATAAATTCTCTGAGGACCGATATAAATTTTATTAAATGGAATCAGGATAAAGCAATGACTTTCTCCATTCTTCCTTTGAGGGAGGGAGTACATTTCTATACAAAATACTGTCATATTTGTAAAAATTCTACACATTGGATTTTAAAATGTAAAGTTAATCTCCTAAATATATTTTCAAAGCTTGTTTTCATTAGAGATTCAATATACTGTTATGCAAAAAACAAGATATATATTCTCTTTAATATAATCAACATAATTGTTTGGGAAGTCTTTAATAGTGTTCGGTTCAAATATAGTCACTTCCTATTTATTTATTCATAAATGAATTCAGCAATTATTTAGTTTCTAATACAAAACATTATAATAGGTACTACAGGGAAATATGAAATAAAAAATAATTTTTTAAATAATTTTTTAAAAAAGGACAAAAATTGAGTGTTGCAACAATGAAATAAAGTTCTTATTGAGAAAGTAAAGAGAAAATGTTTTGGGGTTGAGCCTTAGAGAATGAAAAGAATTCTATTCAGACAAGTGGTGTTAACTGATGTGGTTTGGGCATAGTTGGTTCGGTTAAGTTTTATCATTTGTTTGTAGAAATTGAATTATATGTTGATCAATGGCAAACTTTGGAGGCAAACAAAATTGGATCTTAAATGCTCAATAATTAATACAACTGGGAAGAAAACAAGCAAACAAAATAAACATAACTGACCTCAGCCTAGTATTGGATGGAAGTAAACCTGAAAACAACAGCAAATTCCAAACTATATTTTTGTCAAATTTCATAGTTTTATTTATACCCAATAAGTTGCTCTTACTCTAATATAGTAGCCAGTGTACATTTAACAGCCTCTTAACTTGAAGGAAACATGGTGAGAGAATTGTATATCAGGAGAAAGGAATGATACGGACAGATGGAGAGCTGAGTCTGTGGATAATGAAACCTATTATGCCTCCAGCAGACTTCACTCCAACCTTGGGGAGGCCTGATGGGATATTCTGGGTTGTCTTGGAGCTTGACATAAAATTGATATTTTTCTGAAGTGCCTGGAAATGTACGAATCTAAAACATTATCAATCCTGACTTTTTTATTACCAAACTCGAATCTTGCATTTCCTTTTTACAATTACCTTTCAACCAATGTGAAATACATCAAGAAGAAACTCTTATTTGATTATTTCAAGTTTTTAGTATTCTGTAACACTTGCTGTTATCCTTTATAAAAGATATGTGAGGCCTTAGGCTCAGAGTTTTGATAGGCAAGAGTATTCAGATAGTATGTACTAGTATTTTATTTCTATTACATTCATGACAGGAGACACTACTTTCCTATTTATGATATAACATAAAGTTGGCTTCTTAAGAACAAATGTATTTAATTTTATAATAATTAATAGAAAACATTAAGAAAATTAATAGTATGGATGACACCTAGATATGGCAAAATCACAAGGCTAGTACACTAATTAGTAAAGTGTTGAGACACTGCTCTGAGGTGAGGGAGAATATCAGAGGGTGTGCTGTAGGTTTCACAGAATTCAGTCAGCCAGAAGTCGTGGCACAATTATGATAGAACCCTTCTCTCTGTATACCTTCAGCTCAGTTTATCTCTAAGTCAGTGTTAGGCAATTGTGAACATGATAGATAGTTTTAGGAAGGCAAAGCCAGCTGTTGCTTTTAATCTTGTGTACTATGAAAGCAGAGGGAGAAATGTTTGCTTTCTCTTTTATTTGTGTTAACATCATAATAAAACACATGGCCTGTTCTTTTGTTTATTTTTGACCTTTTCTGCAAAGTTGTGAAAGCTGGTGATTTTTCCATTATTGGCAAGAGAGAAAGGGGCAGATCTAACTTAGATGGGCAGTTTTGGTGTTTATCTGGGTTTTTGTTTTTATTTTCGGTGTGTTTGATCAGAAATGAATATATGGGGCCATAAAGAGTCTAAAATTTTTAAGGACTGATTCATAAAGAAATATGATTTTTTTAAAAAATTAAAGTTATAATTTTAATATTAAAACATATCCCCTCTGTTATATGTCTAGAAATAACACATATATGCTAAAAAGAAAGAAGTTAATTATAGGATAATGATGTATTTTATGACAAATGCTTATTCAGTTATGAATTTTAAATTAGTTTTTTTAATGAAAAAGTATAATCATTAAATATTTTGGTAACAAATTCATGATTGTCTGTATTATACTCAACATATCAGATCAAATTAAATAAAACTCAAATAATTAGATCACAAAAGTAGCATCGATATAGTAATTAAGTGTTGGTAACTGGCTGTGCCTGGTGACTCAAGCCTGTAATCCCTCTACTTTGGGAGGCAGAGTCGGGAGGATCCCTTGAGCCCAGGAGTTCAAGACCAGCCTGGGAACATGGCAAAACCCTGGTCTCTACAGAAAATAGCAAAGTTAGCCTGGCATGGTGGCACACGCCTGTAGTCCCAGCCACTCCAGAGGCTGATACGGGAGAATCACCTGAGCCTGGGGAGGATAAGGCTGAGCCATAATTGCACTGCTGCACTCTAGCCAGGATGACAGAGTGAGACCCTGTCTCAAAACAAAAACAAACCCAGAAAACAAAAAATAAAATGAAAAACCCCCAAAACAAACAAAAAATAAATATTGGTAACTAATTATATTGGCTCCCAAAAATAAGAATTCTGTATTTGACAATTTTTGAATTCTGCTTTTTTTTTTTAGTGATCTTTACAAATTTGTGGGCTTTGAACTATTTGTTAGCAGAGACAGAGTTTGAACCCATGATTGTTATTAGTAGATGATCTTAGTAATTATTTGATTAAAATAAACACACATTAGAAGCTCAACAGATATTAGTCTTTCTACTTGCCATCTATTTCCTTCTGCTTTGAGTTATTACAATTGATTAGTCCAAATACTCTGAACCATCTTTACGTTTGGAGTATGTTCATTCTGCAACTGATCAGCAATCTATCTTTCTTTTGATAAATTGCTCTTAATAATGTTCAGTCCATTCATTAATAACTTCATTTTTGCATAGGTTCAATTATTTTGAAACCACAAGGGAGCGACTTTTGTGTTTGTGGAGTGTATTTCCTTGAAATGTTTAACATTCTTTGCTTCTGTATCATTGATGTCACGAATCCTTTTAATGTTTTGACTTTTCTTTTCTCTCGGAGTTTATGACATCTCTTCTGTTACATGCTGACAAAGAGCACTATAGATTAACATCATTTTGTTAGAAATTTTAGCAAGCTCTTCCTGGAGGTTTTCCTTCACAAACACTGTTACTGCTTGGGTTTAGACGTCAAATGCATTATCGTCTAAATCGCTCTACTTCTTTCAAGATGCTTATAGGAGTTGAGCACACAAACCTAATAGAGGAAAAGCAATTTTGTCTTTTTTTTTTTCAGTGTGCTGCTTTCTGCTGGTAGCTTCATTTAAAGCAAGTGAGCATCACATTTTTAAATCAATATTAAATGCTGAAAGGAATTTGAGAAACGTTTCTCAAATTTGGGCACTTGTGGACTATCAAGAGTACCTATGAGGACTACAAAGATTTTTCAATTTTAAAAATTCAAAACCTCGACTTTAGGTTTTGGTTTCATGGCTGTGCCCAGTTATAAAGTGGTCATCTAAATGATCCACAATTTGTGTATGTGTTTATATTACCATAATTATAAAAACAAAGCACAGTCATCCCTTCATAGTCATGAGTTATACATCTGTGGATTCAACCAATCCTGGATCAAAAATACATTTTTTTGAATCGCATCTGCACTAAACATATGCAGACATTTTTTCTTGTCATATTCCTTAAACAACATGGTATAATAACTATTTACATATCATTTACATTGGATGAGGTATTATAAGTAACCTAGAGCTTATTTAAAGTACAGTTATGTGCTACATATTGATGTTTTAGACCACATATACAATGGTGGCCCCATAACATTCTAATGAAGCTGAAAATTTTCTACTGTCTAGTGATATCACAGCCATTTTAACATTATAGTGCATGGCATTGCCTTTGCTATGTTTAAATATGTTTAGATACACTAATACAGTTGTATTCCAATTGCCTGTGGTATTTAGTACCCTAACATGCTGTACAGGTTTGCAGCCTAGAAGTGATAGGGCTGTACCATATAGCCTAGGTGTATAGTCGGCTATATCATCTAGGTTTGTGTAAGTACATTCTATGAAATTCACGCAACAAAAAAATTGCTTAACAACATTTCTCAGAATGTATCCCTATGGTTAAGTGATTCATGACTGAATAGAGGAGGATTTGCATATAATCTATAGAGGAGGATTTGCTTAGATTATATGCAAATACTATGCCATTTTATAACAGGAACTTGAGCATCAATAGATTTTGGTATTTGCAAATACTATGCCATTTTATAACAGGAACTTGAGCATCAATGGATTTTGGTATTTGTGAGAGGTCCTGGAATCAATTCCCTAGAGATACTGAGGGAAAACTGTACTTTAAAATTCTACTGGACCACTTGTGGACACATAAGCAGATCTGTAGACCTCAGTTCAAAAAAATATTGACCAGCTGATATAGTACCATTTCATAGGCGAGAAAACTAAATCCAAAGAGGCGTGGGAACCTTGTCCAGGATCACCAAAGAGTTACAGAGAGATGTGTTGGTAAGAAAATTGTGAGTGTGTGTGTATGTGTGTGTGTGTGCACACATGCGCGTGGGCCTGTATGAGCATGTAACTTAGTTTGTACCACCTGGTTTTACTTTGCTTTCTATCTTGAAACAATGTATTGAACTTTACTTAAAGGTTATGGTCATACTGAATCCTGGAACACTACTTGAGAAAATGGTATTATAATTAATCGAAATATTAGTGTTTATTCTTTGTCTTATTTTTTGTAAGAATCTACTCATCCAATTAAACATGGAAAGCCAAAAGTGTATTGTACTGCCAAAAATGAAAAAACAACATATGCCTGAATTCATGGAAGGACTGTGTGTAATGTAGAAGATAAAATGAAACATATGGAATATGTAATAAAAAACAAAATCAAGCATATTGATTATAGTTACCTAGTGATTGCCTATTTAAATACTAAAAATTTAAGAATTTAATTTAAAAGACATCAACAATATTTATCTATTAGTTATAAAATATGCCAGGAGATGGTTATCACAGGATACCTTTTAATCTACAAATGTTGAAATTTTAAGTTTAGGCAAATCAAGGAATGACAATGACATCGGCAATGAAGTTCAGATCTTCAAACTTGCAGTATCTCCATCGGAGCAATTTTCAATTACAAGAAGATAATGTAGTTAATGTGCCTCTTCGTCTCTCCAATAATAGTAATGCAGTTTATTTTTACAAAGAAGTCATAAATGCTTTCCATTCTATACATGGAACATTAAATAAATGCAAAAAAAACCCACCTCAGCTAGATTGTTTCAGATAGCATTTTTTGACAATTGCTTTATAGTTCCAATTTCTATGAGGCTTATATAGTAATTTATTTTCTTTTTCTTTTCTTTTGAGAGATGGAGCCTCCCTCTCTCAGCCCAGGCTGGAGCACAGTGGCATAATGATGGCAGTTCACTGAAACTTGAAACTCCTTGGCTCAAAGGATCCTGCCATCTCAGCCTGCTGAGAGGCTGGGACTATGGCACCATCCCTGGCTAATTGTTTTAGAGACAGACTCTCGCTATGTTGCCCAGGATGGGTAATTTCATTCTTAAAAAGAATTTTAGGAATTAAAGGAAATATCTTCTTTCAATTTATTTAGAGGTGTAAGTTTTGAGATATTTATTTATAATTTTAAATGCTTTTGTTTGATAAACTAAAGCAAGTTTAGACATTTTTCTAAACCACATTAAAGGAATTATTAAAACATGATTTTATTGGATATCTAACTTTATCACGTTAGCTTATGCTGGGTAACAGCTTTCTGGAGCCCACAAGGGGGCAGACTAAGAACGTATGAAAGAAAACAATCCTTACGCTGTAGTCACTAACTGGCGGAGTTCCGTTCCAACTGAATGCATTTGGCTTTATTTCCTTTTTACTGAATTTTATCTTATTTTCTTCTGACCGAAAGCAATTTCAGTTTCTTTGCACTGTATTGGAAAATTGAGCACTTAAAAATCTAAACTCATTTGACGATACGCATCTTCTCTCTTATTGTCTTCTAAGTGAAAACTGTACGGAAATCATACATGATTAAGCTGAAGAAGTAAATTGTAATAATTTCTAATCCATTATTTTACATTAATTTTTAAATAATAGTTTGTTTGTTTGTTTGTTTATTTTGAGACAGAGTCTCGCTCTGTTGCCCAGGCTGAGGTGCAGTGGCGCAATCTCGGCGCAATCTCTGCTCAGTGCCACCTCCACCTCCTGGGTTCAAGTGATTCTCCTGCCTCAGCCTCCCGAGTAGTCTGGACTACAGGCGCGTTCCATCATGCCTGGCTAATTTTTTGTATTTTTAGTAGAGATAGGATTTCACCATGTTAGCCAGGATGGTCTCCATCTCCTGACCTCGTGATCCGCCCACCTCGGCTTCCCAAAGTGCTGAGATTACAGGCATAATTTGCTTATTTTCAAAAGAAAACGACAAAATAACTGTCATTTTTAATATCAATTGTATAAATCAGTATTTTATTAATAAACGGTTCTGGCATTCTTGCATTTCCTTTAGTTTTATTGTGTCCTTGTAATTCGATTGCAACCTTTAAACATCTCTCTGTATTTACCAGAAGATTATTTGATTAGTTAATAAAATATTTTCTAACAGGAGCTGTTTTTGGCAGGGAGGTATTATTTTTATCTTTGCTCATATATTTCACACTGGTAATCATGTGTAACAATTTTGAGACTAAACTATTGAAAGTCATTCTTTAGCAAATAAAGTAAAATCTCTTTTTAATTGATTCTTAATCATTAAAATAATTTTCAAAATATTTTCAAGGAATATGTCCAACTTCGATTCACTGTAAATAAATGAGATTTAGCTAATATACTAATGCATGTTACTTCTAATTTAATTAGATTAAAAATAGAATTCATCTAACAGTCTATATACTTAAATATATTCAAGCAAAGTGTTTTACTTAAATTAGTATAAAGTATGAAGTTTCTTATTTCCTAAGCCAATCTTCAATTCCAAATTACTGATTGAGTTCTAGCTCATGTATATAACTTCTCGTATACTCCAGGGAGCCACAGTTTAATCTTATTGACAATTTCTTTGTTTGAGATTTTATGTATATGTGTATACCTATATATACACACACATACATATGTACATATATGCATATGTGTACACGCTATATGTTCATATTTGGTATTTAATTTATAGAATAAATATTTTAAAGGTTATAAAGTTGTGATTAGATCTCTAAATAGATACTATGTATCTTTACTTAAGGATAAAGCGTATGCAGGAGAAAAATTTTCCAAGATTTGAAATGGTCATAGCTGAAAGGCCAATTTACATGTAATCCTGTTAAATTGGTCCTCACCCTCAGAAAGTTAAGAAGCGTTTGAAAAAAGATGCATTCTCTAAACTTCGAGTATTTTACAGGCATAGAATTTTAAAGCTGACACATAGTGAACATTGCACTATTAGGATGAGCCACTTTTTAGGGAAGGGAGTTTAATCACCAGAGAGCATAATTCTGGGAACTCTTGAAGATCAGAAGACTGTAACTTTTAGCTTTAGTAATTTAGAGTTAAAAAGAACATGAAGTTTCTTTTTGGATGGCATGAACTAATACTGGTATGCCTGGTTCATCCAGAAGCAGTTAGAACATGTCTTTCCAGGTCTCGGAAGTAGAAGGGACTGCAGGTTTGCTGAGTCATAACACCATATGGCATAATAGCAGGGCTCCTTGAAGAGCGAGTCACCTCGTGAAGACTTTGTGGGAGGTCGAAACCTTTGGAGAATCTGAAGGCTCAGCTTGAAAGGGAAGAGTGACATTGTGTCATCAAGAGATAAATGAAGAGTATGTTTGATAAAGAGTTCAGCTGACTGGTGTTTTACTTTACTTGTAAGAAAGAGGGCTCACTCAGATACAACCTCCAAATGAAGTCAATGGATGTTCACTAAGAAAAAACAGCTCTAGAATGAAACACTCAGCCTTCTTTTGCAGGCTTGTAGTCTTTTTCAGCACTTTAAAAGTACTGACAACGGTGCCTCTTGTTTTAAAGAAATTGGCAAATGAGAGAGAAGCCTCCTCTCAGCCTCCTCTTGATTTTTTATAAGAGACTTCAGTTTTAAAGAATCTTGGACTTTCCAAAATGGGCTATTTTTAATTTTATAACAATGCTCAAGCCTAGGGAGAGGAGGAGCTAAGAATTTTTGAAATGCCATTGGAAATAATTCCAGCCCTAATTAATCTCTTTTTGGCATCAAGAGAAAGAAATTGTGAATATTTATTCTAAGAGAATAATTTAAAGTACTGGTACCAAGATTAGACCCCGTTTAACAATAATATAATATAAAATAAACTTGAAAAACTCCGGGAAAGCTATGAAAAGTTTATTTTATTTTATTTTTTAATTTAATTTTATTTATTTTCAATACTGCTCCTCCTGTAAATGAAAAATTTTAAAGGCTAGAAGGCTAGACATAAGTTACATGAAACAATCAACAAGGTTTAGTGATTTTTTGGCATTTGGTAACAACCAGCAGCTGTGGTTTTTTTGAGGTTAAAATGGTCACCAGCCACAGCTGTGTGCTTTTTTTCCCACTGCTTCCTTTTGACGGGTTGCTGGGCAGATATTCCTCAGGTCCAGGTTAAAGAGCTCAGAGCACAGAGGAAATCAAAATCTTCTCCTGGATCCTGCGTGTCATGCCCCCTCTGGCACCTGGTGAGTTTCTAAATGCCTGAGCACCTTTTTGGTTTACTGGGTATTTGTGCAGCTCAAATTCCCTCCTGCCGCTCCCCAACACATACACTTAGGGCCAAAGCAACATACCAATTTGCAGTGATTCATTGCAGAATGTTAAATGCTTTTTCCACTATTGAGGTACATCAGAAGTGGTATTGATTTGTTTATATGGTAAAGAAACTAAGCATAATTAACTCTTGATTATCCACGTTGCACACTATTAACAACAGAGCTGTGGATCTTTGCGGCAGTCTCAGGAATCTTGAGATTTTCCTGAGGTTACCTAGTTAGTGGTTTTATACTTAATCTGGTATTTGTATGATTCAGATTCCCTTGTTTTCCTACCACCCTTTCTAAGAAAGCAAAAAGTAGTCTCCAAAATCCTTAAGCAATTGATGGCAAAGCCTTTGAAACTGGCCTATGGGGGTTGGCTTCCAGCTCTGCCACTTATTAGCCATGGGACCTTGGAAACCCATGTAAATTCAATTTCTTCCTTTTCCTTCTCTGCAAAATACCTATTAATATTGTTGTCAGCCGGGAGCGGTGGCTCACGCCTGTAATCCCAGCACTTGGGGAGGCTGAGGAGGGCGGATCACCTGAGGTCAGGAGTTCAAGACCAGCCTGGCCAACATGGCGAAACCCCGTCTCTACTAAAAAATACAAAAATTAGACGGGTGTGGTGGTGGGTGCCTGTGATCCCAGCTGCTCCAGAAGCGGAGGCAGGAGAATCTCTTGAACCCGGGAGGCGGAGGTTACAGTGAGCCGAGATCGCGCCACTGCACTCCAGCCTGGGCAACAGAGTGAGACTCCATCTCAAAAAAAAAAAAAAAAAAAAAAAAAAAAAAAAAATATATATATATATATATATATATATATGTATACTTATATATATATTTTATATATGTCAAAAAATATATGTATATTTTTATATATACTACATATATTGTTTACCTAATGAAATTGTGAAAACTAAATGTGTGCACACACGTATTTATATATTCATTTAGTTCTATGATATATACATATATACATATATGTATGTGTATATCTGTATCTATCTGTCTATCTATCTATCTATCTATCTATCTATCTATCTATCTGTAGGATTTTCTAAGATATATATTTCCTAAAGTAAAGTCTGATGAATATTATTGGTGGGTGATAAATATTACTACTGGGAAATTGAAACACTTAAATGGTGTTGGAACTCTGTACATGAAAAGAAATGTTCCTCACTCTCTAAGTCAGTGTTTCTTGATCTTCCTGTACATTGAAATCTTGTGAAGAGCTTCAAAAAAATACTGATGCTTAGGCCATACCTTCAGAGATTGAGACATAATAATAGCTCAAGGTGTGGCTTCAGCAAATGATGTTTTAAAACTCTCGTGTGATAGTAATATGAGACCACTGCCCTATGTCATAAAGGAATGACTTGACTTCACCCTTATATTTTAAGGTTGGGGAAGGAAAAAGGAAGTTACAGAAAGTAACTGCATGAGCCACAGGTTTTTAGGAGACTATCTGACACTTTTTCACATCTTATTTTTAGCATTGACAGAACCAATTACCCCCTTCCTCTTGAAATTCTTATGTCCCTGCAAATTCCTCAGAGACACTCCCCTAGTTTTTTTGCAGCTTCTCAGGCCACACAATCACTGCAGGTATAGCCAGGGCCTCATTCTGTTTCCATTTAGTGTCTCTGCAGTCCACCTACCACACTGTTCTCCTAAAGATCATATCACGTACTGCATCAATCAGAGCAACCTTCAGTGTATTTGGCTCAGCAGCCCAGGCTCCTCAGAACTTCACTTCTCCAGCCAGCTTCCCTGCCTTCTACTCTCTAGGAAAGATGTCAAAGGATGAAGTGAACTATGTGGTTTACTGCCTCCAGGATCTCCAAAGCATTGTTTCTCCTGTTGCAAATGCTTTCCCATAGCTATCCTCTTCACTGGGGACTCCTGTTTGTTCCTCCAAATTCAGGGCAAGTGTCAAGGTTTTCTTGGCAGTATGCTTCCTTCCTTCTTTCCAGTCTGAAGAACAAAATTCTTATTTCTATCAATTGAAGTGGTTAATATATTTATCTTTCTCTGTCACCAGATTGGTTTTATTTCAAATGTTCTTTTTTTGGAATCATCTAAGGGCTTCTTGATGAAGGAAAATTCTGGGTAGTGGTATCTCAAAATTCATTTGTTAAAAGAACCCTTTGAGATGATTCTTAATACACAACAAATTTGAAGAAACATCAAAATCAAGAGTCATTTACGTGTGCACATATTGAGAGGAACAATCCTTACACAGAAGCACAAACGCTTAGTTCATCTATAGTAATAAAAGGTGAAATAGACGATAGAGGTTGATATAGGGTGAGAACTTGTGGAAATTTTCTTCAATTGTTTCTGTGTCCTCGGTGAAATAGGAAGCACAGTTATCAGCTGTGATAAAAGATGGCAGAGGAGGTATTGGAGACCTGATGAGAGTTAGGAACAGAAGTCTCAAGGGACTGGAAAATTATAGTATGATTGCTAGGCATTATTAAAGGCATAATCGAGGTTTACAGACTTCATTTAAGTGGGAAATTTCAGCACTTTTTTGGTTTTCTCCAACCATGTGTAACTGCATAGGTACATGTGAAGAGTAGGCAGTAGGTGAATGTCTTCAAGGTTGGAGTTTTGATAAACAAGTACATTAGTAGAGATCCACGGGGGTTGATGGTTGATGGCTTATGCAAGGGAGGCATTGCTCTAACTGACCACAGAACATATTCTGGGTAAGGAAGAGAAAAAATTACATTAGGGCAATGAGGAAGAGTGAAGTGTTGGATATAGTCAATGAATTTTAACTTCTATTATTTCTTAAATGTTATTAAAATTAGAGACCCAACTGGAGTGAACTGGAATGTTTGGTATTGATATTATAGAGTAGGCACAGTAATTGATCATAACACATTCTAGGATTGACCATGAGAGTTTTTTATCCACTAAAAGAACAAGATTATTAGGGGAGAGAATTCCAAACAGCTGGGATTCTAGGTAGCTCGACGGATCATCTAGATAAATACTGAGATTACCAATGTAATTGTGAGATATTGTCAGTGAGCTCAAAATCTTTTAAGATATGAGGGAGAGTAACACAGGGCTCAGGAGTTGACTACAAAAAGGACTGATAGTGGTGGTAAGGTCTATTGCAAGCTTTTTCTGTAAAGGGTCAGATAATAAATATTTTAGGCTTTGCCAGTCACATATAGTCTTTGTTTCCTGCTCCTGTTCCTCCCTCCTCCTGCTCTTCTTGCTCCTGCTGTTGCTCCTCCTGTTCCTCCTCCTCCACTGCTACCATCACTGCTTCTTATTTTTCTTATTTTTTCCACAGTGCTTTATAATGTATAAACCATTTTTAGCTTAGAGTTGTTCAAAAACAGGCAAGAGGTTGAATTTGGCCAGTAGGCTGTGGGTTGCTAACCCCTGAACAAAACTGGCGGTAGAAGGAATGTTCTTCAAGGAGCAGTAAGGCAAATCCGTACCTCACTCCTAGCCCTTGTGATGTAAGGAATATAGAGAAAGCAGCGTCCTCAAGTAAGTACTAAATTTCAGTTGTTAGAAGTTGAAGAGGAGGAAAATAGAAAATGTTGGAGAATTCCACCCCCCCCCCAATTTTTTGCTGATACTAATAAAGCCAGAATACACTTACGTGTACCAGTCTGTCTTGTAGACCTATGTTTCAATTTGTTTTGAGAAAAACACCTGAAATAGAATTGCCAGATCATTGGAATTTTTGGATTTTCTCCCAAAGTAATCCCCCTGTTTTGAAATTGTATCACTGCCACTCAATTTTACTAAAAATTAAACTAATCTAAAAACATTATCACCTTTATGAAGATAAAGTTCCAACTTTCAGAATGTTAATTTCATAGATCTCAGTAGGCTGACACTCTGACCTGCTTCTCCTGTCTGCTTTTTGCCTTTAGGACAAAAAGCAGAATATCAAAGTGTCAAAGAAAATATTTGCTTAATGTACAAATATCACAGATAACAGTTAAAAACCCCACTTTCTGGCCAAGAAGGTGTTTGCTTGTTAGTATCCATGTTAGTGTCACTGCTTTCTACCCTTGAAGAAGGATCAGATAAAACAATAGCACACGCCAGGCATGGATGAGTTCTAGAGATTATTTCAAAGCAGCCAACACATTTTTTATTTGTACATGGTACAGAAACGGTCAATTTGGGACCATAATCCAACTTATGTTTCTATTCATTACCTTTAATATTAACCTACAACTCTCCTTATTTACTCAGAAAATCATCATTCCACAATTGCTTTTTAACAAATTCCTGCTGTAGATATGTGTGGCATATTCTACTAGTTGCCTATATTATTGGTTTCTTTCCTTTCCTTTTCTTTTCTTTTCTTTCTTTATTTTCTGCCTGTTTTACAGATTAAGTGCTTTTATCTTTTTCCAACTTTTATCCCCTGGACTTTTTTTTTTCATTTTTCATTATTTTAAAAGTTTTGGGGCAACAGGTGGTATTTGGTTAGATGGATAAGTTCTTTAGTGGTAATTTCTGAGATTTTGTTGCACTCATCACCTGAGCAGTGTACACTGTCCCAGTGTGTAGTATTTTATCCCTCACCGCCCTCTCAACTTTCCCCCCAAGTCCCCTGTGTTCATTATATCATTCTTATGCCTTTGTGTCCTCATGACTCAGCTCTGACTTATAAGTGAGAACATATGATATTTTGTTTTCCACTCCTGAGTTATTTCACTTACAGTGATGGTCCCCAAACCCATCCAGGTTTCTGAAAATTCCATTATTTCATTTCTTTTTATGGCTGGGTAGTATTCCATGGTGTGTGTGTGTGTGTGTGTGTGTGTGTGTGTGTAACATTTTCTTTGTCCACTTGTTGGTTAATGGGCATTTAGGCTGATTCCATATTTTTGCAATTGCAAATTGTGCTGCTGTAAACATGCGTGTGCAAGTGTCTTTTTCATATAATGACTTCTTTTCCCTTTGGGAAGATACCCAGTAGCAGGATTACTGGATCAAATGGTAGTTCTACTTTTAGTTCTTTAAGAAAGTTCCGTACTGTTTTCCATAGTGGTTGTATTACTTTACATTTCCACCACAGTGTAAAAGTGTTTTCTTTTACACTTTTGTCCACATCCATGCCAACATCTATTATTTTTTGATTTTTAAATTATGGCCTTCTTGCAGGAGTAAGGTGGTATTGCATTGTGGTTTGATTCGCATTCTCTGATAATTAGTGATGCTGAGCATTTTTTCATGTTTCTTGGACACTTGTATATCTTCTATTGAGAATTGTCTATTCATGTCCTTAGCCCATTTTTTGATTGGATTATTTTTTTCTTGCTGATTTGTTTGAGTTCCTTGTGGATTCTGGATATTAGTCCTTTGCTGGATGCATAATTTGCAAGGATTTTCTCCCACTCTGTGGGTTGTCTGTTAACTCTGCTGATTATTTCATTTGCTGTGCTGTGCAGAAGTGTGTTAGCTTAATTAAGTCCCACCTATTTATTTTTGTTTTTGTTGCATTGGCTTTTGGGTTCTTCATCATGAACACTTTGCCTAAGCCAATAGGTAGAAGATGTTTTTTCCAACGTTATCTTCTAGAATTTTTATGGTTTCAGGTCTTAGATTTAAGTCTTTGATTCATCTTGAGTTGATTTTTGTGTAAGATGAGAGATAAGGATCCAGTTTCATTCTTCTCCATGTGGCTTGCCAGTTATCCCAGCATCATTTGTTGAATAGGTTGTCTTTTCCCCACTTTATGTTTTTGTTTGCTTTGTTGGCTGTAAGTATTTGGCTTCATTTCTTGGTTCTCTATTCTGTTCCATTGGTCTACATGCCTGTTTTTATACCCGTACCATGCTGTTTTGGTAACTATAGCCTTGTAGTATAGTTTGAAGTCAGGTTATGTGATGCCTCCAGATTTGTTTTTTGTTTGTTTGTTTGTTTGTTTGTGTTCTGCTTAGTCTTGCTTTGGCTATGTGGGCTCTTTTTCAGCTCCACATGAATTTTAGAATTTTTTTTCTAGTTCTGTGAAGAATAATGATGGTATTTTGATGGGAATTGCATTGAATTTATAGATTGCTTTTGGCAGTATGGTCATTTTCACAATACTGATTCTACCTATCCATGAGAATGGGATGTATTTCCATTTGTTTGTGTCATCTATGATTTCTTTCAGTAGTGTTTTGTAGTTTTCCTTGTAGAGATCTTTCACCTACTTGGTTAGGTATATTCCTAAGTATCTCATTTAATTTTATTTTTTTGCAACTGTTGTAAAAGGGGTTGAGTTCTTGATTTGATTCTCAGCTTGGTCACTGTTGGTGTATAGCAGAGCTACTGATTTGTGTACTTTTATTTTGTATTCTGAAACTTTACTGAATTCATTTATCAGATCTATGATCTGATGAGTCTTTAGGGTTTTCTAGGTATATAATCATATAATCATATCACTGGCAAACTGTGACAGTTTGACTTCCTCTTTACTGATTTGGATGCCCTTTATTTCTTCCTCTTGTCTGATTGCTCTGGCTAGGGTATTGCCTTATTTCTTAAAATAAGAATGTGCAATTTGCCCAACTACTAAAATTCTATTTTGCAAAATTCCTTGTGACACCGTCCTAGAAAATGAAATATAAGAAGTCTCTTTGTTGGATCTTCTGAGATTACTACTGTTTTCCTGATAAAATAAAATTACCTCAAATACAGCTCTTCTGCCATATCCCTTCTCTGCCTAGATATAATATTTAGACGGTACTCAAAAATACAATTATAAGTATGCACACACAAACAGACACTGAGGATGGTGAGTATATTAGTCTGTTTTCATGCTGCTGATAAAGACATACCTGAGACTGGGAAGCAAAAGGGGTTTAATGGACTTACAGTTCCACATGGCTAGGGAGGCCTCACAATCATGGTGGAAGGCAAGGAGGAGCAGGTTATGTCTTGCATAGATAGCGGCAGGCAAAGAGACAGAGAGCTTGTGCAGGGAAACTCTCATTTTTAAAACCGTTAGCTCTTGTGAGACTTATTCACTATCATGAGAACAGCATGGGAAAGAGTCACCCCCATAATTCAATTACCTCCCACTGGGTTCCTCCCATGACACATGGGAATTGTGGGAGTTACAATTCAAGATGAGATTGGGGTGGGGACACAGTCAAACCATATCAGTGAGTACAAAGATAGAAAAAGCTTTAGTCCCTGATAACGGTGTG
Organism: Homo sapiens; assembly: GCF_000001405.40. Classification (NCBI taxonomy): domain Eukaryota; kingdom Metazoa; phylum Chordata; class Mammalia; order Primates; family Hominidae; genus Homo; species Homo sapiens. The sequence goes on along the minus strand of NC_000003.12, from coordinate 151,829,017 downwards.
GAGCTTCTGCGCCATCTGAAGACTGCCTGTAGTTGGGCTTCTTTATAATTAGAATACACTACATAGTTCATAGTTAATACAAGTAATTCTGCTCAGCCTTAAAGATATTCCATTTTATTTTTCTCCCTGCAATATTGGGATGGGCTTTTCAGAGATTAAAATTTTCTCTGATTTTTCTATCATTGGTCAGTGACTTCCACATCTGTAGTCTTTGGCTGTTAGGTCAGTGTTCATCCCAAATATTTCTTCTGTCTTTACTAAACTTCAGTTTCTCTACCTTTCCTCAAATAAAAAGCAGCTAATTCCCCAAAGTACCACAGTGATTTTTTTTTTTTTTTAGCATTGGTTAGTTTAACACTTGGTATCTGAATTCTAAAAGTGTTTCATAAAGAAATTTACAGTGGTAATAAATTGACATTTCACTGAGGCAACTGCTTTTGAAAAGAATTGGCACTTAATTCATATCTGTGATTAGGGATGTTTCACGTTATAAATGAACATTGAATAAAATCTTGACATTACTCAGACAGGCAATATTTGCTCACATTTATTCTCTTGCATCGTAAATAGTAGCCAACTCACAAAAATAAAGTATACAAGAATGTAATATTTTTTAAAATAAGATTAACAGTGTAAGAAGGAAAATCTCAGAAAAAGCAGATAGACAATGTAGAAAATTGAAATGAAATCCCACAGTAAGAAAAAAAAAACAGAAAAGTGCCTATTTAAGAATTATGCTACATGTGGAACTTAACTAGACCATTCTAAGAAAGACCAATTTCTAATGCAAATTTTCTGAGGTTTTCAGATTTTATTTTTAAAATATGTTATAGCTACATGTTTTACTATAGATTTTCCTTTAGCCACTCAATATACTGATTTATAAGTCTGTGACTAATTTTAAGTCCCAGAAATGAAAATGCTCCATGGAATCCATCCTCAACATGGTTATGAGTCACCTGAACCCCAGTGTTGCGAAGTCGGGTGACATACATGAGTCCATCATCTCTTAAGAGATCATATTGACAGGTGATGACATAGGTCAGGGGTAAGCCACGTAATTTGTTGTCATCAGCCAACAAAGGGGCTGCCCTCACATCTAGGAACCCTGGATATTTTTTAGCCAGCTCAGAACTGCCATAATTTGGATTGTTATAAACATGTCCTTTTATAAACCTCTCAGGGAGCAGGGAACTCCAATTAACAAATTTGAAGAGATGACTTGATTCCACAGGTACATGTTGTCTGGAAAGCATGGCTTTTTCAAGTGATCTATCAGTGGTAAAATATTCACTCCAGAATCTGACCATGAGTGATTTGGATAGAAATAGAAAATTTGAATTTTCTTGATATGACGGTAAATCTACATCAAGAGGCTGAAGGGCAGGATAAATTAAAGACTGGATCTTGAGTTTGATCTTGACATCTGGGTCATCAAGGAGCTGAGAAGCAAGATGATTTGCACAAATCATTTTCATTTAAAACAATAAAATATCCCTAATAAGATTATCTATCTGTCTATCTATCTTGTTTTTATCTATCTATCTATTCATGATCTCAAAAAGACTTAAGTAATAAATGAAACATACCACCACAGCAAACTTTCTAACATTCAAAATGGGTTTCTAGAACTAGATGTTCATCAATATTTTCAACTTAAGGAAAATCATCTGTCATATATGCTTTATGGATAATGCAAAAAGATCTAAGTGATCATTAGAAAGTTAATCTCCTTTCTGCTAGGAATGATAACCAGAAGAATTGCATAAATATTATCTTCTGTTCATGTAAGAGTTTATTAAAATAGGCCTGGTATGGTGGCTCATTCCTGTAATCCCAGAACTTTGCAAGGCTGAAGTGTGGATTGCTTGAGGTCAGGAGTTTGAGACCAGCTGGCTAACATGGCAAAAACCCGTCTTGACTAAAAATACAAAAATTAGCCAGGTATGGTAACGCACACCTGTCATTGAAGCTACTCAGGAGGCTAAGACACAAGAATTGCTTGAACCCATGAGGTGGAGGTTGCAGTGAGCTGAGAAAACACCACTGCACTCCAGCCTGGGAGACAGAGTGACACACTGTCTCAAAAAAATATATTATTAAAATATACCAGTATATCAATAAGCTTTGCCATGAAGAAGAAGGATCACTTAATAGAGGTTTCTGACATGGCTTTGATGCTAAAGCGACATGTTACTTTAGGAGATTTGGGCAAGACTTCTGTGTGAAATGGTCTATTAACATCATCTTTTATATCAAGTCTGTTGTGCTAATATTTGTAATAATCAGTGGTCTGTAAAGAGGGATATACCAATACCAGGGAGGAAAAAAGGAGACTTATAAGAATGAAATATTACAAAATATGTTTTAAATTGTGAAAACATATAGGTTAAAAAATAATTTTGTGTTTTTGAAGTGTGTAATATACTATAAAAGATGTATAGAACTTCTAAATAAAAGTACAGATATTATTAGATGTAACCCCAAATATTTTGCAAATTGTAGTATTTATCCACATTTTAACTATAATTATCAAAATAGACCATTGTGGAGCCTATTTGTAAAGATTGTTACAAGTTGCCAGGTATTTTTATATAAATTTATTCATATGACTCTCAAACAACTCTTTAAAGTTGAAAGAGTTCATTTTTCTTACAGGTGAGGAAATGAATGTTTATTTAGGGAGATTAAGCCAATATCAAATCTAGAAATTACTGCATCTCCAAGTTTCCTGATGTCCAGTCTAATGCTTTTGCTGCTACATTATGAAATCCATAATAATGATTAGAAATCTATCTGTGAAGTTTCAAATACTTGTTCTATATTGTGGTTGAAACAAAGTGCAACTATGATTCTTTACTTTTGAGAATATTGTCCAACAGATTCTAGCAGTCAAAATGCTTTTAGTGTGAAAAATTATAAATAAATATAATTAACAAAACAAATAACAGCAATGTTTTAAAATTGCTGTAGAACCCTCGTTTGTAACTAAAGTCAACTAATAAAAATCTAACCTTCTACATATGTTCTACTTAACTTCTACATAATCCCAGAGTGCTGGGATTGCAGTTCTGAGCTACCAGATGCAGCCTATAATTTTAAATGAATGATTTATCCAAAGAATTAACATTAGAGAGAAGATCTTAGGTAGCTTCTTCTCCTGACTGCTACTCCATGGGAAAATAGTTCCTTTGCGACTACTACATGAGAAAAGAGTTTAGATGTTTAAACAATCAATAGCAGTGTTTCTCCTTCATCATAAAAACAAAATCTATTCTACATATAATCTGGGACAAAAATGCCATTTGTTATTATTATTATTATTATATTGCCATTATTAAATGACAGATAAAAAGATCTGATTTTACATCTACATACAAAAATCTTTTGAATTCTTCATATTTCTTCTTTGTAAGTAGCATGGGAATCTTTGAATGTGTTGATAATTTTCTTAAAATAGGATGATTATTATGGTAATAAAGGAATACACCATCGAAGATTATATGAATTCGTCTGAATCTCTAATAGCGTAATAGGGTCATTAGTCTCACAATTACATGATCTCATTCACCTACTTAATATAATATTTTACTGACACATATTATTTTATTTTTTATGCTTTTAAGAGACAGGGCCTTATTCTGTCACCCAGGCTGGAGTACAGTGGCACGATTACACCTTACTGTAACCTTGAACTCCTGGGCTTAAGAGATCCTTCTGCCTCAGCCTCCTCAGCCTCCTAGGTAGCTAGGACTACAAACTTACACTATTATGCCAGGCTAATTTTTCTTTTTTCTTTTTTTTTTTTTGTAGAGACAGGGTCTCACTGTGTTTCCCAAGCTGCTATCAAACTCCTGGTCTCAAGTGATCCCTTTGCCTTGGCCTCCCAGAGCGCTGGGATTGCAGTGCTGAGCTACCACATGCAGGCTATAATTTTAAATGAATGATTTATCCAAAGAATTAACATTCCCTTAAGGAAGAAAAAAAAATCTATGACAGAAGCAGGGATTGATATTATAATGTTTTAGTCATTTCTTCTCAATATTCTCTTTAATAGTTTCAAAAAATCAATATCTCCTATTTGCATTCATATTTTAATACATGCATTCAATATGTTTATAAATATGTTTTTAAAACAGCGTAGAAACGCTATTTTTAAAAAGCATAGAAATTATGAACATACCTGTTGAGTCACTGCTGCAGCTAAATTCCCTCCTGCACTATCTCCAGAAATACCGATTCTCTCAGGGTTCACACCATATTTTGCAAGAACTTTTTTACGTAAGAACCACCTTAAGGCATTATATACATCTTCAAATTGAATTGGGAAATGATACTTAGGTGCTAATCTGTAGCTGTAGAGAGAAAACATAGTTTACACATTTTTTTGTTTGTTTTGATTAGACTGTAATATATTATTGGTGCAAAAGTAATGACAAAACCGCAATAACTTTTGCACCAACCTAATACATGCTGGAGGTGCACATAAGTATATAATTTCTTTAATTTTCAAACTAAACACAGCCATATAACCAGCACTCAGATCATGAAATATAACATTGCCCGCATCCCAGAAACCTTTTGTTTACTCTCTTTAATTCCTGACGTATCCACTAATTTGACATAACAGCATAAATTAATTTTGCCTAGTTTTGGCCTTTAAATAAATAAAATCATATAGCATATACTCCTATGTATCTGGTTTCAATTGTTCAACATTATGTTTTTGAGCCTCATTCACATTGCTTCTGTCTTCCTGTATAGTACTCTATTGTTTGAATATACCACAAATCATTTACCCATTAACATGTTGATGGGCTAAGTGAAATAAGCCACTCATGGAAGAACAAATACTGTATGTTTCCACTTATATAAGGTGTCTAAAATAGTCAAATTCATAGAATCAGAGTGAAAAGATGGTTGCAAGGGCTGTGGGGAGGAGGAAATGGGGAGTTACTGATCAGCTGGCATAAAGTTTCAGTCAAACAAGTTGAATAAGCTCCACAGATCTGCTGTACAACATTGTACCTACAGTCAAAAATAATGCAAATTTAAAAATTCACTAAGAGGGTAGATCACATATTAAATGTTCTTATAAATAATTAAACAAACAATAAATACTAAATAAATATTTTTCCAAGTAAAAAAATGTTATGGGGATTTAGGCTGCTTGCAGTCTTGGGCACAAACAGTGCTGCTATGAATATTCTAGTACATGTTTTTTGGGGCCCTATGGCTGTGTTCCTGTTGATACATACCTGTGCTATTGATAATAACAGAGGTATGCATATATGCTTAGCTTTACTTAATAATGTCAAAGAGTTTTGCTAAGTAGTTTACCAAGTTATTCTCAAACTAGAGCTTATGGAAGTGCTGTTGATTCAAAACCTTACCAACACTTGGTATCTTATGTCTTTCTCATTTTATCTATAATCTCGAGTATATGCAGGTATCTTATAATAGTCTTAATTTGTATTTTCCTGATGTATACAGTACATTTTCATATATTGTTTGATGATTTCAATATCCTTTTCTGTAAATTGTCTTTCTGAGTCTTTCGCCTATACTTCTATTAATTGGTAGGTGTTTTTATATTTTGGATTTGAAAATGTATATATGTATTTAAAAACTTTTATAGTATACATATGTCTATACCCACATATATATACACACACAAACTTTAAGACTTCTATTAATGTCTTTTGATGAACATAATTTCTTAATTTTTTTTTTTTGCGGGGAGACAGAGTCTAGTTCTGTTGCCCAGGCTGGAGTCCAGTGGCACAATCTCGGCTCACCGCAACCTCCCACTCCCAGGTTCAAGCAATTCTCCTGCCTCAGCCTCCCGCGTAGCTGGGATTACAGGTGCCCACCACCACACCCGGCTAATTTTTGTATTTTTAGTAGAGATGGAGTTTCACCACGTTGGCCAGGCTGGTCTCAAACTCCTGATCTCATGATCCACCTGCCTCGGCCTCCCAAAGTGCTGGGATTACAGGCATGAGCCACTGCACCCAGCCTGAATTTTTAATATAACCATTTTACTGAGATATTCATAACCTATAAAATTAACACATTAAAAGTATGCCCTTAATTTTTAATATAACCATTTTACCGAGATATTCATAACCCATAAAATTAACACATTATAAGTATGCAATTCAGTGATTTTCAATATATTCAGAGTTGTGCAACCATTGCCACAATCAATTTTGGAAGATTTTCCTCATGCCAAAAGGAAATCCTATACCCATTAGTAGTCACTTCTCATTTCTCCCCATCCTCCAAACCCAATCATAGGCAACCATTAATCTACATTCTATCTCTATGCATTTGCCCTATTTTGGACATTTTATATAAATGGAATCACAAAACTTTCCATTTATGACTGGCTTGTTTCATCTAGCATAATATTTTCAAAATTTGTCCATACTGTAGTGGTCCTTTTATTAACAAATGAATAATTAACTGATAAATGGATGAATAAAATGTGGTATATTTACACAACTGAATATGTGTATAGATATGCCACATTTTATTTAAATATTCAATTGAATTTCAAATATTCAATTGTATAGATATACCACATTTTATTCATCCATTTATCAGTTAATGAACATTGGGTTGCTTCCACTTTTAAGGTTTATGAATACTGCTTCTGTGAACATACAAGTTTTTATATGGGCATGTTTTCATTTCTCTTGTGTATACACCTAGAAATGGAAATACTGGGTCAATATGGTAACTCTGTTTGAACTTTTAAGGAGCTGCCGAAGTGTTTATTCCCACCAGCAGTATAGAGGATTCTGATTTTTCCATGTCCCCACTAACGCTTGTTATTATCTTTTTAAATATATATATTATACCCATCCTAGTGGGTGTGAAGTGGTATTTCATTGTGGTTTTGATTTGCATTTCTCTAATGACTAATGATATTGAGCATCTTTTCATGTGCTTATTGGTCATTTTAATTTAAATATAACCAAAATTATCTATCTTTTAATATTGGAGTTCTTCATCTTTAATATAAATAAAATGAGATTATTTGAAGGCAAAGCATATATTTGCATAAATATTTTAAAGTATATTTTATCTTTCAAGTACATGAAAGATGCTTATTGGCCATTTTAATTTAAATATAACCAAAATTATCTATCTTTGAATACTGGAGTTCTTCATCTTTAATATAAATAAAATGAGAATATTTGAAGGCAAGGCATATATTTGCATAAATATTTTAAAGTATATTTTATCTTTCATGTACTAGTGATTTATTAGTCATTGCAATGAATTAAACACAGATGTCGGTCTTATACTATAATTTGACTTGCCATGTTTAAGAAAATTCTCTTTAAGTATAAAGTTGGAATGCAAAACAGCATAAGCTTGGATTTTCTAATTGCATTTTACAAAATATTATTCTAGCCACTATATTTATGAGTGATCACATACAACCAAATATTGATCAAGATTATGTCCCAACTTTATAATAATGATTTAACTTGACAAATGGTGATGAGTATGTTATTTTTTTAACTGTTCATTTACTCTCTGAAATTTCAATTTAAATATATACTGCTCTGGCATGAGTCTACCCAGCAATCCGCCCCTAATTTTGCTGTCCCTAAGTGCTCTTTCCATAGGTGGATTATTTATCTAACATAATTTTATATGAACTCATCTATTTTGTTTAATTTGATAATACATTTTTAATATACTTAGCGCAGTGTATAACACTTGTTGAGCCTAAACTATACGCTATATTTTAAATATTTAAAATTATATAGCCTACATTTTAGGCTCACCAAGTGCTATATACGCTGGACTCTGTTTCAAGGATGTTATCACTTACTCTTCACAGTGACCATCTGAGATGGAAATTATTTATGATGCACTTTTATAGATGATCCTGTGACTCCAGGGCACTCATTTTTAAAGACTGGGAATTAAGGGTTGAAAGGAAATACCGTCCAGGTAATTATATCCATAAATGATACAGTTTGAATTTATGTGAAAAAAATTTTTACTTTTTGCTGTTTCTTTTTGCCAAAATAACACGTGTACACACATATACAGATTTTTTTTTCTCAACTCTAATCAGGTTAAGCCTAGCACTCACTTGCAGTTGCCTACTTAGTGTCATCTGAGAAACATTTATTTTTGGCATGATCATGCATTGGCTGAGAAAGCTGAGAGAATCGGCTGAGCGCGGTGGCTCACGCCTGTAATCCCAGCACTTTGGGAAGCCAAGGAGGGTGGATCATCTGAGGTCAGGAGTTTAAGACACGCCTGACCAACATGGTGAAACCCCATCTCTACCGAAAATAAAAAAATTAGCCGGGTGTGGTGACTCGTGCCTGTAATCCCAGCTACTCGGGAGGCTGAGGTATGAGAATCACTTGAACCCGGGAGGAGGAGGTTGCAGGGAGCCGAGATCCTGCCACTGCACTCCAGCCTGGGTGACAGGGTGAGACTCCATCACAAAAAAAAAAAAAAAAAAAGAAAGCTGAGAAAATCTTGGCATGTCAGACATCTGGCCAGGAAACCAAACAGCACAGCTCTTACTTGGTTGATACGACGACAGCATCAAGTCTGTCTGCTGTCCATCTTGACAGCAAGTCATAACCACTTAGAGCTGAAATAAAAGGATAAAAGCAACATATTAGTAAAACAGACAAATGAAGACAAGGCTGTTTCCTTCACAAAAATCCTGCTGCACTTCTTTCACGTTCTGGCAGTTCTATTTTACCTTAAAATACGAGAGACAAATTTAACACTGTATTTATAAGAAGCCATCCATTCATGACTCAGTGGAATTCAAGTTTCCCAGTGAACCTCCTAATGCTCTTCCTCCCTTTTATCTTTTGTCTTGCACATTTTGCCATTGATCCTTCTGTGTCAGACTCATTCTCTAGATTAACCCAACTGTGTATACTGGAAGGAGGTACTGATTTGGCTCTGTTTTAGATGATGGGTATACAAAGATAAAAAGACAAGTCGCTAACTTGATCAATACGTTGTCAGATATGTGAGCCAAGGAGATATAGACAGAATTGTTGCAATATAGAAGGATCACCTAAGTCTGCATGGGACAATAGAAAAGGCACCTGAATATAAGTGGAATAGAACTAGGTCCCCTTAAACAAACACTGGAACTTACTGCTTGCATCTGTACTACTACTTTAAGAATGTATCTAGCTGAGGCCTCTCTTTGCCTCTTTTTCTCTTGTCTAAGAGGAAGACGTAATGCTCTTTTTTTCCATTTCCAACCTTCCTATCTATATCCAATTATTTTACTAGTGCTCTAAATCTTCTTCCCTTTCATTTCCTCTGGGATGTGTATCTATCAGTCAACACTCCCAGCCCATTACTTGGCTAACATATTTCTACTTATTGCCTTCATTTATTTCAGTCTACCAACTTGTTTATATTTCTCCTGCACAAAAATAAAAGAAAATTCTCCTACTTAACTCTCATTTCAATCTATAATTTTCTTGCTTATTTATTTCACAACTAAGTCCTTTTAAGGCCAGCAATTATTCTAACCATTTTATTTTCTTCCCTCTCACTTTTTGCTTGCTGTAATGTGTTTCTCTGTGAATATCCCATCATGTCAGCAAGTCTCTCCTCAACAATATTAACATAGAAAGTTCAACATCCAAGAGACATACTTCCATCCTACTTACTTGACATCTCTACACGATGCAGGACTTCTATTATTTCCTCTTTCTTGAGGTTCTCACCTTCTTCGGCTTTCTTTTCATTTTCTGACATTTTTGACCACCTCAGTGCTTTGCTGTCTGCTTATTCCTTCACCCAACAATTTTGTTTGCATTCCCCAGAAATCTGTTCTCACCCTCCCAGTCATCCTGTCAGAAATGAGGCACTCATTCAGATCTATTTTTTTAATCTTCTGTCTTTTTCTCCTCTAACTTCCCACATCAATGGACAAATTTGCTTAATTTCAAGCCTGTAACCTTTTCTTTTCAGGACTAATTTATTCTTCCTCTCTAGAGTTCAGAGTTCTTAACTTAGTAGGTCCAGTCCAATCTTCACTCCTCCAGTTAATCTATACTGTATTCATTGGAGGTAAACAGATGAATCTCAAGAGCCCTAGGACTCAGGTGGGTTAGGTGATTTTCTCACATAATTGGGACTTTTATCCCAGTGCTTCCACTTCTAAATGTTTTTGTCTTTCTGCTGTAATTCTATACATCAAGAAATATACAACCTTCACACCCAATCTTGATTACTCTTGCCAAATAAACTAAGTTTAGCCTAAAGCTGCCTCTTTGCATATTTTAAAGGTTTCTTGATACACAGTGAGTTGTAACTTAATTGGATGTGTAATCTACTCTTGTCCCAATCACTGAGTTTCAGCCAAAGGTAACCAACTTGTGGAACCAGTTTCAAATAAGGCAAACGCTGAGCTGTAACCAATCCGCCTATTTCTGTGCCTCACTTCTGTTTTCTGAATGTCACTTTCCTTTTTCTACCTATAACTCTTCTTCGACCAGGAGGCAGCGCTGGTGACTCTCTGAACCTATTCTGGTTCAGGAGGGTGCCTGATCCACAAGTAGTTCTTTGCTCAATTAAACTCTGTTAAATTTAATTTGTCTAAGGTTTTTCTTCTAACATTCTGGCCTATTATTTCCTACATTTATCACTTTAAAACACACTGTATTATTTACTTATTTATCGATCAAAGATTGTCTCCATTAGAATGTAAGATCCAAGAATACAGGAAGACAGGATTTTTTTCTTTTTTTTTTTTTTTGAGGCAGAGTCTTGCTCTGTTGCCCAGGCTGGAGTGCAACGGTGCAATCTTGGCTCACTGCGACCTCCGCCTCCTGGGTTCAAGTGATTATCCTGCCTCAGCCCCCCGAGTAGCTGGGATAATGTGTGCCCGCCACCACACCCGGCTAATTTTTGTATTGTTTTAGTAGATACAGGGTTTCACCATGTTGGCCAGGCTGGTCTCAAACTCCTGACCTCAAGTTATCCACCCGCCTTGGCCTCCCAAAGTGCTGGGATTACAGGCGTGAGGAAATTTTGTCAATTCAAAAATATATTCAAAGATATAAAAATATTACCAGACATATAGTAAATATGAGTAAATGGATGAAAACATTAAATGGTTCTGTAATATCAAGTGGAGAATGATAGAAATAACAAGGCTTTCTTAGAGTAATTGTGATAAATAGAAAAAAAAAGTTTCTTCTCACCTCTACCTGGGTTGATGAGGAAATGCATATGTGGAAAAGAGTGATATAAAGCTTCAGGGAAAAGTAAAACTTTGCCAGAACAAAGCACGAGAAGATAAAAGAGGCAGTAATGTCCATGCCGAAGGGCATGTGTACCTACTGAAGACTTAGTAAAATGTCTGCGAACTACCTCAGTGACAGAGATTTTTCAAAGCATTCACTTACCAGCACTTCCCACGCACCAGCCTCCACCATGGATGTAAAACAACCCCCTTCTTAGTGCTTCAGACTTTCTCTTTGGCACATATACCCGAACAAGAATGTTGTTGAATTTTGTCTCAGTCACAGTGACATTTTCATCTGAGGTTGGTGGGACTTCATCAAAGCTCCCGACAACCTTAAAGGAATCCATAAAATGGTGAAGTCCCAGGAGCTCCACAAATGTAGCCTAAAAATGAAATTCACAAACCTCCTGAAATTCAAGTATCAAATGGCAAAGAGATCTATGGACTTATAGGTAGACATTAACCCTTAATAAACTCAAATGGAATGAACTAAATTTTCATGCATGAATCCTGCTTGGTCCTTTTAAAAGAAACCAGAAATGCAAAGGTTATGCCTAGGGTGGTTCTTAAAAAAGAGGGAATACACTGTGAAGGAAATAAAAATATTTCATCCCAAAATATATCTCCTTGACATAATGCAAGGTAGCTTTTCAGAAGGGCTGGAAATACAAGATTAGCTGGAAAGCTTTTCTTTTGTGGAGGTGATTTGCATCTGTAGAGAAAATCTGCATTGATGGCTTCTGAGAGCCTTCATTTGTCCAGATCTAGGAAAAATCAACTGAGAATCTGACACCTTTAAAAGTCTGAAAGAAATTTTTACCATCTGTTCTCTCTGAGGGCTGCTACCTGTGAGGATCCATCTATATAACAAGACCACTTTTGCTAACCATGTCTCCTCTTCTCTCCTTCCCATAACCTGTCTTGCCACCATATCATTTTTTGGCCAAGCCACCATTCTTTCTGTAACCTCAAGATAGTAAAAAAAAAGTGTCAACCATCTGGCCATTTCTTTGAGATTTTATATTTTGTAAGTCTATTATGTATGCTAAAAATGTATATGCCTTTTTCTTCTATTAACCAGACCTGTCAGTTGACTTTCAGCAACTTTCAGAGGGCAAAGATGAAGTTTTATTGTGACCCCTGCTACTAATTTAGTTCCTATGTCACTAAAATGTGTCAGGCTCTCTACCAAGCTTTACGGTTTCAGAGATGAACCAGACAAATGCTCTTCTCAAGAATCTCAGAGTTAAGTGTGAAAGACAAATAAATGGTTACAAAACAATGTAAATACTATTACAGAGCTCTGTACAAAGTACTTTGGGAGCGAACAGCAGGTGATTACAAAAAGCTACTTGGGAGTAGAAACTGGAAAAGCAATTTTGTCTGAGGCTTGAAATAAATACCTTTTCCTAAGTCTTTTGCTAACCAAATAAGAAAAGGAAAAACCCTGGCAGGTCGAGGAACTGGTTTAGTTTAGAAATAGGGAGGTGCAGTGAGGTGTGGCTATGGAGCTGGTTGCACATGGGAGCTGGGAGTCAGGGTTGGGAGGGAAGGAATGAGTGGGAGAAAAAGGGAGGGCAGCTTGCCTGCCTGCAGCCCATCCTTTCACTGTAGAATGAGTCAGTGTTCTGAGCACTCTATTGTAGTCATCTCAGTAATATTAACAACTTGCTTATATGGGAGGAAGATAACATTTTCTTATCCATGTCAGATATGAGGAAAGTGAGCCCAGGAAGGTTAAATATGTCGTCCATGCCTACACAACTAGTAAATGATATTTACCAGGATTCTCAATCCAGTAGTTTGATTCTTGATGTAATGTTCATAACATAATCCTTTAATAAAGGGTATGAACACTCAAAGATTGCCAGACATTTCAGAGAAGCCAGCAAAACTAATCAGGAAAAAAGGGACAAACCAGGAGCATAAACGATCACAAAAAAGCAAGCAAACAAACAAGCAGATAATTCAGGAATAAGAAAGGGCATTAAAACAACTTTTAAAAGGTATATCGACTGAGAGCTCTGAAAATACATTACTTTCATAAATTGTGGACAGAATGTAAGTAAATGAATGAATTAATTAATTAAAAGGCTACCAGAGAAGAATATATATATAATTGCTTAAATAAATAAAAATTAATATAAAGACTCCAAGAAAAAAATCAAAGACCTCTCACATATTGTAGCACAGACAGCAAATATGAGGGAAAAAAATGTGTCCCTTTCTTAAAGCTCTTTAATAGCTCTGCATCACATACAGAATTAAATCAAAACTTACTACCAGTGCCCACAAAGCACTGTATGATATGGCTTCTAACCTCTCCAAACTAATTGCAACAATTTCCCCATTAAACCCAAATGTTTCATATGATTTCTTGGACTTGTCAATATTCTGTAGCTGGGGTGTTTTTACTTGTTGGTGTCTCTGCTGGAAAACATTTTTCTTAGCACTTAGAATGGTTGGTTTCTTTTCATTCTTCTGGTCCCTAAGTAGCTGTTTCCTCTTCAGAATGGCTTTTTCTCACCATGCATACAGTAGCCCACTCTTGCCTTCTGCCCAAATTACTCTCTTTTCTTCCATCTTACCTCCTTAAAGGTACTTCTCATGAACTAAAATCATTTATTCATTTAATTCTAATTTATTTTTTTCTCCACCACTAGAATGTCAACTGTGTGGGGATAGACTACTTGTTTGCCTAATAGGATTTGAGACAGTTGAATTGTTGAATAAATGCAAAATAAAAGATTAATCCAGGAGTTACAACATTTATCTGGTTTAAGTTCTGAAAAGAGATTTGTTTTAATGAAGATAATAAAATAACCAAAGAAGTAATAGTAAAATATCATCAAGGATCCAGAGAGAGCTACACCTTTTTAATTTGCCAGCATCCAAGCTGCCCAGTTGCCAGGACACCCAGGTCTCCCTCCCCCTCTCATTTGTGCATATTGTGCCGTCTCGTGGTTAACCCTAGGCATGTGCCAACCAGCCTGCCCATTGAATCTTTTCTTGAGAACTTATTTACGTGTCCTTAGTCTATATTCTGAATCCCAAAGATAAGTGCATAAAAATCTGTAACTAACACAGTGCTGCATAATCAGATGATCTCTAATTTGAGTATAAAATTTAAGGAACAAACCATACCTAAGATAAGAATTTCAAAGGAGAGCCACTATCGTGATATTAAAGCTACCTAAACAAAGTACTTTTTAGCAAAACCTATTCAAATGACTCCTTGCTTGCTGTTCTTGATATTTTTTTAACATGATTCCAATACATAAGACAGAAAACAAACAACATTTCTAAGTAACACATTGTCAAAGGCCACAGCAGTTATTTTAAAAGATGAATAAGTCAATAAATCAAAAGAATAGAATCTTGAAAAACTTAATTCTCTGGGTCAAATGGTGGTGTATGCACATCTGAATTCATAAAATTCCAAACTTACCAAATTTTGTATAGTTTTCAGATGTGCGTTTATCCACATCATTCTCCATGGCTCCTCAACGTTATCTGGGAGAGGCGTATAAATATAATATGCTATGAGGATCCCCACAATCAGAAGGTACAGCGATTTTCTTCCCATGGTGAACGTCCCGCTTCTTGGTCTCTAGAAACACAGAAAGTAAACCTACATGATATGCCTGAATAGTGTACTTTAATAAGCAGTGTGCTTCAGCTCCACCCAAAAGCTTTGAAAACAGAGTTGCTCACTTAGTTTAAGGGTTGGCATAATAAGGCCAAAATTTTATCTGTTATCCAGATACAGTCATGTTAAGTGCAACTTCAAGGTTTAATGAGTAATAGGAAACTAGGGCAAAGTTTGTCAATGATCATGCTGTTATCTGTATTCCAATAAACAGCATGTATTGAGTAATAACTCGGGAACAAATTCTTTAACTCTAACAAAATTATCCATAGAAAACATACAGAATTCAGAATCTTTGTTTTAAAATAGCTTATCATGGAAAAAACAAATTATATATATACACACACACATATATATACATATATATGTGTGTGTGTATATATATATATTTTTTGATACAGAATCTTCCTCTGTCACCCAGGCTGAGTCCATAAGAAGCGTTTTGTGTCAATAAGTAGTTTGTTTGAGGGTGTGTTAGGCAGTGGGATTTCCATGCATTGGGAAGTGGGGACGGGGTTTAGGCAAGTGTTCCACCCTGCGATTTCTATGCAGGGCCTGTGTCAGTTATTGCAGAATCCTGATGTTTCTCCCGTGACTTGGGTCTGACGGGGGTTGGAGATTTTGAGAGTTTGTGTGGGGTTTTTTTCTGTTATTGTTTGGATGCCTGTCGGGGGAGTGAGTGTTAGGGTACAGTTGCATAAGCTAGAGGAGAGGGTGCCTAGGGGCACTCCTTTGGAAAGTTCACGCTTTATGCATAGGGATGCTGGTTGACTGAGTTCTGAGTCTGGGGTAAGTGTTCCTAAGATAACCTTGTGTTCTGCAGTATGTGTGGTAAGATTGAGTTTGTAACTTTTGAGTGCATTTACTTCTCCAAAACTTTGGTAGCGGGGGTGGAGGGTCATATTGCTGAGAACCCAGTCTTTGAGGGGAGCTGGGAAGACATCTTTTGATACGGTTTCTGAGGGGTGTACCAGCAGGCCTTGGCCAGGGAGGGGTTAGTTTGACTGAGTATCATATGTGCCTGTGGAATGGTGCGCTGTAGGTGGAGCGGTAGCGAGAAGGAGGAGGGAAGAAGGAGTAAATAGACAGAGAGCAAGTGTAAAGGTAAAGAATTCGGCTTCATCTGGAGTGAATTCCTGTAAATCCCCTTGAAATATAAGATTGGTGATCCAATCAAGGAATGCTGTGAGGGTGGGATGTTCTGGGTAGGACCATGAAAGGTTTTCTGTGATGCAGTGAAGGAAGAGTGTGAAATGCCAGGATGGGCAAAGACAGGACATTTAGGAGGGGCCACTATCTGTTGGTGGTGGCTATTATACCTGCTATGAGGAGGATTATGAGGCAAGAGGTTACGAATATTGAGTTTTTTTTGTCTGAAATTCCACCCAGGAGGCAAGACAGTATATATTCCTATGGCAAAGAGTAGAGTAAGTAGGGTGATTCCTGCAAGGGCAGCGTAATGGATGATTTCCATTAATAAGGGTTTGGATACTTAATGGTAAGGGGTGATAACTTATCTGCTATGGTTCATGAGGGAAGAGTGGGGTCTTCAGGCATGGGCGTTAGGCGGAGTCGAATTGGTCTGAGAAGAGTGCTGGAGTATTTGCAGGGAACAGCTGGTTGGTTAGTTGGTGATGGGTCAGCTGCAGGTGCTCTTTTTAACCTGGAAAGATGGTACCAAGACTTGTGTTCTCAAAGTTTGGCTGCAGTGGAGGTAGCGAGAAGGACTTGGAAAGGGATTTCGCACTTTGGCATGAGACTTGTTGATTTTTAGGAAGACATATTCTCCTGGAAGGAGTGTTTGGTCAGTGGTGCCTTGGTGGGGTTTTGTGGGGGCCTGGTCAGCTTGTTCGCAGAGGAGATGATGGATGAGGGAGAGTGTTGGGAGGTATTCTAATTGATACTCAGGAGGGGGTCTGTTTTGTAAGAGGAAAGGGCATCCATACATTAAGTCGAATGGACTGAGGAAGGAGGGGGCCTTTGGACTGGCTCTGATATGAGCCAGTGCTATGGGTAAAATGGAGGTCTAAGGTTTTTTAACCTCAAGTGTGAGTTTGGTTAACTGAGTTTTGAGAATTCCATTTGCCCTTTGGACTTTTCCAGATGACTGGGGCTGGTATGGGATATGGAGGCACCACTGAACACCAAGGGATTGAGAGACTTGTTGGGTAATTTGGGAGATGAAGCTAGGCCCATTATCTGATTGTATGGAACAAGGGAGACCAAATCTAGGGATGATTTTTGTTATGAGAATTTGAGAGATTTTTCTGAAGGGGTAGGAAATGCTTCTACCCAACCTGAAAAAGTGTCTATGAGAGTAAGAAAATATTTAGTTTTTTTGACAGGAGGCATGTGGGTGAAGTCTACTTGCCAGTCCTCCCCTGGGAGTGTTCCTCTGAGCTGATGTGTAGGGATGAGGAGAGGGCGGAGGGCCCCTTGGGAGGAAGTAACAGAGCATATATGACAGTTTGAGGTTATGTCCTTTAGTGAGGTGAATAGATGGGGGGAGGAGAAATAAGGGTGAAGGAGTAGGTACAGGGGGCGCCCACTGATATGGAAGGATTGGTGAAGAGATGTTGGAATTTCCTTGGTTTGCTCTTGGGGAAGAATGAGCTTTTGGTTTTTGATTATCCAGTCCCCTTGAAGGGAGGCTCCTTGCTGTAGTAGTGAAGAGTTTTTGGTGGGAGAGTATCTGGGTTGGACTGCTGGGGTGACAAGGAGGATGGGGGCAGGGATAGGAGAAAGAGAGGCCTGTTTCGGTGCTCATCAGCCTATTTCCTCTTGAGATTTCATCTGAACCTGCTTACTGTCCTCGACAGTGTATGACTCCTGCTTCAGTTGGGAGGTGTGCAGCCTGAAGGAGTTGGTAAATAAGGGGGCCATTAGTAATGAGGGTTCCTTTGGCAGTAAGGAATTTTTTCTCTTACCAGATGGCGGCATGAGAATGAAGAATGTGGTAGGCATACTTGGAGTCTGTGTATATGTTGACCTGTTTGTCCTTGGAGAGGGTTAGGGCTCTTGTGAGAGCTGAGTTCTGCTTTCTGGGAGGAGGTTTCTGGGGGTAGGGGTTTAGCCTCAATTACATGGTTTAAGGTAACTACTGCATACCCAACAATTTTGGGAGAGCCGGGGGCTCTGGAAGAGGAGTCATCTATAAATAGTTGGTCATCTGGATTAGTGAGAGGCTTGGAGGAGATGTTAGGGAATTGTGGCTGCAAGTGATCCAGAATGTCAGTGCAAGAATGAGTAGGAGGGGAAGAGGATATGGGAAGTAGGGATGCCAGGTTGAGGGGGGCACTTTTGGCAAGGCTGAATTCAGGATTTTTGATAAAGAGGGCGTAGAGCGACTGAATTTGGGAAGGAGAGAGGGAGCTTAATGCCCAGGAGGAGAGGAGATCCTGTAAGTTGTGAGGGCTGTGAATGGTGGTGCTTTGGCCAAATGTTAGTTTTTTGCTTTCCAGAGGCAAAACGGCCACTGCTGATGATGCTTTAAGACAGGTTGGCTGCCCTTTGACAGTGTTGTCTAGTTGTTTACAGAGATATGCTACAGGGTCAAAGGAAGGAGGATTTCCCTTTTGTTGCCCTAAGACCCCAAGAGCTATTCCTTGATTTTTGGTGGTATAGAGAACAAAGGGTTGGGAGAGGTCGGGTAAGGACAGGGCAGGTGCAGTGATGAGAGCAGTTTGGAGTTTACAGAAACTGGGAAGTATGTTGTGTATGGGGCTTAGGGGTTCATTGAGGGGGCCTTTGGCTGCTTCGTAGAGGGGTTGAGCCAGGAGGGCAAAGTTGGGAATCCATATTCTAAAGAAACCTTCTAGTCTTAAGAAAGAGAGAATTTCATTTTTTGAGGAAGGCAGAGGCAAGCTGTTTATTAAGGTTGCTTGTGCTGGGGTCATGGCTTGGGCCCCAGGGGAGAGTTGGACTCCTAAGTATGTTACTGTTGGGGCAGATAGTTGGGCTTTGGAGGGGGAGACCCTATATCTTTTGCTAGAAAGAGAGTTTAGTAGGGTGATGGTGTGAGTTTGGAGTCCTCTAGGGAGGGGCTGCAAAGAAGGAGGTCATCAATGTATTGGAGGAGGCAGCTGGGGGAGGGGTTTAAGGTGGTGTGGTCTTGGGCTAGAGCTTGTCCAAAGATGTGAGGGCTGTATCTGAAGCCTTGAGGGAGGACAGTCCATGTGAGTTGTGACTGAAGAGTGTCAGGATCTGTCCAGGTGAAGGTGAAGAGGTCTTGGGAATTAGAGTGTAAGGGAATGGTGAAGAAAGCATCCTGTAGGTCGATTGCTGTATAGTGGGTGGTGTTGGAAGGGATGAGGGAGAGAAGTGTACAGGGGTTAGGGACCAAGGGGTAAATAGGGAGTACAGCCTGATTGATGGCTCAGAGGTCCTGAACGAGTCGGTATGAGCTGTCAGATTTTCTAACAGGGAGGAAGGGGGTGTTATATGGAGAATGTGTTGGTCTAAGAAGATCACATGAGTACAGCTTGTTTATAATGGGTTGGAGGACCTTTTGGTGGGTTAGGGAGATAGGGTATTGGGGAACGTTAGGAAATTTGGAGGGGTCCTTTAACTGGATTTTGATGGGGTTATGGTGTGCAGCTATGGAAGAGTGTAGGGAGACCCCCTGAAACTATTGCTATGGAATAAAAGACGAAATGCCCCTGATTATTGTAAATACAAAATTGCATTCAGGATTGTGTAAAGACAATGCCAGGTTGGACTGCCAGAATGAGCCAATAGTGCGTGATGTGCTTCCCCATGCAGAAAGCCTATGAACGGACTTGCAGTCAGGGAGGTTTCACATCACCAAGAATCCTATTCCAGAAAAGCAGATGTTCATAGCTCTGGGAATGGAATGTGAGCCTTGTGGAGAGCCTATAAACGGATGCATGAGGGGCACCTGTCCATATGGTAAGATAGGGCTATAACTGCCCTCATCTTGCCACAGCTCTTCTAGGCCTCTTTAGGGTTAAGGCATACTCCCTTCTGAGAATATCTGGTCTAACCGGTTGTCTACCTTTACGTCCTGTTTCTATGGATTGTTTGTAACCAGCTTTTGCTGCAACTGTTACTGCTGATTAATATCTGGCTAATCATAGGTTATGGAAAGGCTATGTTTCTGTTTTAAGGCTCTGTTAAGAATTACTGATGCACACACTATATTGTAAATTCTTATCTCTGTATACTGTACTTCTGCATACAGATGTTATGTTAAAGAATTACTTCATCCCCATGTGACCATCTCATCTCATAATCAAATGCCCCTAAATCCCTCAGTAACCTACCCCCACCTTCACTAAACTTAATAATAAATGCTGGTATATCCAGTGCATTGTTGGCACTGCAGGACCAGAAGGCGGTGACCCCCCTAGACCTGGCTTTCACTATCTTGTGTGTGTCTATTATTTCTCAACATGCCAATCCGCCTGGGAACAAAGAAAGAGCCCTGTTGCATTGTGGGCTGCTGGCCAGATCCTGCAATAGAAGAGGTGGTGGTATCCCACACCACTGGGTTAATGAGAGAGGAGAGAAGTGGGTAGTGGGGAGAAGGGTCAGGGGCTGGACTAGCAGAGAGGAGCAGAAAGGACTCTGGTTGAGAGACACAGGAGAAAGTGATGGAATCTTTGAATTTAGCTAAAAGGTCTCGGCCTAGAATGGGGGTGGGACAATGAGCCATGATAAGGAAGGAGTGTGAAAAAATAGTATTAAACAAGGAACAAGTAAGGGACTCAGTGGCGTGTGGATGAGAGACGAATCCATCAACCCCCATGACAGAGACCTGAGAGGGATGAATGGGTCCTGAAAATTCAGGCAAAGCCAAGTAGGTGGCCCTGGTATCAATTAAAAAGGAGATCAGCTTACCTGTTACTGGCAGAGTTACCCTGGGCTCCAAAGCAGTGATGGCAGATGGGACCGGGGGCCCTGGGCTCTGTCATTCTTCAGTGGCCAGACCAAGGAGCTGCGGTAGGATGAGTGATCTTTCACTCTCTGCCTTGCCAGGGCTTTGAGGAGTTGGTCTGTTAGCCTGGTTTTTAAGAGGACAATCAGACTTCCAGTGGCTGGTCTGTTGGCAGGCTGGGCAAGGAGTTTTTGGTGTCCTTGGGTTAGGACATTCCCACGCCCAGTGACCTTCTTTGCTGCACTTAAAACAAGGCCCAGGAGGGTTACTGCCATTGGGTTTTTTGTGCCCTTGGGTACTATGGCTAGGTTGATGGATAGCCACTGCCAGAAGCTGGTATTTAGCACAATCTCTTTGGGCCTTGTCTAATTTAATCTGCTCCTCCCTGTTATTGAAGACTTTGAAAGTCAGGTTAAGGAGATCTTGTTGTGGAGTTTGAGGGCCATCTTCGGCCTTTTTCAGTTTGTGCTGTATGTTAGGAGCAGACTGAGAGATGAAATGGTTATTAAGAACGATAGTTTCTTCCCGGGAGGTGGGGTCTACACGAGTATATTTTTGGAGGGCCTCTGTAAAACGAGAAAGAAATTCAGCAGGATTTTCATCGGCTCTTTGGGAGATTTCTTTGAGCTTTTCAAAATTTACGGCCTTATGGGCTGCTTTGTTAAGTCCTGCGATGAGGCAAGTAATCATATGGTTACGAGATGCCCGGCCAGGGTCTGTGGGTTGGTACTTCCAGGGGGGTTCCTCCAGGGGAACTGCAGCAGCCCCTATGGGCTTAGTAGGGTCTTGCCGATGAAGATCGTTGGCATGTGCCTGTGCTGCAAGCCACACTCTTTCCTTCTTTTCTGGAAGGAGGGTAGAAGAGAGGATAATGTAGAGATCATGCCAAGTGAGTTCATAAGATTGGGTAAGGTACTTAAATTCTTTGATATAAGTGTCGGGATCAGAGGAAAACGACCCGAGACGTTTTGCAATTTGGGAGAGGTCAGAGAGGGAGAAGGGAACGTGGACTCGAATGATGTCTTCGGCTCCAGCCACCTCTCGGAGGGGAAGTATGGGGGCTGGTTGTTGGGCATGCTGAGTTTGAGAGCGTATGAGGTGGAGTATGAGGTGGAGATGCGGATGAATCAGAGTCAGAAGCTGGGTGGTTGGAGAGGGGGGGAAGAGGGAGGGCAGGAGCTGGAGCATAGGGCGGAGGGTCGTGGTGATTGGGCGGAGCATTATTATGTTGACTGGGAGGGGCAGGGGGAGACGTCGGCAGGGTCAAAGGAGGAGGAATCGCCAGAAGGAAGGGGAGCTGAGGGTGAGCCTGGCTTGGAGCGGGCGAGGAGGATTTGGAAAGTGAAACAGGACCGATAAAGGGAGGGGCAGCTATGGAGGGCAAAAAAGGCCTGAACATAAGGGATTTCAGACCACTTTCCATTGCGATGGCAAAAGTTGTCTAGGTCCCTGAGGATGTTAAAATCGAATGTGCCATTTTCAGGCCACTGGGAGCCATTGTCCAATTTATACTGAGGCCAGGCTGTGTTACAATGAAAGATGAGCCTTTGTGGTCGAATTTCGGAATGGAGGCCAAGGGCATTAAGATTCCGGAGGAGACATCGGAGGGGAGATGTCTTTGAGGGACTGGACTGAGAGGCTCCCATGATAGAATGAATGAGGAACAGATGGAGATGAGAGACGTGGCCAGAGACTAGAATGATAGGAGAAGGCGTCCCCTGAGTCGGAGAGGTGCGATAATTCCCCATTCAAGCATCCGTGAAAGGCAGATACCAAGGGCCTGGAGGCTGGGAGGAGAAAACTCTTGGCCCAGTGCTGCATCTTTTGGGAAGGAAAGAGTGGACAAGGGTTCCGGACAGAAGGCAGAAGTCTCCTTTACTCACCCCTGAGGTGGCCCTGGTGTTGGATGTGTCTGCCAGCAATGGAAAGGAGTAGGAAATCCTCTGGGTCTCCAGCACGTTCTGGAAGGGGGAGTTTGGCCGGGGGAAGCGGGGAGGAAAGGAGAGAGGGAGAAAGGGAGGCCGAGCTCTACCACCTTGCCGGGTTTCGGCACCAAGATACAAGGGATAATTGGAAGGACAGCCGAGAAAGGAATGAGGCCAATAGACCTAAGTTCAGGCAAGCTGATTTATTGTCAGTCCTGCCGGGCTACCTCCTGACAAAAGCAGAGGAGGCAGCCCCGCTTACAGGCTATAGCAAGGTTTTATAGGGTGTAGAACTGGGTCAAGGTGAAGGAAAAAGAAAAGAGTTGTAGGGTCCTTTGTGCCAGGTGTCTGACCGCTTCCTGGGGATGTTTTTCTTGCCAGTTCTGTTGTGTAAGGTAGACGTCTTGACTGCATCCGGGAACTGGTCAGACAGTTACAGGCGGGTTTGGGGTAGGAGGTTTTACTTTTGGCCTTTGGGGCTTAGGTCTATGGGAGGGGGAAACAGTACACTTGGGTGAACCCTAACAATAATAATAAATCACATTCCTACATTGCTAAGCTCACTGATGTTGACACCTTCCTATATTTACTGTCATAACTTTTTTTATACATATGTAAATCTTTCCTAGCTGAATCCTAGAGTAAATAATTTCTTCAAGGAGTCATGGTTTCCTTTAGTGGTAAATGTTAGAGAAAAAAATCTTGGCTTTATATGTACTCATTGGTACTAAGCCATCTTAGTTTGCAGAGCTAGAAAAGATAGATTTTGAAAATATGAGTTTAAAATGATGTTTAAATTTAATACTACAAGATTGTCTTGATTTCATTACTTTTGCAAGTTTATATAGTTTTTCAAGTTAACATTTCATTTTCATTTTACATTACTGAAATCTTACGTTCTGTTGTATAAAATTATAAAACATTTATATGCAAAAAGGAAAATTAATAAGTCCATCCTCTTTCCTGATATTCTCCTCTCTTGGCTTCACATAGATCTCTAACCCTTCTCAGTCACCTAAGAGTGTACCCTCCCTCTTCACCATTTGCAAGTTGCTTCACGTCAGCACTCTCTAAGCCCAAACCTGTAACACTGGCAATCAGAACCCTCCTTAAATCTAGGCAATTGAGGCCTCCATCCCAAGCCCCTACACTTAAAAGGACTGTCTGGTCTTCCTCTGATTGCTGGCTTCACTGTAGGACTAGCAGAGCAAGGGGGCATGTCCATTCCCTTCTAGGCCATACTCCCAGCACCCTGGACCTTGAGCCTTGAACAGTCTTTCTACATTTAATCTATTGTCTTGTTCATTGAAATATTCCACATGAAAAAAAAAATACTAGCTACTTTATTAAACATGAGAACTGAAGCATTTTTCCTGGAGTACATTTTGATCTTGGAAAGGATAATAATATTGTTGGAGAAAAAATTGAAAGGAAGAGACAACCCATTATTTAATCCTATAATGTTAAGCATGAAACAATTCAAAGAAAGCAAGCTATGCTTTAATATTCAATTGTTTATTTTTCTTTATTTTATAGACTGGGTCTCACTATTGTGCCTAGATTGGTCTCAAATTCCTGGCCTCAAGTGATGCTTCCACATTGGCCTCCCAAAGTGCTGGGGTTATAGACATGAGCCATCACACCCAGCCAATATTTAACTTTAGTATATGGAAACTCTGCAGTTTTCCTACCTCTATTTGGGGACACGAGAAAAGCATATTTGGAAAAGAACTATTTATTTGAGCTGTGAAGGAAAAATAAGTCATTTCCAGCAGTATGTTGGCAAGCTCACAATGCAACAGTATGTTGGCAAGCTCACAAAGGAGCTTGGTAAATCTGTGAAATTTCTAAGTTCTGTCAGTGAATGGAAGGGTCAGAAACTCTTAGGTAGGGTAAAAAACTATTAAAATATTTCAAAGTACTTATTAAGTACTGATGATTAATTATGTTTTCAGTAGCAAGTCAAGACTCTTCTCAAGCATTTGGAAACTTATTTTGGTTTGGATTTATATTTTTATTGCCAAATTTGAGCTTCTCAGTACATATTAGATTGAAATTTCAAAAATTCAATTAATTTATGTTGCTTCTCAGTACATATCTTTCTTTCTAGGAATACTGGAATCTGCTCACAAACTTGGAGTATCAGGTTTTGGTATATCTGACATTATGGTCACTGAATAGTTCTCACTGAATAGAGAGGCAAGAAATACGTTGTACCTCACCTAAGTAAAATAGCCTGACTCATAAACTTAGGAAGCAGGAACATGATATTTAATTTGTAGATTATGATAAAAGAGTAGTCAAAGTAATATCAAAATTGTATTAAATAAATTTTCCACCAATTGATACTTACCATTACTACTCAAACATGAGCCACCACCATGGTTATAAAATAAGCTTCTTTTTCATGATTCTGTCTTCCATTTTGGCACACATATGCAGACAACAATGTTGTTAAATTTACTTCTCACAGTTACATTTTCATCTGAGGTTGGTGGAAACTTTAGAAAGCTTGAAAGGAACATCATAGGCTCTATCAAGTTGTTTGGCCCCAACATTTCAGCAAACAGGGCCTAAAATAAAACACATACACATACACACACATTCTAAGTGTCAAAAATATTTTTGAATAAAGAAGTGCACATTAATATCTGTTATGATCCCAATGGTCTTAAATTACATACTCTCAGAAAAATGATATCACCTGAAGATACAGAAGTTCAAATATTGTAAAATAAGAATTATTCTAAGTGAAATGAATCCTCATTTATGCATCACTCAATAGGAATACCATATGGGTCTATAATCTGTGCGAAATACTGTGAAGACCAAGCAGAATCAGGTAAATTCATCATCCTAAAACAAAACAAAACCACCACCAACAAAAACGTCAGAGCCAAATGAGAGACATGAATGACAAAACAAGGTCTTACCATAGATATAGACAAAGTTATTTGGGATAATCATAAAGACGTAAGAGAAGGAAAAGAATTTCAACTTGGAGTTAAACTGGAACTTGAAAGGAAAGTAGAGTTTGGACAACAAACTTAGCAGAAGGCCTCTCAGGCAGATTAAATGAGCTTAGCCTAGAGAAAAACAAAAATATAGAAAGTGAGAAGTGCAGGTCTTCTGTTATCCCTATACTTCTGGGTGTATGACAGTGGGTAAGAAGAGAGAATCCTTAAGAAAAATTTAATAAAACACACACACATTAAGGAAAAAACAAAGGCAACCATCAAAAGCCGTGATAGAAATATTGAAAAATTGAGTTAGTTAAGATTAAGAATTTATGTTAATCAAACTATCCTATAAAGTGATTGAAAAGACAAGCTATGACCGGGTATGGTGGCTCGTGCCTGTAACTCCAGCACTTTGGGAGGTCTAGGCAGATCAGTTGAGGTCAGGAGTTCTAGACCAGTCTGGCCAACATGGTGAAACCCTGTCTCTACGAAAAATACAAAAATTAGCCAAGTGCGTTGGTGGGCACCTATAATCCCAGCTATTTGGGAGGCTAAGTCAGGAGAATCGCTTGAACCCAGGAGGCAGAAGTTCCAGTGAGCCAAGATTGCATCACTGCACTCCAGCCTGGGCGACAGAGCAAGACTCCATCTCAAAAAAAAAAAAAAAAAAAAAAGACAGAAAAAAGAAAGAAAAGACAAGCTACAATGTGGACAATGATATTTGTAATACATACAAATAAGAAAATATGAAAATATTAGTATATAGAATGTATAACAAACTCATACAAAGAAGGAATAGACCAAAAACTCAATAAAGTAGATGAAAAACTTCTACAGTTTTTTCATGGAAGGTCTAGTTATTGAGATTTCAAAGAAAAAAACCTATTCATTTTTCAAGTATATATTTCAAAAAGAAATACCTATAAAACAAGATGGTAAAATAAGCACTGTTTTAGCATCCTCTCCAGTCTCCAAATATTATTAAAATGATGAGGCCAGGTGTGATGGCTCATGCCTGTAATCCCAGCACTTTGGGAGGCAGAGGCGGGTGGATCACCTGGTCAGGAGATCGAGACCATCATGGCTAACATGGTGAAATGCCATCTCTACCAAAATTACAAAAAATTAGCCAGGTGTGGTGGCAGGCGTCTGTAGTCCCAGCTACTCGGGAGGCTGAGGCAGGAGAATGGCGTGAACCCAGGAGGCAGAGCTTGCAGTGAGCCAAGATCGTGCCACTGCACTCCAGCCTGGGCGACAGTGCAAGACTCTGTCTCAAAAAAAAAAAAATTATTAGTTGGCGATTAACACTCCTATCTCATTAATTCTTACATGGTCTAATAATAGGTTATTATTATTAGAATAATAGTCTCCTTTTAATTATTATTCTATAATTAGAGCAAGTATGCAGAAAACAGTAGGCATATAGAAAATTCAGTTTCTTGTACAGCCTCCACAAGTTATAGGTAATATCAGAGCAAATATTAACATTTCATGGTACAAATTGTACATTTAAAATTAATTCAAACTTTTATAAAACCCATTACATCAAGAGTTAAATCTTTTTTAAAGAATTCTTTCAAAGGAATCAACTCCAGATGTACTGAAATTTATATTTTAAATGTTATCAGAAATGTATCCCAATGTTGTCACAGTCCATAAAATACTCTTCCCAGTTCTACTAACAGTTGTATCAGAAGAATGAGCCTTCTCAAAATTAAAAATCATCAAAACTTAATTTCAGTCTTGCATTTGTGGAGAACAGCTGACTTCACTTTCAATTATGTCAATTGAAAATGAGCTGGGCGCGGTAGCTCTCATGCCTGTAATCCTAGCACTTTGGGAGGCTGAGGCAGGCGCATTGCCTGAGCTCAGCAGTTTGAGACCAGCCTGGGCAACGTGGCGAAACCTCATTTCTACTAAAATACAAAAAATTAGCCAGGTGTGGTGGCGTGCGCCTGTAGTCCCAGGTACTCGGGAGGCTGAGGCAGGAGAATTGCTTGAACACGGGAGGCGGAGGTTGCAGTGAGCCGATATCACACCACTGCACTCCAGCCTAGGCGACAGAGCAAGACTCTGTCTCAAAGAAAAAAAAAAAAAAAAGAAAAGAAAATGAGGCTAAAAAATTTAATTTGAATGATAAATTTACAAAAAAGTGGGCCAGAAAAATCTTATGATCAATCCATATATCACATTGATAAATTGTTGTTATTCATTGTATTATATAAAATGATAAACATGCTTTTGCAATTTGTAACTTTATGTCATATTCATGTCACTATTACTCCTATTACAGTTTATAAATAATAAATGTCTTTTTAAAGAAAAGTCTTTATGTTTTAATATTTTTAACTGCATCTTTAAATCTGCCTTTTGAATAAGGTTTTCTTTATTTTTATTTTGCTCTGCCCTCCACAAATTATGTAGCCAACTCTGATATGCACTTTTATATGCACATTGGATAATATGGTTGTACAGAGGAGGAGGCTAGACTATTATGATGCTTCCCTAAAAGAACAAATATGTGAGCCCATGTCATGAATATCAGTGTACTCAAAAAACTGCAATAGAGCTAGTAGTTACAAAGGCGAAGACATCAGATATTTCCTTAGTGTTGTGTAAGCATTCCCAGACAGCACACAGTAGTAGCATTGTAACTCAGCTTAAAGGATTAAATGTGGAAGAGAAAGTTTCTATTCTCTGAGCTCTTTAGGCAGAGTCTAGGGGCACCCTTACTAATAGCTTTGGTGTCCTGTTATGAAGTTAGCAGGCAAATTGGTCCTTTCCCGGTCCACAACTCTTTTCTCCTCTTCTTCAATAATAGATAGCCCTGCTAGTGAGAAGTGCTGTGGTGTGTGCTGTCAATACTGTTTTAAATTCAAATAGCTATGATAATATGCTGTATTGATTTACAGCAGTTTTAGTGCTGGCTTAGCAGGGTTAGTGTTTTTCTGCAGCAATAAAGGTAGGTTTATTTGGTGGCCTCTGATTCTCAATATCCCATAACAGTGCATTTCATACATAGTACTTTTATGAGTCAGGCTATTTTACTTAGGTGAGGTACAACGTATTTCTTGCCTCTCTATTCAGTGAGAACTATTCAGTGACCATAATGTCAGATATACCAAAACCTGATACTCCAAGTTTGTGAGCAGATTCCAGTATTCCTAGAAAGAAAGATATGTACTGAGAAGCTCAAATTTGGCAATAAAAATATAAATCCAAACCAAAATAAGTTTCCAAATGCTTGAGAAGAGTCTTGACTTGCTACTGAAAACATAATTAATCATCAGTACTTATTAGGGCCACCCAAAATCTAGATTTTGATTACTATTTAAATTCCAAAAGTATTTCCCTGAACAATTTTGAAAACTTTATCACAGCTAAAAGTTTGAAAGTCATTGACATTACCTGACTGGGTGAATTCTTTTTTTTTAATGCAAGTGAAACTTTAAATAAAAGAAAAAAATATCCAAGCTCCAGGTTCATGGTAGGCTGCTGTGGTTTTCTAGTATTTTGAGGACAGTGCTCAGAAATGCCATTTTCACCCTCATTTTTGGCCACTTGTGCATTTAAGGGAAATCTGCTCCTTAATATTGAATGGACCACCACCATTTTTCTTGGAAAGAAAATGCTATGCTATTCTCTCCATGCCTGTCTTTATCTAATTAAGTCTCCTAGATTATGGGGGAAGAATTTCCTTTCAGCTTTTTCTTAGATGCCTGACTTGCATGAATCTTTTATATGATCTTAAATCACAAGGGACTTTCCAATAAATGGGACTGGGATAGAAAATTGGAGAAAAGTAAAAGTTCAGTCTAAACTTCTCACTACTTATCAACATAAATTCCAACTGAAGCAAAGATTTGAACATAAAAAAGAAGCCAGGAAAGCCCCAGAAGAGACTAAAGGGGAATTCTTCTATAGTCTTAGAGTGGAGATAAACTTCTCAGCTATGAATCAAATTTTAGAAGACATAATTTAAAAGACCAATAAATTTTGATTTAAAAATGAAGAGTAGTAAAAAAATTACTTCATCATGGCCAATTATTTTAATAATGACAGAAGACAAACTGGGAAAAAATTGTATTTTCCTAATATAGAAAGAAATTTAAAAAAAAAACAAAAACCTGATTAAAATTGGACAAAGAAGCTTCTTGGAGTTCAAAGGAAAATAAATGCAAATGTCTCAAACATAAAAGATTAAAAAACTTAATAAGTGATGTATAAAATTAAATTATACTAAGATACCACTTCTCATTTATATTAGGGAAATGAAATCCAGAAAAATCATAAGACACTTCATTGAGAAGCTGACAGGACAAAGACATACTCATGCCTTGTTTGTAGGAGTTGAAATTATTAAAGGACAATTTTGCAAAGAGTAGCAAAATTACAATTGACCCAACAATCCCACTTCATAGATTATTTATTGATAAAATCTAGCCTCCAAATTAAATGTTATTATATAATACTGTATTCATCTGTTCTCATGCTGCTAATAAAGACATATCTGAGACTGGGTGATTTATAAAGGAAAGAGTTTTAACTGACTCATAGTTCCACATGGCTGGGGAGGCCTCACAATCATGGCAGAAGAGCAAGGGATGTCTTACGTGGCAGCAGGAAAGATAGAGTTTGTGCAGGGGAACTCCCCTTTATAAAAACCATCAGATTTTGTGAGACTTAGTCACTATCATTAGAACAGCATAGGAAAGACCTCCATGATTCAATTAACTCCCACTGGGTTCCTTGCACAACACGTGGGAATTGTGGGAACTACAATTCAAAATGAGATTTGGGTGGGAACATAGCCAAACCATATCAAATACCATTTTATTGTTTGTAATGACAAAACATTGGAAAGAACAAAAGTTTTCATCTGAACAGATCTGATTAAATAAACTATGGTTTATACAGATATTGATTCCTATGCCACTATGTAAAAGAATGAGGACAATTTGTATGTAAAGGTGTAGAAACATCTCTAGGATGTATAATTAAATGAAAATGTAAAGACCATAATAGCATACATGTGATGTTGTTTCTTATGTAAGAAAGAAAGAAAGAAGGATAAGAATATATTTTTCTATTATCTGTATTCATTATTACTAGTATTACTTGTATGCAGAATACCCAGGATGGGTCACAAGAAGCTAATAAGACTGATGATCTATAGACGACTGGGTTGAGAATAGGATGAATAAAGTTAGAACATGGGAGCAGGATGTGTCATTGTGTACTTTTTTTCATATTGCTTTGATTTTCAACTATTTAAATGTATTACTATTTAAAACATAAAATTTGCTTTAAATTATCTCGGAAACAAGGAGTGGGTACATAAGAAAGTAATGCGCTCTCCATTCTTGGAATTGTGGATGTTAAGATCAAAGACCTCTTCCTGTGAAGATCCAGCAGTTTCTAATGTCTACCACCAAACAATTCCTACTTGTTACAGTTAAACTTTTTACTCTCTCTATACATTGCTATATATACATATATGTACACACACATACACATATTTATACACACATGCATATACACACACACACATATATATAACTGTGTTTACATACACATACAGAAAGAGAGAGACTGAGATAGAGAGTTAATTTTGTAGCAAGAAGGTTTGAGGAGATAGACTGGGTCAGGTTCTCAATGAAATAGTCATAGTAGAGAGAGAAACATTCTTCCAAAACTACTAACCACATCTCTCATAGTTTCTACGCATTTTCCAGTCAGTGAAGCTATAGTATATTTTCATAAGAACTTACCCATCTGTAGTGTATACCCCAAATCTTCTATTAATGATTAAATGTCACAGAGTAGCTCAAACATATGACTTCTGAGTGTTGTATGAAATTTAAAAATCATACCTAAGTAGAAGAATGTTTTAAAATTATTGTATATTTTATGACTTTACTGCTATTAGAATAGGTCATTTTTATTGTAAATATAATCCAAATATCACCTTGTTCATCTTGTTAGTGGTATACTTTAGGATCATTCAGGGATACAATAAAGAAGCCAGTAACATTTGGCAATAAGAAACCAAGTACATATAAAACTTAATTTGTAAAAAGAAAAACAACTAGAATCCTAGAAAACTTGTCTTTCTTGATCAATAAAATTTTTCACTTACCGAATATGACGACTTTCCATAACAGCATTTAGCAGCAGTATTTTCCATGGTTCCTACATTATCTGAGAGGAGTGTATAGATACAATATGCTATGAGGACTCCCAATATCAGAAAGCAAAAGAATTTCTTCCCCTTTTGTAAATCTGTTTCTTCAATAAGACAGCATTATAGTTTATATCAATGCCTGAAATTAAATAGACATTGGAAAACTCCCACCCAAAACAATTATCTAACTTTCTATCCCAGAGAGTTCTTATTAGCAAAACAGATTGTCATGTTGTATCAAGTTTTACTAATAACAGTACAAATTCCAGTGAGCACTGAGAAAAAAGAAATACTCACTTCTAGCAACTTCTGTCCAAACTGCCAGCATTATCATATCTTCAGATCGTCACCAGACAGAGGCCTCTTGCCCACCGACTTGAAGAAAAGCATGTTAATTATCAGATATTCTGGAAAATATAGTAGAAGCACATCCCCCCAGTGGAGAGAAAAACAAACTGATTCATTAAAAGGTTCTGATATATTTTAAATAATTAACTTTATTTCATCTTTAATAAAAGCCAAGTAATTATGGGCAAATTGAGTATCTTAAGTACTGATTGGAGTGGTTTGTAGTGAATAATGGAAAACCTTGTTGCAAAAGAAACTTTGAGTCATGTCTTAGAAAGGCTGACTGGTAGATAAGAAAAATAAAGGACTTTGTAATATAAAAGGCACTAAAGTAGGCTTTAAAAATATACCTTGTAATCTATATAACTTCTTGATCTTTCATATTCTATCTTAGTTAATATATGACCTCACCTGATATGTTGTTGAATATCAAGGTACTTGATAAGAAATGAAGGAGTCCTTGATGTGTCCTTAAGCTTCTTCTGCTATTCTGCTGTCTTTAATGTAAGATTCACTCGTCTTTTTCTTTTCTCCCTTCCCTTCCCTTCCCTTCCCTTCCCTTCCCCTCCCCTCCCCTCCCCCCTCCCCTCCCCTCCCCCTCTCCTCCCCTCCCCTCCCCCCTCCCCTCCCCTCCCCTTTCCCCCCCTTTTCTTTTCTTTTCTTAGAGGGGGTGTTTCTCTCCCCTCCCCTCCCCTCCCCTTTTCTTTTCTTTTCTTTTGTATTAGAGGGGGTGTTTCTCTGTTGCCCAGGCTGGAGTACTGGAGTGCAGTGGTGGAATCATACCTCTTTGTAGCCTCTACCGCCTAGGCTCCAGGGGTCCTCCCACCTCATCCTCCTGAGTATCTGGGACCACAGGTGTGTGCCATCATTCCCAGCTAATTTTTTTAAAGAAATTATCTGTAGTGATGAGGCCTTGCTTTGTTGCTGAGGTTGGTCTTGAATTCCTGGGTTCAAGCAATCCTCCTGCCTTGGCCTCCCAAAGTGCTGGGATTACGTGAGCTACTGCGCACAGCCAAGTCTTACTCTTTCTTTAACATGGTTCTGTGTTCTAGAAAGGCAAGAAAACAATTTGGATAACCACCTTTTTCTGTGTTGTCAGGAAAATTTTTGCATGGAGAGTGGATGATATAAACGGAAACATTTCAATTTACAGCAGCACTTGCCCAGGAGAGAATCAAAATTTAATGCTGTGTTTCACTATAATTCTTCTGACACTATCCTCTTAAAGAACCAGGACCTTTAAGTAATCCTGCTAATCCTGACATGAATCCAACCAAAGATTCTTTCCTGATGAATCAGGATCTTTGGGGCTTGTTTAAACCAATTGTGTGTAGTCATTTGGACTCATCTGTATTACAAGGGCATCTAGTTTTCAGTAAGCGATAAATAGTGAGCTATGATTTCAATCTCATCCAAAAGCAAACCTTTCTCGCATGCCACAATATATCACATGTACCCCATAAATACTATGTATCAATCATAAAACAGATACGTGAATATTAAGCCTAACTTTTAAGATTTTGTTTTTTGGTTTTTTGGGGGGTTTTTTTGTTTGTTTTTTGAGATGGAGTTTTGCTCTTGTCATCCAGGCTGGAGTGCAATGGTGCCATTTCGGCTCACTGCAGCCTCCACTTCCTGGGTTCAAGCAATTCTCCTGCCTCAGCCTCCCCAGTAGCTGGGATTCCAGGCATGTGCCACCATGCCTGGCTAATTTTTGTATTTTTAGTAGAGACGGGGTTTCACCATGTTGGCCGGGTTGGTCTCAAACTCCTGACCGCAGATGATCCACTGGCCTCGGCCTCCCAAAGTGCTGGGATTACAGGCATGAGCCACTGTGCCCAGCTTAAGGTTATTTTCTTAACTATAATATTCTCATTTCAGATGCTGCTCCTCCTCATGGCATAGAAGGTTTTGTTGTTGTCATTGTTGTTGCTGTTTTTTATTCCCTTCTGCCAACTGTGATGTATTTTCACCAGTGCCGTAGGACAGCTTTATTGGTGTCCTTCACTCCTGCATGTTAGGGTTTTATTTCTTAAGAGAGATAGAGGACAAGGATCCCAATGGACTTCTGCCACCATTCTGCAGCAGCTGCCATTTCCCTCCCTGGCCCACACCATAAAGGAAGCTTTCTCAGGAGTCTCCCCAATCTTGTGTTTGTGTGTGTAAATCTATGTAATGTCTGTCTATCTATCTATCTATCATCTGTCTTCCTACTATTATGTAATCAATCTATGTAATCTATCTGTATAGCAGATATATATCACAGATAGATTTCTCTTCAAAACATTACAATTTTGAGCAGGTTGTTTCTTAATGATTTTCACTGTCTGAGTAGATGCTCTATTGAATTCTATCTTACTACTCTCCATATTTATTTACTGAATCCCAAGGAGGAAGAGTAAAATAAAAAACAATACAAAGAAAGAATGCTAAAATCAATAGACTTCAGCTGAAGTTCTAGCAGGAAACACTTTTGCATTCGTCACTTTGTGGCCAGTCCAAGTTCAATGTAATCAAAAGTTTACTTTGTGATTAAAATCAAGAAAATGGAGCTCTGAGTAAGAACAAGGTACAAAAAGCTAAATAAACCCCTTTCCATAAAGCCCATATAATAAAGGTATTTACCGTTTAAACAATACTCCATAATAAGTATATATTGTGTTTACCATTTCAAGATGAGGATTTCAACTTACATTATTACCAGCTGTGTGATCAAAGGGAAGTTTGTTAGAATGTTCTTGATTCATAATTTGATTTATAATAAAGATATGTTAATTCATATCTAATAGGAGTGTTGTTTGGGTTAAGGTAGTAATGAATGCAAAGAATTAAGCATAGCACTTGGCATCTAGGAGATCCACAATAAATGCTAATATAGTTACTAATTTTATCACTGCATAATATCATCATTACAGTGAGAAAGGGACACAAACATGATTCATGCTGATATAGATCTGACTTAATCTGTCCCCTGTTTTAAAAAATGCTGCTGAAACTGCTGACCTGAAATATGTAGAAATGCAGTAAAGTTTGATAGCATAGAAAAGGCCAAGATTGTACGGTGCAAAAGTGTAGTATATTAACGCCTAATGACCAATGAAAGTCAAAATCCTTTCCCTGACTTCTTATAGATTATTAATCTACTAAAAATGGAGAAAATAAATAATGTATAAATCATCAGTTCTAAGTGTAATTTTACGGATTAAAGGAGTGCAACTTTTACACAGATAAGAGAAAGTTTTCAGTGGTTTTTCTTTCCCCTTTGTTCACATGAATCACACTTTCCTTTGTGGATAATATGTACTATGTAAAATAATGGCATATCAGAACACCATATGCAACAACAATGTAAAAATACTGACATCAGAGCTTCTTGCTGTACCAAATTCTTGACTTTTTTCAGATATTTAGTTTCACTCATATTCAGACAAACTTTACTAAGGCAGAAAATGGTATAGCTTTCAATTTTACATTTGTAGATAAGTTTCCAAAGTGTTTGTAGAAATACTTTCAGAATTTAAATAATAAGTAAACCCTAGGATCTTATTGTTTGACCCAATTAAAGGTTAAGATTTAAGTGTGTTTTCAATAGCAAATTAAGGCTTCTCTCAAGTTAGAAAACTTAGAAAGTGGTTTTAATTTGAGAGTATATCATTCTTATCAAATTCATATAAGCTTTTTAATTAATACCTATCTTTCTTTCCAAATAACTCAGAAATTTGTTTATGAACTGGAACTATCACTGTGGATATTGAAAAGTATCACATAAAAGAGTGAAAACCATTTTGAAAATGGTTTCATTTACTCCCTTTAATCTTCTCACCTTATCTAGAAAAAGTGGCGGGACTTCAAACAATCTGTTTACCAAATGAATTCTCATTAGTTGTTGATGGACCAAAGAAGATTTAACTAAAGCAATCTTTATTGCTATAGAAAAACACAAGGCTAACACTGACATAAATCATGTTATGTGCACATATAGACATTCAAAATAAGGCAAAATAAGACCATTCTTAATATTGCAACACAGCAATATACAACACAGTTGTGCTATGGGAAGCAGGAGAAAATTGTGGACTAAGAAGTGTTCAAATTGGCTGCTTTCCTAATGGATTGGCCTCCAAAGCTGTAAGTAAGGAGCACAAAAAAATTAGCTATGTCATGCTGCTACCTCTGGTTGTCATGACTTTGAATGTTTGCACAAGGCTAAGGAAATAGCCGATGTCTTCACCTTTCTTTCTAATTCTCTCAATATGCCAAGCTTTGTGGCTTAGAAAACATAAATGCCATGAGGTTTAGGATGTGAACTAGTGTATACAGCCCACTCAAGAGAGCATCAAAACAGACCGAACTCTAATCTATGTACCCATACACTCACACATATATTTCTATCAAAGAACTTATCATGTTTTAATAACTCCCTTTCTTTCTCTTTCTCGAAAGAGACATCAAGAACTTGCATCATGGCTACATGCACGGTCCCAAATCCAGAGCCTTTAAATACATATTTGTTGAATAAATGAATTTTCTTTAACTATGAGGGCATTAAGATACCTCTCTAATAAAGAATTAAAACCCCTTTTTAAATGTTGCTTTCTTTTTTTGTATCTCTTCTTATAATAGGAACAAAGTTTGAATTTTGATAAAGTCCAATTTATCTACTTTTCTTTTATGCCTAGTGCTTTTTCTGTCCCATGTCTAATCTAAGAAATGTTGGCCTAATAAAAAGTTACAAAGATTTTTCTCTTATGTTTTCTCCCAGAAGTTTTAAAGTTTTTTTTTTGTATTTACATCCATGATTCATTTTGAGATTATTAATAATTTTTGTATATGGAATGAAATAAAGGTCAGGGTTAAGGATTTTTTATATGGATACTCAAATGTTGAAGCACCATTTAAAAATATACTACACTTTTGGAACTGAATTACTTTGGCAATTTTGTCTTTAAAAATTGACCCCAAAGTTACGGATTTATTTCTAGATTGTCTTTTATTATCTATCTGTCTATCCTTATTGAAATACGTCATTGAAATAAATCCTTTTTGAATATTATTCTATTGAAATATCTTGATTACAGTAGTTTTGTATACAATCTTAAAATCACATACTGTAAATGCTATAAATTTGTTTTCCAAAATAGTTTTTAAAATATTCTACATTCATTTTTATTTTCATACATGTTTTAGGATAAATATGATATTTTCTTTAAAAATCAAACTGAATCCTTCTGGGATCTAGATTGGGATCACAGTAAATCATTAGGAGAACTGACACCCAAGTAATCTTGAGTCTTTTGGGCAATTAACGTCTTATTTCTTTCTGTTTATTTAGGACATCTTTAATTTTTCCCAGAATAGCTTTCATTTGTCTCTGGACCTGTCTTGTATGTATTTTGTTAAATTTCTCTCTAAATATATCATGTTTTATGCCATTTAAAAAATAACAGCTTTATTAAAATATAATTTACATACCCAGATTTTACTATTTTAAGGCATTTTGACTTAATATGTCAAATTATATATTAGCACAGTGCAATAAAATTAGAAATCAATTTTAAGATAATAGCACAACACATTTTGTAGAATGCTGATATGGTTTGGCTGTGTCCCCATCCAAAATTCACCTCGATTTGTAATCCAAATCGTAATCTCACATGTTGAGGGAAGGGCCTGGTGGGAGGTAATTGGATTATTGAGGCAGTTTCCCCCATGTTGATCTCATGATAGTGTGTGAGTTCTCATGATATCTGGTTGTTTGATAAATATCTGGTGCTTCTCCCTCTCCTCTCTGTCTGTCTCTCTCTCTCTTGCCTGCTGCCATGTAAGATGTGCCTTGCTTCCCCTTTGCCTTCTGCCATGATTGTAAGTTTCCTGAGGCCTCCCCAGTCATGCAGAACTGTGAGTCAATTAAACCTCTTTTCTTTATAAATTACTCAGTCTCAGGCATTTTTATAGAAGTATGAAAATGGACTAATACAAATGTAGAAAGAAATTTTGTTAAAAGATAAATGGCTATCTCAAAAGAAAATGACAATTCAGCAACAAAGGATTAATTTCTTTACTACACATAACATTTCTACATATTAATAATAAAACAGAAA
This sequence comes from Homo sapiens, assembly GCF_000001405.40. NCBI lineage: Eukaryota > Metazoa > Chordata > Mammalia > Primates > Hominidae > Homo > Homo sapiens. The sequence goes on along the minus strand of NC_000003.12, from coordinate 151,790,685 downwards.
TGGCTTAATAGAAAAATTGAGGATTTATGTACTAACAGCTATGGAAAAATAAATTTAACTATATCCTAACCATATGTCACCTATTACGTCAAAGACTGCACATTATTCCCCTATACTCATTACCTTTATTCTCCATATATTTAGTCACTCTTTCAAATCTTTTATATCTTTATCGCTCTCTCTTTCTGAGGTAATCTACTTCTTGATAGCTATCTTCTAGTTTACTAGTATTCACTTCAGCTAAGTTGAATATGTTTTTTAAATCATCTTTTATGTTTTAATTTTCAATTGTTAATCTCCCAAGTGCTCAAGAATAATCATGACCACATAAATTCAAATCTCAAGAAACGCCCTCCAGCAAAATAGTTCAACAAGAACAAATAAAGCTACAAAGCCTCAAACTTCAAATTATCTCTAAGTAGAAAAGTAAACAGCAACTTTCAACAGAGTTGTTTCTCAAGTTCTTGCCTTGAAACTGTACAGAGAATGAGACCTGGGAGAGAATTGTCTGGGAAAGTTACACAGAAAAGAAAGGGAAATGAAAGGTCTAAGACTGAGCTAAAATCATCCCCCCAGAAAGAGAAAGTGAACCCAAAGCATGAAAAGCTTGTACAAAAGTCTGAGTGCTAGCTCATAAAACTTAGTGAAGATAATTAATAACAGGTGTGCACAGCTCATTGTGAGTGGTAACTAGGGGAGAAGATGGGAACCAGGGAAAAAGATGGTAAAGGGGAGGGAGTGGAGACCTTTAGAGACAAGGTGGGAAAGTGAAAAAGGAAAAAGAGAACTTGGTAAATAATTTCTAGCTTTTCTTCTAACTGTTTTTATATGAAATATAAACACTAACATGTAAAAAGAAAATATTTGAAGGTATAAAACCCACTGGTAAAATTAAGTACGTGAACAAACTCAGAACGTGATAATACTGTAGTTGTGGTGGGCAGTCCACTCACAACTCTAGTATGAAGCCCAGAATACAAATCTATCAAAAATAATAATACCTAGAACAACTTATTAAGAGATAGGCAATATCTATTCTATATTTAGGTTAAGTTATATGATGATATTATTCAGGACTTTTATGTTCCTATAAATTTGTCCCCTATTTGTTCTATAAAATGAGAGAAGAGTTTTGAAATCTTCAACTATAACTATGGGTTTATCAATTCTGTCTTCGGTTTAGTCTTTTTTTGCTTCCTATACTTTGAATCTCTGCTACTGGGTGTACACGCATTTCAGATCGTTTTGTCTTTCTCTGCTGTATCTTTGAAATGCCTCTCTTTATCCATAATTTTGTTTTGTTCTGAAAGTTACTTTGATATTAATATAGCCAATCCAGATTTCTTATGAATAGAATATGCATAGTATGTCTTATCCAATCATTTTACTTATATATCTACTTTTTTTTTTTTTTTTTTGAGACAGTCTCGCTCTCTTGCCCAGGCTGGAGTGCAGTGGCATGATCTCCGCTCACTGCAAGCTCCGCCTCCCAGGTTCACGCCACTCTCCTGCCTCAGCCTCCTGAATAGCTGGGACTACAGGCACCCGCCACCACGCCCGGCTAATTTTTGTATTTTTAGTAGAGACGGGGTTTCACCGTGTTAGCCAGGATGGTCTCAATCTGCTGACCTCGTGATCTGCCCGCCTCGGCCTCCCAAGGTGCTGAGATTACAGGCGCGAGCCACTGCACCCGGCCTGTATATCTACATTTTTACATTTACGAGGTTTTTTTTTTTTGCTTTTCTTAAAACAGTTGGACCTTCCATTTTAATCCAATTTGTTAATCTTTGATTTCTAATTTGATGCTCTGACCACTTGCATTTCATGTAATCATTGATATGGTTTGTCTTAAACGTTACTATTTGGTTTCTATGTATCCCGTGTTTTCTTTCTACCATTTTCCTCTTTTTAAGCCTTATTTCGAATTGAGTATTTCTTATAATTCTCTTTTACCTTCACCTGAGGTTTGTTACCAATATGTCTGTTTTATTATTTTTATTGGCTGCTCTGGAGTTCAGAAGGTCATATTTGAGGAGATAAGGGAGTGAGCCACGTGGGTATCTGAGGAAGGAGCATGGAAGATAGGGAGATGTCAATTGGAAAGTCTCAATGATAAGGCTGGAGCATTCCAGGGATGTTCAAATAACACTTAGGAGGCAAGTAAGACTAGTTAGAGAGCTTTCAGTCTGACATAGCTGAGAAGCCACTGGAGGATCTTGAACAGAGGAGTGTGACATCATTTGACTTCCATTTAAAAAAGATCATTTTCTGACATGTTGCAAATTGACTCTAAGGGTACAGGGTGGAAGGGGAGATATTGGTTAGAATGCTATTGGACTATTCTAAGCAAAAATTGGTAGTAGATTAGAGGAGGGTATTAGCAATGGAGTTTAGAAGAAAAAGGGGGTTGAATATCGGACATATTTTGGCCAAGAGGATTTGATAACGATATGTGTGACAGAATGAATAAAAAGAAAATAAAAAATAGCTAATTTTGTTTGCTCCTTTGTTTTGCTTTTGTTCTGAACAACTGAAATATGCAATTGCTACTTGCTGAAATAAGAAAGACAAAGATCAGAGGTTATTTGAGGGAGATCAGAAATTTGTTTGGGATTTTTATTTAAATCCAAGTGAGCTTGCCAAGTAAGCCATTGGATATATATTAAGCTGGATTTGAGAAGCTCCAGACTGAAGATATGACCTGGGGGGGTTGCCTTCTCTGTCATTTAAGGCCATGAGACTGAATGGCATCTCAGAGAATAAACTGCAGATAGAGAAGAGGCCTGAGTTCCAAGATCAGAAGCACCCTACTCAAAATAGATCAGAAAACAATAGATATAGTAACATGAGAGCCAGTGACTCAGAGGTAAGCAGAAGACTGCAAAACAGAAGGGAGGTTGGTGATCTAGCCTGCTACATCATTAACACTGACAAGAAGGATTTTGGTGGTTAGAGCAATTTTGGATAAAAGGTTGATTGGAGAAGATATGTAAGAAAGATTTGGAAGAAAGTGTATGGAGGCAGCAAATATAGACAGCTCTACTCAGTTTTTCTTTTTGTTTTGCTATAAAGGAAAATAGAGAAATATGGTGGAACTGGAAGGGGAAATAGAGTCATGAGAGATTTTTTTAAAGAGAGTGAAATTTTATCATATTTGTATTCTGGTGGAAATGATCCAGCAGTTAGCAATAAAGCAGAAGAAAAAAAGATAATTTCTAGAATATTGTCCTTGAGAAAGCAAAAGGGGATGAATCTAGTATACACTTAAGAGAATTTGGCCTCATATAAGAGCACAGTTTAGTTATAATAATAGGAGAGATTGACTTGGGGAAAATAATATGATTGATGGACAGCACTAAGGGCACACGGGAAGCTTGCCGTATTGAATTTACAATGAGAACATTGAAGCAGGATTATTTTATTCTATCATGCTCATCTGTGAAGGATAAAGGGTGATAGGGGAAGGAGAAAGAGATGGGGGAGAGAGAGAGAAAACCTGGGGGTATATATGCAAAGAAGTGATAATGACTGACTATACAACTTAATCTGAGTAATGAAGAAAATAAAAAAAATGTATATGAGCATAGAGAGGAAATATGAAATCCTGGTAAAATTCTCAAGCATTGTGGCTATTGAAGTATTAGTGGCAGTGGCCTACAAATACAGCAGGTTATAATCCGACAGTAGTCTATTTAATGCTGAGATTTTAGAGAGGTATAGTTTTTGTTAGTAACAAGGTCTAAGGCATGATTATAAGGACAAATGATTTGTGCAGAATAAAGGAATAGAGGACAGATGATTGGAAAAGAACAAGTCATAAAAATCAGAGTCCATGTTGCTGGCTGTATTATCTGTACAGATTTTGAAATCCTCAATTGTAATATTGGAGATATTACATTGTGGATATTGGAATGACAACAATAATGGATTTGGGTATTAGAGTGACAATGAGCTTAAATCTAAAATGCTTGAGACAGGAGTACCAGTGACTCAGAGGTAAGCAGATGACTACAAAATGGAAGGGAGATTGGTGATCTAGCCTGCTACAATAATTCAGAAGGCTGTAGGAGAGGTAACAGTCTGGGAGCAGCAATGAGCAAGGAAGACATCTACTGCACATTAAAATCCTGTAATATGAATAATGTGGAAGAAAAAAATAGAAGAAGCATGATCCTAAATTAAGTACTGAATCTCAGTTGAAAACTGATGGAAAACACTGACAAAAGCTTGAGGGTGTCACTCATAAATGAATCATGAGTCCCAGACAGCTCAGTGAAATTTATAGGAATTGGGGAGGGACTATGGAAAAGACAGAATAAGGTACAGGGAATGACTTTACAGGTATTAGGGTTTGGGAGATGAGGGTGACTTGGGAGTGATGATAGATGTAGAGAGGGATAAAAGCAATTAGTAAGAGCCAGGCCTGGTGACTTAGAATACAAAAAGCCAGTTGGTAAGGTAGGGGACACTCAATTATTTATCCTATTTTACTTTGAGGAAACCAAAGATAGGCACCAAGATGGATATTTGTACCAGAAAATGAATCTGCAGGTAAATAATTAAAGAATGTTATGTTGCTGTTGCTATCATTCCCTCACTCTACTGCGTCTTCGTTTTGGCAGGAGTCTTGGGAAAACATGGTATAACTAATACCAATTCATTTCATCATTATTGTTTATGTTGCTTTAATAAGGTTTTTTGTATCATAACTTATGTCTATATTTAAATGTATCTTCCTAACCCAAATTAAGACTATGTTCCCACCAGGGAACATAGATTATTTTGATTTATGGGCACCTGGTTTGAGGGAGGTAAAGGAATAGGGCATAGAGATCCAAATTAAAAAAAAAAAAACAGACAAATGCCTTCTTCAACTAATTGAGTACACAAATATTACTGTGATGCTCCATTGGGAGCTGTAGGTGTAATTCATTTATACATCCATTCCATGCATTATATGACCCCAGATATTTCTATATATTATTCACACATAATTTTAATCACTTACCCTAAAGAATTTGTGGCCTACTTCTTACTGCCTATCTACTACTTACATGATTTTACTGAATATTAGTTTTACTCAGAATGATGTGCTCAGATTAAAAAAAATGACTCCTCAGGCAACCTTAACAGCTAAGGCTGATCACATGAGATATAATTCTGTAGAATGACATATAAAAATGTATATGTATATGTATATGTATATGTATATGTATATGTATATGTATATGTATATGTATATGTATATGTATATGTATATGTATTGAGTGGGGCTTCCAGGAATGCTATTGTTTTTCCTGATATAATAGACAAAAATGGAAGTGTGTGATTTGCCCCACTGTCCCCACCAGTGCTTCCTGCCTGTCAACAGCTGAGCAGGAAAATAAAGAAAGCTTGGTTTCCAGTGGCTGTGAGGAAATTCTATGCTGGCCCTCAGCTGCCTTCCTCAATGCAGCTCCAAAACGATCAAACCTTACATACCATATGATCACTATGGCTTATTCTTTGTGGTCTTTCCCCCATACGGTGCCTATATGGACATAAGAAGTTTCAGAGATTTAAGTGTTTCAATTTGGTTGTATAATTTCTTCCGTGTCTTAAGCTTCGCTCACGACTATAAGCCACTGCCACATGTGGAGCTACTGCCTTATGCTGGCTTCGTGCCTACCTCAACCTCCCTAATTTCTCACACAATTAGAGCTGCCTTTCCCTAAAGTAACTGAAAGATCATTTGCATTAATGTTGGTATCCTAGTACTGGAAGAGATCTGTATTAAGAAGCAAATTTTACAGTGACAGGCAAACAGCATTATATTGAGGCAAATGCTTTTTAAAAGAGATGGCACATATTTCATATCAGTTCTCACAGGGAAACATTTTAAGTCTCTAAATTCATGTTGACTAAAACTGGCATTTTACAAATCAGACGTGTTTGTTTAAAACTTTCTTCTCATCTGTAATACTATTCGGCAATCAAAAAACTATAGCTGTAAACTAGAGATTTAACAAGTGAGTAATGGTAGCAGAAGAAAATACTAAAGTATCTTCACAGAAGTGAGTGAATAACAGGATAATAAATAAAATGGAGAAGAATTTGCTAGCGGCCAATAAATAAAAACAAAACCAAAACCCACTATGGCTATGAGGACCTTAGAAAGGTCACAGATGATAAAGACCAATTCAAACATCAACCCTTTGATTTTCACTAATTTGTTTCCTGTTCTGAGCCTTATACATTTTAAATAAACCATTGCTTACATTTTTACTATAGATTTTCACTTAGCCAACTCATATACTGATTTTCTATTCCATACTCAATTTTAAGCCCATTATAGGAAAGTGCTCCATGGAATCCATCTTCACTGTGGTTATGTGTCACTTGAACTCCAGAGTTCTAAAGTCGCGTGATGTACATGAGTCCATCATCTCTTAAGATGTCATATTGACAGGTGATGATATAGGACAGGGGTAAACCATGTAACTTGTCATTGGCCAACAAAGGGGCTGCCCTCACATCTAGGAACCCTGGATATTTTTTAGCTAGCTCAGAACTACCACGAGTTGGAATATAACAAAAGTGGCCTTTCTTAAACTTCTCAGTGAGCAAGGAACTCCAATTAACAAATCTGAACAGATGGTTTGATTCCATTGGTACATGTTGAAGAACATGACTTTTTCAAGTGATCTGTCTGTGGTAAAGTATTCCCTACAGAACCTGACCATGAATGGTTTGGACAGAACTAGAGAGTCTAGTTTTTTCTGATGTGATAGTAAATCCATGTCAAGCGTCTGAAGGGCAGGATATATTAAAGACTGAAGCTTGAGTTTGATCTTGACATCTGGGTCTTCTATGAGCTGAAAAACAATTAAAAATAAGTTTCTTGAATAATTTTCATTTGAAAACATTTTTATTTAAAAACAATATATTGATGTGCCATTAATTAAGATTCTCAACAAGATAATCAGAAACAACAAAAATGTATCTCAGGAACTTTCCCATTTTCAATATTATAGGAATCTATAATTTAATACTATTAATATAAGCAAAATGATTTGTGCTATTTTTTTCATTGGTGGGGAAAGAGACCATCTAATCTGTGATTAAAAAGCAAAATCTCAGTCTGGACACGGTGGCTCATGCCTGTAATCCCAGCACTTTGGGAGGCCAAGGTGGGTGGATCACCTGAGGTCAGGAGCTCGATACCAGCCTTGGCCAACATGGTAAAACCCCGTCTCTACTAAAAATAGAAAAATTAGCCAGCATGGTGGCACACGCCTGTAATCCCAGCTACTGGGGAGGCTGAGGCAGGAGAATCGCTTGGACCTGGGAGGCAGAGGTTGCAGTGAGCCGAGATTGTGCCACTGCACTCCAGCCTGGCCAACTGCACTCCAGCCTGGGTGACAAAGCAAGACTCCGTCTCAAAAACAAAAAACAAAAAACAAAAAACAAAAAAAAAAAAAAAGAAAAAGAAAAGGATCAAATAACTAAGAATTCTAATTTGGCTTTAACACTGAACGAATTAGTTCTGAGTAAGTCCTATAGTCCCTCTGTGAAACAGGTGGGTCAGATTGATTTGTTTTCTAAATGGGAGTATTCCAAGTGTGTTCTTTCTCTTCATGCTGCAATCATCTGTATAATTATCTTTTTTAATTTCTATAGGGCAGTGGTATCCTAATTAGAAAATAACTCTCTCAGGTGTTTTGTGGGAGATTGGGAGCCATAAATACAAAAATATTTATTAAAGTTGAGCAAGAACATATTAGGATTCTCATTCCTGCTATAAAAATCTAATTCATTTTAATTTTCATGTTTTAAATATTCAAATTATAGTGGTGTTAAGAGAAATATTATCTATAAATCAACATGCATATTTTCAGGGTGTGCTAAATGTTTCTTGTTAATGGGGTACTAAATTAGGGGAGTAGAGACCAGCAATTTGAGTTTTAAGAAGGACTTCAGGTGATTCTGATGCAAGTTAAAATTTGGGATCCACTGGTATAGGTCATAAATAGTGATTATTGAAGCTACATGCATTTGGGTGCTTCTCAGACCGAAGTTTAATGGGTAAATTGGAAGTCTATTTCTGAAAACTCGCAACAGCATTTTCTATATAGTGTTGAAGAAAGTACAGCATGCTGACATTCTTCCTTTAACATAAATATAACACTTTCTAAAAATAAAAAATAAAATAAAATATGCACATACAGCAGTAAAACCAAATAGCAGCAAATTTTATTTTATTACATTTAAAACAAAGTTAATAACGGGAACCACTTAGCAAAATAAAATATTTATAAGTCCATTAGAATATTTTTTATGTAAAAATAATTTCTGAATTTAAATAATCAGTTTAGTGTTATAGCTGAAGTAAGATTGCCACACACATTCCATTTAGCTCAATATCTAGTATGAAAGATGCTGTTTACATTAGTAGAGGTGTGGTAAATAATTAAGTAGGTAGCTAATAGGTGGCTGATTTTAGATAAGGAAAAACACAAAAATATTTTATGTTTTACCAATAAATTCAATTTTACAGGTAACTAAATCTTTGAATGTGCAGTTATTTTATTAATCCTTTATTATTAAATAAAATAAACATAGAAAATCAAGCACATAGGCTGGGCACGGTGGCTCACGCCTGTAATCCCAGTACTTTGGCAGGCCAAGGCAGGCGGATCACGAGGTCAAGAGATCGAGACCATCCTGGCCAACATGGTGAAACCCCGTCTCCACTAAAAATACAAAAGTTAGCTGGGCATAGTGGCGCACGCCTGTAGTCCCAGCTACTTGTGAGGCTGAGGCAGGAGAATTGCTTGAACCCGGGAGGCGGAGGTTGCAGTGAGCCGAGATGGCACCACAGCACTCCAGCTTGGCGACAGAGCGAGACTCCGTCAAAAAAAAAAAAAAGAAAAGAAAAGAAAGCACATAGCTTCATAAAACAGAAATGCAAAATAGAACAAATATTTGTAAGGTTCAGGGAGTTCACCATATGCCCTGAATTGATCATTTACCTTTCTTCCCTCCCAGAAATCATCACTCTTTATTTTATGGTATTTAACATTGCAAGTTTCTTTAGAATTATACCACCTGTGCGCATTTTTAATCCACGTAGGTTATCTGGTTAAGGAAATTCTATCTATTCCTAGTTAACCAATAATGATAACAATTATTGTGACTTTTCCCAAATTCTTTTTCTGCATCTAGTGAGATGCTATATCATTTTGCTTCTGTAATTTACTAATATGAGGGAAATTAACTGATTTTTATAAAATACAGTTTCCTTCCATTATTAGCAACTTGATAATGGTATATTTTGTTCATGTTGCTAATATCTTAGTTTTATGCGTGTTATTGGTTCATTGTTTTATTCCTGAAATTAATTTGCTCTTGTTTCCTGACAACAATCTGCTCTTGCTTGATTGGTTATAAAAAATATGCTTCTCTGAAAATAAATCAGAGAATATACACAGTTTTCCTATCCTCTGGCATACTTCATGTTTATTTGGAATTATTTCATCTTTGAATGTTTAACGTGTATTACCAATGAGGTTTTCTACTGGTACTGTATTTTGAGTATCTCTTATTCAAAATGCGTGGGACAAAAATGTTTCAGATTTCTGTTTTTTTTTTTTAATTTTATTTTGGAATATTTGTATCATACCTACTAGTTCAGCATCCCCAATCCAAAAAATTAATATCCAAAATGCTCTAGTTAGCATTTTCTTTGAGTGTCATATTGGTGCTCATAACATTTTACATTCTGGAGCATTTTGAATTTTGAATTTTCAAATTAGGGATATTCAACCTGTACTGATTTAATTATTTTAGTAGTTATTAAATGACTCAGATTTTTATTTCTCGTGTCTATCTGGTGAGTTATATTTTTCTTGGAATTTGATTATTTACATATTTTTCCATTTTGTTTTAATTGAAAAGTTTTTCAAAATATCTCTTTTAAGACTTACAGTGTGCATTATTAACTTATTAAAGGCTAATTCTTTTTTATTTCTGAAGGATCTACATACAATCTTACCCCTTTTTCAATTCTGTCATTAATCTGTTTCTCTCTGCTTGTCTTTCTAGAGATTTTACAATTTTATTCATCTTTTCAAAGTATTAAGTTTTTACTTTTCATTCATACTACTGAAGCTTGTTAGGAATATCATAATTTCTGATATTATCACTATTATTATCTCCTTTGTATTTTTAGGGACGTCTGTTCTTTTTTAAAAAGAATTATTGAGTCAGATACATAATTTTAGCCTTTCTTATTTTCTAATATATGCTTTTAAGGATATACAAATTCCTATAAATATTGCTCTAAATGTGGAGAACATTTAAAAGGTGTTTAAAAGATAATAAAAGCATCATAGCCCAGTACATCATCCATTTAAAAAAAAAAATCCTTGTGTGCTTGCTTGTTCCTCTGTTCTTTATACATCCATTACACGAAATGTGTTGTTATTCCAGCAGTCTTTCAGCTTACTATTATTGTTGTCTGCTTCTTATTTTAATTTTTGAAGGAGGTATCCTTAAATTTCTCGCTATCATTGTGGACTTGTGTATTTTTCCCTGCACTTCTGTTAATATTTTCTTCATTTATTTTAAGGCCATATTATTAAATCCACGCAGATTTAGGGTGTTGTATTTTCTTGGTAATTTAAACTTTTTCTGTAATGATGTAACCTTCTTTTTTAACCTAGCAATATCTTTAAATGTGTTTTTATGGTATGTATTTTCCACCCATTTACTTTCTAATTTTCTGCTTATGTCTTTAATGTGCCATTTATAAACTACATATGATCAGAAACTGTTTATTCAGCTACTCTGACAAACTTGGTTTTACAACCAGATCATTTAGGTCAGTTATATTTAATCTAATTATTAAAGTGTTTGGTTTCAACCTACTACCTCATTTTATTATCCTTTTTTTTCTATTTTTGCCTACTTTCGTATTAACCTTTCAATTATTGTATTTTTTCCTCTAACAGTTTAGAAATTATACAGTTTCTATACTTTAAATTGTTGTCCTCAGTGTTACAATGTGTTATTTATTAACTTCTCAAAGGGTAATGAACATATCAAATGCCAATTCTAACTTTCTATCTCCTTTAGGGTAATAAAAAGAGTTTATAACACTTAAAGTCCTTCCCACTTCTCTTATAGCTCCTTTTTTTCTTATATTTTAATGTTATATATGTTATTTTAAACTATCCAAGCTTATTAAGGTTTCTCTACATCTTATCACATTCTTGCCTTTTGCTTCTTCCTACATCTTAACCTTTTATCTGTGTTTTCATTTTGTCTAAAATGCTTTACTTAAAGTATCTTTCAATTTGTCCTATTAAGGACAGCAAACTGTCTTCATTCTCATTTATCTAAATATGTCTCTGTTTCTCCTTTATTCTTAAATAATATCTTTCTGAGGCATAAAATTAGGTTGGCCGTCATTTTTGTTCTGTACATTAATATTATCGTTCCACTGTCCTAGAGCTTACATTGTTGCTGTTGAGAAGTAAGCTTTTAGTATAACTGGTACTTCTGTAAAGGTACTATATGTATATATAAATTTTTGGTTTTTTTGAGATGGAGTTTTGCTCTTGTCACCCAGGTTGGAGTGCAGTGGCATGATCTTGGCTCACTGCAACCTCTGCCTCCCGAGTTTAAGAGAGTCTTCTGCCTCAGCCTCCCAAGTAGCTGAGATTACAGGCGCCCACCACCACGCCCAGCTATTTTTTTGTATTTTTCGTAGAGACATGGTTTCACCATGTTGGTCAGGCAGGTCTTGAACTCCTGACCTCAGGTGATCCACCCACCTTGGCCTCCCAAAGTGCTGGGATTACAGGCGTGAGCCACCGCACCCAGCCTACTGTTATATTTTTCAGTATCTCTTTCTCCCATTCTCTTACCTCTCTTTTTGGTATAACATTTAAAGCACTATTGGATTTTCAGACTGTATCTACTATATCTTTAATCTTCTTTTTTGTGTTATTTATCTTTTTGGCTCTTCAAGCTTCATTTTGCCTGTTACCTGAGTTGATATGACCCATCTTTCCCATCTATCAATTTACAAATGATCTCTTCAGCTGTGTAAAATTACTTATGCCATTTTTAAGGTTTTAATTTTTATAAGGTTATTACTTTGTTTTAGAATTTTTTTAAAAAAACCTCAAATTTTCTGCTGAAATTCGTAACCCTCATTTTGAATTCATTGAACAAAGTAGGACAGTTTTTTCATGTTGTATGGCTGATAGCTCTAATATCTAAATTTTGTAGAGCATTTCTATTGTCTGCTGATTCAACTTGCTTTCCTTCATTGTTTCTTGCTTACTTGTTTGCCCAAGTATATTTTATAGTGTTTGGGGCATTCAATTTCACAAGGTATTTGCAAGAATAATTTAAAGACTATGATGGTACTGTATTTCTCCAGCAATGCCTTTTATGTATTTCAGTCAATCACACAGTAGTAGTTACCACTCATACTACCTTAATTTAATTTAAATTCAAAGCTTGAGGTTCCTCTAGCCATCTGGATGATGTGCAGCAAGGCTTTAAATGGAAGTGCGTTTTGTTTTACATCAGGTTCACTTTGACTCTGAGAGTGTATTTCTACAGAGCATCACTTAAAGGGAGGAGTGATTTATGGGTGTACTCATATCTGCAAGGATTTGAATGTATAACCGTGAGAAACTCCCAAAGCTCACCTTGGTTTAATTGTTTCCTTTTGACTACCATATGCCTTTAGGGCAGAGAGGATGTTGAGTGCTAGAATTATTTTTTGTGAAGTTTTCTCTTTTTTAGTCTTTTAAAATTTTTGGCCTAGAAGTTTTCTATATCTTATTAGCCCTTTACAAGATATTTTAGCTAGATTTTTAATAATTATGGGTCAGAATTAACTGGTTCATCATTTCAGAAGTCTAAACTCTGTAAGAGGAAAGACTTATTATGTAATATAATAAAAAGAAATTGATGTTTGAAGAGATTAGGTGGCTTGTCTAAGGTCACAGCTGGACATTGCTTCAGCTCCAATAATCTGTGTCTCCTGACGGATTAATTGTACTGCACTAGGGGGCCTCTCGGAGCAACAATGTGTAGGCAATATAGGGTTCAATTTTGGGGAAGTTGCATGTATCTCTTCTATAGTATATTAGAATGAATCACAAAATTTGTATTTTTCCTTTGGCTAGAAATCAGAAAAAGGTTATCGTGAATGTACCAATAACCAAAATTTATACATTTCCAAAGTATATAAAATAAATAATAAAAGCAGCAAAAACAATATTTTTTGCACAGTAAATTTAGATGTGACATTTATTATCAAAGTCAGTTATTCAAGTGCAGAATCAGTTATTAAACTATAGACATTAATTTGCAAAGTTTATGTAATTATTTTTCCCTATAGAAACATTGCTTCTAAGACATCACTGCCTGGTTTATTATGTCAAAAAAAAAAACAGTAACAAAAACAATTTTATCCATAATATAGTAGGCTAGTTATAATTATGGAATACTTTAAATTGACAACTCATAGGTGTGCAATTTTAGCTAAATATCATATAAATAGTGTGAATAATATATGAAAAGTATAATTCCTTCTGCAAGTATATGGTATCTATGAATCTGCTAACATTTTTTTCTAAAAATTTTATCTGAAATAAATATATTTAAGCATAGGATATTTAAGAAATAAAACAAATCCGAGCATCATACCAGTTGGGTCACTGCTGCAGCTAAATTTCCACCAGCAGTGTCTCCAGAAATGCCAATTCTTTTAGGCTCTCTACGATATTTTTCAAGAATATCTTGGCATAACAACCATCTTAGTGCATTATATACATCTTCAAATTGATCTGGAAAATGATATTTAGGTGCTATTCTGTAGCTGTGGGCAGAATAACAATTTTTAAGTCAACTATTTTTAATTAAAAAGTATATGATTTTCTGCTCACTCTAACCCTAAAATCAAAAGTAATTTTTGCTTTAGCAAACCTGATACTTTGGGTCATCAGAAATCCAAAAACAGGTTTCATCCTTATGATGATGCCCTATATGAAAACTTTTACAAAGGTCATTTACACAAGTAAATTCATTAATACAAAACTTGGATTAGGTTTAAGGAAAAAACAAACACAAGCAGGTGTTACGTTTCCCTAGATAAATTTCTTCCAGAATGTTTTTTTTCTGTGATCATTACACTTTGGTGGTAACCAATAAATGGTAAGCAAATTTTCAGAACTGTTAGATTCTACTTTAATCTAATGTTCAGATGGCATATGGTCACTACTGTGTTTTTTCATATGGGTTCTTCATTTTTCTACTCATTTTTATTGGGTGCATTTTCCAGTAATTATTGATCTAGCATGCTTTTTGAGAATAGATTTTGCTTGTGTTCCCATGTGCAATTTGGTGGCTAATTGCTTTTAGTGAAGGATTTTACTCTGACATACCTTGTAGTACCTTTGCTTTATCATCTAATCCTCAAAACAACCCTATTATGTAGAAAATATTATATGATTCCCAGTTTAAAGATGAGGAAACTAAGCTAAAGAGATCACATTCAACTTGTACAAAGTCGCAGAATCAATTTTAGAACCCAGATTTGAACCTGATTCTCTGATTTCAAAGCCCTCATTCTTATTAACTCTGCTAGTGAAAACTAGGCTGGAAATCCAGCAGAAGTAATTTGTCCATAAGATCCAATAGTTTAATTGTATTCTAATTATTTCTAAACTTCCTGTTTCTGATTCCTGTTTGATCTGATTTGTTATTTCCCGTGTCTGTTCCTGTAACGCTCAACCTCATTTTCTCTGTGCTCACTTTCTCAATTTCTTGGCATAACCAAAGAAAGACCAAAAAAGCTGAGAGCATTTTCCTATATAAAGCATCTGGCCAAAACCCAAACAAACCATGAGTGCTCTTACTTGGTTGATACAACAACAGCATTAAGTCTATCAGCTGTTCATCTTGACAGAAAGTCATAATTAAACAAAGCTGAAATTAAAAAAAAAAAGGCAGCCAAATGAATTGATGAGTGTTTTTTTTCAAGAGAAAACCTACTAGTACACCTTGTTCCTCACTGATATACTCTAGAGAAAATATTTCTAATATTTTATCTTAATTATAGAACATGAATTCTTCCCAGTGTTCCTTTTACATGTGCATTGTCAGCTTTTTCATCCATTCGTACATTTTTACACTGGATCATTTAAGCCAATTTTCTCTCCTCAAGATTAATCTCTGTCTCCTTCATTTAACAGGTCTTAGGTCTTGAAAGTACAAACACATATATATTAACTCCAACTTTAAGGAAGTCACAGTCTACTGGAGACAGGGGTAGGGAGGACAGGCATACAAACCAAAAGCAATAATGCAAAATAATAGTTTCTTTAATGGAGTACAGAAAATGCTCTTTGGAAATCAAATTAGACTTCACAGAAACTCCCAGAGAAAGATAGAGAAGAGTAAACAGGAAGTAGAGAGAGCTAAGACTTGAATTAGGTATTCATATTTTCTTGGCAGACAAGAAAGAATGTGTTTTCTTCTGTTTTGTTGTTTGTTTTGTTTTGGTATGTGTATGGATTGGGGATGGGTCACACTTGTTTGCTATGGGGCTTGGGCAAATGCTTCCTTTT
Organism: Homo sapiens; assembly: GCF_000001405.40. Taxonomy (NCBI): domain Eukaryota; kingdom Metazoa; phylum Chordata; class Mammalia; order Primates; family Hominidae; genus Homo; species Homo sapiens. The sequence continues at coordinate 151,775,053 of NC_000003.12, read as the reverse complement.
GCAGATAAGAAAATTGTTAAAAGATAAATAGAATTTGGTAGTAACAAGTGTCAGGAGAAATCATACAGTAGTGAAGGAGAAGTAACAGGATATGAGGTTCTTACAAAACCTATCTCTTGGGGGCCATGGAAAGAGGAGTAGATATTATTATCTTGTGATGTTTCCAAAACTAGGTGCCGAGTATTATTGACATGTCAAATACACACTAAGTCTTAAGTTCTTATTTAACCTTTACTATAAAAAGTCATGCTCATATTTTTGATTGGAATACATATTTTTATGTTTTCTTTAATATTGAAATAGAAAGTATCAGACAAATGTTATTTTTTTCTAGGTTTATTCTTATTTAATTCCTTTACTTTAGTAAACATATTTTCATTCTTCACAGATACTTTGATGTAAAAGTTTTCAAAGAAATGCTTTGGGCAGAAGAGACTCATGGAAACTGGTATGTCATACTCAGGTTTTGTGTTAGAAACATCACTGCATTGTTAAATGATGACTTTACTATCTGAATTTAGAGAAAATGATAGAATCACTCCATTTACTGCTCCAATTTACATTCCCAATCTACATCAATACCCATCAGCACCTATTTTTCTTCTGTCACAAATGAAGATATGTCCCTTCTCCTGTGTTTTGCCAATTCTTCCCATCTGCATTGAATCCAATTTGCTTCCACATTCTCTAGGTCAGATAAACCCCCATCCCTTCTTCTACCTACCACTCCCTGCGTTTCTCCAATGTACCTCAATTTACCACCATCTTAACTTCAGCTTATAATCATGTTCATAGACCTCCCATACATAATTATAAAATATGTATAATAGAAAACATATAATATAAAATATATTTATATACAAATAAAATAATTTTAGATTCTATAGCAAATAAAATTATATATAAAATATAAATATTTATATAAATACATGAGTGCATTAAACAAAATATATATGATATAATATGAAATCAAAATAAAATACCCCTATTCAACTCTATTTTTTAAATCTAGCGCCTTCTTTCTCATTTCCTTAATATTTAAGCTTATGAGAAGACTATAGTTACCATTTCTATTTCCTCATATTTAATCCACTGTTCAACTCACCTCATTGTTTTCTACTGCAACTTTCTATCAAATCTGCAATTAATAATAAATGTCTAAGTGCGTGAAACACATTCTCTTCTTACCTGAGATTTGCTACAGCTTTTGGTATTTATTATGCCCTCTTTCAGAATGAGATTTAAAATAGTTCTTTTAAATCTACATAGCTCCAAAGAAATAAATTTTGGACAGCTGAAGTGTTTTGTTATCTAACATGTTTGTCTTGATATGATGGAGTCAACATTTCAGTAAAATGTATGTTATATGATAAACTAAAACTTTTAATATGGAACACATACCAGCATCCCCCATACACCAACCACCACCATGAATATAAACTAAGCCCGTTCTTAGTATCTCTGACTTTAGTGTTGGCATGTATACACGGACAGGAATGTTACTGAAAGTTGTCTCTATCATGGTGACATTTTCATCAGATGTAGGTGGGACTTCTTGAAAGCTCACAAAGAACGTTGCAGTATTCATGAAATGATTGATTCCCAAGAGTTCAACTAACAAAGCCTAAAAGGAGATATAGGAAAAAAAAGTACTAGTTTACAAATATCAAATGCCAGCGTTGCTTATGAACACAGAACTATGCATAGGTATTCCCAATGGTCCTGTCTGGTAGTCTCACAGGTGAATCTGAATGGCACAACTGGAAATACTGGAGGTTTAGTGGTGTTGCCACATAGTTGCCTTAGGTTAAAAAAAAAAGTAAAGAATTACTGAGGAATTACAACTTGATGGATTCCATGCTAGACAGTTTGAATTACAAAGATAAGTAAGACAAGTTCTCTTTTCTAAAGAAGCTCAGATTCAAGAAGGAAAAATAGATGTATTAGCAATTACAAAACAACATCACTGCATATCTCATAGATATGTACAAAGAACTTTGGCAGTGGTCAGTGGGCCAACTAGCTGCCTGGATGAGAAGTGAAAAGGAGTGGGTGAGCTCTGATATGAGTACTGAAAGGGGAGTAGAGTTTGGCCAAAGGGGAAAATCTCATGCTAGGCCAAAGCAATCGCCACAAGGACACTTCTATTGTAATCAGAGAAATGCATGTAGTTTGGTAAAGCAATAAAGATGTCTGTACAAGGATCCATGAAAGAAAAGGGACCTCCGGAGGTGAATATGAGCCAAATCCTAATGGACCTATAATGTTGGGATTCCAAGGATGAGAAAAACTTGCTTTCCTATCTTAAGTTGGAAACATGTGGATTAAAGGGCTGGGTGATCAAACAACTAGCTGAACCTCTTTCCTATTAATGCAAATTAAATAAGTACAAAAGAAATAACAAAATTGTCTATTTTCAATACTAAATTGTCCCCACCCTATTCCTGAAGAGGAAGTCAGGAAATAGCAGTTCCCAGAACTCCTTGGTAGAACTCAGAAAAGGAATAAGGCAAAAAAGACAAATAACTTCAGAAATAAAACCAAGGTAAAGAAACTCAAGGTATTATATAAGATAGAAACGAAAAAGCAAACACAAGGAAGTGAAATGTAAAAAGAGACTAAGCACTTTCAAGAGAAATGACATTATTTTAGCGTATAAATATATATATATACACATAATAAATACAAATAATAAAGCAAAACAATGACCCAAAATAAATATTTTTATAAATAATTCCAGAATAACTTTTTAAAAATAAGACTTGAAGCTATATTCCAGTGAAACTGACCCAAGTCCAGTAACAACATACACTGGACCATTTAGCAAGTTTGAACTGAGTGAGTCTACTTACACACAGATTTTTAAAAATTAAACTTGAGGATGAAAAATATAATATATGTGGTATGCAAAACCCGTATATACAGAGGACCAACTCTATATGCTAATAAAATGACTAGAAAATTAAGTAACTAATAGAAAATGAAAATGTGGGGCTGAATGTAGTGGCTGATGCCTCTAGTCCCAGCGTGTTGGAGGCAAAGGTTTGGGGGATTGCTTGAGGCCAGGAGTTTAAAACCAGCCTGGGAAACAGAACAAGACCCCATCTCTACAAAAAATGTTTAAAAAAATAACTAAGCATGGTGGCATGTGCCTATAGCCCTAACTGCTCAGGAGGCCAAGTAGTGGGAGGATCACTTGAGCCCAGGAGTTCCAGGCTGCAAGAAGCTATGATCACCACTGCACTCCATCCTGGGCAACAGAGAGATCAAGAACCCGTCTTTAAAACAAACAAACAAACAAAAAACCACAAAGAGGGCTGGGCGTGGTGGCTCATGCCTGTAATCCCAGCACTTTGGGAGGTCGAGGTGGGCGGGTCACCTGAGGTCGGGGGGTTCGAGACCAGCATGGCCAACATGGCGAAACTCCGTCTCTACTAAAAATAGAAAAATGCACTGGGTGCGGTGGCGCATGCCTGTAATCCCAGCTACTTGGGAGGCTGAGGCAGGAGAATCACTTGAACCCAGGAGACAGAGGTTGCAATGAGCTGAGATTGGACCACTGCACTCCAGCCTGGGCAATAGAGCAAGACTCTGTCTCTAAAAAAAACATAAAAATAGAAAAACAAACAAACAAAAACCTTGAGAATAAGGCATGTATCACACTTATTCAGAGCTGCATTAAATGCCAGTAGAGAATGTTGAAACACCTAAAAAATATATGCAAGGAAACAGAGTGTGAGCCAAGTGTTAAATATCCAGGCTAAGTGTCCTTGAATTATCTTTTTCTTTTGCTACAAGAAGGCAGTTTGCTACAGAGAAGTTTCCAGGAAATCATGAATGGCTTCATATCCAAGTAGTTAGCCTCACTAGAAAAAAACCACAGGTCTCCGAGGGCCAGTGTGGACACTGGGGGCAGCCAGCCAGGGAGCTGCCCTGTCGCCTCAGCGGCTCACTCTCCTTCAACTGAGAATCATGCCGTGTGTTCAATTTCCCTTGACCTTTTACCAGTTGACCTTTTGACAGAATATTTCAGTGAGAATGCATTTTCATGCCTGAATCCAAGATTGTTGTGTAGAATTTTCTATAACTAATCACAGTGCTGCTCAATTCTACCTTTTCTGAAGTTTATACTTCATAAATGCTTCATTCTGTCAGTATTCATGCCATGAAAATCACAGTAAGATTGTTTTTCTCAGCCAGCATATTTTGTTTTCTAATATTTAAAATTAAAATTACTTGAATACTTCCTTCATACTTATTCTGTTAGGGATTTGTGTTAAAGAATGAAGTTTGTTTTTTTTTTTAAGGTTTGAAAATCGTCAAGCAAACTTTAAGAGCAAAATTTCCAAGACAGCAGAAAGTTTTAAAAATAATATAGCTGGTAATTATTTTCTCCTGATTAAACTTAAATATTCACAGAGACAATGAAATTCTGAACTTACCAAATTTGTTACCATTTTCACAGGTGTAGCTATCCACACCAGTCACCAGAGTTCCTCAATATTATCTGAGAGAGGAGTATAAACATAATATGCCCCAAGGACCCCTGCAATCAGAAACAAAATAGTCTTTCTTCCCATGATGTTTCCCTTCTGCTCTTTCTACTTTGGCAACACAGCAAATACTTGTTTGAAACATGCAGTGGCTGAATTTTCATTGTTTTAAGCCCTGCCATAAAGTGTTACATAACTTCCTGAGTACAAATTCCACTGTTCAGTTTTCATTTCATGGGCAGACCCTAAATAAATATACTTAGCAGAAATACAAAGGCGAGCTCTGAGAAACAATCAGCACTTATTTTCTGCAAGTTCTGTCAAATCCAACAGCCTTATTACGTTGCTAGGCAGTTAGTAAACAAACATTTAATGCACAATTACTAAGAGCTGAATACCTTATTTTTAAAAAGGCCATGTGACAGTGCAAGAAACGCAGTGTATGTCTCAAATAACAAACCTTCGAGTAAGGAAGAACAAACAGAATTTTTTCGTTGTTGTTATGTTTTGTTTTGTTTTTTTGAGATGAGAATCTCACTCTGTCGCCCAGGCTGGAGTGCAGTGGCACGATCTCCACTCACTGCTACCTCCGCCTCAAGGGTTCAAGCAATTCTCCTGCCTCAGCCTCTCAAGTAGCTGAGATTACAGGTGCACACCACCACGCCTGGCTAATTTTTGTATTTCTAATAGAGATGGGGTTTCACCATGTTGGCCAGGCTGGTCTCGAACTCCTGACCTCAGGTGATCCATGCGCCTAGGCCTCTAAAACTCCTGGGATTACAGGTGTGAGCCACCGCACCTGGCCCAAACAGAATATTTTAAAACTTACAATCATGGTGGAAGGGGAAACCGGCACAACTTCACATGGTGGAGCAGGAGAGAGAGCAAGTGAAGGGAGAGGTGCTACACACTTTCAGACAACAAGATCTCATGAGAACTCTATCACAAGAACAGCATGGGGTAAGTCTGCCTCATGATACAATCACTTCCCACCAGGACCCTCCTTTAATATGAGATTTCAGTGGGGACACAGAGCCAAACCATATCAACATCTAAACCTAGAAACTGTATAATAAAAATACAATATTACAATCCTTTGAGACCACCATCAATATGTGCAGTCTTTCACTGACCAAAACATTGCTATGGGTGTACGACTGAATGTAGATGCAGATATATGTATGTATAAAACAGGAAACATATTGTGGAAATTGGCTCTTGTGATTGGAGAGGTGTAGTAGTTCCACTATCTGTCATCTTCAAGCTGGAGAACCAGGAAAGCCGATAATGTAATTCAGCCTGAGTCTGAGGCCTGAGAACCAATGCTGTAACTCCCAACCTAAGTCTGAAGTTGTTATTAACCTCTGCATTTCTATCTTTTTAAATTTGAGGATAATTGCTTTATGGCCAAGAATTAAAAAAAAAAAAGTTTAATGTGTACTTTACTTTAAAAGAATGTGTATTATGACATTATTTGGTATGGGTTCAATTTGTGTAAATTAAGTCAGTAGTATTAACTGTGTTATTGAAACTTTTTTTTTTTTACTTAATTTTTGTGTTTTTCTATCGGTTACTGAAAAAATGAGTTAAAATCTTCTACACAGGTTCTCAGCTTTTGAAAATCCCCAAATCTCCTTAGAAGAACTCACAGAGAAATAAAACAAAACCAAAAACCTATGGACAACATAATATGAAGAAAAATATGAGGCAAAAATATAACAACAAACCAACTTCCAAGTATCTATGTTGGAAATAATTTACCAACAACTACAAGGCCTGTGTGGTATAATCTTCCCTATGTGCAGGTGGAAGCAGAGGAAAGCGATGAAGTATTTGACAGAATAAGAATTAACCAACAAATATTCACCTGAAATTGTGGTTACAAATCTGAGAAAACAGTTGAAACTGGCTGGGGTTTGCATAGTCTTATGCTGTGTAAGCTATCTGCAGTGTGACCTGAAGGGGTTGGAACAGGCTGGGCCCTACTGTCCCTCAACACTAATCAACCAAAGGTTCTTCCAGGGAAGAACCCCACACTGAGAAGAAACTAAGAATCTAAATTAAGCAGGAAATGGGGAAAGAAGTGGATTAAATTGTGGGAATAAAATGGAATATTTCATAAGAACAACAGAAGAGGAAGTTATTAATAGAAAATATACAAAATCATGGTTCCTTTCTAAGGAACTAACTTCTAAGCTAATGAATTTCCTGTGAAAATGAGCCTCAGAAATAACTGAGGTTAAATATCATTCAGAGTTATTATAATAGCAAAATAATAAGCAAAATAACCTCTTTATAGACAATTAAAGCCCACAAAGCAGAGGAAAACTATATCCTAATGTTTTAAAATTAGCCAAAGTCATTAACACAATAACCTGCCATGTGAAAGAACATCATAAACCAGAATTATGAAAACTCAGAAATTAGTCAATAACACAATAAATAACCCCCTGAACAAATGAAAGAACAAACAAACAACACCATTTCAAAAATAAAGACTAGACCAAAATGGGCACAAAGGAGAATAAAAATTATATAAAGCTACAAGGAATACAGAAAATGTCATAGGGGAAATACAGCGTGAAAATGAGATAGAAGTTTCAAATAAAAGGAAGTTAACGGCTACATGCTCTATGATTCATTTTTATGAAATCCGGAAAAAGGTAAATTTACAGAAAAAATGGATCAGTAGTTTCTGTGGGGCTGAGGGCAAAAAAAGGGTTTGACTACAAGGGAGAAATAGGAGAAAACGTTTTCAAGCTATGAAGCTTTTCTGTGCCTCAGTTATGGTGAAATTTACATGATGGTATACATTCTTCAAGACACACAGGATTGTATACCAAATATGGTGAACTTTATAGTATATAAACATGTAAGTGAATGCAAAAAGAAATTAGGATCAAAATTAGAATGACTTTTAAAAAAACAGCAAATGATGAAGACAGGGAAAGAACATCCAACATAGATAGAATGATATTTTACATGAAAGAAAAACCAAAGCAAGGGAATGGAACAATTATTAAAAACTATATTTCAAGATATTCCTGAAATCTTAAAAAAATTAAGATTTGAAACTGCGTATTAATGAGGTAAACAACATAACTGGGAAAAAATTTAAAGCATAGTAGCCAATACTGACATATTCTATTAATAGTAAGATTATTAGACTTAAAAAATCCCTTGCACAGGCCAGGCTCAGTGGCTCACACCTGTAATCCCAACACTTTCGGGGGCTGAAGCCAATGAATCACGAGGTCAGGAGTTGGAGACCAACCGGGCCAACATGGTGAAGCCCTGTCTCTACTAAAAATATAAAAATTAGCCAAGTGTGGTGGCACACGCCTGTAATCCCAGCTACTTAGAAGGCTGAGACAGGAGAATCATTTGAACCCGGGAGGCGGAGGTTGCAGTGAGCCGAGATCGTGCCACTGCGCTCCACCCTAGGACAGAGCGAGACTCTGTCTTTAAAAAAAAAAAAAAATCCCTTGCACATAAAAAAAAAAACCGAATAACTTATATAATAGAAGAAAGAAAAATCTGATTGTCTTCAGATATTATATAGCAATTTTTAGACCAAAAGGAAATTTTATATATAAATACATCTCGACACATTGATATAAATAAATAATTGAATAAATAAACAAATGAAAGAGAAGAGACAAGTCTTCCTTACGGAAGAATTCCTAATAATTTATGTAGCTCTTACCCTATAGGAGATAAAGTTCAATTTTCCCTGCTCCTTGAGTGTGGGCTGAACTTAATGAGTTGCTTCTAAGGAATACGGAAAGATGGAGGAAAAAGTAATTTTATAGTAGAGACTCCTGGGAAAAACTGCCTTGGCCAAATGAATAAGGTTAATATCATCAGCTATGAGTCATGGTGATAGCATTGTTTTCCCTGATGTGATATGAAAAGGTCATTGCTCCTGTGGGGTCTTCCGTTCAAACCCATGATCCAGACTGATTATGAGAAAACATAAGACAAATACAAATTGAGGGACATTTCACAAAATACCTGATGAGTACTCCTCAAAACTATGAAGTCATGAAAAATAAGCAAACACTGAGAAATTGTCATAGACCAGAGAAGTCTAAACAGATGTGACAAATAGAAACAATGGGTCATCCTAGATTAAATTCTAGAATTGAACAAGGCCATGACTGGAAAAAATATTGAAATTTTTGAAAAAGTCTGGAGTTTAGTTAACAGTAATATACTAATGTTGGTTTCTTATTTTTGGCAAATGTATTATGGTTATGCAATATGTTAACAATAGGGGAAATGGGTGAAAGTAATACAGAAATTCTCTATACCATCTGTGCAATTTTTCTGAAAATCTAAATATTATTTCAAAATAAAAAGTTTATTTTTACAAAATGGGGAGCAAATGGAGAGAACGCATGCAAAACATTTTAAACTGTTTTCAATACTCACACTGCTGGATGTATTGGTATGTAATTCTAAAAATGTCTTCTGTGTAATGTGTGATAAAGCAGGTGAAAAAACAATACAATTCTGTTGTCTCCAGTGTATATGAGAAGCAGGAATCTTAGTGTGAAGAAAAGAAGATATAGATATAAGATAAAAAGGTTGATAAACTCATTTGAATTGGAAATAGTATGAATTCAAGAGATATGAGTGATAATAGTCATCACTTCCTATTTACAATTTCAACAGGAAATTGTTTTGTGATTCATTATTTATGATAACCCTTTCCATTGTGCTTGGTCATTTCACCTTCATCATGTTAAGGAATCTATTCATGTTTCCTCAGATTTACATACATTAGGACCAGCTATTAATTTTATCATGCCTTTTCCTTAATTGGTTCATTCATATGGTTCTTCTCCATTAATTCCTTTTCTTTTTTTTTTTTTGTTTGTGCTCTGCTAAATCTATAAATTTTTTGATGTAATAAACTATATTGATATATATTCTGGTACTGAGTCACTATGGCATGCCTGCCTGCTCAAATTGTATTTTCTTTTGATACATTGCTGGATTGCTTCCTAAAAAGAATTGGAATGTTTTTATTGTTTTTCTGTCACTTGGAATAATTTCAATTACAGTAGAATTAATCAGTTTTAAATAACTCATGCTATTGTGATAAAACTCATATTACTATGAATCCATCTGTTGCTGATGCCTTCTCCAGTGATTATTACTAATTAATTTTCCAATTTTTCTCAGCTTTATAAATTAAGGGAAGGTCGTTTTTTTTTTTTGCAGCTATGGTGATTTTTTTTCCAGTAATTACTTGTTTTTTTTTTTTAACTTTTATTTTAGGTTCAAGGGTACATGTGCAGGTTTGTTACATAGCTAAACTCATGTCACAAGGGTCTGTTGTACAGATTATTTCATCAGTCAGGTACTAAGCCTAGTACTCAATTGTTATTTTTCTGCTTCTCTCTCTACTTCCACCCTCCACCCTTAAGTAGGCTCCAGTGTCTGTTATTTCCTTCTTTGTGTCCATGAGTTCTCATCATTTAGCTCTCACTTATAAGTGAGTACACACAGCATTTGGTTTTCTGTTTCTGCATTAATTAGCTGAGTATAATGGCCTCCAGCTCTATCCATGTTCCCACAAAAGACATGATCTCATTCTTTTTTATGGCTGCATAGTATTCCATGGTATATATGTACCACATTTTCTGTATCCATTCTGTCACTGGTGGACATTTAGGTTGATTCCATGACTTTGCTATTGTGAATAGTGCTGCAATGAACATTCACATGCATATGTCTTTATGGTAGAATGGTTTATATTCCTCTGGGTGTATACCCAGTTATGGGATTGCTGGGTCAAATAATAGTTCTGTTTTTAGCTCGTTAAGGAATCTCCACACTGATTTCCACAATGGTTGAACTAATGTATACTCCCAACAATGTAGAAGCATTCCCTTTTTTCTGCAACCTCACCAGCATCTGTTATTTTTTTTTTTTTGACTTCTTAATAATAGCCATTCTTACTGGCATGAGATGATATTTCATTGTGGTTTTGATTTGCATTTCTCTAATGATCAGTGATATTAAGCTTTTTTTATATGCTTTTTGGCCACATGTATGTCTTCTTTTGAAAAGTGGTATCTGTTCATATCCTTTGCCCACTTTTTAATGGGGTTATTTGTTTTCCTCTTGTAAATTTAAGTTTCTTATAGATGCTGGATATTAGACCTTTGTCAGATGCATAGTTTGCAAATATTTTCTCTCATTCTGTAGATTGTCTGTTTACTCTGTTGATAGTTTCTTTTGCTGTGCAGAAACTCTTAAGTTTAATTAGATGCCATTTGTCAATTTTTGCTTTTGTCACGTTTGCTGTTGGCATCTTCATCGTGAAATTTTTGCCTGTTCCTATGTCCAGAATGGTATTGACTAGGTTGTCTTCAAGGGTTTTTATAGTTTTGGGTTTAACATTTAAGTCTTTAATCAATCTTGACCTGATGTTTATATATGGTGTAAGAAAGGGGTTCAGTTTCAATCTTCTGGATATGGTTAGCCAGTTATTTCAGCACCATTTTATTAAATAGGGAGTCATTTCCCCATTGCTTGTTTCTGTCAGCTTTGTTGAAGATCAGTTGGTCACAAGTGTGAAACCTTATTTCTGGGCTCTCTATTCTGTTTCATTGGTCTGTGTGTCTGTTTTTGTACCAGTACCATGCCGTTTGAGCCATCTGTGACAAACCCACACTCAACACCATACTGAAAGGGCAAAAGCTGGAAGCATTCCCCTTGAAAACTGGCAGAAGAAAAGGATGCCCTCTCTCACTACCTATTCAGCAGAGTATTGGAAGTCCTGGCCAGAGCAATCAGGCAAGAGAAAGAAATAAAGGGCATACAAATAGGAAGAGAGGAAGTCAAATTATTCCTGTTTGCAGATGACATAATTCTATATCTAGAAAACCCCATAATCTTGGCCCAAAGCTCCTTCAGTTGATAAACAACTTCAGCAAAGTTATAGGATACAGAATCAATGTACAAAAATCACTAGCATTCCTATACACCAACAACAGCAAAGCTAAGAGCCAAATCAGGAATACAATCCCATTCACAATTGCCACAAAAAGAATAAAATACCTTGGAACACAGCTAACAAGGGAGGTGAAAGATCTCTACAATGGGAGTTACAAAACACTGCTCAAAGAAATCAGAGATGACACAAACAAATGGAAAAACAGCCCATGCTCAAGGATAGGAAGAATCAATATCATTAAAATGGCCCTACTGCCTAAAGCATTGTATAGATTGAATGCTATTCCTATCAAACTACCAATAACATTCTCTGCAGAAGTAGAAAAAACAATTTTAAAATTCATTTGAAACCAAAAAAGAGTCTGAATAGCCAAGGCAATCCTAGGCAAAAGGAACAAAGCTAGAGGTATCAAGTTACCTGACTTCAAACTATACTATAGGGAGTGTCATTTTTTCCCCCTATTTATATCTCACCCACGCCCTCTAGGTTTTATATATGTGCCCCCAATAGCACATGGCAGTCACACAATTATTTCCATACCTTCTGTCTTCTTTTTCATTCCCAATATTTTTTTTTAATTCTCTCTCTGAGTCTGGGGACGGGTGTGTGGTGTTATTTGTCTTATTCATCTTCAAAAATTATCAGCTTTTTATTTACTTACCTTTCATTTTATTTAAGTGGAAAAGTATAAGCCATATTTTAATTTTAGGGAAACACTCTAATAGACATTTATTTTTGTCCATTATCACATTCATTCTAACAGACATTTATATACATATATATCCAAATATATATATACACCAAACTGATGGAATATAAAATCCTATACAATTCACCCTGTCATGCACATCACTGCCTGTGACAACTGATAGGGAAAACAGTACACATGGAGGACACAGATCTTTTTGAACCACTGCAGTAGCTCAGTACTGAGACTGAAGATTGCCTTATTCGGTGCAAGCTGCACAAAAATTAGTGAAAAGAATTTGGTTGGAGATGAAGTAAAATAATCAAGCAAAGATCATAGGCCTACAATTGAAAGCAGTCTTCTCTTTGAGTTCACATCAAAGCTGAAAGTATATCACATGGCAGTGAACTTGAATTCTCCACATTCATTAACAGGCTCGAAGGTATGCGAAATTTACATTATACTTATTTTTATATATGTATTTCTTTATTATAATTATAAGCAGGCTGAAAAAGTGGGCAGCTGCACACAGCTGCAAAGGCTGCTGCCCAGCCTCTAGCTCACTGAGGACCCCATGGGAGCCAGTAGGGTGGTCCATCGCAGCCAGGGGAGTAGCATGTGGACCCCACGAAGGCCTAGGTGAGGCTGACCCCATTCCCCCAGTTGTTTGGGGAGCCATGAACAGTGGCAGAGGAGGAGGAGCTGGCATGGTAGATGGCAGTCCAGCGCCCCGCCACTGCCACACAAAACCTAGGTTACGGATGTCGTTTCTGATAACAGATTGAAATGGATTTCGTGATTTGCATATGTTTTAAATGCTTCTTTACACACATGCTGTCTCACACACAGATATATACATATATATGTATAAATTTTGCATTGGCCTTAAAGTGTCATGAGAAATTTTACCTATTGCACGGTGGGCCTAGCCATCTATTTGATGTGTGTAATCTTGGATATGCTTCTGCTGTGTTACTTCTGTAAATACAACAAATGTGATTTAAAAAAATAAATAAAAAGGAGAGAGGAACTCCTGCTGGGGTTGGAGTCAAACAAAGGTGTACCCAGATAATCTTCCTACAAATGCAGATATTTCTGTCCACAGTGAGGCTTGGAGTAGACTTCTGTGAACTGTCCATGGTGTCATTAGTGTCATTAATGTCTCACCAAGGCCCATGCTAGGAAAAATTATTCTGGTAAGTTCTATCAGTGAGAGACTGTTTGAAAAGACTCTAGAGAGCTATGTGAAAAAATTACACATAATCCAAATGGATTCACATAATCCAAATGGAACAATTTTCTGCATTAATCGGAACTAGATTTAAAAGGAGCTGCTGTGTCTCAAGGCAAGTGATTTTCTTCGTAGATGGTGAGTGTACAATAGGCTCAAACATGACAGGAGAAGAGGGTTATGTTCTACCATTGATATGATCCATGAGGGTACTTCTGAGCTCACGGCAGGCTCTGATATGACCTATGCTGTATTCAGCTAGCAGCTCAGTTTTTGCTGGTATCCTGTTCCCCAGAGAGAAATGCACAGAAGGAAAATTGATGGACTCTTCCTTTCAGAACACCACCAATGGCACAAGGCCTTTATTTACTTTTAAGAAATTGGAACATATGATACTTGCTAGGTGTTCTTTTGTGTTCCACCAAATTCATATATATATATATATATATATATATATATATATATATCACAATATGTATATATCTCACCATATATATAAATATATATCTCACCATATATATATATATCTCACCATATATAAATATATATCTCACCATATATAAAAAAATATATATATATCTCACCATATATATAAAACATATCTATATGTTGGAGTCCTAAGCCCCAATACTTTACATGTGATTTTATTTGCAGATAGGGTCTTTACAAAGACAGTCAGGTTAAAATGAAATTATTAGGATAGGCCCTAATCTAATCTGACTGCTATCTTTATAAAAAGGGAAAATTGGGGAAGAACACATACAACGGGAGAATATCATGTGAAGATTGGAGTTATGCTGCTACAGGCCAGGAGTCCTGAAACAGATCCATCCTTGGTGCCTTCAGAGGGACCATGGTGTGATGACACCTTGATCTCCAACTTCTAGCCTTCTGAACCACAAAGTAATAAATTCCTTTTGTTTATTTAAGGCACTCAGTTTGTGATACTTTGTTATAGCAGCTCTAGCAAACAAACACAATGCTGGAATGGATATTTCAGCAGAAAAACCTAGAAATTTCCTTTAGGATGTGGCGCTGTTTGGAGGTATTTTGGAAATTGTTACTTCTTTACATGTTAGATATATGTGTCAGAAACCTACACCTTATGTTTCCAGGAGACACAGGCAGATTATCAGAAAAATAACAGATGACTTGTAGAAATTCGGATAGATGAAGTCAAGAATTTCTTCTGTATACTTTCCCTGGGTGGTATAAAGGTAGGTTATGGAGCTGTATCGTCACAACTTGGGACTTGGACTAGTACACAAACTGTAACATAAACCCTTGCCTTGGTACCTAGAGAATATTAAATTTGACTCTCAGGTTCTGCATCACTGTTTCTCTTAGAAAGGAAGATGAGATGTAAATACAAATCAATGTCTGGATAACATAGCTACAAAGAGACTGAAAACGTTGGAATTTTTAGCTGTAATGCCATGGGGTGTAATCAAGTCTTCCCCTATACTGTCAAGAAATAAATTAGATTTGTTAAAAGATACATCATTACAGCTAGGTAGTTTCTATACCACTGTAGGATGACTATAGTTAACAATAATATATTACATAATCTCAAACAGCTAAAAAAAAGATATTGAAATTCCCAACACAAAGAAATGATAAATGTTTGAGATGATGTGCCGATTACCCTGATATAATCACTATACATGATATGTATTGAAACGTCACTATGTATCCCATGAATATGTACAATTATTGTCAATTTAAAATGAAATTTAAAAATAAAGTAAAATACATTATAACAGACGACTTTCATTCAGTTGTTTCCAAACTTAATGGCTTGATCACAATGCTCATGCCACCACACAAAATGGAACAAACTTTGAAAGTAAGACCCAGTGAAATGAACCCTTTAGCATACAAACAGTAACAGTGCCTGGATAAAGCCACAAAAGAAGTTAGTGAGGTAAGGGACTGCAATGGAAGCTAGTCTACCTGTGGTTCCTTCCAGAAATATTCTGGGACCAAATTTACAAAATAAATAAAAAAGGATTGACTGGCCTACCTTAGCATACATTTCTACCACATACTTATGTAGCAAAAAAAGAAGTGCTTTTCTGCTCTGCAAGATACAAACTTTTTCAAAACGAAAACAAACTTAGTTATTATCTAGCTGTGAGCCATCCTTTCTGTTTAAAGGCTTGAAAGTACATACTAGTGACATGACACACTAGTGTAGTGCTTACAAAATTAAAAGGATTTTTAGTCAGGAATCACTGTGAAAATGTTCAGACAATAGGACAATCAACAAAATGTGCTTCCTAGAGAGCTGCATTTTTAATGATTTTCTTACAAATCAGCACTTGCTGTCAAAATGAAGAGATTTCTAGGACTTGTTTTCCTAATTAGAACGGGTAGCCAGTATATTAAATGATGAAAAAGAACTGGAACCAGATTCAGTATCATGAAAAACAAATTACAAATTTTAAAATATATCAAGTTTACAGGAGATTAAATCAGAATTATGAAAAATACAATATTCTTAGTGTATGTAGTATAGCATATAGTATCAAATCTCCATTTAGATTTTATTTCTCAGAGGAAAAAAACAGATTCCCATGATACTTATTTTCATTTGTCATAGTCATGTTTGCGTTTTTAGCTTTGGGGTACTGAAATTGAGTGAAAGAAAAAGGGCTCTTTGAACATAATTAATTTCTCTCTACATTAAAAAAATCTTATTTTGTTTGTGGACTGTTGAAATTGTAATTCTTAATTGCCTTCTGAATCATGGAGAATTGAGAAAAATGTCTGGTCCCAACTGAGTAAGTTGTTTTTGGGTCAATTGGATGGTAGATTTTTCCCACACACATGCACATACTCATACATATACACATTTCTTACTACATTTTTAACTTCTTAGTTGGATTCAACTGACTATGCTTAATACTCAAAATTTATAACATTGTACCATGGATCTGTTTTCATAGCAATAAATTTTCAGTTTTTTGTTTATGATTCCACTCAACAAAAGGGCTACAGAAGTGATTTATTCTTTAGGTAATTTGAGATGATATATTTGAAAGTTTTTTGGAGAAGCTTTTCTAGTCCATACTCAAATGTTCTTCATTATTGAATGCATATTTAGATCAGATTCTTGAATTATAATATTGATCTGCTGCCTCCTTTAAAAAATATTTTTAAAAATGGCCTCCCAAAAGATAACTACATCCTAATCTCTGAAGGTTACTTTATATAGAAAAGGGTGGGGAAATCTGCAAATACAATTAAATTGAGGATCGTGAGATGCAGAGATTATCCTAGACTATTCAGGTGGACCCTCCTAAATGTAAACACATGTGTTTTTCTAAGAGAAGCCCATAGGGAGATTAGACACAGGCAGAGAAGAAGGCAATGTGAAGATGAAGCAGAAAGAGATTGGAAGATGCTGGCCTTCAAGATTAAACTGATCTAAGAATAGTCAAAGAATACTGGCAGCCACCAGAGGTTAAAAGAGGCAAAGAGCACCTTCTAGAGAGTCTCCAAGGGAGTCATGTCTCTTGCCTGTGACTTGGTTTGGGCCTAGTTAATACTAATTTCATGCTTTAGGACCCCAGAACTGTAAAAGAATAAATATCTGTTGTTTAAAGCGACTGAATTTGTAGTAATTTGCTACAATAGTCACAGGAAACTAATATAGGGTCCTTAGGGTTTATTTAGTCCAGTGGTTTCCATATATTTTTAGCAGCAAGTTTGTTCCATGTTTTTTCCTCTTCCCACTCACTACAACAATTTCTGTGCCTATCTGGAAAGTATCTTGCTTAATTTGCCAATAACCACTCTTATTTCTCAACTTTAATAAGCATTGGTTCTTATTAGAACCAACATAATTATAATAAATTATAAGTAAGGAGAAAATAGGCAGGATTACATACATTTTACATATTCAGGGTCTGCAAGTCAGAAAATTTAATAACTCTTCAAGGACACACATTAACTGCTACAAATGTTGCAAATGTAGATTTAGATAACTCAAATGACATTGTTCTTTGCTCCAAAACCACAAAATATCACAAATTACAATCCACTATGTAAGGGCTATACATACACATCACATATTTATAAATTCTTATCCAGCCAACTTACATACATATCTCTTATCCTAAGACCTAGACGTAAATAAAATGGTGAAGTCATGAATGATAAAGCTCCATGAATTCCATCCTCAATATGTTCATGAACAACTTGGACTCCAACATTTCGAAGTCTTGTAACATACATAAGTCCATCATCTCTTAAGAGATCATGTTGACAAGTAAGAATATAGGTTAGTGGCAAATTCTGTAACTGAGAATCATTGGCCAACAAGGGTAATGCTCTGCTGTCTGTAAGTCCTGGCAATGAATAACTAAGTCCTCCAAGAATTGGTTCAGTATATACATAGTCTTTTCTATACTTCTCAGGAAGAAGAATACTCCAGTTAACAAACTTAAACAGATGTCTTGACTCCAGAGGCATGTGTTGGTTTCTTCTCATTGCCCAGGGAAGTGCTTCATCCTTGGTGAAATATAAGCTCACGAGTTTTATGGCTACATCCCTGGTCAAAACTATACCATGCTCATTTTCTCGGTGAGATGGCAAATAAGAATCTGTTATCTGTAAGCCAGGGTAAAGTAAGACTTGCATCTTGATTTTATGTTTTATTTCAGCATCATTCTGCACCTGAAAATATATGGTAATATTCTGTAATGCAAACATTTCCAAAATACCAGGAGAAAAAAAATTTAATTATCTAGCAGTCATAAGATAAACAAATCTACATAAATTGATGTGATGTATCATAATTATTTTTATAATATTTATAATATATTACCATGGCATAAAAAAATTCAAACCAATTTAAATTTAAGGTTTTAAAAAATATTGATTTTTTGTGTGAGGAAAAAAGGAGAAAGTATAAGAGAGGAGAGGGAAAGAGACAGAAAGAGAATGTACAAGGCGAGAGAGATACACAGGATTTTTTGGTCAAAAATCACAAATGAAAATGATCCAATTCTAAAGATATTTCTAGTGGAAATTGGCAGTACATATAGTTTTGTAAAAATCCTTCTTAAATAAAGTAACCAGAGTGAGTGGAAGAAATAAATATAGCTATTAAATCATATTATTTCATTATAGAATCTAAAAAAAAATCTTAAACATTTTTAGAATATATTCTTTGGAAACAAGGTGGACATTACCAACATCATACCATAATTTTTAAGAAACATTATCCCAATGCAAAAGCACGTGGACCAAGGTGAAGAAAAAAAAGGCCAATCAACAGGTATCTTATGAGAATGATGCAGTGTTGGAGAAACAAAGGGAGAAAATTATGAAAAAATCGATGTGCACAAGTCTGATATGCAAGGATAAAATGTGAAGTACTTGATAAGGAGTGCCTTTTCTTTTTCAAAGAGAAAGGCATTTGAGGTCTCACCTATGACCCTGCAGACTGCAGGAGATAACGTTGAATTAATCTCCCAAGAGCTATTGCCTTGGCTAGAGTCTGGGATCTGGACAAATGAAAATACCTGCTGCTGCTACAAGTGAAAAGCTCAGGACCACAGGATGTACCTCTAAGTCACCCAGTCACCACAGTGGCTGGCTGAACTGAAAGGAAAAACTAAATTGAAATCCAAGAGGTACCTCAGAAAGGGAAATGGTATCCTACCATCTCTACAGTGTACTTCCAAGATGCTAGAGGTTTAATAAGTGTAGAATGAAAATGAGCCAAAACAAAGTTATCTTACAGAAACTTTCCTAGATCCCAAATCTCTCTGCCATGCCCTTAGGTAGATAATTTACTAATCAAAGATTGCTATCAATAGCCCACCCTCAGTCATCCTACTCTCAATCTCGCTAATCTAGGAAAAAAACAAACAGAGAACACATAAACAGGGACAGGTCAAAAAGTGTCCATCAATAACCTTGCCTGACCCTAACTTTCCTTTCTGGAATGCCATATGAAATAAGTCACTTCAACAAATGTGTCAGTATTTCCCATCTCTATGTTCCCCATTATGTCATTTGTTACTTTGCCATTCAAGGCTTTTTTCCTCTAACATTCTTCAAAACCCATGCTAAAGTCAGTTCTCTTCAAGATATTGGAAAAGCACCTGAGTCAGATTCTCCGAGGTTGGCAATTTTGCCATAGTCTTAACAACTATGTTATTTATCAGGTGTGTTTCAGATATTTTCTACACATTTTATATATACTCACAAGCATATATGTGTGATTCTGCATGTAAATACCTGATCAAAGGAAACTCTTCTTTTTTAAATTCCCAAATCTCTATTACCTCTTTAAGGCCAGTCGTCACTTTTCCTTTATTATACAAAAATGTACATGATTAATCTTTCTACTTGGTTTTGAATTTCACAAACACTGACATGATACCTAAGTTGTCATTGTACCCCTTACTGGGCCTAAGATAATAAAGTCATTAATATCATATGGGAAAATAGAAAAATGAATATTTTAATAATATGGAAACCATAATATTAAAAACTATAATATCTGATGTATAATTCTTTTAACAGGACACTATATCTGGAGCCAGGAATAATAGGATCCGAGAAACAGTAACAAGTATAAAACAAGTAGGTCCCAACAGTAATGCTGAATTATTGACCTATCTATAGCTTAGTTCTTTCCTCCTAGACCTATATGGTCTCGAAGATAGCCAGCTAAGCAAAGTTCAAAAGTGCACATAAACATTAATACTAAACCAAAACAAGCCTAGAATGGAGCATTCTATAAAATGGACATGAAGGAATGGATATGTATTTCTGATTTTGTGGGTAACTGATATGTACTTGAGTGCAAAAAAATGTGACATTCATCTCAGGATGTTATTACTTTGTAAAGAACAAGAATGAAAAAGTAAAAGGTCAAAATTTGAGAGAACATATCTGGCTCACGGTAATGTCCTTAGAGTTTAGACACTGGTAACTGTATTTCAAACTTCTATTTACCTTTTTATTATATTTCCAATATAATAAAGACCTTTGGATAGCTAAGTAACTTAAAGGTTGTGGAAGAGCTTCAATAAAGCCCATCCTTATTCTTAATCTTTTTCAACAATGAACTTTATTTTCATGAAAACACAATGGATAGTATGCATTTGAACTTTCCTTTTATAATTAAATATCATTAATCCTAAACTTATGGTATTTACAGTAAAATTGTCTCATATAAATTATTTGCTCTGCCCCTCCCTTATTAAGTCCCCCAGTTTGAATCTCTAATTGGTTCAAGTTATAGGCCGTGTTTTTCAAGTTATAGGCCATGCCACTGGTATTATTGTCATCAAGAAAGTAACTTATTTATACCATGATGAAGACTGGTCTCCTAAGTTTATACTTTTGAGAGCAAAATTTGGGACCCAGTTCATGAAAAGCTTCTATGCCATGCTAAAATGCTTGGAGTAAACATGTGGACCAGCACGATTTTCACTCCTACATCAGTTTTTTTCATTCGCAAACATCCCTCCTGGACAGCATGAATTGGGAGTGGTGGCTGAAAGGAAGCTGGTAACAAAGTCAGAGAAGGGATGATCCATGACTTCATGCCCTGTGTCATTTTATGACTCAACTGCTTCAAAGCCCATTCAAAGCAGTAATCTGCCATGGACACCTGCACTTGGCATAAAGTCAACTCCAGACAGTCTGAGGCATTACTGAATCCTCTCCCATTTCCCAAGTGCCCTGTGACCATTCAAAGGGCATGGCACTTTCCTAGAGAATAATGGTTTCCGCTGCCAAGGGAACATATTACGGCCCTTGCACTTTGCCCCCCATCATCTACTACCCTTCTCAATCCAGTTACTTGTTCACAAGATACCCTACCATCTAGCTCCCTGGTTTGAGTGTGTGTTATTCAAATTCCTGCATGCCCACACCAACTTATCCATAGCCTGTCATCCATGGAAGGATGGATGTAGACAAAATATTAACTTGTTATTTGAGGAGTTCCTACATTGCTAATGGTAAGTATTGTTCACCAAACTTCATATCTGTCATTTTCAACCCAGAGCACTCAACTTCATAGAAACTGTGATTGCTATCCCCACTAATTTTCCTTTCTATGAACTACCCCTAACAACTCCAAACTTGATTCCAACAATACACAACTAGCCAATGAGTATCTGGATAAACTATGAACCACCATGAAGAAATTCCAAATGGGAGGATTTTTTGGCCTCATCCTAGCACGCATGTTCCAACCATGCTGGAAACTGCAAAACTCCCACATGGGCTAGAGTCCAAGATAATCAACCTGCTCTCCTCCTTGCAGATTAATCCTGTCCTTTCCTGATCTTTATTCTTCCCCTAAAATCCCACTTCCCACTTTATGTCCTAAAAGTGTGACAGTAAAACAGATTATATCACTCAGAAGTGCAGGACTCACAGTGATACCACTTCCAGGTGCAAGTAAAAGAAGACAGATATTTCTGCTTCTGATGGACTTCAGGTGACCTCTATAACACTGATATGCAGTGATTACACAGAGGTAAACAAACAAAATAACAGAAACTAACATACATACTATCTATGTATGGGACATCATCCCATGTCCAAGAATGCTGCATGTCAATCATGTTTTTCTAAAAATCATCACCATTAATTATAATTTCTGATTAATATTTGCTATTAAACTGTTTTTAAAGAGTTTTTTATATTTTTAAAGAAGTGTCACATATGTAATATATACAGCCATAGAAATATGGGATGCCATAGAAATATTATTATAAATAAGATCATACGGCTTTATTACCACCTTATGACAAATGATACAAATTAGAAACAAAAGTGTATTTAGAAAGACCAAAGCTATAAACCTAAATAAGTAGAGCTATTGCATATCACAGCTTCCTCTTTAAATTACCTACATTGAAATACTTATTTTTTAGAATATCTAAGAGAGTAGGACTTACTAATTACTTCAAAATATCAAATCAATTCCCATTGTTTTATGAAAGTAAAAAGAATATCTCTGATCCTAAATAAGAGCAATGCATACATTCTTTTAAAATAAAATGTGGCCATGAAATTGGATTTAAGTGATATGATTAAAGTTTAGAAATAGTTTTTCCTCTTAATTAAAGATTAAGGCACCATGTCCACAAGAGTTTTCTAAGCTATAGTGATCATCCAGATCGTTGTGACCAGCAAGCCACATCAGTGATTTTAGGACACATCATGTGATGTTGCCAGGAAATCTAGCAATAATAGGTTAAATATATTCATTTCTTCTCAATAATAAGAATACAATTGAAAAGTGGACCAAGTCCACAAGAGAAAATGACAGGGTAATGTATGTGTCCTAATCCATGAGAAAATCCTTTTATAATGTGAATTGAAACAGATGAGTCATTTTTTAAAATATATCCCTCAGTGGTGATTATTGATACCGAATTTTTAAAGCCATAATCTATAACATATTATCAATCACAGGATCATGAGACATTGGAAAAAATGAGCTCTATAATAATTTCAAAGTAAAAGTTGATTCTTATGACCCAAAATAAACACAGTACAGGTAATAAAGCTTTTCAATGAATATGTAATTCATATAGAAAGTTTAGCAGTCCATGAAGAACAAATAACTTAAAGTATAATCACAAAAGTAAATAGGAAAGGATAAAGAAAATCACCTTTTTAAATGCTCATTAAGTACACTGAGTTCTTCTGCAGCCTGTTCATCTGCATACTACACTATGTTCCCTTTGAACAGATAAATCAGAATGTCTAAATAGATACTAAGTTCTTATATAATTAATTAAGAAATAGAATGGTGTTAGATTTTTGTGCACTTTTGTGCTGCCCTACAGATTTTACTAAGAATCACGTCTCTGTTTGGTGCCTGTGTTATTAAGTATTGTCCTGCTGAAAAGTTATAAGGTAGGGTATCACATATTCACGAATCTGTATGGCTACATCCAATTGTTATTTCTTTTTTCTTTCTTTCTTTTCTTTTTTGTTTTTTAGAATTAGGGTCTTCCTCTGTCACCCATGTTGCATTGCAGTGGTGTGATCCTAGCTCACTGCAAACCCCGAACTCCTGGGCCCAAGCAATCCTCCTGCCTCAGTCTATTGAGTTGCTGGGACTACAGGAGTGTACCACTACCTCTGACTATTTTTATTTTTATTTTTCCTAGAGTGGTCTTGAACTCCTGGCCTCAAGTAATCCTCCCCACTGGGCTTCCCAAAGTGCTGGGACTACAGAGGTGAGCCAATACATCAAGCCCAATTGTTGTTTCAGTTATGCTTGCTACACTTGCAAAGCCAAGCAAATGTTACAAATGTGCAAGAAATTAGAGGTATGGTAAGATGTTGCTTAATCACTATTGGGTAATTGTTGGACAGCTTTCAGAATCTCTACATTCCCCAAACCGGTTTCAGATGAAATTTTAGACCAGACTGCTATGCAATTTTACATAGTAATTAGTATAATAATCTCTAAGCAGGGCATTCTCCAATTTTTACCCTCCATCATACTCCTCATTTTACTCCAGTAAGATCTTTCAAATAAATGACATTATTTCAAGTAAATAGCAAATAAGTTCTGTCTGGAAGAGTCCTAAGGAATCAACATGTCTAATGGTTTGCAAACTTTCTTCTTGGCAATGAAGTCCTCTTTTATTTTTCTCCTAAGAAAATTTACTTAGAGCTCTAAACATGAAGGGCAACTAAAGTGTAACAGGTTGGGTTGAAGGGAGGCCCAGGTATAGAACCAAAGGTGAAGCTTTGTTATCACTACAATTTTGGTTTCACAATAGGGTTTTGTGTGTATGATGTCATAGATTAATATATACGTATAGGCATATGTACATGTACATGTATATGTATGTATGTGCATATATACTTATGTATGTATAACGTGTATTTCAAGTGTATATGTATATAAAAATATGTATGTATATAAACTTCTTCTAGTGCTCTAATCCTGAATCTTATAATACTTAAAAGGAAAGAAATTTTAAAAAATAAATAGAGAGGCACCTAGAGTAAGCTTTTGGCTCAAGTTTTTATAACTAAAGTCATATTTTAAAAAGTACAGAGCAGTGTTTCTCAAAAAGAAGTCTGAAGAAGACTAGTTTCATCTTTTTTTTTTAAATAGAAAGGTAGACAAGTTGACATAAGGAGTAGACATCAGGAAAAAACCAGCACTCTTGAAAAGTGGCAAGATCATGAAAGATAAGAAAAGGCTGGCAAACTATTCGTTAGGAACATAGATGCGTAGGTGGAGGAAGTGATGAACAGAGACTCATAGGTGAACTTAGGAACCTGGATGCACAGGTGGCGGAAGCTGACGTAATGAGTAAGCATCACAGAAAAATCCCCAGCACTGTTAAAAAATGTTGAGGTCATGAAAGGCAAAGATATTCTGGCTAATTTTCCGTTATGAACATAGGTGCAAAAATTATAAGCAAAATACTAGCAAACCGAATTCAACAGCACATTAAAAGGATCATACACCATGTTCAAGTGGGATTTATCCCAAGGATGTTTCAATACACACAAATCTATCAAGGTGATATGCCATAGTAAGAGAATGAAGAATAAAACTTACATGAACATCTCAACAGATGCAAAAATGACTTGACAAAATGCAATATCTTTTCATTATACAAACTCTCAACAAATTATATGTAAAGTACCTCAACATAATAAAGGCCATATAGACAAGCTCAAGGCTAACATCATACTCAGTGATAAAAAGCTGAAAGCTTTTCCTCTGACATCAGGAACAAGACAAAGATACCCATTCTCACTATACCTATTTAATAAAATACTAGAAGACCTAGTCAGAGAAATTAAGAAAACAAAAAAACAAACAAAAACAGAAATAAAAAGCATCCAAATGAGAAAGAAGTAAAAAAAGTCTGGGCCGGGTGCAGTGGCTCACGCCTGTAATTCCAGCACTTTGGGAGGCTGAGGCTGGCAGATCACAAGGTCAGGAGATCGAGACCATCCTGGTTAACATGGTGAAACCTTGTCTCTACTAAAAATACAAAAATTAGCCAGGCATGATGGCGGGTGCCTGTAGTCCCAGCTACTCGGGAGGCTGAGGCAGGAGAATGGCATGAACCCGGGAGGCAGAGCGTGCAGTGAGCAGAGATCATGCCACTGCACTCCAGCCTGGGCAACAGAGGGAGACTCTGTTTCAAAAACCAAAAAAAAAGTCTATTTTCATATTACATGATATTAGATACAGAAAACCCTAAGACTCTACCAAAAATCTGTTAGTACAAGTAAATAAATTCAGTAAAGTTGCAGGATACAAAATCAACATAGAAAAATCACTTGCATTTCTA
This sequence comes from Homo sapiens, assembly GCF_000001405.40. Lineage (NCBI taxonomy): Eukaryota > Metazoa > Chordata > Mammalia > Primates > Hominidae > Homo > Homo sapiens. The sequence goes on along the minus strand of NC_000003.12, from coordinate 151,749,351 downwards.
TATACCAACAACAAACTATCTTAAAAAGAAATTTTAAAAAATCCCATTTCAATAGCATCAAAAATAAGTACATAAAAAACACCAGGAATAAATTTAACCAAGGAGGTAGAAAGATCTATACACAGAAAGCTATAAAATATTAATGAAAGAAATAGAAGAAGACACAAGTAAATGAAAAGATTAACCATGTTTCTGGATCCAAAGAATTAATACTGTTAAAATGTCTATACTACACAAAGCAATGTACAGATTCAATGCAATTCCAATCAAAATTTCAATGGTATTTTTTACAGAAATAGAAAATTAATATGGAACCACAAAAGACTGAATAGTCAATATAATCTTGAGTAAAAAGAACAAACCTGGAGGCATCATAATGCCTGATTTCAAAATAAACTGCAAAGCTACAATAATCAAAACAGTATGGTACTGGCATATAAACAAACATATAGACCAATGGAACAGAATAAAGAGCTAAGAAATAAATTGTTGTCTTAGTTCAGTTAGCACTACTACAATAGAATGCCTGAGACTGGGTAATTTATTAAAAAATTTTTATCTCACAATTCTAGTGGCTGAAAGTTTCAAGATTGGGTATCTGCATCTGATAATGGCCTCTGGCTGCTTTAACTCATGAAAGAGAACCGGGTATCTGCATGTGCAAAGAAATCACATGGCAAGAAAGGAAGCAAGAGAGAGAAACCAAGGAAGCCAGATTGTTTTTAATAATCTGCTCTCTGACAAACTATTTCATTCCCTGGAGAGCAAGAATTCACTCATTCATTCCCTCTGAAGGGCATTAATCTATTCACGAAGGATCCACCCTCCTGTCCCAAACACCTCTCACTAGGCTCAGTCTTTCAATGCTGCCACATTGGGGATCAAATTTCAACATGAGCTTTGACTGGGAAAGACCAAGCTATAGCAATGGTCAATTGATCTTTGACAAAGGTGCCAAGAACACACAAAAGGAAAAGACAGTCTTTTCAATAAATAATGTTGAGAATTCTCATATATCCACATGCAGAAGAATGAAATTGGACACTCATTTCATTTCATATACAAAAATCAACTCAAAATGATGAATCAAAGGTCTAACACTTAATATAAAACTGTATAGCTACTGGAAGAAGGCTTAGAGAAAAATGACTTTATATTAGTCTAAGCACTAATTTGGGAGGTATGACTCCAAAAGTACAGGCAACAAAAGCAAAAATAGATATATGGGATTGCCTCAAACTAAAAAGCATCTGCACGAAAAAAGAAACAATCAACAGAGTGAAGAGACACTCTACAAAGTAGGAGAAAATATTTCAAATCATGGGTTCAATAAGGGGTTAATATTCAAAATGTATAAAGAATTCAACTAAATGGCAAGAAAACAAATAACCCAATTTAAAAAATGGGAAATAGAACTGAGTAGACATATGTACAAGGACCCCTTGTACATTGTTGTTGGAAATGTCAGTTAGTATATCCATTATGGAAAACAGTATGGAGTTTCCTCAAAAAATTAAAAATGGAACTACCAGATGATTCAGCAATACCACTTCTAGGTATCTATCCAAAGGAAACAAAGTCAGTAATGTGAAGAGATATCTGTACTCGCATATTCATTGAAGCAGTATTCACAATAGCCAAGATATGGAATCAAACTGTTTGTCAGCCGGATAAATGGATAAAGAAAATTTGGTGTGTGTGTGTGTGTATCTACACACACACACACACACACAAACACACACAATGGAATATTATTCAGCCTCCAGAAAGAAGAAAATCCTGTCATTGGTGACAACATTGATGAACCTGGAGGTCCTTACACTGAATGAAATAAGTCAGACAAATATTGCATAATCTTGCTTTTATGTAGAACCTAAGAAAGTTAAACCCCTAGAAGTGGATAGTAGAGTGGTGGTTATGAGGAGCTGGGGATATAGATGAAAGGGGATGGAGATGGGGAGAACAGGGAGATATTGGTGAAAGGTTACAAAGTTTCAGTTATGCAGGATGAATAAGTTCTGGAGATCTAATATTAAGTGCGGTGACTATAGTTAATAATACTGCGTACTCGAAATTTGCTAAGACAGATCTTAAACATGCTCACCATAGAGAAAAAATAAATGGTAACTATGTGAGGTAATGATTACGTTACTTAGCTTTTGTTAATTGTTTAAAAATGCATACATATATCAAAACATCATGTTGTACATCTTAAATACATATGATTTTTCCTTTTCAACTGTACCTCAATACAACCTCACAAAAGAGAAAAAAACAGAAAATAAGAGAGTTGGAATTCTTCCCAAATTATTTAATGAGGCTAGTGTAATTTTTCTCTCAAAACCTGACAAAGACAGGTGGCAGAGGTTGCAGTGAGCTGAGATCGCGCCACTGCACTCCAGCTTGGGTGATGGAGCAAAACTCCATCTCAAAGAAAAAAAAAAAACCTGACAAAAAGTGTTAAAAATTAAAGATTAATCTCAAAAATACAAAACATTTAATGAACTAAAGCAAATGGAAAGCAGCAACATATAAAAATTTTAATTCATCAAGACCAAGTAAGGCTCATGCCTAGAATGTAAGCATAATTTAACATTTAAAAGTCAATTGGCATAATTTACCACACTAAAATAATAAATAAGAAAAATTACATGATCATCTCAATAGTTGGAGTAAAAACATTTGACTAATTCAAGACCCATTTATGCAAAAACTATCAGCAAACTAGGAGTAGAAATAAGTTCCTCAATCTGACAAAAGCTAACTATGAAAACCTTCAGTTAATACTATATTTATTGATGAAATATTGAAAAATTTCCTCCAAAAATACAAAGCAAGAGAGTTATATTAAATATTTTACTAGAGGCCCCAGACAGTGCAATAATAAAAGAAAAATTAAAAGGAACAAGTACTGGGAAGCAAGAACTAAAACTGTCTCTCGTCATTGAAAATATAGAAAATCCTAGGAAACTAAAAAAAAAAAAAACAAAAAAAACACAGAACACTAGCGTTATAAGTGAGTTTATTGAGGATATGATGGGAAAAGGCCAATATCAAAATCAATTGTATTTCTATATAGCATAGAAATAAATTACAAATTACAAATTCCAATATGTTCCAAATAAACATTCAGAAAATAGTATTTTAATAAAAATTTTAAAAAATACCTCAGGGTAAAATTTGAGAAAAGATTTCCATGATTTCTACACTGAAAATAGTAAAATATTGCTGAGAAATTGAAGAGGATCTAATAAAGTATGAGACATGCCATGTACATTAATTGGAAATCTCAATATTGTTGACACGTCAATCCTCCCCAAAGTTATAGATTCAATGCAATCCTAATAAAAATTCAGTTAGTCTTTCTTTTTAAAAATTGATAAGATAATCTAATATTTTAATGGGAAAGATATGGAATACTAGATTTTTTTTTAAAGAAGAACAGTTGAAGTCAGTGTAGTATTGGCAGTAGGATAGACATGTAGATCAATGGAACAAAATAATCCAGAAATAGTCACATTAAGGTTAAATAAATGTTTACTCAAGTGCTACTGTAATTCAATGGGAAAGAATGGTCTTTTCAACAAATGGTGGGGGAAGAACTGAATTATCTATAGAAAAAAAATGAGCCTCAATTTCTGCCTCCTATCATAAAAACAAATATAATGTACCTGTTGAGTGACCGCTGTTGCTAAATTGCCCCCAGAACTGTCTCCCGCAATGCAGATTCGGGTGGGATCCACTCCATATTTTGTAAGAATTTTTTCCAAAAGAAAAAATTTGACTGCAGCAAGGCCATCTTCAAACTGAGCAGGAAAGTGGTGTTGAGGAGCCAGCCTATAGCTTTAAAGAAAGAATAATAAAGCATTTATGGTTGTATCTGTCCATCTAATTCTCAAATACCAAATAGATGCAATTTAATGCCAGTCTTTATTGTTCAGTCTTCTAAAAATCAAGCCTAAGTTTTCTACTAACTCTTGATTAAAATGAAAATTATTTTAATAAAGTATAAGGTTTTCAATCTTGTACCTAAAATCCATGAATGGAATTATTTGTGAGGAGTCAGGGGAGTGTTATGAACTTCCTAGGAATTGTAAGCAAAAATTTTAGTCCAAGTGTATTTTAGAATGGAGATGGTGTATAGCTTACATCATATTCTCAATGTAACTTGTAATCCAAACATTTTTTTAAAAATGCTTGTTTAAAAAGCACAATAGGCTGCAGATCTGAGAGCATATTGTAGGCAGTGTCCTATTTTATCAAGGACATTTAGGTAAAAATTTTATAAGCTGACGGTGCATATACTTCATCATGGATAATACCCAGTAGTTATTACTAGATAAAAATTTTGATATATAAATAAAATTTAAATATGCCAGAGAGCTTGCTTATTTCTGGTAAATTCATTTGTAAGGCAAATTATCACACTCTTCTTTTCATGGGCACAAATTATTTTTTCCCCAGTGTGTGTAGAACAGTAAGACAGGAAAATACATCTAGCAGTCAATTCATAGAGCTTTTTCTTTTTGATCTTCAGAATGCTAAAACATGTATATTTCTATAGCCAATATGAAATGTTGGTAATAGGGTTCTTAGAATTTTATTATAAACTATCTAGAAAACTCTAAGTAATTTGTAGCTTAGACATAGATGTGTACCAAAAAGATGTTGGTATCTTTATTTAAAATGCAGTGGATTTATACTTTTTGGACAAAGAACAACACAAATTTTAGGGATTTGATAGAATGTATAAGCCAGGCACAAACATATTATTATATCAAAACAGATATAAAATAGTATTTAGATTACTTCAAAAGCTATGAAATTAAACTTTTCTTGCCTGCTCAAATACAATCCAGTATCCCAAATGTGTAATAGTTAATATACTTCCTTCTGTCCAGCTGTGTTACTTGGGACACTACTAGGGCCTTATAGGACCTGAGTCTTACGTGTCTAGAGCAAGTGTTTCCAAAACTGCTTACTCTGGGGTATAATTCAGATATTCTCACAATCACAGAAAAATAATGGGACACTGAACCTCTTTGAGGAGCAGTCTATGTTGCAATGGTGACAAGTAAAATATATTAATTTAAAAAATTATATTTGAAGCATAGCTGACTTGATGTGGAAATCAAACCTCTACATGGTAAAGGCAAAAATCATAGTAGCCAGAAAAAAATCATTCTTACTCCACGCCTACAACAACAGCATCAAGCGTGTTTGCCGTCCATCTATTCAGGAAGTCAAAAGCCCTCTGTTCTGAAATGAAGAAATAAACATCAAAGTATTTCCTGTAATTAAAAAGCTATAGAAACAGTTACAGATATGAATGTGGAAATAACTGTGGTTTGTGAATATCACATAGCTTTTATTTCCACCCCCCATTTCCAAGCAGATGGACCTGAATCCACGTGGCACACTCTCCCCTTCCTAGTCTTTTCAGCCACTCTTTCCAGGAGGAAAAGGATGACTTCACCAATTGATTATTTTGGGGAGGATCAACTAGAATAGGCTCAGCCTATTGTAATATCGTCTTGACATCTGCTGTCTGTACACAATGACCCTTCCCAGGACCCTTTGTATCCTGGTGCATTTTACTTCATCTGAAATAATGGTAATGGTTTGACTTGCATTTATGTGAACTCTGGGTGTAATTTTTTAACTGGTTCAGAAGTCGGAGGAAAAAGAAAGTAATAGTATGTATTGAGTCTCTAAACATCGTTCTTCAAAACCTCTTGTCTTCTTTGAAGATGCCACATAATAAAATAGTCCAATAACATTGGCATTAAGACAGAGTCTAAGGAATAATAACTAGATATGAGAGAGCCTCTGGCAGGTCAGTGTGAAGACTTGATATACATATGAGTTTTGACATGCTTGATGTACAAGCTATTGACTTTCCCCAGACACATAACACACACACACACATCTTTCCCCAGGTCCCCACATATCCTATTTACCAGGGCCCTGGCCAAGCACCTTGGCAAATTCTGTAACATCTGCTGCTGCTTTATTTACCACAAGATCCTAGAAATCCAAAGAATTCTAGAGTTGTGATCAAATTCCAGACTTCTCTGGACCTTCTCTTGCACATTAACAAAACTGCAAAGTGAAAACTAACCACAGGGTGTATATATAACCTGGAAAACAGGAAAGTAAGTCACCTAGTCTTTTAAATAGAAAAAAATAATGTTTTATTAAAGATTAAGTTAATTTTCAAGAAAAGGCCATGCATAGATGAAGACCAAAATGTACAAGACCTAAGAACTCTCTGAACTTCACCTTGTTAACGAAAGAGCATGAGATCTTCAGAAGAAAATGGGAGAGCTTTAATTTCTATTAAAAAAAAAATCTGCAGATTAGGGAGACATAGCCTTCCATGTAAAACAAAAGTGTGCTCCAGAGACCAAAAAGAGGGTCTGTGGCTTAAATATGGAGAATCAGCTGGCATCCCTCAATCACAATCAGGTATATATATGTAAATAAAGGATTCAAACTTATTCAAATAGTTTAAAACAGCTGATTCCTGATTGGGTAGTTTCCAAGCCCCAAACCAAAAGTCTGTTAGATACCGCTTTCAAGCAACTGGTGGGATGAGTTTTCTAATCAGGGTGTTTCAGCTTGGAAACATCTTAGCTCAGGGGCGCAAACAGGATGTTTGGAGCTGCCTTCTCTGGGAACAAAGTGATGTGTGACCACCCTTTTCTCACTCATTATGGACACTGAGCTCTTAGTGTCATAATTTGGGTTTCTTTATCAGCCACAAGAAATCCGTTTCATCCAGAGACCTTGAGGTCTTATTTCCAGTTTCATTTCATAACCTTTAAAGCCACTCAGTGATGTATTTCAAATCTATGTCTTCATTTTTATCTCCCAATCCTTTTTGTCTTAGAATTAAAGCCATATTTTTGTTTGCTTGTTTGTTTCCCATTTTTATCTCAAACTGTCTGTACTCATAGAATATTTGCTGATATAATCTCTCTGGTCTTGTTTCTTTTATTCCATGCCTTTTTATTGTTATAGTGTCTGTAGAATGCGTATAGAAACAAAAAGATATGAGGATAAATGTTGAAAAACAAAAAGATATGAGGATAAATGTTGAAAAACAAAGATCACAAAAGTATATAAAAAGTCTACTAGAGCAACATTTTCCTATATTTCTTGGTTCTCAAAGCAACTTATGTATGTTTTAGAGAAGACAAAAGAGGAAGCCTAGGGGGAAAAGAAAGAAAATTAAAATTTGCAAATACTAGAAAATAGTTATAATGTCTATTTTTTCTTGGTGAAAATTAGAAAGTATCTAAGTCTTTTCCAGTGTATTCACATATGTTTGGGAGATCTGAAAACAAATAATGTGTAAATATAAAACCAAAATATTGACAAAAGACATCTAGAATTTAGCTAAGCAGAATGTTGGAATGTCATATCCTGAATAATAATTCTCACAGTTTTAGAAATTACTGATCACAATCATTGCCTATGTCAGTAAAAAGAGATATAACCCTAATAATCAGGAATACTTCTTAGTATTTTTCAATCAAAGTGATATTTTCCTGTCAGTGGCCATTTCTTTTGTGCTTACTCAAGTCCTAGGTAATATGTATATGAACACTTGGATATTTCATACACCTCGTAAAAACTTCAGTGGAATGAATGCATTTCTTTGGAGAGAAATGAGGCAAACTTGGTATTTATCTTATCAAGAAAGCAGGTTATTCGACCATTTTAACACATGATATAAATTAAATTATAGATGAAATATAGATGAAATCCAATGTATTGAAAACATTAAGAAGGTAAAAAATACATAAAAGAAATGGATTAGAACATTTTGGATAATAATCCCTCTAGAGATCATCAGATGTCCCTCTCATTCACTATGTGTGTGTCTTTTTTCTTCACAAAAACATTTATTGAATAATCACTGTAAGAAAAATGCCTAAAAAGACAAGTAGGGAACCGAGATTTTATGGGAAGAGTTTATTATTACATAGTACTATTTTGTGTTTTCTTTTTAGAGTCAATACTAACAACTGCATTCTAAGCCTTACCAGTATTTCTATTATGTTATCAGTAACTGCAAACTTGATCTTGTAGCAACCAATAGCAAATGCTTTTGACTTGTTAATTAAAACATCTGCATCCCCTCAATGTTTCTGCTCCTGAATTCAGATCCCAAGAAAAAAGTTTAATAACTGACTTTATATCCTATTTTCCTTTGATATATGTTCATTCAATATGAAAGCTAAGGATAATAAAAAAACAAAACAAAAACTGAATTTAAAATCCCCATAATATTAGTTGCCAAACATATGTCTATGTCTCTTTATTAGATGTCTCATATTTATATCTATACTTATCCATATCCAGACAAGTATATATATAGATGTATGTATCAGTATAAGTGTGTATATTTATATAAAATAGTTCTTATATCAAAAATGTAGAGCTAGCTACACTTTTTCCTTATACAATGAACTTACTGGAACTTCCAAAACAAAAACCACCACCATGAAAATATATCACAGCTCGCCTTCGGGTTTCTGACTTTCTTTTTGGCAAGTACAATCGTACTGGAATGTCAACAAATGTTGTATCAGTCACTGTGATGTATTCATCTGAAAGTGGTTGGGTATAATCCAGCCTGAATATCATGGATATAAACTCTTCATATCTCATAATACGCATATTTTCAAAACACATAGCCTGTAAGAACAAAACAAACAAAATTAAATATTTAGATATTTAAATAACACCAAATATATTTAAAAAGAAAGTTAAAAAGGAAGAAAAAATAAGCAAGGTAAACAAAAAGAAATAGACTATTTAAAAATATTATTTCCAAATAATACTGTAAAGATCTTATTGCATAACCTTCTTGCCCTTGAAAATCTCAAATATCTGGCAAGCTGGCCGAATAGGAACAGCTCCGGTCTGCAGCTCCCAGTGAGGGCAATGCAGAAGGCAGGTGATTTCTGCATTTCCAACTGAGGTACCCAGTTCACCTCATTGGGATTGTTAGGCAGTGGGTGCAGCCCACAGAGGGCGAACAGAAGCAGGGTGGGGCATTGCTTCACCCAGGAAGTGCAAGGAGCCAGGGGACCTCCCTCCCCCACCCAAGGGAAGCCGTTGAGGGACTGTGCTACCCAGCCCATATACTACGCTTTTCCATGGTTTTTGCAATCTGCAGATCAGGAGATGCTCTCATGTGCCTACAGCAGGGCCCTGGGTTTCAAGCACAAAACTGGATGGCTGTTTGGGCAGACATGGAGCTAGCTGCAGGAGTTTCTTTTGTACCCCAGTGGTGCTTGGAACTCCAGTGAGACAGAACCGTTCACTCCCCTGGAAAGGGGGCTGAAGTCAGGGAGCCAAGAGGTTTTGATCAGAGGGTTCCACTCCCGAGGATCCCAGCAAGCTAAGATCCACTGCCTTGAAATCCTCACTGCCAGCACAGCAGTCTGAAGTCAACCTGGGATGATCTAGCTTGGTGGGGGGAGAGGGGTCTATCATTACTGAGGCTTGAGTAGGTGGTTTTCCCCTGACAGTGCTAAGGAGGCCGGGAGGTTTGGACTGGTTGGAATTCAGCACCATGTAGCAAAGTGGCTGTGGCCAGACTGCCTCTCTAGATTCCTCCTCACTTGACAGGGCATCTCTGAAAGAAAGGCAGCAGCCCTAGTCAGAGGCTTACAGATAAAACTCCCATCTTCCTGAGACAGAGCACCTGGGGGAAGGGGAAGCTGTGGGTGCAGCTTCAGCGGACCTAAACTTTCCTGCCTGCTGGCTCTGAAGAGAGCAGCTGATCCTGAGAAGGAGAATTCTCCCAGCACAGTGCTTGAGCTCTGCTAAGGGACAGACTGTCTCCTCAAATGGTTCGCTGACCCCTGTGCCTCCTGACAGGGAGACATCTCCCAGCAAGGGTCAACAGACACCTCATACAGGAGAGCTCTGGCTGGCATCAAGCTGGTGCCCCTCTGGGATGAAGCTTCCAGAGGAAGGAGCAAGCAGCAATCTTTGCTGTTCTGCAGCCTCCACTGGTGATACCCAGGCAAACAGGGTCTGGAGTGGACCTCCAGCAAACTGCAACAGACCTGCAGAAGAGGAGCCTAACTGTTAGAAGAAAAACTAACAAACAAAAAGCAACCACATCAACATCAACAAAAAGGACCCCCACACAAAAACTCCATCCAAAGGTTATCAGCCTCAAAGATCAAAGGTAGATAAATCCATGAAAATGAGGAAAAACCAGCCCAGAAATGCTGAAAATTCCAAAGACCAGAATGACTCTTCTCCAAATGATTGCAACTCCTCTCCAGCAAGGGCACAAACCTGGATGGAGAATGAGATTGACGAATTGACAGAAGTAGGACTCAGAAGATGGGTAATAACAAGCTCCTCTGAGCTAAAGGAGCATGTTCTACCCCAATGCAAGGAAGCTAAGAACCTTGATAAAAGGTTACAGGAACTGCTAACTAAAATAACCAGTTTAGAGAAGAACATAAATGACCAGATGGAGCTGAAAAACACAGCACAAGAACTTCGTGAGGCATATACAAGTATCAATAGCTCAATCAATCGAGTGGAAGAAAGGATATCAGGGATTGAAGATCAACTTAATGAAATAAGGTGTGAAGATAAGATTAGAGAAAAACAGAAAGAAAAGAAACAAACAAAGCCTCCAAGAAATATGGAACTATGTGAAAAGACCAAACCTACGTTAGATTGGTGTACCTGAAAGTGACAAGGAGAATGGAATCAAGCTGGAAAACACACCTCAGGATATTATCCAGGAGAACTTCTCCAACATAGCAAGACAGGCCAACATTCAAATTCAGGAAATACAGAGAACACCACTAAGATACTCCTTGAGAAGAGCAACCCCATGACACATAATCATCAGATTCTCCAAGGTTAAAACAAAGGAAAAATGTAAAGGCAGCTGGAGAGACAGGTCAGGTTACCTACAAAGGGAGACCCATCAGACTAACACTGGATTTCTCTGCAGAAACTCTACAAGCCAGAAGAGAGTGGGGACAAATATTCAACATTCTTAAAGAAAAGAATTTTCAACCCAGAATTTCGTATCCAGCCAAACTAAGCTTCGTAAGCAAAGGAGAAATGAAATCTTTTCCAGACATGCAAATGCTGAGGGATTTTGTCACCACCAGGCCTGCCTTACAAAAGGAAATAAGGAGAAAACATGGAAAGGAAATAAATATGGAAAGAAACATGGAAAGGAAATAAATATGGAAAAGAAAAACTGGTACCAGCCACTGAAAAAACACACCAAAATATAAAGACCAATGACACTCTGAAGAAACTGCATTGACTATTGTGCAAAATAACTAGCTAGCATCATGATGACAGGATCAAATTCATACATAACAATGTTTACTTTAAATGTAAATGGGTTAATGCCCCTATTAAAAGACACAGGCTAGCAAATTGGATAAGAAGTCAAGACTCATCAGTGTGCTGTATTCAGGAGACCCATCTCACATTGAAAGACACACATAGGCTCAAAATAAAGGGATTGAGGAAGATTCACCAAGCAAATGGAAAAAAAAAGCAAGGGTTGCAAATCTAGTCTCTGATAAAACAGACTTTATACCAACAAAGATCAAAGACAAAGAAGGACATTACACAATGGTAAAGGTACCAAGGCAACAAGAAGAGCTAACTATCCTAAATATATATGCATCCAATACGGGAGCACCAGGTTTCATAAAACAAGTTCTTAGAGACCTTCAAAGAGACTTAGACTCCCACAAACTACTAGTGGGAGACCTTAACACCCACTGTCAATATTAGACAGATCAACGAGACAGAAAATTAACAAGGATACTCAGGACTTGCACTCAGCTCTGGACCAAGGGGACCTAATAGTCATCTACAGAACTCTCCACCACAAATCAACAGAATATACATTCTTCTCAGCACCATATAGCACTTATTCTAACATTGACCACATAATTGGAAGAAAAAACACTCCTCAGAAAATACAAAAGAATGAAAATTAAAAAAAAAAAGTCTCTCGGACCACAGCACAATCAAATTAGAACTCAGGATTAAGAAACTCACTCAAAATCTCAGAACTACATGGAAGTTGAACAACTTGCTCCTGAATGACTACTGGGTAAATAACTAAATTAAGGCAGAAATAACGAAGTTCTTTCAAACCAATGAGAATGAAGAGACAACATAGCAGAATCTCTGGGACACAGCTAAAGCAGTGTTAAGAGGGAAATTTATACCACTAAATGGCCATATCAGAAAGCTGAATAGATCTGAAATTGACACTCGAACATCGCAATTAAAAGAACTAGAGAAGTGTTTAGAATGGCGATCATTAAAAAGTCAGGAAACAACAGATGCTGCCATGGATGCAGAGAAATAGGAAGGCTTTTACACTGTTGGTGGGAGCGTAAATTAGTTCGACCATTGTGAAATACAGTGTGGCAATTCCTCAATGATCTTTAATCAGAAATATCATTTGACCCAGCAATCCCATTACTGGGTATATACCCAAAGGATTATGAATATTTCTACTGTAATGACACATGCATACATATGTTTATTGCAGCACTATTTACAATAACAAAGACTTGGAACCAACCCAAATGCACATCAATGATAGAATAGATAAAGAAAATATGGCACATATAAGCCATGAAATACTATACAACCATAAAAAGGAATGAGTTCATGTCCTTTGCAGGTACATAGATGGAGCTGGAAGCCATCATTCTCAGCAAACTAACACAGGAACAGAAAACCAAACACCACATGTTCTCACTCATAAATGGGAGTCTAACAATGAGAACACATGGACACAGGGAGGGGAACATCATGCACCAGGGCCTGTCGGGAGGCAGGGGGAAAGGGGAGTGAGAGCCTTAGGACAAATACTTAATGCATGCAGGGCTTAAAACCTAGATGACGAGTTGATAGGTGCAGCAAACCACCATGGCACATGTATACCTATGCAACAAACCTGCACGTTCTGCACATGTATCCCAGAACTTGAAGTAAAAGACAAAAAAAAAAAAAAAGATAAATCCTTGTATATAAAAAAGGAAAATCTCAAATATTTAGTATTTTAGACTGAGAGCTGTCCTATTCAAAACCCACTAATTTACTAGCAGTTTTTTTATGCCGCTGTAATTATTTTTGATTTGTAAATTTTTTTCAGAAAAATAAATTTTGTAGGCATGCTGTCATGTTTTCTTTTTTCATTGTTCATTTTATTTAATCCAAAGTTTTAAATATCTTCATATGAACACACTAGTAATAATCCAAATTTTTTGGCTTTCAACTCCAAAAAGATTAGGGCACTTTCCTCACCTTTAAATTCCATATTTGATGTCACTGAAAAAAGCTGCCTTTGGTATTCCTGACCAGCTTCTCGAGGACTTTTGTGTTATGTCACTGGACAGTTTACTCATAAAAAAACTTAAATATTACATGGTTAATAACACATTAAACAATCTTTATTATTATAATTATTCCAAGGAAATTAAGGTATTTGCAGGGCAATTGAGAACATCTAGCCACTATACTTTATTTTCTTAATTTTAATTTAATTTTTTTATTTTTTGAGAAGGAGTCTTGCTCTGTCATCCAGGCTAGAGTGCAATGGCACGATCTCAGCTCACTGCAACCTCCGCCTCCTGGATTCAAGTGATTCTCCTGCCTCAGCCTCCCCAGTAGCTGGGATTACAGGCGTGCACCACAACAGCTGGCTAATTTTTGTATTTTTAGTAGAGATGGGGTTTCCCCATGTTGGCCAGGCAGGTCCTGAACTCCTAGCCTCAGGTGATCTACCTGCCTTGGCCTCCCAAAGTACTGAAATTACAATCGTGAGCCACCATGCTAACCCTTATAATTTAAAGACGAGGAAGTATGCAGAAACTCTAAGTTGTAGCCAGTAAATGTCAAAGCCAAGTCTGCATCCATTTAAACCAGCATCTTATGCTACTACTTACTAGCTGATAGACATTGAGAAAATTACTCTCTGTAGCTCAATTTCCTTGTCTATATGACAGTAATAATAATACTTCAGTGGGTTGTAGTAGGGTTTAAACAAGTTAATGCCCTGAGATACAAATTAGATAATCAAGAAAGGGAGCATAGTATTTTCTCTGTGGAAGTGACACTTGCTTACCCACTTATGCTTACTCAAGAAGTAAGAGCATTGGAGAAAATTTATGGAGAAGGTAAGCCTCTAGAAGTGATTACAGGGGAAACTATTAGCAGACATCAGAAGGAGTTGACTGTGGTTTCACAAAGCAAATATACTGTTTGCTGTACAAAGCATCATAAGACAGCCTCTTCTTTTTATACCATGGGTTGCTCTCTTTTTTTCTGATCATCTTCTGTGGCCTTCTCCTTTGAGCCTCTTATTGTTACCCTTTCTGGAAGCTGTCTGGCTTGGCAGAAAGAGTATGGGTTTCAAAATGAGACAGTTTATAGTTCAAATTATGGAGTTGTTACTTTTTACCTGCATATGTTCTTCTCAATCTCTTCCCCAACCCCATAACCTGATAAAAATAATTGCAGGATAGCGGGGAATCAATGGAAGTACATATTATACAAAGCCTATACAACTTAAGAACTCAAAAATATTAGTTTCTAACCCTATCTCTCCCTTTTAAAGGAGCTATTTTTGCATGAATTTATAATTCATTCTGCACATGCCAAGTCAGATAATGCCTGAAAACCAGCAATTTAGAATTGAAGATGGACAATGAAAGCCATTAAATAATAAGAGCCTTAAATTAATATCAAAGAGTTACAAATATCAATAATGTGTATCTAAACAACTAAAAGATAATTACAGGACTAGGTTGTCCCTGAAAGTTCAAATTTAAGTCAAGTTCTCAAATAAACCTCAAAGCCTTTTCCTTTAGCAATACCATTTATTTTATACATGTCACAATAAATTTATTTTATACATGTCACGTTTAGACATAAAGTCTTAGAATTGAGAATTCTGTCTCACTGTTACTCACAGATATAGGGAGTTTTATTTACTTAATGTTGTTTAATTAATTTACTCAAACAAGCAATGGTTCTTTCAAAATGGTGATATTAATACTATTAATAAAAGAGTTCATAAGCACCCATTTTTAGTCAATAAGTCATCCCAATTTCCAACAGAAAAAATAAATGTTAACCTTACCGTAAATGTACAAGTTTTAGCGATGGCATCCAAGGCCATTATTTTCCAGCTTTCTTCAATGTTGTCTGGCATGGGTGTGTAAAAATGAGAGACAAAAAGAACACAAAGCAGCCCCAAACAGAGAGCTTTTAGCCCCATAATATCCCTTTTTCCAGCTTCTTCACAGTACTGAGATTAAAATTTTTCACAAACACTGAATAGTAACTAGTAGAGCAATTGTAGACTTGGGAACTCTCTCAGGTGATATGATCATCTTAACAACATGAAGCTAATTTTCAATTCAAATGTTACAGTGTCAGTAGTAACTTGTTTTGCAAGCACACAGACTGGAACAGATCTCATAATTCATGAGGGCGTGCATGCATTATTATCATGCAATGTAATACTCTTACAGTGTTTCTTCACCCTGTGATACCATCATCAGCCCAAAACAACTTTATTATTGAGACTTAAACCTAAATGAAACCTAAATGAACCTAAATGACAGCACTGAATAAGTCATGAAGTAAATTTTTGTGATTGGGTGGTGGTTGCAACATATTTTAAGAACAGGTTTTTTTTTTTTAGCTTGCTGATATTAAGTCAAAATCCAGGCTAATGCCATTATCATGGATTATTAAACATGTTAACAAAACTTTCTTGTGGTGAAACAAGTTTTGGATTAAAAAACAAGGAATGAGGCAACTTGTCCGAGTTCTATTAAGCATCAAACTAGAATTTTTCCATAGACTAAGCCTGGAAGCTCAGTGCAATTATCTGTTTTCTTAGAGGATTACATAGTATGATGATGAACTTTATGTGTCAATTTGACTGAGCTAAGGGATGCTTGTGAACAGTAAATAGCTTGTAAAAAAGTATTTCTAGGTATGTCTTTGAGAGTGTTTCTGGAAAAAATCAGCATTTGAACTGGTAGAGTGAATGAAGAAAATCACCTTCCCCAGTGTGGGTGGGCAGAATCCAATCCATTGATGGACTGAACAGAACAAAAATGTGAAGGAAAGGTAAATTCACTCTCTTCTTGGGCTGGGACATTGTTGTAACGCTAATTCATATTAGTGCTGCCTCAGCACCACCTTCTTGGTCCGTCCCCAGCTTGTCACAAATGTCCTACATATTTTGAGACAGTCTCCACCCAGTTTCTGTTTCAACATAGATGTGGTCCCATTTGCTGCCTTATTTTTGCTTTAAGTCTGGTGAACACAATCATGTAACCCAAGTTCTCACACTTAAACTCATGCTTCCTTCAAATTAACCAATCCAACTCTGTTGTGGAAAACCCATCTAGGTAATCCTGAACCCCAATAAAGGGTTCTACCCATAGGTCCCTCCATCTCTCACTTGCTTTTCATCTGCTGGGTGAGAGACAGTGTCCTTGACTGCCTCACCCTTTCCATTGGCTCTGCAAGGCATTTTACACTCCTCTTTCTGGAATCTGCAAGTAATTGTAGTCTAATTGTGCTGTACCTGACTACACCAAACCTAACTTAAATTCTTCTTCACTTAACAAACCACAACAGACATCCATCTTCTCCTGCCCTTGGATATCAGAGCTCCTAGTTCCTATGCCCTTAGACTCTGAAACTCACACCAGACACCACCTCCCTGCTCCCAGTTCTCAGGTCTTCAGACTCAGACTGGTTTTATAGAACATTAACTTTCCTGGTTCTGGTTCTCCACCTTATATACAGCATACTGTGGGACTTCTTTGCCTAGATAATTGCATGGGCCAATTTACACTTTTTTATATATATATACACACACACACACACACACACATATGCATATATACATGCTAATATATGGATAGAGACACACATTTATATATTATAACTATACAATATATAAATTTATATATTGTATAGTTATATATTATATATGTATATATAATAAATTATATATAAATTTATATATTATAAATATATATAAATATGTGTGTATATAACATATAAATTTATATATCTTTATATATTATATATGTATATATAATTATATATAGAAATTTATATATTATAACTATATATAAATATATGTATCTATCCATATGTTATATATAATACAATAGATAATAGATATATAGATATAGATATATAGATGTATATAGATATATAGATGTATATATAGATATGGATATATAAATATAATGTATGATCGATATCTATATATAGGTATATAGATATACCCGTGTTTGTGTGTGTGTGGATGTGTCTATCTATCTATCTATCTATCTATCTATCTCCTGTTGGTTCTATTCCTTTAGAGAACCCTGACTAATACATATAGTGACTTTGTTCATGTGTTTCAGTGGTAAATCTTTAGGACTAATTCACATGAATAATTTAGCCTAGGGTGGCAGAGAACATAAAATACAAATGTTGGACTTTGCCTGCTGCAACCTGACAGGCTGAGAGAGACCCTGCCACATTACAGCTGATCACCTGAAAATTTTTCAGAGATACAAGGACTACTAGAGATTTTCTCTGTGATGTGTCAGGACATAGTAAATAGTAAGTACAGGATTGGTACTTATGGGAAGTAATTTTTAGTAATAGAATACACTCATATCAGAGGTCCAATATATACTTTTAATGATATAAGTATATATATCATTATACTGACATAAGTAAATGTCATAAGTATATCTATCATATGTATCATTAAAGGTATATATTGGACCTCTTTAGTGCATGAGTATTAACTCCAAAGTCAATCAAAATTGAATTATTTAAACATTTATTTTTATTCACCTATATTTCAGGCTTCTCTGAATTCTTTAGTTATAACTTAATATAGTCTATCACTTAAAAGAAGAACACTATTGCATCTATTTGATTCTCCTCTCTTTTCTTCTTTATTAGTCTTGCTAGCAGTCTATCAATTTTGTTGATCTTTTAAAAAAAACAGCTCCTGGATTCGTTGATTTTTTTGAAGGGCTTTTTCTGTTTCTATCTCCTTCAGTTCTGCTCTGATCTTAGTTATTTCTTGCCTTCTTCTAGCTTTTGAATATGTTTGCTCTTGCTTCTCTAGTTCTTTTAATTGTGATGTTAGGGATTCAATTTTAGATCTTTTCTGCTTTCTCTTGTGGGCATTTAGTGCTATAAATTTCCCTCTACACACTGCTTTAAATGTGTCCCAGAGATTCTGGTATGTTGTGTCTTTGTTCTCATTGGTTTCAAAGAACATCTTTATTCCTGCCTTCATTTCTTTATGTACCCAGTAGTCATTCAGGAGCAGGTTGTTCAGTTTCCATGTAGTTGAGCCGTTTTCAGTGAGTTCCTTAATCCTGAGTTCTAGTTTGATTGCCTAAAAAAAAGAAAGAATTTTTGTTCTTTTACATTTGCTGAGGAGTGCTTTACTTCCAACAATGTGGTCAATTTTGGAATAAGTGTGATGTGGTGCTGAGAAGAATGTATATTCTATTGATTTGGGGTGGAGAGTTCTGTAGATGTCTATTAGGTCTGCTTGGTGCAGAGCTGAGTTCAATTCCTGGATATCCTTGTTAACTTTCTGTCTCGTTGATCTGTCTAATATTGACGGTAGGGTGTTCAAGTCTCCCATTATTATTGTGTGGAAGTCTAAGTCTCTTTGTAGGTCTCTAAGGACTTGCTTTATGAATCTGGGTCCTCTTGTATTAGGTGCATATATATTTAGGATAGTTAGCTGTTCTTGTTGAATTGATCCCTTTACCATTATGTAATGGCCTTCTTTGTCTCTTTTGATCTTTGTTGGTTTAAAGTCTGTTTTATCAGAGACTAGGATTGCAACATCTGCCTTTTTCTGTTTTCCATTTGCTTGGTAGATCTTCCTCCATCCATTTATTTTGAGCATATGTGTGTCTCTGCACGTGAGATGGGTCTCCTGAATACAGCACACTGAAGAGTCTTGACTCTTTATCCAATTTGCCAGTTTGCGACTTTTAATTGGAGCATTATGGAACCAGAAAAGGGCCTGCATTGCCAAGACAATCCTAAGCCAAAAGAACAAAGCTGGAGGCATCATGCTACCTGACTTCAAACTATACTACAAGGCTATAGTAACCAAAACAGCATGGTACTGGTACCAAAACAGAGATATGGACCAATGGAACAGAACAGAGCCCTCAGAAATAATACCACACATCTACAACCATCTGATCTTTGACAAACCTGACAAAAACAAGAAATGGGGAAAGGATTCCCTATTTAATAAATGGTGCTGGGAAAACTGGCTGGCCATATGTAGAAAGCTGAAACTGGATCCCTTCCTTATACCTTGTATAAATATTAATTCAAGATGTATTAAAGACTTAAACGTTAGACCTAAAACCATAAAAACCCTAGAAGAAAACCTAGGCAATATCATTCAGGACATAGGCATGGGCAAGGACTTCATGTCTAAAACACCGAAAGCAATGGCAACAAAAGCCAAAATTGACGAATGGGATCTAATTAAACTGAAGAGCTACTGCACAGCAAAAGAAGCTACCATCAGAGTGAACAGGCAACCTACAGAATGGGAGAAAATTTTTGTGATCTACTCATCTGACAAAGGGCTAATAGCCAGAATCTACAATGAACTCAAGCAAATTTACCAGAAAAAAACAAACAACCCCATCAAAAAGTGGGCAAAGGATATGAACAGACACTTCTCAAAAGAAGACATTTATGCAGCCAACAGACACATGAAAAAATGCTCATCATCACTGGCCATCAGAGAAATGCAAATCAAAACCACAGTGAGATACCATCTCACACCAGCTAGAATGGTGATCATTAAAAACTCAGGAAACAACAGGTGCTGGAGAGGATGTGGAGAAATAGGAACACTTTTACACTGTTGGTGGGACTGTAAACTAGTTCAACCATTGTGGAATACAGTATGGCAATTCCTCAGGGATCAAGAACTAGAAATACCGTTTGACCCAGCCATCCCATTACTGGGTATATACCCAAAGGATTATAAATCATGCTGCTATAAAGACACATGCACATGTATGTTTATTGCACACCATTCAGAATAGCAAAGACTTGGAACCAACCCAAATGTCCATCAATGATAGACTGGATTAAGAAAATATGGCACATATACACCATGGAATACTATGCAGCCATAAAAAAGGATGATTTCGTGTCCTTTGTAGGGACATGGATGAAGCTGGAAACCATCATTCTCAGCAAACTATTGCAAGGACAGAAAACCGAACACCGCATGTTCTCACTCATAGGTGGGAATTGAACAATAAGAACACTTGGACACAGGAAGGGGAACATCACATACCGGGGCCTGTCATGGAGTGGGGGGAGGGGGGAGGGATAGCATTAGGAGATATACCTAATGTAAATGACGAGTTAATGGGTGCAGCACACCAACATGGCGCATGTATACATATGTAACAAACCTGCACGTTGTGCGCATGTACCCTAGAACTTAAAGTATAATAAGAAAAAAAGCTACATGCTAAAAAAATAAATAAATAAAGAAGAACACTATTAAATAAAAGAGACACTACTATTAATAATAATGTGCATATATTGGAACTGTCCTGGATAAAATGAGACTTATCATCTTAGCCCAATTATAAAACTTAAATTTAACTCATTTGTGTGCCTCCCTTTTTAAGTAGACAGTAAGATTATTAAAGGAAGACACCCTAATTTTTTTATCCTTGCAACCCCTAAGTGCTCAAAGCTGTGCATGTAGCAGTGCTTAATAAACATTTAAAATAAATTAATGGATGGCCTAGTTAATTGGTTAATTAATGCCTAAAGATACTAGGAAAGGGAAATTCTCAAATCCACCAACAGCAATGGTATCTGGAAAGTAACTTTAGGAGTGGTCAGTTATGGCAAAAACTAAGGGAGGAATAGAGTTAAGGTAAAGATAGCAAGACATCTGCCTTCACACACACCACACATGCACACACATAAATGAACAGAAAGAGACATTGTGGAAGAAAGAGAAATAATGTTTGATTTGCCCATTTGTGGCTTTTGGTGTGTGAAGTTCTGAGGCACCATGCAAACAGTTCAGGACAGTGTGCTTATTTAAGCTTCACAAATTTTCACCACACAGTGTCATAATATATGACTAATATCTATGGAGTCTTGGATGCCCCTTCCCACAACTTAGTTCTATTAAGTTCAGACAATCTCAAACACTTTTATAGCAAGTAGTATTTTTTTCATTTCCTCTGAGATAAAATCCAAATTCCTCAATAGGATGGTGTATGTTTCTGATCATCTTCACAGTGTCTCTTCTTTTACCCTATAATTTGGGTTGACCTCAATTGCTGGAAATGATTGTATAAGAACAACAACAACAAACCAATAAGGCTTCTAGAGCTCTTGTCACATGTCTCCTCTTAGAATGAACCACTCAATTTCTCTGATCCCATCTCCTTGTCAAACATTCATTTTTCCTTTTAATTTTCTGTTCAATTCCTTCTATGTTGCTTTTTGTGATCCCTAACAGGTAGGGTTGATCAATTTATCTTTATCTCCTCCTAAAGAAATGCAAATTATAATATAAGTAACACCAAACTGAACTTACATAGTGGGTATGAATCTTCTTCTTTTAATGATATGTGCAGGACACATACATACAAATATTTCTTTTAAACGTTGCTATACATTGAATGTTTTTGCCCCCCGCCAGAAGTTATATGTTGAAATCCTAACCACTTTCAAGAATGAATAAAACAACCAGATAGAAGATCCATGAAGGAATAGAGAACTTTAACTACACAATAAACTGACTAGACCTAACAGACATATATATAGAACACTCCACTCAACAACAGCAAAATATACATTACTTCAAGTGCACATGGGATATTCTCTAAGATAAACTATATATTAGGCCACATAATAGGTCTTAATAGATTTTTTAAAATATAGTAGCTTATCATAAAAAGTATTTTCCTATGATCAGAATGGTATAGTTAGAACTTAATAACAAAAAGAAAACTGGAAAATTCACAAATATGTAGAAATTAAACAACTTTTGTTTCTATTTATTATTTATTATTTATTTTTTATAGACAAGGTCTTGCTTTATTGCCCAGCCTGGAGTGCTGTAGTGCAATCATAGCTCACTGCAGCCTCAAACTTCTGGGCTCAAGCAATCCTCCTGCCTCAGCCTCCTGCCTCAACCTCCTGAGTAGCTAAGACTACAGGTGTGTGCTACTACACTCAATTAATGTTTTAATTTTCTGTACAGGCAGAGTATACCTATATTGTCCAGGCTGGTTGCAAACTCCTGGTCTCAAGCAATCCTCCCTCTTGGCCTCTCAAAGTACAGGCATGAGCCACTGCACCCAGACTAAACAACACACTTTTAAACAACCAATAGTTCAGAGAAAAAAAAAATTATAAGGAAAATTAGAGAATACAAAGAGATGAATGAAAACAAAACCACAACACACCAAAACTTATGAGTTGCAGCAAAGCAGTGCTAAGAGGGAAATTTATAGCTGGAAATGCAAAAAAAAAAAAAAAAAAAAAAAGAAAGAAGAAAGAAGAAAGAAAGGAAAGAAAGAAAGAGAAAGAAAAAGACAAAGAAAGAAAGGAGAAAAATCTCAAGTCAGCAACCTAAATTTATACCTTAAGGAACTGGGGAGAAAAAAGCAAATTAAGCTCAAAGCTAGCAGAAATAACAAGTAGTAAAGATTAGAATGTGAATAAACAAAAGAAAGAATAAAAAAAATAGAGAAAAACAGAGAAACCAAAAGTTGGATGTCTGAAAAAAACCAACAAAATTGACAAACCTTTAGTTGGAACAACAAATCCAAAAAACAAGAATACACAAATAACTAAAACCAGAAGAGAGAGTGGGGACAAAACTAACTTGTCTTACAGAGATGAAAAGGATTATAAGAGAATACAATAAACAGCTGTAGGCCTAAAAATTAGATAACCTCGAACCAAGGGACAAATTCCTTGAAACCTCAAATGTCCATTGCAGCATTATCCACAAAAGCCAGCCACAGAGCTGGAAACAATCCAAGTGTCCATCAACTGAGGAATGCATAAACATAAATGGCATATATTTGCAATAGAGTAGTATGTATTTGCAATATTCAGTCATACAAAGGAATGAAATTCTTTTCCTACAACATGGACCTTGGAAATATTATGCCTAGTGGATAAGCTAGGCACAGAAGGTTAAATATTTCATAATTTCACTTAACTGAGCTACCTAGAATAGATAAATTTACAGACACAACATAAAATCGAGGTTACCAGGGCCTGGGGAGAGGTTGGGAAAGTGAGTTATTGATTAATGGGCACAGAATTTTATTGGGAATGATAAAAAAAAGTTTTGAGTATAGATAGTGGTCATGGTTGCAAAACATTGTAAACGTATTTAATGTCTCTGAATTGAACATTTATGAGTGGTTAAAATGATAAATATTAGGTATATTTTATCACAATAGAAATAAACAAACCAAAAGCAAGCCAGGCAAGTACTTGAAAAAATATGAGTAAACTCTGTTATAACAAAGGAGAAGTTTGTTTTAACGGTTATTTAAAGACCTGGAAGTGATTATTAAAAAGATTGACACATTTTACAAGAAAATAAAAAAAAACCTTAAACTCACAGTAAGCAAGTTCTACATATGATATGGTTTGGCTCTGTGTCCCCACCCAAATCCCCTATTAAATTGTAATCCTCAGCTGTGGAGGGAGAGACCTGGTGGGAGGTTATTGGATCATGAGGGTGGTTTCCCCCATGCTGTTCTCATGACAGTGAGTGAGTTCTCACAAGATCTGATGGTTTTAGAAGTGCTTGGCAGTTCCTCCTTCACTCTCATGCTCTCTTGCCTGCCACCGTGTAAGACATGCCTTCCTTCCCCTTTGCCTTCCACCACAATTGTAAGTTTCCTGAGGCCTCCCCAGCCATGTGAAACTGAGAGTCAACTAAACCTCTTTCCTTTTTAAATTACCCAGCCTCATGTAGTATTTTTACAGCAGTGGGAAAATGGACTAATACAACATATATTTAAAATGTTAGGTAGATAGACATTAACAGCTAGGAGGCGGTAAAAGAAGAGAACAAAAAGGCTGTCACTAAGACAGCAGCCTATGGTCCACCTAAGTTCAGCCCCAGAACTGCCCTAACTCCACCCTAAGGGATCGAGTTACTGGTAAAGTCTGTGGCCAGCACATCCTGGAGAAGGAGAAACTAGGGAAGAGTTGGAAATCCCCTAAAGTGGTGCATACCCAGTAGCACGGAACTGTGTCCTCAAGTTCACCCCAAGCTCTTTATACCATAATTATAATAAAATTTACATGTGGTTTTATCCCTCCAGTGGGTTTTTCCTAATAAACTATGGGTAAGAACATATGCAGTTTAATTTTAGCTATGTAACCATAAACTGCTAATCAAATAACATCATTCTGTCACTGACATAGCCCAAACCTCAACTCCTCTCCAAAAAACTCTCATGAAAGCCCGTTGAGTTTTGTAAGGAGGGGCTAATTTCACTTTGCAGAAATTAGTCTGCTCTCCCTCTGAGAATGTATTACTGTGCTTCAATAAACTTTGCTTTGAGCTTGCATTTTGGTGTTAGTTTGCAATTCTTTGCTCACTATCACATGAGCCGAGATTGCTGGTCCAGAGCTTCAGGTCTGTTGACCTCCTCAGTTAAAGAGTTCATCCAAACGCAAAATTCCCAGTAAGAAAAAGACAAATGTAAAAACATTTAAAATGTGTGGAATGTGTACTACAGAAGAACAGATAGTTCCCTAATATATAGATGTTCTGTATATTAAGAATAATACTACCAACAATGCAACAGGAAATCAATGAGGTTTATGAATGCACATTCAAAGCAAAGGGAAACACAAATGGCCTTTAAACATGTTAAAAGAAGTTTAATATCATGTATAATAGGCTCATAATATTTCAGTGAAATGTAATTTTTTCCAAATTAATTGTGAAAAATAAAAAAGATTGACAACTCATTCTAAAGGCAGCATTAGTTTTGCACTAATACAGTAGTGCAAAATGGTCAAACCATAGGAAAGACAATTGTAACACCTAATAATGTAAATATATATTCCACTTTGATACAAACAACACATTTCCGAGAATTTGTTATACAAATCTAAATTATGAAATTATGTATATATAACTAAATTTTACTTCGTGACATTCTTTTTAGTAGAAAAACGTAATAAGTAACTCAAATGCCCACCTATGGGTGACTGGTTAAAGAAACTACAGCACCTCCACGCAATAGGATATTGTGCAGATATTCAAACAAAGTGGAAGCTAGGTAGTTATTTAAAAATTTCTTCAGAGTATATAATTAGGTAAAAAATAAAATGTGGAGAATTATGCAGATAATAGCTTACTTATAAGAAATAAATAAGAAAAACAAGAATATATAATTGTATTTTCTTATAAAGAAATACTGGGAAAATGAGCAACAGAAAAATAGCAAGGTCAAATGTCATAAAATTAATAAAAGTTACATATAGTTGTGGGGGTGCAGGAAAAAGTGTGAAGAGTAACAAGAATGTGACCACCACTTTTCCATGTTTTCTTTTTTGTATAAATTTGATTCTTGAACTGTATAAATCAGCTAAGTGTTGAAAATAAATTTAAAATTAGAAAACAGAACATTTATATAGATATAAAAACAATAAAACCATCTATATCAATACAATTATACTAGTAATTTTTGTGAAATACAGTTTTCAGTTAAAAGGTTAAGATTAGAA
This sequence comes from Homo sapiens, assembly GCF_000001405.40. Lineage (NCBI taxonomy): Eukaryota > Metazoa > Chordata > Mammalia > Primates > Hominidae > Homo > Homo sapiens. The sequence continues at coordinate 151,723,470 of NC_000003.12, read as the reverse complement.
ATTTTGGAAAAATGGAGGTAACAAGTAGCAGGCAGTTTTTAGGACTTATTGACATCTACATAGAAACAAATGGAGCACTACATATCAAAACTAAAATGAAATTGACAATGTGTACAACAAAACTTGTTGACAAAGTATTCCCACAAATCTCAAAACATAAGAATGGAAACAAAGTGTATTAATAGGCATAAAACTGGCGTGTTATCAACATCTAGGCAGGAGAATACAGAGGAAAGCAGAGGCTGTCTGACAGATCAAATAACAAGGCTATCAAAAATTGGTTAACAAGTATTCACTGAAAAACACAGGAGGCCAAGTTGAGAATAGTAGGTAAATTGGGACGGGTTTTGTCCATTCCAATAGCAGCTGCCTTCAAGAGGCCCAGTCTGAAACAATGGAACCATCTGGCTCCAATAAAGCCTGGATCTGCCCAGCCCTGGCTTCCATGAAGGATAGAACCCCACAGAGCAGAAATTGATGGGAGTGAAATACAAGCTGAGGAGGACGTGAACAACAAAGAGGCCATAAGCAGAGGTCCAGATAAAAGTGGGGAAAGGCTACTGAATTGAAAAACATCTGAAAGCAAGCCACTCTACTTTTTTATTTTAACACTTTCCAAAAACCGAAGAGGGAACTCTGATATCAGAGAAGACGTCTGAACTGTTTCCTTCTACAAGTTCAGAACCAAATGAAATCCAAATCGAAAAGTATCAAAGTCAAATCTCATACAAAGTAACTATAAAATAAAACATAGACATAAAAACCGAAATAGAAGGAATGGAGAAAAACACAACAAATCACAACAAAAAATGCAGTATGAAAAGGAATAAAATTTTAAATATCAAAAAAGAAGAGATAAATGGTATTCAAGAGAAAGTGACAAATTTTGAAGATAAGCAAAGAAGAGCCACCTCATGGATAAAGCAGTCACTAAAAAAAAAAAAAAATTGGCCAGGTGTGGTCACACCTGTAATTCCAGCACTTTGGGAGACTGAGGCTGGAGGATCACTTGAGTCCAAGAGTTCAAGTCCAGCCTAGGCAACATAGTGAGACCCCTGTTTCCACTAAAACATAAAAAAATTAGCCAGGCATGGTGCCACATGCCTGTAGTCCCAGCCACCCAGGAGGCTGAAGAGGGAGAATTGATTGAGCCCGGGAGGTTGAGGCTGCAGTGAGCCATGATCATGCCACTGCACTCCAGCCTGGATGACAGAGCAAAACCCTGCCTCAAGAAAAAACAAAATAAACTAACAAACAAAAACAGAAGGCAGCAGAAAAAAATATTAACTACAATTCAAGAAACTTTGCTAAAATAAAAAAGACCTGGAAATACATAATTGAAGACCACACCATGTACCTGAGAATATGAACCAGAATGGTCAACACCAAGACATATTCTTATAAAATTACTGTACTCTAAAGAAAAGGGAAATAAATATGTATCCAGACAAAAAGATCACTTGGCTTATAAGGTAACTAATTAGATTATCATTGTAATTTAATAGCCATTCTTTATGCCAGAAGAAAATATAGTGTATCTATATATGTAATAAAAGTAAATGTGAGGTAAGAATTCAATATTCACAATTTTTCAACATATAAGAACTCAGTAAATATTGTACTCAGGAGCACTTCCAACGTAATCCAAAAGTGGTGGGAAGGGAAGAGTGTGGTCCCTTTAGATGATACAGAAGTGAGGAAGGGAAGTGCTGAGTAGAGGAGGGCACAGTCCCTGGCTAGGGCTCCACCCCCACGGACCTAAATGAAAACAGACACTTCCGCCTTTGCACCCAAATGTTGCATTTCCCAAGATCACCCTGGCCTGCCATGCCCCAGTCCTGTGCCTATAAAAATCCTCAAGACCCTAGGGCAGACAGAAGCGGCTGGAGTTTGAGAGGAACACATTGGCGGAAGAAGACACAACTGGCAGGTTGGTGAGAGCACGCTGGCGGAAGAGCATGCTGACAGGCACTGGCAGGATGGGAGGCCATTGACTGGCGGAAAAAGGCAGAGTTTGGCTGGGCCAGTTGGAGCAGAGCCGGGGCTGCTGAGTGGCCCAATTCCAGGGGAAAACCATCTCCCTTCCGGCTCCCCCATTGACTGAGAGCTACTTCCACTCAATAAAACTCTGCACTCATGATCCAATTCTTCCAGTACACCAAGGCAAGAACCCAGGATACAGAAAGTCCTCTGTCCTTGCAACAAGGTAGACGGTCTAATTGAGCTGGTTAATACAAGCTGCCTATAGCCTGCAAATTAAAAGAGCATTCTGTAACACACGTTCACTGGAGCTTCAGCTGTAGACATTCTCCTAGACACTGCCATGGGGTCAGAGCCCCACAGCCTGCATGTCTGTATGCTCCCCTAGGGGTTTGAGCAGTGGGGCACTGAAGAAGCAAGCCACACCCCCATCGCACACCCTGTGAGGGGGAAAGGGAACCTTTTCCGTTTCAAAAGGAATCTAGTAGAGAATAACCTTCATACAACCAAAATTAATAAAGAGATATCAACATAGGTATTGATTGACATCATTAAATATATTGTTATTTAATACATTTATAAAGGAGAATCATTGTTAAAGGAGAGAGAATAGCATGTAAGGGCATTTTTTATCTGACAGTGTAGACAAAGTGCAACTAGATTAAGTAGGGGAAAAAGAAAATAGTAAAAGACAAAATTAACTATTTTCTGTAATCAAAATTAGTGGTGATAGTATTCATATTGTTGTTCTGAGACTGCTTAATTTTTAAGTGAGAAAAAGCAAACTTGAAAGTATTCGAAATTGTGGCTCTTTTAATTTTCTCATTGTATGTCTGTTAAGTCTCTATATTCTTAAATTCTTTTTGTGAAAAAAAGAGAGATGTGATACAAAAGAGATCAGGTAAAAACCTTGTTCCTGCATTTAAGCTAAAAAAAAGAGTAAAGTTAAGAATTACTTTAAATATTTATATAACATTCCTATTTGTGTTCACTGAAAAGAACTTGTGCTCAGATAATAGCTTTGAAACATCATTTTCATCAAAGTAAGCCAGATAGTAAATGGAAATTTGGTACTTGGGGATAAATAGCTAATCCCAGACCTGTGCTGGGAATACATAATGTGAGCCAGGAAAATACCAACATACCAGACAGCAAGGAAGTGGTCAAAGATTTCCAGGCTCATATCAAGATGACTGAAAAGAGTGTCCATTGGCCCTAAATGGGAAAATTTGAACTACTTTAATAAGGAATTAACCAATATAAGGGGCTGAAATCCTTGAGTATATACTAACATATTATTTTAAATTAATTGGTTGCACTATGAAGATAGCAGGGAATCCATTCATTATCTTGAAAAGTAGGTAAAGAAAAGGAAATGATTGACAATTTATCCTGCCTTTCTTATAAGATGTGTGCCACTGGATAACTAAATAATATATAAAGGTAACCATTTTGTATAAATCATCCAGGTAATGTATAAAAACAAAATAATAGAATTAAAATATTTTGCAATCTCCAGTGAATAAATCTATACTTTGAGTCTCAATGGTTTCTAACATAAACAAAAAGTGACAATTATATCCTTTCTAAGGAAAGAAAACCCCACTGTGTATACTCTTGCCAAAGTGATTAAATTTGAATCTGATCAAGCCTTTGGATTCCAACTGGCAATTCACAGAAAATACAGAGACAATGGAACATGGTAAACTGCAAAAAAAAAATGCAATCAGCAAAATCCAGATTTTAGGAAGCTACAGGTCAAATGGTTCATGTCCTTAAATGGCTCATGTCCTTCAACAGATAAATTAGAAATACAGTGTACCTGTAGATTAAACAGATTTAAAAGACATACCATGTTTTAAAATGTGCAAGAATAAATTAGAGTTTCTAATGATTCATAGGTTGGTGATAATACTATATGGAAATGCAGTAAAATTACTACCACGAAATTACGGATAGGGTTACACATGGAAGAACAGAGTAACTATGATTTGATTGTAGCACAAGGGTGGGCACATGGGTGGCTGGCAAAGTTCTATTTCTTAACCAGGGTGGTGGTTTACAAGGGTCTTCATATCATGATAATTCATTAACTATAAATTTGTTTCATGTAATCTACTATATCATTTGATTTTACAATGAAAAAATTTAAAAAATACTCTGACATCATATAGAAAAATTAACCCAAAACAGATTAAATACTTAATTGTAAGACCTAAAACTATAAAACTCCTAGCAGAAAGCATAGGGCAAATATTGGGACACTGGATTTGTCAATGATTTCTTTGGATATGGCACTAAAAGCACAAGTAACAAAAGCAAAACGGACAAATGGGACTACATCAAACTTTACCAAATTTGCACAACAAAGGAAACAATCACCAACAGGAAAAGCCAACCAACAAAATGGGAGAAAATATTTGGAAGTCGTATATCTGATGATAAAAGATTAATATCCAAAATGTATAAGGAACTTCAAAACCTCAACAAGAACAACACAAATAATCTGATGAGCAAAGGACTTGAATAGGTAATTCTCCAAAGAAGATATACAAATGGCCAACAGGCATATGGAAAGATAGTCAACATCGCTAACCATAAGAGGAATGCAAATCAAAATCCACAACAAAATATCACCTAAGATGGCCACTATCAAAAGAATAGAATTAACAAATGTTAACAAGGATGTAGAAAAATTGGAACTCTTGTGCATGGTTGATGAGATTGTAAGATGGTACAGCCATTATGGAAAACAGTATGGAGGATTCTCATGAGATTAGAAATATGATCCAGCATTCCCTCTCCCAGGCCCTGGAATCCTCCTGAGTGACCTAGGACAGATGATTTACTATAAAAAATAGATAACTCATTAACCTCTCAGCCTAAAGAAGGCAAAAGGAAGAAACCAATGACGACAACCTAAACCCTCACAAACAGAAAAGGAGCCGAAGACTTCACCACACTCTTCTCAGAGTGGTGGCAGAAATAGATAAACCTGATCCGAGAGATGAACTAGCAGGTACTACTTGTTCTAGAGTTATACGGAGCCCATCACTCAATCTCTTCCCTTGCTAAATTATATTGAAATACAGAAGAAACTTAAAATGAAATTACATCTAGTAGGTTTTTTTTAAAGTAACAACACTGGCTTTCCCAGTAGGAGTTGCAAAACCCCCATGCTTTAAATCAGAGGAAGCTAGAAGCAACACCATGATATTAAGATATTAGCATAAAGGAAAAGGGGGAAAGGGAAGAATGCATAGATAGGATGAAAGTGGCTAACAAGTACCACATCTACTGTGTTATTCTGGGCCACTGGCATCTCTTCTTCTGCCAAGTCCTACTGTTTTAAAGCTGTATGCCGAGATGATAAGGATCTCTTCTCTTACCTTTACACACTAACTAAAATCACCCTCTGATATGGTTTGGCTCCGTGTCCCTACCCAAATTTCGTCTTGAATTGTAATCTGAATTGTAATCCCCACGTGTTGAGGGCACAACTTGGTGGGAGGTATTGGATCACGGAGGTAGTTTGTCTCAAGCTGTTCTCGTGATAGAGTGAGTTCTCACATGATCTGATGTTTGAAAAATGTTTGGCAGTTTTCTCTGTCCTCTCTCTCTTGCGTGCCACCATGTAAAATGTGCCTTACTTTCCCTTTGCCTTCTGCCATTATTGTAAGTTTCCTAAGGCTTCCCCAGCCATGCAGAACTGTGAGTCAATTAAACCTGTTTCCTTTGTAAGTTGCCGAGTCTCGGGCAGTTCTTTATAGCGTGTGAAAACAGACTAATACAGAAAATTGATACTGAGAGTTAGGTGCTATAAAGACAGCAAAAAATATGGAAGCAAAAACTTTGGAACTGGGTAACGGGCAGAGGTTGGAACATCTTGGAGGGCTCAGAAGACAGGGAAATGAGGGAAAGTTTGGAACCCTAAGGACTTGTTGAATGGTCTTGACCAAAATGCTGATAGTAATAGGGACAATGAAGTCCAGGCTGAGGTGGTCTCAGATGGAGATGAGGAACTTATTGGGAACTGGAGCAAAGGTCATTCTTGTTATGCTTTAGCAAAGAGACTGGCAGTATTTTGTCTCTGCCCTAGAGATCTGTGGAACTTTAAAATTGAGAGAGATGATCTGAAATTTGAACTTAAGTTTAAAAGGAAAGCAGAAAAGAAAAGTTTGGAAAATTTGCAGCCTGACCATGCAGTCAAAAATAAAAACCCGTTTTTCTGGGGAGAAATTCAGGAAATTTGAAATTTGCATAACTAACTAGGAGCCAAATGTTAATAGCCAAGACAATGTGAAAAATGTCTCCAGGGCATGTCAGAGATCTTTACAGCATCAGAGGCCTGGAGGCTTAATGGTAAAAAATGGTTTCCTGGGCTGAGCCCAGGGCCCTGCTGCTCCTTGCAGCCTCAGGACTTGATGCCCTGTATCCCCGCTGCTCCAGCTCCAACTGTGGCTAAAAGGGGCAGCTTAAGCCATGGCTTCAGAGGGTGCAAGCCCCAAGCCTTTGTGGCTTACATGTGATGTTGGGCCTGTGAGTGCACAGAAGGCAAGAGTTGAGGTTTGAGAACCTCCACCTAGATTTCAGAGGATGTATGGAAATGCCTGGATGTCTAGGCAGAAGTCTGCTGCAGGGGCAGAGTCCTCCTGGAGAACCTCTGCTAGGGCAGTGAGGAAGGGAAATGTGAGGTCAGAGTCCCTATGCAGAGTCCCTCCTGGGGAACTCCCTGGTGGAGCTGTGAGAAGAGGGCCACCATCCTCCAGACCCCATAATGGTAAATCCACCAACAGCTTGCACCAAGCACCTGGAAAAGTTGCAGGCACTCGATGCCAGTGCATGAAAGCAGCCACAGGGGCTGTACCCTTCAAGCCACAGAGCTGTGGGAGCCCATCCCTTGCATCAGCATGCCCTGGATGTGAGACATGGAGTCAGGGAGATTATTTTAGACCTTTAAGATTTAATGACTACCCCATTGGGTTTTGAACTTGCATGCAGCCTGTGGCCCCTTTGTTTTGGCCAATTTCTCCCATTGGAATGGGAACATACACCAAATGCCTGTACCCCCATTGTATCTTAGAAGTAACTAAATAGCTTTTTATTTTTAGACTCATAGGTGAGAGAGACTTGCCTTGTCTCAGATGAAACTTTGGACTTGGACTTTTGGGTTAATGCTGGAATGAGTTAAGACTTTGGGGGACTGTTGGGAAGGCATGATTGTGTTTTGAAATATGAGAAGGACATGAGATTTGGGAGGGGCCAGGGGTGAAATGATATGGTTTGGCTTTGTGTTCCCACTCAAATCTTATTTTGAATCGTTATCTCAATTATAATCCCCATGTGTTCAGGGAGGGACCTGGTAGGAGGTGATTGGATAATGGGGGTGCTCAGGATATCTTTGGCTATGCTGAGACTTTTGTAGTTCCATATAAATTTTAGGATTCTTTTTTCTATTTCTGTGAAATAGAAATTGGTATTTTGATAGAGATTGCATTGAATCTATAAATTGCTTTGTGTAATATGGACGTTTTTTAACAACATTGATTCTTCCAACCCATGAACATGGAATATCTTGCCATTTTTTAAATGTCTTCTTAAATTTATTTCATCAATGTTTTATAATTTTCATTGCAGAGATCTTTCACTTCTTTGGTTAAGTTAATTCCTAAGTATTTTATTTTATTGGTAGCTATTGTGAATGAGATTACTTTCTTGATGTCTTTTTTAGATTTTTAGCTATTGGCATATGGAAATGCTACTAATTTCTGTATGTTGGTTTTGTATCTTGCAACTTTACTGAATTTGTTTAACAGTTCTAACAGGTTTTTGTGTAGTATTTAGTATTTTTTCAAATATAAGATTATATCATCTGCAAACAAGGATAATTTGAGTTTTTCCTTTTCAATTTGGATGCAATTTGTGTATTTTTCTTGTCTGACTGTTTAACTTAGGACTTCCAGTACTATATCAAATAAAAGTGGTAAAAGTGGGCATACTTGTTGTGTTCCAAATCTTAAATAAAAGGCTTTTAGTTTTTCCCCATTCAGTATGATACTGGCTGTGATTCTGTTGAATATTGCTTTTATTGTGTTGAGGTATGCTCCTTCTTGCACTGTTTTTTTGAGGGTTTTATTTTAAATTATGAAGGGACATTGCATTTTATCAAATGCTTTTTCAGAGTCAATTAAAGTGACCATATGGTTTGTGTCCTTCATTCTGCTGATATGTTGTGTCACATTGATTCACTCGTGTATGTTGAAACATCGTTACATCCCTGGCATAAACCCTACTTGATTATGATGATCTTTTTAATGTGTTGATAAATTTGGTTTGCTAGTAATTTGTTGAGGATTTTTCAGCAGTATTAATCAGAAATATTGCCTGATAGTTTTCTTTTTTTTAAGGTGTGTTCTTCTGGTTTTAGTAGCAGTGTAATACTGACCTCATAGAATAAGTTTGGAAGTATTCCTTCCTCTTCTATTTTTTGGGATAGTTTGAGTAGGATTTATATTAGTTCTTTAAATGTTTGGTAAAATTTTGCAGTGAAGCCATTGGGTCCCAAGAATTTTCTGTGCTGGGAGACGTCTTATTATGGCTTTGATCTCATTAGTGACTTTGGTCTGTTCTGCTTTTGGATTTTTTTCACGATTCAGTCTTAGTAAGTTGCATGTGTCTAGGAATTTATTAATTTATTTTAGATAATCCAATTTATTGACATGTAGTTGCTCATGGTATTCTCTAGTGATCCATTGAATTTCTGCAGTATTGGCTATATCTCCTTTTTCATCTCTGATTTTATTTATTTAGGTATCTTGCTTTTTTTTTCTTAGTTGTCAGGCTAAAGGTTTGTCAATTTTATCTTTTCAAAATGCTAATTTTTCATTTTACTGATCATTTCTATTTTTTATTTCAGTTTCATTTATTTCTGCTCTGATCTTTATTATTTATTTTCTTGTACTAGCTTTACATTTGGTTGACTGTTACTTTCTGGTTCATTAAGATGTATCATTAGGGGTTTTTTTTACCTGAAGTTTTTCTACATTTTTTATATAGACACTTATAAATATAACCTTTTTCTTAGTACTACTTTCACCATATTCCTTAAGATTTGGTATGCTATGTTTCCATTTTCATTTGTTTCAAAAAAATTTTCAATTTCCTTCTTAATATCCTCATTGACTCACTGGTAATTTAGAAGCATATTATCTAATTTCTGTGTGCTTGTATAGTTTCCAAAATTCCTCTGTTATTGATTTCTAGTTTTATTCCATTGTGGTTAGAGAAAATACATAATATAATTTCAGTTGTTTTGAATTTTTAACAATTGTTTCATGAGCTAACAAATGGTCTATTTTTAATAATGATCTATGTGCTGAGGAGAAGAGTGTGTATTCTGCAGCATTGCATGAAATGTTCTCTAAATGTCTATTAGGTCCATTTGATCTATAGTGCAGATCAAGTCCAATGTTTCTTTGTTAATTTTCTGTCTGGATGATAATGTCCAATGACAAAAGTGGGGTGCTGATGTCTCCAGCTACTATTGGGGCTTATCTCGCTCTTTAGCTCTAATAATATTTCCTTTTTATCTAGGTGCTCCAGTGTTGAGTGCATATATATTTACAATTGTTATATCCTCTTGCTGAATTGACCCTTTTATCTTTATATAGTGACCTTCTTTGTCTCTTTATATAGCTTTTCTTTTGAAATCTATTTTGTTTGATATAAGTGTAACTACTCCTGCTCTTTTTGGGTTTCCATTAGCATGGAATATCTTTTCCATCCTTTTATTGTCAGTCTATGTGTTTCTTTATAGGTTAAGTATGTTTCTTGTAGGCAACAGATCATTGGGATCATCTTTTTTTGTTTTTTTTTTAATGCATTCAGCCATTCTGTATTTTGATTGGTCAGTTTACTTCATTTACATTCAATGTTATTATTGATAAGCAATAACTTACACCTGCCATTTTGTTATTTGTTTTCTGGTTGTTTTTTGGTCTTGTTTTCCTTCATTTCTTCCATCCTATCTATCTTTTAGTGAAGGTAATGTCTCTGATGGTATGTTTTAATTTCTTGCTTCTTATTTTTTGTGGGTCTGTTGAATGCATTTTGATTTGAGGTTACTATGAGGTTTGCAAATAATATAACCCATTGTTTTAAATCGATGACAACTTAACAATGATTACATAAAGAAACACACAAACTAATAGGCCAAAAAAAAAAAAAAACCACTGATAAAAACTCTAGATTTTGACTTCATCTCTATGCTTTGTAACATTTAGCTGTTTGTATTATATCTTATTGTACTGCCCATGTCTTGAAAAGTTGTTGTAGTTATTATTTTTGATAGGTTTATTTTTTAGTCTTTCTACTCAAGATATGCATAGTTTACACACTATCATTACAGTGTTGTAATATTCTATGGATTTTTGTTTATATACCACTACTAGTGAGTTTTGAACATTCAGATGATTTGCTGTTGTTTGTTAACATCTTTTTCAATCAGATTGAAGAACTCCCTTTAGCATTTCTTGTAGAACAGGTCTGGTATTGATGAAATCCCTCAGCTTTTGTTTGTCTGGAAAAGTCTTTATAACTCCTTCATGTTTGGAGGATATTTTCACTGGATATATGATTCTAGGATAAGTTTTTCTCTTTCAGCCCCTTATATGTCATGCCACTCTCTCCTGGCCTGTAAGGTTTCCACTGAGAGTTCTGCTGCCAGACATATTGGAGCTCCATTGTGCATTATTTGTTTCTTTTCTCTTGCTGCTTTTAAAATTATTTATTTATCCTTGACATTTGAGAGTTTGATTATTCTGTTTTCAGGTAGCCTACTTTGGGTTAAAATTGCTTGTTTTTCTACAATCTTCTTATATTGAATGTTGATGTCTTTCTCTAGGTTTGGAACTTTTTCTGTTATTAAACCTTTGAATAAATTTTCTTTCCCTATGTCTCTCCCTCCTGTTTAAGACCAATAACATAGATTTGCATGATTGGAACGGTTTTCTAGAGATTCTTAAGTGTGCTTTATCCTTGTTTTTTCCCAATGATCTTTTTTTTTATTTCAACAGATTTGGGGGGGAACAGGTGCCGTTTGTTCCCCAGATCCTTATCCAGATTTGTTACATGGATAAGTTCTTCAGTGGTGATTTCTGACATTTTGGGGCACCCATCACTCAAGCAGTGTACATGGTACCCAAAATGTAGTCTTATCCATCAACCCACTCCCACCCTTCCCTCTGAGTTCCCAAAGTCCATTGTATTATTCTCATGACTTTGCATCCTCATAGCTTAGCTCCCGCTTACGTGTGAGAACATACAATGTTTCAGTTTCCATTCCTGAGTTACTTCACTTAGAATAATGGTCTTCAATTTGATTTAGGTTGCTGCCAATGCTATTATTTTATTCCTTTTATGGCTGAATAGTATATATATATATAAATATATATATACATTTTGTCTTTATCCACTCATTGATTGATGGGCATTTGGGCTGATACCATGTTTTTGCAATGGCAAATTGTGCTGCCATAAAGATGCGTGTGCAAGTATCTATTTCGTATAATGACTTCTTTTTCCTCTGGGTAGATACCTAGTAATGGGATTGCTGGATAAAACAGTAAATAGACTTTTAGTTCTTTAAGGAATCCCCACACTGTTTTCCATAGTGGTTGTACTGGTTTACATTTCCACCAACACTGTAAAAGTGTTCCCTTTTCATCACATTCATGCCAACATCTATTATTTTTTGACTTTTTGATTATGGCCATTCTTATAGGAGTAAGATGGCATTGCATTGTTGTTTTTATTTGCATTTCCCTGATAATTAGTGAGGCTGAGCATTTTTTATATGTTTTTTGGCCATTTTTATATCTTTTTTTTTTGAGAATTGTCTAACCATGTCCTTAACAAAGCCCACTTTCTGATGAGATTGCTTTTTTCTTGCTGATTTGTTTGAGTTCCTTGTATATTCTGGATATTAGTCCTTTGTCAGATATGTAGATTACAAAGATTTTCTCCCACTCTATGGGTTGTCTCTTTACTCTGCTGATTATTTCTTTTGCTGTCCAGAAGCTTTTTAGTTTAATTAAGTTCCATCTATTTATCTTTATTTTTGTTGCATTTGCTTTTGGGTTCTTGGTCATAAAGCCTTTGCCTAAGTCAATTTGTCTAGAAGGATTTTTCTAATGTTATCTTCTAGAATTTGTATTGTTTCAAGTCTTAGATCGAAGTATTTGATCCATCTTTAGTTGATTTTTGTGTAAGATGGAAAACAAGGATCCAATTTCATTCTTCTCCATGTGTCTTGCCAATTATCCCAGCACCATTTGTTAAATAGGGTGTCCTTTCCTCACTTTATGTTTTTGTTTGCTTTGATGAAGATCAGTTGACTGTAAGTATTTGGCTTTATTTCTCCATTCTCTATTGTGTTCCATTAGTCTATGTGCCTATTTTTATACCAGTACCATGCTGTTTTGGTGACTATAGTATTATAGTATAGTTTGAAGTCAGGTAATGTGAGGTCTCTAGATTTGTTCTTTTTGCTTAGTCTTGCTTTGGCTACATGGGCTCTTTTTTGGTTCCATATGAATTTTAGGATTGCTTCTTCTTGTTGTGTGAAGAGTGATGGTGGTATTTTGATGGGAATTGCATTGAATTTGTAGATTGCTTTTTTCAGTCTGGTCATTTTCACAATATTGATTCCATATTCCATGACCATGGGATGTGTTTCCATTTGTGTCGTCTATAATGTCTTGCAGCAGTGTTTTGTAGTTTTTCTTGTAGAGGCCTTTCACCTCCTTGGTTAGATATATTCCTAAACATTTTACTTTTTCTGCAGCTGTTTCACTGTTGGTGTATAGCAGTGCTACTGATTTGTGTACATTGATTTTGTATCCTGAAACTTTACTGAATTCATTTATCAGTTCTAGAAGTTTTCTGAATGAGTCTTTACAGTTTACTAGGTGTATAATCATATCATTGGTGAACAGTGACAGTTTGACTTTCTCTTTACTGATTTAGATGCCCTTTATTTCTTTCTCTTCTCTGATTGCTCTGGCTGGACTGCTTTATTCTTTTTATTGTTTGTTGTTGTTGTTGTTTGTCTTATCTGACTGTGGTTTTTCCAATAGGCTATCTTCCAGCTCACTAATTTTTTCATTTGTTTGATCAGTTCTGCTGTTGAGACTCTAATGCATTTTTTGATATTTCAATTGCATCTTTCAGCTACACATTTTCTGCTTGACTCTATTTAATTATTTTAATCTGTCCATTAAATTTATCTGTTCAGATTCTGAATTTCTTCTCTGTGTTATCTATCATGCATTTAATTTAGCTTCCACATATAGCTATTTCTAATTCTTTGTCTATAAAGTCACATATCTCCAACTCTCCAGGATTAGTCACTATGTCTTGTTTAGTTCATGTGGTGAGGTCATGTTTTCCTTGTGGTCTTCATGCTTGTGGATGTTCGTGGTGTCTAGCAATTGAAAAGTTAGGTAGTCTTCACAATTTGCACTTATCAGTACCCAACCCTCTTGGGGAGGCTTTCCAGGTATTTGAAGGAACTTGGGTATTATGATATAAGGTTTTGGTCACTGCAGCCATACATGCATTAGAGAGCACCCCAAACCCTCTAACACTGTTTCTCTTACAGACTTGTAGACATACAACCTCAGTGGTCTTGAATAAGATCCTGAAGAATTCTCTAAGGCAAGAGACTCATGTTCTCTTCCCTTACTTTCTCCCAGACAAACAAAGTCTCCATCTGTGCTGAGCCTCCTGGAGCTAGGGTAGTGGTGATACAAGCACCCCTGTGGCCACCACCACAGAGACTGCACTGGGTCAAACCCAAAGCCAGCAAATCACTGGTTCTCACCCAAAGCCTGTGGTAAACATGCCTGGCTACCACCTATGTTCGCTCAAGGCCCTAGGACTCTACAATCAGCAGGTGGCAAATCCAGCCAGGCTTGTGTCTATCCTTTCACGGCAGTGAGATACCCTCGGCTCCAGGTGGGTCCAGAGATGCTGTCTGGGAGGCAGGGCTTTAGGAGTCTACTGTCTACAGGTGTCCTAATCTACTGTCACTGTGCTCGCACCCAAGCTACAAGGCAAAGTCCTTCCCATTCTTCCCTATTCTTTCCACAGGCAAAAGAGTCTCAGCTTGTGGTGAATGCTTCCAGCCCCAAGACTCTCTGTTCAGGTCAGTGGGCTACTCTCTGGCACAGAGCAGGTCCAGAAATGTCATCCAGCAGCCACAGCCTAGAATCAGGGACCCCAGGAACCCTCTTGGTGTTCTACCACACTGTAACCTAGCTGGTACATAAACTGCAAGATAAAGTCCCCTTCTCTTCTTTCACGCTTTTTCAAGCAGAAAGCATTCCTCCCTGTAGTCACCACAGCTGGGAATGTGCTGGGTCACACCTGAAGCCAGAACACAGTTCTGAGTCTCACCTAAGATCCACTGCAAGTACTGCCTGACTACCACTGCTGATTATTCAGGGCCTAAGAACTTTTTAGTCAGTGGTGATGAATTCTGTCAGGACTGATCCTTCCCTTCAAGGCAGTGGGTTCCCTTCTGGCCCAGAGTGGAGCTAGGGCCTGGAATGGATGCCTCAGTACTCTGCCTAGTGCTTTATTCTACTGTGGCTGAGCGGGTATCCAAGTTGTAAGAAAAGTCTTCTTTTCTTTCCCCTCTCCTCTCAAGTGCAAGGAACTAGTCTCTCCTGGAGCTGCAAGCTGCACTGCCTAGGGTTGAGGGAGAAGTGTTTCAAACACTCCTTTGGCCACCCCAGCTGGTGTTTCACTGGGTCATGTGCACCCCAAGTCCACAGGCTACAAATCCAGCATAGCACCAGGACTTGCTCAAGAATTGCAGTCCTTGTTGCCTAGACTGCCTTTCAAGTTTACCTAGGACCTCAGAACAGTATAGCCCATGATGGCGATAATACAGGAGTTATTAAGAATTAATTTTAGGCAGCTAGATAAGGTAAAGATTCTAGGTGGAAACTTTTCTTTTAATAGAAACAACCTGTGAGTCATTTCTTTTCTAACAGAAAGGCAGCTTAAAGAGCCAGGCTGGCAACCTTTAATATGCAAAGGCAGGCAATTAAAAACTAGGCCCATCTGGCATGGCCAGTATGGCTAGTCCCACCTTCTCCTTATCACCAGGTGTGCCAAGTGTCATGACCACCTTCAGATAATATCATGCTCAGAACATTATGGTGACCCACATTTGCATATTAAAAATATTCTTGAATAAAATATTCATTCCTGGTCAATGATAATTACAATGAAAGATTTTTTCAATTTAGCAAATGTGTCATTTTAAAATTAACTTCTATAGCTAGTTTTATTTTAGTTTTATTTTATTAAATTAAATTAAGTTTAATTTTTGTTTCCTCATCTCTCACAGCTTCTCTCATGGAATAGATGCTGACTACCTCTCTATTAAATAATAATCAGCAACTATTCTAGACATTATTAAATGGTATTATGGGATAGATGCCCTCCTATTCTCATAGTAACACTGTAGCTTGTTGATTAGCTTTCTCATTTTGCAGTTGAAAAAACTGAGCCACTGAAGAATTAGATAAACTTTCTAAGATCTTATTGTCTTTAAAGCTCATGTTTGTCTCCTACTTTAAACTATATAATTTGAATGTGTGACTGCAGAGTATTATTTTTTTCTACACCATTTTTATCAAGAACCATAATATTGGTTTCCCTGACATATATTTAAAAATTAGCATCTCTCCAAGAATCACTTGAGTTATTGTAATTTAGTCATGACAATAACAGAACAGTTACCCCTTGAGCAAGTGGAAGTTGATCAATCACTAGAATAATCATCAAAATAATTCTTTCTCAATATTTTCTTTCTAATTGTGTGTATATACAATACATATATATAAAGAAATGCATAATGCCAATTCTATTTTAGATGTACAATGTCTTAATTCTATTTTTTATTTGAGAAAGTACAAGTCAAATTCTTACAGTTGCAGAATGTGCTTACATTGAGAAAATAAGCATTAGTCACTCTAAAGTCTAAACATATGTGAGCTATTCAGGGAAGATAACAGCAGTCACTGTAGGGCTGGCCCTTGCTCATACACCTTTCCCTCTGTTGTCCAGTGAATAAGACAAGACATTAGCAATTAATATTAAAAAATGGGAAGTTGAGGTCATTCAGCAAATTTTGGACTTTGAATAGAATATGCCTCAGGTATTTAGTTTGAGAAATCTGTCATCTTTTCTAGGTAACATAGCAGTCAGCCTCTTCCTCATATCCCATGCATTGCTCTGTTTTCTGTGATCTTTTATTGTCTGTTGCTGCTTTCTCCCTAGTTTCCTGTTATCACTATTATCTATGAGGTTTCCAGATACCAGCATGTTTTGAGAGAAGGAGTGAGTGTGGTATCTTCAACGTGGCAGATTTGAGTTCAAATTCTGGCATGGTCATAAAAAAAATTCTAAAATCTAGCAATTTAAGATTGAGGTAGATAAGAGCAGCAGATCTCAAAGTGTGATCTTGCAATGCTTATGGGTCTCTGAGACACATTCAGGAAGTGCACATAATATAATGATTCTTTCTGACTTTTTAAAAAAATCTAATTCACCCATGAGTATACAGTTGAATTTTCCAGGAGCTACATGACACACGATATCACAACAGACTAAATGTGAGAATCCAGCTATCTTCCATAAAGACATTAAAAAGAGTAATAATGGAAAACAATGCCACTATCATAACTATTTTTTCCTATACAAAGACAAACAACACAGACTAAAAGCACAATCATCATTGAAATCACAGAGCCTCCAAGTGTCTTTATCCATTTTAATGGGTTAATAGCTACTAATCTGTCTGCAGCTCCTTCAAGCACTCCAGTTCCTGGCATTAAGGTCATGTGTGCCTGGGATGCTTTGAACATTTGTTCTTTTAATTTTGCAATATCCAAAGACAAGTTTGTAGAGTGTCCTTCTAGACGCTTTTTTATTCTTTCCCAGATTTTGATCTTATTTAAGAGCCATTAATAGTTGCCACAAATCTTTAGTTTAACTCCTACAGTGGTCCATATCATTTGAGATTGAGGTGCCACTATACCATCAGGTTTCCAAATAATAGGAACTCTTGCCATATTTCTTACTATTTCTACCATATGACCATTTTGTTTAGACCAGCTGAACATAGTGTGGCCATGGCACACAGACTGAGAGGTGCAATTCAAGCTAAACATCCCCTTAGGGGACCAATCAATAATGATTCCATAGGAATCGTTGCACAGCCCCTCTGCCTGTTCTGCAATGCAATCTTCCCAAACAAGTATGTTCATTATTTCTGGCCAGGTCCAATTCTGTTTACAAATAGGTTTTTGAGGGTGATATGCCTCAATTAAAGGAGCAGATTTATTATGGTAAATACTGAGATCAGAAAGCATGTGTAACTGTACCATACAGTGATTACATCCAGGCATTATTGCCAGCCAACATTGACAAATATGCCCAATAAGTATAATTGTTTTCTGTGTCAGCCCTTGCTAAAGGAATACTCACAGCAATGGTGATCACTGCTATCATAGCTATCATTAAATTACTCATTGTGACTGGTTGTCCCGCTTTTCTCAGGTTTTCTTCCGCCATCTGTGACAGCTTCTTGATCTGTCCCCAGGTAGGTGGCTGCATTCGACGGGTGTTGCTCATGACAGTTGGGGTCCTCCTCAGTGTCAATTTGGACAATGCTGCCACCGGTGGGTCTTTGGGATCCTCCCGAAACCTCTTCCTGGGTATCTGGCTCATGATAAAGTTTTCAGGTGTCTTGATGGTATCCAAATCGACTGCTGGTTCTGGCCTGGAGAAACACAAGCATAACCTCTACCCTTAGTTATTATTTTACCTATTTCCCAACTTTTTGTTGTTGGATCTCTCCACCAAACCAGTTGTTCTGCTTCTGTTTTTGTAGCTGGTTTCTGTAGATGCTGTTCAGCTGCTGATAGCATCTGGCCTTTAGGCAGGCTAAAAAAACTTAGAGTTAATAATGTTAGATTCAATTGTATATGTGGTGTCCCATGGTCCTAGTTTCCCCCTTTCTGCTTTTGCAATTGTCATTTTAGGGAGAGATTCATTCTTTCTACTGTGGCTTGTCCTTGAGAATTATATGGGATGCCAGTAATGTGTTTAATATTCCATATAGAGAAAAATGTACCTAGAGCTTGGCTAGTGTAGCCTGGGGCATTATCTGTTTAATAGAAGCTGGAATGCCCATCACTGCAAAAGGTGACACTTAACACAGACAGAAGACTCTCCTGATTGGCATGTAGCCCAGACAAAATGAGAAAAGGTGTCCACACATACATGTACATAAGCTAGTCTCCCAAACGAGGGAACATGTGTGACATCCATTTGCCAAAGAGAATTAGGTTCCAGTCCTCGAGGATTAACTCCTCCTGTAAAAGATAAGGAACGCACCATTTGGCAAGTTGGGCATCGCTGGATAATAGCTTTAGCTTCTTTCCAGGTAATGCTGTATCTGCGTTTGAGACCAGAGGCATTAATATGGGTTAAATTGTGAAAGTGTCTGGCATTAGATATTGCAGTAGCAACTAGGTGATCAGCCATTTGATTCCCTTCAGTTAAAGGTCCTGGAAGAGGTGTATGAGCCCTAATGTGAGTGATATTAAAAAGAGTGCATTCTAGTCCTAACTGCTGTTTGCAATTGGGTAAATAAAGTCATCAGTTGTTCATCTGTATCAAATCATAACTGAGCATTTTCAATTAATTGTGTGGAATGAACCACATATGAAGAATCAGAAATCACATTAATAGGCATAATAAAAGCAGTCAATACCTCAATTACAGCTACAAGCTCGGCTTTTTGAGCTGAAGTATAGGGAGTCTGAAAAACCTTACCTTTCAAGCCAGAATAAGAAGATTTACCATTACTAGACCCATCTGTAAAAACATTTTCAGCACCTTCAATTGGTTTAAATTTAATTTTAGGGAGAATCCAATTAGTTAATTTCAAAAATTGAAATAATTTTGTTTTCGGAAAGTGATTTTCAAGAACACCCGTGAAATCAGCTAAATGGGTTTGCCAAGTAAGACTATTTATAAAGGCTTGCTGTATTTGTGCCTTCGTGAGAGGGACGACAATTTTTCCAGGATCATATCCATGTAAATTAACAATCCAAGTTCTCCCATTTCCTATCATAGTAGCGATTTGATTTAAATAAGGAGTTAGAGTCCATGAATTAGTATGTGGAAGAAAAAGCCATTCTACTAAGTCCTGCTCTTAGACAATAACACCAGTAGGTTAATGCTGAGTTGGAAAAATCAGCAAATCTAGAGTCTTCTCTGGTTCTGTTCTATTTATTTGAGTCTTATGCACTTGCTTCTCAATCAGCTGTAACTCTGTCTCAGCCTCCTTTGTTAATTGTTGAGGGCTAGTGAGATTAGAATCTCCTCTAAGGATAGAAAATAGATTACTCATGGCATAGGTAGGAATGCCTAGAGCAGATCATATCCAATTAATGTCCCCTAGTAATTTTTGAAAGTCATTTGATGTTTTCAATTGATCCCTACATATGGTTACTTTCTGTGGCACAATAGTAGTGTCATTTACTGAAGTCCCCAAGTAGGAGTAAGGAGTAGTAGTCTGACTTTTGTCAGGAGCTATAATTAAACCAACACGAGAAATCAAATTTTGCAAGTGATCATAACATTTGAGTAATATTTCTCAAGTGGGAGCAGCACAAAGTATACCATCCATATAATGAATAATGTAACACTGTGATAACTTTTTATGAGTAGGTTCAATTGCTTGCCCTACGTAAGTCTGGCAAATTGTTGGACTGTTTAGCATGCCTTGTAGCAACACTTTGCAGTGAAAATGCTTAGCAGGCTGAAGGTTGTTTACTGCAGGAATTGTAAGTGCAAACCATTCACAGTCTTGCTCAGCTAAAGGGATAGTAAAGAAACAGTCTTTTAAATCTATGATGATTAAAGGCCAATTTTTTGGAATCAAAGCAGGAGAAGGCAGTCCTGGCTACAATGCTCCCATAGGTTGTATAACTGAATTAATGGCTCTAAGATATGTCAACATTCTCCATTTACCTGATTTTTTCTTAATTACAAAAACTGGAGAATTCCAAGGGGAAAATGTTGGCGCTATATGTCCTTTTTCTAATTGTTTAATAAGTAAGTCCTCTAAAGCCTCCAGTTTCTCTTTGCCTAGCAGCCATTGTTCTATCCAAATTGGTTTATCTGTTAACCATTTTAAAGGTATAGGTTCTGGAGGCTTAACAATGGCCACCATAAAAAATGATATCCTAAACCTTGGCAAGAACTTTGTCTTTCTGCTTTAAGCGGTTCTTTCAAACCTTGCAAATTTTTTCCTAGTCCCATACCAGGGACATGCCCCATTTCATGCATCATATGTTGACTTTGAGGGCTATATAATTGTTCTGGAATTAGAACCTGTGCTCCCCATTGCTGTAATAAATCTCTTCCCCATAAATTTATAGGTACAGAAGTTATAATTGGTTGAATAGTCCCAGGCTGTCCATTGGGCCCTTCACAATGCAAAATATAACTACTTTGATATACTTCAGGGGCTTTACCAACTCCAACTATGTTAAATTTAGTGGGTTGAATTGGCCACGCTGACAGCCAGTGCTGCAGAGAAATTATTGAAATGTCTGCTCCTGTATATACCAAACCTTTATACTTCTTTCCCTGAATAGTTATTTCACAGGTAGGTTATTTATCAGTAATTTGATTTGCCCAGTAAGCTGCTTTGCCTTGTTTATTTGTGCTTCCAAATCCTCCTGTTCATTTAATTTCATTTTTCCCCATTTCCACATATGGCACAATCAGGAGCTGTGCTATATGCTCTCCTGGCTCTGCTTTCCAGGGAACAGAAGTAGACATAACAATTGGAATTTCCCCATTGTAATCTGAATCAATGACTCCTGTTTGTACTTGTTGTCCTTTTACATTTAAACTAGACCTACCTACAAGTAATCCTACCATCTCTGCTGGCAACATCTGACCGGAGACAGCAACATTCTTTAACAGCCCCATTACAAAAGGAGAACCTGGTCCATATTGATTAATAGCTTGTTTAAATTCTTCGAGTAATTTGAAAGGAAAAGGCTCAAATGTGGCTATAAGATTTCCCTGTTGATCTGGGGGGTGTATCCTAACAGGGAACTGCCAAGCCTCTATATCACCCTCTCTTCTAGCTTGCTGGATTCCTGCCTGAATATAACTGAGAGCAGTCTCTTGAGGAGCTGCTCGAACAGTCACTGGGGCAACTACTTTTCACCCAGCTTCCTCCAAAAAAGAAAGATCTGTAGGGTCAGGCCACTCTATTTCTTCAAAATAATGAGGGGACGCAGAAGGGTAGGGACAAACCTCTTCCTCCTTTGCTGCTTTAGCTTTAGCTGGTAAACAAACTTGCTATATTACTTCATTATACTCTCCTTCCTCCTCATCAACAGTGTGAAAAGGTTCCAAGGTGGAATGAACCAGAGCCTGCACTTGTCCCATTGTTACCCTGATGCTTCTGAGCTCCCCTTCTTACTCACCACGGGAATTGCTTAAGAGTACTCGGGTGTCCTCCAGCTTAGTTCCATGTTCTCCAACCATTGCTCTGGCGACCCTTCGACCTGGGTTCAAGCCCCATGTATGGGCACCACTTGACAAGACCAGCTCGATCATGGAGACCCTAATCCAGCAGCGCTAGAGGAATTAAAGACACATGCACAGAAATATAGAATGTGGACTGGGAAATCAGGGGACTCACAGCCTTCAGACCTGAGAGCCACTAACAGAGATATTTATTGACAGCATATGTTTATTGACATATTTATTGACATCAAGCCAGTGATAGGTATTGTTTCTATAGATTATAGATTAACTAAAAGTATTCCTTACGGGAAACAAAGGGATGGGCCTAAACAAAGGGATGGGCTCTGGCTAGTTATCTGCAGCAGGAACACATCCTTAAGGCACAGATCGCTCATGCTATTTTTTGTGACTCAGGAACACCTTTAAGCAGTTTTCCACCCTGGGTGGGCCAGATGTTCCTTGCCCTCATTTTGATAAACCCACAACTTCAGCGTGGGTGTCATGGCCATCACGAACATGTCACAGTGCTGCAGAGATTTTGTTTATGGCCAGTTTTGGGGCCAGTTTATGGCCAGATTTGGGGGCCTGTTCTCAACAGAAACAACAATATTACCATGAATTATCCAAAAAATATAAGAAATACTTCTCAGTTTATTTTATGAGTTCAGTATGGAGTTAATATCAAATTCTGACAAGAACATTCCAAGGAATATCACAGGACATCATCACTCATGAATAGTGATGCAAAAATGTTAAACAAATGGTTATCAATCCAAATCAAGATGTATATAAAGCACATCACAAATTAGTTGGATCATGTTCATGATGTTTTACTAGTTGATTAAAGCCAGTCAGAGGGCCTGACATCTGAAAAGGCAAAAGAGGGCCACTGAGAAGCACCACTCTGCGTTCACAGTGCAGCACACTTTCACCACCTCAGTTCAGCTAAGCCATACACTGTCTCTACCTTTCTATACACCAATATAAAAGAAAAGTCTTTCACTTACAACTTGAACTATGTCTAAGTAGGATGATATATTTCACTCTAACTAGATCTAACCAACTAGGGTGATAAACAGATATGACGTGAGCAAATCTAAGATGCTGGTCCACCACAGAACATAACAGAACACTTTATACTGAGCAATAAACAATAAAATTCATTATAACCAATCCAAAATCAATTTATGGACTCCTGTCATCCTATTCAGGGTGCAAGTTTCACATATAATTTATGTAACCACAGGAGACTCCCTCCCTTTAAGATTCCTGGACTTTTCTTGTTAATTATCTAGCAAGTGTTTCTTTTCATAACAAATAAATAAATTCAGTGGCCAGGGGCAGTGGCTCACACCTGTGATCCCAGCACTTTGGGAGGCTGAGGCAGGTGGACCACTTGAGGTCAGGAGTTCAAGACCAGCCTGACCAATATGGTGAAACCCCATCTCTACTAAAACTACAAAAATTATCCAGGTGTGCTGGTGTGCACCTGTAGTCCCAGCTACTTGGGAGGCTGAGGCAGGAGAATCACTTGAACCCAGGAGACGGAGGTTGCAGTGAGCCGAGATGGTGCCAGTGCACTCCAGCCTGGGCAACAGAGTGGGACTCCATCATAAATAAATAAATAAATTAATTAATTAATTAATTAATTCAGCACTTGGTTAATTGATAGCTGGTACATTTACACATTAACATGTTGGTTTTTGATCTTTACAGCTTTAGTGTTTTTATTATATTTTAATATTTAATTTTTGCAATTAACTCAAATACTTTAAAGAGGTTCATTATATTATTATAATACTCTGAATTCTAACAGGAGGTACAAATGCTAAAAATTAACCCTCTTTGAATACTCATACAGCTATGAATACATTATTACCCAAGAAGATATAAGGTAAAAAAATTACTAGGTCAGTAAATGTATTTCTTAGTTTCAAAAACTCATTTTCTACAGTTGGAATTCAACCAATGGCTGTGAATCTAAATGAACTTCAGGTAATCAACTCTGGGGGAAGCGTCTCTCTCTGATTGCAGTGGGAACAAGTCTCACATTAAGACTTGATGTCTTTCCTTTTAAGTCAACATCAAAATGCACATTCATTTTTAAGTTTTATGTCTAACCCAGGTGAACAAAGTCAATATGTGATACTCTCAGAAACAAGATTGGTTTCTCCCACACTTAGTTCTGAGTCCTTCTGAACTCAGGGCAGTACCAGAGAGATGATCTGTAATTGACTCCAGACACTCAGCAACATAATATGGATCATAAGGAAAGAACTGGACCCCTTTTGCTAAGCACAATTGTTCTTCTTCAAACTTTTAACCATGATTTTCTCATAAAGATAAACTGTGTCTTTGTTATACAAATGAACTAATTAATTTCTTGTGACGTTTCAAAGACCTAAATATGAAACAGATTTTTATCTTTGGTACATTGTAAAATTATAGTTAATTAACCTGATCAACCACCATTTCTCTGCATAAACCATGTGGTGATTATTAGTCTTTTCTTTAAAGCTTTTCTGACTCAAATTCCTAAAACTCGACCTTGGGAACTTCTTCTAGGGCTAGAAATTTTTTTTTCTGCTTTTTTTTCCTTTTTTTTTTTAATGATACTTTAAGTTCTGGAATACATGTGCAGAACATACACATGCCATGGTGGTTTGCTGTACCCATCAACCTGTCATCTACATTAGGTGTTTCTCCTAATGCTATCCCTTCCCTAGCCCCTGACCCCCTGATAGGCCCCAGTGTGTGATGTTCCCCTCCCTGTGTCCACGTGTTCTCATTGTTCAACTCCCACTTATGAGTGAGAACATGTGGTGTTTGGTTTCTAGGGCTTGAAATTTGAATATATGGTTAGGGAAATGATTTCATGATGACAAATTTCCCGTCAATCACAACTGAGCCTAACAGAAATCAATGCATGTACATGAATACAATTTTTAATTCAACCCGAAAAAAACCAAAAGAAGTAAAAAATGAGAATTGCTATTTACATCATAAACAAAATAATTATCCACATAATATTTAGCTACCAAAAATCAATAATAAGAAAAAAATCATTTTTAAAAATTCATAGAAGATTTGGGCAGATCAAAAAATGAGAAATACAAGAAATCCATCTGGGTTTATAATATATGAAGACCGCCCACACTAAATTATAAGTGAAATGTATATTAAGTTTACAATAAAAACCACATATCACTTGTCACGTTGACAAAGAACAAAACTTCTGGTAACATAATTCATGATAAGAATGAAAATGAGACAGTCATACATTGTTGTCAAGTGTTTCAATTGACACAGGCAATATAATTTATCATTTAAACAAAAACACTTCAGAGAGTGAAAGAGGCACTATTAATAACAGCATTCATAATCTATGGTTCTGGCTAATTGACATTCCTGCAGCTTATGAAATGGCAACCCTTTAATCATGTTTTATTTGTGTATCTGTCTTTCCAAATAGTAAATTCACTGATGGAAGACACTATAAGATTTTTGCCTTCTGACTCCTAAATATGTAGTACTTAGCATATAGTATGTACTTAATAAATATTTTAATAAATTAAATAATGGCTTAATTCATTCATTAGTGCCTAAAAGGTCTAAGGAATGGAAAATATCAAATCCGTTAACTGTAATAGTGATTAGAATTCTGAGAGAGGCCAGTGATAGGAAAGGCCAAGACAAGAGGTGGCATAAAGTTTACGATAAACAAGATTTCCTGTCTTCAAACCACAAATATAAAGGAGAGGAAAAGAGAGGAATTTTATGAAATTAAACTGTATGGTAGTTATGTAGAGAAGAAGGGGCCAATTAATATAATCAAAGAAGTTAAATGTAGGTGTCTGGAAACTTTTCAAAACTTGGACATCAAGTGGTTGGGGTTTATTCTCTCAAATGTGGAAATATCCATTGTGGTAGGCAGAATAATGGTCCCACAAAGCACAAAGATGTCCACATCCTAATTTCCCAAACCTGTGAATATTTTCTATTACATGGTAAAAGGAAATTGAGGATGCAGATGAAATTAAGATTGCTAATCAGCTCACTTAGAACAAGGAGATTCTGACAGAATATCCGGGTGGTTTCAATGTAATCACAAGGATCGCCAGAAGATGGAGGAGAGAGAAAAGAATAATATCAGAGTGTTGCAATATGAGAAAGTTGACTAGCCCGTTAGCTTTGAAGATTAAGGAAGGTTAGAAGGCAAGGAATGCTGGCAATCTCTAGAATCCGGAAAAGAAATAAAACAAACTCTCCCTTAGAAACTCCAGAAGAAAACAGAACTCTGCTGACACTTTGGGACCCATTTTAGACTTCTGACCTATACAACGGTAAGGTAATACATTTTTATTTTTTTAAAGCCACTAAGTTTGTGGCAATTTGTTACAGCAGTGACAGGAAACTAATATACCCATGAGAAGTTATAACAGCCATTATCACTGTAATATATTCTCATTTCTTTCCCAAGAAAGTTAGAGAAAATCCTAATACTTTTTTATTTAGAAAGGTAAAATATATGTGACATGATAACTAAGTTAAACTAATCAGATCATAGGTGTTTGCCTGGCACATAGTAAGCACTCAGAGACTGTTATTTATTGTCACTATTATATACATTATCATTTATATATACACATATACATATATATGTATCTCATGCATATGATTATATTTTATATTTAATTTTGCAATTAACTCTAGTACTTTAAAGAGTTTCATTATATCATTATAATACTCTGAATTCTAACAGGAGGTCCAAATGTTAAAAATTAACTCTCATTGAATACTCATACAGCTATGGATACATTATTACCCAAGAAGGTATAAGGTAAAGAAAAGTAGGTCAGTAAATCTATTTCTTAGTTTCAAAAACTCATTTTCTACAATTCTACAATTCTACATATACATGTATATCTATATATATATGTATCTAGATAATATCTAGATATATATATAGATATATATAGAATATATATACATATAGAATATATATAGATATATATAGAATATATATATAGATATACATATATACGTATATGACATAGGGTCTCACTCTGTTGCCCAAGTAGGAGTGCAGTCACATGATCATAGCTCACTGCAGCCTTGACCTCCTGGGCTCAGCTGATCCACTCACTCCAGCCTCCCGAGTAGCTGGGACCACAGTCATATGCCACCATTACTGGCTGTTATCATTTTTATAGATGATAACAAGAAAAGAGGTAATTTTGGAGCATGAGGCTTTTCATGAGACACAGCTGTTTGTTGATGATCAGTGGGAGAGGGCAGTCTAGGATCACAAGCACCTGGAGAGCTAGATGTGGCTCAAAAAAGAGCACCCTAAGACTTTGTCCTTTTATTGCTGGACACTAGTGTTTGTCTCTGAAGATTTTCTCATTCTGGTAGTGACACATGTTCCTCGGATCATCAGTCTTAAGTTTAGTGGGGAGAAAATATCAGTTGTATGAAATGAGAAAACAATGAAACTGACCCCATCATCTGTCAGATTGTTTTCCAGAAGCCATCAGCATTGTTCTATGGCTGGCTTTAAACTTTATCTTGTTTTACTCAATGAAAAGAGAGAAGAATAAAACTTTCAGAAGTTGGACACTTTATATGCCACCCTTTGACATTTGGCTTGCAGATGTTTTTGATAATATTGAAGTTTTATAGTTTGCAAGGAGCTGAGTATTTGCCAAGGTTCTCATTCTGTCATTCCCAAAGTTCTAACTTTTTCCTTTTAAAAACTGTTTGTATACATTTCTTGAACAATTTTAGATTTACAGAAAAATTGCAAAGGTGGTACACAGAGTTCCCCTATACCCTGTACCCAATAACAACTTCTATTAACATATTAATACTGTATATTTTTCAAAATTGATGGCCAACATTAAAACATGAACTTTAATATTAACTAAAGTTCATACTCCATTTTCCATGAGTTGTTTCATTATAAATATAGTCCTTTCTACATTTTTCTAGAAGTAAGGTACTCCAGCAAACAACAGAGTTTCGATTTCATAGGCATATGTTGGAATTTTCCACATTCTTTGAGGAAATGTTTCTTCTCAATCAATGAGTTTTATTGCCAACTTGCTTGGCAGAAATGGAACATGTTCATTTTCTAGGTAAGATGGCATGACTTAGGTACCAGCTGTATATAAACGAAAGTAAATTAAAGCTCAATTTCATTTTTTTGTTTCAAAAATCACTCTACCTGTAAAACTGTAAGACAATATATTTTTGTTCTTTTAATCTTTGAATCCTTTGATGTGAGTCAAAGGATTCCAAAATACAAAATTGAGAAATTTTATTCTAAACATAAACAAGCTATGACATAAAGCTATAAAAATTAATGTCATGAGTTAATAAATATTTTAACAGTTTTCCTATCTTTCAGGTACATGAAAAATATGAGAACTTTAATGCTAGTCTAATTTTAAAGTATTTTAACAAAAATTATGAATACATATATAATGAGGAATATTTCAAAGTATATATATTAATGATATATAAAAATAAAAGAATAAAATATCATGACCGCAGTAGCTAAGGAAGAATTCCTAATTGAATATATTATCCAAAGGCAAATGCAATTTCATGCAGAAAAATACCAATAAAAATAACAGATAATAACTTTCCTTCTGGAGGGAGGCTGTAGTGTTGTCGAAAATTAGTGGAGGAAATTGTAAAAAAATCTTTGCTAATACCCATGAGTGTAAAAGGCAGGAAATTGTATTTAGAGACTCTTTTTCTTTCCAGAGAAGAAAGGTTTATCTTCTGCCATTGGGCAAGGATAGCTCCGTACATTTTCCTTTTGTTTTCTTCTGGCCTTGCAGACTATGGGAGAAATTGGAACTTAATCTCCCAGGAGCAATTTTCTCAGCTATAGAGTGGCATCTGCAACAACAGCATCTAGACAAATGAATATAATTTGACCTGTTTCAAATGAAAAGCTTGGGATCTGAAGGCTATGCCTCTAAGCAATCTCTCACCACGGCTGCTGGTCAATTCCAAAAGGGAGAATTAATTGAAATCCAGGAGGCACCTGGCAAGAGGAAATAGACTCCAACTACCTCCGTAATGTACTCTCAAGATGATAGAGTTTCCACAAGTTTATAATGAAAACGAGCACATACAAAGTTTTTAGACAGAAGGTCTCCCAAGGTCCCTCCTCTCTCCCCAGCATCCTAAGGTAGATGTTTTACTGAACAAAGAGAATTAACCATCAACTTCAATTTCAAAAACTATCAGAAGTAACTCACAGAGACCACATAATGTGGTAGAGGCCAAAGAGACTCTACTCACACCCTTCCTAGGCAAATGCTGCTGGTTCAGGAGATATTCAGAGCCTATGTTTTCAGTTTCTTCATTTGTCAAATCGTATTGAAATAAGACAAAGGTTAGGTATTTGATCTAATTCATGGCAGTGCTGCAAAGAAGTGAGTAGAATTTTGTCCTACTGGGGGCCTGGCGCTGTGGCTCACGCCTGTAATCCCAACACTTTGGGAGGCCAAGGCGGGTGGATCACGAGGTCAGGAGATCGAGACCATCCTGGCTAACACGCTGAAACCCCGTCTCTAAGAAAAATACAAAAAATTAGCCGGGCGTGGTGGCGGGCGCCTGTAGTCCCAGTTACTTGGGAGGCTGAGGCAGGAGAATGGCGTGAACCCGGGAGGTGGAGCTTGTAGTGAGCCGAGATCGCGCCACTGCACTCCAGCCTGGGCGACAGAGCGAGACTCCGTCTCAAAAAAAAAAAAAGAATTTATCATACTGGGGGTGGAAGAAAACCCCAAAGTTTAATATGTAAGAACCTAGAAGCAATATTAGATTAGCAAATGGCAGGAAAGGAAACGAGCAGAATTAAATGGCTTTGTTATCATGTTGTCTGGGACTGCTATTGTCACTTCCTGTGCCAAAACCCACTCTGCTGAAGCCAGCTTGCAGAGATGGCAAGCATTCCCTTCCCTGTCTCTGGACACACACCTAAATCACACCTGTTTATGACAGTCTCAAAAAGGTCCTGCCTAGCGTGTGGGGTTATTTAAGGGTCATTTACCAAACCCCACAGAGATACCTGGGAAACTATGACTGGCCGTTGTTCACATGGGAGAGCTATTCAAGGAGGCTTCAAATTGCCTAGATTACTCTGAGGTATTTGCGGCCTGTGGAACAGCAATGGAAGTCACTGCCTGGTTACCGTAACAGGCCAAGACAGACAAGTCAGACAACTGTGGCATTGAACTTAGCTGGAGTCCTGTGATAGTCTCTAGAGGATTAGACAAGGAGAACTGCCAGTGAAATCTGTAATATTTCAAGAATACCCCACATCCGAGTCATTTGGAGAGGAAGCAGTTGTACTCTTTACAACTGGCACTACAGTAAAATTCTTCCAGTAATTCAGGTAACGTTTTGTCTAAGACTAGCCTGGTATCAGAACCTCAAAAGAGAAGAACTCAAGTTGCTTATGACCACATGAACTGTTACTTCCTTAAGAGAAAAATTTTCAGAACTTGGAGAGACCAGTACGAACAACTAGTCTACAATAACCATATCACTAATTAAAAGTAGTTTTAAATCATCTATGCAGCATAGAAAGTACATTTCAGTTTTATTCCACTAATGGTAACCAGAAGGAGGAAGGACCAGGTAGTGTGAAGAGGCAATAGCAACCCTTTAGCCTGGTCACAATTTAATGTCACTGGTACAACATACAAGGCATCAGCCAAGACCCAGGAATCTCTCACAGGAAAGGGATGCTGAAAGGAGAAGGTCTGCCAGCAGATGGTGACAGTCCTGATATGATGCTTCCCTTAATATGAACATTGCCCTTAATATTTTTAGCCATCTAATATCTGGCTCAAATCTCGCCTTCTGAGAAGCTAAATGTATTTTTCTTTTCCCAATATGACTTCATTTTTTTCTAATTATATTGTCCAATATCTTATCACACAATGACTTTTCCTATTTCTCTGCCATTCTTTACGATTCTGGTCAAAATTAACCTCCTTCAAGAAAGTATAAGAGATTCAGGCACGGTGGCTCATGCCTGTAATCCCAGCACTTTGGGAGACCAAGGCAGGTGGATCACCTGAAGTCAGGAGTTTGAGACCAGACTGGTAACATGGTGAAACCCCATCTCTACTAAAAATACAAAAATCAGCCAGGAGTGGTGGCAGGTCCTGTAATCCCCTCTATTCAGGAGGCTGAGGCAGGGGAATTGCTTGAACGTGGGAGGCGGAGGTTGCAGTGAGCCCAGATCGCGCCATTACATTCCAGCCTAGGCAACAAGAGAGAAACTCTGTCTCAAAAAAAAAAAAAAAAAAAAAAAGTATAAGAGAAACAGGTACCCAGACACTCCAAGGTTGATTACTTCTCCGCAGACCTAACCTTCCAGTTGTGTCACTGTGGAAAAATTTTTCCTGATTTTTAAAAACACATTTAATATATAATTTTTATCATATAGGTATAAAATTGTGCATGTAAATATATGATCTCATGACTCTCTTTTATACACTCCCAAATTTAAAGCCAATTTCCATGGTTTTTCTTCTGAATTTGATTAACCCTGACGTAATTTATTAGTCATCCCTGTATTGCTCTCTGGGAGCAAGATGGTGGAATTATCAAAAGATATTATGAAAAAATAGAAGAAATAATCAGTTGATATTGTTGTTCCGCTTATAATTCAGTTGTAACCAGGAAGACTAGTAAAATGCAGATGAAAAGAAGTAAGCATAATGTTCTATCTAGAAATCAAAGAAATATTACCTATTAATGCAACACAGGAAAAATCATAAAGTAGGATCTTGTTTCCTTACTTATGGGGAAAAAAAGAAAACAAAACTAAAAAAGAAGAAACCTGAAACAAACAAACAAAGAAATAAAACACGATTGTTATTATAAATAATACCCCACTTCATGTAAGAATGAAGTGAAGCAGGTAAGTGTCTATCTTTCCAGTGTCTATGGTAGTTGGTGTAAAATATTTCCAACGCAGAATGCATCACATACTTAAACATGTTCATTCTTTTTATGCAGCTGTTCCTTTAAAAAAATCTATCTTACCACAATAAGCCTACTATAGAAAAAGTGACACCCCCACAAATGTTCAGTAGAGTATGGCTCAAGAAAATTCGTTAGTAAAATGTTTTTGTCTTTACATAAAACTCGAGCGAACATATGTTTTACTCTTATCTATACTTCTTTTTTCTTAAGAATCTAGAGAGGAATAACAACTTTTCATGATATTGTTCTCAGAGCCTCTGAGTGGTGATATTCCCATCAATGAGAACAATAAGATATTAATGCCAAAATCTATTCATTAGCTAATATATGCAAACATAGTTGCTAGTGTCTGTGGATACTTAAGATGAAACAAACATGATGTCCCCCTTCTAGTGACTTGTAATCTAATAACCAACTCCTATGGGCTGGTATTTTAAGAACTGTTGAGATAAATTTAATCAGTAATTTATATTTTTAAAAGGTTAGTAATAATTATACATGTGAGAGTAGGAGCTATTACTAAATGTGAGAGAAATACTGTAATAAGAAACAATGTATTATTTTCATGAAAACCAAGAGGAAAACCATAATTCACTAAAAAATATTATACGCACAGTCCCCCAAACAGACATTTGTCTTAAGAATACTTGTACATGGAAATTGCTGCCCTCCCACTGAAAACTTTGCTCTCCACATGCCCTTATTGACCTAAAGAAAGAAACTGAGACAAAATTAATACAGAGAGTTTATTTGGATCAAGATTGAGGACACTGGCCTAGGACATACTTCCACATTGTCTTGGGGAGTACTCTGTTTCATCTTCATTAAAAGTAGATTTTTAAAGGCAAAAGGGGACAAGGAATGGGCTCATACAAGGTGTTTGACAGGAATTCTTGTTGGGCTACAGAAGTAACGTTAGTGAGTGGATATATATTGTTGAACTATATGGTGACCAGCATGTAACATTTTATGACTACTTGGTGTCAGTCTAAAACCCACATAGCTAGTGGCTTCAAGAGATAATTATTTAGCTCAGGAGGAGGGGGCAAGGCATGACTTCTGTCATATGCTGTCACATTTCAAAGGTTCTCTGGGTCTGACAATTAAAGGGGGCTAGCATTTCTCAAATGAAGTTTCTTTTCTTTCTTATTTCCCACTTTTGATCAAAAATCTTTCTTATTGAAAGCACTGATGATCAAAGTCTGAGTGTCAAGGTGTCCCTCATTGCTGGGAAGGCCCATTCCTGAATAGTCCTGCCCCGTGTTGAGGGGAAAGAAGAAGGCATCTCAGTGACAAAATTTGAGAGTACCCAAAAGCCAAATTGAAATGGCATCATAGGGCGGCAAAAAACAAACAAAAAAAACCAAAAAAAAACGAGATCTCAGTCAAGGCATTGATTTATATAGTTCAGTTGCCGTCACCTGTTGAATCATCTCTAGTCTTTGAAATGGCATGCTTTTAGTTTTCCTAGAAGAAGTAAAACAATGAGAGATACCTAGCCTTAATAATTTGAATGATAGAAATATACGCATTTAAGGATTATAATCAAAAAGATAATTTGTATGCCAGGGTGACAAAAAGACAAAGAAAAAACCTGTTCTATTAGAGAGCCAACTTAAAACATCATGAAGAAAATTAAATTCAGGTTTTTCTTTAGAGACTTCTTGTAGCCAAAATCAACTCAGGATTCAGTCCAGATTTCAAATAGATAATAAAACCACACAGAAAATGAACTGGGCTAGAAACTAATATTGAATACATATTGAATACATTACAGTTTTCTTCTGAAACCTAATTTTTCTCTCTATAGTCACCCTTACTTCTAACAAAAATAATTATAATCGAACTAATTTATTTGTTAAATAAATGTTAGTCTCATTATACTTGGCCTGTTTATTTGCATAAAGAGCAGCAATAAGAGTGATCAGCCACATACGCTCCTTCTAAGTTGGCTTTGCTGGAACTTTTTCATAAGGAATTTCAGATTAGACTTTTAAAAGCCTCTTGTGGCTCAGAAGCCAAGCCAAGGTTTACCATCAGATTGTGCCTGTCATATCTGTACAAGTTGGATGAATTTCTATTTTCTTGAGGTCCCAAAACATCTTGAATTTCCTGGGCCTGTCAGGAAGTGACATTACTTACTGCAAGGTTGAGAACCTCATAAGGGAACCATGTATACAGGTTAGGAGGCCAGTCTTTTCAAACTCTACTGGCTCTAT
Organism: Homo sapiens; assembly: GCF_000001405.40. Lineage (NCBI taxonomy): Eukaryota > Metazoa > Chordata > Mammalia > Primates > Hominidae > Homo > Homo sapiens. Next base: position 151,689,619 of record NC_000003.12, on the reverse strand, counting down.
AAAGTCAACTTCAATCCCTCAAAGCAATCTGGCCATATCTGAAAAGATGCCATTCCAGTCAAAGCGTTGGTAAAAATAGCCAATGTTTCCAATGCGTCCTGTTATAAAAGGAAAACAGATTATTGTTGAACTTATAGAAATAACTATATTGCCATAAAACAAGAATACTCACTAATAGTTTCCGAATTCTGGAGGGATGAGGTGGGAAGAAGAAGTAAATGTTTCCATTTTTGTTTACTAAAGTAAACTTTACCAAGTTGCTGTAAGCTATGAACAGCTTAAAAGAAAAAAAAGTTTTTTTAGGTCTGGAAAACAAAACAATCAAAGAACCAGCAGTGTTTGAAATAATGTCATGTCATTAGAAATGTCAGTCCTTCATCAGTTCAGTCCCATGTAATTAATTATTGTTCTGATTGATGTTGGATTAATAATCTTCATAAACCCACCAGTTTTTCATTAGAGGTCTGAATTTTTAAATCTAGTCCAATGGTATGATCTCCAAAGTTATCAGAAATCTATATTCAAGAGTTCTTGTCGTGGTTCTTTTCATAAATTTTCTTGAAGACACAACACTTTAGGATTTGCAAAGAACTTTTAAAGGAAAATAAAGCATCAGAATAAAGTAATTTACTGTGCTTACCAAGACACAGCAGAATTTTTGTTTGAAATCTCATGCAATTTTGGAACACATATTAATTACATATTCATACAAATATAATTCAAAGTATTTCAAACACTATTTCATATTTGACAATGCTTCCCATATAATTTTAACATCCCAGTAAGCCTAATGTGTCCCTCTTGGACTTCCTTTTTTTGAATGTCCAATAGTTAGTTCAAGATCAACAAACCTAATTTTAGACTTTGAAATTTGATTTTGGAAAGCCTTCCAAATGTGTCAAAGGTTTAAAAAAGACTTGATTTCAAAGTAGACTGATTACTATGAAATAACAGTCATTCATTTAGTCAAAGTGATAATTCAAAAATTCCAAAAGCCAAAACGTTTACCTTTTAATAGAGAGGGAATTCAGTTTTCCAAACAATCAAAAGACGTAATAAAGACAGTATCAGACCAACAGAATCTGTCTCTTCCTTTCTCTTTTGTTTTTACGGTTTACTGAAAAGGTAAATTAAAAATCCTTTATTATTTCTTATTAATACTATTGAAATTTTGTATAATTAATGCTAAAGCTAATTTTAATAAAATGTTATAAACAGATCCATCCAATCTCAATCAGCTTTGAATATACAAGATAAGATTTTCATAAATCTTTTATAACTTATTATAATTTTTCTATTCCTTTTCACTACTTTCTATATTTCTATATTCAGTTATCATTCTATTCTTTTATTCCTTGAATATAATACAACCTTTACATAACCTTTAAAAGGGCAAACTTACTTTTTGTTTAACAAAAAACACATCTTCATGTCTTTCTTATAATCTTCCTTACCAAAGACACATCTTATTTTCTCATACTTTCTGTATATGGAATTATTTCTCTTTTTACATCTAGTTGCAGTTAACATGTAATAGCCAGAATTTTAACTCTTAATAACTCAATTCATAGTGAAAACCTAAGAAATAAGCAATTTTTAACTGTCGGTCACATGCCAAGAATTTATGAATAAAAATTTTATAATATTTGAAAACACAGGCTTTCTAATTTAACAATTTTTTTAATGTGGAAAAGGACTTTTTACTAATAGATCAAAATAACTTTTGTTTCTCTGAAATAATAAGTCAAAAGCATAAATACTTAAGCTCATAATTAATTATTAATGTCTTGGAATTATATCTTATATGGAAGTGATTTAGATATTCAACTGTTAGAGTAGGTAGCTTAGGCAGACATGAGCAGGGCAGGAGAGCCCACCCATCATGCCAGGAATGGCAAGAGACCATCATGTGATGGTCAGGTGGTTGTTAAACTGTCTCTCTAAAATAATTGGTCAAGTTGGTACTAGGGAAAGGCAGTCTCCCAATAGATAGAAAGCACCTGAAGCTGGTGATTACCAGCTTCCTGGTAAAATCTCAGGAGTTGGGCAAGTGGGCGTATGCATGCACATTAAGAGGTAAAATGATGGAGTTTAACTGGTGTCTAACCCTCCTTTGGGAATACTCAACTAGTAAGGGAAAAATGCCTTAGATGAGCATGCACACAACTTCAGTAAACGTACTGCACATGCAGCTCCTCCTAAGTGCTAGCAGGCCACTGCACATGCGGACAGCCCATCTCAAGAGAAGAATCAGGGAGAAGAAATGCAAAGCCCAGAATCTTGCCAATGTATAAAACCCCAAGTCGAAGGTTGGACAGAGCACTTGGATCTCGCTAGTCTCCTGCTTGGCCCTTTTCCAAGTGTACTTTACTTCCTTTTGTTCCTGCTCTAAAAGTTTTTAATAAACTTTCACTCTTGCTCTAAACCTTGTCTGTCTCTCACCCTGCCTTATGCTCCTTGGCTGAACTCTTCCTTCTGAGAAGGCAAAAATCGAGTTGCTGCAGACCTGTACAGATTCACCACTGCTAAAACAACAAATATTCATCATTTAATATAGCTTAGCAAAATTCTGAGGGTATAGTTATTAAAAATATTTGAAAAACCATTTTAAGCAAACGTATTATAAAACATAATTATTGTTAAAAGTTAATTTATAACTTTTATTCATTCTTGACAGTTGTTTGGAAATTTTCATGTTAGACAAATACAGCCATTATCTCAAGTTAAATTTCCTATTTGCCATTTTTATGTTACTGTTTGTTAGGCAAGTATGAAAAAAGCGAGAACTTTGAAGTTAAATATGTATATTTTCTGGATAACTCAGAGGACGTAGTTGTTTTATTAAAATAACAATACTAAACTACTTTAGTTTAATAGCAACCGTATTTACCAAAAGAGTTATTCAACTCACGTGAACCTGAAAAGCATTTGGGCATATTAATTTATGAGTGCTTATTTATTTATAAGTCAATTTAGTACCATACTGGTAATAAACCATTGCAGATGCTGACCATGGGTGAAAATGCAACCTTCACTCACGAAGCGGGAAGGCATAGCTGGCAGGAATATTCACTCTCCTACATAGTGCCAAAGCCTCCCACTGTCATTAACCTTTGAGTTCCCTAGACCTCATCTATGCCATGCATATGAGTGAGACCTCCAACCACAAAGTGGGAGAGCCTAATCAGCAGGAATTAGTCATGCTCACCTACACTGTGCCCCAAGCTTCCGCTGTTGTCTGCCTCTGGGTCCCTCAGACTAGTACCATGAAGACAATATGCAAACATAGACCTGTACACATGTATACATAAAATAAAAAGGTTTTATAGCTTTGATTTTTAAATTTTAGCCATGAGAAAAGTAAAACTCATTAGTTTAAAAGGACAGCTGTATTCAAACTATGCCTTTGTAAACAGAACAAGTTAAGGTTTATGTGTCTCACATGACTGAAGCCTTTACCAAGTTTTAGAGGGCAAGGTAGCAAATTTACATTTCAAAACACAGAGGAAGAATTTAAGCTTTCCAAAAAGCCAATGAAGTTTTACATTATTTTTGGCAAAAATCATGTCAGCAAAAGAGAGGCAGACTGAAGGTATGCATATAGTTAGCAAGAGATTAAGAAGAAAGAAATTCAGTCTTTTGAGAAGGTTTTATAGAGAGAATGAGAACAGAGGCCTCAAATATGTGTGTGTGTGTGTGTGTACATACATATTCTACATATCTTTTAATTAAGTTAGCCTTTAACTGTGGAGCTCTTAAAAAATATCTTTCCAAAATCTCTGATCAGATTATTTTAGCCAGGACAAATAGCCAATATTCCTGCTTTTGTACTGTTTTCCCCCTCTATTAAACCAAAAGTAACTTTCCAAGTGATTCACTAAAATCAGTAAGCCTTAACCAAGTTGTTTTGGAAAAACAATTTTTGATCTGTTCTCAGACCACCACAACAACAATCATCAACACAAGAGAAGCCTTCTATGACCAAATGCGTGGGAGACTTTCCCCACACACCAAGCAGTGGACACCAGTTGGGTGTCCTCCAATTCTGGAATTTCTGACCAACTGGTTTCAAACTGGGGTTTCCATGACTCCCTCTTTGGGTTCCATTAATTTGCTAAAGTTGTGCATAGAACTCAAGGAAACACTTATGTTTACCTGTTTATTGTAAAGAATATTTCAAAGGATACAGATGAAGGCAGGTGTAGGGCAAGGCATGGGGGAAGGGGTGCAGACCTTCCATGCTCCTCCTTGGCACACCACCCTACAGGAACCTCTGTGGGTTCAGCTATCCAGAAGCTCCTTGTACCCAGTCCCCTTAGGTTTTTATGGAAGCTTCACAATGTCAGCATTCCTTTCCCCAGGGTGTAGGGTGGGACCCTTTCTGGGGAAGGTCTTAAGACCCACAGTCAGAAAGGTGGCAGAAGATTAGTGTCCTGCCTTGGGGCAGGTAAAAGGAAGGCAGGAGAAGGTCCAGAGATTTTGTTTCCTGAGGCCTTGCCCCTTAGGCTAAGACACTCAACATTGTAACAGGCCAGGAGGGGTGGCTCATGCCTGTAATCCAGCACTTTGGGAGGCCAAGGCATATGGTCAGCTGAGGCCAGGAGTTTGAGACAAGCCTGGCCAACGTGGCAAAATCCTGTCTCTACTAAAAATACAAAAATTAGCCAGGCATGGTGTTGCGCACCTGTGGTCCCAGCTACTTGGGAGGCTAAGGCAGAAGAATTGCTTGAACCTGGCAGGTGGAGGTTGCAGTGGGCTGAGGTCACGCCACTGTACTCCATTCTGGGTGATAGAGTGAGACTCCATCTCAAAACAAAAATACAAAAAAAAAAACCCACAAAAACAAAAACAAAAAAACAACAAAAGACTTACAAGGGCTATGAGCAAAGAACTGTGGATGAAAACATTATACCTATCTATCTATCTATAGTGCCACAAAAATGTTATGAGTTTTATATATATTGTATATATAATGTTACTATATATGTGAGATATATATATATATAGTAACACCACAAAATGTTATGAGTTAACCAAGGGCACATGAGGTGTCTCTAAAGAGGTGTAACTCAGTCCTCAGAAGATCCAGAACCACCCCCAGGACAGCTCCAAAAAAGGAAAGTTTCAGTAGCCACAAATGGTGTACTTCCCATATCTGACCCACCATATTCTCTCATTTTGTTGTTGTTTTAACATTTATTTTTGGTACAGGGTGCATGTGCAGGTTTTTTATATAGGTAAATTTGTGTCATGGGGTTCTGTGGTACAGAGTATTTCATCACTCAGATACTAAGCCTAGTACACATTTTTTCTGATCCTCTCCCTCCTCCCACCCTCCACCCTCAAGTAGGCCCCAGTGTGTGTTGTTCCCCATTTTGTGGCAATGAGTTCTCATTATTTAGCTCCTACTTATAAGTGAGAACATGTGATATTTGGTTTTCTGTTCAGTTTGCTAAGGATAATAGCCTCCAGCTCCATCCATGGTCCTGCAAAAGACATGAACTTGGGTTTTTTATTGCTGCATAGTATTCCATGATGTATATGTACCACATTTTCTTTATCCAATCTGCCATTGACGGGCATTTAGGTTGATTCCATGTCTTTGCTATTGTGAATAGTGCTGCAGTGAACATACGTGTGCACGTGTCTTTATGGTAGATTGATTTATATTCCTTTGGGTACATACTCAGTAATGGTATTGTTGGGTCAAATGGTAGTTCTGTTTTTAGCGCTTTGAGAAACCACCACACTGCTTTCTACAATGGTTGAACTAATTTACATTCCCTCCAACAGTGTATAAGCATTCCCTTTTCTCCACAACCTCACCAGCATGTTATTTTTTACTTTTCAATAATAACCATTCTGACTGGTGTGAGATGGTGTCTCATTATGGTTTTGATTTGCATTTCTATAATAATCAGTGATACTGAGCTATTTTTCATATGCTTGTTGGCCACATGTATGTCTTCTTTTGAAAAGTGTCTGTTCATGTACTTTGCCCACTTTTTAATGGGGTTGTTTGTTATTTTTTTCTTGTAAATTTGTTTAAGTTCCTTATACATGCTGGATATTGGACCTTTGTCCGATGAATAGTTTGCAAATATTTTCTCCCATTCTGTAGGTTGTCTGTTTATTCTGTTGATAGTCATTTCTCTTGCTGTGCAGAAGCTCTTAAGTTTAATTAGATCCCATTTGTCAATTTTTGCTTTTGTTGACATTGCTTTTGGCATCTTTGTCGTGAAATCTTTGCCTGTTCCTATGTCCAAAATGGTATTGCCTAGGTTGTCTTCCAGGGTTTTTATAGTTTGGGGTATTATATTTAAGTCTGTAGTCCACCGTGAGTTGATTTTTATGTATAGTATAAGAAAGGGGTTCAGTTTCTATCTTCTGCATTTGGCTAGTCAGTTATCCCAGCACCATTTATTGAATAAGGAGTCATTTCCCCATTGCTTGTTTTTGCTGACTTTGTTGAAGATCAGATAGTTGTAGGTATATGGCCTTATTTCTGGGCTCTGCATTCTGTTCCATGGTCTATGTGTTCATTTTTGTAACAATATCATGCTGATTTGCATCATGTAGCCATGTAGTATAGTTTGAAGTTAGGTAATGTGATGCTTCCAGCTTTGTTCTTTTTGCTTAGGATTGCCTTGGCTATTTGGGCTATTTTTTGATTTCATATGAATTTTAAAATAGTTTTTTTCTAGTGTTATGAAGAATGTCATTGGTAGTTTGATAGGAATAGCACTGAATCTCTAAATTGCTTTGGGCAGAATGGCCTTTTAACAATTTGATTCTTTCTATCCATGAGCATGGAATGTTTTTCATTTGTTTGTATCATCTCTGATTTATTTGAGCAGTGTTTTGTTATTCTCATTGTAGAGATATTTCATCTCCTTGATTAGCTGTATTCCTAGGTATTTTATCCTTTTTGTGGCCATTGTGAATGAGATTGCATTCCTTATTTGGTTCTCAGCTTGACTGTTGTTGTTGTATAGGAATGCTAGTGATTTTTGTACATTGATTTTGTATCCTGAAACTTTGCTGAAGTTGTCAGCTGAAGGAGCTTTTGGGCCGAGCTTTTGGGTTATCTAGATACAGAATCATGTCATCTGCCAACAGGGATAGTTTGATTTCCTCTCTTCCTATTTGGATGCCCTTTATTTTTTTCTCTTGCCTTATTGTTGTAGCCATGGCTTCCAATACTACGTTGAACAGGAATGGTGAGAGAGGGCATCCTTGTCTTGTGCCAGTCTAAAAGGGCAATGCTTTCAGCTTTTGCCCATTTAGTATGATGTTGGCTGGGGGTTTGACATAGATGGCTCTTATTATTTTGAGGTGTTTTCCTTCAATACCTAGTTAATTGAGAGTTTTTAAGATGGAATTATAACATGAATTATTTTAACATTTTGGGTTTTATCAAAAGCCTTTTCCGGTTCTATTGAGATAATCATCTGGTTTTTGTCTTTATTTCTATTTATATGATGAATGACAATTATTGATTTGCATATGTGAACTAACCTTGCATTCCAGGGATGAAGCCTTCTTGATCATGGTGGATTAGCTTTTTGATGTGCTGCTAGATTTGGTTTGCAAGTGTTTTGTTGAGAATTTTTGCATCAATGTTGATCAAGGATATTGGCCTGAAGTTTTCTTTCTTTTGTTGTATCTCTGCCAGGTTTTGGTATCAGGATGATGCTGGCCTCATAGAATGAGTTAGGGAGGAGTCCCTCCTCCTCAATTTTTGAAATTCCTTCTGTAGGAATGGTATCAGCTCTTTTGTATACCTCTGGTAGAATATGGCTATGAATCCATGTGGTCATGGGCTTTTTTGTTGTTGTTATTGGTAAGCTGTTTATTACTGATTCAAATTCAGAGCTCATTATTGGATGGTTCAGGGAATCAATTTCTCCTGGTTCAGTCTTGGGAGGGTGTATGTGTCCAGGAATTTATTTATCTTTTCTAGGTTTTCTAGTTTGTATGTATAGAGGTATTCATAGTAGTTTCTGATCATTATTTTTATTTCCATAGGGTTAGTGGTAATATCCTCTTCGTTATTTCTAATCGTGTTCGTTTGGATCTTCTCTCTTTTCTTCATTAGTCTAGCTAGCTGGCCATATTCTCTAAGGTCTCAGGTTCTCAGCTGTTCATCTACACACAAAGTCCTGACAGCAGATTTAATAAGACAATTGGTAAAACAGGAAAACAAAAGCTGCCCATGGAGGTAATGCCAAAAGGTGGAAAAATGTGGGAGAGTAAATTTATGGGAGGAGTATAGTTTGCTTCCAGATTCCCTGGCCCTGCTGGCATCACCAGCAGGGTTCATGGGTTGATAAGTAGCTATCACCAATAAAGAATAATTTATGTCCTGCCTTTAGGCAAACAGAGGAAAGGCAGAGAGAGTTCCCCTCCTTTTTAATTGTCTTCAGATTACCAATCCTCATTACTTTAGAGAGGAATAATTTGGTTTCCTTCAGTAGAAAAGATTACAAATGGGTACCCCCCAAAAGATAAAGAGTCATACAAACAAATTAGTTTAATAATTCAAATTCATTTCTTATAAATGTTTGTTTCCTACCTAAAGGTATCCAGTGAGGAAAGGAATTTTGTGGTAGTTTTAAAGAATTTTAACTCTATTTCAAATCTGATCTCAGCTAGAATGCTGCTTAGTTAATTCTCTGGATGTTAACATTTTAAAGACATGGTACTACAAGATGATAGAGAGGGAGAAAAATTAAAAATAAATTAAATAAAGAAATTAATAAATAAATAAATTTGAAAAATAAAATAAAGATTTATATCTCCAAGAGACCAAGAAAAGCCTGCAGGCCGTTTGGGCATTTACTGGCCTTTCTGGGGGTTAAAGAGCTCTCTAAAAAACTAATATTTTCAAATCTCTTATCTTCTGGGCAAGAGAACTTGCTTTCATGCACTTTTCAGTTTAAAACAGGAATTGGTCACAATATTTTTTAATGTTCAAATTATAAACAATAGAAAGCAGCTGAAATTTTAAAAACATGCTATGTAATTTTAGGCAACACATGCATACACACACACACACACACACACACACACACACACACACACACACACACACACACACACACAAAACAAACCATTGATGCTAGACTGCCAATATCTTGACCCAAACTTTCGTGCTGCATGGCAGAGGCAGAGAAAGGCAGTTTTTCTTTTTTTCCCCTGAAATTCAAATATCTTACCCTCTAGGCCAAAATGGAATCCCCATTCTGAAAAGGAGGTTTGCAAAGAATAGCCCAAATAAATTTAAGACCTTCATCCAAAGGGTGGAAAAGGTCTGGATTTCAGCAGGTCTCACCGCTTACATTCAGTAATTCTCTTGGAGACAGAAGACAACAAGGGGTTCAGAGCTGGCCAAGTACCAGGTCTGGGAGGAGTGTTAGATGGCTCGGGAGGAGTCAGTCTGAATCCTGCTCACAGCACTGGAAATACTGACCTAAAGAAAGAAACTGAGGCAAGATTAATATAGGGAGTTTCTTTGAGCCAAGATTAGGGACAGCTGTGCAGGAAGCAATTCCAAGTTGCCTTGGGGAGTGCTTTGTGTGGCTTTTGTTAAAATCAGGTTTTTAAAGGCAAAAGGGGACAAACAGTAGTCTGATACAAAGTTGTCTGACAGGAATTCTTACTGGTTTGCAAAAGTAACATTGATTAGTGGTTGACTACACATTGTTGAAGTAGGGTGTATGTGTTATGGCATCTAGCGTATGGCTTTTTTTTTTTTTTTTTTGGGGGGGAACAGAGTCATGCTCTGTCGCCCAGGCTGGAGTGTGGTGGCGCAATCTCGGCTCACTGCAAACTTCGCCTCCCGGGTTCACGCCATTCTCCTGCCTCAGCCTACTGAGTAGCTGGGACTACAGGCGCCTGACACCATCCCCGTCTAATTTTTTTTTTTTTGTATTTTTAGTAGAGACCAGGTTTCACCGTGTTAGCCAGGATGGTCTCAATCTCCTGACCTCGTGATCTGCCTGTCTTGGCCTCCCAAAGTGCTGGGCAGTGTATGGCATTTTATGGCTAACTGACGTCAGTCTAGAACCCATATAACAAGTGGCATCAAGAGTTAATTATTTAGCCCAAGGGGAGAGTGATACATGACTGTTGTCACATGCGTCACATTTCAATGTATCTCTGGGCCTTATAAGTAAAGGAGGCTCAGATTCCTCAGATAAAAAGTTTCTTTTCTTTCTTACCCTCCTAGACTTGATGTGCTTTCTCCCCAGGGTTGAGACCATTTCCCTTCCAGGATCTCCCCATCGTTTTTATGGGACACATCAAAGCTCCTAATACCCTCTTAACTCTGTTGATGCTGAAGATTTTCCCACATGTGTCTAGGGACCCTTCAATCACCACTGATTCCACAAACACCCATAAACTTGAAGAATCAGAAACGCTCAAATCTCAGGATCTAGATGGGCTCAGAGATTGTTCAAGACTCTGAACAGAGGGACGTGATGAAGGCCATTTTATTCTAGTCAGATGCTAAATAAGATGCCAACAGTTGGCCCTATTAATGACTAATATTTTTACCGAAAGGTACATACAATGATTGTAAATTAGTTTTTTAGAACACATGTTCCGGCCTGGCACAGTGGTTCACATCTGTAATCCCAATACTTTGGGAGGCCGAGGCCTGAGGTTTACTTGAGGCAAGGAGTTCAAGACCAGCCTGGGCAACATAGCAAGACCTTGTCTCTACTAAAAATAAAAAGAAATTAGCTAGGTATGGTGATGTGCACCTGTAGTCCCAGCTATTCAGGAGGCTGAGGCAGGAAGATAACTTGAGCCTAGGAGGATCAAGGCTGCAGTAAGGTGTGATTGTGCCACTGGACTCCAGCATATGCAACAAAGTAAAACACTGTCTCAAAAAAATAAAAACAAAAACGACACATGTTCTATATGTTAAGGTTGTACTTTATATTGAAATGGTTTTCTCTCTACTTATACTTCTTTTGTCCTATAAGAAAAATACAGTGCCACAGGAAAAAAAACCTGTAATGGACATAATTATTATTTAATTAAACTGCAGTCAATGCCTTCACATAGAAAGGCTTTAAACAAGGCCAGGCGCGGTCTCACACCTGTAATCCCAGCATTTTGGGAGGCCGAGGTGGGCAGATCACCTGAGGTCAGGAGTTCGAGACCAGCCTGGCCAACATGGCAAAACCCCATCTCTTCTAAAAATACAAAAGTTAGCTGGGTGTGGTGGTGCACGCCTATAATCCTAGCTACTCAGGAGGCTGAGACATGAGAATTGCTTGAATCTAGGAGGCAGAGGTTGCAGTGAGCCAAGATCGTGCCACTGCACTTCAGCCTGGGCAACAGAGTGAGACTCCATCTCAAAAAAAAAAAAAAAAAAAGGCTTTAAACATGAGGCCAGTAACACGGAATCTACTCATCTTAAAATAATAATCTATATCACAAATATTATATGACACAATATAGAGTATTAACATATTGTTCACAATAATTCTAAAACTTTGCAGGCATTATAATTTACCTAAAAACAATAGCATTACATAGTGTAAAACAGTTATTCCTAGATCTTGCTGTATTTCTCTTTATGAGGTTTTCATTTTATCTCCCGTATATCCAAGACTGGGCTGCAACCTGAAATACCAAACCATCCCCTTACTCCACACCAGGCAGCAACTGGAAGCCCTGCTGATGCTACTGGTCACTGTAAGTTTTCTGTGTGGGCACACTTAAAAAAAATTTTTTTTGAGATAAGTTCTTGCTCATCACTTCTATCCAACATTGAACTGGACATTCTATCCAATGCAATGAATAAAGAAAAATGACCAATAAAAGCATGTAGATTAAAAATAAAGAAACAAAACTTTATTCTCAGAGTGATTATCTATGTAGAAATGCAAAAGGAATGTATGAAAAACCTACTAGAACTGACAAGTAAGTTTTGCAAGAATACAGAATAAAAGACAGAATAGACTGGCACAGTGGCTCACACCTGTAACACCAGCACTTTGGGAGGCTGAGTCAAGTGGATTGCTTGAGCCCAGAGGTTTGGGACCAGCCTCGGCAACATGTCAAAGCCCTGTCACTACAAAAAATAAAAATAGCTAACCATGGTGGTGCACATCTGTAGTCCAAGCTACTCAGGAGGCTGAAATGGGATGATCACTTGAGCCTGTGAGGTAGAGGCTGCAGAGAACTGTGATCACACCACTGCACTCGAGTCCGCCTGGGTGACAGAGTAAAATCCTGTCTCAAAACAAACAAACAAACAAAAAACAAACAAAAAAAAGAGTTTTAAAAGGTAGAATATACAAAATCAATTTTTCTATTTACTAGTAATTAATAATTAGGTATTTTAATACTGTTTACAATTGCATCAAAGCATATGAAATACTTAAGAATAAGTTTAACAAAATAATTCAATATATATATTTATGCTTACAACTACACAAATTTATTGAGACTAATTAAAAAGACCTAACTACATCAAAAGAATACTACGTTAAAGTTGTCAGAATTCCAGCCTGGGCAACATGGCAAAACCCTGTTTTTACAAAATATACAAAAATTAGCTGGGCGTGGTGGCACGTGCCTGTAGTCCCAGCTACTCAGGAGGCTGAAGTGGGAGAATCGCTTGAGCCCAGGAGGTTGAGGCTGCAGTGAGTCGTGATCCTGCCACTGCACTCCAGCCTGGGTGACAGAGTGAGACTCTGTCTCAAAAAAAAAAAAAAAAAAAAAAAAAAGAGTTGTTGTCAGAATTAAAATTGTGGTACTTGGTTTAAAACCCTGTAAAACAGAGCCGGAGAAGGTCACAAAGGGAAGGTCCTTATGCAGAAATGCCTAATAACAACTATCACATTATCACAAAAGATTTCAAAAACCACAACCTTGCACAAAGACCATCACAATCTTATACCCACAAATACTTCATCAGGACATGTACCCAGCAACTGCTTGTCCCACTGTAACCACCCAGTGGGTTCACCTTGCCCACCACCTAGACAGAGCCGATGTCTCGAGACAGGGGAATTGCAATAGAGAAAGAGTAATTCACGCAGAGCCAGCTCTTTGGGAGACCGGAGTTTTATTATTACTCAAATCAGTATGACTGGGGATCAGAGTTTTTAAGGACAACTTGGTGGGTGGAAGGAAGCCAGTGAGCCGAGAGTACTGATTGTTCAAGTCAGAGATGAAATCATAGGGAGTTGAAGCTGCCTTCTTGGCTGAGTCAGTTTCTGGGTGGGGGTGGGCCACAAGATCAGATGAGCCAGTTTATTGATCTGGGTGGTGCCAGCTGATCCATCAAGTGCAGGGTCTGCAAAATATCTGAAGCACTGATCTTAGCAGCAGCTTAGGGAGGATCAGAATCTTGTAGCATCCAGCTGCATGACTCCTAAACCATAATTTCTAATCTTGTGGCAAATCCGTTATTCCTACAAAGTCAGTCTAGTCCCCAGGCAAGAAGGAGGTTTGCCTTGGGAAAGGGCTGTTATCATTTTTGTTTCAAACCGTAAACTAAGTTCCTCCCAAAGTCAGTTCAGCCCACACCCAGGAATGAACTAGGACAGCTTGGAGGCTAGAAGCAAGATGGAGTTAGTTAGGTCAGATCTCTTTCACTGTCTCAGTTACAATCTTGCAATGGTGGTTTCACAACCTTGGACTGAAACCACCCTTGTAGCCGAGAATAATTATGTCAAAATAATTGTGTAATCCTTCTCACTTTTCCTTTAAAACCTTTGTCTTCCTTTACCTTTCTTAATATAGACATAGTTTATTATGGCATACATATTCCCATTGCAATGGCTATTCCCAAATAAATATCATTTTCTTTTGGACAGTCTTTCTCTCTGTTTGTTACTGAGATTAACAATGATGTTCATTGATCAGAAGACTCAGTACCGTTAAGACGTTAGGTCTCCAAAAATTGATCTATAGGTTCAGTGCAATCCCAGTCAAAATCATAGCATGCCTATCTGTAGATAATGACTACTCTAAAAATAATTTAGAAATTCAAAGGATCTAGAAGAGCAAAAACAATTTTGAAAAAAAGAACAAAGTTAAAGGATTCACTCTACTTGAATTCAATACTTATAATATAAAGCTTCAGTGATCAAGAGAGTACTATCAGAATAAGCATAATTATTATAACTGATTAGAAATCCACACATATATGGTCAATAGATTTTCAACAAAGGTACACAGGCAATTCAGTGAGAACATGCATGGTTTTTTCAATAAATGGTGCTAAAAAAATTAAACATTCATGAACAACACATTGTTCAATTTTCTTACACAAAGTTAACTCAAAATGAATCATAAGTTTATGTGTAGAGCTTAAAGTATCTAGAAGAAATATTTTTGTCTTTATGTTATAAGACCTGTGTTGGTTTTTTTTTTTTAAATAGCCTGTCAGAGAAAAATAAATAAACCAAAATTTAACATGGTAAATGCATATAAAAAAGAAATAAGAATAATAAGCAAACAAGGAAATATTTTGGCTTATAAACATTAATTTTAAGTAACTATACAGACTAAAATCTGCTATATTTTCTTGGTAGATGTCTTACCAATAATTTCATTTTTTTTCATTACTCCTATAATTTGATTCAAACTTTAAAAAATCATTGTATTACCACATTACTAAAAGGCTGATTTTCACATACAAATAGGTTCATTTCCTTCCTTAAGAGAAAAACTAGAAAAAGAGCACTATTTCTATACCTCTTATCACTGATACAAAATACTATTTACTATTTCTCTCCAGGCTTTTAGCATTTTCTGACAAGTCACTGGAGAATCCCTCACAAAGGAAATTTTTAAAAGATTCTGTAGCAGTAGCAAGTTACACCATATCTATTATTATACATTTTATTGTATAATACTTTGCTAAGATTTTCCCAAGCATCAGAAATTATGTAACTCCTCAACTTTAAAGGTAAGGAGACTAAGTCCAGAAACTCTGAACAAATTTACACAGCTAGAAAATGATAAATTTGGATTAATCACGTTTTTCTAAGTATTGTTCTATTTGCCCTGAAAATATATATAAATAATTACTAAATTCTGGAAAGAGCTTGTAGGAATTCAAAGAGAGATTAATGAGGACTAGAGAAATTAGAAGAAGCTTTTGAAAGAAAAGAGAGCTTAACTTTGAAGGAAATAAAACTATTTTATTCCAAAATATGGCTCCCTGGTATAATCAGTATTCTTAATTAAAACTCTTTAAAGATCAACAAAAATCTTTAGAGATCAACAAGTGGCAGAGACTTCCCCTATCCACATAAAGATAGGACTGACTCACCAATGAGAACAATTGTTTTTGTTCCTCTCCCTGTTATCTCATTATCCATTACAGGAGAGAAGACCAAAAATGTAACCACATTGTAACAGACCTTTTTTCAAGATAATAACTGTTTCCAAGAATCATTTAAATTCCAAAGAGAAGCCCGAGCATGGTGACTTATGTCTATTATTCCAGCACTTTGGGAGGCCAAGGCAGGCAGATCACTTGTGGTCAGGAGTTCTAGACCACCCTGG
This sequence comes from Homo sapiens, assembly GCF_000001405.40. NCBI lineage: Eukaryota > Metazoa > Chordata > Mammalia > Primates > Hominidae > Homo > Homo sapiens. The sequence goes on along the minus strand of NC_000003.12, from coordinate 151,674,076 downwards.
CCAATATGGTAAAATCCCATCTCTACTAAAAATACAAAAATTAGCCAAGCATGATGGTGGGTGCCTGTAATACCAGCTACTTGGGAGGCTGAGGCAGGAGAATCACTTGAACCAGGGAGGCGGAGGTTGCAGTGAGCCAAGATCGTGCCATTGCACTCCAGCCTGGGTGACAGAGTGAGATTCAGTCTCAAAAAAAAAAAAAAAAAAAAAAAAAAAAAAAAAAAAAAACTGACAACTATTTACAAGTTTATTTCTGTTCCTCAATCCAGTCATTTCCCCCTAGTAATCATTCATTGTTCCTCAATAGAATTCCTCTTCTCCCCCATCCCATAACCTGTTCTACCAGGATCGAAGTCCCCATTCTTTCTGTAACCTCAAGAAAGTATATAAACTATAAACTTCTATACCCCATTGTGAAGCTGAATCTACATTTTGAAGGCTCCCATGTAAACATTTTACATAAATTTGTATGTCTTTTCTCTTATTAATCAATCTCTCTCATGACAGTGATTTTCAGCAAATGTTTAGAAGGCCCTTGGCTCCCACAACTTTTACCTTGAAAAATGCCTGAAACCACCTCTGCAAAAATTACAACAGTGAGAAAACTCTAACTTCTTTTTTTTTTTTTTTTTTGGAGATGGAGTCTCACTCTGTCACCCAGGCTGGAGTGCAGTGGCGCAATTTCAGCTCACTGCAAGCTCTGCCTCCTGGGTTTATGCCATTCTCCTGCCTCAGCCTCCTGAGTAGCTGGGACTAGAGGAGCCCACCACAAGGCCCGGCTAATTTTTTTGTATTTTTAGTGGAGACGGGGTTTCACTGTGTTAGCCAGGATGATCTGGATCTCCTGACCTCGTGATCCACCCGTCTCAGCCTCCCAAAGTGCTGGGATTACAGGCATGAGCCACCATGCCTGGCCTGAACTGCATAAATATAATTAAAAACAAAAAATGTATGATCATTTCAATAGATGCAGAAAAAGCTGCATAAAATCCAACATCCTTTCATGATCAAAACCCTCAAGAAACTAGGCACTGAAGGAACATACCTCAAAATAAAAAGCCATCTCTGACAAACCCACAGCTTACATCATACTGAATGGGCAAAAACTGGAAGCATTTCCCTTGAGAACTGGAACAACACAAAGGTGCCCACTGTTACCACTCCTCTTTAACATAGTACTGGCAGTGCTGGCCAAAGCAATCAGGCAAGAGAAAGAAATGAAAGCCATCCAAATAAAAAAAGAAAAGTTCAAATTATCCCTCTTCACAGACAATATGATTTTATACCAAGAACACCCTAAAGAATGTGACAAAGGTTTCTGGAACTGTTGAATGACTTCAATGAAGTTTCAGGAAACAAAATCAATGTACACAAATCAGTAGCATTTTTATACACCAATAATGTTCAAGCTGAGAGCCAAAACAAGAATGCAATTCCATTTATAATAGCTGCAACAACAACCACCACCAAAATCCTAGGAATACAGCTAACTAAGAAAGGGAAAGATCTCTACAAGCAGAACTGCAAATCACCACTAAAAGAAATCACAGATAACACAAGCAAATGGAAAAACATTCCATGCTCATAGATTGGAAGAATCAATATTGTTAAAATGGCCATACTGCCCAAAGCAATCTACAAATTTAACATAATTCCTATCAAGATACTAATGTCATTTTTCACAGAAGATGAAATAGAAATAAACTATTCTAACATTCATATAGAATCAAAAAAGAGCCCAAATAGCAATCTTAAGCAAAAAGAACAAAGCCTGAGGCATCCATCAGATTATCTGACTTCAAAGTACACTATGAGACTACAGTAACCGGCCAGGTGCGGTGGCTCATGCCTGTAATCCCAGCACTTTGGGAGGCTGAGGTGGGTGGATCACCTGAGGTAGGGAGTTTGTGACCAGCCTGACCAACATGGAAAAACCCTGTCTCTACTAAAAATACAAAATTAGCCAGGTGTGGTGGCACATGCCTGTAATTCCAGCTACCAGGAGGCTGAGGCAGGAAAATCACTTGAACCCGGGAGGCAGAGGTTGTGATGAGCTGAGATGGAGCCACTGCACTCCAGCCTGGGCAACAAGAGCGAAACTCCATCCCCCCACCCAACCAAAAAAAAGACTACAGTAACCAAAACAGCATAATATTGTTACAAAAACTAGATGCATACACCAGTGGAACAGAATAGAGAACCCAGAAATAAAGATACACATGTATATCCATCTGATCTTGGACAGAGGAGACAAAAAATGTGCAACGGGGAAAGGACTCCCCATTTAATAATTGGTGCTAGGATAGCTGCTAGCCATATGCAGAAGAATGAAACATGATCTCGACCTTTCAGCATATACAAAGTTAACTCAAGAAGGACTAAAGATTTAAATGAAAGACCTCAACTATAAGAATCCTAGAAGAAAACCTCAGAAATATCATTCTTGACACAGGCCTTGAGAAAGAATTTATGATTATCCTCAAAAGCAATTGCAACAAAAACAAAAATTGACAAGTGGGACCTAATAAACTCAAGAGCTTCTGCATAGCAAAGGAAAGTGTAAACAGAGTAAACAGACAACCTACACAATGGGAGACAATACAAACTATGCATAAAACAAAGGTCTAATATCTAGAATCTATAAGGAATTGAAATGATTGACAAGCAAAAAACAAATAACCACATTAAAAAATGGGCAAAGGATATGAACAGACAATTCTAAACAGTGTCCACTGATCATATGAAAAATTTACAACACCATAAATCATCAGAAAAATGAAAATCAGATGAGATACTGAGAGGTGAAGCCAGCTGGGCTTCTGGGTCAGGTGGGGACTTGGAAAACTTTTCTGTCTAGCTAAAGGATTGTAAATGCACCAATCAGTGCTCTGTGTCTAGCTAAAGGTTTGTAAACACACTAATCAGTGCTCTGTGTCTAGCTAATTGGGTAGGGGACTTGGAGAACTTTTGTGTCTAGCTAAAGGATTGTAAATGCACCAATCAGCACTCTGTCTAGCTAAAGGTTTGTAAATGCACCGATCAGCACTCTGTCAAAACGGACCAATCAGCACTCTGTAAAATGGATCAGTCAGCACTCTGTAAAATGGACCAATCAGCTTTCTATAAAATGAACCAATCAGCAGGATGTGAGTGGGGTCAAATAAGGGAATAAAAGCAGGCCACCCGAGCCAGCAGTGGCTACCTGTTCAGGTCCCCTTCCACACTGTGGAAGCTTTGTTCTTTCGCTCTTTGCAATAAATCTTGCTGCTGCTCACTTTTTGGGTCCACACCACCTTTATGAGCTGTAACACTCACCGCAAAGGTCTGCAGCTTTACTCCTGAAGTCAGCGAGACCACGAACCCACCAGGAGGAACGCATAACTCCAGACACACCACCTTTAAGAGCTGTAACACTCACTGCGAAGGTCTGCAGCTTCACTCCTGAAGTCAGCGAGACTACGAACCCACCAGAAGGAAGAAACTCTGGATATGTCCGAACATCAGAAGGGAAAAACTCCAGACACAACATCTTTAAGAACTGTAATACTCACTGCGAGGGTCTGTGGCTTCATTCTTGAAGTCAGTGAGACCAAGAACCCACCAATTCCGGACACATTTTGAAGACCATGAAGGGACTATCGCCTATCGCCAAGCGGTGAGTCCATCGCCTATTGCCAAGAGTTGAGTACCACTGGACTCCTTTCGCTTTCTATTCTGTCCTATTTTTCCTTAGAATTCGGGGGCTAAATACTGGGCAACTGTCAGCCAGTTAAAAGCGACTAGCGCGGCCGCCGGACTAAAGACATGGGTGTCAGGCTTTTTGGGAAAGGGCTCGCTAACAAACCCTGACTCTTCGGAGTCGGGAGCGTTGGTTTGCCTGGAACCAGCTTCCACTTTTCCTGTACTTCTGGGCTGAGCTGTGGGTCAGCAGAGAGGAAAGCCATTCAGCTCCAGGATCCCGACAACAAGTTGGTTGACCTGCGACCATGAGCGGAACTCTTAAAGGCATGTTGCCAAAGCAAGACTTGCCCATCTATCCTACCTATCCTGACCCTTGCCCCGTGGGTCCTAATGCCTACCAGACAAACTTCCTCTCGCCTCTGTTCTCCAAGGCTAGTCATGCTCCTAAAAACCACTCCCTGTCTCTGGTGCTTTTCTAATTTCTCCTGTAAGAATGATTTCTAGTATAAACTTCAGGACTCTGTTACCTTCTTTAGACACCCGGGCTCACCAATCAGAAAGACATAAATTTTGCCCAAAGTAGGGGGGACTATGTGGAATTTTAAGATCCCTCCTCAGATAAGCAGACCTAGCAAACGCTATTCCTGAAGCTAGGATATGAGGAGCCTCAGAAATTATATCCTTCCTATTCATATAAAAGGCATCACTCTTCCAAAAGGCATCACTCTTCCAACTCTGGAGATCCCTCCCCTCCCTCAGGGTATGGCCCTCCACTTGATTTTGGGGGCATAACATCTTTATAGGACAGGGGTAAGGTTCCAATACTAACAGGAGAATGCTTAGGACTCTAACAGGTTTTTGAGAATGCATCAGTAAGGGCCAGTAAATCCGACCTTCCTCGGTCCTCCTTGTGGTCTTGGAGGAAAACTAGTGTTTCTGCTGCACGTTGGTGAGCGCAACTGTTCCAATCAGCAGGGTCCAGGGACCATTGCGGGTTCTTGGGTTTCTGCTGCTGTGTCAGTGAGTGCAACTATTCCGATCAGCAGGGTCCAGGGACCATTGCAGGTTTTTGGGCAGGGGGGGATACAAAAAAACTAAAACCATGGGTGGTTTTGTCTTTCAGATGGGAAACACTCAGGCATCAACAGGCTCAACCTTGAAATACATTCTAAGCCATTGGGACCAATTTGACCCCCAAATCCTGAAAAAGAGGTGGCTCATTTTTTTCTGCACTATGGCTTGGCCCCAATATTCTCTTTCTGATGGGGAAAAATTGCCACCTGAGGGAAGTACAAATTACAATACTATCCTGCAGCTTGACCTTTTCTGTAAGAAGGAAGGCAAATGGAGTGTAATATCTTATGTCCAAGCTTTCTTTTCATTGAAGGGGAATACACAACTATGCAAAGCTTGAAATTTACACCCTACAGGAGGACCACACAGCTTACCCCCATATCCTAGCCTCCCTATAGCTCCCCTTCCTATTAATGATAAGCCTCCTCTAATCTCCCCTGCCCAGAAGGAAATAAGCAAGGAAATCTCCAAAGGACCACAAAAACCCCGGGCTATCGGTTATGTCCCCTTCAAGCTATAGGGGGAGGGGAATTTGGTCCAACCCGGGTACACGTCTCTTTCTTCCTCTCTGATTAAAAGCAGATCAAGGCAGACCTGGGGAAGTTTTCAGATGATCCTGATAGGTACATAGATGTCCTACAGGGTCTAGGGCAAACCTTCGATCTCACTTGGAGAGATGTCATGCTATTGGTAGATAAAACCCTGGCCTTTAATGAAAAGAATGCAGCTTTAGCTGCAGCCTGAGAGTTTGGAGATACTTGGTATCTTAGTCAAGTAAATGATAGAATGACAGCTGAAGAAAGGGACAAATTCCCTACTGGTCAGCAAGCCATCTCCAGTACAGATCCCCACTGGGACCTTGACTCAGATCATGGGGACTGGAGTCATAAACATCTGTTGACCTGTGTTCTAGAAGGACTAAGGAGAATTAGGAAAAAGCCCATTAATTGAATAATTGAATTAGGAAAAAGCCCATCATCATTGAATAATAATGTCCACCATAACTCAGAGAAAGGAAGAAAATCCTTCTGCCTTCCTCGAGCTGATATGGGAGACCTTAAGAAAATATACTCCCCTGTCACCCGAATCACTTGAGGGTCAATTGATTCTAAAAGATAAGTTTATTACCCAATCAGCCACAGATATCAGGAGAAAGCTTCAAAAGCAGGTCCTGGGCCCTGAACAAAATTTGGAGGCATTATTAAACCTGGCAACCTTGGTGTTCTACAATAGGGACCAAGAGGAACAAGCTCAAAAGGAAAAGCAAGATCAGAGAAAGGCCGCAGCCTTAGTCATGGCCCTCAGACAAACAAACCTTGGTGGTTCAGAGAGGACAGAAAATGGAGCAGGCCAGTCACCCGGTAGGGCTTGTTATCAGTGTGGCTTACAAGGACACTTTAAAAAAGATTGTCCAACGAGAAACAAGCCATCCCCTCATCCATGTCTGCTATGCTGAGGCAATCACTGGAAGGTGCACTGCCCCAGAAGACAAAGGTTCCCTGGGTCAGAAGCCCCCAACCAGATGATCCAACAACAGGATTGAGGGTGCCTGGGGCAAGTGCCAGCTCATGTCATCACCCTCACTGAGCCCTGGGTATGTTTAACTATTGAGGGCCAGGAAATTGACTTCCTTCTGGACACTGGTGCAGCCTTCTCAGTGTAAATCTCCTATCCTGGATGACTATCCTCAAGGTCCATTACCATCCAAGGAATCCTGGGACAGCCTATAACCAGGTATTTCTCCCACCTCCTCAGTTGTAATTGGGAGACTTTGCTCTTTTCACATGCCTTTCTTGTTATGCCTGAAAGTCCCACACCCTTATTAGGGAGGGACATATTAGCCAAAGCTGGAGCTATTATCTACATGAATACGGGGAACAAGTTACCCATTTGTTGTCCTCTACTTGAGGAGGGAATCAACCCTGAAGTCTGGGCATTGGAAAGACAATTTGAAAGGGCAAAAAATGCCCACCCAGTCCAAATCAGGCTAAAAGACCCCACCACTTTTCCTTATCAAAGGCAATATCCCTTAAGGCCTGAAGCTCATAAAGGAATACAGGATATTGTTAAATATTTAAAAGCTCAAGGCTTAGGAAGGAAATGCAGCAGTCCCTGCAACACCCCAATTCTAGGAGTACAAAAGCTGAATGGTCAATGGAGACTAGTGCTAGATCTTAGACTCATCAATGAGGCTGTATTTCCTCAGTATCCAGTTGTACCCAACCCTTATACCCTTCTCTCTCAAATACCAGAGGAAGCAGAATGGTTCACGGTTCTGGACCTCAAGGATGCCTTCTTCTGTATTCCCCTTCACTATGACTCCCAGTTTCTATTTGCCTTTGAGGATCCCACAGACCACACATCCCAACTTAAGTGGATGGTCTTGCCCCAGGGGTTTAGGGATAGCCCTCACCTGTTTGGTCAGGTACTGGCCCAAGATCTAGGCCACTTCTCAAGTTCAGGCACTCTGGTCCTTCAGTATGTGGATGATTTACTTTTGGCTACCAGTTCAGAAGCCTCATGCCAGCAGGCTACTCTAGATCTCTTGAACTTTCTAGCTAATCAAGGGTACTACGCATCTAGGTTGAAGGCCCAGCTTTGTTTACAGCAGGTTAAATATCTAGGCCTAATCTTAGCCAGAGGGACCAGGGCCCTTAGCAAGGAACAAATACAGCCTATCCTTGCCCTAAGACATTAAAACAGTTGTGGGTGTTCCTTGAAATCACCGGCTTTTGCCGACTATGGATCCCCAGATACAGTGAGATAGCCAGGCCCCTATATATTCTAATCAAGGAGACCCAGAGAGCAAATACTCATCTAGTAGAATGGGAACCAGGGACAGAAACAGCCTTCAAAACCTTAAAGCAGGCCCTAGTACAAGCTCCAGCTTTAAGCCTTCCCACAGGACACTTCTCTTTATACATCACAGAGAGAGCAGGGATAGCTCTTGGAGACCTTACTCAGACTAGTGGGACAACCTAAGGAAATTGATGTGGTAGCAAAAGGCTGGCCTCACTGTTTACAGGTAGTTGCAGTGGTGGCTGTCTTAGTGTAAGAGGCTATCAAAATAATACAAGGAAAGGATCTCACTGTCTGGATTACTCATGATGTAAATGGCATACTAGGTGCCAAAGGAAGTTTATGGCTATCAGACAATCACCTACTTAGATACCAGGCACTACTCCTTAAGGGACTGGTGCTTCAAATACAAACATGCATGGCCCTCAACCCTGCCACTTTTCTCCCAGAGGATGAGGAACCAATCGAGCATGACAGCCAACAAATTATAGTCCAGACTTATGCCACCCGAGATGATCTCTTAGAAGTCCCCTTAGCTAATCCTGACCTTAACCTATATGCCGATGGAAGTTCATTTGTGGAGAATGGGATACGAAGGTCAGGTTATGCCATAGTTACTGATGTAGCTGTACTTGAAAGTAAGCCTCTTCCCCCAGGGACCAGCACCCAGTTAGCAGAACTAGTGGCACTTACCCAAGACTTAGAACTGGGAAAGGGAAAAAGAATAAATGTGTATACACATAGCAAGTATGCTTATCTAATCCTACATGCCCATGCTGCAATATGGAAAGAAAGGGTTAGGGTTCCCCCTAATCTCTGGGGGTACTCCCAATAAATACACAAGGAAATTATGGAGTTATTGCATGCAGTGCAAAAACCCAAGGAGGTGACAGTCTGACACTGCTGAAGCCATCAAAAAGGGAAGGAGAAGGGAGAACAGCAGCATAACAGCTGGCAGAGGCAGCAGAAAGGAAAGAGAGAAAGAGACAGGAAGTCAGAGAAAGAGAAAGAGGAAGAAACAGAGACACAAAGAGAGGGAGTCAGAGAGGGAAAGAAAGAGAGACACAGAAAGAGAGAGAGGAAGAGACAAAGAAGGAGTCAAAGAGAGAGACAGAGAGAGGAAGAGAGAGAAAGAGACAAGAAGTCAAAGAGAAAGAAAGAGAGATGGAAGTAGTAAAGAAAAAACAGTGTACCCTATTCCTTTAAAAGCCAGGGTAAATTTAAGACCTATCATTGATAATTGAAGGTCTTCTCTGTAACCCTATAACACTCCATTACCACCTTGTTGTCAGTGTAAACAAGGGCATAGCCCAAAAGCACTGAGGTCACTGACAATCCGTAGCCTTTCTATCAAAAATCCTTAACTCAGAAGGTTTCCTAATAGGTGATCTAAATCTTAATTAATTACCATACAAAGGTCCAACCAGACCAAGGAGGAACTCCCTTCAGGACAGGATGATAGATGTTTCCTCCTAGGTGATTAAGGGAAAAAGACACAATGGGTATTCTGTAAGTGATAAGGAAACGCTAACAGAAGCAGAATTAGGAAAATTGCCTAATAGTTGGTCTGCTTAAACATGCGAGCTGTTTGCACTCAGCCAAATCTTAAAGTACTTACAGAATCAGGAAGGAGCTATCTATACAGAAAAAGTAAAGTTTGCTAAAAGTTAACAGTGTAACATGCATTATCCTACTACCACACACTCTCAAAGGATTTCTCAGTTTGCAAGAAATAACAAAATCTATCCTTACTTTACAATCCCAATTAGACTTTCTGTGTCTGTCCTTCTTTCTCTCTGACTCCTTTTCACGTCACCTCTCAGTAGGAATACAGGAAGCATGAAAGTCCGGAGACTAGGAAATAATTGTCAAAGGGCTTAAAATGAACCGGCTTAGGGAATCTTGGAAGTAGGAACTGGTGTTACTTATTCTGCAATTTCCTAGGGCATTTCTTGCTTCTATTTGGTGATAAAGATAGGGTGTTGGTATTTGGGATCCATCTTGTTCCTATTCCTGTATGGTTCCCCTACAGATTGGCTATATAACTGAAGAGCATATTTTCTTACTTTTTTTCTGATTTCCTGTATCCCCTGGGGAGAGACCCGCTGTGCAATTTTTAAACTACCATATTCTGTACCTCCAGACAGAGTGTATGTGGGGCTCCATACTATATGCCTTTGAAAGAAAAAGGGTATGGCAGAGGGGGCCAGTCCCAGACCACAGTGGAAAAACACACTGAGCTGAAACAGATCCATGCATTGCTTGGCCTTAGAGCTCAAATAAAATGGATAAAACCAGTTATGAAAGAATCAAAACAATAAGGGATAATTACAAAGGGCACTAATCCTGTGATACCCCCATACTTCCATTAAAGAAGTCAGGTAAATTTGATAAAGATGGTTGATGTCTATATAGCTTTCCACAAAATTTCAGGAAAGTAAATGAATTTGCTGTTCTATTAATCTCTATAGTCCCTAACATGACGATTATTCTGACTTCTGACTTTGGTACCATTGTCTGAAAATGTTTTCTCTAGAACTGGTCTACACTTTCCCTCCCTCCCTCCTTTTCTCCCTTCCTCCCTTCCTTCTCCTTCCTTTCTCTCTCTCTCTCAGGGTGACAAATAGGGATTCTCTGAGCCAAAAATGCTCATTAAAGGAATCCTACATTCTGCAGAAATGGGACAACAGTAATCCTCCACTATTCTTAGTCCTCTGCTGGGAACATTCCTAGAGAAGTGTAGTCATAACTAGAATATGGTGGTAGATGCAGAGGGGCAACTGCTGTAGCTGGTTCTGTTAAGGAGGTCTGAGTGGTACATTTCCATAGCTGCCACATAGTGAGATACTTTTTAACAATAAAAGGAATGAAACTCTAATCTACACAACCACCTGAATAGGTCTCAAAAAGATTATGTTGTGCCAAAGAGGTCAGATACAAAAGAGTGCATGACACCATTTATATAACATGACACCATTTATATAAAATTCTAGATAATTCCTACAGTACAATAGCAGATCAGTGGGTGCCTAGGGTCAGGGAAGAGGGGTAAGGATTAGCTGGACAGGGGCACAAGGAAACCGTCTGAAGTAATAGAAATGTTCTGTTAAATGTGGTGGTGGTTACACTGCTTTGTATATTTGCCAAATTCATAGAACTTAAAATGGGTGCATTTTCTTGTAGGTGAATTACACCTTAATAAAGCTGACTTCTTAGGACAATCTACCTTCTCAATAAGCTGTTGCTGCTACCCTGGTTTTAAACATTTTTTTGTAAAACTTAATTTTTTCCTAATGTTTCTACTGTTTTGGCATTTTTTCATTTTATTATGAAAGATGATTAACATTCAGAAGATTATGTAAAATGTGTACTCATTTAAAAATAATACTACTAATAATAAAGCAAACACTACATACTTACCACCCAGGATAAAAGGAGAAAGCATTGCTGATGCCTTAGAAGGTCCATGCGCCTCCCCACTTCCTCCCCCTTCATATAGGTTCATATAACTCTCTTAGTTCTGTACTATACATGTTAGAAGCCCTGGAATTCTGTCTCCTACTCACTTCTTCTGCTTAGACCTTTCTGCATGATGTTGTCTAGCTTTTTTTGTTTTCAGAGATTATCTATATGCTGATCCATCTTCTAAAACTCCAAATATTTTATGGCAGATGTAAATTTATTGTCACAACAGGCAAATCTTGAAAAATGCAAGTCTATTTGCTTGCTATAGTGAAACTTCACATAGCCCTTATTTTGTCTTAAGTGCCCATGAGGGGAAGTTTCATTCCTGTTAATTCAGAGTAAACTGAGTTACTGGCAGCTTAAAATTCATCATCTTTTGGGTAACCACTCAGTCAAATTAGGATGTTCCTTCGCTGAATTTTCCTTGCCTTATCATCAAGCGATACTCTATGTTCTGGGTTAGTAGACAAGGTATTAACATCTGCTCTCTGGCAGCCTCTGCCAAGACTTACTTATGCCTAACATATTGATCCCTAGTGCCAAGAAATATATCTGCTAAAATAATCAGTGCATTTCCTCTTTCCTACTCCTTTTCTTCAAAGCTTCCTATTTCTTGAAAAGTCTAGAACTTGTATGAAAGTGAGATTGTAAAAACTTAAATAAGATTATCTATTCAACACTATTACAAGCTTCCAGTTTAGTTTGTTTTAAAACTTCTAGTCATTGACAGTCTTGAATAAATTAGCCTACAAGATCATAAATCAATATGCCTATTAATATTATAAATCAATTTAAAAACTGAGGCATTTCTGAAAAACTGTAGACACCAAATTGTGGGTCCTCACCCTATATACAGCAAACTCATAGATTTCAGAAACCTGTTTTTCCACTCTTTTCATCACTGTTTTTGGCATAACATCTTACAGCAAATTATAAAGATACTACTACTAAAAGGAGAAATAGTTGACAGCTTTGATTATTCAATTCATCAACAAATGCTGAGTAATGTCAAGGGGACAAAAGTGGAGTATTCCCTTTTTGTTATAATGAATAATAATTTTTTTGATGATTGAAACCAAATTGTACTCAACTCTGTCCTTCTGCAGGTTCTTGGAATAGCCCCGTGTTTATAGAAACACACACACACACACACACACACACAAGTTGAACTAAGCCAACTTAACAGGTAGAGAGGTTAAAGTAAACTTTAAACTCTCTAATTTGTAAGATTTATTCTTAGGATACCAAAATACAGATCAAAAAGCCACTTGGTGGCTGGGCAAGGTGGCTCACGCCTGTAATCCCAGCACCCTGGGAGGCGGAGGCAGGTCAATCACCTGAGGTCAGGAGTTCCAGACCAGCCTGACCAACGTGGTGAAACCCTGTCTCTACTAAAAATAAAAAAAATTAACTTGGTGTGGTGGCGCATGCCTGTGATCCGGGCTACTTGGGAGGCTGGGGCAGGAGAATTGCTTGAACACAGGAGGTGAAGGTTGCAGTGAGCCGAGATCACACCACTGCTCTCCAGCCTGGGTGGCAGAGAAAGGCTCCGTCTCAAAAAAAAAAAAAAAAAAAAAAAAAAAAAAAAAAAAAAGGCCACTTGGTAATATCTGGACTTATGAATTTTCATAACTCATAACAATGAACTTTTCCAAGCTGATTATGCCCTTTACTCAGCCTGGTTTGGCACCTTCTCTTTCAGAATACATCAATGCCTCCTTTGCATATAGACTAATTCATTCCTTCTTTGGGGAAAGTAGACCTTGAAACTCTTTGTAACACATCATGGCTATTGGTGTCCAATCAATGGGGGTAGACAAACATATATTGCAAGATAACTCACATTACTGTTTTTCTTATGAGCTAATCGAAGTAAAAACACTGAGAAATCTATTATTGAAAATTTTAGGTTTTTCATCTCATAAAATATTTTGTGATTGAAATAAATATTAAACGAACCACTGAGAGGCAGTATAGTCCCCAAAATTATTTTTTCTTCTCATGAAAAGACAGGCATACTTTGAAACCAAAGCGTACCAATATTGCTGTCAAATATTTTAATGTACATAAGAGAAGAGAAAATCACCAGCCGTATCTCATTCTTCTGACTTGTTTTAACCAACCAGAAAACTAGCCATTTTAGAAACAGAAACTTGAAAACTAGAAAATTGAAAACTACAGTATTAAGAAAAAATGGTTTCACAGCAAGATCATAAAGTGTGTTTATATTTTTAAGGGAACAGTAAGGAATGAATCTAAAGATCCATTTGTTAGGGATCTTATTTTAACCAAGTGTCTATTTTTGGTAAGTAATTTTACTAAAACAAATTCAATGGAAAAATTCAGAAGCAAGGGTTAAATGATCCACTGTGAAGGTATAAGACAGATTTGTAAAACTAAACAAAAGCAAACTCATAGTAAAATATTTCAGTTGAACCGACAGAACTTTTTTGGTTCCTGCTCCATCTGCAGATGATACTAGTCCCTCACTGTGCCACACATCATGTGGCCTCTGTGGAAAACAACAACAACAACCACACACAAAAAAAAAAACAGGACACATGAAGCATTTTACAAAAATAAATATTTTTCTCTTGCAATATTTTGCAAAAAATGTCCAGGTTTCAGAATAACTGTCTATTTAAAAATATATATATAGAAGGTACTTAAAGTAAAAACCCATAAAGAAACAAAAAATGTTACCAAAGTTAGTCTGTTCAAGGTTGGAAAATAAAAATTCATTCACTTGATTTTTATATCTGCAAGGGTCAAAGGTCATCATATATCTCTAGTTATCAGTATTTCAAAAGTCAGAGAGGTAGCAACTTAAGAAAGGGCTCAAGGCTTCACTACTGAGGAATTAGTGCTCTGTGGGATGTTTTGCTCTTTAAAGTTTATCTGAGGATATAAAGTATCTTTCTTCCCAACTGTTATCTGAGGTGTGTAACCACAATGGCAGCAGAGCAAGGTGTCCATTTTGCCCACTCAGTGTCTGTTTCTGGTCATTTCATCTCCAAAGTGAAGATTTAACCACACAAATTTGTTTAGCTATTTTCTAATTCAGTATCACTAATTTGATGTTTTCTTTATTTAGTTGGTTTTATTTATTTAAAAATGTACTGGTTGATATGGTTAACAAACTAAATCCATAGGAAACTATAATTTCGTATTTTATTTCTCCCTGGAGGATCTGTGAAGCTCCCGAGGTCATAGTCTTCTTGCCAGAAGGACTTTCATTACCCTTATAAACATATGTATTCCAAGGCTAGTATTTAGACAACATCCAATACACTCCTACTAAGTTTTGCCTGAAGTACTTATAAATGTAGAGATATTTTTCTTCTTTCAAGATTCCCATAGTGTCAATGTTCCTATCCTACCAGAAGTGATATTCTTTCCAAGCTGGTAAGTCTGGGACCTATAAATCATAGAGCAGGCACCAGGGAGTACACAGTAGCCTCAAGAAGAATATCCCCTGTTCTTCAATATTGGACTTAGCATGCTTGATTTAATAAAATTTATCTGTAGCTGTGGCATTTCTGTAACACTCATGGTTATAAATTTGATTTGTTCAATTATATCCTGTAAAGAAGAAAGATTTATGTTGAAACTATGTAAATAACCACATTGTAATAAAAAGCAACAGGACACTTTGGAGGCATTATGCCTAATGTTTAACTATTGTTCTGAGCAGTTTGGTCAACACAACAATAATGTGTTTTTTAGTTTGGCAAAATCATCTTCCTTAAATTTTTCCGATGATTTATTAGTTATTTTGTATATTAGATTTTTTTAAACTTCTTTGAATTCTAACGTGTCAATTGAAAAAGATAACATTTAAAGAGTTTTTCCAGTTTGTAGAAGTATACTTAGTCTGTTAACATCGATAGATCAAGAAGAAAGAAAGATGGGCGTTGTTATATTTCAATTAAAAACTAAAACATCAACCACAACTTAATTTTCTCATCAGTGTCATTCAGACTGAGGTCATTACTTCTTATTCATTTTATCTTGAATTATTTCACAACATCATCTGTATTTGCACCAAGAGTGTTAGAAATCCTCAGTCTGCTCACGGGAGGAGGAAGCATGTGCACCTTAGGCTATTCCATGCAGAACCCATTGTTAAGAGCATGCAGTAAAATCCTTTACTGAAGTCATCATTCTTTTGATATTTCTTCTAGAATACTCTGAATCTTGTAGCAGAGGACTTTATGCAAGTGTGAAGGAAAAGCAGAACCACTTTTTACTTACAGGACTAAAATACTCTTGGTGATTTTATTACAATAATGAACAAAATCAGAATGGGGAACAGTGAAGTCCTGCACTGAAGTTTCACATGAATAAATATTTTAAGAATTTAGTAAATGATTACTCTAAAAATAAGAATATATTATTGATGAAGTTACTGATGAGTTTGTAAGGTCCTTTAATTTATCCTATAAAATGTGTGTTATGATTGTCACAATTGGCAAGCGATTTTAAACTTAAAAAGTAACTCTGTTTCAAATCAACTTAGTTATTCTGGCAGTCTTTATGCATTACCTTAACTGTTCCTATTCATTTGTCCAAAAGTACACATTTATTGAAATATATTCATTTTGTATATAATTACCATAAGAGAGATCAGCTTTCCTTTTTGATTTGTCAGCGCTTCTTTTATCTTGAGTTTGGCAAACAGGACAGTTTTGACAGTAGTGTTAAGCTAATTAAAATTATGGCACAATCATATATACATATGCAATCATTTTTCTTATCCCTCCTCATGAAGAGAAAGGGCAAAGTATTGGTGGTGTCTAGTAGTCTTTTGGGGTAAAAAACATATTGATAGTTTTTATTATTCTGGTTTGGAGGCGAATTTGTTGCTCAAAAGGAGGCCGTATATAAGTTCTAACAGTTTTAAAGATAATAAACAGTTATAGGAAACAGTTGTAATTTTGACTTAGGTTGAAAATCCAACTCAGCAGTAAGTAATAAATATTAGAAACTCTAGCCTTTTGAGACTTCAAATTTCGTTAGAAATGGATTCAAAAGCATGAAAAAAATCACACACACCCACACACAAACACATACACACACAAACGGGCTCTTGAGTGAGAGTGTTTTAATAATTATAACAATCTTTGCTATCAAAGAATAAAATCACATAGTGCTTCTTGTTAAGAGCAGACTATATATTCAAAGATTAATTTTTCTTTCAAATATTTATCTTCTTTATCATCTGTAAGCTTCCTTTAATAATTTTAAAATCTTGATACATATTTTTAGCCATACATTAATGCACATATAGTTAAAGGTTAGTCTTAAATTATCTCAGAATGCAAATTGCTATTTTCCCCTCTCTGTGGCAAGTGATGCTTCATTAAAGTGGCTAAGAACAAGGGCCAGGTTTTTCTTCTCAACCTAGAGACAGAAAAGAAAGAGCTATCACAGAGGGAATCCAATATAATTTTTTGTCCTGGAAAGATAAAACTTAAAGTTCCTGGGTAAATGTAACTCCCCCTTCCAAAATGAATACAGCAGGCTTACATTTGTTTAATCGATCAGATGAAAAAACTGTGGCCTGAAGAAGATAAGTGCCACATAGACCAATTTTTAAAAAAAAATTCATCCTGTTTTAAAATGGCGAGAATCAAAGGTTACATACATGTGCCTAGTAATAACCCACTGTTTAATGAGCTGACAGTTAAGGAATTAATGATCTACTTAAATATCTCCAGGAAAAGATGAAGAACAATCATTTAGAACAGTTCTTATACATCAAATCACATAAGCATTGGGTCCTTTGAAATCCTAAGAGGTAGAAAAAACTGAAATTAGCAAGTAAGTTTAAGAAGAATTAAAAGAACTTTAAGAGTGGAAGTTTCAAACTTGCTATTTACAGGCTGTATACTTTGTTGACTAGCCATACTTTCTCTTAAAAACATCTTTACCATAATTTTTTTAACTGCTGAGGTTGAAAAGAAAAACAGGAGAAAAACATAACTGATTTGTCTGATGCAGTTGGGCATGCCCTATACATTTAGATTCCTGCCTATCTGCAACACCACAAGTATATATTTTAATATAAAAAATATCCCTGGAAGTTCCGGCAAATCATTCAGAATAACCTAGGTTGTGTCAGAAATTAAGGTACATATATCACCATTTCATGGTAATTTTTAGGATATAAACAACATTCTATTCCTTAGGAGAAAACAATGAGGGAGTGGGATCTTAACCATAGATTTGTTGAAAGGATGGTTATTCTGCAGAAAAGCCCTTTTAATGTGACTTGTTTTAATAGAGAATATTTAAATGGCACCAAAATATTTGAAAGGCTACCCAAAAAGTTTTAATGCAAAAGAGAATGGTTTCTTTTCTTTTTTGAAAAAAAATCTGTTATTAATTACAGGATTAAGACTTGCACAATTGGAAACAAATGGCTTTATTTCATAAACCATCTTTTGAATAAACACACAACTCCAAAACAGAAAAATAAACCCAGGTTAAATATCTCATGATTTTGAGATAGGCCTAAGCCAAACTATCTTTCACCAAAAGAGCTTTACTTACAAAAGCAAAAACTATGTACTAGGTAGAAAGTAATAATCTCTGTGGCCCCCCAAATTATCCAATTTCTTTGTATGTTACATTATTGTACATTGATAAAGTAGTGTTTTCAAAGTTGCATAGCTGTTTGTAAGACACCCCTAAATCAGAGGGACCCTATAGGATACAAACAAAGCTGGATTCCTTTGAACAAAACAGGTAAATATTCTGTAATAAAGTGAGTTTATCTCAAAGTATCTGGACTTTAAACAATCGTAATCTTAACTTGTAGTAGTCTTAATTAAATTCTAATTTAAGTAAATGTTGTTTTGCTGTTATACAAATAGCAAAACTTGCAAACATCTATCTTTATGATTTTATACTTTCAGTTTAGGCTAGTTGGGAACCCAAGAAAAATCTTAATATGGGACTTTCAGGAGCATGAATAAAAACAGGGGGTCAGAGGATGCTCAGATGATCTCAACAGAACTTCATCATAGGAAATAAATAGTGTTAACTGTTCTGCTCTCAAGAAAAAAAAAGCTGTTATAAAAGTATAATGTATTTAATCCTTAAATATAACTCTGTGTGTGCCCACACATAAAACTTTCTAGCTTTGTCAACTTAAAAAGTCTAAAAGTGATTTAACTAACTCATGAACAAATGAACATCCCTGGTATCTTAACTGTGATCTTGAAATATCATTTCAAAACCATAAGTTCTTGAAAAATGGCTGTTTCCAATCCAAGTAATGTATTAGTTGAGCCTAGAACACCTTGTCTTACTAGACAGTAAGGAAAATATTAAATACTACAAGGGTTATGTCAAAAAGACTCAGGAGCCAACTTAAAGAGGTTCACACTGATTAAAGATGAAACAGCTTAAGCTTTAATATGGTGAAGAATTGCAACAGATCAAAGCCTATGAAAAATGTTTAAATCAATGGGTTCATAATGGTATTTAAAAGTAAACCAACAAAGTAGTCATCTTTAAGCTAGCAATTCATTATACTGAAAATTGTTTATAAAGGTAAAGACTCAAGAGTCTATCCTGACTTTTTCACATGAACTGTACCACTGGGCAACCTAGTAGATGAGAGGAAAAGGCTCTTTATAACATCATTACACCTAAAAAATAAAAAAGACATAATACAATTAGAATATCACCATTTTCAACCCCAACTGAAGTTAATGGGTCAAGGCACTGAGCATCAATAACTGCTAACAAAAAGGAACAAAACTAAATAGTATGGTGATCTGATGAAAGAACACAATACCCTCCAGTCTGAACAAATTGACAACCTGAGGCTGCAAGACATTTAAGCCTGCTACCAATTTGCAGCAAATACAGAAGACAGAGGTACATGTTGAACTTCATTATGAATGTGCAAGACAAATATATAAAAAGCAATGGTATTTCTGCACACTAGTAACAAAAGGAATATGAAACATATTCTCTGAAAATTACAAAACATTATTGAAAGGAATTAAAGAAGATCTAAATAAAAGAAGACACATTAAATATTCATAGATCTGGCTGGGCACAGTGGCTCATGCATATAATCCCAGCACTTTGGGAGGCTGAGGTGGGCGGATCACTTGAGGTCAGGAGTTGGAGACCAGCCTGGCCAACCTGACGAAACCCCTTCTCTACCAAAAATACAAAAATTAGCCAGGCGTGATGACGTGTGCCTGTGATCCCAGCTACTCTGGAGGCTCAGGCATGAGAATCGCTTGAACTCAGGAGGCGGAGGCTGCAGTGAGCCAAGATCGCGCCACTGCAATCCAGCCTGGGTGAGAGAGCAAGACCCTGTCTCACACACACACACACACACACACACACACACACACACACAAATTCATAGATCTCTTCTTCCCTACAGCCTAACCAAGAAAGTTCAGTTTCGTTCTTTATCTTTGAGAACTTTTTTAAATATAAGAGAGAAAATATAAAAATAAGAGTTAATTCCTTCTGAGTGCCTGCAAATAAAAATTTTTAAGATCTCAGATTTATAAACAAAAATTAAAATAATGAGATAAAGCATTTTGCCTGTCATAAAGACTTGTTTTAATTTAAGAATCACTGCTAATAGGAGTGTAATTAATTGGGGAAAAAAATGATTGCTTGAATCAAGAAATTGATTAATATTTTATTCTTTGATCCAGTAATTTAAATGTTCTTCTGGGTCTTCTAAATACAGAGAAGGTTTTTATATACAAAAATATTACAGTGCACAATATTTTTCATAGCCATATTTATAAAATGATAAAATTGGAAACAATTCAATAGTAGAGACTGCCAAAATAAAATATGATACAACTACAGGACACAATTTTATATAGCCATCTACAAAGCAACTATCATCAAAAAATGTTTAGTAACATGGAAAATGTTTAGGTTAAAAAGTTAAGTGAAAATAATCTGAATAAAAATATATTTACAGAATCTCAGTGTATAGAAAAAATGTTAATCAAATTATTGATAATGGTTATCTTGTGGAAGACAGGAAGAGACCCAAGTGATCAGGTTTTCTTCTTTCCAATAAAAACATTTTCATATAACAACTATATATTATTAGCTCTTAGTTTTAAGAAAGCTAATTTTAAAGATAACAATTAACTCGTGAAAAATAACCTGCTAAATCAGATAACAGGCAGTGCTTTTTAAGATGAAATTTCCTTGGCCGGGCGCGGTGGCTCACGCCTGTAATCCCAGCACTTTAGGAGGCCGAGGCGGGCGGATCACAAGGTCAGGAGATCCAGACCATCCTGTCTAACACGGTGAAACCCCGTCTCTACTAAAAATACAAAAAAAAAAATTAGCTGGGCGTGGTGGCGGGCACTTGTAATCCCAGCTACTCTAGAGGCTGAGGCAGGCGAATGGCGTGAACCCGGGAGGCGGAGGTTGCAGTGAGCAGAGATCGCGCCACTGCACTCCAGCCTGGGCGACACAGCGACGAGATTCCGTCTCAAAAAAAAAAAAAAGACATTTCCTTAACTAATATTTATGTTTGATCTGCCAGTTGAGTAAATGTATACACATTTTTCCCAAGTTAATCTTTACAAGTTTATGCTCAAAGTGACCTTAAATTTATAATTTTGAAAACATCAGGAAGTAAACTCTATTCTTCAAATATGATCACTAAAGATATGTGCATAATTCTTAGGCATAAGTCCAAAAGTTATTACAAAAATTCAAAATATTATTCTAGGCAAAATTTCATTTCTGGGCAATCACATGCAATTTAAGTGAAATCAAGTCCAAATGTCATTGATTCATTTACACTTACATCACATTATTTCCACTTTTAAGAGAGATTTGGTAATTTAGAAACTTTAAGTCTCTTTCATGAGCTTGTATTTTTCTCTTAGAATTGTTATATCATTTCAAAGTAACACTTTACTTGCTATCTCCTAGTTATGAAGAATTTGATTTAGAGCTGAGAAACTCCCTCTCTAAGCATAACTTTCATTATTCAATCTTATTTACTTCAATGGGAAAGCCAAGTCAAAGATTAAAGTAAAAAAAAGTAGAAGTGCTACTAGCTACATTGGTATATGTGTATTATTATCATTATTATTATTAGGAGATGGAGTCTCACTCTGTCGCCCAGGCTGGAGTGCAGTGGTGCAATCTGGGCTCACTGCAACGTCCGCCTCCAGAGTTCAAGCCATTCTCCTGCCTCAGCCTCCCAAGTAGCTGGGATTACAGACACATGCCACCACACCCAGGGTTTCGCTATGTTGGCCAAGCTGGTCTCAAACTGCTGACCTCAGGTGATCCACCCACCTCAACCTCCCAAAGTGCTGGGATTACAGGTGTGGGTGACTACAGCCAGTCAATGTATATTATTAAAAATAAATATGGCTGGGCATAGTGACTCATACATATAATCCCCACACACAGGAGGACTGCTTGAGCCCAGGAGTTCAAGACCAGCTGGGCAACACAGCAAGACCCTATCTGCACAAAAAGGAAAAAAAGGATAAATATATAGCAACTGCATTTTAGGCAGAACCTCTCAAAATTTGAGACACAGCCTGTTTCCTTTTTTTGAGTCTGCCAAAATTTTGAAACATGAAGACCTGCCCAAACAAGTCTATGAAAACTGAATTATATACAAATGTTTAAATCTAACACCAAATTTTTAATATAATTTTGCTATTCCCAAGATGATTAGAAGATTTATAAAAATATTAATTCACCATATTAGAAGGGTATATTGTCCACTATGAACACAAGGATGATGAAAGCCGTCTTCTCTCACACTGTTAGATTATCCTTAGAATTGCATATAAAACTTAATGATACATGCAAAACTTACAGACACAGCACTAGATTTTAACCTAGGATGCCTGGGTCCAAGGCTGTTGTACTCTTCAATCAGAGTGGACACAGAAGACTTTCAGACACTGAAGTTCTCTGATCAACATTGATATTGAAAATCTTTCTAAGACTCTCTTAATTATCTAGTCTCGTACCTGGAAGAACAATAGATATTACAGGGTCCATTCACCATGTTGGCCAGGCTGGTCTTGAACTCCTGACCTCAGGTTTTCTGCCTGCCTCAGCCTCCCAAAGTGCTGGGATTACAGGCGTGAGCCATCGCGCCCAGCCATGAGTGACCATTTTAATTGCACAATAAAAGTTTGAGGCATATGGCACCTTGACTTTGCTACTCAAAGTGTGGTCCTCAAACTAGTAGGATAGGCATTGCCTAGTAGAAATCCAGATTACAGAGCATCCCAGATCTGCTGAATCAGATTCTACATTTAAACAAGATCCCAGATAATTCAGGTAAGTCATAAGCACGTTGAAGTCGAAAAATTCTACACTAGATAGATACCCTTTCACTTTGTTTAATGGGTAGATGGACAGAATCATATAGATAACAAACTAAGGAATATTTTAGTCACAAACGTTCACAGCAATGTGATCAGCATTTACTTCTTTCCATAAGCTGCAGTTTGGATTAGACTATTAAACATTTCACAATAAATAATTATTTGAGATACTAAATCTATGTATTAAAAACTATAGAAAAGTGTTCTATATATTGAGAGTCTAGGGTAAGGTTAACATATGCTAAATGTTACAAGAAATATAAAAGAAAAATGAAAGCGTTATACCTTCAAAAATATGATTATCTTCATCAGAAAGTTGGAAATACCCAGAGAACACCATTTAGTAAGTTATTATATTTATACGTGTGTGTGCGTGTATGTGTGTGTGTTATCTTCCCATAACGATCGATCCTTTCCTTCTCTCTTCTGAGAATGGCATCCCAAATTTCACCGGGATACTTATTTCTCCTTCACTCTCAGTCCAGCTAGTTCAAGTAAGGCTCCACTCTGGGCTGCTGCTACCAGTCTAGACTTAGTATTGGCTAAAAGACCAACACATGATCTAAGTTAATTCAGTCAAAACAAGTCCCATTCATAAGTTCCCAGGAAGGAATCTTTCTTCTCAAGTTTATTTGAACATAGCACCAAATGAGCTTCAAACTGCTGAAGACCAACACACAGAGGGAGATAGTAAAAAATATTTCCCAACAGCAATACTTCACAGCAGCAATTTGATTAATAACTACGATCAACTTTATGAGAACTTAAAAATAAGACTTTGGACGTATTTTGGGCATAATTATTATTTTGCTATATGTTTACAACTGTGAAGGAGTTACATCTTTTGTGTTTTCATATTTATTTCCTTTTTCCCTGGTTTGTCTCTGGCAACCCAGGACTTGTTCTTTTTTATTCTATCATCTTATTCTTACTTTTTTTTAGTTCACATAGAAGCAAAAACATAGACTTCAAAAAGAAACTAAGAAATTTCAGAAGCATACTAACAGTGCGAGTTTTTAAGAATACATAAACAACTGGGACTATATGAGAGGAAAAAGGAGGTAGCAGAATGACCCAAAAAGAAAAGAAAAAAAAAATCAACAACGACAAAAACAACCAGAAAGATAACAAGGAAAATGTTTTTCCCCAAGAACAATGAGTGAAGTGCAAGTGGTGTCAGGGCTGAAATTTCTATCAACCACCAACCCTCAGTGAGATATCCATTGACCTGAAATCTCTAGTGCCAGGAGGAGTAGAGAGAATGGGCAGTCCCACCAACCTGCTAAAATCCATATTGGGATTCTCCAAAGAAAAAGAACCAATTGTGTGTGTGTGTGTGTGTGTGTGTGTGTGTGTGTGTGTCTGCAGAGTAAGAGAGAGAGAGACTGATGGATTAATTTTAAGGAATTAGTTCCTGTAATTGTAGGGGCTGGCAATTCAAAATTTGTGGGACAGGCCAGCAGGCCGGAGACCCAGGGAAGAGCTGGTGTTACAATCTTGAGTCTGAAGGTTGTCTGAGGCAGAAATTCCCTCTTCTTCAGGACACCTCAATCTATTTTCCTCTTAAAGCCTTCAATTGATTAGATGAGGCTCAGTCACGTTACGAAAGATAATCTGCTTTACTCAAAGTCTACCAATTTAAATGTTAATCTCATCTGAATAATATACCTTCACAGCAACATCTAGACTGATGTTTGACCAAGTATCTGGGTATCATGGCCTAGCCAAGCTGGCATACAATTAACCATCACAAGTTCATTCTGTCAATTTGGTAGTCAGACACATCTTAAAATCCATATCTCTGAAAAAAGACTGAAAGACTAGAAAGGCTTCAATATTTTTGGCTTGAACAACACTGGGTAAGTGGGAAATACTGGAAGGGGTAAGCTGCTAGAGTGGTGCTACTGGGTGGAGTAGCAGAAAGGAGGAAAATACCTGTTTCAGACATGTTGAATTTGAGATACTTAATAGAATGGATATGCTAGATAGGGAACAGAATGCACATGTCTAGAGTTCAGGTGAAAGATCAGAGTAGAAAATGTTAAGTTTAGAATTCATTGATATATGGATAATTACATGAAGTCATGAGATAAATGTCTGACAGAGAGAGAGAAGGCTCCTAGGACCTGTTTTGGGCAGGTCCAACATTTAAAGAATAAACAGATGAAGAGGACCCAGTATAGGGGATGAGAGGGAGTGGCAGGAAGGGGAGCCAGGAGAGGGTGGGGTCCCAAAAGCCAAGAAAACAACATGATTCATCAAGAAGGGACTAGTTGACTGATTCATTTATAACTGACAACATGGAGAAAATTGGTCGTGGAATTACTCTGGATTTTTTTCAAATTAATATACTACATTCTTGCAAAAAGAGAAGAAACCAAGATAGTTCATGAACCTTATCTTTTCTTAGGTGTTATAAACCTCAGGAAAAGAGTCAGTGTGTTACATTTTCTTACCTTTGCCTATACCAAATTAGCTTCCCTGATAATTGTGATGATCGCTTACAGGGAGCCTTTACTGCTTACAAGAATAAAAGAAGAAATACTGGAAAATGTGGAAAGGTGCTCTACACACACATAGAAATGTCCTGCCCTTTCTGAAGAGAATGAATTGCAGGTTCCCAAAGGCTCTAAAGAATAGCACTTGTTGATTTGACTCTCAGCTTGGACCTTATGGGTGTTTGGAAATGTCGCTGATTTTTGTACGTTGACTTTGTATCCTGAAACCTTACTGAAGTTGTTTATCAGCTCTAGGAGCTTTCCTCACAGCACTATTTACAATAACTAAGATATGGAATCAACGAAGATGCCCACCAATGGTGGACTGGATAAAGAAAATGTTGTACATATTCATCAATAGTACACAGCCATTAAAAAAGAATGAAATCTTGCATCCTTTGCAGCAACGTGGATGCAGCTGGAGGCCATTATCCTAAGCAAATTAATTCAGGAACAGAAAACCAAATACTGAATGTTCTCACTCATAAGCGGGAGCTAAACATTGAAAACAAAGATGGGAACAAGGGCCAGTAGGGACTACCTTAGGTGGGGAGGGTGTGAGGGGAGCATGGGTTAGAAGGCCACCTATCGGTTACTACACTAAGCAATAAATTATGGTCCAAGAAAAATTTCCAGAAAAAAAAATCATCTGAATCTACACGTTGAAAAGTTTCTCCTGGTACCTGGCAAAAATTAACCCAAAATGATTAACTCTTTGACATTATTTTAGTAAAATTATTATATTTCAAAAATAAAGACAAGACTCTCAAGACCACCAAGCAAAAATCTAAAATAACTTAAAAAGTCAAAAGAATTAGAATGCCATTACACTTTTCAAAACCAAATACCAAACAAGACAACTATGAATCAATCTTTATAAAAATACTCAATGAAAGAAAATGTGAAACAAGGATTTTATGTCCAATCAAGTTGTTCTTCAAATAGCAAGAATAGTAGAAATATTTTCAACATACAAGAACATAGGAGATTCTACACATGGCATCCCTTCTTGAGGAATTTGCTAGAGCATGAACTTCACATAAGTGATGACTGGGAAAGCTCTACTAGAAGAACTGATAATGAGCTTTTTTTTTTTTTTTTTTTTTAGACAGAATCTTGCTCTATTGCCCAGGTTGGAGTGTAGTGGCACAATCATAGCTCACTGCAGCCTTGAACTCCTGGGCTCAAGGGATCCTCCCACCTCAGTCTCCCAAGTAGCTGGGACTACAGGCATAAGCCACCAAGCCTGGTTAATTAAAAAACATTTTTGTAGAGACAGGTTCTTGCTATGTTGCCAAGGCTGGTCTCAAACTCCTGGCCTCAAGCAATCCTCCCTCTTTAGCCTCCCAAAGTACTAGCCTTACAGGCATGAACCACCACACCCAGCTGCATTTTAAAATATATAAATGTACACATAAGACTGAAAAAAATGTAGGATAAGGGTAGAAAATTAAGGTATAAATATTATATCCTGTGAAAAGTAGAAATGAAGCAACTAAAAAACAACCAAGTACAACAACTAAGGAAAGCAAAAAATAGGAAAAGCTTGGTGCTATATAAGCAACATATGCGCACTAAAGGATACTGGGGAAAAAAATGGTATCAACCAGATAGTTAAAGGGCAGATAAGAAAATAGACTAAAGACACTTATAAAAATAATAAATACAAAGGTAACCACTAGAATAAAAACACAAACCTTCCTAGACTGTACAAATAATAAATAGCACAAAGAATGTACATCTCATACAGAAAAAAACAAATACAAAATACACATAATTACAAAGTATCAGGACAAAGCATATTAGTTATATCGATAAATGTGAATATGCTCAACTTCCCATTTAAAGAAATCAATTTTCAATTTGGTTAACAAAACAAGACCCAAATATACGCATTAAAGAAAAGGCAATTTGAAAGCAAAGTAATTCAAAGAGGTTAAAACTAAAAGAATGGATACTTTACCCTATTTCTTTCATTCAGTATAAATTAAAATTCTGAATGTTTTGTTTTGTTTTGTTTTGTTTGTTTGTTTGTTTTTTGAGATGGAGTCTTGCTCTGTCGCCAGGCTGGAGTGCAGTGGCACAGTCTTGGCTCACTGCAACCTCTGCCTCCCTCATTCAAGTGATTCTCCTGCCTCAGCCTCCCTAGTAGCTGTGACTACAGGCATGTGCCACCACGCCTGGCTAATTTTTTGTATTTTTAGTAATCACAGGGTTTCACCATGTTGGCCCAGATGGTCTCAATCTCTTGACCTCATGATCTACCTGCCTCAGCCTCCCAAAGTGCTGGGATTACAGGCGTGAGCCACCATGCCTGGCCAAAAAATTCTGAATGCTATATGTAAAATGAACATAATAAAGGTGGTAAAGAAGGCAGCAGACCAGCTAGGGAGCTAAAGACCTGAGGAACAACATGGTGGTGAGTCCCCTGAGTTTTCTTTTTGTCTCATATATCCCACACTTGGATCTGAAAAAGCCAGCAATGTAGAAAAGTCAAGAGGTACCAACAGAGCAAACAAACTGTGGTCCACACCTATCCATGGCCAAGTGGGGGGCCTAGACTTTCATCTTCATGAGACTTCAACTCAACAGAAAAGCTGAAAAACTATTTCAAAAAATAAAAGAATTAAGTATGGTGGCAGGATACAAAATAACTATACACAAATCAATGGACCTTATATTTCAAACAAGAAAGTGTGAAAATTAGAATTAAATAGACTATAAAATTTATATTACATTATGATATAAAATATCAAGGAATAAATTGAAGAAATATTTGTAGAAAACTTTACAGTGCTACCGAGAGACCAAAAGCAGACTTGAACACATAGAAAGTTCAGAGGAAAATAAGAAAGATGCTAATGCCAGGGTTGTGAGAGGACTCCAACAGCCACGACTTCAGGGGGCATACAGGAATTAGTGAGATTGAGGTAAGATCCAGAGGAGGTGAGTGGGGCTTCCCAAAATGTTTGAGGCTATGAATCTTGCTAATGATGAACCATCAATTCCAAAGAGCAAAGTGTAAAGACTTCAGGGTTGGGAAGGTGGACAATAGAGAATAGGGGATCTGCAGAGCTTGGCACGGTGTGAAAATAAAGACTGACCCTGGTATCTGGTGCTTCTTGTGATAACTGACAAAAACAATAATAAGAGGCATAATGAGATTAGTCTTAGTGGACTCAAGGCAGATAGTTTTGGAGACTCTGTGAACAGAGGGAATAGGGACTAGTTGGTGGATATATCAGGCTCTCTCTTCACCCCTGACAATGGATGATTTCTCAGGCCAAAATACCTTGGAATCATTTATTTTTTGGTTTATCAAACTCCTCTTATAGCCTTTATCCAAATTCAAACATATATTATGGACTGAGAGAAGATTTTTGCAATACACATAGCATGCAACAAGAATAGTATTGGAAATACATATGGAACTCCTAATATTCTTTAAGACAGTCTACAAAAAGGAGACAAAACTGAAATGCTAATAAACATATGCAAATTTGTACAAATATGTATAAAATCATTATTAATCAGATAAATGAGAAATAAAATAACCAGACACTTTGGCTTAGCAATAGATAAGCCAAAATTTTAAAATGTGATAACAGCAAGTATAGAGAGGTAACTGGGAAACAGGAACTCTCAGCCACTTCTGTGACAATGTTTTTTATGATATCTAGTACTCTTGACACCGAATGTAGTCTGAAACCCAAAAAATCCACTTCTCAGTATAAATCTTAGAAATTTTCTTGTCTCTATAAGAAGACATGTATGGGATATCTATGTGGTCAAGTTCATAATAAACAAAAACTAGAAACAAAGTAAATGTCTAACTGAGAATGAATGACAAAATCAGTTATGTTACATGACTATAACAGAACACTAAATAATAGAGAAAACAAATGAACTGATTATGTGTTGAAATTATGGACTGTTGAGAGTGAAAACACAAGTATCAAAGAAGATGTGTATAATGTAATACTATCTTTCTACAGCTTACAAATGCAAAACAAAACAAAAGACCTTGTGTATTCTTTATGGGCACATGCATATGAGTGTAAAAGTATAAAAACATGGACTAGAGGGATATACACCAACTTCAAGACAGTGCCAGTCTCTGGGGATGGAGGGAGGAAAATGGGATAGGAAAGGTCATACTGAATCTTTATTGTATTTAAGCAGAACAACCTGCAACAAATACAGTACAATGATATTTTTTGTACATTCTGAGAGGTAAGCACTTAAGTGTCTGTTATATAGTCCTAGATACTTTCTGTATCTAGGATTATTTCACTTTTTAAATTTTAGTTTCTATTTGGATTTAAGAAAGAGTAGGAATCTACAAAAAATATTTTGTATGTCGTCTCTTAAAAGCAGATATTTTGGCATTCATCTTAATATCCCAAGTGCCTTTAAACAGGCTATTCAATTAATATTATGTACCTAGGTAAATAGTAAATGAAGAAATGAATGAATGAATCCCACTTTTAAATGCCTCTGCTTTTCCACATATATCAAAAAACATAAAAGAAATGAAGAACAATTAATATATATAGGGTAATATACATATAATACAACTCAATCTTCATTTTTGCTTTTTGTCAATGCTATTTGTGACTGGGCCTTTAATGCTCTGGAGTTTTTGCCTACTTGTGCCTCTGTCCACCTAGTGAACTTGACTTTTGCCCTACATCTGTGGATGGGACAGATGTCTCCCATTAAGGGGATAGCCAGTTTCAGATCCTGTTCTCCAAACCTGCCTTGATGTCTTCCACATTCCAAAATGATACGCAAAATTATATGAAGTCTCTTAATGGCTTTAAATTTTTATTTCCCATTTGTTTTTAAAGTTGTTGAAACAATACCATTATTACTAGACTACTTGTTAAAAGGGGGGAGAAAAAACAGAAAAGAAATAAATGCTAATTCTTAACATATGTTTAAAAACCATTGCCAGTAAATTTTTAAGAGTTATTTGCTTATGTAAGGGAAATTTTACCCAAGCTACTGCAAAGAATTTGCCAATTATATTGCATAATAATATTACCAAAAATTGGGAATTAAATACTGATTTTTCTGGGCATGTGAGATTTCTCAAGGAGGTAGACACAAAATAATGCCTCTTCAGGAAAGGTTGTATTAAAAGATATTTTTATAGTTCTCAAAAATATCAAAGTCCACTTTGGGAGCCCAAGGTGGGTGGATCACGATGTCAGGAGTTCAAGACCAGCCTGGCCAAGATGGTGAAACCCCATCTCTACTAAAAATACAAAAATTAGCCAGGCATGGTGTTGGGTGCCTGTAATCCCAGCTACTCAGGAGGCTGAGGCAGAGAATTGCTTGAACCCAGGAGGTAGAGGTTGCAGTGAGCTGAGATCGTGCCACTGCACTCCAGTCTGGGTGACAGAGCGAGACTCTGTCTCAAAAAAAAAAAAAATCAAAGTCATATTTTCCATCTGATAAAATAAAGTACCTCTTGAATTTGAAAATTATGCTATATTTGTATTATCTGCTCAACTACAAGATGACTTTGGGATTATATCTTTATAAAAAGAAAACTGATTTATACCATTAAATGCCCTATTTTTTATCTTTCCGATATTCTTTAACTAGGATAGGGTTTAGGCACTAATCTTCTCCTGAGTCCTACATTTAGTTCACTTTTCTTTTTACTCCGGTTTCCTCATCAATATCATTTATTCATGTCTTTTAACCACTGGTTACGTACATAGGATTTTGACGCCAGTATTTCTAGCCCACTTCACTCCAACAATCTGACTTGTCTAACGGCTTACTGGATGTATCACAAATACTGTAAACTCAGTAGGTCCCCCAAACATTTAATTTACCCATAATTTACTTCCTAATCTATTTTCTCTGTCTTGGTTTTTTTTTTTTTTTTTTTTTTTTGAGGCTGAGTCTCGCTCTATTGCCCAGTCTGGAGTGCAGTGGTGTAATCTCAGCTCACTGCAACCTCCGCCTCCTGAGTTCAAGCGATTCTTCTGCCTCAGCCTCCCAAGTAGCTGGAATTACAGGCGCCAACCACCATGCCTGGCTAATTTTTGTATTTTTAGTAGATAAGCAGTTACATCATCTTGACCAGGCTGGTCTTGAACTCCTGATCTCAAGTGATCAAGTGATCTGCCCGTCTCGGCCTCCCAAAGTGCTGGGACTACAGGTGTGAGCTACCACACCTGGCCTGTCTTGATTTTTAATACCTTATCTATTATACCTTAAGTCCAAAATTCTTTCCTTTCCCTTTCCAAAATCCTGTTGATTCTACCTCTAATTGTATGCCAAACAACTTACCTTCATTTCAACTGTCCCTTGGTCATAATTCTCTCTCACTTGACTTGAAATGTTCCCCAAATGAGCTCTATGTCTTTTACTTCTCCCCATTTTCAGGATTATGATCAACACTGCTAAAGGATTATCCTTGGCTTCTGGTTTGAATAAGTACATGGAGGTTGGTGCTTTCCTGATATGGAAAAGAGTAAAACACAAAAGGGTAGAAGAACAGTAAGAATTTTAAGATGCTTTGATATAAACTGGCAAAGATGCAGCCTAGGCATTTTGGTATACAAGCTAATAGTTTATTGATGACTCACCGTATCCCAGATCTAAGAGCTTTATATTATTATGGACTGAATGTTTCCCCCCCAATGAAAAATTTATATGTTGAAATCCCAACTCCCAATGTGATGGCACGAGAAGGTGAGACCTTTGGGAGGTGATTAAGTGTTGAGGATGGAGCCCTCGTGAATGAGATTAGTGTGCCCTTAAAAAAAGAGACATGAGAGTTTGCCCTCATTGTTTGCTCTCCACCATGTGAGGATACAACAAGAAGACAGCCCTCTGCAAAGTGTCAAGTAATGAGTTGGAGTTTTGATTATTTTTCACATGAAAAGCTGTATGTCTATCATAAATCCAGTGATCATATTTTCCAAATTATGGTTGAACTTATGGGGACAACTGAGTTGAAGAGTATTCCAAAAACTTCAGAGCACTGAGTGGCCATTGTCACATAGGAAATAATGTATTGAGCTCCTTAAAGGAAGGGCTCTGCATTTCACCTTTCATTTCTATTTCCTGGAATGCACTCAAAAAGGGTTAAATATATTAAACATAGCATAGAAAAATTTTTTGATGATAAGTAATTTTGAGGAAAAGATATGATTTTACTCTTATTTTCAATGTCACTAGGTTTGCTAAGTTTGCAGTCTCAGAGTTAGACTAGTCTTACAAAGTTTTCCTCATTTGTTTTTTCCCCATCAAATAAAATCAACCTTCAGTTTTGATAATGCAGCATGAAACACTGGGTTTAGGTCTCATTAGTTACAGAGCAGAGTTGAGCCTTTGAAAGCTCGAAAGAGAATTACTACTACATCATGCAGTAATAAATGTGCAGTAGTAGTTGACATTTAGGAAGCTAGTGTTTAGACCTGTAAAATTCAGACTTCTAAGGGACAAATTCGATTTTTAAATTATAACAACTTAATTAAATCCAAGATGTATATTCAGCTACATAGAAAGAAGGCTTTTTTACAAAAAATTTATTTGGCAATCACAAAGAAACAAGTAGAAATTATCACAATCTTCTTTAAATGGAAATTTTAAGTCTCTAAAAGAGAGAGAATGCCATCTCTTAACTTTCTTAAATACAGAAAAATTTTACTGATTTTCCACAAAATGTTTTCATTAGGGTAAAGAGAAACTTGGATTTCTCATCTGTCTTTTTTTTTAAGTGGTGGGGAAAATGTTTAATGTAAGACCACTAAAGGCCAGGCGCAGTGGCTCCCGCCTATAATTCCAGCACTTCAGGAGGCTGAGGCAGGTAGATCACCTGAGGTCAGGAGTGCGAGACCAGCCTGGCCAACATGGTGAAACCCCATCTCTACTAACAATACAAAAATTAGCAGGGCGTGGTGGCGGGTGCCTGTAATCCCAGCTACTTGGGAGGCTGAGGCAGGAGAATCACTAGAACACAGGAGGCAGAGGTTGCAGTGAGCCAAGATCATGCCATTGCACTCTAGCCTGGGGGACAAGAGCAAGACTTCATCTCAAAGAAAAAAAAAAAACACTAAAAATTTTTCAAAACTCTCCACTGATGTTTAAATAATTTTAAACTGTCATTTATATTTTCATAAAATTTTATGCCCTTTTTTTCCTATGGGAAAAAGGAAGTGGCAGAATGATGACAGTGATGAAAGGAAATAGATGGAAGCTGTGCTT
Source organism: Homo sapiens (assembly GCF_000001405.40). Taxonomy (NCBI): domain Eukaryota; kingdom Metazoa; phylum Chordata; class Mammalia; order Primates; family Hominidae; genus Homo; species Homo sapiens. The sequence goes on along the minus strand of NC_000003.12, from coordinate 151,640,952 downwards.
AGTTGATCCCCAGATTGTCAGGTTGAGGTGTGAGCCCAGAGTCCTTAAGAAGCCAATCCCTGTGTGGGTTCCCAATACACTACCTGTGCCCAAGAGAAGAGAAAGAATAAATATTCATGAGGAAATAGAGAAATGTGTAATTGATATTTTTCCCCAAAGTAACAATTCTAGTGAACACAGTAAATAAAGGTGGTTTTTCTCTACTCTTTTCCTTGGGGCCCACTGAAAACATCAAAATAATTTTTTTTTATAGGGGAGGGAACACCATCTTCAGTAATTTAGAGAAATGACCATGTTTTCTATGTCTGTCTTGGGACACACACCTGCTGAATAGTGAAGGACCACGAAAGAAAATAGATGCTACATCAGACTGGAAGAAAGATACATTTCTCTCCCAAAAGGAGCGTCATGGCCCCATATGGCATATCCAACAATTCTTTGATTAGGAAAATAAGCTATAAGGGCATGGGCAAGCCATGAAGACAAAAAGAGTCACAGATTGACATTGCAAAATGGTGGAACAGAGCCAAAGAAGCAACCTTGCTGACCCGCCATTTTGTTTTTTTTCTCAGTGGGCCTCTCAGCTGACGAAGATGAGCAGAGGGAAAGCAGGGTGGGGTGGAGTGGGAAAAAGGGGAGAGAATGGACAGCCTGTGCCTTAGAAAGGTTTTGTTGTGTACATACACCAACCTCCTAAATAGGGGGCTACTCCCAGCATAAAGGAAGTAAAACATTTGGTGAGAGTATTTGCAACTACACATCTGAGTATTAAACTAAGAACTATTTTTATAATTTTTATTAAGTACATAAAAAGACTTAGTTTAGAATTAACTGCTGTAATTGAGAACTGGCTGACTTACAAGTAGCCTCTGGAGAATGCTGCTTCTCAAGGCTGTTAAGTGATATTTTTCTGATGTAAGCAAGTTTAGGGGTAACATGGAAGGAGCCATAAACAAGGTGACTTAATCATCCTGGTTTTCCCAGGATTCCCCAGGTTTTAGCACTGAGAGTTCTGCATCCTGGAAAACTCCTCAATTCTGGGAAAATGAGAATGGTTGGTCACCTAGGGAAGGAACCACAATTCCTCCAAGATTCCTCAGTGAAGGGGGTCCTAAAGATAGGATTCTAACTATCGTTTGGGCACTGCATCTGGAAAACAATCAAGAATACAGGTTGCGGAGAGTTGAGGTGTGGGTAAATGATCAGAAACACCAAGGTGGCAGTAATCTGTAACCTTACTGAGCCCTTTACCACTGGTAGGCAATTCGGGCCCTGAGAAGCCTCATACCTACAGTAAAATGATTACTTGATTTCTAAGTAGCTTTGTAAGTAGGATCCTGTTGCTCAAAAGAAGCAACAATGACATAAGGAACTAGAGAAGGCTACAGTTCTCTGATCAGGGTCCAGAAAGCCAGCTGTCACATTCCTGTGTGGTAGCAGGGGAAAGTCTGGCAATGAAAACAGTGAGCTTTATTGAATTGTCCAAAAATATCATGGCTCGTGTGACTAATTTTATTGTTCCATTAGCTGCTTTTCTAGAATTCTCCTCTGGAGAAGTATTAGCCATCATTAAATAAAGGAAGTCCTGCTGCTACTCTCCTGTGGCACACGATGTGGAGCAACTCACATGAGTGACTGAAGTCCATGCACCTGTTTATTCACTGTCAAGGGCTCAGCCATAACTGTAAATCACAAATGTGTGATGACACTAATTAACTCACTTGTGTGCTTTCTTCAGCACGTGGCAATCCAGGGAGAAAGGGTTGTTCTGTGGGCCCTGGTTTGAGGGTTGGCGGTAGTTGTGAGAAAGTGCTTGAGGAGTTACTGAGAAGGAGGTTAAAATGATTAACTAGAGAGTTCTGGGTGGATAGAGAAAGACAGGAGAGAGCCAAGAAAATGGGAGTGCAGATAACAATCAAAGCTACAATGAGATGAAAGAGCAAGTAAAGTGGGTCAAAAGTTATGATCAAAGGATGGAATGTCAAAGTTCAAGATTTCAGAGATAAAACAATTACAGTTAATTGAAGGTCCAGAGTATTGGCATAAAAGTGGGTTGCTAAAATGAGGTGAAGAAAATGTCCTTGAAATGAATGACTGAAGGAATTCCTAGAGGGCTGGATAGGTCAATGTGGACACTGAAGTTTGCCCAGAATTATGTCATGAGTTGCAATGAGCCATGGGGAGCCCCATGGGATTGGGAGAGCCCGTTAAGACAGGCCTATCCATGCCACATATCCTCACTGTGGTTCACAGCTCTTATCAGAGCAACCCTTTGTTTTCTATTTGGGGAAGTAACAGACAGATTTGTACAGGGAACCTAAATTTGGGTTCAAATCATATTACAGTAATGTAGTGCTCAGAAAACTGCATTCATATCCTAAATTCTGAAAAAATTACTACAACACAATGCGGAAGCTTTCTTGGCTTTGGGATGATTGAGCAAAGGCCTCAGGGATACCATAGCTGAAGAATTTCTAAGCTGCTTAAATATCAACAAACCTGATCTTGAAGTGAAGCCGGTCACTTCAACTATAGGATAAAAGGCAAGTTTATGGAAGAAATGACTGAATGATCACCGTGAGAACAGCTTGGATGCAAAAGGCAGAATATTTCATGAGCGAGAGAGATTGAGAGAGGGGGAGAGAGAGAGAGAGTGTGTGTGTGTGTGTGTGTGTGTGTGTGTGTGTGTGTGTGTGTGTTGTTCTACCATTGTTAACATGAGCTGGGGAGCTAGGGAGTGGGGAAGGGAAGCAAATTGTCTCTACTTGAACTTTGCTCTCCCAACTTTTTCCCTGACTATGACTGGTTGTCCATATAGCTGACTTCTCCTTAAGTTTTCTACCACTCATCTTGTTTCATGCAATTTGTTCATATTTCCCATTATGCCCTCTATATAAACCTTAACCCAAATTGCAGACATTAAAATGAGGCTTTTTTTCCAGAAACTGAGAATCATTGTAACTACTTTCAAGAAAAATTAATAAGAACAGTAAACATATATATAAACATATATATATATACATATATACACACACACTATGCACCAACCTCTGTTCTAAGTACTTTATATTCATTCATTTACCTAATCCTCACAATAAACTCATGAGATACATATTATAATTATCCTTATTCTATCTATTTGGAAACCAGGCACAGAGAGGTTAAGAAACTTGCCCAGGATGAAGGCTTAATTTGAACCTGGGTAGTCTGGCTCCAGGGCCAGTGTTCTTAACAACTAAACCCGTGGCTTTCCAGGGCTGGTCACCAGGCCAGCAGCAGTACCAGCAGCATTTGGGAGCTTGTTAGAAATGCATAGCCCTGAGCTCCACACCAAGCCTGTGGAATCAGAAACTTTGGAGGTGGTGTTAGGGATTTGTGTGTTTTAATGAGCTCTCCCAGAAGTCTGATGTTGTCTCAAGTTTGAGAAACACAGCAATACACCACATTGCCCAAAGCAGCCACGTAGTAACAAAGCTGGCCTCAGCGTCAAGAGACCACATGGATCATTTCTCTACCCACATTGGGAGCTCAGAATAACTGCTGTTTTAGAATTTCTAGATTGAATTTTTACAATCACGATTTGAATTCTACTAAAAGGAATTTACTTGAGAACCCACAACAGGGTAATGAACATGGCACAAGTTGTCAACATGCTGGTTAGGGTAGAAAAAGTATGCTACCTCTTTGTCCAGGGTTGTTTACACATCTGCCCATTTTCAGCTTCAATTGGAAAGGATGTGGCCAAGAAACTGTTTTGAATCACTGAGTCTGGTCCAAGTTAAAAAGTCATCCAACTTCTTCAGAGTGGCACCTGTAGACACAGCCAAATCTGTGTGGCAGAACATCTGCAACACAACTCCAGGTGACACTCTGCCAGATCATTTAAAATTCTGCATGTCTATTACTATGAAAAAGTGACTCTCCATCATTCTCAAGTTTCAGCAATGCCTTTTTAATCAAATTAAGAGATAAAATGTCATTGCCTCTACCTAAGGTCATACATTTTTTGAATATTCCCATGCTCAAAGAATACACCTACATAAAAAGACTGGTAGGAAGTAAATCAGCAAGTTAAGTGTCTGTCTCTAGAAATAGGGATTATGAAAGTATTTTTTCTTCTTACACTTTTATATCTCATGGCTTGACCTCTGCCCTGAACTCTAAACTCCACCTGAACTGCTAACTCAACACTCATTTAAATGCTTGATATGCAACTGAAACTTAACATGTAAAGAAATAGCAGCTTAATTTCTACCATTCTCCCAATAAAATCCTTCCCCTTTTTTTCATCTCAGTTAAGAAAAAATTCATACAAGTTCTTGAACCAAATCTTGTAGTCAATCTTTATTCTTTTTCGTTCACAAATTATACAAATTATATCTAATTTGTCAGAAATTCTGTTTGACTAACTACATCCAGAAGGGACTATTTTTTACCAACATCACAAAACCACCCTGATCTAAACTACCACCATTTCTCACCTGAATTATTGTAGTTCTTTCCTTGCTGGTCTTCATGTTTCCACCATCTCCCTCTAGGTCTATTCTCCACAGAGTTGCCAGAGTGACCCTTTTAAAACATGAGGCAAATCATGTCATTTTATTGATCAAAATTTTACAATGGCTGTCAAGAACTGTGAAGAGTATGAGATTTATATTACCCTACTTCGAAGTTAATAAATTAGCCTATTAGTGTTTCAGGGATGCTAGCAAAGACAAAAAGACTCCTAGGTCCAACATGAAGGATTTTGTTACTCAGAGCCCAGCAGGCAGCATGAGCATCAGCTGCAAACATCAGTTCTCCATACTCTCCAGGTCCCTTGACAGCAAGGCAATGGGCCAAAATAAATATGTGCATATGCAGTGGGGTACATTATAAGAGAGGGACAATGAGTTCATGGAATGCATCATTTTATAGCAAGCACTAAGCAAGCCTGCTCTTTGTTCTGGAAGAAGGCATCCCTCAAGGTTGCTCATTACAAACACGACTCGGAGAAATGGTCTGGATAAAGAGTGCTCAGGGACTTGCATTCTTGGCATACTTAGCAATGAAGTATGAAGGTGCGTAAGACGTCCATGGAGGACAATCTACTCCAACAATGACTTCCCATGTTAATTAGAATAAAAGCAATGGTCTTTATAATGATCTACAAGGCCCCACACTATCTGCTTTCCTTCACTGCCTTTTCTTTCTATCACTCATCACTCTATTGATCACCACTCTGCTTTAGCCATACTGGCTGCCATGCTGTTCCTCACATATGTGAGTCATGATCCTGCCTCAGAACTCTTGGTGTTACATTCTTCTGCCTGGAATGCTCTTCCTCCAGTTATACTCATAGCATTATAGATTGAACACTTATGTCCCCCCAAAATTAATACATTTAAATCCTAACCCCCAGGGTGATGGATAGTATTAGAAGGTGGGTTTTTGGGGAGGTGATTAGGTTATGAGGGCAGACCCCTCATGACTGAAATTAGTGCCCTTATAAAAGAGATCCCACAAAACTAGCCCTCCCCTTCCACCATGTGAGGACACAGCCAGAGGTGCTCTCTGTGAGGAAACATGTCTTCACCAGACACCAAATCTGCTGGTGCCATAATCATGGGCTTCTCAGCCTCCAGAACTGTGAGAAATAAATCTTTCTGGTTTATAAGCCATTCCGTTTACAGTATTTTTGAAAAAGCAGCCTGAATGAAGACACATGATTTATTCCCTTATTTCCTTCAAGAACGTGTTCAAATGTCACCTTTTCTGTGAGGTCTCTTCTGGCCACTATATTTAAAACTCCTATCTCTAAACCTTCTGGCACTCCATATGCCCCATGCCCTGACTTATTTTTCTGTTTGTACTTATCACCATCTGACATACCATATGAACACCTATGTTATATATATATACACACACACACACACACACATATATACACACACAAACATATACACACACACAGAGGTATATGCATATATGTGTAAATATATATATGATATACTATATTAGATATGTGTATAATTTATTGTATGTCTCTCCTCCAAGAGGACAGGGACTTTATTGGTTTTGTTCACTACTGGATCATCAGTGTCTAAAACCAGTCCTACAGTACATAGCAGGTACTCAAAAAAATACTTGTTGAGGCTGGGTGTGGTGGCTCACACTTGTAAACCCAGCACTTTGGGAGGCCGAGGTGGCCAGATCACCTGAGGTCAGGAGTTTGAGACCAGGCTGGCCAACATGGTGAAACCCCGTCTTCACTAAAAGTACAAAAATTAGCCGGGTGTGGTGGCAGGTGCCTGTAATCCCAGCTACTCAGGATGCTGAGGCAGGAGAATTGCTTGAACCCGGGAGACGGAGGTTGCAGTGAGCCGAGATCTCACCATTGCACTCCAGCCTGGGGAACAAGAGCGAGACTTTGTCTGAAAAAAATATATATACATATATATATATATTTGTTCAATAAGTTGAATGAGTTAATGTTTTTGTATAGTTTTCAAGTTTCCTAAAACAAACATCATTTTTATAATCGGAAACAAATAGTATAAGGTTACTTTTAGTGGCATTACTTTTAATGGCAAAAACCACAATTACTTTTGCACCAACCTAATACTTTCTATATAGAAGAATTTGCCCAAATGCAACAAGTTGTTTATAGACCCAAACAACTCAGGCAGACCCCACCCACGTCCCTGGCTGAGGTATGAGTAGCTAGCAATAGCTAAACTTACTAAGCATTACTATGCTGGACACTTTATAAATTAGCTCATATAATTTTTGCAACTTTGTAAGACATAACCCCCATTTTATCTATAAAGAAACTGAGGTTCAGTTAAATAACTTTTTCAAGATCACAAAGTTTATAACTGGAATTGTGATTATGAATCCAGACAGCAGTACTGCCCTGAGATCTGGGTAAGGAGGGCCCCTGTTTGAGACTTCGTATTTTTGTATGACTTCCTCAGCATTTTCTAAGTACCCTCAGTTGCCTGAACTCAATCAGGTCTACCAATGCTGTCTGGGCATGATGTCCTGATCTTAAACCCCATTTCTTCTCTTCCAAATGCTCTGCAACCCTCTCCTCTGCACAAGATCCTGAAGAGCATCAGAACTCATGCTAATAGGCTCCAGGAGAATGGTTCAGATGCAGGTTCCAGGACAGTGGCCTGACAAGTGGATCACTCCTGCTGACTCTTGCAGTATTTCTTTCATGGGATTATGTGAGATGGGACCATCAGAATGGCTAACTTGGGTGGCTCTTACCCCAGTGAAAAGATAAGTTCTGGGCTCCAAGCTACTGAGGACCATTGCTGGTACTTGGGTTTGAGCCAGATGTGTGGTCCCATGCATCAGCTCTTGCCTATCTGTATCTCAACCCTGATGCCACATACTGTCTATAGCACCTAAGGATGGTGGGAACAGTGATCTCTCAGCTTATGTGTCCCTCACCCACTGGCACTCAAAGCAGTCATTCCACCTATCTTCAGGGTCCATACCCTGCATCCAGCAGTGCTCTGGAGAATCTGTTGCTCTGCAAAGCCAATGGACCTTTCTCATCATTGTCTTCTCTTGGCTGATTGGTACAATGATAGAGGTCTCTCCTGGGTCAGTTTTAATCCATGACAGATGAGAAATGGTCATTTCTTGTGCAAATGGGACTGCTCTTTTTGCTCTGCCCTTGGGCTCTCACATCTTCTCCCCAAGAGCGGCAGTGAATGGAAGGCACAGGTGGGAGCCACATAGAAAGGGATCACATTCTCAGAATCCATCATTACAATTTAACAAGTTAAAGAGAAAACATGGCTGGTTGTTGCATTGCTCTAGTTTATGCTCTAACATTCCAGTCTGTAAACTTAACATGAATAGCAAATGAATTATTGTTCTCCATTTTTTCTGAATACTCTGCATAAAACTTGCATTTGTAGTCATCACAAGTACATATGTGGCACTTAACTCGGCACAATAATAACCTTTGAGTGTCATTGGAAGCCAGTATTCATGGGGTCACAATGAATAATGCAGCATCACGAGTAATGGTGTAACCAGCAATTAAATAAATGATATTAGGAAACTGCAAAATCAAGATAATCTCTGTTGCTTCAACACAAACAGGTTCCAGTGAGCCATGGCATTGTCCGTAACATCATTGCTCTCTTTTCATTGTGATGAGAAAATAAACACGAAGAGATATTTTCCAGAACACAATTGGCAGAGATGGTGCCAGAACACAACAAAAAACTTTCTGAGGCCAACCTTCTATTTAATATCCAAATAAACTATCAGCACAATCTATCCAACTTTTATTTTTGTCATCAGTCACAGTTCTCTACTATATTTGTAAAAGGATGCTTTATCTTGGCATAGCTGCAGCCCATTTCTGTGTTAAGATTTTTACATTACATAGTATTATTGCTATTTTCTCACACTGTGTACCTTCCTGTGCAAATCTCCCTCCCAAACGCTGACAATCAGCAGCTTATCTTCTTGATACCTAGATTCCTACTGGCCAACACCTCTCAATTCCTCTCTCAGCTACTTTTGTTTTCCTTTGTCCTACACTGTTTACCAACCCTTTCTCTTCCTCATTTTCTCCTTCTGCAAATAAAAACCTAAAAAAGAAACAGAAATTCCTTACTTTCTATCCTCCCTAATCTAGTGTTTCTCAATGCATGATCTTCTGATGCTCTTAATTAAAATCACTAGAGGGCTTTTAAAAACACTATACAGGTTCCCAGGCCCCACCTAGATCAACTGAATCATGTCTTTGGGAATATGGCCCGGGTCACCCATGTTTAATCAATCAGGTTGATTCATTCACAGGCTAAAGCTTGAGATCACCAACTTAACCACAAGGAAAAAAGAAAAACAAAACAATAACAACAAAAAAATTGCACCACTGTTGTCAAGCTTCATGATTTATAGAGTCAAGTACAAAAGCATATTGTACAGACTGATGACACAATGTACAACTGTGCTAGATACAGTGTCGTACATATGCTGTGATGTTAGAATATGAGGTACAGGCTTGCACACATTGCCCTTCAACCTGGAACCTCTTTTGCTCACTTATCTCATTTCTATGTCTTTCAAAACCAGATTTCTCCATGAAGCCTTCCCTGGCTCCTCCTGCCTCTCCTTTCAAAAGCCAGGTTCACATGTTGTTCACACCTCTCTTTATATTAATGATCAGACTGTATTTCTCATTGTTTCTTCATGGGGCTGTCTCCTCCTTCAAAGTATGAAGTTCATCAGAGCTATCTGTTTATCTCCAACAATTTATGAATATATGTGTCCCTATGCTATATGGCAAGTGCACAATAAATAGTTGTTGAATTAATGAACTATAAAAAACTAGAAGAACAAGAACCCATCCAAGTGATTTTGCAAAGTTTAAAATGAGACACTATAAATTATCTAGGTGAGTGCTGCATTAGAAATGAAATATATTATTCAAGTTCTACTCTCAGATTTTATTGATTTCCTTATGGAAAACATGTGCTGTGTTCAAAGTCAAAGAAGCTTTAATGCAAGTCAGATCTTCCTTCGTAATCCTTTGGAAATAGCCTTTGACAATGAGGAGAGAGTGAAATGTGACTTGTCACATTATAAATAAGGCTAAAAATACACACTTGATGTCATCTAGTGTTTGGTGTTCCAAGAACCAAAACTAGTCATTGCAACATTTCAGCTTAACATCTGCTCTTTCAACCTGTTCAGCTGGTTGTTTGTAAAACATTCCAGCTTATCTCTTCAAAGTAATGTGAGTGGGAGTAGGAACCCTTTGTTGAGAACATTTTTTAAGTAAGATTCTAGAGGGCCAGTTATTTGTGGAAACCAGCTGATGGAAGGGGGCAGCTGGAGGAGCCAGAGATAGGTGAAGAGAATAATTTGATCCTCCTGTGACTTTTCCTAGTGCTGACTTCCATCTTCCCAGCTGAGAACTCCTGTGATAGCTTCCTGTCTATCCCCCCACCTCCACCACTGGCTCATTCCTCCCTGCAGTCTAGTCTCTCCCCAAGCCCCACCACAGCAGACAACTTCAGCTGAAGAACATTTTGGTTTGAACTGTCCTAAAAATGGAGACACCCCTTTCTTGGATTTCTTTAATTGATATATCATACTTGTATGTATTTGGAGTTACATGTTATATTTTGATACATGTATACAACATGCAATGATTAAATCATGGTAATTGGATATCTGTCATCTCAAACATTTATCTTTTATCTTTTCTTTGTGTTGGGAACATTACACTTCTTCTCTTTTAGCTATTTTGAAATATAAATAAGTTATTATTAACTATAATTTCCCTTCTGTACTATTAAATACTAGAACGTATTCCTTCTATCTAACTGAATTTTTGTACCCATTAACCCAATTCTAAACATTCTACAACTATAAATCACTGGCAAGGAAAAAATGATAAATCAAAACAAAACATCAGAACTTAAAAACAGCTGGATTTTCTTCCAGGTGGAGTTGATGCCCTCTGAATTTTCTTGTAAGTTGTATACTTTCTTCAGAGAAGATCAGAATATTATCCTCTAGGATTAGGGTAACCTTTTATAGGAAGAACTGACACTCTCCAAATTCTCCCTCAACCAGCTTCTTAGTGCCCCACATTCCACAATTAGATGCTCATTTGTTGGTTTAAAACTTCTGTAGCTTTGCTTGTTTACTTTTCACTCCCTCATCGTGTTTATACATCATGACCTTAACATGGATACCTCAGAGTGGAAATATTTGTCAGATCTATTTCTAAGACCAAAAGACATTGGGGAGGATGCTGTTGTGAGGGTGGGGGTTGGGGAGTAACTGGGAGTTCCAGGGCCCACTTGGGCTGCCAGGAGGGAGGGAATCACAGGACGTCTTCAGGCCTATCTCATTTTCTTCACAATTTCCCCTGCCCCGTCCTACTCAGAATGTGAAAAAGCACAGCTTTTTGCCATATGTTCTTTGATTCCCCTGGTTAGCAATAGTCCTGAAATATCAAAATGCTTTTGCTATTTAAGACCTTAATGCTCTTTAAAGACTTTTTTATTAACTGTAGCACGTAAGTCCAAGTTACGGCAAGAGACTTAAAGTTGTTCGAGGCATTGCCAGTAATTCAGGACAGGATCACAAAAGCAATAAAAATGGGAGAAAGAAAAAGATGATGATGCATTGCTGATGCAGTACCTGAGATTTTCATGTCACAGGCTGAACATAGGTACAAGTTTTCCCACAGAAATAAATTCTACCAACTGTTATGTATCCGCAGCAGAGAAGGAAGGTATGATTCAGAAATTAATTTCTATCAAATTGTTTATAGCTCTATTTTGATTATCCACACTTTCATATTTGTAATATTATGTTAACAGAAAAGTAATCGCGGTTTTTGCCATTACTTTCAATGGCAAAAACCGCGATTACTTTTGCACCAACCTAATAGCTGAAAAAGAGTTAGCAAATAAAAACCTGAAAATGTACTATGCAGCCCTTTCTAAAACCTTTCCACAGCTCATCCTTTCTTCCAGCCATTAGGTCCAGCACCAAATTCTTTCCTTCTGCCTCTCCATTACCAGGACTAGTTAGTGCTTTAATGTTCCTTATTATTCACGAATTATCTGACCAAAATAACCCAGTCATTGTTAAAATTAATTCCTCTGAAACGGTTTAAAAATACGGCACATAAAATTTAATTAGGCTAATAAATACTTGGAATATTGTTAAGATATTACAAATGAAGGATACAGGAACTTATGGTCTAGTGGGGAATTTACAGTCTAGATCAAAACTATAGCCGCCAAGGAAGAAGACAAAGCAAATGCAGCTTTGCCATTGAAGAGGCACAGAGCGCTGTTGGAGCACCAAGGAGAGAGATATTATTTCTGTCTGAAAGGAGAAGGGAAATGCTCATAAAGGAGGAAGATGGTAGCTAATTGAGATAACCACCGATTTGTGAACACCACTTCTTTGAATGATCATTATGAAAAATATCTATGAACTAGATTCTTCTCTACATAGAAGTTTGAACAAAGCATTAAATGTTGAAGGCAGGAAGTTACCTAAACTACTAAATAAAAATAATTTATTTTTGTTATACCCTGACGTCTGTTAATAACAGATAACACTTCCTTGAAAGTCAGAGTTTCAGTTAAATACTGGGTAGAGAGTGAATTAAAAAGCAATAAACAAGTAACCCTTGTATACTTACATAACATCGTCTTTAAAAAGAGTATCCAGTATCAAAGTCAAGTGCCAAGGCTAAGGGAGGCAGCCTGGTGCCCTGGAAAGGGCATACATAGGCTTTGCCTATGGAGAGACCTATGTTCAATTGCCGGCTCTACCATTTGTTAGCTCTGCATGCTTTGATTTGGGCACTTTATCTTTTTCTCAAAGTTTTCAATTCTTTTCCTATAAAAGAGAAATGTTTTTAGATCTTACTAATGCACACACCTAGAAACTTAAATTCAGTGTCTGAAAAAAAATCACGGTTTAGCCTAATAATTTTGTTAATTTATTTCATTTTCTTGAATTGTGGTGTCTGATGCCAACCTTTGGAAGGCTAAGGCGGGAGGACTGCTTGAGCCCAGGAGTTCAAGACCAGCCTGGGCAACATAGTGGGATCCTGTCTCTACAAAAAAAACAAAAAATTAGCGGGAGTGGTGGCATGTACCTGTAGTACCAGCTACTAGGGAGGCTGACGTGGGAGGATTGCTAGAGTTCAGCAGGTCGAGGCTGCAGTGAGCCGATTACAGCACTGTACTCCAGCCTGGGAGACACGAGATCTTGTCTCAAAATAAAATAAAATAAAATAATTTAAAAATTTAAACAAATCACTCTCTCCCTTTCTCTCTTCCTTGCTTCCTTATCTCCCCTCCCTACTCTCTCATTGTATTATATATGCTGCAATTCTATCCACAGGTAGACTAGCTTGTAATCCTACTTACTGAAAATTTTACTAATAAATTTCTCACATAATAATAAAAATAAGGATAATAAAGAACACCAAAGAATTAATACTATCCCCGGTAATGAAGAGACAGAAGGAAGCAATCCATGTCCCATCTGAGGGTTTGAGGAAAGAAGAGGAGGTATGGAAGCCTTCAGATGGGGCAGCAAGGTACATTTTTCACAGATCCTCTAAGGTTTTTAAGAGGACATATTTTCCCTAGAGATTCTCCAAGACACACCTGCCAAATACAAATTTCAAATTGCTCTCTATATGCTAGTGTTCCTGATTTGTATGGCTGATAATTGCCTTTTAAAGGGGCTTCATATTTAGGATCACACCTTACCTTCTCCACACCATGACGAACCTGGGGCAGTAAATATCACCACCCCATGTAGCATTTCATCAGCACACAATATCCATCCTACGCTGAGTTTTCCTTGGTGCCCAGCTAACTAGTGTTAGAGCCCAGCCTTAACTCAGATGTTGAGTAATTCCAATTGCTAGGCATTCTGACCTCAAGCTTGTGGGGTGCCCTTCCTGATCTTTCTTAATAATGACAATATCACCTACCTTGTCCCAGACAAAATGCCAAGTGCTTAGCATGCACTCTTGATTACCTGTAACCTCAATGCACATTAGGAAAGACTGTGCTTGCTTTACAGATGAAGAAATGATGAGGCTCAGATCGGTTAAGAAACTCACCTTAGATTGGGTGTGATGGCTTATGCCTGTAATCCCAGCATTTGGGGAAGCCAAGGCAGAAGGATAGCTTGAGGCCAGGAGTTTGAGGCCAGGAGTTTGAGACTAGCCCAGGCAACACAGTGAGACCCTCTACAAAAAATAAATTTAAAAAATTAGCCAGGCATGATGGTGTGCCTGTAAGTCCCATCTACTTGAGAGGCTGAGTAGGGAGGATTGCTTGAGCCCAAGAGTTTGAGGCTTCAGGGAGTCATGATCATACCACTGCACTCCAGTGAGAGAAATTTGCCTTAAATCACATCGTTAGTGAATTCCAGAAGCAAAGTGCAAACCCAGGCACATTCTACATATTTCCCAAATGTCTTTTTCAAATCAATGTCACTGCAAAATAAGAAAAAATAAAAAACTAATGTCACTGCAACCTTCCTTTCCATTGAACTTCCATTGCTTTCTGTCTGAGTCTTATTTAGAAGGAAGTCTGCAAACTTCTTCCCTTCTCCACTCACCATTTCACTGTAAGGTCTTTATGACCAATAAATGACTTGCTGTATTTTTCCTACAATGCCTAGCACTGTAAGAGCTTAGACATATTTTTAAGTGATTAACACCATTTTTGAAAAGCTGTCCCAAAGAAACCAAAGCTAGGCCTGTGACTCCAGGTACTTCACTCCTATTGAAAAGTAGTAAATAATTAAGAGAAAGCATACAAATTAGTAGAATCTTAAATTTCCATAGGAGGCAAATAAGTAACCCCATTTTTATTTGCCAGTGAAGTAAAAAATGTGATCACTTACATGCCCATTTATGCCCACTCTTACCAAAATCTTTGAGGTGGCCCATCCATTTACGAAGACACAGTCTACTGTGAGTAGACATCCGCAGAAACTTCTAGATGATGATATTTTCCAATGCTAATTATTTGATAAAGAAGTTTAAAGGAACTCATAGTTAAAAACTCTTTGCTATTGTGAATAGTGCTGCAATGAACATACAGGTTCATGTATCTTTATAATAGAAGGATATATATTCCTTTGGGTTGCAGGAACATAAAACTAAATACTGCGTTCTCACTTATAAGTGGGAGCTGAACAATAAGAACACATGGACACAGGGAGGGGAACAACACAGACTGGGGCCAGTCAGGGGGTGAGGGTTGGGAGAACATCAAGAAAAATAGCTAATGCACACTGGGCTTAATACCTAGGTGATGGGTTGATAGGTGCAGCAAACCACCTATCAAACCATGGCACATGTTTACCGATGTAACAAACCTGCACATCCTGCACATCTGCACATGTATCCCAGAACTTAAAATAAAACAAACAAACAAACAAAAAACTCTTGACATGCATTGAATCAGTTCAGTCTCTTCTGTAGCTTTCAACCAGCTGCTGTGCTGGTTATGGCAGATCTCTCTGTGAATGTAACCTTCACGTGTTGCTGTTGTTGTTGTTGTTGTTTTCATTAATGTTCTTAGGAGTCTGCTGTTCTTCCTGGACACTCAGAGCAGGAACAGGAATACACAGAGCCTCAGAGTTGGCAAAGTTTATTATTTGACTATCCTTTTTCAAGGGGGGAGGTGGACTCAGGCTAACATACAATATCCTGTATCATAAAGTTCCAAATAGTAAGTTCCAAAACCAAATGAGAAGTTTTCATTGTTTCTTGAAGAAATAAATAAGATCACAAAACAGACAGCTTAATCTTTTGTTGATTGTTTGTATTTAAGGTAACATATTAATATAAATTCATCTCAAATATTTAATAATCCTTAGACACCAGAAACAGAATAATCTCTTCTTTTGATGGGGAGGGGCTGATATTTGGGTTGTGATTCACTGTCTTGGACCAGCAGACCACCAAAATGAATTTCCAATCTATAATAAATAGTGACGATGGAGTCTAAAAACTCTGGAGAAACATTTACTACTAACTACTGTTCCCTAAATGTCAAGATGTGCCCAATTCCTCTCTGGAAATATTACAGATGAAAATTACATCAATCCTTATTCACGTCTTCAGTTCCAGGAAAATATAAGCTCTCAGTCACTTGGGGAATTTTCTGGGAGAGAAGGAAATTAGTTTCAAATGGTTTGGTAATCATCTGAAAGGCGTATCTGTCAAAGTGAATCAGCCTGAAGGTTTAGAGAAACATTTATGTTGTTGCTGCTTTGTTCAACTGAACAGAACCCTCTGAAGAAATCTGAAGAGCTAGCTTCCTCACATTCTCCAAGTCTTTTCTGAAATCACCTTCCCAATGAGGCCTTCCCCACAACCCTTTTTAAAGCTGTTAACTCTCCTCCTAACAATTTTCTACCTTCCTTTCCTATTTGCTTTTCTCCAAAGCACTTATTACCAGGTGACAAACTATATATTCTACTATTTTATTTATATATCGCCTATCTTCTTCAACTAAAATGTAAACTCCATGAAAACAGAAATTGTTTTCCTGCCATATCCCCTTCACCTAAAATAGGCAGATACAGGTGCTCAGAAAATTCTTACTAAACGACCAAGATAATCAATAAATAAATAATCTAAGATAGTACTCTTATTGAAATTAAAGCCATACATTCAGAGCTGCCAAGAAATAATAGTTTTTTCTTTATTTTTATGAGCCAGATTTATTTTCAGCAAAGCTACAGATTTTTAAAGAAAATATGTGTGTGTCTTCAAACCACACACTTGGAAAGCAATAAATGACACTGAATGTTTCAGGAGTGAAAACATGGCTCGTGAAACATATTTTTTCATTAGTATTGTCTCTCAAGCAGTTACAAAAGGTGAATGACTTGAATATTCAAATACATGGCGCTTTCTGCACTGAGGCTAAAGGAAAGAAGCACCAAGCTAAGAACCAAGACGAGTGGGGTTTTGAGTGTGTGTGTGTGTGTGTGTGTGTGTGTGTGTGTGTTACTATTACTAGAGAGCTGTTTCTCTACTTGCATTAAAAAAAAAAAAAGTGTGGCCAGGCGCGGTGGCTCACACCTGTAATACCAGCATCCCAGCACTTTTGGAGGCCAAGGCGGGTGGATCACGAGGTCAGGAGATGGAGACCATCCTGGCTAACACGGTGAAACCCCGTCTCTACTAAAAATACAAAAAATTAGCCGGGCGTGGTGGCGGGCGCCTGTAGTCCCAGCTACTCGGGAGGCTGAGGCAGGAGAATGGCCTGAACCCGGGAGGCGGAGCTTGCAGTGAGCCAAGATCGCGCCACTGCACTCCAGCCTGGTGACAGAGCAAGACTCCGTCTCAAAAAAAAAAAAAAAAAAAAAAGCAACAGCAACAACAAAACGTGTGGGATGGAAAGTGACTCCAAAGTTCTGTGCCTCAGTTTCCCAGGCTATAAAGCCCTTTCACCCTTTCTAAGGAAAGAATATACTGTGACAGTAAAATGGTAAAGTAAAATCAATTTGAAAAATATAAATACAATGTTATTATTGCCAAATATTGATAATATTTATTGACATATATTTACTGATAATAAAGATGTATGCTTTGGCACTATGTTATACTTAACTTTAAATTTAGGAAAATGTTGGACCATATTGAACACAAAATGTTTGCAAATATATCAAAGATAGATATGCTTCCTTGACTGTGCCATAAAGAGAAGATGGGAAAAGGAAATCTTGACTTTCCTATGGTTTGATTTTATGAAAACAAGTTATCTAGTCTACAGATATAAAAAGAACATATTATATGCGCCATTGAAATGAATAGTAAACTTAGGAATTAATTTAAGATTTAGTTGTCTATTAATTTGGCAATAGAGTAATCAAGTTCCACAGATTTTTATGTGAACATTTTGAAATAATAGTAAGATCTACATTTACTTATTTATCTATAATTTCCTAAATAAAAAAATTAAAATTGTAAATTGTAGCATACCTGTGTCATGAAATAGGAGAACTGATAACTCAAATATGTTCACTCAGTCATGCTATGGTGAAAAGTTGAGCCAACTCTTTGGTAGATAAATATTTTGGAATTCCTGTCTTCAGTTAAGTGGCTGGCTCTGAAACACACTCTAAGAAACAACGAAACGAGCTGTGAATTTAGCATTGTGCCTTCCAGTTTGTTTATGCTGCCAGTTAAGTACCATGTATAGTCTTGACCAATGTTTATTCTCTGGGACTCAGTTTCCTTCTCTGTGAAAGGAGGTAATTGAATTAAATTATCACGGGAGCATCACAGAATGTTAGGACTAAAGGAGCTTTGGGGATTGTTTTGTCTAACTCCTTTGTGTTATAGAAGAAACCAATGCTAAAGTGCCTATATCTGTTGGATACGATGATTCTATTACTACTCTTCCAAGTCAGATATCTTACAGTAACATCCCCACATCCCACAAAGGAAATTAAATTGAATTAAGCCTTCTATTCAAAAAGCATAGTAAAGGATATTATCCAAATAAATAAAATGTGTCAGAAGTAAATTTCTAACCTATGACTAGCAATGCTATTTCTAAATATCCCCCTACCCCCAATTTGAAATAGATCTACTCATTCACACAGAGTTAAAACTAGAGTTGTTTCTCTTCCTTAGAGCATGGAGAGACCAGCATAAGGCCTGAACCCATATTGATACATAACTGCTGTAGTTGCTGAAACAGCATTTGGTAAAAGTTAATAATCATTATGGATTAAAATCATTCATAAAATAGCAAAAGATGGACATTTTCTGGTTATTTATAAATACATTTATAACTAAAAGATCTAGCATCAAGCTTAAGAATACAGGTGATACAGATGATAAACAGCTTCTAATTAACTTTAACACTCTAAGACAAAAACAGAAGGGGAGAAAGGCAGTGAAGGAGAAAGGAGGAGAAGAAGAAAGATGGGAAGGAGGAGGGGTGGGGGAAGGATAAGAGAAAGAAAGAAAAGTATGTTACCGAACTTGCAGAAAAAGAAGCAAAATTAACATTATTTTCAAATGATAGGATTGTAGAGATTGAAAAAACAAGACACTCAAGTAAAAGAGACTCAAAGTCAAAACCACTACAAACTATAAGAGATCTGGTATAAACATAAACATGCTTCAATAAAAGCAATAACCATTTTTCAAACATTATATAAGAGATCATATGTAGTATTTCTAGGCAAAGGTAGTATAACTACAGAATAATTAGCAAGAAAGTGAAGAAATGTTTTAGAATGCTTCTGAAAGACAGAAACATACTTGCTCAAAAGGAAAGCCTACCTTGCTCTTGGATAAGATTTATCATTATAAATCACAAACCAGAATCACAAACTGGAAAGAAGGAGAGGAAAGCTCACAGAGTTCTGTTTTATTAATGTAAAAAATAAAGCTTTCCCCAAAATGCCTAGCTGACTTCTCTTCACCCTTGGTAATATGAATGTGATTTGCATACGCATCCATTTCTTTTACACAAAATTACTGAGCATCAATATCAGGCAAGTACTCTTGTTATGAGTTTGGTTATTAATAATAATGTTATTAATAATCTGACCCTGAATGTTGGAAACAATTATAAATTGTAGAGTTGACGAGAAAATACTTGATTGAACTCCTGTGGGAATCACCTAAGTATATTCTGTCCAGTGAAAATCTTTCATAAATAACAGTCATTTGTTAAACTGGTTAAAATAAGTAGTCCAGATCACAATATTTTTTCTCCTACTCTTCTCAGTTATCATTTACCAATCAAAGTATTTTTTCCACATTCTGTAGACACAGATCTAAGTGACATGAGGTATATAAAAAGACATTTTATATACACAAGATCCTTTCGGTTTAATTAGAGAAATAAGACCTACATTCTGAAAAGAAAACATAACATAAGCAAGAGTGAAATATTCCTAAGTAATACTTATAGATTTTTTAAATTGTAGTTCTGATTAGCTAGCAGTTTCCCAAACGTTCACACTTGTTTTTTTTTAATTTACAATTCCATTCTGTTCTCTCCTTCCCTTTCTCCTTATTCTTTGAAACTCAGATCAAGGGTTAGCTTCTGTATAAAATCTTGTCCAACCACCCCATATCCTAATAGAATTCACTATTTCCTCCTTGTGCTTTATGTACCCTCTGCATAATATTTCAACAGCATCTTACAAATTCTTGCGCGTATTTCTTTGCATGCTTGTCTTATCCAAGATCATGCTCATTCAACTTTTTGTACCTGTCACCTGGCACAATGCTGCAAACATAAGAGATCAATTGATTAAGTGAATAAAATGATGGGAGTTTGACTATTAAAAAAGGAAATAGAGTCTGGGCATGGTGGCTTATACCTGTAATCTCAGCACTTTAGGAGGCTAAGGTGGGAGCATCACTTGAGGCCAGGAGTTCAAGACCAGCTTGGGCAACATAAAAATACCCTGTCTTTATTAATAAAATTTTTAAAACAAAATTAAAAGGAGATAGACTATAATGTTTTATGGAACAAAAAAACTAGAGGAGCACAATTGTGTTGTCCTTGGATTCGTTTTGAACTTCTTAAAATAAGAAATGAACCCAATTTACTTTACTGCTCCTGGGATAGAAAGTTCAAGGACCAAAGATATTTTCCTGTTTCTGTGCTACACAAAACTGGAGCTAGGCAAAAGTCACTTAGCTACTTGCTGCAGTAAATACATGCTCTAGAAGATAAAACTATGAAACAACAAAAATAGCTTAGTGTTTAAGACTAATAGCGTATTTCTGGACCCTTTCCTTGCCATGCCCACCAAACCAAAGTTATTATGCTCCAAACCCTGACCAATCCCAAACAGCTCCATCTTGCAAAATCTGCCTTAAAACCACCCAATGCCCTGTATATTTTTCTTCCTGTAACTTCCTTCTTTAGAGAATTTATTGACAATCTCAAACATGTTGATGTTCTCCTTTAGTGTAGTAAGTCTAATTAACTGAGCTTTACTTGATCAATATGTTTATCTAGTGGTCTTTGATGGCATTAAGGGCCAATAGTAGCCTTAAAATGAATTTATATATATATTCCCCAGTTTTGAAGAACAGTTTATCTATAATGGGGAAGCTGATTTTGTGTTATTTACCTTAGATTCTGTTATCCCCCAAAAGGAGGAAGCATGAGCTAATTTATAAAAACACAAAGTATTTTTTATTCACTTTTTAAATGACAGCTAAAGTTATACATTTTTTAACTCACTTCCTCTTTTAACAATATTTCCTCATATTTATAACTTCATTGAATGGCATTACCTAAAAGATAACCACTTATTTTATTTTTAACAGTTTTATTAAAGTATAATTTTGTCTTAGCTTGTTTGCTGCTGCTATAACTGAATGCCAGAGATTGGATAATTTATAAAGAAAAGAAATTTATTTCTTACAGTTCTGGAGGCTGAGAGTTCCAATGTCACATGACTGTCTCTGGAGAATCTTCTGCCAGTGGCGACTCTCTGGAGAGTCCTGAGATGGCACAATGCATCCCATGGTGAGGGAACTTAGAGAGACAGCCAAACTGACTATACAACAGACTCACTCTCATAACTCACCCACTCCTGTTATAACCCATTAACCTATTAACCCATTAACCTATCAACCCATTAATATAGTAATCCATGAATGGATGAATAAATTCATGAGGGCAGAGTCCCAATAACCCAATCACCTCCCAAATATTCCACCTCTCAACCCTGCCGCAGTGGGGATCAAGCCTCTAACAAATAAGCTTTTCCAGGATACATTTAAACCATATCAAATTTACATACCCACTTATTTTTATAGTAATATTTGGGGTTAATCATAAAATGCATATTCATTATTAAAAACTGGAAAAAATACAAACAAATATAAATTCTCAACTGTCTGATAAATCCATCTTAAAATTTTGGTCTATTACCACAAATTTGTTTTTCCACTACATACACACACACACACACACACACACACACACACACACACACACATTAAAAGTAATTGAAATACTATTTCATATGCCATTTTATAATTTGCTTTTTCTCTTGTTATATTATAAAAAATGTTCTGCTTTTATCATAAATACTTCAAAAACTTTACATTCATATTTATGGTGAAGTAATACGATGCTTGAGATTTCCTTCAAAATAATCAAGGTGGAAGCAGGGGGAGGCCAATGGATAAGCGAATAATAAAAATAAGCTAGTGTTTAGTTGATATCTGTTCAAGCTGAATGATGACTACATGTGAGATCTTTATATGTTTATTCTCCATACTTTTGTATGTTTGGTATTTTCTATAAAAAATTTAAAATCTTTATTTTTAGTATTTACATTATATTTTATTTACATATTTACTTCATTTTATGTAACTATTCTATTTATTAATTTTCATTAGAGATTTAGATTATTTATAGTTTCTTACTATTGAAAACACCGTGATAGGGTCTTTGTACATAAATATTTGTATTTCTTTGTATGAGACTTTCAGTGATAGCTGAAAGTTCGGAAAACTTCACATCTCTGTTTATTTATTTACAAAATATATGAAAAAAAGCCTGCTCTTGTACTTGCCTCCTGGCATACATAGTAAAACAGTATAAACATTTTTATTTTTATTTTTTATTTATTTTATTTTTATTTTTAATTTTTTAATTTTTTATTTATTTATTTTTTATTTTTTATTTTTTTTTGAGATGGAGTCTCACTCTGTTGCCCGGGCTGGAGTGCAGTGGTGTGATCTCGATTCACTGTAAGCTCCGCCTCCTGGGTTCACGCCATTCTCCTGCCTCAGCCTCCTGAGTAGCTGGGACTACAGGCACCCACCACCACGCCCGGCTAATTTTTTGTATTTTTAGTAGAGACGGGGTTTCACTGTGTTAGCCAGGATGGTCTTGATCTCCTGACCTCATGATCCACCCGCCTCGGCCTCCCAAAGTGTTGGGATTACAGGCGTGAGCCACCGCGCCCGGCAAACAGTATAGACATTTTAAAACTTCTTTATGTCCATTACTAAATAGTTTCATGGGAAAGTTGTTTCAAAGAAATTTTAAAACATTTTAGCATCTTAATCAGTTTGGGTGGCTGTAACAAATATAACATAGACTGGGTGGTTAAAACAATAGAAATGTATTTCCTAACATTCTGGAGACAGATGTCCAAGAGCAAGGTGCCAGCGCTTCAGTTACTGGTGACGACTCTCTTCCTGGTTTGCTGATGGCCAACATCTTGCTGTATCCTCCCACAGTGAGAGAGAGAGATCATCTCTCTTGTGTCTCTTCTTACAAGGTCACTGATCCCATTAATAAGGGTTTCATTACCTAGTTAACCTAATTAACTCCCAAAGGCCCCACCTCCTCATCACACTGGGGATTAGGTTTAAATCTTTGAATGTGAGGGAACATGAACATTCAGTCTATAACAGACATGTCTATTTATTTTCTGAATTGTTTATACTTGTTCTTGACCATTTATTCGATGCAGGATGCTTCATGATGAGGGGGCTAGAGCATGCTAATCTGGCTTTTATAACATAATCACTCTTGTGATAACTAACCCTCTCCCATGATAACCTATTAATTCATTAACCTATTTATCCATTCATGAGGGCAGAACCCTCATGACCCAATCACTTTTAAAAGGCCCACCTCTTAATACTGTTACACTGGGGATTAAGTTTCAACATAAGTTTCAAAGGAGACAAATATTCACACTATAACACTTTGCTCCTGGCCCCCCAAAACTCATATTCTTCTCCCATACAAGTAGATTCATTCTACCCTCACATCCCCAAAGTCTTAATTCACTTCAGCACCAACTCAAAAGTTCAAAGTCCAGAGTTTCATCTGCATCAGATATGGGTGATACTCAAGTGACAATTCATCTTGAAGTAAATTCTCCTTCGGTTATGAACCTTTGAAATTAAACAAGTTATCTACTTCCAAAAATACAATTGTGAGACAGGAATAGAACAAGCATTCCCATTCCTTCAGGGAGAAATAGCCATCCCCCCAACAAAAAAAAAAGAAGATGAAGAAAGAGAAGAAAAGGGAGAAGAAGGAGAAGGAGGAGGAGGAGGAGGAGGAGGGGGAGGAGGAGGAGGGGAAGAAGAAGAAGAAGAAGAAGAAGAAGAAGAAGAAGAAGAAGAAGAAGAAGAAGAAGAGAAGGAGAAGAAGAGGAGGAGGAAGAAGAAGAAGAGGGGGAAGAAGAGGAGGAGGAGGAGGAAAGAAGGAGGAGGAGGCAGAGGAGGAGGAAGAGAGGGGAGGGGGAGGGGGAGAAGAAGAAGAGGAGAAGAAGAAAGTAGTATCAAGTCCCAAGTAAGTCTAAACCCCAACAGGGAAAACTACTTTAAATCTTACAGCTGGAGAATAATCTCCTTTGACTCCATTTCCAGCATCCTGGGCTCACCAGTGCAGGCATTGGGCCCTAAAGGCTTCAGGCAGCCTTGCCTTCTCACTATGTGATGTCCTGTGCCACCCTGAAACTCTACAGAGGGTCCTTACCTGTAAAAAGGCCCTTACCAGATGCCACCCCTCAACCTTGAACTTCCCAGTCTCCAGAATTGTAAAAAATATTTTTTTTCTTTATAACTTACCCAGTCTCAGATATTCAGTTATAGCAACAGAAAACAGAATAAGACGCATTTCGTAGAGGTTTCTATAGATGATACATAGATGCATGAATGGATAGATGCTCTTTATAAATTAGAATATTAATCAATCAGTTAACTTATTTGTGGAAAGCATTTTTACTCAGCTTGTCAATAATGAATTTAAATATTTTAATGTAGAAAAGGTTTTTGTTTAACTTTTATGTGCCCAAATATATTAGTCTTTTGCATTGATATTCTGCCTTTTCTATGTTTAAAATATCCTTTAAAGGGGCCTAAGTATTTATTTTGGAAGTGTGTGTTTTCTATGAAAGAATTCTCCAAGATACAAAACCACTCTCTCCTTTAAGAGATGTTTTTACTTAATGAATGTCCATAAAAAAGAAAAGGATATAATAACACCATTCTATGTTTTTATATGTTAGATTTTAGTTAATTCTATACATTAAGTTACACTTAATTGGCATTATTTTTGAAGACTGAAATATATGTTGGATGAATGAAACAAAATAGAAAATAAAAGAGTAATAACAAAATAAATATTTAGTGCCAGGCACGGTGGCTCATGCCTGTAATCCCAGGCCTTTGGGAGGCTGAGGCGGGAGGATCACTTCCTGAGGTCGGGAGTTCGAGACCAGCCTGACCAACATGGAGAAACCCTGTCTCTACTAAAAATACAAAATTAGCTGGGTGTGGTGGCGCATGCCTGTAATCCCAGCTACTTGGGAGGCTGAGGCAGGAGAATCACTTGAACCCAGGAGGCGGAGGTTGTGGTGAGCCGAGATCACGCCATTGCACTCCAGCCTGGGCAACAAGAGTGAAACTTAATCTCAAAAAAAAAAAAAAAAACCTCAAAAAACAAAACCAACCAAACAAACAAAAACAAAATAAATATTTGGTAAGTGGATAAATAAACGAATCCCTATAAATTAACATAACTCCAAGTTGTCACAGTTGATAGTTAAATGCTTAACTGAATATTTTGCCATTTTAAGAATTACTGTTAATATTTTTCTATCTTTATCCTAAAAAGGATTCTTCTCGACCTTTGTATGCTATTTTAATCACTCCCTTAAAGCTCTATTTAATCACTCCCTTAAAGCTCATAATTTTTATCTGCCCTTGCTTTTTATAGTTTCCTTTCAGCGCTTCATATTTCCTTCCCTTTGTAGTTTATTTGATCCATAAAGAGCGTACTTAAAATTTTTCCTACTTCCGCACTGTTAGGTTCTCATTAAGCTTATTTCATATGCCCAGCATAATTTGAATGTCTTATTTCCCATTACTGCAAATTTCTTCACATATTCAGAGTTCTCTAATTTATTTTAAGTAAAAGAAGAGTAAAGTAATTAAGACACAGCATACATGGAACAATATAGGAGAAAAGTAGTTCTTTTTAGGTACTAGCTTTTAATATGTAATAAGAGAAATTTAAAATGAAAATTAAGTCTGTATTTATATGGTGAAATAAATATAAAAATTGTTTAAGAAAATTATAAATTAAAAATAGTGATATAGACATTAAAGGTGAAAAAACACACCATCATTTTGGGTAAATTACTTTTCATAGCTATAACTCACAAAAAAACCTTGACATTCAATCTTATAAATGAAGTAGCTTTCAGTTAACATATGCATTTTAATCAAATGTAACATTAGAGGGTAGAACATTGTCTGACCCAAAATAGAGGTTTCATGCATATTTTTTCAAATGTAAATATGTAAACAAAACTTACCAAAAAATGTGGCATTAAAATTTTTCTGACCTTAGCAAATGCTTTTAAACATATTTTAGAAGTTCATAGGCTTTCCAAAGTCATCTATCATTACAAGAATAGCTGTCATTGCTTTTAGTAAAAGTTTCAATTTTCATTGATATCACCATAATTATTACATTACAGGCTTCTTTTTTTTTTTTTTTACTGTTTCTGTTACCTCACTTCCAATTCCTATACTTCACTTTACCTTTTCTTATTTTTTTATTTTATTATTATTACACTTTAAGTTTTAGGGTACATGTGCACAACGTGCAGGTTTGTTACATATATATACATGTGCCATGTTGGTGTGCTGCACCCATTAACTTGTCATTTAGCATTAGGTATGTCGCCTAATGCTATCCCTCCCCCCTCTCCCCACCCCACAACAGTCCCCGGTGTGTGATGTTCCCCTTCCTGTGTCCATGTGTTCTCATTGTTCAATTCCCACCTATGAGTGACAGCATGCGGTGTTTGGTTTTTTGTCCTTGCGATAGTTTGCTGAGAATGATGGTTTCCAGTTTCATCCATGTCCCTACAAAGGACATGAACTCATCATATTTTATGGCTGCATAGTATCCCATGGTATATATGTGCCACATTTTCTTAATCCAGTCTATCGTTGTTGGACATTTAGGTTGGTTCCAAGTCTTTGCTAGTGTGAATAGTGCCGCTATAAACATACGTGTGCATGTGTCTTTATAGCAGCATGATTTATAGTCCTTTGGGTATATACCCAGTAATGGGATGGCTGGGTCAAATGGTATTTCTAGTTCTAGATCCCTGAGGAATCGCCACACTGACTTCCACAGTGATTGAACTAGGTTACAGTCCCACCAACAGTGTAAAAGTGTTCCTATTTCTCCACATCCCCTCCAGCACCTGTTGTTTCCTGACTTTTTAGTGATCGCCATTCTAACTGGTGTGAGATGGTATCTCATTGTGGTTTTGATTTGCATTTATCTGATGGCCAGTGATGATGAGCATTTTTTCATGTGTTTTTTGCCTGCATAAATGTCTTCTTTTGAGAAGTGTCTATTCATATCCTTTGCCCACTTTTTGATGGGGTTGTTTTTTCTTGTAAATTTGTTTGAGTTCATTGTAGATTCTGGATATTAGCCCTTTGTCAGATGAGTAGGTTGCAAAAATTTTCTCCCATTCTGTAGGTTGCCTGTTCATTCTGATGGTAGTTTCTTTTGCTGTGCAGAAGCTCTTTAGTTTAATTAGATCCCATTTGTCAATTTTGGCTTTTGTTGCCATTGCTTTTGGTGTTTTAGACATGAAGTCCTTGCCCATGCCTATGTCCTGAATGGTATTGCCTAAGTTTTCTTCTAGGGTTTTTATGGTTGTAGGTCTAACACTTAAGTCTTTAATCCATCTTGAATTAATTTTTGTATAAGGTGTAAGGAAGGGATCCAGTTTCAGCTTTCTACATATGGCTAGCCAGTTTTCCCAGCACCATTTATTAAATAGGGAATCCTTTCCCCATTGCTTGTTTTTGTCAGGTTTGTCAAAGATCAGATAGTTGTAGATATGTGTCATTATTTCTCAGGGCTCTGTTCTGTTCCATTGGTCTATATCTCTGTTTTGGTACCAGTACCATGCTGTTTTGGTTACTGTAGCCTTGTAGTATAGTTTGAAGTCAGGTAGCGTGATGCCTCCAGCTTTGTTCTTTTGGCTTAGGATTGACTTGGCGATGCGGGCTCTTTTTTTGGTTCCATATGAACTTTAAAGTAGTTTTTTCCAATTCTGTGAAGAAAGTCATTGGTAGCTTGATGGGGATGGCATTGAATCTATAAATTACCTTTGGCAGTATGGCCATTTTCACGATATTGATTCTTCCTACCCATGAGCATGGAATGTTCTTCCATTTGTTCATTGAGCAGTGGTTTATAGTTCTCCTTGAAGAGGTCCTTCACATCCCTTGTAAGTTGGATTCTTAGGTATTTTATTCTCTTTGAAGCAATTATGAATGGGAGTTCACTCATGATTTGGCTCTCTGTTTGTCTGTTATTGGTGTATAAGAATACTTGTGATTTTTGTACATTGATTTTGTATCCTGAGACTTAGCTATTTGAAGAATTGCCACACAGCTTTACACAAAAGTTGAACTAATTTACACTTCTACCAACAGTATAAAAGCAGATGATAGTATCTGACTGTTGTTTTGATTTGCATTTCTCTAATGATCAGTTGTGTTGAGCTTTTTTTCATATGCTTGTTGGCAGAGTGTGTGTCTTCTTTTCAAAAGTATCTGTCCTTTGCCTACAAATTTCTATGTCTTGATGCCAGGTCTTCAACACTCATTGAGAATTTTTGGTCTTTATCTGATAGCTTAAAGTCCAAATTTAAATATAAACTTATTACAGTCTGTATGCCCATATCGCTAATTGTTTTACCTTTGTTCGTATCATATAAGGAAATCACTCTCTTTTAATTGAATTATCAGCTATAAGTTGGCTGCAGATATCTATTACCTGGGAATGGGTTCTTTAGGGAGTGGAGAGCATCTTCTTTTCTACTTCTATACTCTTATTGCTCTATCCCTCTGACTTCTTTGAAGGGAAACAATTATACAGGCCATTCTGACCTTTTGCTATTAAAGAAAACTTGGAGGCTAATCACCACCTGTAAAAGTATTTTCCATGATGCTGAAATTACTGGTTCTGTGGTATGTGTGTGTCACACAATGAGACGTCCTTTATGATTAGAACAGCCTAGGATTGTACTATGAAATCATCTTATTCACACTCTGTGTGAACCACATCCAAGGGGCTTGAATAAGACAGGAAATGTTTTTCAATTCATTTTCAAGAGTTTTCTTGGTGTACTGAGATTTCAGCAAGTTTGGGAAGGAGAAGAAGGAAATGCTATGAGAACTTGACACGAAGTGCAATGCCACATGCAAGAGCAAAAGAAAAGAAACTGCAAGATGGATACTGCCACAAAAGAAACTTGAAACATTCATTTGGGGACAGGGAAAGGGGAAGACCAAAGAGAAAGGAAATAGTCCTATTATCCATTTTGTTGGCTTCTCTATTGCTGGTCAAATTATCTGAGCTCTACAACTTTCCACATGTAATTGATTTTCCTATTTATTGGCAAAATGACTTAAGACTGAAGGTGAGTCAGTGGCTCAACCTAGAAGGAAATTCGTACATAGTTCTTGGTCAACTTGTTAATATTTCTTTTTTAGTTCAGTGCTTAGTATAGTTTCCAAGTAATAAATCTTAATAATTCTTGAAAACGGAAGGAAAGAAGTCAGGTTAAAATACAAGCAGCAAAATAAATATATGATTTAAGCTGCTTTTCTACATACAGCTAAACTTTTAGAAGTAGAGTTTGTTTTTATTGGGCTAACACACATCATGTCAGGAGGTCTTAATAATGCTGGCAAGCAAGAAAGCTGATGGAAAGTTTCTCTGGCTAACAAAAATCCTTTTTTAAGAACACATGGAAGATATCCATTTCAGAGAATTTAGAAATCCATGGGGAAAAAGAAATTCCGAAAGACATTATTTTTGTTCTGGCTCTCGTGTTTTCTCTTTCTCCCCTTTGCCTCTACTTACAGAAAGAAAATCAAGGATTTCTTACTTCATAGGTCAATGAATCAAGATACTGAATCTCTGCACACTCACAACTGTATGCACTGCCCATGTGGCCTCAGGCAAAAGTAGCTGGCCTTCACATTCAAATTGTACAAATAATAAATGGCCATAGATTAGTACTTTAAGATTTGGAAACTGAAAATAAACATTTGGTGAGTTTTCAGTGAAAACATTAAAATATGTTTTCCAGGTGTTATTTTATAGGGATATCATTTATAAGGTGGGATATTATCATTTGTAAGGTTTCTTTGAACATATGTGAATTTTTGCATATGACAAGCTAAATTAGAAAATGTGTATTCTCAGTTGTTTCTTCCCAACTTGATTTATAACAATCCAACAACAATCATTTAATATTTTCTTCTTCCTTTTGAACCAACCTACTATGTGCACTTTACAAAGTTATAGATTAGCTGGACAGCCTAAGGCCTGTCAAACATATACCCAGTCAACTAAACCTTGGTGCTATGGTTTGAATGTATCCTCTAAAATGCATGCTGAAGTTTAATTGTCCTTGTGATGGTATTAAGTGGTGGGACCTTTATGAGGTGATTATTATTAATGCCATTATCTAGAGAGTAGATTAGTTATCTCAGGAGTGGGTCCTATACAAGGATAAGTTTGCTCCCATTTTCTCTGTGTCTCACATGCTCACTCTCCATGTAATGCCTTCTGCCATAGACTGACCCTCAGCAGATGCTGGTGCCATGCTTTTGAACTTCCCAGCCTCCAGAACCATATGCCAAATAAATTTCTACTATTTATAAATTACCCAGTCTGTAGCATTTCATTGCATCAGCAGGAAATGGACAAAGACACTTGGCCTCCTTAGAAATATGCATGTTTTATCTGAATGTAATTAAAACTTATTTGCACACACCTTCATCTGAGTTCTGTCATTTAATAAAACAATTGTTATTACAAAAATGATCATTAAAAAAGAATCTAAGAAAGTCTGACTAGCTATCACACCTATAAACTGCCTCCATATAAAGTTTTTCATTTTGTATCAATTAATTTGCTTTGTCCCATGTGAGCTACAGCTTGATCCATGACTCATTTGAGCTCCAGATCCTAGAGTACTCATTTATTGACTAGACACAAGGAAAACCGGTGGCCTATAAGATGGCATCATGCTCTGTATTGGGAATAGGAAATGTTCTATCAATATTTGAATGACAGATTCACTACTCTGATTCTCTTTCTTAGGAAGTTAGATATCAGATATGTAGCAAGTCCTATCAGTTCCTCTTTCACAATATTTCCTTTACCAATGCTCTCCTTCCACCCAACTGCCACCATCCTATCCAAACTACCATCATCTCTCTATTGGACTGAGACCATAGCCTACTTACCCAGTCTCTCCATCACCACTGTTGCCCTGTCAAAATCCACTTTCCTTATAGCAGCCAGAGTGTTCTTTTATTTTAAAAGATTTTTTAAAGTCATTTCAATTTTTATTTTAGATTCAAGGGGGTACATGTAGAGATTTGTTACATGGGTGTACTGCATGATGCTGAGTTTTGGGATATGATTGATTCCATTACCCAGGTAATGAGCATAGTACCCAATAGACAGTTATCAGCTCCTGCTCCCTCTCTCTCTCCCCACCAGCAGTCCCCAGCATCTACTGTTTCCATCTTTGTGTACATGTATATCCAATGTTTTGCTCCCACTTATAAGTGAGAACATGTGGTATTTGGTTTTCTGTTTCTGCATTAATTCACTTAGGGTAATTGCCTCCAGCTGCATTCATGTTGCTGCAAAGAACATGATTTCAGTCTCTTTATTGCCGCACAGTATTTAATGGTGTATATGTACCACATTTTCTTTATCCGTACACTGTTGATAGGCATCTAGATTGATTTCTTTGCTATTGTGAATAGTGCTGTGCTGAGCATATGAGTGCATGTGTTTTTTTTTTGTGGAACAATTGGCTTTCCTTTGGGTATATACTGAGTAATGGGAATGCTAAGTCAAAAGGCAGCTAGAGAAAAAGGTCAGATCACTTACAAAGGGAACCATCCGGCTTCTCAGAGTGTTCTTTTTAAAAGTACAGAAGATCGGGTAACTTACCTGATTAAAATTCTTCAATGATTTCTCATTCCTTATAAACTAAAATTCCAACTCTAGCATAAGCTACTTTCTGCCTGCCTCTTTGCATCTCCATTCTCCAACCTCACTCATTGTGCCCCAGATATGCTGACCTCCTTCCTGTTCCTCATGCATGTCAAATTCTCTTCCACCTCAGGTCCTTTGCTATTGCTGTTTCCTATCTCTGGAAACATCTCCTCCCCTTTCCCCCATGTATTACATGGCTGGCTTATTTTACCTTCAGAACTCAGCTCAAATATCTTCTTCAAGAGGTTTTCCTCTAAAGCAGTCGTTCTCAGTCTTCACTGTTTATCAGAATGTCCTAGGAAGCTAATAAAAACTTCAGCTGACTTGATTACTTCCCAACCCTGAGAAGTAATTCAGACTAGGACTCTGGCATCAGTATTAAATCAGAACAAAACAAAACCCTCTACAGGTGGTTGTAATTGCAGCCAAATTTTGAATCAGTGATCTAAAGAAACTCACCATTTTCTTTCTCCATTATATCCACCTTTTAGTGTCCCTTAGTGTGTATCATATTCTATAATCACCTTATTTACTTATCATTTTCATATTGTCTTTTTCTTTGACAAAAATGTCAATTATATGAGAGAAGGGAAATATTCTCCTTATTCACTGCTGTGCCCCTAATGTCCAAAATATAGTAGGTCAATAAAAGAAGGACTGAAGGACCTTTAGGTCAATAGACAAACAAACAAAGAAGTGTTAAGCATCCGAGAAACAATATGGAGAATCTATTAAGTAAAGGGGATACCAAAAGTGAAAGAGAGTAAGTGGTGGAAAGATATGAAGAAACCAGAGAGAAGCTGAATCATGAGAATGAAGAAAAGCATAAACTATGGACAACAACATTTGCTCTTAGGTCATTGGTCTCTTCCAATGAAACCTGAACGTCCAAAGGCTAAAATTGAGTCCTTTTTTGTGAGTCCTTAAGATGTCCTACATTATCTCAGTTTTATGCAAACTCAGTTCCATGCAAAACCATGCTCAGCTCCATGCAAACCGCTTTGCTGACACATTGAGATTAAGACTATTTCATTACTGAATTTTAGCATAGAGAAGCCTTACCTTAGACACAGAGGCTTTCTCTTTTTTATTCAAACCATTTTTAATAGAAACCTTTTTACAGATATGCTAATTTACTTACATTCTTCAAAAGGATATGCTAAAGCATATTTCACATTATCTTGGTAACTCCAGGATTTTTGAGAGTCAAATATTTCATTATCTTATATTACCCTGGTATTTTTAAGAAATTTTAAAACATAGACCACTATTATAAAAGTCTTCAGACCACAGGACATTTATAGTTCTCAACTTTTTTCTCTTTTTTATGTTTTAAGTTTTCTTTTTTATGTCTATAGGAACTCTACTTTTACTAGCATGTTCCCATTTCTTTTTTTTTTTTTTTTTTTTTTTTTCCGAGATGGAGTCTCACTCTGTCGCCCAGGCTGGAGTGCAGTGGCGCAATCTCAGCTCACTGCAAGATCTGCCTCCCAGGTTCACTCCATTCTCCTGCCTCAGCCTCCTGAGTAGCTGGGACTACAGGCGCCTGCCACCACACCCGGCTAATTTTTTGTATTTTTAGTAGAGACGGGGTTTCACCGTATTAGCCAGGATGGTCTCTATCTCCTGACCTCGTGATCCGCCCGCCTCAGCCTCCCAAAGTGCTGGGATTACAGGCATGAGCCACCGCGCCTGGCCCATGTTCCCACTTCTTAATCATGCTTTTATTAAGCTGTGAGCTTTTAAAGTTAATTACATACTTTTTAAAACAAACACAAATAGTGATTCCCAATTTTACCTAAAATTGTAATCCCCTGGAGAGTTTTATAATCTACCTATGTCTGCCCTTCTTCAGCCCCTAGAATTTATCATTTAAACGCCCAAGGTGTGGACAGGGCACTAGTTGTTATTAGTGGTTTTTTTTTAAAATTTTATACTTTTTTTATCCCCAGGTGATTCTAATATGTACCTCGTGCTAAAATGCACAGAGGTTTAGCAAAGAATAAATTTGGAATTATCCAGAAGTTTTCCCTATTTTTAGGGATAATGTTCAAGTAGCCTTGACTCTTTCCTTAATTCAGTCTCTCCTTAGTATCCCTCACTTGATTACTGCTGCCTCTGCCAATACTCAGCCTCTAAGATTATAAAGCTTTCATTTACGATTCCACCCCAAGAACAGACAAACTCCATTAACTTTGTTCTCTTTAAGCTCAAGAATATTAGAGTTGAAAGGGCTCTTCACAAATAATCTAATCCAACTCTCCTCTATTTAGAGATGAGAGATTTGAGACAGGGAAGTAGTGTGCCTGAGGTCCAGTAAACTAGTTCCCAGAAGAGATGGCACTACAAATTCTCCATCCATTGACAATTACAATACTGTCCCTGTGGAAAAGTGGTGCTATAAAGTCAGTAAGAGTACGTGTTTAACAAACTGTCTTAGTCAAGGTGCTTTTAGAGTACAAAAAGAAAAACCCATTCAACCTAGCAAAAAATCACAGAGAGAAACTTAAAAAGTATCAGTAGTATCTTGCAGATCTCCAGTCAGGAGGCATTAGGAATTGGAACCAGCAATTGGAAAAGCACTGGGGGCCCAGTTCGTCTGTGTGTATGTGTGTGTGTCTATCTCCATGCTACTTTCTCAGCTTTACCTTGCACCTAAAGGTAAATGACTGGCACCCCTGCTCCTGCAAATAAATGTCAGTTTCTGAAACTAATGAATCCAACAAATACCTCTGTCTCCATTTCAAAGTTTTGGGAGCAGGGACCTGATCAGCCCTTTGGTCAGGTGTCCACTCATTCTCCTCCCAAAAATGAGCAGGGAGCAAAGTCATGTTGTAGAAATATGGGTACAGGCTTATGTTACCATTGGGGAGAGTTCTGGAGAGACATTCTCAGAAGTGGGTCATGTACAATCCTAAACAATGATCTTACCCTCACTTAGTAAGACAATTAAACTTCTGAAATTTGCATAACGAAAAGCTTACCGGTTTGTCTTTGACCTATATTATATCATGAGATTAATAGCTTCATTAATTAGGAGTTCCTGGCCAGTCCCATATTGAAAGCTACATTCCAGAAACATTAATTTTTAAAATTACTCTCAGGTGATTTAAAGGAATTAAATAAATATCTCAAAGCTCAATGAATCAAATATGCAATCATAGAGAAAGCGTTTGCACGTGCATGTTTAGACAGGTGGCAGAACTTAGTGACAACACAGCAGAATAAGGAGCCCACCCTCTCTTCTTCCACCAGCCTCACTGGGAAATGTCACCCAGTGAAATTGGTTCAGATAGAATAGTGATTCCCAATAGTGGTCTCTGGACCAGCAGCATCACTATCACCTGGGAACTTATAGAAACAAGTCCTGAAGCTCCAGCTGAGATCTACAGAATCAGAAACTCTGGGGGTGAGGCCCAAAAATCTGTATTTTAAACAGCCCTCCAGTTGATTCTGATATAGTCTAAGCTTTGGAAACCACTACAATAGAAAGCTACTGAGATTGGGGCCACTGCTTTGACTTGGAATAAGCTGGTTATCTGTCCACAGAGTGGCAAGGTGAAGAAAATGAGCATAGAATAGACTATGGAAAAACCTAGCTTTGTCCTGGAATTGTCTTCGCTAGAAGAATGGCCTTGATCAAGTCACCTAGCCTGTCTAACCCTTAGTGTTTTTCATCTTTAAAATAGAAAATAAGGAAAATGACTTAAGTTTTTGAAAATCAAATTTAGAATAATGTGTGATAGCTTTTTCATCAGAATGTTTAAATTAATCGCACTAGAATTTTCGTAGCCATAGTCTACACCTATCCCCAGTACTGAAGAAGAAAAGCAGAATTCAGTTTCACAGTAAAGGGGAATTTTAACAAGCCCGACATACCTGCATATATATATCATATATAACAGTGTGTGGAAACTATTTGCTGTAACAGCTGACTGTAAGGCTAACTTTGTAATATTGATTAAAAATCCCTTCTAAAACTCCTTAAGAAACATCCACAGATATGGGTACAATTGATCCCCACAGATTCTATATTTGCAAATTTGCCTACACATTAAATTTATTTGTAACCACCATAGCAATACAGAGATTTTGTGGTCATTCACATGCATGTGATGAGCTGAAAAAAATTTGAGTTGCTTGACACATACATTCCCAACTGAGGTCAAATAAAGTAACACTCTTCCTTCTTGTTTAAACTCTCTGTTGGTGATTTTGCCCTTTTAAATGGCCCCTAAGCGTAGGCTGAATGCTGTCTAGTATTACTAAGTGCAGAAAGATATGATGTGTTTTATTGAGAAAATACATGTGTTAGATGAATTAGGCATGAGTTGCCACACTGTTAGCCATGAGTTTAATGTTAATGAATCAACAATGTATATTCAAGAAGTTGTCTTCAAACAGAAACACACATAAAACAAAGTTATGTATTGATTGTATGACAAAAATATTATAATCAAAGACATGCAGGAACCTGATCCTGTTTTTCTGCTAGGAGTGCTGGTTCAGTATTCACTAATTAAATGCTCACAGTGACTTTATAGAATATAACTACTGCAAATAACAAGAATTGTCCATATTTTTAAAGTCTAAAGCCAAGAGGAGCATAAAATCAAAGCTTACCAAACAAGCCTTTGGCAGCTGGAAGGTTTTGAGGACAGTAAAAATATATATAGATATTTTTAAACTATATATATATATGTGTGTGTGTGTGTGTGTGTGTGTGTGTGTGTGTTATATTGGTACAAATATATATATAATCCTAATATATCTCCCAACATGTACTGGGGGAAAGATGATACAAATACAATCTTTCAAGAATTATTAAAGAAAGGATTCTTGCTGAAGGTAGAAAGGCTTATCAAGTTTAAGATTATATTATGATGCTTATTTTTAAACTGTCTTAAACTTCCTAGTTGATTTACATATGTAAATATATTGAATGAATCACGTATTTGCCAAGGTAAACTAAAATTAGCTTATTTATGTTCATTTTACCATAGGATATAAATACTAGATTGAATTTAAAATGCATAATGCTTTCTGCCAATAAACATCAGCACATTCTGCCAGATGCTTATCACCAAGACAGATTTAGTATCAGACTCAGAATCTGTGATTACTATTAAATAGTTCTCATAAATATAATTAGAATCATCTTTGTGTTTAGATAGTTTACTTACTATACTTTAAAGTATTCTATATAGTATTTTGGATATTTTTGAATATCTACATTATCAGAAATGGAAAAGGTTTATAATTTTCAATTAGTTGACTAATTATGTAACAAATATTTATTGAATGCCTATCATGTGCCAGGCACTGTACTAGATATTAAATATACAGTGGAAAATAAGATAAACACATCCTTGTGCTCAGAGAGCTCGCAGGCCAGGAAAAAAGGACAGTCTCGGAACAAAGGCAAGGCTGACCATCCCCCAGGAGGAAAGTATTTTTTCTGCCTGACTGTTTTTGAACTGGGACATCAGCTTCTTTCCTGCCATCAGGCTTGAACTGAAACATCAGTTCTTTCTAGGTCTCAAACCTATCAGCCATTGAATGAGAACCACATCATGAGCTCTCCTGGCTCCCAGGCCTTCAGACTTAGATTGAAAGTAACCATCAGCTCTCCTTGGTCTACAGCTTTGCCAACTCACACTGTAGATCTTGGAACTTGCCTATCCCCATAATTGTATGAGCCAATTTCTTATAATAGATCTGTTTATCTATATATACGTCTGATTGGTTCAGCTTCTCTTGAGATCCCTAATACAAAGAAGGTATTAAAATTATACAGATAATGGTGATAAAGGGAGAAAGTTCTAGAAAGAAAGAAGAGCTGGTAGAAAGACCTGGAGGAAAAGGAGCTAGCCTCTTAGAAGAACTGAAATAAAATTTACAACAGCAAACACTTTCTTAGCACTTCTTGTATGTCAGACTTGTTCTAAGATCTTTTCATATGTTTTCTCATCTAATCCTCACAACCACCCCATGAATAGGTTCGGTTATTATTCCAAAGAGCAGATGAAAACATTGAGGCACAGAAAGGTTGAGTCACTTGCTTAAGATCAGGCCTACAGAACAGAAAGAACTGAGTTCCACAGTGAGGCCTTCTGTTTTCAGAAAGGCCTTCACTCCTCCTTAGGACTGGTGAGAAGAGTAAGTAAATGGTAAGGAGAAATACCAGATCACAGACAACCTGAAAGCCCTGTTAAGCAAATTCAAGCTTTTTCTTACAATAAGAGCAAGAACCAGAGGAAGGTTTAAAGCACAGGATTGACTAGATTTGATTTTTGTTTTAAAAAAGATATGAAATAATTGCAGGGAAGAAAATAGAACAACAGAAAACAAGACAAGTGAGTTTTGCTTTGATACAAGATTTGTCCTTCAACCGCTTTACCTGAGCACCTAAGAACAGTTTAGTCACTCCAGAAAATACGAAAAGAAAAACTCCAAACAATATAAACACCTTTAAGAAAATCTCTTCTCAACTGGATAATCATGAACCTATTCCCTTCAGTTATCTTGTCATCTTGTCCCAATAATGTTCAGAAAGGTTCCTGGCCACTTAAAAGAGCAAAGATGGGAAAATGAAGTATGAAGGTGCATGGAGAGGGCAAGACATCTGCAGGAGGGTGGCAGGGAACTCCTTGGGCTAAGGAGTCTCAGTGGTCAGGCAGCTGATCAGCCGATGATGAGGGACAAAGTAGATGGTGAGAGGTGGAAAGGAGAGAAAGGAGATCAAAAAATGAAATTGTAGTGTAAATATGATAAACCATTTTTACAAATGTGATAAGCCAATCAAAACCAATCTCTTA
The DNA here is from genome assembly GCF_000001405.40 of Homo sapiens. Taxonomy (NCBI): domain Eukaryota; kingdom Metazoa; phylum Chordata; class Mammalia; order Primates; family Hominidae; genus Homo; species Homo sapiens. The sequence continues at coordinate 151,602,509 of NC_000003.12, read as the reverse complement.
CTGAAAATTTAAAAATTACCATGTCACTATTGTCTAAGCTGACCCAGAAAGTGTTTTGAAGGCCACACATGTAGCATTGGGCCACTTGGAATAATAATTTGCCAAGGAAAAGTTTAGCTTCTTAGATTCAGAATATAAAGATTGAGCACAGGAAATCAAATAGTGGGTTGAGGCCAAATTTTGCGTGAGCATGAAAGTACAAACTATTAAAAGCTGAAAAGATATATATATTTTTAAATGCATAAAGGATTATCCAATTCAATAAATTCTCCATATGTAATGATATCGAATGCTCTATTATGAAGAAAACCAAAATAACCAGTTCTAGTCTTAGAATCCCTTTATGTCTCAGATTCTTGAATCCACAACAAAGGCTTTCCTTAGCAGAGACTATCACAGTAAATATTCCTCTAGGCTGCTTCCAGCTTTGTTTTCCTTTTAAGAGCTGCTAGTTAAATAACACTGATAAAAGCAAAAAAAAAAAATCTTAAGATGCTAACTTGATTGATAGCAATGCTTCTTAAGTGATGACATCTGTTTGACATCTCAGATTTCCCAAAAAGCATACTTGTGAGGACATTTGGTAGCCTTTTCTATACAGGAAAGACAAGATTCTGAAGGTTGTCACTAACTGCCCCATGGAGACATGTCAGAGCTTGGATTGAGCTTCTCTTAACGGTCCTACTCATATAAGCACAGAATTTTAGAGTTCATTTCGTTTAATGCCCTCATGTTCCTGGGGTGTCTATTACCAGTTGTATTTACCAAAGTGCATGTGTAGATCTTTGTAATTTTTCAACAACTTATTGACAGAAAGAATCACAAAGGTGCTGAGCTCAGACTCACACCTCTGAGGAACTTTACTTTGGATTTTAGCCTATGTTTTAAACCTCATGAAACTTTATGCATAGGCAAAGAACACAGGCCCCAAGTAAAGCAGTCTAGTCATCAAGCATATGTCTCATTTAAAACATGTTCTTTGAGCCAAAGCAAGAGTTTCTTATTTGTTAAGTGTGTTTTTCCAAGGCAGTATGAGACTTGACTTTAAAATTTACTCAAATAAGCATGTGTGTGTGCGTGTGTACTTTATTTTTAATTCCAAATTCCATTTTTGTTTCAAATGTATATTTTTGCATAATTTTCAATTGTTCTGCATGAATTAAAATTTGCTAGTTTTCTTTCTGTTTTTGCTATTATTCTAATCATTTTCGGACTAGCACTGTCGTGTAAAAGAGATTTTATTTTATTTTTCCCTCTACCCTGGATCTGAACTTCCAAAGTTTTTAATTTAGAGTTTGAGCCAGTAATTGATTATTCAATAGGGAAGATGTGTCACCAAAATATTAATTATAGATCACATAGACTTGTGTGAATCTCTCAGGATATGGTATCAAAGGAAGCTAAGTGGGGAAAATTCTTGTTTCTGGTAAAGTCATCAAAACCTTTGATCAACACCAGTTTGTTTCTTTTTTTTTTTTTCCTGTCTACAAAGTTTGACTTGAATAAGATTTCTTTCCTTGACATAATACTTTCAAGAATTGTTTTATTTTTAAAACAGAATCTTAACCCAAAAGAAGAATGAGCCAAGAACATGAACAGACAATTCAAAGAAAAGGAAATGACCTTTAAACATATGAAACAATGTCCAACTTCAGGCAATAAGAGAAATGCACTTATTAAGACTACAAGAAAATGCCTTATTTTTTCATCTATCAGTCTTGCAAAGATTTGAAAGTTGACTATTATATCATTTTGACAAAAAGGTAAGAAAATATACACTATAATACATAATTGGTGATGTTATAAATTGATTTAAATTTTGGAGGTCAATTCGACAATATTTTCAAAGTTAAAATACACAAATGCCCTGCACTGAAATTTTACTTCTAGAAATTTTTCTTGAAGAAATCCTATAACAAATGCATAAAAATGTAGGTATACTGTTATTTTTTGCAGCAGCCATGCATTGGACTACTCCACAGCTTTTAATAAGAATAAGAAAAAGCTATAGAAAGTGATATGAAAGTAACTGCAAATCATATTAATTGACTAAGGGAATATACAGTATAGTTTGCAGAGTACATTACTTTGTGAATTACAAAAATAATACGTGTAGACATGAAGTATAAGAAACTGGCAAAATAATTTGCCTCTGGAGAGAATTGGTAAGCAGGACTAGGAGACCAAAGTGAAATGGAAATTCACTTTTTACTGTGTATCTTTTTATACTGTTGAGATTTTTTTCAAACCATCTGCACTATTACTTATCTTCTTAAAAATAACATTTTAAAATGAAAGAGTAAGAAATTGTGTTTTAGCTACCTGAAAATGAGTAAAAAATGCCAATATGAATGAACTTTAAAACTTTAAACCTGATAAAAATAGAAAACAAAAATGCATTTACAATGCATTAATGTTATTGATCTTAAGTTACAACTTCATGATACTACAATTAACTGAAAATGATACAGACAACTTACTACTTTGTCCACATAGCAAAAACACATTTATTACACTCCTGCATTCTCCAAACCAATCAATACATATCCAGCCCATTAATATCCTTGGACAGCCACTCATACTTGGATGGTTCTATTTGATCTGTTTCCAACTTTCCCATGCTGTCCTAATCATCTTTCATTTAGACCAGAGGTGGGCCAGCTTATTCTGTAAAGAGTCAGGTAGTAACTATTTTAGGCTTTGAGGGCCATGAGGCAAAATCAAACTTATTATCTATGTGTTTATATTTAAAAAAAATACAAATATCCACATTCTTTAATTGACAAAATTTAAAATGCAATAATAATTGAGAAAAAAATGTCTACTAACAAGAAGAATTATTTTGTCAGAAGGAATATTTTGCTTAATTAGTGTTTAAAGTTCGATTTTCCTATCATTAAGTCCATTGAAAATTTGTAAAAGCTTTTATCTTCTGGGTCCACAAAAAAGACGCAATAAAGTCAAATGTGGCCCATGGGCTGTAATTTTCCACCCCTGATTTCAAGACCAGTATCCTCCCCACCTTCTTGCCTCTGTTATCTTGACAACCAAATCCATTCTGCCTCAAAGATATTGCTAAGCTCTAATGTTACCAGTCACTCCCCTGCTTAAGGTTTCCTGCAAAAAATTTTTATTGCTTAGACTAGAGAATAAAAGCTAGGCTCCTTAACCCGCAGGCCAGTTCCTCCTAGTGTGGTGCTGGCCTATCCTCAGCCTCCTTTCCCTCCTCTCCAACCCTCAGCCCCGCCCACCCCAGACGCACAGGCACTTTTTGCTCTAACAACTCTGAACAACTTCTTGACACACCACAAGCTGTTTTACCCCCTTATAGCTGCTGCTGCCCTTTCCTGGAGCCCTTCCCTTCCTTTTCCACTCGACGGCTCCCAGCCAGCCAGCAAACTGCTCAGCACTCATCCCTTCTGAGAAGCCTGGCTGCTTCTCCACACACCCTATCCACATGGAATCACCATTTCACCACTTCTCTCAGCACTTCTATTCTTGAATGGATAACATTTGATTATATTTACTACCATTGGAAGTCTGTTGCCTTTCTTGTATCTAGTTCCTCTTTCCCTGGCCCCTAGAATATGCCTGGAACACAGTAGGAACTCACTTATTGTTAAGCTAAACTTTTTCAATTAAATGGCAGCTTTGATGTTAAATACAAATGAGCCCATCACCCACTCACTAGATACCTATGGTATTAACAATGTCCCAAACTTGTACAGTTGGCACTCCGTATCTGTGGGTTCCACATTCGTGGATTCAACCAACTGAAGATCAAAAATATTTTAAAAAAAATAGATGGTTGTGTCTATACTGAATGTACACATATTTTTCCCTTGTCATTATTCCCTAAATACTGTGTAACAACAATTTACATAGCATTTACCTTGTATTAGGTATTGTAAACTATCTAGAGGTTATTTAAAGTACATGGGATGATGTACATAGATTATATGCAAATGTTATACCATTCTATATAACAGCCTTGAGTATCCATGGATTTTGGTATCCTCAGAGGGTTCTGGAACCAATCCCCCATGGATACTCACAGATGACTGCATTTGGGGGTCAAATAATTAAGCAAACATTTCAGTACTACCATATTTCAATCATATTCAAACAATCAAGAGTTTTCTCTTTTGTCTGAGATGCTTAGACTTTTGGAAGCACAATTATAGCTAAAGGCTAAAACTTGCTCACAAACATTGCCCAAAGGCCAGCTCTTCTTGATGAGAATTTGCTCATACAGATGTACATACAATATTTGCAGGAAAAGTTGGCTTAAGTATCCCAACACTGGTATACAATCCACTACAAACCCAGGGCAGGAATAGGGGATGGCGGTGGGGGGAAGAAGCAAAAAAATGAATATTTTTCAAGTACTGAAGTATTCACACACACACACACACACACACACACACACACACACACACCAGTACTCATTTGTGCAGGTAACATTTCTGTTATTGCTATTGCTCTCTCCATGGGTTCCAGGAAGAATTTTCCACCAAAATATTTCAATTTGTGCCTCCACAAACTAAACAACTCTGTGTTGTGTAGGGTTGTTGTTGTGTTTTTTTTTTTTTTAGACAGAGTCTTGCTCCTGTCACCCAGGCTGGAGGGCAGTGGTGCGACCTCGGCTCACTGCAACCTCCGCCTCCCGGGTTCAAGGGATTCTTCTGCCTCAGCCTCCTGAGTAGCTGGGATTACAGGTGCCTGCCACCACACCTGGCTAATTTTTGTACTTTTAGTAGAGACGAGGTTTCACCATATTGGCCAGGCTGGTCTTGAACTCCTGACCTCAGGTGATCCACCCGCCTCAGCCTCCCAAAGTGCTGGGATTACAGGCGTGGGCCACCTCAAGCAGCCTGTGTTGTGTAGTTTTTAGGACTGGAGCATGCCAGGGTATTTCCCTTCATTTATGGGTTTCTATGTGCCAACCTAAAATAAAAGAGCACACCATTAAAGTTTCTATGTGAGTGTATTTTTGATGATGACTGTTAGGTAATTCTATGGCTTTTGCCAAAACCAGGCCTTATGCCAGGGATGTTCTTCTTCCTCATCTTTATTTACTTATCCTCCAGCTCTCTGGGCTTCCTCAGAAAAGCTGGCTCTGATCTCATCCCAGAGCAACCAAGCCCCTTTTTAGTGCTGTTCTAGCTCTCTATATTTGTCCTTCGTAGCACTAACCAAAGTTCATGATTAGACATTTGGGTGATTATTTAATCAATGTGTGTTATTCATAAGACCCGTGAAGTAGAATCTGTGTCCATTTCCTCACTGTGTCCACAACACCTACACAGTGCCTAAAGATGCATGCTCTGAAATACTGTCGAACACTTGTAGAGTGAGGTCAATGGTTCATTTGGTACTACTTCACTATTCTGAAGTAGTTTATATCTGAGACAATCGTGTGTTTGGAGGATAGAATTAACATCATAAAGGAACTGTGGAAACTGCCAGCTTCAATCTATTTATTTACTGAAAAAAAAAAACCCCGGAAACTCAGAGAAGTTACACAACTTGCCTGGAGTCTCATAGGAACTACTGGCAGAGTGTGGAAGGCCCATCTCCACCATTCAGTTAGTGGCAGCTCGCCATACCATTTACCTTTCTGTGAGGTCTCAAACCTTGCTTGCGATTTCAAACTCCCACCACGACTTTGGCTAGCATATCATAGCTTTGGCTCAATATGACACCTAATAACATCCATTTAGTTTACATGCTCACCCATCATCTTAGTGCCCATTTCTCAGTGACCTAATTTCAGTTCTGGTGAGGGAGAGAAAACCTGACCAGCATAAATTGGGCCCATTGTTCAATGCTGGTCTAGGTAACTGGGACCTAAGGAAGGAGTGCATTACAAGATACCTTAGGGATTGGGAATAGAAAGAAGGCGTCTCTAAGACGCTGGTGTCAGGGAAGATGTAGATACACAAGATACACATAGGCAATTGTAGCAAGGCCAAAGCGCATAAGAACATGCATAGAAAACACATACACAATACACACACACACACACACATAAACACCATAATATCTTTGTTTTGAATTCACTAGAATGGACTTCCTTATATGGAAAGCATTTTTGGTTTGTCATTTTGCCTTTTGTTTTGTTTATCCTTTGTCAAGCATGCAAATAAACATTTAAAAATACATTATGTCTGACGCATCTAATTATAAACAAACTTTATAGGAAGCATCTCACACAGGGTCTCCTAGGCATCTAGTAAATGGGCATTCAGTGATATGCCTGCTCCCATGAAAACATTGTTTTGTCTATTGCTTTATGTTACTGTTTTTAAAAATTTACAATAGTGACAGTAGCAATCTAATTGTCACCCATGGCTCAGCAAAGCCCATTGAACCATTCATATGACCACATTTGGCTTTTTGGTTTTTGTCTTTTCAAAAATTACATATATTTAAGGTATATGTGATTTTTTAATACATTTGTACATAGTGAAATGGTAACAACAGTCAAGAAAATTAACACACCCATCATCTCAAATAGCTACCCTCTTTTGTGTGTGTGTGTGGTAAGAGCACCTAAAATCTACTCTCAGTAAATTTCTAATATACAATACAATACAATATTATTAACTGTATTCCTCATGTTGTACATTGGATCTCTAGACTTATTCATTCCACTACGTAACTGCAACTTTGTACCCTTTAATCTATTTCTTTCCATTTCCTCCTCCTTCTCCTTCTCCTTCCCCTAGTAACCACCTTTCTATTCTCTGTTTCTATGTACTTCACCTTTTTTTTTTTTTTCAGATTCCAGATATCAGTGAGATCACTCAGTATATTTTCTTCTGTTTCTGGGGCTAATTTCACTTAGCATAATGTCCTCCATGTTCATTCATGTTGTCACGAATGACAGGATTTCCTTCTTTCTTAAGGCCAAATAAGATTCCATTATATTTATGTATATAATATATAGATCATTTTTATTCTATAATAGAATATAATAATATATTAGAGTATTGATGCTATTATAAATATATAATATTATATAACACTATATTATTCCATTATGTTATGTATGTGAAATATATGATATATTTTAATTTTAAGAATGTTTGGTCTATACCACATTTTCTTTATCCAGTCAGCCATCAATGGACACTTAGGTTGCTTTCATGTCTTGGCTATTGTGAATAATATTGCAGTGAGCAGGGTGGTAGTGAAGATATCTCTGTGGGGGGCTGATTTCATTTCCCTTGGGTATATACCCAGAAGAGGGGGATTACTGGGTCATTCGGTAGTTCTATTTCTAATTTTTTGAGTAACCTCCATACTGTTTTCCATAATGTCCGTACTAATTTACAGTCCTACCAACAGTGTGCAAGGATTCCTATTTATCCACACCCTTGCCAACAATTGTTATCCATTGTCTTTTTTATAATAACCATTCTAACAGGTGTGAGGCGTTATCTCATTGTGGTTTTGATTTGCATTTCTCTGATGATTACTGATGTTGAGTACATTTTCATATACCTAGTGGTCATTTTTATGTCTTTTTAAGAGAAATGTCTGTTTAGGTCCTTGTCGTTCTGCTTGTTTATTTTTGCTTAAAAAATCTTTATTGGTACATAATAATTGTACATCTTTTGGGGGTATATGCAATACTTTGATAAATGAGTACAATGTGTAATGATCAAATCAGGGTATTTAGGATATCACCTGGAATGTTCATCATTTCTTTGTGTTGGGAATATTTTAAAATCTTCTCTTTTAGCTATTTTGAAATATTCAATATATTGTTGTTAACTATAGTCACCCTACTATGCTACTAAAACTCAAATTTGGTAGACATGTTACACAGTTCTATAGTTTATCATACATTCTAAGAGTTGATAAAAAAAAAAAAAAAAAGGGCCGGGCGCGGTGGCTCAAGCCTGTAATCCCCAGCACTTTGGGAGGCCGAGGCAGGCGGATCACGAGGTCAGGAGATAGAGACCACGGTGAAACCCCGTCTCTACTAAAAGTACAAAAAATTAGCTGGGCGTGGTGGCGGGTGCCTGTAGTCCCAGCTACTCAGGAAGCTGAGGCAGGAGAATGGCGTGAACCCGGGAGGCGGAGCTTGCAGTGAGCCAAGATTGCGCCACTGCACTCCAGCCTGGGCGACAGAGCAAGACTCCGTCTAAAAAAAAAAAAAAAAAAAAAGCAGTTTTTATTCAGTTACATAATGGAATCTTTATTCACAGCTCTCTTAAAAAAAAAATCTCTGCTGCTATTACATTCACAGACAGTATCTCCCATAGCTCAGCCATTAAGACTTAAACTTTGAATCTGGGCACATTTCTTGGAATTTGGAGTTCCAGGACAAGGCTTCCAAAGAGTGTTATTAATGATGAGTCAGTTTTAAATGTGTGGTACAGACCACATAGAAACTACTTGAATTTAACTACTGGAAAGAGCTGAAACCCAGAGCAGACCAGAGGCAAAATGTAGCTGAGGCAGCTTAAGTTACACCTGTGGTCAAACAGTCTCTTCTGATCTGCCGTATTCATTCCCTCAGCCCATTCCTCAATCTTTTTTTCTGAGATGAAATCCTAACCAGAATTTATATTTGTTTCTCATATTATCATTTTTCATGAAAGTTTGTGCAGTCTTTCCCTTTTCTCTCAAAATCCCCTACAATAAAATCAAATTTATTAAAAAAAGGTTTTCTTAGTCACAGCTCTTAATTTTGAGTTGCCTTTTCTGTCAGGAATCTCCCTAATGCTAGTTCTTTCTGAGATTTAATGGCCAAAACACTCAACATTTCAAAATCTTTTTCTCTATCAGTACTGTATTATCTACTTTTGCTATTTTTTTCTTTGTCTTCCTCCTTCCTAAATGGTCCCTAATACTTTTCTTTTTCAAATATTTGTCAGAAATATGCCTTTGTCTTCAGAAAAAATCTTTTTTCTGATGACTTTTCATTTTTACATAGGTACAACCATTGGTGAAATATCCCAAAAACCCGAAGTCTTAAACAACATGGTAATCAAAAGAAAAAAAAAAAGACATAATTTGCCATGCATAAATGGTGGTAGCAGCCTCTACCTATCTCACAGAAAGCCATCATGAGGTTAATTAGAAGCCAGGCATGGTGGCTTATGCCTGTAATCCCAGCACTTTGGGAGGTGAAGGCAGGATGATCGCTTGCGCTCAGGAGTTTGGACCAGCCTGGGCAACATGGTGAAACCTCGTCTCTACAAAAAATACAAAAATTAGCCAGGTATGGTTGTCTGTGCCTGTGTTCCCAGCTACTCAGAAGGCTGAGGTGGGAGAATCAAGGCTGCAGTGAGCTATCATCATGTCCCTACACTCTAGCCTGGATGTCAGCGCGAGCACCTGTCTTAAAAGGAAAAAATTAAAAAATAATTAATTAGAACCATTTTTTACATGCTAATTGTTATACTTAGGTTTAATTAATAAAATGTTGACAGAGTGTTTAAACGTCTGTCAAATTGACTAATGGAACCAAAGCAGTTATGTGCTACTGATTATAAACAAGATTTCAGATTTGTTCAAGTATATATCTGAGAAATGTATTTACATAAAATACATTTCTTTGTAATTCTTTTCACTTAAATATATGATAAATATTGCAATACCCAAACATTATATTAAGTTTAGATGTGACTATTTCATGATAATTGTTCTTTCAAAGCACTGCATTACACAGTATGTAGACTAGTCAACAGTAATGATAATAGTGTCACTGAGAGCACTTAAAATGTGCACAACATTGTTTCTAAGTACTTTAAATTTATAGGTCTCTCATAATATTATAAGTCTCCCTAGATATATCAATAATTCAAGGTTTTGAGCACTCTTTACCCAAACCAATTCTCAGGGTTGTATTTGCAGTAGGTAACCCTGGGGAATGAGGTGATATCTCCCATTGAGACAAAGAGCAGACCTGCATACTGCCTGCTGTAAAAGAGGTGGATTCCCCAACTCAGGGTCCCTTGACTGCAACACTAATTTACCAAGTGCATAATAGCTATCTGGATCCTCTGAATCATCCCCCTAGAACTTGGAGGACAAGGGAACTGATGCAAACCTGATGCACATGCTGCCTGCTGTGCCTTCAACAACAAAGTCCTTTGTCTCTGTCAGGAGCTTTCCATGAAACAATAAGGGTCTAATTTGCCAACATCCATGAAATAGTAAAGGTCTTATTTAGCTTATAAGTAAGGTGAAATCAAATCCCAGCCCCTTACATGTGTGTGTGCGTTTGTATGTGGAGTGTGTGTGTGTGTGTGTGTGTGTGTGTGTGTGTATTAATCTCAAAACAATAAACACTTCTCTAACCCCCTTTTAATAGGTAAGGAAACTGAGGCAAGAAAAAAAGTTCTGTCATTGACCCAAAGTCATACAACTGGTAAAATTTTGAGCCAAGATTTGAACCTAGTAGTCTCCAGAGTTCATGCTTTTAACCACTATACTTTGTTACTACTTCAGGAGACATATAATTTCATTAAAAAATATTTTTAAAGACTCAATTCCTTCTTTTGATGGTACAAACTGCATTTAAAATTTGCTAAATTTTTGTCTTTATTAAAACATCATTCCCAGTGTAATAAAACATAATAGCACATTTATGCAAGCTAAAAAAAGAGAAAGATGTGTTTTTATTTGCCAAAATATTTCCAGGATTTTTGCATCTTTCATAAAACAGTCTAAACAAAAAAGAATAATGCACAGCAAAATTCTTCCTCTTTCCAGGACTTCATAGCCAATCTTATATATTTTTCCAGGCCAGGCTTAAGTGCCATTTCTCCAGCAAGCCTTCCCTAAAGAGCTAAATATTATCTCTCCAACCTATTTAGCATTTTTTCTCTAGAAGGAACTTTGCACTTTAGCCCTTGCATTCTTCTTATCCAGGTGTAGTTCAACTCCCACTTCTAGATCGTTAACTCCCTAAAGGTAATTTCTATTTATGATTCCCTTTTTCTCCTTCACAACTTTCAGCATGGTGCCTTGCAACTAGTAATAAGTACTAGTTAAAGATAGTTAAGGAACTATCTTTAGTATCTGGTAAATATATATATAATATATATATTTATATATTTTTATATAAATATATTATATATTTATATTTATATATTTTTTATATATGTAAAATAATTATAATCATCAAATACAACAAAATTTTAATGCTTTTTACAAAGAATATTTGTAGCATACTAAGATGTTTATATTTTTGAATCTCTACTCTGGTTGCCTAATAGCAGAATTAATGTTTTCCCACTTTTTTTCCTATTGCATAAATAAATTATAGAAAAAAATACAGAAATATTGCATATTTCTTGATGCATTATGCCAACATGTATCTTTTCTTTTAGCCGAATGTTCTGACATTTTGGGAATGAGAAATGTGCATTTGCATCATGTTTTCCCATCCAACAGTACATGATGGCCATCACAAGGCAGATTCATTTCACATCTCTTCCACCATTAGAATCTACACGTAGCCTCCCTTTCTCCAGTTCACTCCTCTCTCTAATCCATTCTGCTACCAGATCAACTTTCCTAATGTCTTTTCCCTACACCATCACTGTACTCAAAAACCTTCAGTGACTTGCCATTGATCATAATATAAATTAGAGCTCCCTAGCCAAGCACCCAAATCTAAATTTACCACAATATTCTTAGTGATCCCTATTGCTTACTTCTTCTTTATATGAAAACGTTACTTCAGTCAAATTTATCTGCTTTCTATCTCACACATATATGTTGCATTACCCTCCTTCTGTTTCTGTCCATGGGATGAAATAGTTTCTTTTCTACACATCTAAATCTTACCCATTCTTTAAGATCAAAATCTGAGCCATCTCTGCATGATGCTTTTCCTAACACCTTGGTCATGAATACTGCCTCCACTCTCACATTTTTTTCCTGTGCAACCATGGTAAATTTATCTTACTCCATGTCATCTTTTTTACTTGAGGTATTATTGTGATATATATCAAAATGTTTGCACTCCACTAAATGTTATCTTTAACAGATTTTCATCAGGGACCATTCCAATAATGCTTGCATTGTTTGAAATATTTCAAGGGCTCTTCCTCTGGTAATCAAAACACCAGCTGCACTATAAAGTCATCCATTTTATTTTATAATCTTTTCTTGTTTTCATTTTTTTTTAAATTACTCAACTTGGCTGGGCACGGTGGCTCATGCCTTTAATCCCAGCACTTTGGAAGGCTAAGGCAGAAGATTGCTTGAGCTCAGGAGTTTAAGAACAGCCTGGGCAATATAGCAAGAACCTGTCTCTACAAAAAATTTTTTAAAATTAGCCAAATGTGGTGGCACGCGTCTGTAGTCACAGCTACTTGGGAGGCTGAGATAGGAGGATCACTTGAGCCCAGAAGATAGAGGCTGCAGTGAGCCATGACTGCACCACTGCACTCCAGCCTGGGCCATAGAGTGAGACTCTAAAGAAAACAAAACCTAAAAAATAAAAAAATACCCAACTTGATCATTCACTCTTTTTCCCAAAACCAGTTTCCAATAATTTTTTATTTTATTCTTAAAAAAAAAGTAAACTCTTTCTTTCAAAGGGCAAAAGTTGGTCACCACTGAAGACATTCTAAAAAACACATCATAAGTTTTCAAAGCAATATATTCCTAGCTGTGACTGAAAAAGAAAACCTTTCCTTTGGATTAATTAGTAAAAGAATGACTAGGATAAAGTCTATAGCCATTTACTTCAGTAAGAAATTTAAATCACCCTGCAGAGTCATTTAGGGTTCATTTGCATCACTTTTGGCAATGGCTTAGGCAGTGGTTTTCCCATCAAAAACCCTTTTTTCTAGTTGGCATGACATAAAAAGTGAAAAATTTTGTAATATTTCAAAGACTATGAAATAAGAGAGCACACTCTGCTTCCTCAAGTCGCAGACAAGTGTAGTTGCAAATCCTTCTTCTGTGGCCAAAGAACAGTGAAGAGGTTTACTATGGAAGGATTTACCATGGATTTCCTCAGAGTTTCTCTCACTTCCAAAGGCAACATGGTCTCTGGTCTCCCTGGCCACACAAGGATTCCGTGGTCAGCTGGGTGAAATACACTAATGTTGCAAGATTGTGCATGTAAGATCATTGTCAAGTACATCTTCAGATGGAAAATTAGTGATGGCACATCTGCATTAAATAAAACCTAACTTCATTGCCGCTCTCAGAATGGCTGAGGGAAGATAATATTCTTCTCCCAACAGTTTCCATTTGGTTCTATTTGTAGAAACCATGTCTCTTCCAACTTTTAAATGATCTCTAACTCTACAGAAGGACAACAAGCTAACAAGCTAACAAGGCTTCTAGAAAGAACTCAGAAAGAGCTCACTGCATTTTCCATAAAATTTTACTGAAGAAAATTTAGCAAAAATTTTTACTTATCAATTTCCAAAGAAAATGTGTTAATTTATATGTCATTTATTTTATATAACTATAGAAATAGTTTTAATGAAAAGTTTTGTTATGATTTCTAAATTATATCTTCCTAAGATTATTGCTATAATACTTCTTCTTTATATTGCTATAAAGAAATACTAAAATTTAGAAACCATAGTTTAAAAATTCTTAAGGAAACTCCTACTTTTGTACTTGTTTTATTTTGACTATGCATTCATAGCAAGCCCTGGCACTCCCTATTCTCTTACTCTACTTTGTTGCTTCTGCATTTTACTTACTTGATATTCTATTGTATATTCTCTTGTTCTATTTGCTTGTGGTCAGTCTGTCTGTGTCCCTCACTAGGATGTAAGCCCCATTAGGGCAGAGATTTTGTCTTCCTCACCATGACATTCCTTGCTGGAACAGGGCATATAGGACCTCAGTTAATATTTACCAAATGCAAAGATGATCTACTTAATTTTTAAGTCCTAGTTGTCATAAATTGTATACACCGTATCAGAAACTGGGCTGTAACCACCTAATAGGAGCTCATAACTGCATGCCCCTGAAATTATACAAAAATATTAGTGTGTATATGCATTTCCCAATTTTTCTAAGATTCTCTGTATGCACATAAACCCCCAGAGAAGTTTTGCTATAGGGAAAAAAATAAGTATCAGCTATGTCAGAAAACATTTGGAATTCAGTTATGGCAGACAATCAGCTAGAGGGGCTGCTGGACATAGGAGAGTGTACTATTGTGTTCTCTTCTGAATATTCCCCAGTTACATTTTTCTGGGGATTCAGGACCAGAACAAGAAAGGCCATCATGATGAGACCCAGCAGAAGAAGTGAATTCAAAATTTCTAAAACTAGTTTTATGTGCTCAGATAAGGTCCTTTTCATGCATCTGTCTCTGACACATGAATCTAACTGAAACACTGAAAATAATTGATACACTATTATTTGAAGCCCCAAATCCTAATCTTTAGGTATCTCAAAAATTAGCTTATATTGACTATTTATTTATTTCATACCTCACTTAATTCATTTAGTGTCCTCTGGAACTTTTGACTTTACTTCTTCAAATGTTTTATTAGTCCATTTTCACGCTGCTGATAAAGATATACCTGAGACTGGGCAATTTACAAAAGAAAGAGGTTTAATTGGACTTACAGTTCCATGTGGCTGGGGAAGCCCCACAATCATGGCAGAAGGCAAGGAGTAGCAAGTCATGTCTTACATGGATGGCAGCAGGCAAAGAGAGAGCTTGTGCAGGCAAACTCCTGTTTCTTAAAACCATCAGATCTCATGAGTCTCATTCATTATCATGAGAACAGTGCAGGAAAGACCTGCCCCCATAATTCAATCACCTCCCACTGGGTTACTCCCATGACATGTGGGAATTATGGGAGTTACAATTCAAAATGAGATTTGGGTGGGGACACAGCCAAACCATATCAATATTGAAATGTGTTTTGGCCAATATGCTGCTGTAGGAATTTTGGCAAGTGTTAACAAGAAAAATAATTCATAGTGTCATTTTGAAAACAAATTTGTAATCCTATACAAGCAATAAAAACTGAAAAAAAAATCTGATTCAATGCCCAGAAAACAAATTATTCATTCAAGTACTGCAAGTAGTAAAAGTTAGCTACTCTTTTTAAAAATAAATCAAAACATCACCTTAGTTCTATCCAGAACAAAAATTACACATTCTCAACAGACTAATATGTCTGAGCCAAACTTACATATTAATTCACAATACAAGATGACATTAATCCAAGAAAACCACCAAACAGTATGGTTTTCAGAGGTGAATTCTCTGTGTTAGGAGAAAATTCTGACGTGATACTCTGATTCAGATCCTAAATGTGGGTCTGGAGCTCCCTGAATGCAGGAACCATGCTTCACTCATCTTCTAAGAACTATGGTGTCTAAGATATAGAGAGGCTGCATGGATGTTGAATTAATTAATGAATTGCCATAAGTTGTGAGGTTTTTTTTTGTTCCAACACACTGTCAGAACAAATTCCCTCAAAAATTTTTCTTACCAAAACAAATGCTATAAAACAGGATATCAAGTTTTATTTACTTTATTAATTCCTACTTTAAATTACAAAATGCCTCAGTATACACTGAACCCATGCTCAAGTCAGAACAGGGCCTCATTTATTCATGTTATTGCATTTCCTTTGCTAATAGTTTTACTGGGTTTTCTTTTTTTGTGTTTTCCCCCCCTCTCCATTTTCTTATAATGCCATTCCATTGTATATTTGAGCTAGTAACAAGAATTTCTTAGGTTGACTTTAAAGAACAAGGACACCTTTTATTTCACCAGTTGATTAATAAGCACTTTACTGGTCAGAAAACATTTGGAATCAAGGACCCAGGTATTTGCATCTCTTCACAATGAAACAGCTTAGCAAGGCATCCGGAGCAGTTACAAAAGTCATATGCAGAAATGACAATTTCAAGGGGAGATAAAGAATACTCTGAAGAAACTTCCCAAATCAATGACAGCAGGCTTATCACCATATTTCATTGGCCCTAATTAAGTACTATTTCTGATCTAATTACATGCTTCATATTCTCTGGTTATAATACTATACTGTTTTTCTTTTCTTATTGCCAGTTTTTATTCCTCAGATAAGCATTGATATTTCTTGGTGCTAATTAATAAAATTATAGCACTTAACTTTGAAACTGTAGGTTCTTCTAATGTTGGTGATGAAATACTAGCAAGGTAAAAAGGAAAGAAAGAAATATTCTTTTTCATTGAAACTATAGAAAAAAAGCTAATTTTTTGGCATCATAATGTATATGTTGTCCATGAAAAAGTTAATATGGGCCAGGTGCCTTCGCTCATGCCTATAATCCCAGCATTTTGGAAGGCTGAGGTGGGCGGATCGCTTGAGCCCAGGAGTTTGAGACCAGCCTGGGCAATGTGGTGATACCTCATTTCTACAAAAATACAAACATTAGCCTGGCGTGGTGGCAACTCGGGAGTCTGAGGTGGGAGGATTGCTTGAGCTCGGGAGGTGGAGATTGCAGTGAGCTGTGATCACAACACTGCACTCCAGCCTTGGCAACAGAGTGAGACCCTGTCTCAAAAAAAAAAAAAAATGGTTAATGTGAGCAAAGCAACTTCATAATATTTCAGAAATGGTTTATCCCATAAATATAACGTTTAATCTCTAAAATGCTTGTAATTCTGAATTGCCTTATTTAATAATTTGTTGTCCAGGTAATGGTATTTAAATTGGCATCATTATTTTCTAAAATGTGTAAAGGTTTTTAAGTTCACCAAGGCACAAGAGGTTAATTGACACTTTCTTCTTCCACATGCATGGAAGTAAAAACAAATAAAATATATTATATCTTATTAGAAAAAAATAAGTGAAGCTATTTCCAGTTAAACAAAAACTGAGGGAATTCATCAACAGTAGTTACAAAATAAAGCAAATACTAAAGGTAGTCTTACAGGCAGAAGAGAATAATCCCAGAAAGAATAAGAAAATACAGAAAGGAATGGAACCCAATAAAAAGGTAAATAAAAATATCAGCAAATATAAATGATAACTGACCACATGAAAACACAGTGACATGTACATAGTTTAAAATACATATATAAGTACAAATGCATGCAACAATAGCAAAATATGAGACAGAGTAAAAGAAATTGTAAGGTTTTAGCTTTGGTTGAGAAGTAGTAAAAACATCAGTTTATATTAAACAGCTTTGTCCCATTAAAATATAATGCAAGACACATATGTCATTTTAAATTTTCCAGTAGTGACATTAGAAAGAGTAAAATGAAATAAACACAGTCAATTTTGATATATATTATTTAACCCAAATTATGATCATTTCAACATATAATCAATATAAAAATTATTAATGAGATATTTTGCATACTTTTTTGTACTAAATCTTTCAAATTATATTAACAGCAAATCTCAACCCAAACCAGCCATATTACAAGTGCTCTACAGCCACATGTGGCTAGCGGCTATCATATTGGACAAAGCAGTATTAAACTCTAATAAGCCAAGGAAGTAGCTTGCAATCTTTACAGTAATCATTAAAAGGACTAAATGTAAAAGGACATATAATCAGAAAATTTGTAAATACAAAAGAATGTAATTTTAAATAAAGTTGCTGGATATAATGAACACAGACAGTGCCCTGCCCTATTGCCCGTTACTTGGTCAGCACACCTGCACCCCATCTGCTTTGTTAGCTGCTAATGACTCACAGCTTCCCCTATCTGGAGAAATCCCCTTAGCCAAAGAGGAACCAGCTTCCCTAGGAGGTTATGCTCCCAACCCCAACAATGAATAACTGACACATGGCTGTCAACCTTGTCAAAATGTTGGACTGACTTCATGGTACAATTTATGCTCTGGAGATCCCCAGGGGGTAAAGCTAAAACCAGCCTCCACCTGGGACCACATCTTAGCTCAACTCTTTTCCCTGCCTTATTCTGCTTCCTTCGCTTTCTTCTTAAAGCACTCCTTTGATAAATCATGTGCATCCACATCACTGTATCAGGCTGTTTCTAGGGAACCTGATCTAAGCCCCTGGGTTTATAAAAGAGAAAGCAAGAGGGAGAGAGAAAAAGCAACATAAAATAAGTAAGACAAATAAAACACAAGCATTATTAATATGGTGAGCATAAACCTAAATAAATCAGCAAGTATATTAAAATGCAAATGGTCTAAATGGCCTCATTAAAAGATAAAGATTGTCAGAATTGACAAAAAACATTAAGAAAACCTATGTGTTGCTTATAAAAAGGGTACGGAAAGATGTACTATGCAAATGCCAAGAGAAGTCTGGTTTTGATATACTGATGTCAGATAAGATCTACTATAAGGCAAGAAACATTCCTAAAGATGAGAAGAATTCTTTCATAATAATAAAAGGATCAATCCACCAGGAAGATATAAAAATTCTAAATTTGTGTGGACCTAATAATATAGTTTCACAATATGTAAAAACAAAAATTGATCAATTTAAAAACTGGAATACACAAATCCACAACTAAAGTGAGAGAATATGACACTCTTTGATAACTGATAAAACAAGCATCCAGAAAATTAGTAAGGCTATTTATAATCTAAGTAACACAATTAATAAAACAAAAACACTTGCTAAAATATACCATCGAATGACAGAATATACAATTTTGACAAGTGTACATTTACAAAAATAGTCCATATGTTGGGCCAAAAAGTCAGACTTGACAAATCTACAAGGACTCCAATGATTCAAATATATTATTTGATTATAGTGAAATAAAGGTAGAAATAAATAACTAAAAGATTAAAATAAAATTTTCAAATGTCTGGAAATTAAGCAGACTTATTATTTATTTATTATTATACTTTAAGTTCTAGGATACATGTGCACAACGTGCAGGTTTGTTACATATGTATACGTGTGCCATGTTAGTGTGCTGCACCTATTAACTCGTCATTTACATTAGGTATATCTCCTAATGCTATCCCTCCCCTCTCGCCCCACTCCACGACAGGCCCTGGTGTGTGATGTTCCCCACCCTGTGCCCAAGTGTTCTCATTGCTCAATTCCCACCTATGAGTGAGAACATGCGGTGTTTGGTTTTCTATCCTTGTGATAGTTAAGCAAACATTTTTAAATAACTGGGTGAAAGTTAATAAAAATGTGTACTAAAATACCTTGAACTGAATTATAATGAAATGTAATATTTGAAATGTATAATTTGGCTATTACTATGCTTAGTGGAAAATCTATAACTTAAATTCACATATTAGGAAAGAGGAAAGCCTGAAATGCAATTGTATGGGTATTCATCTCTAGAAGTAAAGAAAAGATAACAAATTAAACCCAAGAAAGAGTAAGAAGAAAAAATAAATATAAGAATAAGAAAGAACAAATAATAAAGAGAATAAATAATAAAGAAAAGAACAAAAAAATTAGTTAACTAGAAAACATACATGCAATAAAAAATCAATATCAAAAAGTTATTAGCTGAGGAAGCCAACAACATATATCAGGAATGAAGCAGAGAGCATTACCACAGATCTCAGTAGATGCAAGAAAAACTGATAACATGCAAGACCACGGGTAAGAAAATAAACCTCTAGGCAAGCTAGGAATAAAAGATATTTTCTGGAATAAAGAATATTTACCAAAAAATGACATTTAGTAAAATAAGGGAATTTTATTAAACTGATAAAGAATATTTAGAAAAAATTAGTAAAAATCATACATAAATGTGAAGTGCTGAAAAATTCCCCTGATTTTGAGAATGAATGAGAAAATGTTGCTCACTATCACCATTTGTATTTAACATTGCACTGCAAGTCCTATTCTGTTTAAGATATATGACAATAGATGCAGTTTGATAGAGATGGATAGATAGATAGATAGATAGACAGACAATAGATAGATGGATGATAGGTAGCTAGTATCAATAGTTGAATGGGTGAAAAAATAACAATATGTTCATACAATGGCATACTATCTGCGGTGAAAATGAACAAACCGTAGCTAAATACAATAGCATAAATCAATCTCACAAATGATAATGAGCTAAAGAAGCCAGCCACAAAATGGTATATATTATATTATTCCATTTACATAAAAGTCAAAATCTGGTGCGAAATAAATTAGTGATAGAAATCAGGATAGTGTTAAACTTGGTGAAAATAATCACTGGAAGGGAAAAAAGTGGGACTTCTGGGTTGCTGGATTCTTGCTCTATTTCTTGATCTGAGTATTAGTTAAATGGGTTTTCACTTAGAATTTGTGCTTCCCGCCCCCCCCCCCGGATATTTTTAATAAAATATTTATTTAAAAATAAAAATATATAATACCTCATAGTTGCATTTGGGTATTTGGGGAAGCCAATGAAAATATCTGTTATGGAAAACCGGTTCAATTCTTTAAAGACAATCTATTATTTGTTCTATTTACAGTTTAGAAATATATTTCAGGGACAGCATTTTGTGTTGTTCAAAGTAAATAATGGTATATTTTTGTTTTGTTTGTTTTTTGAGACAGAGCCTCACTCTGTCACCCAGGCTGGAGTGCAGTGGTGTGATGTAGGCACACTGCAACCTCTGCCTCCCGGGTTCAAGCGATTCTCATGCCTCAGCCTCCAAAGTAGCTGGGATTACAGGTGTGCACCACCATGCTAATTTTTGTATTTTTAGTGGAGACAGACTTTCACCATATTGGCCTGCCTGGTCTCAAA
This sequence comes from Homo sapiens, assembly GCF_000001405.40. Lineage (NCBI taxonomy): Eukaryota > Metazoa > Chordata > Mammalia > Primates > Hominidae > Homo > Homo sapiens. The sequence goes on along the minus strand of NC_000003.12, from coordinate 151,581,865 downwards.
CTCCTGGCCTCAAGCGATCCGCCCACCTCGGCCTCCCAAAGTACTAGGAATACAGGCTTGAGCCACCATGCCCAGCCAATAATGGCTATATTCTACAAATGCAGTCACCGTTGAATAACTAAAATATGGAGAATTGAAAGAAGCTATAAACTTATTCATAAATGGCTTTAGATATCACCTTCTAAATCTGCTTCATTATTTGTCACATCAGGGATCTGGTCTTCAACAAGTACAGGAAAGAATCTCTTCTAGCAGTGGGAAGAAAAAGTGCAAACTTTGGACCCATTACATGGTGGAAGCTTCAGAAATCTTTGTGCTATGAATAAGGTGAGCTGTCATTCCACTAATAAGAACTCCAAGACTCTTTCAGTAATCTCATTTTTGTTTGAGGTACCAAACAACACAAAGGAATAACAGTCCTCTAGATACGGTTTGGTAGTGACAGTGAGCACAAAAAGAAATACAGAGTTTAAAAAAAAACTATAATTTGTCTCTTCATTTCCATTTTGATCAAGATCACTGCAGGTTATAAGAAGTCTCTAGAGGCTTGTGGTATGAATAGAAAGTGTGAGAACTGCTGATTTCTGTTAAAGCTGTTGGGGTCTAAGTTGAATGGGGTTGCTGAACTACCACATTACGTCACTTCTGGTTGTATCAAATTTATATTTACTAAGCACCACAAAAATTTCGTGGCAGACTACTTTCACCCACAGTCTAACACAGCAACATGAAAACTGAGAAAAAGATCCATGAACATGTGTAAGAAAATATAAACTGCTTGCTTTTTTACAAATCATTTCTGTCCCCAAACAAGAAAGATTATACAACAAAATAGCTTTTTCTGCTATGATAAAAGCTTTTCCCTCCCCCGCTCTTTTCTTCTCTCCTCTCTCTCTATTTAAAAAAAAAAAAATCTGATTTTATAAAAAACAGATCTGGAATTTGGGTGTCATGAGAAGAAAGAAGACAATAGATACCATAAATTTAAGGGCACTTGAAAAAATGTCTGGTTATAAACAAGTGAAGAATTCTGCTAGGAATCAAGTTGGGCAATTTAGTTCTTTCTTCTGTAAGGCACAAAGAATGTTAGAATTACAAAGGCAATAAATCATCCTTGGAAACTGAACCACAGTAGAATTCCTCCGTAAGTGTACACACAGTAAGCTCCCTTATAGACAGATTTTTTTTTTAACGTTAAAACTGCTGAAGGTCTTTTGTTAGTTAGTTTGTCAGATGGTTGGTGGGTGATTAAGTGAGTTATATGCTAAATAATGATCTTGAGTCACAACAAACTTTGACAGGCTTTCCCAGTAATCAATAATCAAATATTAAAATGCTTCAACAAACATTTATGCATTGTATACATGAAATACATTGCTACTAATTTTGTAAATAGTGAATTATCTTCTAGAGTGATTAGAATAAGAAAAGATGTATCTTATATTTACCTTCATTTTTACCATTTTCAACATTTCTTTCTGTGTGTAGATCCAGGTTTCTGTCTGATGTATTTCTTTTGCCTAAAGAACTTCCTTTAAGTTCTCTTATAGTGAAAGTTGGCTGATAATAAATTCTCTTTGTTTTTCTTACGTGTAAAGTCCTCATTCTTTATTTTTTCAGTAGTATATTAACTGGGCATTGATTTCTGGAGATGACCACATCTGGCTAATTTTTTTCAATTTTTTGTAGAGACTGGATCTTGCTATATTGCCTAGACTGATCTCAAACTCCTGGGGCTTAAGCAATCCTCCCACCTCAGCCTCTCACAGTGCTGCGATTAAGGGTGTGAGCCGTGGTGCTTGGTTGTGGCTTGGATAGCTTCTAATAAGAAGTCTGTTGCAATTCTTATTTTTGTTTCTCCATGTGTATGTCTTTTTACTTCTGGCTGCTTCAAGATTTTATCTTTATCTTTGGTTTTCAACAGTTTGAATACAATGTCACTAGGCCCTTCCTTCCTTCCTTCCTTCCTTCCTTCCTTCCTTCCTTCCTTTCCTTCCTCCCTTCCTCCCTCCTCCCTTCCTTCTTTCCTTCCTTCCTTTCTTCTTTCCTTCGTAATATTTATTCTTCTGAATGCTCTGAGCTTCTTGGATCTGTTATTTGAAGTCTTTTGTGACTTGGGGGAAACACTCAGCCATTATCTTTTCAAATATTTATTTGTTCTCTCCATTCTCTCTCTTTTCTCCTTCTGGGATTCCAGTTGCTCATATATTAGACCATATGACATTGCCCCACAGTTTTTGAATTCTCTGGCAGTTTTTTTTTTCTTTACTTTTTGTTTGAATCATTTCTTTTGATTGATCTTTACTTTTGTTACTACATATTTTTTGTTTCTGGCCATTTCTATATCATTCTCTCTTACAGTTTCCATTTCTCTGACAAAAATCCCTATATTTTCTTGAATGTTATCCACCTTTTACACTAGAATCTTTAACTATATTTTTATAGTTTGTTTGTTTTTAAATTCTCTACCTGAAGGCTCTAATGTCTTGGGCACATGTGAGTCTGGTTCTCTTGATTGCATTGTTTTTTGACAGAAAGTTGCTTTGTCTTGCATTTTTGTATGTCTCATAATTTTTGGTTGAATACTGAGGTATATAGTATTTATATCCAGAATTAGGCACACTCCTTTTATACTACACATTTAATGCAAGGAATTGACTCAGATAATGGGGTTTGGGTTGTGTTAGTGCTATATTTACCCCTAGCACACCACTGGCCTCAGATTTCTCTAGCATTATCTTGTGCTTTGGGTAGGGATTGGGTTTTCGGAGAATGTTTTTAATGTTCTTTTCAACCCTTGACTTTAGTCTTTTTCTGTGAGTCTAAACCTCAGAGAAGGTTTCCCTTCATCTTCTTTACTCTTTCCCATTGATAGACTGACACAACTTATTCAGTGCTAGCTAGCGTGGTAGTAGTAGGTGGAAACATTCTGTTTCTTTCTTTATCCTCAGTCTTGGTCAAGACCTGTCTTTTTGTGTCTCACAGGTATGTCTTCCTCAATGATTCTGCCTCTTGACCAGCAGTAGTAAACTGCTAATGGTCTTGGCTAAAAGCAATTTTCTGTCCTTCCCTCAAAGATAGAAGATCTTTTTTTCTATTTCTTCTCCTAGCTCCAATGGGTCTTCACCTACATCTGAGACAGTATTTGTTGTCCTGCCCCTAGTGGCTTAAAGTGTTTGTTTCACAGAAAAGATAGGAAGAAGGATGCAGGCAGGGCTTTCTTTATCTCCCATTGCTGTTACTCTACTCAGTATCGCATTGCAAAGGAGTTCTCTTTGGTCTACTGCCTTGATCTCAGTCATTCTCATGAGCAATCAATGAGGTCCATAGAGAAGAGCCTGCCAGTGAGTACAAACTGCCTTTCTATTTGCTATTCTTAGGTATTCTATGTTAGAAGTCAGTAAACTATGGCTTGTTAGACCAATCATCTGTTTTTGCAAATAAATTTTCAGTGAAAACTTATGACAGCTACACCTAGTTATTTGCATAATGGCTATAGCTGCTTTTGTATTGTAACCACAGAGTTGAGTACTTGCCATAAGATACCCCATAGCCCACAAAGCCTAAAATATTTACTATTACTATCTGGCCTTTCAGGAATAAGTTTGCCAATCCTTGTCTTACACTTACCCTACAGTTAGGCTCTAGGAATTTATTAAAAATTTAGGTAATTTCTTTCATTTTTTTAATTTAGAAACAAATTTTATTGAAGATATGAAATACAATTCCTAAGATGTCAACTTTTCCAGAAAATTATGGCTACACAGTAATGCATTGCCTCTATCATGTTAGAATGTTCATTAGACTCAAATACAAAAACTGTGAAACAAACCACCATCCTTAAAAATTTGAGCAAAGATAGAATACCTTAGGGACAACATAGATGGACTTGCAGAGGATGGGCTATTTTACTTCAAAGCAACATTAAAAGAAACAAAGAGCACAAATGCTTGGGTTTTCAGGCATACGCATTGCCCACTTGTCTGGTGGTCTCCTTGTTTTCCCATGCTTTACCCCAGGTGAGCTCACTTACTCATCTCTTAATGAAGCCACCTGTCTCTTCTTAGTTTTCAGGTAGTTTGTTGCCCTTATTAACTCAACTCTCTGATGCATTCAAGAAAAGTTACTATATCTATAGTTCTCAGAGGTCAGGAAAAAAAAAGAAAGAGTTACGATTCTGTATAGTTGCTGGCATTTGTGGATTTTTTTTTTATTGGTGTTGGTTTAGGAGTGATGCTTTTTCCAATTTTCAACATTCTCAGAGAAGCCCCTCAATATGCATTTAATATGATATGTAGTTTTTAAAACTTTAATCATTAGAAATTTGGTAACCAATATTTAGTACAGATAAGTCATAATTAGGTATACCATGGGAAGTATCTCTAAAATTTGAGGACAAGTCTAGAATGTGACACAACATAAAGCTCATGTAAAAATGGAGAAGATTTAGTCTTTGAGGGAAAAAAGGATTATATAGCATTGTAAGCTTAGTAGACTACTGGATTAAAGGACAGACCCCTTAATATGGGCGGACATGGGCTATAATCCCAAATCCGGGTTCTTCCACTTTACTTTCCTAGCCATGTTATAAAGCATCTTCTTTTTCATGAGGATGTTGTAAAGATTATAAGACTATGCTCAAAAAAGGTAACTACCAGAAATAAAAATCTTCCTAAATACCAAAAGAAATGCCAAAGAAAACAATTCTACCTAGAGAAAGTGTGCATATAAATATGCTTGTATATACATAAATATATGGACAGAATAAATATAACGTAAAACCACATGACAGACCCGATGTCATAGGGCAGACTCCAAAGCTGAGGTTCAGCCCAGGAGGCCTTGGCTTTGTGCAGGAAGGAATTCAAGAGCAAGCCGACAGAGTAAATTGAAAGTTTACTAAGAAAGTAAAGGAAAAAAGGGGCTTCTCCATAGGTAGAGCAGCCCCAAGGGCTGGTAGCTGGCTATTTTTATGGTTATTTCTTGATCACACACTAAACAAGAAGTGGATTATTCATGAGTTTTCTGGGAAAGGGGCTGGGAATTCCCAGAACTGAGGGTTTCTCCCGCCTCTCCTCTTTTAGACCATATAGGGTAACTTCCCACATGAGCATGGCATTTGTAAACTCTCGTGGTACTGGTGGCAATTTCCTTTAGTATGCTAATATATTATAATTAGTGTATTATGAGCAGTGAGGATGACCAGAGGTGCTTTCATAGTCATTTTGATTTGGGGAAGTTATGGCCAGCTTCTTTACCACATCGTTTTATCAGCAGGGTCTTTGTGACTGTGATCTTCTAAAAGAAGTCCTGCCAAACTCCTATCTCACTGAGACCAAACGAATTGTCTGTTTGATTAAATGTAAGGAGAATTTCATGCCTTTGAAAAATTCAGATTGGCTTGCAAAGCAAAATAAAACTCTGGTCTGTGTTTATGAAAATATTCAAAACAAGGAGACTCAGAAAGATGATGATTCAGAGAAGATGATGGCAAATAAAAATGTAAATAAGTGAATAAATAAATAGCAGGAATCACAATTTTGACTTCAGACAAGGCATAATTTAGGCCAAAAGACCTAAATTAAGACCAAAAAACGGATATTTTGTAATGCTAAAGTCTAAAATGTATAATGAAAATGGTGCTAATATATTTAAAATAATATATAACATGAAATAAAATATAAATAGATAAAATAATATAGCAGCTACTTGATATAGCAGAAACTGGAAGAGGTAAATTAAGAAAAAGATAACAGACATAAACTAATAATAATAGACCAACACGCACACATCAAACCTAGAAAAATCAAATGGGAAAAATTAGAAAAGATGTCAAAGTTCAAAATAACATAATCAATAAATTAGATCATATAAAATTATATTAAACTCTCTAGCACAGTATATGAGAACTTGCCTTATTTTCAAATGGACATGGAATATTTGTGAAAATTGCCTATACGTAAGTCCACAAAGAAAGCCTTGATAAAGATGAAAAAATAGGGGTCTGTTCCAAGATGGCCGAATAGGAACAGCTCTGGTCTGCAGCTCCCAGTGTGATCAACGCAGAAGATGGCTGATTTCTGCATTTCCAACTGAGGTACCTGGTTCATCTCATTGGGACTGGTTGGACAGTGGGTGTAGCCCACAGAGGGTGAGCCGAAGCACGGTAGGGCATCGCCTCACCCAGGAAGCACAAGGGGTCTGGGAATTCCCTTTCCTAGCCAAGGGAAGACATGACAGACTGTACCGGGAAAATCGAGACACTCTCACCTTAATACTGTGCTTTTCCAATGGTCTTAGCAAATGGTACACCAGGAGATTATATCCTGCACCTGGCTCAGTGGGTCCTATGCCCATGGAGCCTTGCTCACTGCTAGTGCAGCAGTCCCAGATCGAACTGCAAGGCAGCAGCCAGGCTGGGGGAGGGGCATCCACCATTGCTGAGGCTTGACTAGGTAAAAAAAGCGACCGGGAAGCTCGAACTAGATGGAGCCCACCGCAGCTCAATGAGGCCTGCCTGCCTCTGTAGACTCCACTTCTAGGGGCAGGGCATAGCTGAACAAAAGGCACCAGAAACTTCTGCAGACTTAAACGTCCCTGTCTGACAGCCCTGAAGAAAGCAGTAGTTATCCCAGGATGGTGGACAGACTGCCTCCTCAAGTGGGTCCCTGATCCCCGTGTAGCCTAACTGGGAGACACCTTCCAGTAGGGGCTGACTGACACCTCATACAGGCAGGTGCCCCTCTGAGACAAAGCTTCCAGAGGAAGGATCAGGCAGCAATAATTGCTTTTCTGCAATATCTGCTGTTCTGCAGCCTCCACTGGCAATACCCAGGCAAACAGGGTCTTGAGTGGACCTCCAGCAAACACCAACAGACCTGCAGCTGAGGGACCTGACTGTGAGAAGGAAAACTAACAAACAGAAAGGAATAGCATCAACATCAACAAAAAGGACACCCACACGAAAACCCCATCTGTAGGTCACATCATCAAAGACCAAAGGTAGATAAAACCACAAAGATGGGGAGAAACTAGAGCAGAAAAGCTGAAAATTCTAAAAACCAAGCACCTTTTCTCCTCCAAAGGATTGCAGCTCCTCACCAGCAATGGAACAAAGCTGGACAGGGAATGACTTTGACGAGCTGACAGAAGTAGGCTTCAGAAAGTCAGTAATAACAAACTTCTCTGAGCTAAAGGAGGATGTTCGAACCCATCACAAGGAAGCTAAAAACCTTGAAAAAAGATTAGATGAATGGCTAACTAGAATAAACAGTGGAGAGAAGACTTTAAATGACCTAATGGAGCTGAAAACCATGGCATGAGAACTATGTGATGCATACACAAGCTCCAGTAGCTGATTCAATCCAGTGGAAGAAAGGGTGTCAGTGATTGAAGATCAAATGAATGAAATGAAGTTAGAAGAGAAGTTTAGAGAAAAAAGAGTAAAGAGAAATAGACAAAGCCTCCAAAAATTATGGGACTATGTGAAAAGACCAAATCTACGTTTGATTGGTGTACCTGAATGTGACAGGGAGAATGGAACCAAGCTGGAAAACACTCTTCAGGATGTTATCCAGGAGAACTTCCCCAACCTAGCAAGGCAGGCCAACATTGAAATTCAGGAAATACAGAGAACACTACAAAGATACTCCTCGAGAAGAGCAACCCCAAGACACATAATTGTCAGGTGCAACAAGGTTCAAATGAAGGAAAAAATGTTAAGGGCAGCCAGAGAGAAAGGTCGGGTTACCCACAAAAGGAAGCCCATCAGACTAAAAGCAGATCTCTCAGCAGAAACTCTACACGCCAGAAGAGAGTGGGAGCCAATATTCAACATTCTTAAAGAAAAGAATTTTCATATCCAGCCAAACTAAGCTTCATAAGTGAAGGAGAAATAAAATCCTTTACAGACAAGGAAATGCTGAGAGATTTTTGTCACCACTAGGCCTCCCTTACAAGAGCTCCTGAAGGAAGCACTAAACATGGAAAGGAACAACTGGTACCAGCCACTGCAAAAACATGCCAAATTGTAAAGACCATCGATGCTAGAAAGAAACTGCATCAACTAACAGGCAAAATAACCAGCTAATATCATAATGACAGGATCAAATTCACACATAACAACATTAACCTTAAATGTAAATGGGCTAAATGCCCCAATTAAAAGACACAGACTGGCAAATTGGATAAAGAGTCAAGACCCATCCATGTGCTGTGTTCAGGAGACCCGTCTCATGTGCAGAGACACACATAGGCTCAAAATTAAGGAATGGAGGAAGATCTACCAAGCAAATGTAAATCAAAAAAAAGCAGAGGTTGCAATCCTAGTCTCTGATAAAACACACTTTAAACCAACAAAGATCAAAAGAGACAAAGAAGGCCACTACATAATTGTAAAGGGATCAATTCAACAAGAAGAGCTAACTATCCTAAATATATATGCACCCAATGCAGGAGAATCCAGATTCATAAAGCAAGACCTTAGAGACCTACAAAGAAACTTAGACTCCCACACAATAATAATGCGAGACTTTAATACCCCACTGTCAATATTAGACAGATCAACGAGCCAGAAGGTTAACACGGATATCCAGGACCTGAACTCACTCTGCACCAAGCAGACCTACTAGACATCTACAGATCTCTCCACCCCAAATCAACAGAATATACATTCTTCTCAGCACCACATCGCACTTATTGCAAAATTGACCACATAGTTGGAAGTAAGGCACTCCTCAGCAAATATAAAAGAACAGAAATCACAACAAACTGTCTCTCAGACCACAGTGCAATCAAACTAGAACTCAGGATTAAGAAACTCACTCAAAACTGCACAACTACATGGAAACTGAACAACCTGCTCCTGCATTATTTACTGGGTAAATAATGAAATGAAGACAGAAAAAAAGATGTTTTTTGAAACCAATGAGAACAAAGACACAACGACACAACATACCAGAATCTCTGGGACACATTTAAAGCAGTGTGTACAGGGAAACTTATAGCACTAAATGCCCACAAGAGAAAGCAGGAAAGATCTAAAATCAATACCCTAACATCATAATTAAAAGAACTAGAGAAGCAAGAGCAAACACATTCAAAAGCCTGCAGAAGGCAAGAAATAACTAAGATGAGAGCAGAACTGAAGGAGATAGAGACACAAAAAAACCCTTCAAAAATTTAATGAATCCAGAAGCTGTTTTTTTGAAAAGCTCAACAAAATAGATAGTACACTAGCAAGACTAATAAAGGAGAAGAGAGAAGAATCAAATAGATGCGATAAAAAATGATAAAGGGGATATCACCACTGATCCCACAGAAATACAAACTATCATCAGAGAATACTATAAACACCTCTACGCAAATAAACTAGAAAATCAAGAAGAAATGAATAAATTCCTGGACACATACACCTTCCCAAGACTAAACCAAGAAGAAGTTGAATCCCTGAATAGACCAATAACAGGCTCTAAAAATGAGGCAATAATTAATAGCCTACCAACTAAAAAAAGTCCAGGTCCAGATGGATTCACAGCCGAATTCTACCAGAGGTACAAAGAGGAGATGGTACCATTCCTTCTGAAACTATTCCAATCAATAGAAAAAGAGAGAATCCTCCCTAACTCATTTTATGAGGCCAGCATCATCCTGATACCAAAACCTGGCAGAGGCACAACAAAAAAAGAGTATTTTAGACCAATATCCCTGATGATCATCAATGGGAAAATCCTCAATAAAATACCGGCAAACCGAATCCAGCAGCACATCAAAAGGCTTATCCACCACGATCAAGTCGCCTTCATCCCTGGGATGCAAGGCTGGTGCAACATACGCAAACCAATAAACGTAATCCGTCACATAAACAGAACCAAAGACAAAAACCACATGATTATCTCAATAGATGCAGAAAAGGCCTTCGACAAATTCAACAGCCCTTCATGCTAAAAACTCTCAATATGTTAGGTATTGATGGAACATATCTCAAAATAATAAGAGCTATTTATGACAAACCCACAGCCAATATCATACTGAATGGGCAAAAACTGGAAGCATTCCCTTTGAAAACTGGCACAAGACAGGGATGCCCTCTCTCACCACTCCTATTCAACATAGTGTTGGAAGTTCTGGCCAGGGCAATCAGGCAAGAGAAAGAAATAAAGCATATTCAATTAGGAAAAGAGGAAGTCAAATTGTCCCTGTTTGCAGATGACATGATTGCATATTTAGAAAACCCCATCGTCTCAGCCCAAAATCTCCTTAAGCTGATAAGCAACTTCAGCAAAGTCTCAGGATACAAAATCAATGTGCAAAAATCACAAGCATTCCTATACACCAATAACAGACAAAGAGAGAGCCAAATCATGAGTGAACTCCCATTCACAATTGCAACAAAGAGAATAAAATACCTAGGAATCCAACTTACAAGGGATGTGAAGGACCTCTTCAAGAACTGCAAACCACCGCTCAACGAAATAAAAGAGGACACAAACAAATGGAAGAACATTCCATGCTTATGGAATCAATATCGTGAAAATGGCCATACTGTCCAAGGTAATTTATAGATTCAATGCCATCCCCATCAAGCTACCAATGACTTTCTTCACAGAATTGGAAAAAACCACCTTAAAGTTCATATGGAACCAAAAAAGAGCCTTCATTGCCAAGACAATCTTAAACCAAAAGAACAAAGCTGGAGGCATCACGCTACCTGACTTCAAACTATACTACAAGCCTACAGTAACCAAAACAGCATGGTACTGGTACCAAAACCAATGGACCAATGGAACAGAACAGAGGCCTCAGAAATAACACCACACATCTACAACCATCTGATCATTGACAAACCTGACAAAAACAAGCAATGGGGAAAGGATTCCCTATTTAATAAATGGTGCTGGGAAAACTGGCTAGCCATATGTAGAAAGCTGAAACTGGATCCCTTCCTTACACCTTATACAAAAATTAATTCAAGATGGATTAAAGACTTAAATGTTAGACCTAAAACCATAAAAGCCCTAGAAGAAAACCTAGGCAATACTATTCAGGACACAGGCATGGGCAAGGACTCAATGACTAAAACACCAAAAGCAATGGCAATGAAAGCCAAAATTGACAAATGGGATCTAATTAAACTAAAGAGCTTCTGCACAGCAAAAGAAACTGCCATCAGAGTGAACAGGCAACATACAGAATGGGAGAAAATTTTTGCAATCTACTCATCTGACAAAGGGCTCATATCCAGAATCTACAAAAACTTAAACAAATTTACAAGAAAAGATCAAACAACCCCATCAAAAAGTGAGCAAAGGATATGAACAGACACTTTTCAAAAGAAGACATTTATACAGCCAACAGACACATGAAAAAATGCTCATCATCACTGGCCATCAGAGAAATGCAAATCAAAACCACAATGAGATACCATCTCACACCGGTTAGAATGGCGATCATTAAAAAGACAGGAAACAACAGGTGCTGGAGGGGATGTGGAGAAATAGGAACACTTTTACACTGTTGGTGGGACTGTAAACTAGTTCAACCATTGTGGAAGACAGTGTGGCGATTCCTCAGGGATCTAGAACTAGAAATACCATTTGACCCAGCAATCCCATTACTGGGTATATACCCAAAGGATTATAAATCATGCTACTATGAAGACACATGCACACAAATGTTTATTGCGGCACTATTCACAATAGCAAAGACTTGGAACCAACCCAAATGTCCAACAATGATAGACTGGATTAAGAAAATGTGGCACATATACACCATGGAATACTATGCAGCCATAAGAAAGGATTCTTTCATGTCCTTTGTAGGGACACGGATGAAGCTAGAAACCATCATTCTCAGCAAACTTATCACAAGGACAGAAAACCAAACACCACATGTTCTCACTCATAGGTGGGAATTGAACAATGAGAACACTTGGACACAGGGAGGGGAACGTGACACACTGGGGCTTGTCATGGGGTGGGGGGATGGGGGAGGGATAGCATTAGGAGAAATACCTAATGTAAATGATGAGTTAATGGGTGCAGCAAACCAACATGGCGCATGTATACATACGTAACAAACCTGCACGCTGTGCACCTGTACTCTAGAACTTAAAGTATAATTTAAAAAAAAGATTAAAAAATAGTTATAATGCCATGATCAATTGAAAATATATTCACAAATTCTTTAATATTTCTATTATCTAGAGATGGAGTCTGTATTTCCTGCCCTTGAACCAGGGCAGGACTTTGTGGCTGCATTTTAAATCTCTAGCCTGTAGAACACATTTGTCCCTGAAAGCCAAGGCATTGCAATACCCCTACTTAAATGGTGTGACAGATTATCTCAGCACTTAGCATCACTTTTGCCCCTTTTACACTCTTTTCTGGTATCATGGGGCAGGAAGCCTGGGAACTACATTTCCTACAATCCCACCCCATCAGTTATAGTAGAGATAACAAATGAGAGGCACACAAGTGATATTCAAAAGATGGAAAGGCCGGGCACAGTGGCTCATGCCTGTAATTCTGGCACTATAGAAGGCTGAGGTGGGTGGATCTCTTAAGATCAGGGGTTCAAGACCAGCCTGGCCAACATGGCGACACCCCGTCTCTACTAAAACTACAAAACTTTGCCGGATGTGGTAGCGCATACCTGTAATCCCAGCTACTAGGGAGGCTGAGGCAGGAGAATTGCTTGAATCCAGTGGATGGAGGTTGCAGTGAGTCAAGATCTTGCCACTGCCCTCCAGCCTGCACAACAGAGCAAGATTCGGTCTCAAATTAAATACAGGTGGAAAGGAGGCAGAATGTATTGTTGCAATAGAAATGCTGGTGGCAGACTAGCAGCAGTTGCTAGGTTCGGCTACCTCAGACTTCATACTCCTCCGTTATTCTTCTTTTCGGGGGCTGTGCAATGACTGTGACGTCAACAGTAGCATTCTGCACTTTGCTGTAATCTATTGATTCCCTATATTAAGTTTCTTTCTGCTGGAAATATTTAACATAGTTTGGTTTCATGACTACACACTCTGACAAATACACCTGAGAACAGTCATAAGGGTGTCTTACCTAGTAAATGGAGCTTCAGCAGCCCATTCTTCCTTTACCAGAAAAGAGACAATCCAGTGTCTGGAAGTCAAAATTGCTAGGATACACTTTTTCTATTGCATGGGAGGGTTGGAGGGTAGTGTTGCTATACTAAAACTAAATCCTCCCCCACCATGATGTTCAAAGACTAAAGGGAGGTGGATATTTCTGACAGACATGCTATGTGCTTGAATGTCAGCTTATTACACACAGGGGTGAAGCAGGGTTTTATAAAGAAAGAGAACTCTGTGTGAGCCGTCCCTAGGGAGATATTATAAATCAAATCGTGATTCAGGCATTTCTGTGTCCTCAAGCCAAACACTATCTAGTAGTGTCCCAGACCCCATTTAAAGTCCTAACAAGAGAATTGTAATACCGATAATTAAATTCTGAAAGAAATGAGGTCATTGTTTTGTTGTCATAATAAAAGGATTTTGGTTTGCACAGTGTCTGGAGGAGGCACGTGTCCATGTGTTTTCAAGCTTTGTCCAGTAAAACAGTGTGCCTGTGACAATTAGTACTGACTTTTTACCAAACATATGCTTAGAAATAAGGATAATTTATTATAATAATCATAAATACAGGATTAAAGAGGAAAAAGTACTTTTTTTGTTCTATTGTATATGTTCTGTGGCAGTAGACTAGACAGCTAATAATTTAGACATCTGAGAGGACCACCTACCAGAACAGAGGGTCTTTACTCTTCTGACAAATAAACTAGTAGGTACCCAAAGATTGAGGCCCAGAAGAAAACAGAGAGAGAGGCTTTGTTTTAAAATGTACTGGGGTTTGTTTTGATCACTTATAGTAAGACGTGAGCCTGACAATGACTGTCATGAAGGAAGAAGGTGTTTGCACTCACAGTTCCCTAGAAATAGGAGGCACAGCAATGCAGGGAAGTCGCTTGTGGAAGCCAGGCAGGGGGCACAGGGGAAAAGCAGGGGTCAGCGCCTTTACTGCAGTTTTGTGGAAAGGAATGGGCAAGGCAGGAAAATAGGCTAAGCAGGTTTAGAATTGTCTTGTTGAATCATTTCAGCAGGCTCTGGGGTGTAGGAGCTGTTTGGAATTGTCTAGCACCTCGCCCTGGGCTGATTAGGGCAAGAAACTATTGGCCTGGAGTGGAAGGGTCCCACAGAGGTAGGGGGCTAGTTACAGTAGGCTTTGAATTGCTTAGTTTGCATATAAAAGAGACCCTCCCAGGTAACACTGTTTGATATCTGCAGGAATTAACTAATGCTGGGAGAGGCCATCCCTCCAGATCTGTGAGGCCCAAGATGCCAGAGCATCAGGAATACAGAAAATAAGAAAATAAAGTTCAAGTAGGTTTACAGTGAAAGTTTTTCTTGTTAGTTCCCAACTATACACCCTAGCACGAGTCCCAGAATTTCTACAGTCCTGGTTTACAGATGATACTCTCAGCAGAGGCAGAGTGACTAGGCTTCTCAATTTATTCATATGGATAATAAAGTGGCTCAAATAAAATGAATATTTATTATAAGGCCATAAAGCCATTTCACAAAAAATGAAGCAGAGGTGAATCTCCCAGGAATAGGAGCTGAGATCCAGGGAACCACTGAAGATAGAAGTTTCTCTCTCTTTGTCTCAACTGCATATAATCTTCCTCATCTATGATCATTGGCTACTGTCCACAGACAGGATCAAAATGCCCAGGGCCCAAGTCTACAGACCCATTTACTTCATAGGCCCACATCCATTTGACTAGAGACTCTGTGTCTCAGAAAATACATTTGCCTACAGGCTAGCCAACAGATTGACAGCCACCTGGATAGGTGTTGGTCCCTGGTCCAATCAGGGAAAAGGCTATGACATTAGACGAACTTGAACAGAGAGACTCATCTCTTCAGCAAGGGTGAGCATGGAGCTGACAGTGCTGTAGATAGGCCAGGCAGGCACCCTGAAACTACACCACCTCTGTTAGCTAAGAAATATAATTCTTCTTGACATTGAAGAAATTGCTAAAAATTGTGACAGGACTTGTGGCTGTTAACCTATTCAGAGGGAAAGATGGTAGTACCGAATGCTGCTCACTAAATATTCCCAGCTCTCTGCCCTCCGGCACATAGCACTCTATGGCTCCCAGTGGTTGGTGGAGGCCATGTAACTATTCTGGCCAATGAACTGAAAGCACAAACAATGTATGCCACTTTCCTGTTGAATGTTTATCTCTTGGCATGATTTCCTCTGAGCTCTCTTTGTCCCTGCCATGGTAGCATCCTCCTGATAGCGACTATTCTATCAGCCTGGGACCCAAAGCAGGGACAACACATGGGTTGTCAGAAGAACAAGAAGTCAACTTCCTTGTTAGCCACTGAGATTTGGAGTTTGTTATAGCATAACACAACCAATGCCAACTGGTTTAATAAATCCAAAAAGTTGTACTTATTAAGTAGAACCCAACAAATGCTATTAACTTTAATCATCCCTCAGTTCTGGGGAGAGCAGAGGAGACCTTATGCACTATCTTTTCTACTATTCATCTCAAATCTTTCCTAATCTATCATTTGTGGGGTAGGGTTTCACTTCCCTGCTTCCTAATTCATAAACTATCATGTTTATCATTATTTGGTCAGATTTCTGATTTTCTAGCTGATACCTCCCATTCTAATCCAAATTTGCTTTCTCCCCTCTGCCAGGGAGTTCTCATGACATGTAGCTAGGGCCTCACTTTGTGGCAATTTTATAAGCCTCTCATTAAACATTGGCACTGCCTCAGTTGCTTTCTGCACTGATTCTCCCAGGACTGGACCCCTGCCTACTCCCCAACTCAGCCAGCTTATGACTTGACCCTCTCACCTGATTTCTACCAACCTTTCCTCAGCTGATTTCTTTCTGGGGAGAGATTGGTAGAAATCAGGTGAGAGGGTCATGCCATAAGCTGGCTAACACTTTCATGCATTAATTAATACAGGAATCATAGCTATCATCTTAATCTATCACTCTCGTATCTATCTGATACTATGCATTAACGTTCTCAAAAGGCAAATTCCAACTAGAACAGTGTTTCTCAAATACCAATCAGTGGGCCAGAAGCAACAGAATTAGCTCAGTAACTCACTAGAACTCCAGGGTAGGTGCTTTAGTAGGTCTAAAAATATAAAGCAGAACATTTCTATGTTTGTTTGTTTTTATAACTTCCCCCAGGTGAGTCTGATGCACAAAAAAGTTTTGAACCCCTGGAACAGATCATTCTGTAGCTGCTTGAACTTCATAATTTGAACTATTTACCTCAACCTGGAGGCAGGCCTGGCTTTCTTGATCCCTTGTTTCAATTTTGACAATGTTCACCTTCTGCTCTGGCCAGGAGCTCCCAGGATGCCAGTAAACCAGACCTTACCACTCACCTCTGTATATAATGGCATCTCAAATTCCTTATTCACTTTTTGTACTTCTGGGTTACAAACATACTGGTGATTTTATATTATGATTTTTACAAATGGGTGAAATATGGTTTCTGGGCCTATAAAGTCAAGCACTAGATTCTAGATTCAAGGTCTCTCTACCAATTTGCCAAACCCCAGTGAAGTACTGCTTAAAGTTCTCAACTGGTCTTACCTCCTAACAATTGATAATTCACACAGCAATTGTCAAACCATCATATGAATTAACCAGTAAATCCCATTCTCTGCCAGTACTAGAGAGTTCTTTCAGAGTTTTTAGAGAGAAAGTATAGCATAATATAAGCCACAGATTCCAGAACCAGATTGCCTGACTGAAGTCCTAACTGCGCTGTTTATTAGCTGGTGATCTTGCACAAGTTACTTAGCTTGCCTCTGTCTCAGTTTTCTACTTCCTAGGCTTGTTACAAGAGTTAAAGGGACTGATACCTATAAGAAATCTTGTGCTTAGTATGTATTCAATGAACATTTAACCATTACCATGATTCTTACTTTTTAGTTATAGGCTATTTATTTACAACCACTTGTATATGAAACTTTCAACTGCACGCTTACCTTTGGGTACCTCTTGTAATTGATTCACCGGTAACTCACATGTCATTATGCTCTCTCATGCTAAAGCTCAGTCAGTAAGTAAATTGTTTCTTGGCCTCTAAGGACATGCATACCTCATTCAACTGCCGTAACCCAAATGCATGCAGATATCAAGCAAAGCAAACTGGTAAAAACTATGGCCAACTGGGGAACACAAACTTCATCTAAAAGGTCAGCCACTTCTCAGTCCAGCCTAATATTTCCATGCCTGAATGCAAACCCAATGCTTCCTTCTGTCTTTTCAAAAAGAAGCCAGAAATTTAGACTTTCATGGTCAATTTCCCAATTTGTAAATGTTGTCAAAGAAAAAAAGAAAGAAAGGAGGAAACAAAGAGAGGAAGGAAGGAAGGAAGGAAGGAAATAAATTCTTAAACGTCATGCTGGCCAAAACATATATGTAAGCCAATTTGATCCAAAGCTGCCAATTGGCTCCCTGTGCAATTAAAAAAAAAGTCAAATATAAAATTGAATGTGTGTACTGATGCAAAAAAGGAGTATGAAACCCGATAATATCAGCTTGGTCAAATTAAATATGCATGTAATGCCCTAAAAATATGTATTTAATACATTGTTTATTAGAACTAACATAAAGAAATTAGAAAAAATATAGCTATTTATGTTTTACTCCTAAAGCCAATGCAAGGTTTGTGGTAAAACCTGATGATGATCATCTTCTATGAAACAGAATATTCTTTTCACACTCATAACAGGAAGCGAGCAAAGATGTGTTTAGGAACATAAATGCTGGATCCAGACTGCCTGAATTTAGATCTTAGTTCTGCCTCTTGCTGGGTGAATACCCTCTGATGTCTTCATTTGGATTGCTTCCCCAACCTGTCTGTGCCTCAGTTTCCTCACCTGTGAAATGGATATAAGAACAGCACTTACCTCATAGGTAGTTCTCTGACAATTCAATGACTTAATTATTATAAAGCATTTAAAACAGTGCCTAGCATATAGTAAGCCCTATATAAATATTTGTTAAATAAATTATGGCTTTTGTTCAACCAAAATTTTACTTCCTAAATACTTATAAAATATCATAAGGCAGGCTAATATTTTTTTTAAACGCTGCAAATTCAACTACAGGAAACCAAATTCTCTCCAGTGCTTTAAACTAGAGCTAAATGTCCAAGTGAATATTACTGTTGTTGGTGACAACTCTCCAGCACTTGGATATAATTCTAACAGAAGGAAAAAATGCAAGTTGTTGTCAGGGACAATTGAGTATCTGATGGCTTGATGGCTTCTGAGGTCTCTTTTATATATCCATAAACGTGTTATTTGTCTTACTTGGCAGTGAAGCTCATGGAAAACTGAACTCTCTCCCTAGAGTCCTTAGCTTTTTATTAGATTCAGGATTTCCTGAAGCCCATTCACATACCTCAAATTAAGAAGGCCCAAGTTAGGACATTTTATTATTTTGTTATTCTAGTTAGTTGATGCCTAAAGTGTAGGCAGGATGCCCTGGGACATGAGGTGCAGAGGTACGGGCCTTAGCAAGCAGTACCAGGTAGGAGAAATGGGAAGAAAGTCACTCTCACGGTCAAGGCTGTTTATTCCCTCTCCTAGAGGGCCGCAGGGTGAGAAGATATATGGCAGACACACCTGAGAGCATTAACTCAAGCATACCCTATGAATGACCTACCGTCTAAGAAAAATGTGTGTTAGGAGTTCTGAGCTAAGGAATCCGGGAGTGGCCAACCCAGAGATTCACTCCTTCTCTATGAAGAACATATGAATCCCTGGCCCATCCCTTAGAATGCAGGTCATGCAGAGGATTGAGGCCCTATGTTTTGGGTTAAATGGAGTTTGCTAGGTGGAGGTTGCTAGGTGGAGGGGGTTAAATGAACATTTTTATATAAACTCCATGATCTTTACAAGTGGTAGCACTTTTCCTGTCCATCCGACCACTCCCTGACTGCCCTGTATGTACGTCCTTGATAAAGTCTATATCTTATTCACTTGGGTCTCTTCTTTGGGCTCTTGGACATGGTGCATTGGTGCCTTCCCTACTGGAGTCAATAGGGGTCTGGCACCACAGTAGAGCACTTCTGTAGAATTAAGAAGCTTGAGGCTCTAGTCTGGACATTGGTACTAACAAGTTGTGTAATCCTGGCCAAGTACCTTCCACTCTTGGAGGAAGTACCTTTAGAAGGTACTTCCTTAAAATGAGGTGGTTTGACCAGGTGATCTTTAAGATGCTTTGAACAGTATGTGTCATCTTTATACTAGAGTAAAACTGTTACCGGAAAGGGGTCCCAATCCAGAACCCAAGAGAGGGTTCTTGGATCTTGTGCAAGAAAGAATTTGAGGTGAATCCATAGGGTTAAGTGAAAGCAAGTTTATTAGGAAAGTGAAGGAATAAAGAATGGCTACTCCATAGGCAGAGCAGCTCCGAGGGCTGCTGGTTTCCCATTTTTATGGTTATTTCTTGATGACATGCTAAACAAGGGGTGGATTATTAATATTCCCCTTTTTTAGACCATATATGGTAACTTCCTGACATTGCTGTGGCATTTGTAAACTGTCAGGCACTGGCGGGACTGCAGCAGTGAGGAAGACCAGAGGTCACTCTCATTCCCACCTTGGCTTTGGTGGGTTTGGGCTGGCTTTTTTACTGCAAACCTGTTTTATCAGCAAGGTCTTTATGACTTGTATCTTGTGCTAACTTCCTATCTCTGTGACTAAGAATGCCTTATCCTCCTGGGAATGCAGCCCAGTAGGGCTCAGCCTTATTGTACTCAGCCCCTTTTCAAGATGGAGTTGCTCTGGTTCAAACGCCTCTGATAAAAGAAAAAGATAAGTCTTGAAAGTATGTGTTTGGACCAGAAGAACGTCAAGGCTATACACATGGGTTACATTTTCAATGATTTATTTGTGTAATTTAAATAAGAAATATTGCAGCATGCTTCACTATTTAAACAGCACAAAAGATTGTATAATAAGGAAAAAATTATTTCTCCTCCTCTGCCTTCCACATACTTTGGTTCTGCTTCCCCAGGTTACCAGAGATATGTATACCTCTCCCCACTCCCCTTCCTATTTTTAAACTACAAATGGTAACAGATGTATATATTATTTTGCTTCTTGTTTCTTTCTTTATCAGGATATCTTAGAGGACGTTCCATGTCAGTACATATGCATCTTGTTTACTCTTTTTAAAGCCACATTTTATTTCATTACATAGATATACATATTACATAGAGATGAATAAAACTGTTTCCCTATTAAATAATATTTATATTTACAAAAGAGTCACCAGCATTTTGCATCGATGAGCAATTCTAAATAAATCCCTTTATACACCTCTTTGTACAGATGAACCTGATGAAAGGGAAGAGTATTTGGTTTTCTAGGGATTCTTAGATTCTTCATAATAGAGATTAAAAAGAGGAAATAGTATGTTTCTGCCTAAGGAAGTAGACTAAGTTCTCATTTAGAGAACTATTTAACCCATGTGCCTCAGACAATTAGATTTTTCTCCCTTTACTTTAGCAAGAAACAACATTTAGTTTTTTGTTTTAAAGAAAAAATTATCAAAAACTTTTAGGGGTAATAAGATGATTTCAAGACTCTCCTTGGGAAGCTGCTTGTTGTTCTGATTCGAGGCTGTCATTAGTGGGCTGTTTTTCAGCAAAATTGCACTAATATGTTTGACAGAAAACAAATAACAAACAGATTCTTCCAAAAATGCTAACCAGATTTTATCAAAGAATGTATACTCTCTGAAATATGTTGGCTCAATTTAGAAAGAAAAGAAGAATTTCATCATTTTCTTCCTTGGAACAAATACAATAAATAGCTTTGTTACTCTTAACTTTCCAACAAGTAAACGAAGACTCAGAGGCTATCCAATTTAAAATTATGTTTGGTCAAGAAGTCAACGTTGTTAAGAAAGCACTCATGTGGGTCACTTTTTTCTTTGATTAATTTGCTCACACATCTTGTAGCTTAAACAAACAACACACCACAGAGTCTAAAATTCCAAGAACTGGTGTGGATTTGAAGAAATATACACCCTAGTTTAATCCCTTTGCTTAAGAGATTGTGGGACGGAGGGGGGGGCTATGGCAATGCATAATTTGTTATAGATCTGTAACATGAGTAGTCCCAGACCTTATTAGTTTGTGTTTATAAATGGGATTAAATTAACATCATAACTTACACTTCATTGGCTCTAATTCATCTTGCCTAAGACGTTATAGGGGTGGGAAAAATGACTTATCGCTACCTTCTTAGGTTCTTTGGCTGGGCTATGAATTAAGTTAACATAAATCAAATCATTGGGAGAAAAATAATTTTAATTATGCACATATGCCAGGGATACCCACAAAAATATGAGACTGTAAGAAGGAACAGATGATTAAAGCTCCCTGAGTTAGACGGAATAGGAGTTTGGGGCTGCTGGGGTGATGGTAGCCACAAATTATGGGAGTGTGAGAGGAGGAAATGTATGGTGAATAAAAGTTGTCTTGTTATGCAAATAAGAGCCCCGAGGTGATAAAAGTTGTCATAGGAACAGCTTTCTTCCTGGTACAAATACCTATATTAATGAAAATTTCCTTTATAGATAAAAATTTTCTTTACAAAAGGGCAACTATTAAGAGCCACTCTTGTGTCCACAGTTTCTCAAAGTAACAAGCTCAAAATAATCAATATACCAAAAAGGCATATTTTGGGGTGGCCTATCCTGGTCTTCTGCAGTCATATGTTGGGGTTTTCCCTGCAAAACTTGCATCTAGCTCTGGATTGGATTTGGTCTTCTAAGCACTACACCATCTCCTCATAAACACAGATCTGACATTTGCCTGGAGTCCTCTTTTCCGTGACTCAGATGACCCAAGGACCAACTGGGGAATCCCATATTTCAGACAGATACCAGGCTGTCTTCATCACGTTGGAACTGCTCCACCCCCTAAGAACCCATGTAAAGTCTTTTTCTCCAGCAGGTGTCCTCTTGCTAATAACAATTCATCGAACCTATTCGAAGTAGTCTGAAACCTATTCAAAATAATTCAGGATAGGCGAGGACCACTCTCTTACTCTCCCATACCCTCCCCTATCCTCTACTCCTCTCCAACGCTCCCAACCCTACCTTTTCAACAACCACATTATACATCAGAAAATTCTTTTATTTGACTCTGATTAATAATTACCTTGATCCTACAAAGTAGTGTTAATACCTTTCAGCAATAAATTAAGAAATTTTCCTAGATATACAAAATTATCAATACAACCAAAATAATTTTCTTCTAGAACCTCCAAATTTTTAAAACATTCATGTCAATTACTCTCCCAATAGTTGTTTCCTAGTATATCAATTTTTGTATAGTGTTTATTACATTTTTGCAAGTACGTGTGTACTCCAGATTCTTAGAGCATCTTTATTCTAAACTCTCTCAGTAATCAAATGTTTTGTTTGGTGAATTCTCACTGTGCATGTGAAGCCAGACCTTGAGGTGTGGTACTGCTAGGGAATTTCCAGTCACCAATTATTAGAAAACACTCTGCCTTCAGGTACGTGCCTGTGCTTTCACATATATTGGCAAAATACCATGATCAATAGCTGTTGAGAGGCTTCATTGTTTGTTTGTTTTTTACTCCCTTGAATTATTCTTCTAGCCTGGCTAGAATGTTCCTTTTGTCTTGTGACTATAATTAGCCCAAAGAACTTGGAAGTTAAATCATCTAAATCTACTTGATTTATTTTCCTCAGTGTAAATGCAAATGATTTCTTTTTGTTGGGTTACTGTAACTGAACCCTTAAGGCCTTTCTCATGTCTCATGTCTTTTAAATGAAGCTTGGCCAACTTTGGCTTCAGCATTACATTTCTAAAATTTACTAGGTGGAAACATGTGACTGTATATGAAGATTGTGCATGAAAAATGGAATCTATCCACTAGAATTCTCCAAAACTCCTCCTAACAGACTCATTCTGGCTCAAAAATGAAATCACATGTACCATGAGTCAAAAGGTGACCCCTCCAGAGATGACAAATCTGAGTTCTGCCATACTATGCCAAACATTTTCATTGGCAAGCTCTGGGATTTCAGTGTGTGACCTCCTTAGGCCAACTTCTGCATCAAGTAGTAGGAAAAATATGTATTCACTATAGTCCCAGCTACTCGGGAGGCTGAGGCAGGAGAATCACTTGAATCTGGGAGGCTGAGGTTGCAGTGAGCTGAGATCACGCCACTGCACTCCAGCCTGGCAACAGAGCAAGACTCGGTCTCAAAAAAAAAAAAATGTATTCATGGGGCATACTTCTGAAGTCATGTGACAGCAATTATTAAACCCCAATAGTATAGCAAGAGTATGTGCTTGGCAGTGTCTTGAATGGGCATGACCTACATTTGTGGTCTTTCATTCCATTTATTCCCATCAAGCCTGGGTAATTTCTGTGATAGTAAAGCCAACCTGAAGCGAGAGTGTGACTAGAATTAACCCGAAGAACTTGGCAATTGCATCTTCTAAATCTACCTGACTTATTCTGCTCAGTGAAATGGAAATGATTTCTTTTTGTTGGGTTACTGTAACTGGACACTTAAGGCCTTTCTCATATCTCATGTCTTTTAAATGAAACTTTGCCAACTTTGGCTTCAGTGTTACACTCCTAAAATTCAGGAGGTGGAAACCTGTGACTGTACGTAAAGATTATACATGAAAAATAGAATCTATCCACTAGAATTCTCCAAAGCTCTTCCTAACAGAATCATTCTGACAAACATATTGTACCAATATATATATTATATATATATATTATATATACTTTATATTTGCTTTGCATCTGTTAAAATTGATTAAGCAGCAAGGCATGAAATACAGCTCACGGAGTTTTTTTAATAAGAAAGAAAAACTATACCCCAACTTGTGAAGATGTCTCTAAAATGTAGACAATATACTGAAGATGAGTTAACATTAAACTTAGGGGAAATGTTAAGCTTAGTAATAAACAAAGAGATCATTTGTAGCAAATAACGATCCCAGACTAGGAGAGTGCCACTATTTGCACACAGGGAAACTAAGCAGTCCACTCACTCTTCTTGTATTAGAAGCAGAATCTCTTCTTTCCAGAGAGATTGGAAGTCTATCCACAAAGATACTAATGGAATCCTTAAAGCCAGCTAATGCTACTTTATCTTACATGCTAAGGATCTTGGGTCACTCACATAACTTGTTGGGGGCTCAGAAAACATCATTGCATAATATGCCCCTTTGTATGCAAACTGAGAGCATCTGGGAAGTAGCAAATGCAGGGAAGGGAAGGGCTTTTTCTGAGGCTCCTCCGTCTAACTAAAGGCCAGATCTTTCAGAAGATAGTCAACTTCTGTAAATTTCTTCCCCACATATTCTCATCAACTAAAGGAAATTGATGCATATCACAGGAAGGAAGACTGGAGTTGGCACCACACCAGAGGCCAGGAGAACTTTGTCCTGGACAACTGTCTGTTCTTCAGGCCCATTCACCTCTCTTAAATTTATTTACTCTTCCCCTAACATTGCCTACAGCTCTCCTATGAAGAGGAAGGGTGTTTGAGCTTCAACCATCTGGCCTTTGTTTGAGTCACATATTTTGTGTGACTCCCATGCACAAGTGCACATAATAAATATGTATAGCTTTTTTCCTGTTAACCTGTCTATTGTCAGTTTATTTCAGCAGACTCAGTTATTGAACCTTCAGAGGAAATGTTTGAACTTTCCAACAAACCTAAAACTCTCTTCATCCTCCTTCTCCCCTTACCGCACCTTTTGTTATTCTCCTTCATTCATACATTGAACAAATAAACATTTTCCTCACAAACCGAAATTCCCACTCTTCCTCTCCTTCTAAAAGACTTTACAACGATCATTTGTGTAAGATGACCAGAGAAATGGTTATCCAAACTGGCATGTTATAGACAGAACGAATGGTCAGCCAGACAGGATCCCAAGGCATTAAGCAATAAAACATGACTTCTATGAAAACAGGAACTTATCCTCCCTATGCACAACTACTTAACAATCAAGCTTCTCTACATCTTTAATCTGAAACTTACCTACCATTTCCCCTACCATCCTCTCAAAGGCTGGAGAGGAGATTGTGTCAGCATTCTTCTTACTCTCCAGTGCTATGTACTGAAATCTTTTTTCTTTGAAACACATTCCATGACTCTGTCTGCTCCTTTCTCTCTCTCTCTCTTCCTTACTCTCTTCTTTTCCCTTCTACTGTATTTCTTTAACAAATTTGGCTACTGTTTACTAAAGCTTCTTACATCTTGTTCAGTTTTTCTCTCCATTTTTTGCATGACTTCAATATGCAAGCAGAAAACCTGTTCCATAACATAACCTTTTCCTTAGCATAACTGGTCTGTTTCATCAAAACTCCCATGAGAGAGCAAGGGAAAGTGTGCTCATTGAGTGCATTCTTCAGCTTAGTTTTCCACAAAGAAAGTTATGATTCCAAAGACTTTCATACATTTTGGGTAGTCTCACATCGTTTTAGTCTGTGTTAGTGGTACTTTTACCCATGGAAGTCTCTAAATATTTTTTTGTAATTTTCCTGTGAATCTGATTAGCATACATGTCATTTGGCAAAATTCACACCACTGGCTACAGAAAAATAAAGATCAAGCTTTTAAAGAATGAAAGTTAGTTTTACTCAGAATTCTTACTGAGGACTAACCAGCGGGGCCTCTGTAGCCCTAGAGCAGTTCCGTCAGACTGCTGCAGCCCAGTATTTCATCCCACTGCTCATATACAAGTAGTGAGGGTTCAGTATGTGTGAAATCACATTAAACTTGCTCAGAAGTTACACTGAGGCAGAATCATATCAAGGTTTGAGTGTAAGAGCATATCTGGTTATAGATTACAGAGGCGTAATTACTAACCCCTTGAGATGTTTTTTATTTGCAGGGAAAGGCAAGGACTAGAGTCATTTATCTTTTAAGGAATATAGTGACACAGGCCAGAGACATGGGGGGCTGCGTGCTCTATCCTGTTTTGTGTTCAAAGCATTTCTGCAGAGAGCTGCACATTGTTACAGAGGCAGGGGCTTTGTGAAATCATGCTGGCAAGCAGAAATGAGTAAACATGTCTTCTTACATTTGTTCCTTTATCTCACAACACCCATAATTCTTTTGAAACAGGCCCTGTTCTCTAGACTCAATCAGTGCTACTTTGATTAGGTCAGGCAGCTGGGAGATGAGACCCTTATGATTCCTAGCAGACTTTTGTAGGCTCAGAGGTATACCATGGACCACTTTAATTCCTTCAGAGGTCTTAACAAGAGTTCTTTCATCCACACGCTTGATTTGATCATTTCCTTAATCCCAATATTACTTTGATGAATTTTTAACTGACTCAACTAGATGAAGATGATAAATAGCTTTATTTTTCCAACCGTGTAAGTCCTAGTTCCTCTCTATTCCCTCTAAATTCTGCTTGCAAAGTGGCCAGTGTTTTGTCTGTCTCATCTGTTTTATGTAGCATTTTATCATCTGCAGCTAATAAAAGATAGTTGACCATTTTAATATTTTGTGTAGAAATCTTCTTGCTCAAATCCAAAAAGTTTATTTAAATACATTTTTCGTTTTTGCAGTTACCACAGGTGACAGTTTTACACGTTTTGTCACTATTAATGGGACACAATTTTTCCAGTTTGCTATGGCAGTTTCCTTAGTTCTCTTCCAGCCTTTGCTAAGTTTCCTTGCCACTTTAAAGCCTATGCTTGTCACCTGAATCAGAAGCTGGTGCCACGTACTTCAAGGGTTTGTTATGCCAGAATTCTGCTTCAGGATACCAAATTCCATATCAATTATTTATTACCACAATGTAGTGCTGCATAACAAATCACCCCAAAACTTAGTGGTTAAAATGGAAACCATTTAGTATTTCCCACAGATCTCTGGATAGCCTCGAACCCTTGCAAGCTATGAAAATGGCACTAACATATTTATTAAATAAAAAAATTGTTAGAGCTAAATATTTCACTGAAACTCCAGAGGCATTCTTTAGGCTTTGTATAGTACATGGTTTAAATTTGTTCTGAGGAAATAAGGTCTCAACCGTGTCAATAGTGATGATAGTTTTTGGTACAATTCAAAGATTGTATGAAATATTTTCTGGATCTGACAAAATATGGAACATCCTGATAAAAATACATGTTTAATGTGACTTTATAACCACTTCAGATGCAATATAGAAATGAAACTAGACAAGATTTTATATGAACAAAATGCAAATTGATTTATAATAGATAAAATAGGTAATGAACTATGAGAGTTAGGCAAAATCACAGAAGGTACCCAAACATGGAGAAAATCGCTTTGGCAAAAATTGAAATATTTTGCTAGCCTTAGTTATTTATTATGAAGTTGTTTGGTACTAAAGATGTTAGCAAAATTTACAAAAAGGAAAAAAAAACAGGCTGATCTAAGATGGGCTATTGACTTTTTTAAAGTATATAATTTTTTTATTTTTATTTTTAGAGTTAAAATACATTCAAACAATGCAGCAAAGTGCTATTCCAATAAAATCTTTGGAATTTAAGGGAAAAGCAAAAACTTTTGTAATTTTGACTAGGAAGAAGAAGTTCATGTCTAAGAATCTCAAAAACAACTTTGCGTGTGTGTGTGTGTGTGTGTGTGTGTGTGTGATCTCACTCTGTCACCAAGGCTAGAGTGGTGCAATCACAGCTCGCTGCAGCTTCAAACTTGGGAGCTTAAGCAATCCTCCTGCCTCAGCCTCTGGAGTAGCTGGAACTACAGGAGTACGCCACTGTGTCTGGCTACTATTTTTCTTTTGTTTTTTTTTTGTTGTTGTTATTGTTGCTGTTGTTTTAGAGACAAGGTCTAGCTTGTTACCCAAGCTGATCTCCACCTTCTGTCTTCAAGTGCTCCTCCCAACTTGGTCACTCAAAGTGCTGGGATTGCAGGCATGAGCCACCATGCCTGGCCTCAAAAGCAAATTCTAATGAAAATATTTTCTGCCCAGTGTTTTTCAACATAGGGTTTGACTGAGGAGACTTTTGAAAAACTTGAGGAATGTATCATTGTTTTTGGTTTGCTTTATAATATGCTAGTATTGAAAAACTCAGAAGATGAAAAAATTAAGAAATACCATATATATTGTAAATATATATTGTATATATATAGAAAGAGAGAGAGACAGAGACACAGAGAGAGAGAGAGCTCTGAAAGAAAGTGGAAGTCATGATATACATTATAAGAAAATTTAAACTAGTTTTAAGAATCTGTGATAGTGATTTGTCATAACTGATCACATTCTAATGTTTTAACATGGTATGAAACATTTTTGGTTCATTTCTGAATCTAAGTATTGCTTTAAGAACTTTTATTGACAATTTTAATAGCTACTGACTCAAAAGAATAGTTTTCCAACTTAAAATAAATAAAAATGTTATTTAATGAAAACTCAAGAAAGATTATCTTCTCATTAGCTTCATTAGAATGCAGATTATGTGAAAATTTTGATTACAACAATGATATGTGATTTTGCTGAAATAAAGGAAAGTAAATTTCACAAAATATTTAAGATAATTTGTCTTTATATTACCATCTATCCAAAATTGCTAACCCTTCAGCAGAACACTCAGATGTATAACCGTAATTGTTACAGGCATCTCTATAATCATAGATGTATACATGAGTTTCTACTTTGTATTAGAAAGGTATATTTATATTATAAAGCTACATTTATTATATTTTCAGTTATATGAAAATATAGCTTTGCATGTATTTTTTAATTTTATTAGGGTTGGGCAGGAGCTAGAGATAAAGGTATTGGAGTCATCACTTGGATTCATAGACATGGATGAGCCGTAAAACTAATGGGGTCCTTAAAAATTATGTAATATAACCACTTCCTCTTAGATATTATGCCAGATGGTTTAACAGTAAAAAGAAGGCCTATCATGACTAATTTCATTTTGCTCCTAACCCCATCACTGCAGTCATTTCTTTTAGGTTAACTGCTTTTGCTTATCTCTGCATGTAGGCAAAGCGAACTATGAGAGGTATTTCATTTATAGTTTAAAGCAAGAATAATAATAGTTTCTTTCCCAGCACTAACCCCCTGAGGAGATAAGAGAGGATGCATGTGACTAACAATGTTATGCTAAAGATTTATAGGAACATTGTGACCTGACTTACATCATCCAAAGCCAACTGATTGAGAAGAAAGAAGATTGAGAACCTCCTCGGACCCTCACTGCCACCCAGATGTCCGTGGTCATAGGTCTATTGATCTTAATGCCCTCCCTCTTCCCCTAACATAAAAGGAAAATAAAATTCCTGAAATTCATATTTACTTAAGATGTTGCTTAAGGACACTAGTTTGTCATCTTCTCGGTTTGCTGGCTCTCCAAATAAAGTTGCCTTCCTTGCCCCAACACCTTGTCTCTGTACGTATTGGCTGTCATGCGGTGTATTAGTTCATTCTCACATTGCTATAAAGAAGTACCTGAGACTGGATAATTTATGAAGAAAAGAGGTTTAATTGACTCACAGTTTCTGCATGGCTGGGGAGGCCTCAGGAAAGTTACAATCACAGTGGAAGGCATAGGGGAAGTAAGCACACCTTCACATGGCTGGCAGGAGACAGAGTGAGAGCAAAGGGGGAAATGCTACACACTTTTTAACAACAAGGTCTTATGAGAACTGACTATCACAAGAACAGCAAGGGGGAAGGAAATCTGTCCCCGTGACCCAATCACCTCCCACCAGATCCCTCCGCAAACACTGGGGATTACAATTCAACATGAGATTTGGATGGGGACATAGAGCCAAACCACATCATGCAGTGAGTGATTATGAGCATTGGATTTGATTACAATGGCATTATTGTCCTGTTCAAAATGATCACAACTTGTTTGAATCACAGCTAAGACTAGAATTCCTAGTTTTTTCCATATAATGTTTGAATATAGGCTCTAGATTTTGTAACTTAAAATTCTTGAAATTAAAAGAAGGATCCTCAATTAATATTTAAATTGCAAGAATAGAATGCCTTAAATTAATTAAAATATTTTAATGAAAAATTGAAACCTCAACAAATATGCCTTCAGATGTGTGTGTGTGTGTGTGTGTGTGTGTGTGTGTGTGTGTAATGCCCATGTTCCAAGGCATTTTATATCTTAAAAATTTTATATCTTGAAAATTATTTCTTGTATTTGACATCTGATTAACCTTTCCTCAAATTAAAGTGCAGTTGACCCTTGAACAACATGAGTTTGAACTGTATGGATCCACTTATAGATGGATTTTTTCTTTCTTTTTTGTTTTTGGATTGTGTTCAATTGAACTCAGATCAAAAATGCGTTATTGAGGTGATGCAAAACACATGAAAAATAGAAGGCCAACTTTTTGTGTACATAGATTCTGCAGGGCTGACTGTGATACCTGAGGATGTGTGGATTTTGGTATACTGTGGAGTGGGGTCTTGGAACCAATCCCCCACATATTGAGGGATGACTATAAGTTATTTAAAAAATAATAATAAATTAAATAGGAAACCACTGAACTCATTGAAAGCTTATAAGTATGCATCAAAGGGAGTTAACATCTGTGTTTAAGGGAACAAAAAGGTTTTTATTCAGTACACAGCAAATTTCTCTGCAAGCCAAGAAACCACTCTTCACCTCTGGTTGCCAGTATGGTCTGAGTTTGCTTGGCAGGACAAGGTCAAACCTTGTAGACACACAGGCAAGTTAATCTTGAGATGGGTTTTCAGGGGCCACACTGAACCATGCTGGGTTGTTAGCAGGACTGGCCCAGGTAAGTCCATTACAAGGAGTGAGAGCCAATGGGGACAAGGAGCAGAGCCAAATGACAGCACCAAGGGAGCAACATCAGCCTCAGATTTATCGGGCAAGCATACAATCGCAGGCAGGAGCGTAGGCCAGATGTCAGGAATCAAGAACAGGAACAGACCAGGATATGAAGGGCCAACAGACAGCAAGAAATGATAGGATCAACTCCAGGGTACATGGACACAATCTAATTTGGTGCTGGCCACATGAAGCCAGAGATGGTCAGATCAGCTGAGTTCATGGCTCAGGGCATGGTCAGACAGTAGAAATGTAAAAAACGAGAAAAAAATCGTAATGACCAACTTCTTTTTTAAAAATCAGGTCTCTAAATACACCTAAAAAAAAGATCTAGTTGGTAGCCATATGTGCCATCCCTATCCCAAAACACCCCCGAAAAGAAACATTTTAAATAGCCATTTGTGTAATTAAATTCTTCATGAATTAATTTTGCCAAGTTGGATTCTTTGCCTCACTGTATCCAGAGGATATGTGCAGAAACCTCAAATGCCCTTTCTCTTGTCCGAGAAAGCTCTTGGAATATGTTCTTTTCTATTGGCCCGGACACAAGAACACTTAAAAATAAATTCTCAATTAAAGATTATAAAAGACAATCTAGAAGATTTCACAACATTTCCTTGATAACAAGTAAAAAAATTCAAATGTTTGACCAGAGGGAAATCAGGATGAAAATGTCAAACTCACTACTCCGGAGATATGCCAAAATGGAATAAGATTTTCTTTTGCCTCAGGTAAAATTGTGAAATTGTGTACAATTCCATGATGATTCATTTTTCTCTTACTATTAGCAGAGTCAAAATATAAGACAAATTATTAATGAACTACTACAAGTCATTTTCTCCCTTTGCTTTGTTGCTAAAAGTTCTCAATTTTATTTTTTATATTTAATTACTATAGTTTCTCAGCCCAAATATTTCCAGGATTTTACCCTTTAATTTTTCTTAAACCAAGGTCTCTCTTACAATCAACATGTATATTTATTGGAAATAGTCTCTTTTTTCAGAGGCTGTTATTAATTTCAATATGCCACTCAGAAATGAATGAAGAAATTATAACGTTAAAAATTACAATACTCTTATAAGAAAAGGAATTCAATGAGACATATCTAGATTAGTTAACAAATTCTAAATTTTAATGTAGAGATTCCTTTGATGTACATATTTTAATTTAACAGTAAAGAAGGTAGATTGAGTACATATATTTACTCTCTCTGCCTCTCTGGTTTCCATTAAAATCATAGCAAAGAGCCATCTAAAAAAGCATATCAACCAAAGACAAAGGGAAAAGGAAAGAAAATGACAGTTGCAAAATTTTGGAAGCTGTAATATGAATGAGTGATACTGACTTAGCAGAAGCAAAGCTAAATTCTGAAAGTTAAATCTCAAGACTGGGCAGAAGAAATAAGTAAATATTTGAATTCATGCTGCAAACCCTTAAATGCATAGGAATTGAGGATATCAGACAGCTCTGGATATAAAGAAGAAGATAGGACAAAAACTGGAAGATTGGTTGAAAGTATCTTCATGTTATATGCCAAGTCCATGCAGCTAAACAACTGTCCTCTCCTGCTGGAGGCTACAGGTTTATTCTCTGGAGTGTAAAATAGAGGATCTCTGGGCTGGTAGACAGCAGGCACAGATCGAGGTAAGGAATCACATCAGTTCCTGCCACTTCCCTCCAAAAAAAGATAAAAATATTGACACCAGGACTTCCCCCAATGAAATGGCCCAGACAGAATATCAAGCGGTAAAGCCACCAACCAACTACTCCTCTCCATTTTTAGTGTCCTATTCTTAACTATGAGAAAACAACCAAGGGTCACAAAGCATCAAAGAAAGAGACAAAAACAAACAAATAGATAAAAGCAGCTTTTATGCAACAGAGGCTATGCAAGTAGAAGAAAACTTTAAAAAAGAAAGAAAAGTGAACAAAAATGATTACTAACATCCTAGTATAGACAAGAAGAAAAATTGCATACATTTTAGAAAAGAGAAAAAGAACAAAATGCCCTTAATAAAAGTGTTGAAAATTAAAACTATGACAAGAATTAGAAAAATAATGTTTGGAAATTTTTTCAGAAATTAAAATTTAAAAAGAGCTGGAAAATAAAAGAAAAAAAGAAGAAGAAATGAGAAAATTAGAAGATTATTAGTCCAAGAGGTCTGGCCTCTAAATAAGAGAAACTCTAAAAATAAAAATTAAATTAAAAAAAGGAAAAACTATCACTGCCAAAACAATTTGATAAAATTTCTAAGAACTGAAAGATATGAATATTTTCACATTGAAAGGGTTGACTTACAATGAGTGAAATAGCCATCATAAACTTTCAGGACACTGAAAAACAAAAATGAAATCCTAAGAGCTTTCAAAAATGTTTTTAAAAGTCACATACTGTTCCAGTCATTAGTGTCATGCAACAAATTCTCCCAACACTTAGTGGGTTAAAACAACAATTTTATTATGCTCTTGGGTTTTGTGGGTCAGTAATTTAGGCAGAGCGCAGTAGGAATGGCTTATCTCTTCTCCACAATGTCTGTGACTTCAGCTGGGAAGACAACTAGAGATGACGGACAGATGGCTTAAATCATCTGAAGTCTCATTCACTCATATATTTAGCATTTGATGCTGGCTGTCAGCTTGAACCTTAGCTGGGGCTGTTGACAGAGGAACCCCATGAGGCCTCTCTATTTGCCATGGGTTTCCTTAGAGCATAATGTTTAGGGTAGTCAGACTTCTTATATTGCCACTTAGGGTTCCGCAAACAAGTGTCCCCATGAACAAGGCAAAAGGCATACTGCTTCTTTTAAACTAGCCTCGAAATTACCCCAACATCACTTCCACTATAATGTGTTGGATATAAGCAAATTACTGGCCATGCAGATTCAAAGGGAAGGTACACACATCTCAATGGGAGAGTAGAAAGGTCACATTGTAGAAAAGCATGTGAGACAAAGATATTTTGCAACCATTTTTGGAAATACAATCTTCCACACCACAAACATATAAAACTAGAATGACTTCAGGTTGCTCAAACAGTAAAACTGGAAGTTGTATAGTGAGGGATTGATGCCATTAAAATATGAAGGAAAATACATTTAAACCTAGAATTCCATTTGCAAGCTAACTGTAAATAACATGCCGGCGGATTCTTTACATTTTCAGACATGCAATATCAGGAGCATTTGTCTCCCATGCACTCTTTCTCATAAAGTTACTGATGGATTTGCTCCAAGATGAAGACTTAAACCAAGAAAGAAGAATATCTGGGCTCTAGAAACCAGAGTACTCCATACAACCCAGAGGCAAAGAACATCTCTGAAAGAGGAAAACCAGAGTCCAATGACAAATATGCACCAGGTACAGTAAGCCTCCAGTCCAGGCTCTAGGAGAAGCTGTTTCACAAACATGATATTAATAGAATACATGATGTCTATACTGAGAGAAGACCTAGACAATTGGCAACAGTTTAGTTTTGAATAACGTGTGTGTGTGTGTGTGTGTGTGTGTGTGTATATATATATTTATATAATATATGGAAAACTAAGGAGAGGAGTCAAAAGTAAGATTAATTACTAACTTCAGGAAGAACATAATTGTGCAAGAACATAATCACTGGCTATGGCATTGCTCAGCTGTGAAAAGCATTTACATACTGATGAACATATTTAACAAAATGAATATTGTTCTAATGAAAACTATTAAAAAGGATGGAGTGGATCTTGGAAGCTTGCATGTGTGTGGGACGGTGTGGTTGTGAAAGGGAACTAAATCCTTATTTTTCATGGTAGAAAGTTAATAGAAAATGTCTAAAACTGAAAAATCCTGAAGAAGCAATATAAACATATTATTTAGAAATATGGAGAAAAGAGGCCGGGCACGGTGGTTCACGCCTGTAATCCCAGCACTTTGGGAGGCCAAGGGGGGGGTGGATCGCCGGAGGTCAGAAGTTCAAGACCAGCCTGGTCCACATGGTGAAACCCCATCTCTACTAATTATATAAAAATTAGCCGGGCGTGGTGGCAGTTGCCTGTAATACCAGCTACTCAGGAGGCTGAGGCAGGATAATTGCTTGAACCCGGGAGGCGGAGGTTGCAATGAGCCGAGATTGCACCATTGCGCTTCAGCCTGGGCAACAAGAGCAAAAACTTCGTCTCAAAAAAAAGAAATATGGAGAAAAGAATTAATTTAAAAAATGTAAAGAGGCTATACTTATAGAATGGGGAAGAGGGACACAGAGGACTTTGACTTTAATCATCAGGCTTGTACAAGCAATTTATGTGTATATAATGTTGCCAAAAATAAACATACGCCAGGCATGATGGCTTACTTTGGGAAGCCAAGGAGGGATTTGAGCTCAGGAGTTTGAGACCAGGCTGGGCGACATACTGAGGCTTTATCTCGACTAAATATTAAAAAAAAAAAAAAATTAGCCAGGCATGGTTGTGGACACCTGTACTCCCAGCTACCCAGGAGGCTGAGGTGGGAGGATCGCTTGAGCCCTGAGGGTCAAGGCTATGGTGAGCCATAATTACACCACTGCACTGAAGCCAAGGCAACAGAGCAAAACCCTGTCTCAAAAAGTAAATAAACATAAATAGTAAATAACAAGCATAGAAATTTATCAGTTGCTCTTGTTGGTGGGATGGTGGTGGTATCTTGGTGGTGTAGATAATGCTGTATTTTGGTAGGAGAGGGTTTTCATAATAGTCTCGCTGCATGCTAATATCACCCCCTGAGCCTTGCCAACAGAGATTTTTGCTTAATGGTCCAGAGTGAGACCTGGTCATAGATCTGTTTTTGATGCTCCCAGGTTGAGAACCACTGCACTAAAGCTGGGTTCAGCAATATCTTTCTGTACAGAGCTAGGTAACAATTATGCTAGGCTTTTTTTTTTTTTTGTGGCCACATATGATCTCTAATCTAATGTTTTGTTTTGATTTGTTTTGTTTTACAACCCTTTAAAAATGTAAAAACCAGGCTAAGCTCATCTGCTGCGAGCAACATTTGGATAGGGAGCAGTAATTTGTTAACCCCTGCACTACAGATTCCTAACCAGTTACCCTTCAGCACCCTTTTGCTTCTTCCTGATTCATGACAATTTCAATTAACAAATATTCACCACGTTTATTTTCTTTCCATCCAAAAATGTTATCAAATTGACAAATGATTTTTAAAGTACAAATTCAAGGACAAAGCTGAGAAAGGTGAGGAGATGACAGCAGATGAGGAATGCCAATAAATAATTGGAAAATATAAATAAATAACAAACAGATGGAAGGCCGGTTCTTGACAAAGCAAAGTGCAGGAATGCTAAAGTGCAGACACCTGCAGAGGGATTGCAGCTTGAATTGAGCCAATTTTCCCTATGGAAACTTAGAGAACTTCAGGACTTGATGGTCAAAAGTACCACAGAAATTGGGCTAAACCATAAGACCAAAAACAATGGAAGTGATAGAAAGCCTATTATTTAGCACTCAGAGCAAAGGCCTTGCTTCATCCTCCAAAGCTGCAAGGCAGAGGATTATAGAATTCTTCACTGTGAAACTGAGCAGCTCAAGAGAAAAATCTCTTAGTATCTCCTACATGAGAAGAGCACCTTGCTGCCTTATTACCCTACAGTGAATTCTGCCAAACTGCACTCAGTGATTCCATTTGCTTCTCAGGGCCTCCTTTTAACTACAAGTGGGGAGCCAAGCATTGCCAGGTGTTTGAGAAAAGTCTCTAATGTGAAAACAGGCCCACAATAATAGAAAATCAAGCCCAGAAAAAAAGAGAATATGCAAGAAGCATAAAAAAACTTTCAAAATTATGTAACTAATATGCTCAAAAAGATTAAAGGATATATTACAGTTGTGAAACAATAACAAAAGGCTATTAAGAAGGATCCAAGTAAGAATTTTAAAACACTTAAATGTAGAATAACTAAAATAGAAAATTCAACAGATATGAAAGATAAAGTTGTGAAAATGTCTCAGAAACCAAGAGACAGATGGAAAATTTAAAAATTAAGAAAGTTAGAGAATCAGTATAGAAGACCCAATAGCTAAACTAATAACAGTTCCAGAGTAGAAAACAGAGAAAACAAAGGAGAGAAGAATCATCATAGAAGTAAAATAAGACAATTTCCAAAACCAAAACACAAAAATCTTCAGATTGAAGGGCCTATCGCATGCATAATACAATAAATAAAACACAGCAAAGGACATCACAATGCATTTCAAACCCCAGGGCATTGAAAAAAAAAAAAAAGAGAGAAAATCTTAAATACTTTTAGAAAGAGAAAACAGGTCATTGAACAGAGGATTTGGAAATCAAATAGCATTAGACTTTCAGCAGCAAAACTAAAACAGGGTGGGTAGGTGGGTAGGGAATGAAATATAGAGCAGTGTCTTTAAAATTCTCAGTGAAAATGCTCTCCAATTTAGAATTTTTAAGCCATCAAACTGTCATTCAAACATGGAAGCTGGATATATATTTTCAAACATTCCATGCATTCTTTCTTGAAAAGCTTTAGAGGTTGCTATACCAAAAGAAAGATGTGAGGTAGAGAAAACAGGAAATCCTATGGAGGTGAGAGCAGAGAAAACCCCAGAAAGACTGCTGTGTTGCAGCAGCCTGGAGAGCCACCAGGAGCAATTAGAGCCAGTCAGAGGGCCCCTGCAGAATGTTCTCCTAGGCAAACCCAGTCCTGATGTGTTTGAGTACACTGGAAATATTAAAAGACATTTGACAGGCCAGGTGTGGTGGCTCATGCCTGTAATCCCAGCACTTTGGGAGGCTGAGGCAGGTGGATCACTTGAGGTCAGGAGTTCAAGACCAGCCTGGGCAATATGGGGAAACCCCTTCTCTACTAAAAATACAAAATTAGCCAGGCGTGGTGGCATGTGCCTGTAGTCCCAGCTACTTGGGAGGCTGAGGCAGGAGAATTGCTTGAACCTGGGAGGCAGAGGTTGCAGTGAGCCAAGATTGTGCCACTGCACTCCAGCCTGGGTGACAGAGTAAAACTCCGTCTCAATAAAAGAAAAGACATTTGACAGATCTGTTTGAGCACTTAGGGGTAGGGAGTTGGGGGAAATTATCAATAGCTACATAGAAAACTAAACAGATACTTATTGTAAGGTACATGGATATGCTTTGATCAAGGAATAGGCCAAGGCAGATATCCAGGCCTGCATGACTCAGCAAGTTTGGCAGGCAGACGCACACCTCCACTTGTTATATAACCTATTTGTGTAAGTTCATACTTGGCTCTGAGCCACTATTGTCTGTAAAAGGTGTAATTGCCCTGCTGACACTGTGCACAGGGGCTTGGCTCAGCTCGACTGGTCATGGCTTTTGTTCAGGCATTGGTACCCAGAGAAAGAGAGAGAGCAAGCAAAGCTGTTCATCTTGCAGGTGAACAGAGGGGAGGCAGGACACAGCTTGGCATGGCACGGCATGGCACAACACTGCTCGTGCTCTTGCCCAGAGAGAGAAAGAGTTAAGCTGCTGACCCTGAAGGCAAGGGAGAGCCAGCTGTGCAGCTGCAGGTGTGGGGGTAGTAGAAGCCACAGAGCTGGAGCAGACATCCAAGATAAAGGTGGACAGTGTAAGAGAGCTAATGTGGGTAAGCTGCTGATGAAAAAGCTGCTGAATAAAACTGCATTTCACCTGCCTATGGCCCCCTGAGTGATCTTTCTGCCCATCGACCCACTCCTCCCCTTGGACGGCAGCATAGGCTGGACCCAGACCCCTGAACCTAATACTTATTTACTGCAGGAAAACCCAAATGATAATCATGGACTTAGTCTCCTTGACTACGGAGAGAATTCTTACAAATATTCATAATGTAAAATTTAGCCTTAATTAAACCAAAATTCTGATATAATTATATTGAAAAATTGACTAGGGGAATTAGTAGGAGAGATTTTATAAATGAGCTGAATCATTTTTGAACAAAAATATCAATAGACGATGTCTAGAATTGGTGAAGATAAAGCACATTTTTAAAGATGAGCACATTGTTTTGAAATACAGTGGCAATGTCAGAAAAAAAGCTAAAATTGTGTGGCCTCTAGACAGCAGGTGAGGAAAGTACAAAAATACCTTTAATAAAAACATGTGATTTTAACAAGACAAAAGTATATAAAACAAATTACAATCATCAACAGTAACTTTAAGCATTCCCTCCTTGAAAGGACGTAATCTAACAGGATTACAGTATAGTTAGTTTTAAGAACCCAAATCAGAAACTATAAGAAGTTTTCCTTATGTAAATTCTTACTATAAACATTTCTTACTATAAACATTTCTTACTAAAAACATTTATTTTGTTTTTATAGTAAGTATTCAAGTTATACTGTTAGTGGAAAAACAAGGAAAGAAATGTATCCACAGCAGAATATAAATTTTAAGAAAAATACACATGCATATATATTTATACAAAGGGTATCCCTGCAAGGATGTAGCTGATGTTGAGAAGAGTCGATGCCTGTGAGGAAGAGGACTAGAATACAGAGGTCAGAAATGAGAGGAAGACTTGCTTATCCCTATATACTTCTGTGTATTGTCTTACTTTAAAATATCCTTATGAATGAATTCTACTTATGTTAAAGTAAGGGAGATTTTCGTTATAGTGAGAAAATACAGTAAAAAATTACTATATGTGTCTTATATTATGTCCAATATTATATATAAAGAAAATGAGTATTTATATGCATTTATGGTTCTGACATAAGATATACAGGAAGAAAAGCATTTGCAGCCTGGATATATAAAATAATGGATTTATTTTGAAATGTTTTGAGTTTAGTGCCTGTGTGATAGCCAGAACCTGGAGTACCTGAAAGTCATTTGGGCTGGAGATAAAGCAAGTGCTGTAAAAGCCACTGAATAAATAAGATCACCTGGGAAATTTTTAAGCGTGAATGAGAGGAGAAGGGAGTTGGGTGTGAAAGCAACAGTAATTTAAGGAACAACTCAGGAAAAGAGATTAAAATGAAGCCAAAGAATGTGTTAAGAACATTGGTCATGCTACCTGCCGCATACACAATCCTTTCTAAGGAAAGTTGCTTTTCTTAAGGGAGAAAGTGGCCATGCTTAGCTTGCTTTGACCCCCATTTTCTCCACAGCTGATTGGTCTAGCTTGGGCCCCAGACATACATCTATCTATCCACTCATCCACACATATGTATGTATATGTATTTATGTATTGTACTTCTGTATGTCCTCGAGAGAAGGAGGAAAAGATGATGAATTTCATAAGACATGAGGAGGTATTAGTAAGATGAAATAATAAAAAATAGAGATACTACAAAGAAAAAACTAAAACATATGCAGAGAGAGAGAAGCCAATTTATCAAAAAGGACAATATAAAATTAGAAATATCAGCCTCCTAAAAGAATAGTGTCAACTTTAAAATACAACCATGAGCAAACCTCTAAAAGTACTTTGTTTACTCAGTAATGTGTTTAAATCTCATCTATATGACTATAAGAAAACTGAATTTATGGCCTAGCAAATTAAACAAAGAACTTTAGTGTGCTAGCTAATCTCACTGACATCAAATTCTAAAATATGATTTTTTTGACATGACTCAGCTCTGTATCATAACAAATTTTACTGTTTTGTTAGCCTCCCATATAATGTAAAGATATACTGTCTTGAAGTCATTCTACTTCAACAGACACATCTGACTTTCTGCCATGAAGTTTGTAAAATATGTTTTAGATAACTGTGGACAGTCAAAAACATGACTGATGTAGGAGAAACTGATAGTTTATGAATCTTACTGCTAATCACATCAGATGTAATGAACTTAATTAAACTACTGAGGTTTTGAGGGTATTTTAAGGTTTGTTTTTTTAACCTTAAACGGAATCATTTGTTCCATACACACTATACAAACTTCAGCATGATTTCCACTATCTGGAACTGAACTCCCTCTGATGTCTCCCCTCTGCAGTTGTTCCAATAATTTCTTCTGTAACCTTCACACTTAAAATGTAGATGGTTGTTCAGGGTTCAACAGTGAAAAACTGAGGAGATCCTCAGAGAGCAACAAAATTACTAGTGGATCTCCACTGTGGCTCTGAAAGTTCCTTTTGCCATGCAAGGTATCATATTCACAGATTGCAGGGATTGGTTCGTGTGCATTTTCGTGGGGGACTAGGCTTGTGAGGATGTAAAGCAACTGGAATTTTTGTACACTGCTGGTGGGTGTATAAACTAGTAAACACTTTGGAAAACTGCTAACATCCACAAAAGCCAAACAAATACATACCCTCTGACCCAGCAATACCACTGTAGGCATAGAGTCAACAGAAGTACATAGATATATGTGCACCAGAGGTACGAACAAGAATGTTCACATCACTACTATTTATAATAGCTCTAAACTGTCAACTTCTCACAGGCTATCAAAAGTAGAATGGATAACTACACTGTGGTTTAGTTACACACTGCAGTACAACACACTAATGAGAATAAATGATCTGCAAATATACACAATAATATGGATACTCCTCAAAAAAATAATGTTAAGCAAAAGAAGCTGGACACCAGAGTACATACTGTATTACTCCATTCATAAAAAGTACAATGCAGGCAAAATTAATGTATTATCTTAGAAATTCAGGTAAACTTACCCTTGGGTGAGGGTGACCAGAAGAGAATAATATAGATCAGAAGAAATGGTAATGTTCTGTTTTTCGATCTAGTGTTGGCTACACATGTTCAATTTTTGAAAATTAACTGAGCTGTACACTTATGATATATACGCTTTTCTGTGTTTATTTCATACTTCTATTAAAAAATTTAAATTATGTTATTTGGTTGTGATGGGTGAGATTTCTTTATGACAATTAATTGAGGGATAGGCTTCTGATTTGTTCATCGATTTAGAAAGTCTTCTTTCACTTCCCACCACAAAATGACACCACTGACGCCCAGCTAAGGGGATGAAAAACTTATTTAGGTTACTTAGGCTCGGACTAAGGCCAGTTCTGTCAGAAGCCTCTCACTACAAATTCCCTCCCTGCACCTCTTGTTTCTTAGATGAATGGATGGATGAACAGACAGACGAATGACAGACACACACAGAGATGATAGATAGACAGATAGATAGATGATAGATACAGATAGATGATAGATAGATAGATAGATAGATAGATAGATAGATAGATAGATAGATAGATGCTGTTGAAATAATGCTGGGTGAAAGGATTACAGCCTAAGAATAATCATCAAGGATCACTCTTCACTATCTATTGAGAGAACAACCAGCTGGGTGTTGGAGGTGGGGGTGGTCGGATTACAGATTCATATTGATACAATGAGTTTCAAGTGACTATGACACATTTTTTTCTGCATCTCCATTTCTTAACTGTAAAAAGAGGGAAAATATGTACTCTGCTTGCCATCCTGAGTTTGGGAAGAAGATGAATATGTAAACATATTTTAAGCCAAGATGTGTTAAAAGACCCTTAAGTAGAAACAATGCTCCACTCCTCTGGTTTTTCTAAGCACCAGTTTCTTGTTCCGCCCTTAACACTCAAACACTCAGGTGGAGTGAATTCGCCTATTTGATGAATTTAAAAGAAGGAAGAGGGCAGTCATAGCTAGCTCCTCTCTTCCCCTTCCTCTTAAGAGCGGCTATGCGAAAGTTCACGTCTGCATCTGGTCTTCTCTCGGGTTACAGAGCAAGCCTCCACGTGGGAAGCAGAGCGTTTGTCTGGACTGCTGTGACTTGTGACTCTTCTGTAGTCATGTGTAACATGTGGACTCCGCTGGAAAAAAGCAAGGATTAAAGTAAGTCCCTAATTCTAGGGATCTGTATTTGCAGGTCTAGCCTTACCAAAATCTAGGCCCCTTTCCAACAGCAATGAAGCTGATATTTTGATCGCCATCTGCCAGAAATTTTTGTTCCTCTTCCAGTGTTTTTAAAAACACAGGCAAGAAAAAAAGCTGGCTCTTTATCGTGCCTCTTCAAATGCCCACAGAAACTGAAGTATTATTGTTATTGGGATGTGTTTTCGTTTGCTGGAGTAACAGTTCTCACAATGCATGTTTTGTTCTAAAACCTTTTCTTTTTCCCTGAGCCCTTGCTGCCTGTGAAACAATTATAATGGTTTTAAGGGTCCAAGATTTAACTTACATTCTTTATGTGGGGCTTGTAAATTCAACTCAACATTGTTCTGTGACTACTACATGCCAGACACTGCGCTAGACTTGGGGGTTGAAAGAGTAATGTTCTTAAAGCAATATTGTGTCCTGGACATTTTAAATTAAATTTCTTTATGGAAATTCTGCTCGGGGTCTGATGTCAGCAGTGTTAATGGAAAAACAGCATCAAAGTCTTGGTGATTGTGTTTGTTTAAATATTGGAACTAGATACCCTTTTTCTCACTTTTATATTCCAATGAATAATCCGAAGACTTACATTTCTCATTCTACTTAGGCTGTGGTCTTACGTTTCTTCTACTATTACTTGGCTGTGAAGTGAGGTATTTAACCATTTAAACCATTATAATGTCCTTATTTAAGTGAGAGAGAATTAAAAACCAAATGAAACAAGCACAGACCCACAAAAAATCCAGGTCCTTCTCGTTATAAAAAGGGCAACAGCCTTTTTAAGCTTTTAGTTAATAATTAAAGAAATATATTAAGCAATAATGAGTGGGCAATAATGAACTTCTATGGGCTTTGTGTTTCTGGTGTTATGGTGGTCCCAGGAGTGACCCATCACAATTCTAAGAAACCTCTAAGAATATCAAATATGTTTATCAGTGAAGTCGCAGAATGAGACTTTGACTCTGCATCTGACAATTAGTAGGTCCTTCTGAAGACCCTTAACTAAACGTGAAGTTTGGCAACTATTAAGAATCCCACAATTTTGATCTCTGCCAAGTCGTAGACCCAGGAAAAGTGAGGAGTGAGTAATAGTCAGAGGAATCTGAAACTGAGGAAGCAGGAGGGCTCATGAGAGGGATCCTAGCTGCTCTGAGGATTTCAAATCTTTTGGCCTAGCTAAACTACATCTTGGGGAACAGAAAGAACGTATGTCTATAATTACTGAACCACTGTGGGTAATTACTGGGAAACCATGGAAAACAGGAGAGGTTCCAGGAGACTGAAGGATGGAAAATGTTGCTCCAATTTTTAGAAGGGAAAGAAGGTAGGTTTATTGAATTACAGATCAGAGAGCTTGACAAAAATCCTAGAAGAGATTATTATTTTTTTTAAGAGTCCATGAACACTTAGAAGAGGAAACAG
The DNA here is from genome assembly GCF_000001405.40 of Homo sapiens. NCBI lineage: Eukaryota > Metazoa > Chordata > Mammalia > Primates > Hominidae > Homo > Homo sapiens. The sequence goes on along the minus strand of NC_000003.12, from coordinate 151,537,688 downwards.
TGATGACTAAAGTTAGAATGCCTTTGTCAATAACAGGCCATTACAGACTAACTTCACTGCTTGGTTTTTGACAGTGTGGCTAAACTGGTGTATGAAGAAGGCATAGTATAAACCCTATTTCGGTTAATTAGTCAAGTGCTTCATCATAGCATCATGTACATGATGGGGAAAAATGAACTAGATGGTAGAACAATTGGCTTTGAATGATTTAATGATGTTGTCTCCATCTAAAGAGTGCAGACTTGCCTAGTGACAGGCTATAGTTCTTTCTTCTCGGCCTCAACCTCATCAATATTTCTCTATAATTTTGACAAAAATCAATAGCTTGTTATTCTCTTCAGACTTCAGGGGAAAGTCACAAATCTTTGAGCATCTGTCTACCTTTGAGAGAAAGTAACCCAAGCTGATTCTTTACTACCTATGTTGCTATGACTCAGTGCTATACGTATTGAGTAAATCCTACACTCCTGCTCTAGCCACAACTGATTGGCCAAAGTAACAATGCAAGATCAAAGCAAATACTAATGTGCCCAACTTTAGGGAGGCAAAAAAATTGCCTTTGAGATGGCTTACCCAAAAATTTTTCCCTCACAGTCCCCCCATATTAAATCCTTGCAAATCATCCCAAGCAAATATTGTTATTGGAAAGAATAAATGCTCGAATAAAGAACAAACTTAAATTCTGTAGTTTGGGGATCTCACTCTTATTGGGCCTGCTGTTTTAAAAGCAACAGGACCTAGAATAATAGTTCTTTCAATACCCATCAGCCAAGGTAATTTGCCTGTGTCTTTCTGATATTAAAAGGACTGGTTTATCACCTGCATATCAAATTTAAGAATCAAATTATGCTAGAAGTAGTTCACATAGTTAATGTGATGTATTACAGAATTAAGACTTCAAAATATTGGCCCATATTAAATTAGTGGGCCAAATTGAACAAAATGAACTTTAAGGGGAAAAGTAAAGAGAAAACAAAATCTTTTTTAGCCTCTAGTCAAATCTGGTACTTTAGATTCGGCATTTTTTTGGTGAACATTTTATTGTTAACCTTGGTTAACAGTAACTGAGGTTAAGCTTTACAGTAGAATCAGGACAGATTTACAATGCTAATGAAACTTAAGCTTCAGGATCCCTTCCTTGCATGGACCCTTTTCAAAGCTGTCATGTAGGGCCACAGTGATAAGGTTGCCAAATAAAATACAGGATGCTCAATTAAGTTTGAATTTCAGATAAACAATGAATAACATTTTCACTTAAGTAGGTCCCAAATAACAAATGCAACCTACATTTTTATTTGCTAAATAAACTCTACATGGGAAAGAATCATCAACCTCAGACTGAGGGTCACCCTCTCTGCCCTCGTGGTGGTCTTAGATCCGTAGGTGGAGTTGAGAGGCTGCCAGTCCTACCTTCACATCCACGCAGCCCAAGTGACAACCTTGTCCCAGGGGACCTCTTGAAGTATCCAGACTTTGACTCCAAGGAGAAAGGCACAAATGAGATTTTTTCCCTGCTTCCTGCTCAGAAGTCAATGCTAGACTTCATGGCATTTCACCACCACCTCCCATCCCCTTAATCCCCCTAGGACTAGTAGCCATGGTGGGACAGGACACAGTGGCAGCTAGGACCTAGCCAACCTAGAAATTGCAGCTTCCAAAGAATATGAAGACTGAGATCAAGGGGCTGCAAACATATGAAAGTCTGCCCCTGAAAGTAGTGCCATCTCAGCAAGAAGCTGCAGCTGGAGCTCCATGTACAGGATTACAAATAATAAACAGTGAAGTTGAAAGAAACTGCGAAGCCATCAATTTCAAAAATGAGTTTTGCTCTATCATTCTAGAGGAAAGACTTGATTATTTTTCTATTCTCTTTATTGAAAATGTAAGACTTGTGACAGAATGAAGCAACCAAAGAAAATGCAGCCCAAAAAAGTTAATTTAGAGGCATGTAAGCAAATAATTAGAATTGAAAGATTTCCTGACTTGCACTATTTGTAATACCTACCATACTTTATATATATGTAATTTATTGTAAATTCTAATTCTAAATATGAACTTTTATATCTTATTTTAAATAAAATAATTTTAACTTTTATTTTAGATTCAGAGCATACATGTGCAGGTTTGTTACATGAGTATATATAGTGATGGTGGGGTTTAGGGTACGATTGATTCCTTCACCCAGGTAGTGAGAATAGTACCGAATAGTTAGATTTTCAACCTTTTCCCCTTCTAGTAGTCCCAGTGTCTATTTTTGCCATCTTCATGTCCATGAGTATCCAGTGTTTAGTTCCCACTTATAAGTGAGAAGTATATTATTTGGTTTTCTGTTTCTGCATTAATTCGCCTAGGATAATAGCCTCCAGCTGCAGCCATGTTGCTGCAAAGTATGTGATTTTGTTATTTTTTTTCTTTTATTTGGGATTTTTTATTACAGCCAAATATCCTCAAAAATAAGTTTCTGTGGTGGCCCACATTATAATACCTCTACTAGGAATAAAATAAGGGATGATAACTAGATTTAATAGTTATTGTTTTTGCACTGTGTCAGATGTTGTTACCATTTGAGTTACATTTTCTCATTTAGTTCTCTCAAAAACCTTTAGAGATAGTATCATCTTTAATTTTATAGATGAGAAAACTGAAATGTAGATAGCTTTTTTTTTTAATTGCCAAAGATCACACCCATAGAAACTGATAAAGCTGGTATTGGATCCCTTATCAGTCTGACTCCAAAGTTCGTGTATGCTTGTAACTACTGTGACAGAACAGTTGGATGGAACTACATTTTTCATGCATCCAGTGAAGGTGATTCTGTAGTTTCCTCTAGATTCCTATAACCCTGCCCAAACCTTCATACACACACACACACACACACACACACACATACACTTTAAATTCTGGGGTACATGGGCAGAACGTGCAGGTTTGTTACATAGGTACACACATGCCGTGGTGGCTTGCTGTACCCATTGACCCGTCATCTACATTGGGAATCTCTCCTAATGCTACCCCTCCCCCAGCTCCCCACCCCATGACAGGCCCCAGTGTGTGATGACCCCCCTCCCCACCCATGTGTTCTCATTGTTCAACTCCCACTTACGAGTGAGAACAGAAACTTGTTTGGTTTTTTGTTCTTGTGTTAGTTTGCTGAGAATGATGGTTTCCAGCTTCATCCATGTCCCGGAAAAGGACATGAACTCATCATTTTTTATGGCTGCATAGTATTCCATGGTGTATATGTGCTACATTTTCTTTATCTGGTCTATCATTGATGGGCATTTGGGTTGGTTCCAAGTCTTTGCTATTGTGAACAGTGCAGCAATAAACATACATGTGCATGTGTCTTTATAGAAGAATGATTTATAATCCTTTGGGTATATACCCAGTAATGGGATTGCTGGGTCAAATGGTATTTCTAGTTCCAGGTCCTTGAGGAATCACCACACTGTCTTCCACAATGGTTGAACTAATTTACACTCCCACCAACAGTGTAAAAGTGTTTCTATTTCTCCACTTCTCCAGCATCTGTTGTTTCCTGACTTTTTAATGATTGCCATTCTAACTGATGTGAGATGTTATCTCATTGTGGTTTTGACTTGCATTTCTCTAATGACCAGTGATGATGAGATTTTTTTCATATGTTTGTTGACTGCATAAATGTCTTCTTTTGAGAAGTGTCTGTTCATATTATTTACTCACTTTTTGAAAGAGTTGTTGTTGTTGTTTTCTTGTAAATTTGTTTAAGTTCTTTGTAGATTCTGGATATTAGCCCTTTGTCAGATGGATAGATTGCAAAAATCTTCTCCCATTCTGTAGGTCGCCTGTTCACTCTGATGATAGCTTCTTTTGCTGTGAAGTAGCTTATTAGTTTAATTAGATCCCATTTGTCAATTTTGGCTTTTGTTGCCATTGCTTTTGGTGTTTTAGTCATGAAGTCCTTGCCCATGCCTATGTCCTGAATGGTATTGCCTAAGTTTTCTTCTAGGGCTTTTTTGGTTTTAGGTCTTACGTGTAAGTCTTTAATCTATCTTGAGTTAATTTTTGTATAAGGTGTAAGGAAGGGGTCCAGTTTCAGCTTTCTGCGTATGGCTAGACAGTTTTCCCAACACCATTTATGAAATAGGGAATCCTTTCCCCATTGCTTGTTTTTATCAGGTTTGTCAAAGATCAGATGGTTGTAGATGTGTGGCGTTATTTCTGAGGCCTCTGTTGTGTTCCATTGGTCTATATATCTGTTTTGGTACCAGTACCATGCTGTTTTGGTTACTGTAGCCTTGTAGCATAGTTTGAAGTCAGAGTGATGCCTCCAGCTTTCTTTTAGCTTAGATTGTCTTGGCTATGTGGGCTCTTTTTTTGGTTCCATATGAAATTTAAAGTAGTTTTTTCCAATTCTGTGAAGAAACTCAGTGGTAGCTTGATGGGGATAGCACTGAATCTATAAATTACTTTGGCCTGTATGGCCATTTTCACGATTTTGATTCTTCCTATCCATGAGCATGGAATGTTTTCCCATTTGTTTGTGTTCTCTCTTATTTCCTTGAGCAGTGGTTGGCAGTTCTTGAAGAGGTCCTTCACATCCCTTGTAAGTTTTATTCCTAGGTATTTTATTCTCTTAGTAGCAGTTGTGAATGGGAGTTCATTTATGATTTGGCTCTGTTTGTCTGCTATTGGTGTATAGGAATGCTTATGATTTTTGCACATTGATTTTTGTATCCTGAGACTTTTCTTATCAGCTTAAGGAGATTTTGGACTGAGATGATGGGGTTTTCTAAATATACAATCATGTCATCTGCAAATAGAGACAATTTGACTTCCTCTTTTCCTAATTGAATACCCTTTATTTCTTCCTCTTGCCAATTGCCCTGACCAGAACTTTCAATACTATGTTGAATAGGAGTGTGAGAGAGGGCATCCTTGCCTTGTGCCGGTTTTCAAAGGGAATGCTTCCAGTTTTTGCCCATTCAGTATGATATTGGCTGTTGGTTTGTCATAAATAGCTCTTATTTTGAGATACATTCCATCAATGCCTAGTTTACTGAGAGTTTTTAGCATGAAGCGCTGTTGAGTGTTGTCGAAGGCCTTTTCTGCATCTATTGAGATAATCATGTGGTTTTTATCATTGGTTCTGCTTATGCGATGGATTATGTTTATTAATTTGGGTATGTTGAACTAGCCTTGCATCCCAGGGGTGAAGCTGACTTAATCTTGGTGGATAAGCTTTTTGATGTACTGCTGGATTCGGTTTGCCAGTATTTTATTGAGGATTTTTACATCAATCTTCATCAGGGATACTGGCCTGAAATTTTCTTTTTTTGTTGTGTGTCTGCCAGGTTTTGGTATCAGGATGATGCTGGCCTCATAAAATGAATTAGGATTCCCTCCTTTTCTATGGTTAGGAACAATTTCAGAAGGAATGGTACCAGCTCCTCTTGGTTACTCTGGTAGAATTCGGCTGTGAATCCGTCTGGCCTTGGACTTTTTTGTGGTGTTTGTAGGCTATTAATTACTGCCTCAATTTCAGAACTTGTTATTGGTCTGTTCCAGGATTTGACTTCTTCCTGGTTTAGTCTTGGGAGGGTGTATGTGTCCAGGAATTTGTTCTTTTCTTCTAGATTTTCTGGTTTCTTTGCATAGAGGTGTTTATAGTATTCTTTGATGGTAGTTTGTATTTCTGTGGGATCAGTGGTGATATCCCCTTTATCATTTTTTATTGCATTTATTTGATTCTTCTCTCTTGTCTTCATTAGTCTTGCTAGCGGTCTATTTTGTTGATCTTTTAAAAAAAACCAGCTCCTGGGTTCATTGATATTTTGAAGGGTTTTTCAGGTCTCTATCTCCTTCAGTTCTGCTCTGATCTTAGTTATTTCTTGTCTTCTGCTAGCTTTTGAATTTGTTTGGTCTTGCTTGTCTAGTTCTTTTCATTGTGATGTTAGGGTGTCAATTTTAGAACTTTCCTGCTTTCTCTTGTGGACATTTAGTGCCATAAATTTCTCTCTACACGCTGCTTTAGATGTGTCCCAGAGTTTCTGGTATGTTGTGTCTTTGTTCTCATTGGTTTCAAAAAACTTACTTATTTCTGTCTTCATTTCATTATTTACCAGTAGTCATTCAGGAACAGGTTGTTCAGTTCCCATGTAGTTGTGCCATTTTGAGTGAGTTTCTTAATCCTGAGTTCTAATTTGATCACACTGTGGTCTGAGAGACTGTTTGTTATGATTTCCATTTTTTTCATTTGCTGAGGAGTGTTTTACTTCCAATTATGTGTTCAGTTTTAGAATAAGGGTGATGTGGTGCTGAGAAGAATGTATGTTCTGTTCATTTTGGGTGGAGAGTTCTGTAGATGTCTATTAGGTCTGCTTGGTCCAGAGGTGAGTTCAAGTCCTGGATATCCTTGTTAACTTTCTGTCTCATTGATCTAATATTGACAGTGGGGTGTTAAAGTCTCCCACTGTTATTGTGTGGGAGTCTAAGTCTCTTTTTAGGTCTCTCAGAACTTGCTTTATGAATCTGGGTGCTCCTGTATTTGATGCATATATATTTAGGATAGTTAGTTCTTCTTGCTGGATTGATCCCTTTACCATTATGTAATGCCCTTCTTTGTCTCTTTCAATTTTTATTGTTTTAAAGTCTGTTTTATCAGATACTAGGATTGCAACCCCTGCCTTTTTTTGCTTCCCATTTGCTTGGTAAATATTCTTCCATTTCTTTATTTTGAGCCTATGTGTGTCTTTGCATGTGAGATGGGTTTCCTGAATACAGCATGCAGACCAGTCTGTGTCTTTTAACTGGGGCATTTAGCCCATTTACATTTAAGATTAATATTGTTATATGTGAATTGGATCCCGTCATTATGATGCTAGCTGGTTATTTTGCCCGTTAGTTGATGCCGTTTCTTCATAGCATCGATGGTCTTTACAATTTGGTATGTTTTTGAAGTGGCTAGTACTGGTTGTTCCTTTCCATGTTGAGTGCTTCCCTCAGGAGCTCTTGTAAGGCAGGCCTGGTGGGGACAAAATCTCTCAGCATTTGCTTGTCTGTAAAGGACTTTATTTCTCCTTCGCTTATGAAGCTTAGTTTGGTTGGATATGAAATTCTGGGTTGAAATTCTCTTCTTTAAGAACGTTGAATATTGCCCCCTGCCCCCCACTCTCTTCTGGCTTGTAGGGTTTCTGCCAAGAGATTCACTGTTAGTCGCTTCCCTTTGTGGGTAACCCGATATTTCTCTCTGGCTGCCCTTAACATTTTTTCCTTCATTTCAACCTTGGTGAATCTGATGATTATGTGTCTTGGGGTTGCTCTTCTTGAGGACTATCTTTGTGGTGTTCTCTGTATTTCCTGAATTTGAATGTGGCCTACCTTGCTAGGTTGGGGAAGTTCTCCTGGATAATATCCTGAAGAATGAAACTAAGTTGGGAAACACTCTCCCCGTCTCTTTTAGGTGACTCATCCTATCAAACATAGATTTGGTCTTTTCACATAGTCCCATATTTTTTGGAGGCTTTGTTCATTTCTTTTCACTCTTTTTTCTCTAATCTTGACGTCTTGCTTTATTTCATTGCATTGATCTTCAATCTCTGATAGCCTTTCTTCTGCTTGATCAATTCGGCTATTGATACTTGTGTATGCTTCATGAAGTTCTCGTGCTGTGTTTTTCAGCTCCATCAGGTCATTTATGTTCTTCTCTAAACTGATTATTCTAGTTAGCAATTCGTCTAACCTTTTTTCAAGGTTCTTAGCTTCCTTGAGTTGGGTTAGGACATGTTCCTTTAACTCGGAGGAGTTTGTTATTACCCACCTTCTGAAGCCTACTTCTGTCAATTCGTCAAACTCATCCTGCATCCAGTTTTGTTCCTTTGCTGGCGAAAAGTTGTAATCCTTTGAAGGAGAAGAGGTGTTCTAGTTTTTGGAGTTTTCAGCCTTTTTGCGCTGGTTTCTCCTCATCTTCGTGGAATTATCTACCTTTGGTCTTTGATGTTGGTAACCTTTGGATGTGGTCTCTGAGTGGACGTCCTTTTTATTGATGTTGATACTATTCCTTTCTGTTTGTTAGTTTTCCTTCTAACAGTCAGACCCCTCTGCTGTAGGTCTGCTGTAGTTTGCTAGAGGTCCACTCCAGACCCTGTTTGCCTAGGTATCACCGGCAGAGGCTGCAGAACAGCAAAGATTGCTGCCTGTTCCTTCCTCTGGAAGCTTCATCCCAGAGGGGCACCTGCCTGATGCTAGCCAGAGCTCTCCTGTATGAGGTATCTGTCAGCCCCTAATGGGAGGTGTCTCCCAGTCAAGATATACAGGGGTCAGCAACCCACTTGAGGAGACAGTCTGACCCTTAGCAGAGCTTAAACGCTGTGCTGGGAGATCCGCTGCTCTCCTCAGAGCCATCAGGCAGGGACGTTTACATCTGCTGAAGCTGCGCCCACAGCTGCCCCTTCCCCCAGGGGCTCTGTCCCAGGGAGATGGGAGTTTTATCTACAAGTCCCTGAATGGGGGTGCTACCTTTCTTTTTTCAGAGATGCCCTGCCCAGAGAGGAGGAATCTAGAGAGGCAGTCTGGCCACAGCAGCCTTACTGAACTGTGATGGGGTCTGCCCAGTTTGAACCTCCCGGCAGCTTTGTTTACACTGTGAGGGTAAAATTGCCTACCCAAGCCTCAGCATTGGTGGACTCCCCTCCCCCACCAAGCTCAAGCATCCCAGGTTGACCTCAGACTGCTGTGCTGGTATGAGAATTTCACGCCGGTGGATCTTAGCTTGCTGGGCTCCATGGGGGTGGGACCCACCAAGCCAGACCACTTGGCTCCCTGGCTTCAGCCCCCCTTTCCAGGGGAGTGAACAGTTCTGTCTCACTAGCATTCCAGGTACACTGGGGTATGAAAAAAAAAAAAAAAAACTCCTGCAGCTAGCTCAGTGTCTGCCCAAACAGCCACTTAGTTTTTTGCTTAAACCCATGGCCCTGGTGGCATAGGTACCAGAGGGAATCTCCTGGTCTGCCAGTTGCAAAGACCATGGGAAAAGCATATATCTGGGTACCATTCCTCCCGGTACAGTCTCTCATGGCTTCCCTTGGCTAGGGGAGGGAAATCCCCCAACCCTTTGTACGTTCCAGGTGAGGTAACACCCCACCCTGCTTTGGTTTGCCCTCCATGGGCTGCACCCACTGTCCAACCATTCCCAGTGAGATGAACAGGGTACCTCAGTTGGAAATGCAGAAATCACCTGCCTTCTGCATCAGTCTTGCTGGGAGCTACAGACCGGAGCTGTTCCTATTCTGCCATCATGCCAGCAAGTCCCCCATACCTAATTTTTATTCATAGCATTGTATGCTTTCTCTTTTAAAAAAACCTTATAAATTATATGAGCTTTAGGCCCCTCGAAATCTGGATCAGTCCCTGAATGCAATGACCTAATAGAATAAAATTATGAATGACAACAAAAAGAATGAATAACAGATAAAAGTGGAGGAAACCAACATTTCTGAGAGTCTATTATGTTTCAAGTTCACTGCTAATAATAATAGCTGATATTTATTAAGAGCTTTCTTATGCCAGGTCCTATCTAAAGAGCTTAACCTACTGTATCATTGCATTTAATCAGCATGATACTAGGAAAAAAAGCACTGTGAGTATTATCTTCATGGTGTAAAGAAATGAGGCTAAAAACATAAAATATTTTGCTCAGGTCATGCAGCTATTAATTGATGAAGTTAAAATCTGAACCCAGGTTTCAATTTTTTTCTTCAAGACAGGATCTTGCTCTGTCACCCAGGATGGAGTATAGTGACATGAACACAGCTCACTGTAGCCTTGACCTCCCAAGCTGAAGTGATCCTGCCACCTCAGTCTGCTAGGTAGCTGGGACTACAGGCATGTACCACCATGCCCAGCTAATTAAAAAAAAAAAAATTGTAGAGACAGGGTGTCACCATGTTGCCCAGGCTGGTCTCAAACTCCTGGGCTCAAATAATCCTTTCACCTCAGCCTTCCAAAGTGCTGGGATTATAGGCATGAGCCACTACACCTGGCCCAGATTTGGATTTTTAAAACAATGCTTTTTCTCCTGCTTATTCCTTTTCTTTTCTTTTTTTACACTAGAAATTATCTTCTGGGCAATTAATACTGGGACTTAAATATCCATTTGTTCCTTTTTCAGTCAACTAGCATTTTTATTGGGCGGGTAACATGTAAGGTAATACAAAAGTTATGTAAGTCAAAAAGTATTTATGGAGACATTTGAATATCTGCCTTATCACTGCTATATAAAAAATCCATTATCGACTCTTCAGAAATGTATTGGGCCAAGAAGAATTCTGACATTTTATTGTTCATTAGGAATAGATGACCCCACAGACATGTTTTGATGAGGGAATTGCTTGAGAATGGAACCAGCATGAAGCATAAATGAGCCAAAAAAAAGAGTGAATCCAGCTCCCGCTGGTGTGGTATGGGCCTATTAGGTTAGGTGAGCCAAAAATCTTCCTATTTTCCAGAGCCAGGCTGGGCTGAGTTTTCTGTCATTTAAAGGCAAAATAATTTTAACAGGTATAATATTCTAAAGGAAAAAAGTGACTTCTAAAGTCAGTAGTGGTTTTTGTAGCCAATGGAATAGGGAAAAAAATTTTTTTCTACAAATTCTACCAAAAGTTAGGAAGACCAGATCTGTACAGGGTTTAGGTTAGGTCAACAAAAAGCAAATTCAGCAACTGAACTCTGCTCAGTTTCCACCCACATACGCTGGAGCTACATGAACTTCTCCTTCACATATGTACATACCAAGATCAAGCTGGTGGCCACAGTGCAGGCAGTTTTGGCCTCTCCAGTGTGCACACATTCTGCCCAAGCACCTGATACAGAGGGTGGAAAGAAAGGCTTCCGGCAGGGAACTAGGTAAAGATGAAGATGAGGCCAAAAACATTAAGGATAACCAGGAAAATTAGTTTGAAAGAAAGGGAGAAGACTGGAGTAAATCTGAAAGCAAATGCATCAGAAAAAGAAAAAAATGAGATCAATGAGAAAAACATCAAGGAAAGAAATTTAAATTTTTTTAATATTAGAGGAACTAGAAGAACCTAAATAACTTATGCAGAAGAAAGTTAAGAGAAACCATGAATCAGAAAATTGCTGGAAGAGGCTAAATTTAAATTGACAATAGAAACTTCGTGGTACTAAAAGTCTATGGAGTAGATACTCTGAACTCAAAGAGACTTCCCAGTTTAAAAAGTTATTAAAAAATAAAATGATGCAACATTAAACATTTTTTCATTATACCAAGTCTTTTAAAACATCAGTTTGAGATTATGACATTAACGCTGAAATATACTAAAGATTACCAATTTATGGACAAAGTTATACAACTGAAAAAAAAAACAATCAAGAAAAATGACAAGAAGAAAGGTCTGGCCTCTGGAGGGAAGGTCAAAGGCTTCCAGCCTTAGACAATCCAATAGACTGTGGAGCTCTGACAAGAAAAATAACAAGACTGGAGACATTTCCTCTTCTAAACCTTCACTCTGTTTCCCAATCTCTTCAACAGGTAGCTCAAACTTTTCCCTTTCAGTTCTGCCAAATGTTAGCCAGAAGTATCATGGTTATGTGCTAGATAAATAGTTCACTCCTGACACTAAGATGCTCAGTGATGAGGGGCCTTGGAGCAACAAGAAGTTAAAATTGGTGTGGCAGGAAGAATTCTGAGATGACCTTTGAGATTCCCGCTCCCCGGTGTACATGTTCTGTAAAATCCCCTCCCCTTGAGTGTGGGTGAGAATTGACTATGATGAACTTCACTCCTGTAATTAGGTTACTTCATATGGAAAAAAAAGTGAAGGGATTTTTGCAGATGTAATGAAGTCTCAAATCAATGTACTTCGAGTTAATCGGAAGGGAGATTATCCCTGGTGGGCCTGACCAATTTGGCAAACCCCTTAAAAGAGATTGGGCTCTTGTTGAAGGAAGGGATTCAAAGGGTAAGGGTATGGAGTGGGGCATGTGGTAAGGATGCTTAGGGTAGTCTCCAGTCAATAGTGGGCAAGAAAACTGAGATTTCTGTTCTACAGTCACAAGGAACTGAATTCTACCAACAACGTGAATAATCTTGGAAGCAGTTCTTTCCTTATTCAAACCCTCAGGTAAGAATGCAGCTGGCTGGCACCGTGATCTCAACACATCTGAGACCTTAATAGAGTACAGACTACTGGCCCACAGGAAATGTGAGATAATAGACTTGTGTTCTTTTAACCAGCAAACTTGGTGGCAATTTCTTACACAGCAATAGAAATTAATACAGTTAGGAAACTTGGATGCTACTCTATCTTAAACAAAAATCTTAAATAGTATTTTTTGTGGCTACCTGAATTCAGAGTGGCAACTAAACTGGAATTAAAATGTACATGTTATGCATATTCTGTAATATAGCCTTAATTGTACTTCCGTAAACTACTCGAATTTGTCAGAAAAAGGTGTTTGCAATAAAATCTAAATAGTTTTGTGTTAAAGATGATTATAATGAGCCAGGCAGGGTGGCTGGTGCCTGTAATCCCAGTGACTCAGAAGGCTGAGGTGGAAGGATCACTTGAGCCCTAGAGCTCAAGGCTACAGAGAGCTATAATTGTGCCACTTCACTTCAGCTGGGGTGACAGAGCAAGGCTCTCTTTAAAAAAAAAAAAAAAAAAAAAAAAAAAAAAAAAAAAAAAAAAGGTGTAATGCATTTTTAAAATTGTTACAAAGATTATCTATTTCATATTGACAATATTATAGCTGGAAAAGACATTTGATACTAAAAAGGAAAGAAGGAATGATGGAAGAGAAGGAAGAAGGAAAGAAGGAAAAAATCAAAATCCACTCAGTTGAATCTGATAAAGTAGCTTTCCATTATTACATGTCTCAAATCAACCTTTGGAATATCTATTTATGTATTTTTAACTTTTTCGGTTCAAGGGTACATGTGAAGGTTTGTTACACAGGTAAAGTCGTGTCACAGGGGTGTGTTGTACAAATCATCACCCAGGTATTAAGCCCAGTACCCAATAGTTATCTTCTCTGTTCCTCTCCCTCCTTCCACCCTCCACACTCAAGTAGACCACAGTGTCTGTTGTTTCCTTCTTTGGGTTCACTAGTTCTCATCATTTAGCTCCCACTTATAAGTAAGAACATGTGGTATTTCGTTTTCTGTTCCTGTGTTAGTTTGCTTAGGATGATAGCCTCCAGCTTCATCCATGTTCCTGCAAAAGACATGATCTTATTCTTTTTTATGGCTGCATAGGATTCCATGGTATATATGTACCACATTTCTTTATCTAATCTGTCATTGATGGACATTTAGGTTGATTCCATGTCTTTGCTATTGTGAATAGTGCTGCAGTGAACATTCATGTCCCTGTGCCTTTATGGTAGAATAATTTATATCCCTCTGGGTATATGCCCAGTAATAGACTGCTGGGTCAAATGGTAGTTCTACTTTTAGCTCTTTCAGGAATCACTATGCTTCTTTCCACAATGACTGAATTAATTTACATTCTCACCCACAGTGTGTAAGTGTTCCCTTTTCTCTGCAACCTCGCCAGCACCTGTTATTTTTTCTACTTTTTTGTAGTAGCCATTCTGACTGGTTTTGATTTGCATTTCTCTAATAATCAGTGATGTTGAGCTTTTTAAAATATGCTTCTTGGCCACTTGTATGTCTTCTTTTGAAAAATGTTCATGTCCTTTGCCACGTTTTAATGGGGTTTTGTTTTTCTCCTGTAAATTTGTTTAAGTTCCTTATAGATGCTGGATATTAGACCTTTGTCAGATACAAGGTTTACAAAAATTTTCTCCCCTTCTGTAGGTTGTCTGTTTAATCTGCTGATAGTTTCCATTGCTGTTCAGAGGCTCTTAAATTTAATTAGATCCCACTTGTAAATTTTGGCATTTGTTGCGATTGCTTTTGGTGTCTTTGTCATGAAATCTTTGCCAGTTCCTATGCCTAGGATGGTATTGCCTAGGTTGTCTCCCAAAGTATTCATAGTTTGGGGTTTTACATTTAAAAACTTGCATTGATTTTTGTATATGGTGTAAGGAAGGAGTCCGGCTTCAATCTTCTGCATATGGCTGGCCAGTTATCCCAGCACCATTTATTGAATAGGACTCTTTTCCCCATTGGTTGTTTTTGTCAGCTTTGTCGAAGATCAAATGGTCATAGATGTGGGGCTTTATTTCTGGGCTTGCTATTCTGTTCCATTGGTCTATGTGCCTGTTTTTGTACCAGTACTATGCTGTTTCGTTTACTGTAGCCCTGCAGTACAGTTTGAAGTCAAGTAACGTTATGTCTCCAGCTTCTGTTCATTTTACTTAGGATTGCCTTTTGTATGTGGGCTCTTTTTTTGTTCCATATGAATTTTAAAATAGTTTTTTCTAGTTCTGTGAAGAATGTCATTGGTAGTTTGATAGGAATAGCATTGAACCTATGAGTTGCTTTGGGCAGTATGGCCATTTTAATGATATTGGTGCTTCCTATCCATGAGCATGAGATGTGTTTCCATTAGTTTGTGTCATCTCTAAATTATTTGAGCAGTGTTTTGTAATTCTCATTGTAGAAACCTTTCAGCTCCCTGGTTAGCTGTATTCTTAGGTATGTTATTCTTTTTGTGGCTATTGTGAATGGGATTGCCTTTCTGATTTGCTCTCAATTTGGCTGTTGTTGGTATATAGGAATGCTAGTGATTTTTGTACATTGATTTACTGAAGTTGTTTATCAGCTGAACGAGATTTTGGGTTGAGACTATGAGGTTTTCTAGATAAAGAATCATGTCATCTGCAAATAGAGATAGTCTGACTTCCTCTCCTCCTATTTGGATGTCCTTTCTTTCTCTTGCCTGATTGTCCTGGCCAGAACTTCCAAAACTATGTTGAACAGCAGTGGTAAAAGAGGGCATCCTGGTCTTGTGCCAGTTTTCAAGGGGAATGCTTCAAGCTTTTGCCCATTCAGTATAATGTTGACTGTGGGTTTGTCATAGATGGCTCTTATTATCTTGAGGTATTTTCCATCAATACCTAGTTTGAAAGTTTTTAACATTAAGTGTGTTGAATTTTATCAAAAGCCTTCTCCATGTCTATTGAGATAATTGTGTGGTTTTTACTTTTAGTTCTGTTTATGTGATGAATCACATTTATTGATTTGTGTATGTTGAACCAACCTTGCATCCCAGGGATGAAGCCTACTTGATTGTAGTGGATTAGCTTTCTGATGAGCTGCTAGATGTTTGCAAGCATTTTCTTGAGGATTTTTGCATTGATGTTCATCAAGGATATTGGTCTGAAGTTTTATTTTTCAGTTGTGTCTCTGCCAGGTTTTGGTATCAGGATGATGCTGGCCTCATAGAATGAGTTGGGGAACAGGTTCTCCTCCTTAATTGTTTTGGAGCAGTTTCTGTAGGAATGATACCAGCTCTTTGTACATCTGGCAGAATTTGGCTATGAAGCCATCAGGTCCTGGGATTTTTTTGGTTGGCAAGCTATTTATTAGTGATTCGATTTTTGATCTCATTATTAGTCTGTTCAGGGATTTTCTTCCTGGTTCAGTCTTGGGAGGTTGTATGTATCTAGAAATGTAGCCATCTCTTCTAGGTTTTCTAGTTTGTGTTCATAAAGGTGTTCATAGAAGTTTCTGATGTTTATCTTTATTCCTGTGGGGTCAGTGGTAACATTCCCTTCATCATTTCTAATTGTGTTTATTTGGATTTTCTCTTTTTTCTTAGTAGTCTAGCTAGTGTGGCCTGTCTTATTTTTTTCAAAAAGCCAACTCTTGGGTTCGTTGATCATTTGAATGGTTTTTTGTATCTCAGTTTCCTTCAGTTCAGCTCTGATCATGGTTATTTCTTGTCTTCTGCTAGCTTTGGGATTGATTTGTTCTTCTGTAATTCTTTCACTTGTGATATTAGATTGTTAATTTGAGATCTTTCTAACTTCCTGAAGTGGGCATTTAGTGCTATGAATTTCCCTTTTAACACTGCCTTAGCTGTATCCCAGAGATTTTGCTATGTTGTATCTTTGTTCTTATTAGCTTCAAATAACTTCTTAATTTCTGCTTTTGAATTTCATTATTTACCCCAAAGTCATCAGGAGCATGTTGTTTAATTTCCATGTAATTGCGTGGTTTTGAGTGATTTTCTTAGTCTTGACTTCTATTTTTATTGCACTGGGGTCTGAGAGTGTGTTTGATATGATTTTGATTCTATTGCATTTGCTGAGGATTGTTTTATGTCCAATTATGTGGTCAGTTTTACAGTATGCACCATGCAGCAATGAGAAGCATGATAGTCTGTTTTTGGGTGGAGAGTTCTGTAAAGGTATATCAAATCCATTTGGCCCAATGTTGAGTTCAGGTCCTGCATATCTGAATTTTCTGACTCGGTGATCTAATACTGTCAGTGGAGTATAGAAGTCTCCCACTATTACTGTATGGGAGTCTATGTCTCTCTGTAGGTCTCTAAGAACTTTCTTTATGAATCTGGGTGCTCCTGTTTTGGGTATAAAACAGGATAGTTAGGTTTTCTTGAATTGAACCCTTTACCATTATGTAATGCCCTTCTTTGTCTTTTTTGATCTCTGTTGGTTTGAAGTCTGTTTTGTCTGAAATTAGTATTATAACCCCTGATTTTTTTGTTTTCCATTTGCTTGGTAAATTTTTCCTTCATCCCTTTGTTTTGAGCCTGTGGGTGTCATTATGTGTGAGATGGGTCACTTAAAGACTATTGGATATTGCTTTTTTTTTAATCCAGATTGCTACTCTGTGCCTTTTAAGTGGGGCATTTAGCCATTTTTTATACATTCAAGGTTAGTATTGATATGTGTGGATTTGATTCTGTCATTGTGTATTAGCAGGTTATTATGTTGGCTTGTTAATGTGGTTGCTTTATAGGGACACTGGTCTTATGTTTAAGTGTGTTTTTGTATTAGCTAGTATTAGACTTTCATTTCTATATTTAGTGATCCTTTCAAGATCTCTTGTAAGTAGGTGTGGTGGTAACAAACTCATTCAACATTTGCTTATCTGAAAAAAATCTTATTTCTCCTTTGCCTGGGAAGCTTAGTTTGGCTGGATATTAAATTCTTGGTTGCAGATTATTTTCTTTAAAGATATTGAATATAGGCCCCCACTCTCTTCTGGCTTGTAGGGTTTCAGCTGAGAGGTCTACTGTTAGTCTCATGGGGTTCTTTGGAATATCATGAATGTATAAACAGTATGGTTTTTAATCAGAATACTTCTACCAGTGACATTTTTCATAAGAGGAATAAAATTTTTATCAGTTTTGTCTGCTTTACATGTCTGAGAAGCAAGTTCTCTTTCATTCTCTTAAACTGCAATAGGACTACTTTTACCATCCTTTCCTAGCCAAGATATGCTAATAAACTGGATTACTTAAATATACTTTGGTAGGTTAACAGTTATGACCTCTGCAGTATTCTATAAAACATTTAATAAAGTCACCATTATGAAGACAAAACAAACTCGGGCAGGATTAGCTGGCAACAACAAAATATATCAATAAAATAAAATCCTGAATATCTGAAAAAGGTACACCAGAGTGTGTTTTGTAAGCTACCACTTTTTTTTCAAATGGAAGTGCATACATTGACTATCACTGAGAGGATACAGGAAAAAAAAGTAGAAAGGGAATCTGGTGAACCAAAAGTTGGATTAGAAGACTTAGTTATCACTTTATACTCTTTAGGACTTTTAGAATTCTCAAAACCTTCAGGTATTATTTCAATATGAAGCAAAATGAAATCTTTAATATGCACTATAACAAAATCAATATATTAGTCTTTCTTTCAGCTTGAAAAGTCAATATGTTCTCACTGGGAGATGTTTACTGAAAGAATGCACATAGTAGCCTACAGGCCCAGTATGTCTAAGGCTTTACTCTCACCTGGGACAGTGGCTCTTTATCATTCACAGTACAGTAGCAATCAAAACTAGTCATTTTGTTTCCCCTTCAGAAGTAAGAATTCATTGCTTTATTTTGCCTTTTTAGCATGCCTTTCACACTATATACCTCAAAGAAAAAAGATGATGTCTATTAGTTATCATTCTGCAGGCAGCCCATCCATTTGTCAAAGTCTAGCACCAAAGTAACCACATTCTTAACAATGGGATGGCTGGCATTACTTAAATTTAGGGTAAGTTGAAAGTGACTCCCAGTCATATTAATATATCCCACTAAACCTAAATAAAATATATCCCCCAACTTAACCTCCCTTTAGCCAGGTACCAAACTGTGGCTATTCTAATGCGGCCTAACACAAAAATGATGAGGAAAGAGGATTGGAAAGAGACAGTGGTCTTAAATTGCAGTTAAAAATCTAACTTTTGAAATTTTTACAAAAATACATGACCCATGCAAGTGAGGGCCCTAAAACTTAAGCTTCATTAGCTTCACAGAAAAATGTGCCTCTGGGTGGCTGAATGTATGGAAGACCTAAGGCTGGCATAAAAATTAAGTTGCCATAGTCTCCACAGACACATGAACAAGAAACAAATGCTAATTGCTTCATGTCACTGAGATTTTTGTGGTTGGTTGTTTTACAATATTATTGTAGCAATAGCTAACTAATACAAATACAAACAATCATACATATTCTGTGATCTCCCATCTCATCAGAACCATTTCATTTTCTTGGCATTTTTAAGTATTCTGCTAGTTTTAAGTGTAAAGTCCCAATGCACAGAAGCTGTCAAAGATAGCTAGCACTTTGCACATATAAATCAAGTCACCATTTTGGTAAGAGGAAGGAAAGAACCAAGTGAGGATGGAAATGTTCCCCCACTGAACACTAAATCTATCAAATTTAGAGCCTCAAAATACTAGCGTACTCTTTAGAACGTCTCCTTCTTTGACATTTTCCCAATAGAGTGACTCTTAGTTATCAATACCCAACTTTCATAGAACATACAGATCTCTCAGTACAAAACTTTTGGCTGATACTTACATAGGAAATATTTATATTATGTCCCAAAACTCAATACAACATTTTAAATAAAACAACATGCAGATAAAGTCCTATGTGACATCCCAAATACAATTGGTGAGAAATCAGAGTTATATCCATATTTTGAAAAACACCCTCTCTGTCAACAAAGGGGATGTGTACTGCATTACTGCATTAAAGCAATTGTTCTGGTGACAATTGTACTCATTGCTTAGTGATTAGAAAATGGTATTTTAAACATTTTCTTCCTAACCTAATTGTTTTTACTGTTAAAAGAAAAACTTTAGCCAAATTAAATTTAAAATGGTTTAATTGAGCAAAGAACAATTCATGAATCGAGCAGTCTCCTGAGCCAGAGTAGGCTGAGACTCCAGTGCAGCCACTTGGTGGAAGAAGATTTCTGGACAGAAAAACGAAAGTGAGGAACAAAAAATGGAAGTGAGGTACAGAAATAACCAGATTGGTTATAGCTTGACATTTTTCTTATTTGAACACAGTTTGAACAGTTGGCCACCTTTGGCCAAAACTCAGTGATTGGCACAAGAGTTGACTACAGTCTGTATAAACTCCACTTAGGTTATAGTTCACAATGTACAGAAAAACCTTTAGGCTGAACTTAAAATATATAAGTAGGCAGCTTTAAGCTAACCTTGATTTAACAATTACCCCTTTTGGTCATCCTCTCAATTTGGAGAGAGTGATTAGTCATTGAAAGCACCAAAACCATTGTAATGTATTTATTTGTCTTGAAACCCACTAGGAAATAACAGAACTCTGGGGTTCGTAAGGTGAGAACAAGGACTTCAGGTTATATTTTTTTTGTAAGGGTCAGAGTAGAGGGTACCTCCTTATGCTGGAATGCCCTGTTTACAAGAGAAAAAAGCAAAACCCAGTCTGTTCTAGTATCTATGTTTCCTTAAAGTCTTAGTTTGATTATGTTACATTTAGCAAGAGTGACTCCATTTTGGTTTGGTCTGGTCTTTTGGTACTTAGTGCAAGAGCTCATTCCAGAACAATGGCCTCCCATAACTTTGTTTAAAAATTCCTCCCTTTCGGTCAGATTCTTACTTAGGTGAGAGTGTAACCAAAACATAGGGCCTTAGTGCCACTCTGTTACTATCATATTGGATTTCCAGTCTCAGCATATCATTCACAGGTTACACTGCCCTCATGGTCACACATTTCTTTTGACTCTTTTCAGTTGAAGGGAGACCATTTGACATTCTAAGATGACTGCATGCAAAGATTTAAAACTTTTGAGAGAATACAGTGCACCAGGGAGACTGCTATTATGACTATCAGGAGGATAATACCAAGAGTTTGGAGTACCCTCCTTGGCCAGGGTGCCTGTAAACCAAACGACCTAAAATCAAATAGATCAAAGAATGAGCTAAACAGTCTACTCACTTTAAGCAGTCTCTTTGTTAATCCCCTACAACTAAATCTCTATAATATCTGATGGGATATATTTCTCCATGGTCAACAAGAAGGGCTAGCAGCTGCAGAGACACTCCTGTTTAGTCAGTAAGTAATCTAGAGTGATTCTATTATTTGGCATAACTTTCACAATAGAATTTAAACTCTGTTGTGTAACCATAGCCTTTATAATATAATCTACTATAGAACTTATCATGAAGGATAAATTTCTAATCATTGCCTCATTTACTTCCAACCATAGAAAAAAGAACTTAACAAATGATGCCCTTCTAGAAGAGTGAAGACTTCCAGGCAATGTCACATAAATGTCCTATGTGACATCCCAAATACAATTGGTGGGAAATCAGAATTATATCCATATTTTGAAAAACACCCTCTCTGTCAACAAAGGGGATGTGTACTGCATTACTGCATTAAAGCAACTGTTTTGGTGACAACTGTACTCATTGCTTAGTGATTAGAAAATGGTATTTTAAACATTTTCTTCCTAATCTAATTGTTTTTACTGTTAAAAGAAAAACTTTAGCCAAATTAAATTTAAAATAGTTTAATTGAGCAAATGTTCCAGGCAATGTTCTCTTGAACCCATATGATGTAGGTTAAGAGGAGTGGACCAATGTTCTGCTTCTGGAACTTAACAAATGATGCCCTTCTAGAAGAGTGAAGACTTCCAGGCAATGTTCTCTTCAACCCATGATGTAGGTTAAGAGGAGTGGACAAATGTTCTGCTTCTGACTGATTATGAGGCAACGTCCGTGCCATTAAAATTTCTCACATACATTGGGCCTTCATCTTCCATCTGTCAAGGCATAAGTTTATCCACATATAAGGCTGGCTGCAAAATCCTTCACAGGTTAAAGTATACCCCACAAGTGCACACAACAGACTCCCTTTTCACCTCTATTGTTCATAGAGGCATAAGTGGGGCTGGGGAGGTGGGGAATTGAAAGACAAGGGTCTTGTGATAGTAATCTTGATCTGTCAAGATTGATCTTAGACAGTGATAAAGCTGTTCACGTCAAGGATGTCATCATCTTCCAGGGAGAAACTTCCCTTGTTACCTTTACCTTAAGGTTTCCAATGGGTGTACAGTTCTAAGAATATGGAGGAACCTTCTGAGTTGTGAGATTATGAACCCAAGGTTCAAGGTCCTGAAGTTCTGCTGTAGCGTGGACAGCAAGGGCAGTCTACTTCAGAAGATCCAGTCTTTGAGTTCTAGATTATGAAGGTGTTGATTGTCCTCAGTCAGTGAACCATGAAAAGCTTTCTTTATCTGGTGAAAATGAATATGCACTGTGGCATAATGAGCATAATATGTAGTGTCAGCCCTCTTGCCTTGTTGCATGGGAAAGCTTTTATATAACCATGAAACATGAAATGAAAATGGCAATTGAATGAAATCCCTCTATAAATATTTAAATGGCCCATCAGATAGTGGGATGTACCTGAAGTTTTGATTGTCTTCCCAGGATTTTGGGCTTGACAAACCAAATACTGGTCATAAGCAATTTAGCAATTAAGAAGTCACCATACACACAAACACACACACACACACACACACACACACACGTAATATAATTTATATATTTTTTAAATTATATATATTATATATTTTTTGGTCATTTTATCTTCTCCATGATGAGTCACAGAATGCAGCACTTTTATTTTTTATATTATACTTCAAGTTTTAGGGTACATGTACACAACGTGCAGGTTTGTTACATATGTATACATGTGCCATGTTGGTGTGCTGCACCCATTAACTCGTCATTTAGCATTAGGTATATGTCCTAATGCTATCCCTCCCCCCTCCCCCCACCCCACAACAGTCCCCAGTGTGTGATGTTCCCCTTCCTGTGTCCATGTGTTCTCATTGTTCAATTCCCACCTATGAGTGAGAATATGCGGTGTTTGGTTTTTCTGTCCTTGCGATAGTTTGCTGAGAATGATGGTTTCCAGCTTCATCCATGTCCATACAAAGGACATGAACTCATCATTTTTTATGGCTGTGTAGTATTCCATGGCATACATGTGCCACATTTTCTTAATCCAGTCTATCGTTGTTGGACATTTGGGTTGGTTTCAAGTCTTTGCTATTGTGAATAGTGCTGCAATAAACATACGTGTGCATGTGTCTTTATAGCAGCATGATTTATAATACTTTGGGTATATATCCAGTAATGGGATGGCTGGGTCAAATGGTATTTCTAGTTCTAGATCCTTGAGGAATTTCCACACTGACTTTCACAATGGTTGAACTAGTTAACAGTCCCACCAACAGTGTAAAAGTGTTCCTGTTTCTCCACATCCTCTCCAGCACCTGTTGTTTCCTGACTTTTTAATGATCGCCATTCTAACTGGTGGGAAATGGTATCTCATTGTGGTTTTGATTTGCATTTCTCTGATGGCCAATGATGATGAGCATTTTTTCACGTGTTTTTTGGCTGCATAAATGTCTTCTTTTGAGAAGTGTCTGTTCATATCCTTTGCCCACTTTTTGATGGGGTTGTTTGTTTTTTTCTTGTAAATTTGTTTGAGTTCATTGTAGATTCTGGATATTAGCCCTTTGTCAGATGAGTAGGTTGCAAAAATTTTCTCCCATTTTGTAAGTTGCCTGTTCACTCTGACGGTGGTTTCTTTTGCTGTGCAGAAGCTCTTTAGTTTGATTAGATCCCATTAGTCAATTTTGGCTTTTGTTGCCATTGCTTTTGGTGTTTTAGACATGAAGTTCTTCCCCATGCCTATGTCCTGAATGGTATTGCCTAGGTTTTCTTCTAGGGTTTTTATGGTTTTAGGTCTAACATTTAAGTCTTTAATCCTTGAATTAATTTTTGTATAAGGTGCACAGAAGGGATCCAGTTTCAACTTTTTACATATGGCTAGCCAGTTTTCCCAGCACCATTTATTAAATAGGGAATCCTTTCCCCATTGCTTGTTTTTCTCAGGTTTGTCAAAGATCAAATAGTTGTAGATATGTGTCATTATTTCTGAGGGCTCTGTTCTGTTCCATTGGTTTACATCTGTTTTGGTACCAGTACCATGCTGTTTTGGTTACTGTAACCTTGTAGTATAGTTTGAAGTCAGGTAGCTTGATGCCTCCAGCTTTGTTCTTTTGGCTTAGGATTGACTTGGCAATGCGGGCTCTTTTTTGGTTCCATATGAACTTTAAAGTATTTTTTTCCAATTCTGTGAAGAAAGTCATTGGTAGCTTGATGGGGATGGCATTGAATCTATAAATTACCTTGGGCAGCATGGCCATTTTCACGATATTGATTCTTCCTATCCATGAGCATGGAATGTTCTTCCATTTGTTTGTATCCTCTTTTATTTCCTTGAGCAGTGGTTGGTAGTTCTCCTTGAAGAGGTCCTTCACATTCCTTGTAAGTTGGATTCCTAGGTATTTTATTCTCTTTGAGGCAATTGTGAATGGGAGCTCACTCATGATTTTGGTCTCTGTTTGTCTGTTATTGGTGTAAAGGAATGCTTGTGATTTTTGTACATTGATTTTGTATCCTGAGACGTTGCTGAAGTTGCTTATCAGCTTAAAGAGATTTTGGGCTGAGACAATGGGGTTTTCTAGATATACAATCATGTCATCTGCAAACAGGGACAGTTTGACTTCCTCTTTTCCTAGTTGAATGCCCTTTATTTCCTTCTCCTGCCTGATTTCCCTGGCCAGAACTTCCAACACTATGTTGAATAGGAGTGGTGAGAGAGGGCATCCCTGTCTTGTGCCAGTTTTCAAAGGGAATGCTTCCAGTTTTTGCCCATTCAAGTATGATATTGGCTGAGGGTCTGTCATAGATAGCTCTTATTATTTTGAAATACATCCCATCAATACCTAACTTATTGAGAGTTTTTAGCCTGAAGGGTTGTTGAATTTTGTCAGGCCTTTTCTGCATCTATTGAGATAATCATGTAGTTTTTGTCTTTTGTTCTGTTTATATGCTGGATTACGTTTATTGATTTTTTTTTTTGTATGTTGAACCAGCCTTGCATCCCAGGGATGAAGCCCACTTGATCATGGTGAATAAGCTTTTTGATGTGTTGCTGGATTCAGTTTGCCAGTGTTTTATTGAGGATTTTTACATCAGTGTTCATCAAGGATATTGGTCTAAAATTCTCTTTTTTTTGTTGTGTCTCTGCCAGGCTTTGGTATCAGGATGATGCTGGCCTCATAAAATGAGTTAGGGAGGATTCCCTCTTTTTCTATTGATTGGAATAGTTTCAGAAGGAATGGTACCAGTTCCTCCTTGTACCTCTGGTAGAATTCGGCTGTTAATCCATCTGGTCCTGGACTTTTTTTGGTTGGTAAGCTATTAATTATTGCCTCAATTTCAGAGCCTGTTATTGGTCTTTTCAGAGATTCAACTTCTTCCTGGTTTAGTCTTGGGAGGGTGTATGTGTCGAGGAATTTATCCATTTCTTCTAGATTTTGTAGTTTATTTGCATAGAGGTGTTTGTAGTATTCTCTGATGGTAGTTTGTATTTCTGTGGGATCAGTGGTGATATCCCCTTTGTCATTTTTTATTGCGTCTATTTGATTCTTGTCTCTTTTTTTCTTTATTAGTCTTGCTAGCAGTCTATCAATTTTGTTGATCTTTCAAAAAACCAGCTCCTGGATTCATTGATTTTTTTTGAAGGGTTTTTTGTGTCTCTATTTCCTTCAGTTCTGCTCTGATTTTAGTTATTTCTTGCCTTCTGCTAGCTTTTGAATGTGTTTGCTCTTGCTTCTCTAGTTCTTTTAATTGTGATGTTAGGGTGTCAATTTTAGATCTTTCCTGCTTTCTCTTGTGGGCATTCAATGCTATAAACTTCCCGATACACACTGCTTTGAATATGTCCCAGAGATTCTGGTATGTTGTGTCTTTGTTCTCGTTGGTTTCAAAGAACATCTTTATTTCTGCCTTCATTTCGTTATGTACCCAGTAGTCATTCAGGAGCAGGTGGTTCAGTTTCCATGTAGTTGAGCGGTTTTGAGTGAGTTTCTTAATCCTGAGGTCTAGTTTGATTGCACTGTGGTCTGAGAGAGTTTATTATAATTTCTGTTCTTTTACATTTGCTGAGGAGTGCTTTACTTCCAACTATGTGGTCAATTTTGGAATAGGTGTGGTGTGGTGTTGAAAAGAATGTATATTCTGTTGATTTGGGGTGGAGAGTTCTGTAGATGTCTATTAGGTCCACTTGGTGCAGAGCTGAGTTCAATTCTTGGATATCCTTGTTAACTTTCTGTCTAGTTGATCTGTCTAATGTTGACAGTGGGGTGTTAAAGTCTCCCGTTATTATGGTGTGGGAGTCTAAGTCTCTTTGTAGGTCACTAAGGACTTGCTTTATGAATCTGGGTGCTCCTGTATTGGGTGCATATATATTTAGGACAGTTAGTTTTTCTTGTTGAATTGATCCCTTTACCATTATGTAATGGCCTTCTTTGTCTCTTTTGATCTTTGTTGGCTTAAAGTCTGTTTTATCCGAGACTAGGATTACAACTTCTCCTTTTTTTTGTTTTCCATTTGCTTGGTAGATCTTCCTCCATCCCTTTATTTTGAGCATGTGTGTCTCTGCACGTGAGATGGTTTTCCTGAATACAGCACACTGATGGGTCTTGACTCTTTATCCAATTTGCCAGTCTGTGCCTTTTAATTGGAGCATTTAGCCCATTTACATTTAAGGTTAGTATTGTTATGTGTGAATTTGATCCTGTCATTATGATGTTAGCTGGTGATTTTGCTCATTAGTTGATGCAGTTTCTTCCTAGCCTTGATGGTCTTTACAATTTGGCATGTTTTTGCAGTGGCTGGTACCAGTTGCTCCTTTCCATGTTTAGTGCTTCCTTCAGGAGCTCTTTTAGGGCAGGCCTGATAGTGACAAAATCTCTCAGCATTTGCTTGCCTGTGAAGTATTTTATTTCTCCTTCACTTATGAAGCTTATTTTGGCTGGATGTGAAATTCTGGGTTGGAAATTCTTTTCTTTAAGAATGTTGAATATTGGCCCCCACTCTCTTCTGGCTTTGTAGAGTTTCTGCCAAGAGATCAGCACTTGATCTGATGGGCTTCCCTTTGTGGGTAACCCGACCTTTCTCTCTGGCTGCCCTTAACATTTTTTCCTTCATTTCAACTTTGGTGAATCTGACAATTATGTGTCTTGGAGTTGCTCTTCTCGAGGAGTATCTTTGTGGCGTTCTCTGTATTTCCTGAATTTGAATGTTGGCCTGCCTTGCTAGATTGGGGAAGTTCTCCTGGATAATATCCTGAAGAGTGTTTTCCAACTGGGTTCCATTCTCCGCATCACTTTCAGGTACACCAATTAGACGTAGATTTGGTCTTTTCACATAGTCCCATATTTCTTGGAGGCTTTGTTCATTTCTTTTTATTCTTTTTTCTCTAAACTTCTCTTCATGCTTCATTTCATTCATTTCATCTTCCACCACTGATACCCTTTCTTCCAGTTGATCGCATCGGTTACTGAGGCTTGTGCATTCATCACGTGGTTCTTGTGCCGTGGTTTTCAGCTCCATCAGGTCCTTTAAGGACTTCTCTGCATTGGTTATTCTAGTTAGCCATTCATCTAATTTTTTTTCAAAGTTTTTAACTTCTTTGCCATTGGTTCACACTTCCTCCTTTAGCTCAGAGTAGTTTGATCTTCTGAAGCCTTCCTTTCTCAACTCGTCAAAGTCATTCTCCGTCCAGCTTTGTTCCATTGCTGGTGAGGAGCTGCATTCCTTTGGAGGAGGAGAAGCACTCTGATTTTTAGAGTTTCCAGTTTTTCTGCTCTGTTTTTTCCCCGTCTTTGTGGTTTTATCTGCCTTTGGTCTTTGATGGTGACGTACAGATGGGTTTTTGGTGTGGGTGTCCTTTCTGTTTGTTAGTTTTCCTTCTACCAGTCAGGACCAACAGACTGCAGGTCTGTTGGAGTTTACTGGAGGTCCACTCTTTGCCTGGGTATCAGCAGCAGTGGCTGCAGAACAGTGGATATTGGTGAGCTGCAAATGCTGCTGCCTGATCGTTCCTCTGGAAGTTTTGTCTCAGAGGAGTACCCGGCCGTGTGAGGTGTCAGTCCGCCCCTACTGGGGGTTGCCTCCCAGTTAGGCTACTTGGGCGTCAGGGGCCCACTTGAAGAGGCAGTCTGTCCATTCTCAGATCTCCAGCTGCATGCTGGGAGAACCACTACTCTCTTCAAAGCTGTCAGACAGGGACATTTAAGTCTGCAGAGGTTATTGCTGTCTTTTGTTTGTCTGTGCCCTGCCCCCAGAGGTGGAGCCTACAGAGGCAGGCAGGCCTCCTTGAGCTGTGGTGGGCTCCACCCAGTTCCAGCTTCCTGGCCACTTCGTTTACCTACTCAAGCCTGAGCAATGGTGGGTGCCCCTCCCCCAGCCTCCCTGCCACCTTACAGTTTGATCTCAGACTGCTGTGCTAGCAATGAGGGAGGCTCTGTGGGTGTAAGACCCTCTGAGCCATGTGCAGGATATAATCTCCTGGTGTGCCGTTTGATAAGCCCATTGGAAAAGTGCAGTATTAGGGTGGGAGTGACCCAAT
This sequence comes from Homo sapiens, assembly GCF_000001405.40. NCBI lineage: Eukaryota > Metazoa > Chordata > Mammalia > Primates > Hominidae > Homo > Homo sapiens. The sequence continues at coordinate 151,509,758 of NC_000003.12, read as the reverse complement.
TTTCCAGGTGCTGTCTGTCACCCCTTTCTTTGACTAGGAAAGGGAATTCCCAACCCCTTGCACTTCCCGGGTGAGGCGATGCCTCGCCCTGCTTCAGCTCATGCACGGTGCGCTGCACCCGCTGTCCTGCACACACTGTCCGGCACTCCCCAGTGAGATGAACCCGGTACCTCAGTTGGAAATGCAGAAATCACCCGTCTTCTGTGTCACTCATGCTGGGAGCTGTAGACTGGAGCTGTTCCTATTTAGCCATCTTGGCTCTACCCCCAGAACTTTTAATAAAATCTTTAAGGACGCAGGAAGGAAAACATGGTCGTCTTGGTTCTCCATAAGTCCATGTTTAACATTGGACTGCTGTCCTTTTGAACACCAGTTGTTTCTCCAATTTAGGTGTATAGCACTGATAACTGATGGGTTATCATAGGTAATTTGACTGAGACTGGAGTTCATTCAAATTGTATATCTAAACAATTTAGTATTGGCTGATTAAGCATGAAAATCTGGTAAAGTATTTTCTTGGAATTCAATTAAATTTTGTTGTGCTTGGTTAGCAGTTTAATAAACCTGTCAGTCTTTTCATTAAAGCTCTAGGAATTCTTACCCAGTCCAAATGATGTGATTCTAAAGTTAACAGATACTGATATTCAAGAGTGTTTTCCAGGGTCCTTTTCATCCTTTCATGAATCTTCTTAAAGATACCTTATTCTAGGATTGTGTGCTGTGAAGTTTTCAGACGCTGCATCAGAGTTAAGCAATTAACTGTGGAAATGACTTTAGTAAAGACACAGTTGACAAGGAAATGTGCATATTTCTGTGGTCTATGGTAACATAATAACCATAATTATAATTGATAGCATAAACTCAGACATATTAGAATTTTAGAAATCCCATACAATTTTGAAACATATATAATAACGTTCATTAAAATATAACCTGAAGAAGGTTAAACATTATTCTTATTTGACAGTGCTTCCCATGTAACTTAACATGTCAAATAATCCTGTTTATCTCTCTTTTGGATGCTCCATGGGCCCTCTGAAGCATCCCAAAGTTAGAGGTCAGAAAAGACTTAATTTCAAAGCTGAAATTTGATTTTGTAAAGCTTTTCAAATATGTCAAAGATTTAAAATATTTGACCAACATAGGATCACAGATCACTGTAAAACAATAGTCATTTAACCAGAGTACTAATTAGAAGATTTTTAAAAACAAAAACCTGTACTCTTTGATAAAGGAGACTCAGTTTCCCAAACAATCAAAAGACCTAAGACAGCATGAGACAGAATCTCTCTTTCCTCTTCCACACTTTTTTTCCTTTTTGCGGTTTACTCAAAAGGTGAAAAATACTTTGTCTTATTAATGCTACACAAAATTTTTGTTCAAAAGAGAGAACCAAATTTTATTTTTATATTAGTGTATTATCAATACTAAAACTAATTTTAATAAAACCTCATAAAAACTTTCCATAAACCTTTCATTTTATGTTTTCCATAACTTTCTATTTTTATCTTGTTGTATCTATTTTTTACCCCTTCAATTTGAAACTTTTAAGTAACTTTAAGCCAAACAAAATTTTTAATACACATTTTTATGCCTTTATAACTTCCTCATCAAATGCATATTTTGACTTTGTACACTCTGTATATAGAATTGCTTCTCTCGTATCTAGTAGTTTTTAATGCTTAGTAGCCAAATTCCTAGTGAAAACTCTAGAAAGTAATTTTGAACTGTTTTATATTAGTATTTGTAGATAAAAACCATTTTATAATCTTTTAGAAAAATAGTTCTTCCAATTATTTATTGATAGATCTAGATCTAAATTTATTGACAGACCTTCAAATTATTTATTGTCAATTATTTATTGACAGCTTTCTTTATACCATATAAAAATACTTTCCAGGTATATAGACTTAAACTCACATTTAATAATTAATATTTAATATGATTTAACTGTGTTCTCACCCAAATCTCATCTTGAATTTTAGTTCCTATAATCCTCATGTGGGCAGAGGGACTTTTGGGAGGTAATTGAATCATGGTAGTGGTTACCCTCATGCTGTTCTTATGATAGTGAGTTCTCATGAGATCTGATGGTTTTATAAAAGGCTTTCTCCCTTTGCTCTGCTTGTCTCGTTCCTGCCATCGTGTGAAGAAAGACATGTTTACTTCCCCTTCTGCCACGATTGTAAGTTTTCTGAGGCCTCCCCAGCCATGCAGAACTCTAAGTCAATTAAATCTCCTTTCTTTATAAATCGTCAAGTCTCAGACAGTCCTTTATAGCAGGATGAGATTGGACGAATACAATATTTCAGTATCTTACAGATTACTCAGATATTTTAAGATTATCTACTTAATTTAATATAACATGACTCTAAGATTTTAAATTACTGGAAAGAATTTTGAAACTCTGACACAGGTAGCTTCCTTAATGTCTTCCCCCAGTAATTCTAGGTCCCAAGTAGCCACGTGGCTCCCAGGAGGAATATGAAGGTCAGGGCCATTCTGAGTCCATCAGGACAGAAGACAGAACTGTGAAGACTATACCTGGAGGATCCAACCCCTCTCAAAATAACCAGGAGACAAAACAGGGAAAGCAGAGGAATAAAGGGCCATATTGGACTTGATTCTGGCTTGCAGCTGCTGGTCTAGGCACTAAGAACATGTCACCAGACTTCATCATGGCCACCTATCCAGACCCCTGAATCTAGAGACTCTAAACCAAAGCCATAAGCTCACAGTCAAATCAAGCAAGTATCTAATTATATTTAACTGATAATTTTGAAACCAGTTCTATTTTTACCAACTATTTAAAAACTATAATAGCTTTATTTACCAAATATCACATATGCATATAGGGATACAAATACATAGAAGCAGATTTTATAGCTCTCACAAAGAACGTTCATTTGTCAGTTTTGAAATAGTTTTCTTCTCCCCATTTGGTCTATCAATCTTCCAATTACTGGTTTTGTTGCCATAAGAAATTGTTAACTAGGCAATAAATTTACATTTCTAAAGGGACAACTCTTAGGTGGAACGAAAAATATTTTATATCTCGTAAGCACAGAGCTAAGATTTTAGGCCCACATATTGTTCAAACCAAAGGAATTTAGGCCTACATTTGATCAAACTAAGGGAAAAGAATCTGCTCAAATAAAAGTTCACTTAAGAGAAGGTGGCCAGAAAAGCACCTTAAACAAAAGTATGACCTCTTATATAAATTTAAAAGAATGGTAAGAGTTTTTATTATACATAGGCAGAAATCTTTAAAAATGATTTCCTTTAATAAATGTAAATTCCTTTGACAAAAGAGTTTCAAAATAGCCAATTAAAATCCAGAAAGGTGTATTTGAGTTTAACAGGGTGTTCCTTTTAACTTACCTACTGTTTTTTAGCTAAAATTACGGAGTTCAGGGTAATTGGTGGAGTCCATAAAGGAATAGGGCCAAGAAAGCATTGTATGCCTGGATTCAGCATGGATAGATCTGGAAAAAAAAGCAAGCCTAGGCTGGGTGTGGTGGCTCATGCCTATAATCCCAGCACTTTGGGAGGCCAAGGTGGGTGGCACATGAGGTCAGGAGATCGAGACCATCCTGGCCAACATGGTGAAACCCCGTCTCTACTGAAAATACAAAAAAAATTAGCTGAGCGTAGTGGCGTGTGCCTGTAGTCCCAGCTACTTGGGAGGCTGAGGCAGGAGAATTACTTGAACCTGGTTGGCAGAGGTTGCAGTGAGCTGAGATCAACACCACTGTACTTCAGCCTGGCAACAGAGCGAGACTCCATCTCAAAAAAAAAAAAAAAAAAAAGGAAGAAGAAGCAAGCCAGCCTAGTTTGCCTGAAGGTTTTATATAAACACCTTATCTAGGTTAGCTTAATTTGCACCTTTGGGATGGAACACTAATTAAGCCAGAAGATTAGCAGGTTTAATTTTTTTATCAACTAGTCCCTTAATCATTTTATTTGCCTTTTATAAAGTCTTTAAATGTATATGCGGAAAATTTATAGAAACTTCTGCATATTAATAGGCATCCCTAGAAAAGACTAATTTGGGAGGCCTCATTTTCAAATGCAATTCAGTGCAGTGTTGTTCATTTGCAATGTCCACTGTAACATATCTTTAGAAAGATTTCACCATTCCCATAAGACTTTGCAGCTTCCAGGGCCTAATACCTATACATATATAAGCCAGAAAGAACTTCGTTCTCGGGGAACTAAGGATCCCCTTTTCACCTGATAATTTTGAAACCAGTTCTATTCAGTTCTATTATATTAGTCAATGATTTTTTTCCTCACTAAATGTGCAAATCTCATTGAATTGTTCCCATAATCCCCACTTGTGATGGGAGGGACCTGGTGAGAGATAACTAAATCATGGGGTGGTTTTACCCTTTCTATTCTCGTGATAGTAAGTCCTCACGAGATCTGATGGTTTTATAAAGGGCTTCCCCCTTCACTTGGCTCTCATTCTTTCCCTACTGCCATGTGAAGGAGGACATGTTTGCTTCCTTTTCCACCATGATTGTAAGTTTCCTGAGGCCTCCCCGGCCATGCAGAACTGTGAGTCAATTAAACCTCTTTTCTTTATAAATTACCCAGTCTCTCTCAGGTCTTCATAGCAGCATGAGAACGAACTAATAAAGTAAATTGGTACCACAGAGAGTGGGGTGCTACTATAGGGATACCCAAAAATGTGGAAGCATCTTTGGAACTGGGTAATAGGCAGAGGTTGGCACAGTTTGGAGGGCTCAGAAGAAGACAGGAAAATGTGGGAAAGTTTGGAACTTCCTAGAGACCTGTTGAATGTCTTTGACCAAAATGCTGATGGTGATATGGACAATGAAGTCCAGGCTGAGGCCATCTCAGATGGAGATGAGGAACTTACTGAGAACTGGAGAAAAGGTCTCAGCCAAATCTTATCAGTACAGAAACAGCTGCATTGATTATAGCTCAGCATTTATCTTACTTGAACACGAACAGTTGGCCACGTTTGGCTAAAACTTGGTGGTTGCCACAAGAGTAGACTACAGTCTGTATACAATTTCATTTAGGTTATAGTTCATGATGTGCAGAGAAACCTTTAGGCTGAACTTAAAATAGTCAGCTAGCTTTAGGCTAACCTTTGTTTAACATTATTTATATATAGATGCTTGTATATGTTGTGGGAAATTGATTGGAAATGTGAGTTTGATATGTAACTATTGGAACTTTCATTTAAAATAGGAAATAGACTTCCAGTCAATATTTAAGAGAACAATTGATTTTCATGATGGGATTATTGACCATAAGCAAAAAGGATCAAGATATTTTTTATTAATCCTAAAGAATGTTCAGACATTATCTCTTCAGGTATTACCTCTGCCTCATTTTCTCTCTGCAAATTCTGAAACTCTGATTAAACATGTTAGAATTTCTCATTCCCAACTCTATGATGAAACCACCTTTGCAAGCATTTATAACAGTGAGAAAAATTATGACATTAAAAGACCTAACCTAACCAACTCCATCTTGCCTTTAACCTCCAAACTGCCGTTGTTCTTTCCTGGGCAAAGACTAAATTTAATATAGGAGGAATTTGTAGTTTAACTTTGAAACAGGTGGTAATCGCCTTTTCCAGAAACAAAGCCCCTTCTTCTTGCCTGGGGCCAGACCACCTCTATAAGATTAACAAATTAGCCACAAGATTAGAAATTATGGTTTTGGTGTCATGCAGCCAGAGGCCACTACATCCCAAATTGCTCCTAGGGATAACATCACTATTATAAAACCTAAGGTTGGTGTTTGATATATTTTGAGACCCTTCATTCTGATGCACAAGCAGGCACCACCCAGACTGGTAATTGGGCTCAACCAGTTCTGCGATCCCATCCAGAAACAGAAGACAGCAAGAAGAACTCGACCCCCTGCAATTTTATCTCCTATCTAACCAAGCAGCACTCCCCTCTCCCTAACCCTCTACCTGCCAAACTATCTTTAAAAAACTCCAGTCTCCCAATTTTTGAGGAGACTGAGTTGAATAATAAAACTCAGGTCTCCCATTTAGCCAATTTGGCGTGCATTAGACTCTTTATCTGCTGCAATTCCTCTGTCTTAATAAGTCAGCTGTATCTGAGCAGTGGGAAAGGAGAACCCACTGGGCATTTAAAATGTCATGAATTATCCTTTTTGTTTCTTCCTATCTTTTTGTCTCTCTATGCTGCATTCTACACAATTTTTTCTAATATATCTCTTAGTTTACTCCTTTGTCTCTAATCTGTTAAGGCTATCTATTGATCTTCATTTTTATTGTATATAAGTATATTTTACTTCTAGAAATTCCACTTGTATTTTCAAATTCATGTTTTTATTTTTTCTTGTTCCTGCAAATATCTCTAAGTTTACATTATATTACTTTAAACGTAATACTTGCAGTTAACTTATTGTCTGTGACTTATGTTTTAACTGAAGACCTTGTGAATCTGCTTCTGCTCATTCTGCTTGTTCTCACTCTTGGTGTCTTATTTCCTAGTGGGCCTGATTATCTTTGACAGTATACTGGTCATTGTACTTGAAGATTTATTTGTAAAGCATTTTAGGGCCTAAGATAAAAGTATTTTCTTCCAGAGAGGATTTGCCTTTGCTTTTGCACTGCCAGCCTGGGGACCCTTTAGTTCAGGTTCAAGACTTAAACTTCATTATTTTTTGATATGATCTCACACAGAAAAGATGAAGGCTGTTTTATTTCTGATTTACTCTGAGAGTGATGATGGAGTCCCAATTTATTTTGGAGAGAGTTTTTGCTATTAGCCTTCTACTTCAAGTAGAGAAGGCCCTTTAATATCTGTCCTTCTCACTAAAAAGCCTTTCAAAATAGAAGTTCAAATTTGCTAAGGCCACAAAAGCTCTCAAGACGAAAGCACCTTTCTGGTTTTCTTATCACTCTAGTTTTTGCTCAGTATTTTCTTGCTGTATTGTTAGCTCTTCGTAGATTTTAAGGAAGATTTTAAAATAATTTACATGAGCTCTTTAGTTCTTTTTAGTAAGAGGTTGGTCCAAATAACCAAGCCTGCCAAAACTGGAAGCTAGAAGTCTTACTTCAAGTCTTAAAATATTTTAAAGTAATAGAAAAAATTTTAGTTATATAGTAATTTTATAATATTGATAATAAAATGGAGGGTTGAGCCATTATAAAAACAGATCGAAGTAAATACCCTAGGTTCTGAATTTTTCCTTGCTAAAGTGTAGTTAAAAACAGGAAGCAGCTGTGGCAAAATCTATGGAGAGAGTTTTTGTTTATCTGCTTTTTTAGTGGAGCTAATATTCTACAAATAGCATGCCAAAATACTAGGCCAAAAGTGACTAAAATACAAGCGTCACTCCATAGGCTCTTTTCTTTACCCATCTTCCCTTACACTTGAATCCATGACTTTCTCTAAACTCCAGAACATTAAGATTTTTACTGTGAAAAGGATTTACTTACAAAATGTTAAGATTTTTTCCTGAACTTGTTGTTGATACTATGAAAAACCTTCTGGCAAATCATCAGTTCTTACTAACATAATGAAAAAAAAAGATAAAACTTGTCATTTCACACTTTGCAGATAAGAAAAGCAGTTTACTGAACACTTGGTTCCGTAGAAACGTGGCTATGGAGAGTCATAGGTGTAACATGAGCACTTAAATAAGGCCAAGAGTAATACATTTTAGACATGTGGCTGGATATATGGGGGTGGGTAGGAAGATCTATTAAGTAATTTCTCACTATTTTAACAGCTTTTAGGTCTGTAAAAAGTGATACATCCAATCTAGGACTCCTTGATTTAAATTAGAGAAGAAATAAACAGAAACATGCTGAGAAATAAATGCTGAGCTGTTATCAATTTATTGTGTAACTTTACTGGCAAGAACAAAAGAGCTATTTCACTAATTTTTCCAAAAACAATGTTGATATTGTATAAACAATATCTGAAAAGGTCAAGGAAGCATGTTTGTGAACTGTACTTTTCAAATTGGTTACCTACGTAAACACTCAATGTTCCTATGAAGACTCTTAATCATTTCTGAGACAGATTTGTTGACTATCATTTTGTTTGTTGGTTTGTGCAAAATCTCTAAAATTCTGTATCAACATTTCACACATTTTGGCCAAACCACCAACTCAGCATTTCTCAAACTAAGGAGCCTGCAGATATCCTGTCCTGACATTCTTAGGTTTCAAGTTTGAGAAATACTCTAACACTTAGAAGGAATCCATATACTGATGACTAACTTGAATAGATCCTTGAATGATAATAATCTCGGGTACCATTTTTTAAATGCCTTCGCATACCAAGCTTTATACTAAGTACATTATTTTCAATATATTGTCCTTTTTCTAATCCTGGAAGTTAAATGTTATGATGATCCCTATTTTACATATAAAAAAGATTCAGAGAGGCTGTTTGACAAGAGCAGTAGAAACTAATAACTTGTTCCAGCTCTTGAATGAATGGGCTAGAATTCAAATCCTAGTCTGCATAACAAAAGTGCGGAAGACAGGGAAGCTTGAGGCAAACTTAAAAAGAAAAATAAAAAATAAAAAGTCCTCAAACTGCCTTACGGATCATTTCCAATGGTGTAAGCAGCCCTTGAATTTTGGGACAGATCTTTTTGGTTTTTTATTATCCACACGCTTATAATCAAGCAGGCTTTTGTTACCACTGTGGTAGATTGTATTTTTGTTCAAAATATCCATCCTTTTTGAGTTGTCCCTCTTCATGGGAGGATTATATATCCATGGTTCCTTGACATTATAGATACATAATATCATGTGACTTCTAGCACCTTTCCCTGAAGGGAAATTTTACCTGATGGAAGTCAGGCATGGCCATGTGATTTGTGACCAGAAATATATGAACATAAATGACAATAGAACCTGTAAGAGGGAACTCAAGATCTGCTATGATCTCTTAGTTGTTCCCTTGAGTTTGACAACAACAACCCCATAAATGGCTGCTCATTAGGGTTGAATACCAGAGAAAAGACGATATGGAATATACGTGCAAATGTGATGGACAAGTAATATCGGTGAGAAATGCTTCTTTGTAACCACTAAACTTAGGAGTCACTTATTGCTTTTTTGAGTCTCGATTTCTTCATTTGTAAATTGGGATGATAATACCTGCTTGTAGATATTGTGAAAATTTGGAGAATTGTCTAAGAAAATGAATTTAAAAAGCTGAACACATTGGTATGTGCCATGTCTGGCCATTACTATTCCCCGTTCTATTATTGAGCCATATATTTAAGCAAATAAGTAAGCAGATGTATCTGAGCTTTCTTATTTCTGGGATGGGCTTGCTGCCCCAAAATAAAATTAAGATATCCCCATGTGAAATTTGGAATTCAAAATCTTTCTTCAGAATTCAAAAAAATAATAGCAAAATATACTGGTCAATTCCTCAAATATTAATAACATGTATCAGATATTGTTTAGTGTCTGGGAGATACACAATACATGATTCATTCTCTTTTCCTAAAGGGTGCTAATCTAGTGCATTTATGAAACTGGTGGCAAATTAAAGCTTAAAATAGAAAATAAGGTTACATTTTTTATTTGACTGCAGCCATATTTCTTTCCAGTAGAATAATTTGAGCTACCAAGGTGCTATTCCTAAGAAGTTGAGTTGGCTACAATGGATAAATAAAATTCATTGGTAATTAATGTCAACATTGATATTAAATGATCATGCTGCTATTTTTAAATGATTTTATGACAATAGTGTAATTCTATTTTGTTTATAATTTCTTTGTATCTTGTTTACACTACAATTTCTTTCATGGAAATCCAAATAGTATAACTTCAACCAAAATCTAAAACACCAAGTCGCTCATCATTAAATTATAAATTGATGATAATTTGCTTTTACATGTAACATGGCAGCAGGCAAACCCATCAAGTCCTTAGATGTACATTTCTTTGCCTGCAGGGCCCATATTTTATTCTTCAGTTTTCAGAGCTCAGACAAATTATAAAGTGCATTTTAATCCCATCAGAAGCTACAGAGTTGGAGCGAATGGGGCACCTGAAACCACTGTGTGAGCTGAATCACCTGAGTGTGACAGACAGGAGTAGAATGTCCTCTGGTGGGGTCCTGGAGCCACACTGCTTCTTTATGGGTCTTAAGAATTTTTTGTTAAAATACTAGGCATCCATTATGAACACAATTCTCTTGTTCATAGAGAGTTTATAGAGTGCCACAGATACTGAAGTCACAGTCCCTGACTTTGAACTCAGCAAACTGCTCTCTGAGCAAAACTCTGCTGTAATCCACAGTTGCCATTTACTGAGAATTGGGTGGGGCAAGAAAATCAGTTCTCTAGATCCTTGGAAAGATTTACTGTGTAATGCCACGTGTTTTTTATTGCAGAAAACAACGTACAAATTTCCCTGCCAATGCCAAACTGACATCACTAAATTAAGTATTCTCAATGTATGCTTTCATTCAATTCCCTGTTGGCATTACCTTTTAGCAAAAGATCTGCAACCACTGGCAAGACTTTTTTAGTCAAATAAAATAAAGGAATTGTTCAGGGTATAATGCTTTTTGTTGCCAATGCTCTCGACAAGATTAATAATTCAGATGAAATACATAGCCAAAGGAATTGTATGCTTTCTCTCATTTGAACAAGTGTTTAATTATCTGCAGATGTGCAGGAAAACATGTACAAAAGTAAAATGTACTCACTTGCTATCACTTTAAATGTAAATGCCTCCTATGGCTTCCTTTGCATATTAAGAATTTTAAAGGTAAACATTTGTTAGATCTCTTGAAAAAAAATCCTATTAAAAACAAATGCAATATGAGCCAAAATGTCCATTTTAGCAGCCAGTTCCTGAACTAATATTATCCTGTATTGAGCGAAACTTTGATGGAATTGAAATCAGTATGCTCAAGTGTAAGTAGATGTTCTGAAAATACACAAAGGCAAAGTTGTTAACAATGAGGTCCATTATGGGGGAAAAATTCTACCTCTTTGCCCAGCAGGACATCCTTATTCAGCTTCTGAAATGGCTGTCTGCTTTTAGTTCATTTCCCAGTAAAAATGAAGATGTGTAAATTTTCAATTTGTCTACTTGTATAACTTTATCTAACATGTCCCATTACTGCATTCGCTATACATTGTATAACAAATACCACTTCAAAGGCCTTTTCTGCATCTATTGAGATAGTCATGTGGTTTTTGTCATTGGTTCTGTTTATATGCTGGATTACGTTTATTGATTTGTGTACGTTGAACCAGCCTTGCATCCCAGGGATGAAGCCCACTTGATCATGGTGGATAAGTTTTTGATGTGCTGCTGGATTCGATTTGCCAGTATTTTATTGAGGATTTTTGCATGGATGTTCATCAGGGATATTGGTCTAAAAAACTCTCAATAAATTAGGTATTGATGGAATGTATCTCAAAATAATGAGAGCTATCTATGACAAACCCATAGCCAATATCATACTTGAATGGGTAAAAACTGGAAGCATTAGAAAACTGGCACAAGACAGGGATGCCCTCTCTCACCACTCCTATTCAACATAGTGTTGGAAGTTCTGGCCAGGGCAATCAGGCAGGAGAAGGAAATAAAGGGTATTCAATTAGGAAAAGAGGAAGTCAAATTGTCCCTGTTTACAGATGACATGATTGTATATCTAGGAAATCCCATTGTCTCAGCCCAAAATCTCCTTAAGCTGATAAGCAACTTCAGCAAAGTCTCAGGATACAAAATCAATGTGCAAAAATCACAAGCATTCTTATACACCAATAACAGACAGAGAGCCAAATCATGAGTGAACTCTCATTCACAATTGCTTCAAAGGGAATAAAATACCTAGGAATCCAACTTAAAAGGGACATGGAGGACCTCTTCAAGGAGAACTACAAACCACTGCTCAGCGAAATAAAAGAGGATACAAACAAATGGAAGAACATTCCATGCTCATGGATAGGAAGAGTCAATATCGTGAAAATGGCCATACTGCCCAAAGTAATTCATAGATTCAATGCCATCCCCATCAAGCTACCAATGACTTTCTTCAAAAAATTGGAAAAAAACTGCTTTAAAGTTCATATGGAACCAAAAAAGAACCCACATCACCAAGTCAATCCTAAGCCAAAAGAACAAAGCTGGAGGCATCATGCTACCTGACTTCAAACTATACTACAAGGCTACAGTAACCAAAACAGCATGGTACTGGTACCAAAACAGAGATATAAACCAATGGAACAGAACAGAGCCCTCAGAAATAATGCCACATATCTACAACTATCTGATCTGTGACCAACCTGACAAAAACAAGCAATGGGGAAGGGATTCCCTATTTAATAAATGGTGCTGGGAAAACTGGCTAGCCATATGGAGAAAGCTGAAACTGGATCCCTTCCTTACACCTTATACTAAAATTAATTCAAGATGGATTAAAGACTTAAAAGTTAGACCTAAAGCCATAAAAACCCTAGAAGAAAACCTAGGCAATACCATTCAGGACATAGGCATGGGCTAGGACTTCATGTCTAAAACACCAAAAGCAATGGCAACAAAAGCCAAAATTGACAAATGGGATCTAATTAAACTAAAGAGCTTCTGCACAGCAAAAGAAACTACCATCAGAATGAACAGGCAACCTACAGAATGGGAGAAAATTTTTGCAACCTACTCATCTGACAAAGGGCTAATATCCAGAATCTACAATGAACTCAAACAAATTTACAAGAAAAAAACAACCCTATCAACAAGTGGGTGAAGGATATGAACAGACACTTCTCAAAAGAAGACATTTATGCAGCCAACAGACACATGAAAAAATGCTCATCATCACTGGCCATCAGAGAAATGCAAATCAAAACCACAATGAGATAACATCTCCCACCAGTTAGAATGGCAATCATTAAAAAGTCAGGAAACAACAGGTGCTGGAGAGGATGTGGAGAAATAGGAACACTTTTACACTGTTGGTGGGACTGTTAACTAGTTCAACCATTGTGGAAGTCAGTGTGGAAATTCCTCAGGGATCTAGAACTAGAAATACCATTTGACCCAGCCATCCCATTACTGGATATATACCCAAAGTATTATAAATCATGCTGCTATAAAGACACATGCACATGTATGTTTATTGTGGCACTATTCACAATAGCAAAGACTTGGAACCAAGCCAAATGTCCAACAATGATAGACTGGATTAAGGAAACCATGGAATACTATGCAGCCATAAAAAATGAGTTCATGTCCTTTGTAGGGACATGGATGAAGCTGGAAACCATCATTCTCAGCAAACTATCACAAGGACAGAAAAACCAAACACCGCATGTTCTCACTCATAGGGAATTGAACAATGAGAACACATGGACACAGGAAGGGGAACATCACACACTGCGGACTGTTGTGGGGTGGGGGGAGGGGGGAAGGATAGCATTAGGAGATAAACCTAATGTTAAATGACAAGTTAATGGGTGCAGCACACCAACATGGCACATGTATACATAGGTAACAAACCTGCACGTTGTGCACATGTACCCTAAAACTTAAAGTATAAAAAAAAATACTGCTTCAGAGCTTCTGACAAAAGCCGTGTGACCTTCAAATGAGACCTACTTTGCTGAAACCACGTGTACATACAAGCCAAGAAGGAGTGTATCCTCCCGTTCAGATGCAAAAGTGGCTTCTAGAAAGGCCTTATATTCAACGTGTTTCATAAGTTTTTTCCTCTAATGGCACTGTATAGAACATGAGTATCAGACTGAACCTTAATCATAGGTTGACTTTGACCAGTAGCATTACGGATATAAGCAAATATGGTAAAAATCCAGCAAATCTCAATACAAACTTTAATATCAGTAGAAGAAAATGAAACATGGTTGATCCTATTCAGCCTGGTGCAGATGTACATATTGGGAAGTAGGAATACACTCATATATAAGATTGTGTCTAAATAGTTCACCAGTTTCAGGAAAAATATGTTATTTGGTGGTTTAGTATCCAATTTGTGAGAAATCCTCAATATTTGGCTCATGTTCCCCTTCTCCCCTCTGGCTAGATGCCTTTTGGCCATTTCACTCCATGGGCCTATTTCCAGCAATGGGTAGAAAGACAGAATAAAAAAAGGTAAATATCAACTTGGTCATTTGGGATGCTTGTTATTAGTTTATGAAAGGTCTGATAAAAAAAACAGTGAAAATTAAATTTTTGAGTTATTTGTCGTTCTTAATTTTTTTCACTTTATCTCTAATGTTGTCACGGATAATGTAGAATTGGTGTTTTAGCCCAAATTCTACCATTAAGCTTGACATGTTTTTATTGAATAAGCCATGAGTATTCATTGACATTCGTGGTAGATCATAATCACAGACACAGTAGGTTTTGTTCCACAGATCCCCATTTAGTTTTCACACAACTGCATTTGTGCTATTTTTACTTTGCAACTGACCTTCTCTGTTGTATGAGAATATAGTTAGAATTCAGTACCTTGATGAGCACAGGAAGTTTCCCATTCCAGTCATAATTTCTAAATTGCCCAGGTTGCAGCTTTGGAATGATGTGGATTAAGTCAGTTAATGCCCAGAGAAAAAGTTTTGCTCAAAAGAGAAAACAGTAATCACGTTTATGTAAGTATTAAATTGTGTCAGAAAGTATAAATGTCATTTCCATTTTCCAACCAAACTTCAATATACGCTTTGGTGTTTTGGCACCACATGGTAGTATGTACAACCAGACCAGGAGAATGTTCATCCTTACCTTGCATATACTGTCTGGGCTCTCAATTTATTCTTTCTATGCTTTTCAAAAAGCCCAATATTGAATTACATAAAGTAATAAGCCTTTCCCAGAAGGTTTCTGAAAAATATTTGGAATATTTTTTCCTAAAATGTGTTTGTGATTTAATGGCACTGCCTTAAAATACAATTGTCAGACAAACCCTTGCTGATTATCTTGTTTTGCCAGCAAATCCTGGCACATGAATTTTATAGAGACATAGTGAAATTCATTTCCATCGAAGAACAAGAGAATTACAGTTAAAAGTAAGCCCTATTTTTGACAGAATCTATGAATAAAAGGTAAACTTCTCAGTATTTTCAATATGAAGTGATAATTACCTTGTAAGTACAATCAGGTCCAGTTATTGTCAAGATCTGATTATTAAATTGGGAACTAAAATAGAATTGCAACCCTGAGTCGTATTTACATTATTTGCTCATAAAATCAGCCCAGATATTCCATGAACAATTGAAAAGTCATCACTAAACAATGCAGAGGGGAAGAAAAAAATCCAAATTTTTAGTTACTTGAATTAGTAAGGCTGCCTTATGATTATTTTTTAATGCAGTTAACATTTTCATCAGAATTTAAAGCCATTCCCATTCAAGATATGCCTGGGGTTTCTGCACATAGCTCCCCTCCTGTCTTTCTTCCTAACTTAATAGAAAATTCTAGTTATATTTAGAAGATGTTGAAAAATCATTGTTTCTTCTTCTTTTTGCTTTATTTCACAGAATACAACATTTTAGAATTAAAGTCAAAGGAGTATTTATGTTAATCAATAGAATACTTCTGAAAATTTGGAATCCTGGGTCTCTTTCCAAGAAATAAAATTTTAAAAGGTATTTTGGAGAAGTTGAGTTGTAGATGTGGTATCTTAAAGCTACTAAATTAGAAATTTCTCAATGTTTCTTATTTTCTCTTCCGGAATGTATTTATTAAACATCAGTAATAGTCCAGAACTACAATATAAATTTTTTGTTTTTTTTCTTTACAATGCTCTTGAGTTCTACTGTTTTAGTCATCTATTGCTGTGTAACAAATTACCCCCTAAAATTTAGTGACTTAGAACAACAAATACATACTTGTCATCTCAGTTTCTGTGGGCTAGCAATCTGTTTTTGTTTGTTTGTTTGTTTTTTAAACAAAAACCAAAAACAAAACACAAAAAATTGGTACCTTTTATTTTGTATATGGGAGGTTTACACCATATTATGGGATACATATACAGTCATGTGTCACTTAACAATGGAGAAAAATGTGTCCTTAGGCAATTTCTTCATTATATGAACATTATAGAGTATACTTATACAAACATAGTTGGTATATCCTACTATACACCTAGGCTATGTGGAATGTTTTATTGCTTGTAGGCTACAAAGAATACAGCATAGAATTACAGCATTTTAGCATTCTGTACTGGATGTTATTGTACTGAATACTGCAGGCAACTGCAACACAGTTGTAAGTATTTGTGTATCTGAACATATCTAAACATAGAAAAAGGGCAGTAAGAATATGTTATAAAAATTAAAAATGGCACCTCTGTACAAGGCTGCTTCACTAAAATCTTGTGGGACCTGGTATATGGGGGTCCATCGTTGACCAAAATATTATTATGTAACACATGACTATAGATAGTAAAATGGTTACTATAGTGAAGCAAACTAATATATTAACTCACATTGTTACTTTAGTGACAAGAGCAGCTAAAATCTACTTATTTAACAAAAACCAGTAATATAATTTTATTAACAATAATCCTCAGGTTGTACATTAGATCACTTGTTCATTCTACATATCTGCTACTTTGTATTCTTTGACCCCTACCCTCACCCCTAGTAACTGCTATTTCATTCTATTTAACCTTTTTTTCCCCAAAATATTCTACACATGAGTGAAATCATGCAATATTTTTGTTTCTGTTCCTGGGTCATTTTACTTAGCATAATGTCCTCCAGGTCCATTCATATTGTGGCAAGTGGCAGGATCACTTTACTTTTTATGGCTGATTAATATTTCTTTATAAACTATATACATATGCATATATAGGCATACATATACATATATAAAATATATATCTCACATTTCCTTTATCAACAGACAGACTGTTTCCAATCTTTGCTATTGTAAATAATGCTACAGTGAACATAGGAGTACAAGTATCTTTTTGAAGTGATGATTTCATCTCCTTTGGGTATATATACAAAGATTGCTGTGTCATATGATGGGGTTTTGTTTGTTTGCTTTAATTTTTTTGAGAATGAGTCTTAAACACTGAAAGCCTGTACTGTCACCCAGGCTGGAGTGCAGTGGCGCGATCTTGGTTCACTGCAACCTCCGCTTCCCAGTTTCCAGTGATTCTCCTGCCTCAGCCTCCCAAGTAGCTGGTATTACAGGCATGCGCCACCACACCCAGCTAATTTTTGTATTTTTAGTAGAGGTGTCAGGCCGGTCTCAAACTCCTGACCTCAAGTGATCCTCCCACCACAGTCCCCCAAAGTGCTGGGATTATGGTTCCAATTTTAATATTTTCAGAAAACTCCATACTGTTTTCCATAATAGCTGAACCAGTCTATATTCCCATCAGCAGTGTGTTGGGGTTTCCTTTTTCTCCATATCCTCGCCAACATTTATGATTTCTTGCCTTTTTGATGATAGTCATCCTAATGGGTGTGAGATGACACAGGGGTTTTAATTTGCATTTCCCTCCTCATTAGTGATGTTGAGCACCTCTTTATATACCTGTTGGCCATTTATATGTAGTCTTTGAAGAAATGTCTGCTCAGGTATTTTGCCCATTTAAAAAAATCGTGTTATTTGTTTTTCTGTTATTGAGTTACAAGAGTTCTTTATAAATTTTGGATATTAACTCTTTATCATATATGTGATTTGCAAATATTTTTTTCCAGTCTGTAGGTTGCCTTTTCATTTTGTCGATTGTTTCCTTTGGTGTGCAGGAGTTTTTTTAGTTTGGTGTGGTCTCATTTATTTTTGCTTTTGTGGTCTGAGGTTTTGATGCAATATCCAAAAGCATAAATAATCATGACATATAATCTTTTCGAAGTATTCTTACACTTGGTTTGCTAATGTTTTATTGAAGGTTTTTATATCAATTTTTATCAGAAATATTGGCCTGTAGTTTTGTTTTCTTGTGGTATCTTTGTGTGGCTTATGTATCAGGGTTATGCTGGCTTCATGTGTTTGGAAGTATTCCCTCTGGCTCTATTTTTGGAAGCGTTTAAGAAAATACTGATATTCTTCTTTGAATGTTTGGTAGAACTCAGCTGTGAAGCCATCTGGTCCTGTGCTTTTCTTTGTTGGGAGATGTTTTATTACTTACTCAATCTCTTGCTACTGGTGTATTTCTTCCTGACTCTATTTATGTATTTATTGTTTGTTTGTTTGTCTATTGTAACTATTTCTCACTCCGTCACCCAGGTTGGAGTGCAGTGGCACAATCTTGGCTCACTGCAATCTCTACCTCTTGGGTTCAAGAGATTCTCTTGCCTCAGCTGCCCAAGTACCCGGGATTACAGGCACACACCACCACACCTGGCTAATTTTTTGTATTTTTAGTAGAGACGGGGTCTCATCATGTTGGCCAGGTTGGTCTTGACCTCCTGACCTCAAGTAATCCACCTGCCATGGCCTCCCAAAGTGCTGGGATTACAGGCTTGAGCCACCACGCCTGGTCAACTCAATCTTGGCAAGTTATATTTTCCTAGAAATTTATCAATTTGCTCTAGGTTATTCAATGTGTTGGTACATAGTTGTTCATTTATAATCCCTTATGATGCTTTTTATTTTTGAGGTGTCTGTTGCAATTTCTTCAATTTCATTTTCTGTTTTATTTATTTTTGTCTTCTCTCTCTTTTTCTTAGACTAGCTAAGGGTTTGTCAATTTTAATTTTCCAAAGAATCAACTTGGTTTTATTGATTCTTTCCATGGCTTTCTGTTTTCTGTTTATTTCTGTTCTAATCTTTATTTCCTTCCTTCCGCTAATTTTGGGTTTGTTCATTCTTTTATATAGTTCCTTGAGACATAATCTTTTACTATTTATTTGGAATTTTTTAATGTAGGTATTTAATGCTATAAACTTCCTCCCAAAACTGCTCTTACTTCATCCATAAGTTTTGATATGTTGTGTTTCCATTGCCATTTGCCTCAAGAAATTTCTTATTTTCCCTTTTGATTTATTTGTTGACTTATTGGTTGTTCAGGAGCATGTTGTTTAATCTCTACATGTTTGTGAATTTTCCAAGATTCTTCTTGTTATTTATTTCTAATTTCAAACCATTGTGGTCTGAAATAATATCAGATATTATGTGAATTTTCTGAAATTTGGTAAGACTTGTTTTGTGGCCTTTACATACAGTCTATCATGGAGAATGTTTTATGAATGCTAGAGAAAAAAGTATATTCTGCTGTTGGGTGGAAAGTTCTAAATAGTCTGTTAGGTCTTTTTGGTAAAAAAAAAAAAAATGCAGTTCAAATTCAGTATTCTCATATTAATTTTCTGTCTAATTGATCTATCCATTGTTGAATATGGGATATCAAAATTCCCCACTATCGTATTGCTGTCTATGTCTCCCTTCATGTCCATTAATATTTATACATTTAGGTTCTACAATGTTGGGTGCAAATACATTTACAATCACTCTGTCCTCTTGATGAATTGACCTCTTTATCATTAAATAATGACACTCTTTGTTTCTTGTCAGTTTTTGACTTAAAGTCAACTTTAAATTTAGCCACCCCGATATCTTTTGATTACCATTTGCATGGACTATCTTCTTCTATCCCTTCACTTTCAGCCTATGTGTGTTCTTAAAGCTTAAGTGAGTCTTTTGAAAGCAGCATATAATTGGATCTTGTTTTTAAAAATTCATTCAGCTACTCTTGAGTGGAGAATTTAATGTTTAAATTAAAGGTTATTATTGATAAGTAAAGACTTATTACTGCCATTTTGTTTGTTTTCTGGTTGTTTTGTAGCTGCTTCATTCCTTCATCTTTTGTTATTATACTTTAAGTTCTGGGGTACATGTACAGAGTGTGCAGGTTCATTACATAGGTATAGACGTGCCATGGTGGTTTGCTGCACCCATCAACCCATCATCTACATTAAGTATTTCTCCTAATGCTATCCCTCCCCTAGCCCGCAACCCCCCAACAGACCCCAGTATGTGATGTTCCCCTCCCTGTGTCCATGTGTTCTTATTATTCAACTCCCACTTATGAGTGAGAACATGTGGTGTTTGGTTTTCTGTTCTTCTGTTAGTTTCCTGAGAATGATAGTTTCCAGCATCTTCCATGTGCCTGCAAAGGACATGAACTCACCCTTTTTTATGGCTGCATAGTATTCCATGGTGCATATGTGCCTCATTTTCTTTATCTAGTCTATCATTGATGGCATTTTGGTTGGTTCTAAGTCTTTGCTATTTTGAATAGTGCTGCAATAAACATATGTGTGTATGTGTCTTTATAGTAGAAAGATTTATAATCCTCTGGGTATATACCCAGTAATGAGATCACTGGGTCAAATGGTATTTCTAGTTCTAGATCCCTGAGGAATCACCACACTGTCTTCCCAATGGTTGAACTAATTTACACTCCTACAAACAGTGTAAAAGCGTTCTATTTCTTCACATCCTCTCCAGCATCTGTTGTTTCCTACTTTTTAATGATCACCATTCTAACTGGCATGAGATGGTATCTCATTGTGGTTTTGATTTGCATTTCTCTAATGACCAGTGATGATGACCTTTTTTTCATATATTTGTTGGCTGCATGAATGTCTTCTTTTGAGAAGGGTCTGTTCATATCCCTCACCCACTTTTTGATGAGGTTGTTTGTTTCTTTCCTGTAAATTTGTTTCAGTTCTTTGTAGATTCTGGATATTAGCCCTTTGTCAGATAGATAGATTGCAAAAATTTTCTCCCATTATGTAGGTTGCTTGTTCATTCTGATGATAGTTTCTTTTGCTGCGCAGAAGTTCTTTAGTTTAATTAGATCCCATTTGTCAATTTTGGCTTTTGTTGCCATTGCTTTTTGTGTGTCAGTCATGAAGTCTTTGTCCATGCCTATGTCCTGAAGGGTATTGCCTAGGTTTTCTTCTAGGGATTTTATGGTTTTAGGTCTTACATTTAAGTCTTTAATACATCTTGAGTTACTTTTTGTATAAGGTGTAAGGAAGGGATCCAGTTTCAGCTTTCTCCATATGGCAAGCCAGTTTTCCCAACATCCTTTATTAAATAAGGAATCCTTTCCCCATTGCTTGTTTTTGTCAGGTTTGTCAAAGATCAGATGGTTGTAGATGTGTGGCCTTATTTCTGAGGGCTCTGTTCTGTTCCATTGGTCCATATATCTGTTTTGGTATAAATACCATGCTGTTTTGGTTACTGTAGACTTGTAGTATAGATTGATGTCAGATAGCATGATGCCTCCAGCTTTGTTCTTTTTGCTTAGGATTATCTTGGCTATGCGGGCTCTTCTTTGGTTCCATATGACATTTAAAGTAGTTTTTTTTCTAATTCTGTGAAGAAAGTCAATTGTAGCTTGATGGGGATAGCATTGAATCTATAAATTACTTTGGGCAGTATGGCCATTTTCACGATATTGATTCTTCCTGTCCATGAGTATGGAATGTTTTTCCATTTGTTTGTGTCCTCTCTTATTTCCTTGAGCAGTGGTTTGTAGTTCTCCTTGAAGAGGTCCTTCACATTCCTTGTAAGTTGTATTCCTAGGTACTTAATTCTCTTTGTAGCAATTGTGAATGGGAGTTCACTCATGATTTGGCTCTCTGTTATTGATGTATAGGAATGCTTGTGATTTTTGCACATTGATTTTGTATCCTGGGACTTTGCTGAAGTTGCTTATCAGCTTATGGAGATTTTGGGCTGTGATGATGGGGTTTTCTAAATATAAGATCATGTCATCTGCAAACAGAGACAATTTGACTTCCTCTTTTCCTAACTGAAAATGCTTTTTTCTTTTTCTTGCCTGATTACCCTGGCCAGAACTTCCAATACTATGTTTAATAGGAGTGGTGAGAGAGGGCATCCTTGTCTTTTGCTGGTTTTCAAAGGGAATGCTTCCAGTTTTTGCCCATTCAGTATGATATTGGCTGTTGGCTTGTCATAAATAGCTCTTATTATTTTGAGACACGTTCCATCAATGCCTAGTTTATTGAGAGTTTTTAGCATGAAGGGCTGTAGAATTTTGTCCAAGGACTTCTGCATCTATTGAGATAATCATGTGGTTTTTGTCAGTGGTTCTGTTTATGTGATGGATTACGTTTATTGATTTGAGTATGTTGAACCACCCTTGCATCCCAGGGATGAAGCCAACTTGATCATGGTGGATAAGCTTTTTGATGTGCTGCTGGATTTGGTTTGCCAGTATTTTATTGAGGATTTTTGCATTGATGTTAATCAGAGATATTGGCCTGAAATTTTCTTTTTTTGTTGTGTCTCTGCCAGGTTTTGATATCAGGATGATGCTGGCCTCATAAAATAAGTTAGGAAGGAGTCCTTCTTTTTGTATTGTTTGGAATAGTTGCAGAAGGAATGGTACCAGCTCCTCTTTGTACTTCTGGTAGAATTTGGCTGTGAGTCTGTCTGGTCTTGGACTTTTTTTGGTTGGTAGGCTATTAATTGCTGCCTCAATTTCAGAACTTGTTATTGGTCTATTCAAGGATTCGACTTCTTCCTGGTTTAGTCTTGGGAGGGTGTATGTGTCCAGGAATTTATCCATTTCTTCTAGATTTTCTAGTTTATTTGCATAGAGGTGTTTATAGTATTGTGTTTTGGTAGTTTGTATTTCTGTGGGATCAGTGGTGATATTCTCTTTGTCATTTTTTATTGCACCTATTTGATTCTTCTTTCCTTTCTTCTTCATTAGTCTGGCTAGCAGGCTATTTTGTTGATCTTTAAAAAAAACAGGTCTTGGATTCATTAATTTTTTTTTGAAAGGTATTTCATGTCTATCTCCTTCAGTTCTGCTCGGATCTTAGTTATTTCTTGTCTTCTGCTAGCTTTTGAATTTGTTTGCTCTTGCTTCTCTAGTACTTCTAATTATGATGTTAGGATATCAATTTTAGAACTTTCATGCTTTCGCTTGTGGGCATTTAGTGCTATAAATTTCCCTCTACACACTGCTTTAAATCTGTCCCAGAGATTCTGGTACATTGTGTCTTTGTTCTTATTGGTTTCAAAAACCATCTTTATTTCTGCTGTCATTTCATTATTCTAATCTTGTCTTCTTGCTTTATTTCATTGAGTAGTCATTCAGGAGGTTGTTCAGTTTCCATGTAGCTGTGCGGTTTTGAGTGAGTTTCTTAATCTTGAGTTCTAATTTGATTGCACTGTGGTCTGAGAGACGGTTATGATATCCGTTCTTTTGCATTTGCTGAAGAGTGTTTTACTTCCAATTATATGATCAGTTTTAGAATAAGTAAAATGTAGTGCTGAGAAGAATGTGTGTTCTGTTCATTTGGGGTGGAGAATTCTGTAGATGTCTATTAGGTCTGCTTGGTCCAGAGGTGAGTTCAACTCCTGGATATCCTTGTTAATTTTCTGTCCCATTAATCTAATATTGACAGTGGGGTGTTAAAGTCTCCCACTATTATTGTGTGGGAGTTTAAGTCTCTTTGCAGGGCTCTAAGAACTTGCTTTATGTATCTGGGTGCTCCTGTATTGGGTGCATATATATGTAGGATAGTTAGCTCTTCTTGTTGCATTGATCCCTTTACCATCATGTAATGCCCTTCTTTGTCTCTTTTGGTTTTTGTTGTTATAAAATCTGTTTTATCAGATACTAGGATTGCAACCCCTGTTTTTGTTTTGTTTTGTTTTGTTTTTTGCTTTCCATTTGCTTGGTAATCTCCCTGCATCCCTTTAGTTTGAGCCTATGTGTGAGTCTTTGCACGTGAGATGGGTCTCCTGAATACAACACACCGATGGGTCTTGACTCTTTATCCAATTTGCCAGTCTGTGTCTTTTAATTGGGACACTTAGCCATTTACATTTAAGATTAATATTGTTATGTGTGAATTCGATCCTGGCATTATGATGCTAGCTGGTTATTTTGCCTGTTAGTTGATGCAGTTTCTTCATAGTGTGGATGGTCTTCACAATTTGGTATGACTTTGCAGTGGCTGGTACCGGTTGATCCTTTCTATGTTTAGTGCTTCCTTCAGGAGCTCTTGTAAGGCAGGCCTGATGGTGACAAAATCTCTCAGCATTTGCTTGTCTGTGAAGGATTTTATTTCTCCTTTGTTTATGAAGCTTAGTTTTGTTGGATACGAAATTCTGGGTTGAAAATTCTTTCCTTTAAGAATGTTGAATATTGGCCCCCACTCTCTTCTGGCTTGTAGGGTTTCTGCCAAGAGATCCACTGTTAGTCTGATGGGCTTCCCTTTGTGCATAACCCAATCTTTCTATCTTGCTGCCCTTTACATTTTTTCTTTCATTTCAACCTTGATGAATCTGGTGATTATGTGTCTTGGGGTTGTTCTTCTCAAGGAGTATCTTTGTGGTGTTCTCTGTATTTTCTGAATTTGAATGTTGGCCATCTTGCTAGATTGGGGAAGTTCTCCTGGATAATATCCTGAAGAGTGTTTTACAGCTTGGTTCCATTCTCCCCATCACTTTCACACACACCAATCAAACATAGATTTGGTCTTTTTACATAGTCCCATACTTCTTGGAGGCTTTGTTCATTTCTTTTCACTCTTTTTTTTTTAATCATGTCTTCTTGCTTTATTTTATTCAGTTGATCCTCAATCTCTGATATCCTTTCTTCCACTTGATCGATTTGGCTATTGATACTTATGTATGCTTCATGAAGTTCTTGTACTGTGTTTTTCAGCTCCATCAGGTCATTTATGTTTTTCTCTAAACCGATTATTATAGTTAGCAATTCATCTAACTTCTTTTCAAGGCTAGCTTCCTTGCATTGGGTTAGAACATGATCCTTTAGCTTGGAGGAGTTTGTTATTACCCACCTTCTGAAACCTACTTCTGTCAATTCATCACACTCATTCTCCATCCAGTTTTGTTCCCTTGCTGGCAAGGAGTTGTGATCCTTTGGAGGAGAAGAGGCTTTCCAGTTTTTGGAATTTTCAGCCTTTTTGAGCTGTTTTCTCCCTATCTTTGTGGAATTATCTACCTTTTGTCTTTGAAGTCAGAGACCTTTGGATGTGGTCTCCGAGTAGACGTCCTTTTTGTTGATGTTGATTCTATTCTTTTTTTTTTTTTTTGTCAGTTTTCCTTCTAACAGGCCCCTCTTTTGCAGGTCTGCTGGAGTTTGATGGAGGTCCACTCCAGATCCTGTTTGCCTGGGTATCACTGGCAGAGGCTGCAGAACAGCAAAGATTGCTGCCTGTTCGTTCCTCTGGAAACTTTGTCCCAGAGGGGCACCTGCCAGATGCCAGCCAGAGCTCTCCTGTATGAGGTGTCTGTTGGCCCCTACTGGGAGGTGTCTCCCAGTCAGGATACACAGGGGTCAGGGACCCACTTGAGGAGGCAGTCTGTCTCTTATCAGAGCTCAAACACTGTGCTGAGAGATCCGCTGCTCTCAGAGCCATCAGTCAGGGACATTTAAATCTGCTGAAGCTGTGCCCACAACTGCCCCTCCCGCCATGTGCTGTGTCCCAGGGAGGTGGGGGTTTTTATCTATAAGTCCCTGACTGGGGCTGCTGCCTTTTTTTCAGAGATGCCCAGCTCTGAGAGGAAGGAATCTAGAAAGGCAGTCTGGCTGCAGTGGCCTTGCTGAGCTGCAGTGGGCTCTGCCCAGTTCAAACTTCCAAGCGGCTTTGTTTATACTGTGAGGGTAAAACCGCCTATCAAGCCTCAGCAATGGCAGATGTCCCTCCCACCACCAAGCTTGAGCATTCCAGGTTGAGCTCAGACTGCTGTGCTGGCATGAGAATTTCAAGCCAGTGGATGTTAGCTTGCTTGGCTCCGTGGAGGTGGGACCCGCTGAGCCAGACCACTTGGCTTGGTGGCTTCAGCCCCCTTCCAGGGGAGTGAACAGTTCTGTCTTGCTGGTGTTCCAGGTGCCACTGGGGTATATAAAAAAAACTCATGCATCTAGCTCAGTGTCTGCCCAAACAGCTGCTCAGTTTTGTGCTGGAAACCCAGGGCCCTAGGGACATAGGAACTGGAGGGAATCTCCTGGTCTGCAGGTTGTGAAGACCATGGGAAAAGCTCAGTATCTGGGCCAGAGTGCATGGTACAGTCCCTAATGGCTTCCCTTGGCTAAGAGAGGGAGTTCCCTGACCCTTGTGCTTCCTGGGTGAGGCAATGCCCCACCCTGCTTCAGTTGTCCTCCTTGGGCTGCACCTATTGTCCAACCAGTCCCAGTGAGATGACCTAGGTACCTCAGTTAGAAATATAGAAATCATCCACCTTCTGTGTCGATCTTGATGGGAGCTACAGACCAGAGTTTTTCCTATTAGGCCATCTTGCCAGCAATCCCCCCTCTTTTCTTTTCTACATTTGTGATTTGATAATTTTCTATAATGCTAAGCTTTGATTCCTTTCTTTCTTGTTTGTATATCTGCTGTAGTTTTTTATTTTGTGGTTACTATGAAGCTTACATAAAATATTTTATACTTACAATCTGCAATTTTAAGCTAAAAATAACTCTGTCACATAATGAAACTCTAGGTTTTTATCCTTCCCCTATTTATGTTTTGAATGTCATAATTTACATCTTTTTATGTTGTGTATTCCTTAACAACTTATTGTAGCTTTTGTTATTTTTGACCATTTTCACTTTTAATCTTCATATTGAAGATATATGTGGTTTACACGCCAGCTTTACAATATTGGCACATTCCAAATTTGACTCTAAATTTATCTCTACTAGTAAGTTTTATTTTTTCATATGTGTTAATGACAGTAATTATCATCTTTTTGTTTCCATTTGAAGAACTGCCTTAAGCATTTCTTATAAAGTGGGACTATTGATGAATTTCCTCAGTTTTTGCTTATCTGAAAAGACTATTCTCCTTCATTTTTGAATAACAGATTTGCTAAGCATAATATTCTTGGCCAGCAGGGCTTTAAAAAAAAAAACAAAAAAACACTTAGACTGTATCATCCCATTCTCTCCTGGCCTGCAAGTTTTTCCCTTAGAAATCCACTAATAGTAATGAAGGTTCTCTTATCTATGATGTAGGTGCTTTTCTTTTGTGGCTTTTAGAATTCTTTTTGTCTTTGACTTTTGACTGTTTTATTATAATGTGCCTAAGACAGGACTTCCTTGGGTTGAATCTATTTTGGAACCTATAATCTTAATGGGTCTGCATGTCCACATCTCATCCAGGACTTGGGATTTCCCCACAATTATTTTATTAAAGAAGCTTTCTTTGTCTTCTCCATCTCTTCTTTCTATGGAATCCCTATAATCTGAATATTTGTTTGCTTAATAATGCCCTATAGACTGTCTTTATTCCTTTATTTTTTTGCCCCTCTGAGTCATGTTAAAAAACCAGTCTTCAAGTTCATAGATTCTTTCCTCTGATCAGTATGGTCTGCTGTTGAAGCTTTCAATTGTATGTTTTATTTTATTCATTTAATTCTTCAGCTCCAAGATTAGTGGTAGTGGTGTTGGTGGTTGTTTTAATGATACCGGTCTCTTTATTAAATTTCTCATTCTGGTCATGAATTCCTTTTCTGGTTTCATTGAACTGTCTATTTGTATTCTCTTGCATCTTGCTGAGTTTCCTTAAGATCATTGTTTTGAATTTTTGAATTTCTTTTTGGGCAATTTATAAATTTTCATTTCTTTAGGGTTAGTTACTGAAGAATCATTGTGTTCCTTTCATAGTATCTTGTTTTCTTTTTCATGTTTCTTGTGTCCTTGCATTGATACGTATGTCTCTGGTTGTGCAGTCAGCTATTCCAAATTTTATTGATTGGCTTTCATAGGGAATTACTTTTATCTGCAGATGTGCTTGAGGGTGTCGGTTGGGCAGGGTGTGGTGACTCTGGTTCCATGTGGATATAGTGGAGTAATCTCCATGCAGTTTCTTTGGCTGTGATCAATGTTAGCGATGACTGAGGGTGACTCAGTGATCTAGGCTGCAGGGTTTGTGGCAGTGACAGTAGCTGTATAAGTTATTAGGGTAAGGACTTTAAGAATCCTCTTTAGTTAACAGATTTGCTAAGAGTTCCTCACAGTGGGAAATCTTAGTTGAGGGGATCTCTGTTGGTGCTGAGTCTTCCGTGGGTCATAGGTAGCCACAGTGGCACTGCAATCCAGGACATAGGTGCTTGGAGTAGCTGTGGAGTCAGGTTTGTGGACTTAAGGTCTTACAAAACTATTGCAGCCCTGGGGATTTAAGGTGCATGTTCACTTTCTGAGGCACAAGTGAATGCATTTCTCCCACTAAGCCAGGGTCGGTTGCTCTGAGATACACCCAAGTTTTTATCCAGAGTCCTGAGATATAGCTGTGATTTTGACCCTGAGGGGTAGGGTACAGCACTAGCCTGTGCAAGAAAGAAGGGATGCTTCAGAGCCTCAGGCCTTGAATTTAGGACCGCTTCAATTTGGGGCTGCAAATTAGCTCTGTGAGGCCAGGTGCAGCAGCAGCAACATGGACCCAAGAATGGAAAGATGCTGCAGTTGCTTGGACCCTGCGGGTAGGGAACAACACAGTGATGATACCCCTCCTTACAGAGGTGGAGTGCTGCAGCTTAAACTGCAGAAGGCTAATGTATTTCCAGATAGGCAAGGTGCTATACCTGTTCAGCCTGGAGAGTGAGGTCACACGGCTCATGCAAGGGTCTGATTCCCTGGGATGCAAGGGTCTGCATCTGCTCAACCCCAGAAAGTGCAGCTACGTGAGTCAGCAGAGCCTCTGGATCTCTGGGGGGTCAGGCACCATGTCAGCTATGGTGCTGGGAAATGCAACTGTTCTGATGGGCTAGAGCTCAGACTTCCTGGGGCGTAGCATGCTGCCGCCCTCAGCTTTGGCACTAGGGACACCAATAATTCCTTGTGCAGGAGGACTGAGGTCCCTGGGGGACAGGGTACTATGCCTGTTCTGAGGCTGAAGACACATTTCTCCAGTGTGCTGGAGATGCAGGTTGCTGGGGGAATGGGGTGATACCTTGGCTGTGGTGCTGGGGGCACAAATGTTCTGGTAGTTCAAGCCTCTGGGTCTGCAGGGGTGGGGTATTACTTCAGTTCAGCCCTATAGGGAGGATCCAGCAGTAACTGGGATGGGGGCATGGGGTGGCTCTGCAGGAGCTTGGCTCTGGGCCAAGCTCAGGGTATAGCAGCAGCTATACCCAAGCAGCTCTGCTTGGGGGTGGTGCACTACTGGGTGGGCATGGTGCAGTGGCAGCCGAGCCTCAGGGATAGATAGATGCAATGGCTGCTTGCCACTGGAATAGCATGCACTCTAACTGTGCCTCTGCTTATAAGATGGTGCAGAGCAATAGCAGCAAGGGCCATAGGGAGGTGGTCAGTGCACAGCGTCAGCTCCATCTCTGAAAGTAGCTCAGTGCGTGGACTCTAGGAGCTCTCTCGGCTGGGCTTAGACCCTGTGAAGGACACCTATGAGGACTGAAAGTGTCCACGATGCTAATGGTGGCTGTTGGGATCCTATTGCTTACCTTTTTCCAGCAGAGAGAAATCTCTCCTAGTCCCAAGCTGATCCCAACTGGGAAGATGGAGGTAGTGAGGGAAAGGTGTTTCCTTCCCTTCTCCATGCAGCATCCTGGATTTCTGTGCTCTGCAGGATTTCTGCTGCTGCTTTGCTGTTCTATGGTACTCTTCTTTATTTTGGTCAAAATATAGTTGTTTATTTGCTGTTTGGCGGGAGGATTTAGTGGGGAAGAAGAGCTCTAGGAGCTTCTAGTCGGCCATCTTGCTGACATCATTCTCAGGCAACTATTATTTTTAAAATCAAAGCAGTAAATGCAGGCTTACCTTCATATGTGGCTATTTGGATATGCACTCCTGAATAGATGTGTGTGATAAAAAAAAAAGTGTGATAAAAGTAATGATTTGTCACTTATTTTTTTTTTCTTCGTTAGATTATTAACTCTTCAATGCAAAGACTGTGTCTCTTCATGATAATAAGTTTCTATAGACTGCCTGGTATAAGACTAGAAATGTCACTGATGTAAATAGCAGTGGCATAGAAGAGGAGGATATAAATTATATTCCATATTTATAGTTAAATGTGTCTGTTTGCAGACCTTTCATTCACTCCATAGCTATATTTTCCATATTCCCTTGCATTGTTAAAAAGTGACATATTTATGAGCCACATATTTGGAGTTCTCAGATTCCAGTAAACACTCTTGGCCCTAACAAGGAAAGGTCTGTTCTGTGTTTCACTTTAGTAGAGGACATGTTTAACCACTGTGCTCGCTGGTGAATTGCTCTAAGTGTCCATGAGATTAGCCAGGAATTTCTTATGCTTTATTATTTTTCTGTTAAGTAGAGAATTTAGTGTTAAATATTAGTCAGGGCTGTCTTGACTCACTGTTCATTGTCCATCAAAGAAATATTAAACCTAAAAAAGAGCGGAAAATAAACTTAATAAAAAGACATTTTAATTAATTAATTAATTACCCAAAAAGAGTGAAAAATAAATTTAATTAAAAGACGTTTAAAAGTTTGCTTTCACATTAAACAGAAAGAAACATTTGTTTTCAATATGTGCAGGAGTCACCCAGAGTTTCCAACCATTTTTCTCATTAAGACTTGGGGTAAATCTGTCCTAGCTTGTTAATTACCAGCATCCTACTTTCCATCTAGTATTGTGTTTAATCCATGTACAGGACAAAAACGTTGATCTTTGTGAACTCTTTCAACTTTAGCTCTTTCAACTCCTACAACTGGGATTTCTTTGACCTAGACTACAGGATTTGAAAATATCTTGCTGCTATGCATTTGCAGGCATGACTTTCCTCACTTAAGCTTAGCAGAAAAATAAGGCTTGCAAAATATTAAACACTATTTACCTGAGAGTGTAGGTGTTAGGAAGTTTTAAGAATTTAAAATGCTTCTTCTGAATACTTGATGAATCTTACCCTTGATATTTTTGGTTTAGGTTAATGTTCTCTGAGCATACATCAATTTAATTTAATACAAAAGTCTTTTATTTTATCTTATCCAAAGCTACATCCATGACTTCATCCTATCACTTAAACACTTTCTCTCATATCACACTCTTTTTTTTAGTCCCTAAGGATGGGCCTTGTGTGTGCTTTTATCTTTTAGTGTTTATCCTTCTTCTCAAATGCAAAATGATTCATTCTTATAGAGCATTGGAATTTGATTGTCTTCTTATGATGATCAGAAGTAAATTCTCTCTTTTCTAAATACAGAATTCTGAAAAGAAAAGGGCATTTACTTGCAGACTGCAAAGTTTTAAATTATCTGTCTAGTTAGGCGTCCTTTAAGACTGCATCAGAATCTTGTCAATGCTGTAATATGTTACTCTGGTATGCTGGCAGGATTCTCATGGAATACTGCACAAGAAACTCCAAATTACACAATGGCTATGATCTGTCCAAAAAGTGACTTTTGACTTCTGAAGAGAAATCTCTTAAAGCAATGTTTAGATATTTAGTCCTGGATTTTAAGTGAAAGAAAACCCTTAAACTGTTCCCTTTTGTATTAGAAGTGCTAGATCAAAGTTTAATATGACAATAAATGCCAGTGTCCAGATAATGTCTCCATGACAAAGAACACCATGGTAATGTTCAGCTCTAACACAGGAGCAGGCAAACTATGGTCAAATCTCACCTTCTGACTGTGTTCCTATGGTGAGCTAAGAATGGGTTTGTTTGTTTTGTTTTGCCACTGCCTTGTCACTTTAAGGGGCTTTAAGGTTTTAAGGTTTAAGGTGCTGCCTGAGGGTGTGGGGGCAGGCAGCCCAGTTCCTGCTCTGCTGGTGCTGCAACCTGATCCCCTGCACACCCTGGAGAAGGCAGCATGTAAGAATGGATTTTGAATTTTTAAATGATTAAAAGCAAAATCAAAAGAATAATATTTTGTGATACATTAAAATTATATGAAATTTAAATTTCCATGGCTAGGAATAAAGTTTTATTGGAGCATAGCCATGCTCACTTGTTTACATATTATCTATGGCTGCTTTCCCTACAAAAGCAGAGTTGGGACTTGTGAAAGAGAACATATGGCCCACAAAGCCTAACATATCACTATCTGGTCCTTTGCAGAAAGTTTGCCAACCCCTTCTCTAACATCATGAACTTTGCTCTGCATTGTTTCAGTGGTTATTCTCAGAATGTATTAAATTTAAATCTCTGTTGAAGGAAGTGAAAAACAAAGTAACTTCTCTATGATGGTCGGTGATTTTTGGAATCCTTTTTACTGGATCTTTCCATATAAAGCTTCGTTCTCTCATAATTTCCTAATACATGTCTATAGCTTATTTCAAGAGAAGAACATCTAATATATTTTACAACATTGTTTAGTGACTTAAAATAACAATGAAAAATAAAAACTTCTAAATATTTTGTGAATTATGTATATGAAGATAAATCCTTAAAATCCAAGACACCTCCCCTAAGAAACTTCCCCATTTATTCTATTTATACTTAATTCTGCAACATACTGGAAAACAGTACCTCTTGTGTATATATATAAAAGCATATAAAGCTTTCACAAAATTTTGGGACTTCGTTACTTTTCCCTACTATCAGAGAAACTGGGTTTGAAGAATCATGGCATTTTGGTATTAGAGAAGAATGGGCAAGGTTCTAATAAAATATGGTATTAAATCAATGACACAGCTGAGATTAAAAAAAAGGGAAGAGATAATAAACAGTGTAATTGTTGGCTTTAAAAAAAATTTGTAAAGCAGCATCCTGACAAGGATATGATTCTCTAGACCTTACCCTATTCAAAATTCTTACAACCAACGTTAGTACAACTCCATACCCCAGAATGCCTCAGTGGTGTAGAAGGGTTTATACCATAGTTGATGGCCTAACCAGACACTGTGTATGTTTTGCCCATAATTTTGGTTTTGCATTCCTTCACTCCTCTTCCCAGTGGCTGACATCAGAAAACACCTGGTAGGCATCTTCTAAACACAACTCCTAGGGTGGTTAATTATAGTGCACTTGAGTCTACTTCATGTGCTGACAGCTCTGGTTCTGACTCTCCACTTGCTCTTAGAAAATGCTCATGAAATCCTGACTATATTGTACTGCCACCTCTCTAAACATAGCACATTCACTTTTGGACAACCTCTGATGCTTTGTCTCAACAAAACTGGAGGGGGAAACAAGATGACAGGCCTGTGGTGAGTGTAAGATTCTCCCTGGGGGCCTGAAAGCTTAAGGAGATGAATTAACTCCTCCCTTCTCAGGCCCAGTCCCAAGGCGCAAGGCCACTTGGTGTCAGCAGTGTGTGTCAGCAAGATAGCAGAAGCAGGAAGAGAGCTGGCCGGAAGATACCTCCTCTGGCCGGAAGATACCCCTGAAGATCGAGAAAGAGGCCATCCGGGTACAATGTAGCAGTTACGTCAGACTAGGATGCTTCCTGTTTATAGGAGACTATAAAACTTTTGCCCCATCCTCATTTGGGGCAGAGGCCTATTAGGCCTCAGCCCACCTACACCCAGGCGCTCATTAAAACAGCATGTTTCTCCACACCTATTCGTGTTGTCTGTTGGCACACTCTCAGGGTTCAAACCGATACAAGAACCTTACAGTGAGGAATCGTCAAGGGATGAAAATTGGTATGTCTTAGAGGCAGTTTAAAAGCAGTTTCCTTCAAAACATATTTTTATACCACTTTATAAGTATCTCAATACATCATAGCAGTAGCAGCAGTAAAATAGGTGATATCACAGAGAATTATTTTGAAACATTTCCAATCCAAATGTTTGGACTGGAACTGTCCAAATCCAAAGATACACTATGACAGACATAGTGTATCTGTCATAAATGTAAGTAGTCTTCTCCACCAGATGACTATAATTGCAAAGTCGAGTTTGATGTGATGTCTGATGGCACCCTTCTATGGACATTCCATATGAACATACAAAACATATCTCTTGACTAGATCCTGTGCATAATAATGAAGAAACACATGATCTAGGGCTGAAAACCAGATTAGAAGAAAAAGCTGAACACCTTGAGCAAGGACTCATGACAATTTAGCAAAATGTTCTTTACTACTAAGCACTGTTAAAAGAAAACGTCAGACAAAGTAAATTTAACGAAGTTTAATTGAGCAAGAAAAAAAAAGATTTATGAATCAAGCAGCCCCCAAAATCACAGCAGATTCAGAGAGATTCCAGGGATTCCTCATGGTCAGAACAAACTTACAGACAAAAAAAGGACATGCAGAAATCAGAAGTGAGGTACAGAAACAGCTGGACTGGTTACAAGTTGGCATTTGCCTTACTTGAACACAGTTTGAACACTCAGCAGTGTATGAGTGGTTGAAGTATAACTGCTAGGATAGGCCAAATGTTACAGGCATATACTCCTAAGTTAGGTTTTCAATCTTGTTTACCTATTAAGTTAGGTTATGGTTCATCCCCAAGGACTCTAATATAGAAGCATGAAATCCTTCTCAGGCCATATTTAATTTGCATTAACATTTCCCCCCTTTTGGTTAACCTCTCAATTTAGAGAGATTGACCAAAACTTTAGGCATTGACACCAGTCTCTCTCACAATCGAAAAGACTTATTTGGTCTGTGTGTTTACAAGTCCTCTTTAGTTTTAGTAAGGAGCTTCACATGTCTTCTTGGGTGTCAATATGAAATTCACAAGTCACATCTTTTTTCCAGCTGAATGAATCTTTATGTTCTTGCTGACCCATTTGGAGTGAGACTATTAACTCTCAATGGATGGCTATATACAAAACATTTAAGACTTAAGAGGATACAGTACACCAGGGGGGCTATTACTGTGACTATCAAGAGAATAATATCAAAATGCCTAAGACATGCTCCTTAATAAGAGTTCTGATATGGTTTGGCTGTGTCCCCACCTAAATCTCATCTTGAAATCCCACATATTGTGGGAGGGACCCAGTGGGAGGTAATTGAATCATGGGGGAAAGTCTTTCCCATGTTGTTCTCATGATAGTGAATAAGTCTCACAAGATCTGGTGGTTTTGGAAAGAGGAGTTCCCCTGCACAAGCTCTCTCTTTGCCTGCTGCCATCCACATAATATGTGACTTGCTCCTTCTTGCCTTCTGCCATGATTGTGAGGCTTCCCCAGCCATGTAGAACTGTAAGTCCAATTAAACCTCTTTCTTCTGTAAATTGCCCAGTCTTGGGTATGTCTTTATCAGCAGTGTGAAAATGGACTAATATGAACTGAACCAAATTAACCAAGTTAAGGTTTATACAATATAGGCAGTTCAACAATATTAGGGTCTAATTGGTCCTAGTCCTCATTTGGAGTGTGAGAGCGACTAAGGACCATAGTTCGCTGGAAAGTAGCCTAATTTAAAGAGGTACTCATTTTCCTTGTTACCCTGGTGTAATACAAATCATAATAACTTGGAAACTTATTGGAAGAAATATAAAGATTAGAAACCCTTGGAAAACCCAAGCGTATCATCCACCACTTAGGATTATGTGCAAACCAACTGTCAGTTGCTCCTGTAAACACATCATGGGTTCCTTTCTCTTGAGAGATTTCTTTAAGGTATTTGGTAGTAGTGTCTAAGGAAACAGCAGTATCACCCACCTTTTAAATTAAGCTTTCTGTAGTAACGAAATCAGGGGTGAGATAAGTACAACATTCAGTTCTGTTTAACACCAAACGTATGCCTTCAGCTTGAGCAAAATATCTAAAGCTGCATGATGTTCCATTAAGTGCTTGTTTTGAATGTGTATGTTGTCATCTACTTTTCAGAGAGTAGCTTTTACCCATCTGAAACTCTAGGAGGTCTAATTGGCTACAAAATCTAAGATTTTCCCCAATTCACAAATTAGCTTTAAATTCCATACAACTGATACCCCACTACCACCAAGAGTGAGCCCCCAGGAGCCCCACTGGAATATTTCATCAGTGGAAACTAGCTTATCCTTATCTTTTTCAAAGCTAGTGCTAATTTCAGTTATTGATCATTTTGGCCTCCAATTATAAGGGCTATCATGAGAATTTTCAGGGGAAGCTATTAAAAAAACAGGAGCAAGCCAGGCAAAATAACAAGATCTGAACCAACGAGGAGGTAGAACAGAATATGCAGATTCTCCACAGACCCAATATAGATCCTCAGGGCTTGGAAAAAAGGGCCCCCTAGTTACATTTGAGCAGAGGTCAGTCAAGTTTGTTCATCCATAAATCTGCACAGCTCCTGAACAACATCCAGTGGGAAATTTACTTTTTTTGTGGCTCCTTTATAATATATAGTAAGGGTGTATAACCACATTTAGTAAAAGGAGACCCTACTGGGTTTAATCCAGTTACATTATACAAGCAATTACTTGTACCAACATAGGTAATTCCCAAATCTTGAGTGCATGATACCTTGGAAGCACAATATACCTTTTGCTTGCATCACTTGGATTGTTTTTTTATAATTGGCAATGATCAAGTTATCGATTGAAAAAGTTAGTGAGCGTAGGAAAGCAAATAGCAGTGATGTTTAGAATATCAATAATAGTTTTCCATTCCTCCCTTGGAGTCTCAGGGTGATTCTCACTGGGAACACAGAGAGGCATTGGCATCAGTGGAATCATTTCCTGATTTTTTGGCATTAGCCCACAAATCCAACAATTACTCTGGTTTTGTGTTCAGCACAAGCTTGAGCTAAAGCCATCAACTGATTATGGTCCCATGGATTTTCCTGTACAGAAAACGAAAGGATTAGGGCAACAAAAGATGAGGAAAACAGAAGAACACATAAGGCTTTCATGATGGTAGAGAAGTCTTGATCCATGATCTTAGGAAAGCTGTCCACAACTAGGATGGCATCTCTTCCTGGAGAGAGATTTCCCTGGTCAACTTTATCTTAAAGTCTCCAACAGGTGTACAGTTCCACAAGTCAGAAGGGGTCCTTTTGAGTTGTGAGACGTGGACCCAAGGTTCAAGGCCCTGAAGCTTCACTGCAGTGTGGGTGGTGAGAACTTGGTAAGGTCCCTTCCAACAAGGTTCAAAAATAGTCTTCCTCTGATATTGTTTCCAGAAGACCCAGTCTCCAGGTTCTAAACCATGGGGAGGGTCTGATTGTCCTCAGTTAGTGGATCTCAAAAAGTTTCCTTTACCTGGCAAAAGTATACTTTGGCATAATGCATTAAAGCCTTGCAGTACTTAGTTATATCAGAATTTAAGAGAGCAGGAGAAGCATGAGGCCTTCCAGTGACTATTTCATAAGGGGTCAACTTATGTTTTCCAATAAAAGTGGATCTGATTGCCATTAAAGCCAAAGGTAGTACCTTTGGCCAAGGCAACCCAATTGATTCAGTTAACTTTGCCAACTGCAGTTTTAATATGACGTTTGTTCTTTCAACCTTTTCAGAAGAGTGAGGGTGGTAGGGACAATGGTAATGCCGCTGCATTGGTAGCACCTTATTTAACTGCTTTATAACTTGCCCAATAAAATGAGTTCCTCTATCACTGGAAGATTTTTCCAGGGATCCCCCAAAAAAGGAAAAAGATTTTCTAATTTCTTATCACAGCATCAGCTTTACTACATTGGAAGGCCTCTATCCAACCAGAAAACATGCAAACTATTGCAAGAATATACTGATATCCCATTGAGGGTGACAGTTGAATGAAGTCTATCTGTAAATGCTAAAATACTCCATCAGGTGGTAGACATATATTACCTGAAACTTTGATTGTTTTTCCAGGATTATTGCTTTGACAAGTCAAACACTGGTTATAAACCATTTTAGCAGTTTTGGAAGTCACCCCACCAGTATTTTTTTCATAATTGGATCATTTTGTCTGTTCCATGATGAGTTGTGGAGTGCAGAGCTTTCAACAATGGAAGCTTCAAAGACTCAGGAAGCACCAGGCAGCTATCTGGGCTATGAGTCTGCACTTTACATTAAATTTACATCCTTTTAGATACCAATTTTGTTTTTCCAAATGAGATGCATTGCATTGTTTATTAAATAAGTCGTCGTAAGGAAGCTGGCTTGGATTAATCTTATGTAGTTCATTCAGATTGCATATCTTAACAGTTTCAGCACTACCTGATTCAGCATAAACATCTGCTAAAGCATTATCCTGACTTTCAAGTTCAGTTCTACAAGTATGAGCTTCAATCTTAACAACAGCAACCTGCAATAGTAAAAGGATAGCAGAAAAGAGTTCATCTACTTTGAGTCAATTTTTGATGGGGGTTCCACTAGATGTGAAAAACCCTCATAGTTTCTATATCATTCCAAAATCATGTAGTATTCCAAAAGCGCATCTGCTATCTGTATAAATATTTACTGACTTGTCCTTAGCTATATGACAAACTCAGGTGAGGGCAAAAAGCTCTGCAGGTTGGGCCAACTTAAATTGAGGAAGAGTTCCCTTCTCTATTAACTCATTTTGGGTAGTAACAGTGTATCTTGCCTGAAATTTTCCTTCTGAGTTTCTGACATAGGATCCATCAATAAAAAAGTATTAATTCAGGATTATCCAGTGGAGTGTCTTAGAAATCAACATGAAGGGCCACTATTTCTGACACTACAAGTATTATTCTGTTCTCACTGCTAATAAAGACATACCTGAGACTGGGCCATTTATGAAGGAAAGAGGTTTTTAATTAACTCACAGTTCCACATGGCTGGGGAAGCAGAAGGTGAATGAGTAGCAAAGTAACGTCTTACATGGTGGCAGACGAGAGCATGTGCAGGAGAATTCCCCTTTATAAAACCATCAGATCTCATGAGGCTTATTCACTATCATGAGAACAGCATGGAAAAGACCCACCCCCATGATTCAATAATCCCCACAGGGATTATTACAATTCAAGGTGCGATTTCGGTGGGGACACAGAGCTAAATCATATCATTACACTTACACAATTGTGGTCTTCACCATCATTGGGCAGAGATAACAGTATCAGGGTTAAGTAGATTACAGTGTTTTAGATGAAGATTAGAAGGAGATAGGAGAAGTAATTCATAAGATGTTAGTCTGCTTACTGAAAAATGCGGGTTTGGTTGGAATTTAATAGACTTTACACAGCGTGTGGGATTTGCAAATTAAGTTCATTTCCTAAAACAAGATCTGATGAAGTTTCTACCAGTTTGGCCACTGCTGCTGCTGCTTTTAGTCAATTAGGATATGCCTTAGTGACTGGGTATAATTGCAGGCTATAGTATGCAATGGGCCTATGTTCACCACCATGTTCTTGAGCAAGGACTCCTAATGCCTGATTGTTACACTCATGAACAAACAAGGTGAAAGGTTTAGTGTAATTTGGAAGTCCTAAAGATGAGGGCTGTTGTAAGGTCAACTTTATTTGGCCAACAGCCTGCTCATGACTGTCTTCCCAAGGTAAAGGCTCTGGTATAGCATTATTAGTGAGCTCATACAATGGTGAAGCTATTAAGGAAAAAATTGGAACTCAGAATCTGCAACATCCTGCAAGTCCAAGAAAACTTCTTAATTGTCTTTTGGTTGCAGGTCAAGGAAAACTTTGAATAGCTGTTATCCTCTTAGTTGAGAGGGAAATTCCTTCAGCAGCCAAGTCACATCCCAAATGGTGGACTTTTTGCCTTGAAAACTTAAGTTTTTCCACTGAAGCCTTGTGACCTTTGTATGAAAGTTGCTGTAAAAGGTAAACTGAGTCCATTACAGAGCACTCCTTAGTGGGACAGCATATATTCATCTATGTACTGAATGAGAGTAGAATTTTGAGGCAACTGTAGTGTCATTAAGTCTTGATGCAATGCCTGGGAAAAATAGAAAGGGCTTTGGTAAATCCTTGTGGCATTACAGGCCAAGTGTACTGCTGATTTTACCAAGTAAAGGCAAACTAGTATTGACTCTCTTTATAAACTGGAATGCTAAAGAAGGCTGAGCAGAGATCTATTATTGTGAACACTTGGAATCAGTGGGTACATTAGATAATAAAATATTAGAATTTGGGACTACGGGAAATCTTGGTATTACAATTTTATTATTGCCTGTAAATCTTGAACAAATCTTCAACCTCATCCTTTTGGCTTTTTAACTGCTAGGATTGGAGTGTTACAAGGGCTCCTGCATGGGAGTATGAGTCCTTGTTTAATTAAATCTTCTACAATTGGTTAGAGCTCTTGAATTGCTTCAGATTTTAGTGGATATTGGGGTAATTTAGGCAAAGGTTTAGGATGATCTATTTGGACTTTCATAGGTTGCACACTTTTAATTCTTCCTATATCAGTTGGGGAAGAGGCCCATAAACATTCAAGTATTTTTGAGAGATCAGGGGTATTACAGGCCTGAGTTTCTATCTTATCAATTTATTTCTGTAGACAGCATAACAATTCTGCTTCAGGAGAATCAGGAAACTCTGAAGAAGGTTTACATGCCCTTTTAACTTGAAAGTAAATCTCACCCTAACAAGTTTACTGGAGCAGCATCACATAGTACAAAAGTATATTTTTCTGAAAAGGGCCCCAATGTTAATTGGATGGGTTCAGATACAGGAATGTCTTGAACTTGATTTGAAACCCCCACCACAGAATGTAAATTATTTCAGCCATTGTGGAAGACTGTGGCAATTCCTCAAAAACCTAGAAACAGAAATACCATTTGACCCAGTAAACCCATTACTGGGTATATACCCAAAGGAATGTAAATCATTCTATTATAAAGATACATGCATGCATATGTTCATTGCAGCACTATTCACGATAGCAAAGACATGGAATCAACCCAAATGCCCAACAATGATAGAATGAATAAAGAAACTGTGGTAAGTATACACCATGAAATACTATGCAGCTATAAAAAAGAAATGAAATCATATCCTTTGCAGGGACATGGGTGGAGCTGGAAGCCATTATCCTCAGCAAACTAATGCAGGAAGAGAAAACCAAACACCATATGTTCTCATTTATAAGTGGGAGCTGAACAATGAGAACACATGGACACAGGGAGGGGAACAACATACACTGGGGCCTAGGCAGCAGGGCAGGGGGAGGGAGAGCATCAGGATAAATAGCTAATGGGTGCAGGACTTAATACCTAGGTGATGGGTTGATAGGTGCAGCAAACCACCATGACACACATTTACCTATGTAACCTGCACGTCCTGTACATGTATCCTGGAACGTAAAATAAATTTTAAAAATACAAACAACCCTCACAAAAATGACCCTTTTTACTTCTAGGGATTTACTGGCTTATTAAAGTGGGGTTTATGGTAGATAGAATAGCTCCAGTATTCATCGGGACTGTACACGACTCCCCATTTATTTTAACCTGTTTCTCCATGTTCATTTAAAGGTATTACGGGAGCAATTTAGTAGAGAATCCCTGGGAGCCCCGTCAATGCCATTATCAGGAGGGCTAAGGTCTCTTGGGCTCCCTCTAGTGGAGAAACAGTTCAGCCTAAAGGGAGGCTTATTGGCAGACCTCTTACATAAAAGCGGTCAATCCCTTTTCCAATGCCCTGGTTGTTTGCAATAAAGGCAGATATCTTGGGGTAAAGAATTTCTTGTTCTAGGATCTCTCGGTTGTGATTTAAAATGAGAATGAGAAAGGTCCCTTTGGTCGCAGCCCCTGTAGCCATTGTAACTGAAGGGTCAGCTTGTTAGCTTTTTGAGCTTTTTCTTGCTCTAGAGTCCTCTCAAAATGTTCAGCTAAAGCCACCAATTCAGTCATATCTGTAACTTCCCATCCAAGCTTATGTTTTTTAATTAAACTTCTAAGTTCAGGACGGAGTCCATTTATAATAGAGCAGTTAATGCTATTTCAGTCCCTGCAGGAAATACTCCTTGCCGTACTTTAAGCCCAGAATGTTTCACAAACAATGTCTCTAAGCGAGTTCTGTAATCTCAAACTGGTTCATCCTTTTGTTTTTGTTTACAAGATTGTATGACAGACTAATCAACTTTTTGCAGAAAAATATTAGAAATTGAATGTAAAATGTTTTCAGCCATTTTTCTTTCTTTTTTTCTTTTTTCTTTTTTCTTTTTTTTTTTGAGATGGAGTCTCGCTGTCGCCCAGGCTGGAATGCAGTGGCACGATCTCGGCTCACTGCAGGCTCTGACCCCGGGGTTCACGCCATTCTCCTGCCTCAGCCTCCCGAGTAGCTGGGACTACAGGTGCCCGCCACCTCGCCCGGCTAATTTTTTGTATTTTTAGTAGAGACGGGGTTTCACTGCGTTAGCCAGGACGGTCTCGATCTCCTGACCTCGTGATCCACCCACCTCGGCCTCCCAAAGTGCTGGGATTACAGGCGTGAGCCACCGCGCCCGGCTCAGCCATTTTTCTAGCTACTTTTGGTCCTTCTCATGAGGAGCTTTTGGAGGGGTCTTTAATACCCTCCTCAGGTTTGTCCCATTCTGCTACTGCCATCCATTCTTGAGCTTCATCAGGCCCTAATATCATGTGAATAAATTGGTAAAGGTCAGGAAGCCCTGGCTTGTAAGCTCCTATTAGGATTCTAAATTCCTCAGTAAATTTTTGAGATTTTCCCTTGAATAAGGGAAGTCCTTCACAAAACTTTAAGCTCAGTTTTAGACCATGGAGTGAAAGTAGTTATAGCAGACAGGCCTGGCTGATCAGGTCTTACTTTGTAAGGCATCTAACTTCCTCTTTTTCATCATCTTCAGGGTGAAAGGGTAATTTAGCAAAAAGGTTAGTGGACTCAGTATATAGGCAGAAATGGATAAAGAGAAGAAACAGTCGAAGTTAGTTCAGTCAGAGCACAGCCCTCTTTTGTCATGTCCTTGGTCTGGTGCCTAAGCTTTCCATTTGCTTTTTGCAAAGAATCTTTCAAGGAGTTAATTTTTGATTCATTTAGTCTTTTGGAGACCTCTGCATACCAATGAAAGACTATGTCCCACTGTTTCTGTGGGACATAGTCTTTTTCCAATATGCCTCACAAATACACAATTTTTTCCAAATTATAACTTCCTCATTTCGACCATCTTAAGTTCTCTTTAGTGGGGTTAACCCATTTTTCTAAAAATGCACACGTTGAGCCAGGCATAATGGCTCACTACTGTAATCCTAGCCCTTTAGGAGGCCGAGGCGGGTGGATCACCTGAGGTCAGGAGTTCAAGACTAGCCTGACCAACATGGTGAAACCCTGTCTCTACTAAAAATACAAAAATTAGCTGGGCATGGTGGCAGGTGCCTGTAGTCCCAGCTACTCGGGAGGCGAAGGCAGGAGAATCATTTGAACCCAGGAGGTGGAGGCTGCAATGAGCTGAGATTGTGCCATTGCACTCCAGCCTGGGAGACAGAGTGAGACTCTATCTCGAACAAACAAAACAAAACAAAACAAAACAAAAACACGTGCTGGGCCCATAATTTTTATACATAAAATTAGCTGGAGTTCCAGAAGGTGGAGTCCCAGACTCCTTGGACTGAGATAATTCCATTATTAAAAATAAAGTACCTACCCAAGGTCCAAGGCCTCTAATTGAATTCAATCCAGTTAATTATCAAATCCAATTTGATCTTAGACTCGGTGCAGTCTAAGTATTGCTCAAGTAAACTCAGAGACCCCAAAACACAAGTTACTGGAGTTCAGAATCTGAGAGAAAACTCACCCATGACCTCCATTTACAATCAAGAGAACAGTGAGCACAAT
Source organism: Homo sapiens (assembly GCF_000001405.40). Lineage (NCBI taxonomy): Eukaryota > Metazoa > Chordata > Mammalia > Primates > Hominidae > Homo > Homo sapiens. The sequence continues at coordinate 151,466,262 of NC_000003.12, read as the reverse complement.
GGGCTCAGCGGGTACCTCGCCTGGTCACCTGGTATTTCTGGGGGTCGCCAGAGTTTTACTTTGAATCCCACTTCTGATGCCAGATCTGTTAAAACTTCAGACAAATTAAATTTGACAAAGTTTAATTGAACAAGGAAAAAAACGATTCATGAATTGGACATCCTCCAGAAATACCGCAGATTCAGAGAGACTACAGGGATGCCTCGTGGTCAGAAAAAATTTATAGACAAAAAAAGGAAAATGATATACAGAAATCAGAAGTGAGGTACAGAAACAGCTGGATTGGTTACAGGTTGGCATTTGCCTTATTTGAACACAGTTTGACACTCAGCAGTGCATGAGTGGTTGAAGTATGACTGCTAGGATTGGCCAAGACTCAGCAATTGTTACAGGTGCATATTCCTAAGTTAGGTTTTCAATCTTGTCTACCGATTAAATTAGATTACAGTTCATCCACAAGGACTCAAATATAGAAGTACAACGTCCCTCTCAGGCCATATTTAGTTTGCTGTAACAGCACCATTGGTATCCTCTGGATAGTATGACAGATGTCATAAGAAATTAAATCCTCCAAAAGACAGATGATACTGAGCTTCCTGGAGAAATCAGAAAAATGTGCCTCATTTGCCATTTCCCATTTGAGAAAATACAAGCTGCCGTATTCACTAATATGTTATATAGTAAAGTAATAATAATGTCTTTTCATTAAAAAGAAGAAGAAACTAGAAGAGTTCTCAAATCTCTTAGGTGCATCTCCTACCCAGGCTTAAGAAATCATGGTGAGTTCTGCAAACCTCAACCAATGGCTTTTGATACAATACTTATCATAAAAGCAACACAGAGCATTTACAGCGACCAGAGTACAAAACTAAAGTCAGCAGAGCTGCTCTTCAGGCACCTATTTCTAAACTCTTGACAACAACAATGGTCATTCTTGTGCTCCTTCTGCCTTAGTCTTCTCTCAGGTTTGCATCTATATCAGGTTTCTAACTTTTATCTACTTCAGCCCTGGCTTTCCTAGGATCCTTGGATGTCACTAACAAAAATGTGAGATTCATCCATCCTCTCTTTTATTCCCTAAGTAAAATCTTAACTCTTGTTCCTCCAGATCTAAAATCTTTATTTATTCTCACAACCACCACTTTAATTCATTGTCTTAAGGCTGGACTATTATAATTGCCTCCTAGGTAGTTTTTCTATTTCCTATAATCCAGAGTCCATGGACTTATAAGAGGACCATGCATTTGCTTCAAATTTTTCTCCACATCTTCCAAAACTGTACCCATACATGGTGTTCTGAAAGCTCTGAAAGGTTAGAGATCTGGAATACTATATATAAAGTCTTCAAGTCATGTAGTTTGACTTTAGTTGGTTGAGTTGCAACTGTATTGGAAGAAAGATGATACTGATTTTCTTTCTACCTCCTTTTCCTGCATTATGTCTCTTCATGGCACTTATCACTTACCGTGCTAGTCTGTAACTTCAAAAAAGGAAGGGCTAAGATGTCAGTCTACTTCACTGCTATTGGAATCACTCAGTGGAGGTCTTGACTGTTTGGTTAATTGAATAATATGAAAATTGTGGAGCTGGGAGGTGGTAATGATTGTGCCTGATTAAAAGATATGTAACAATTTTGGCATTTGGTTATCTGTTGACACATATATAAGTCAGTTTTAAAATTCATAGCTTGTTCTGATTGTCAGGTGATCTATGACTTGTAACTGCTTGCGCTTGGTTGATTGGTGTTAAATAAATACTCTGATTAGGAGGGTGATGTAAAGGATGGTATGGATGATAAATTAAGGATGAGGAGTAAGAAGTAGTAATTACTAGAAAAGACAGCAAATAATGTCAAAGACCTAGAGATGAGGGGAAATGTAATTCTCAGGGGTGATATAAAAGGTGAAGAAGATGTATATTTATTGTCGTGTTTACTAGAAAAAATACAAAGCCTGAGAATTTACCAACAATACTGTTTAAGAAAAGAGTAACAAAAAGAGGGGGAGGATTTAAAGAAAATCATTAGGTAAAACTATAGTGAGAGGTAATTAAAATGTCAAACCATCCTTAAAGCGTAGGTAAATTACCGTAGTCCAGGAAACACAGGTTTAGGAGTTCAGATTGACAATTAACTCAGAGTCGCTATGCTCAGCTCTGAGATCTTGGCAAATTATACACTCAATTAACTTCTGCAAAATAAAGTTACAATTACAAAATAAAGTCATTATCATTGAATTTCATATATTTCTTATTAAATGAGGCCATGTTCAAAGGTGAAAGTGATTTGTAAACCATATGAATCTATAGAAACATATTGCATTATTAAGCATGGTTAGAAAAAAGAGTGGTGAAACTTTTCTTTGATATGCTGTGGACTCTCCAAATTTTATAAATAGAAGCAGGAAGAAGATAGAAAATATAAGGCTTTTTTTGTATTTTTGTAGAGACGGGGTTTCACCATGTTGACCAGGCTGGTCTCAAATTCCTGACCTCAGGTGATCCTCCCGCCTTGGCCTCCCAAAATGCTGGGATTACAGGTGTGAGCCACTGCGCCCAGCCATGGTGGCATGTGCCTGTAATCCCAGCTACTCAGGAGGCTGAGGCAGGAGAATTGCTTGAACCCAGAAAGTGGAGGTTGTGGTGAGCCGAGATTGCGCCATTGCACTCCAGCCTGGGCAACAAGAGCAAAACTCCGTCTCAGAAAAAAAAAAAAAAAAAAAAAAAAAAAAAAAAAAAAAACCAGAAAATGTAAGGCTTAAAAGCATTGGTTTTACAATTTTAAAATTAATTCAGTATTGTATTTTGGCTCTGAATCATTTAGCATTCTTTATCCTCAGCAATCTCATCTGAAAAACTGGTATAATTTTAGCACTTACTCATCAGAATATTTCTGAGAATTAAGCAATACATATAAAGGCTTTGACACATATATACTCTAACTATAAAAGTAATTACAAATATTAGAATTGTTATTAAGTGGAGCAAATGGAACTAGAATTGGTGCCAATATGACTCAGGTTTCTAATAATTCTGGAAGATGACATGAAAAGTAGAAAATACGTCAGAGAAGAGCTCTGACATAAAGCAATTGTAGAGATTTATCTCATAAAAATTCTTAAGAGAAGCAAACATTCCTATCAGGAGTTCACTTTGAAATTGATAGCAAGAAAATGACCCCAGGTAACAAGCCTAGGAAAATAAGTTTAACATGTTGCTGTCATCTTTCTGTGGTTCATCCTAGTTGAGGTCTGGAAGTCCAGACCTGGGTTAGAAATTGACTAAAGAATACGAAGCCATGAGGTTGGTCACCAAGGAGCTTTGGGAGAAAGATAAACTGTGGCTGCCAAAACCCGACAAATATGCCACATTTCCAAAGCAAGCATCCAAGTTTGGACATCACGTGAATTTTTAATTTAAAAGAATCTTGTCAGCTCTGCAGAGCTAAAGACCATGTTCATATACATGCTTCTAGGGTTACTTCTAACTCTGAGTCTCTGATTCTATAATTCTACTTTGGTAACTGACTTATTACTAACCATAAATCACATGAATGCTCGGCATGGGATATGGCACATTATCCATGTTTAGCTAAGTGAGGCAGCCACAACTTTATGGTTAAACGTTCAGACCATAGGGCAAGACTGCCTGAGTTTGAATTAACGGCTTTTCTACTCACAAGCCACATGGCCTGGAGTTCTGTCACTTTCCTTCATGTACCTTACTTGTAAAATGGGAATAACATAAATACTTTCCTTTTAGGCTTTTTGGTGCTATGGTGAGGCTGAAATGAGTTGGTATTTGTAAAACATTTTTCAGAAGTTATTTCACTAAACCAGCAATTCTCACATTGTAGCTGCATCAGAATCATATGGAAGGCTTGTTAACACATGGACTCCTAAGCCTCCTTCGTACAGTTTCTGAATCAGTGGGTCTGGGATGGATCCCGCAAATTTTTGATCTTAACGAAGTCCAAAGTAATGCTGATGCTGGACCCGTGACCCTATCTTGAGATCCACTGCCCTAAAACATTCATTGCAAATTGTCATCAAAAGCTTAAGTGCTATGTAACTACGTGGAAGGAAACAAGGTCATTTTAGTTATGTTAACTCAGTGTTTATGAGTATTGGGAGCCCCACCAAGAATTGCAGGAGATATTACATGTGGGCAAGTTGGTAGAGGTGATTCTGGAGGCATCTCTGCCTCCAGATGGTAGGGTTGGAGATGAGAAAGGAGAATGTAATCCAAGCAGAAATAGTAGTATTTAAATCCGGTTCTGTGATAATGATTTAAAAGAATTCCTCTGAGACATCTATATACGATGTAATATTGTTTGGCAGTTAAAAAACAAAAGGGAAATATTGCCATTTGTCACACATGGATGAACCTGGAGGACATTATGCCAAGTGAAATAAGCCAGAAACCAAAAGAAAAATAGTGTATGATCTCACTTATATATGTGAAATCTTTTTCTAAAAGGTCGATTATACAGAGATAGAGAATTAAATAGTGGTTATAGGGGTTGGAGAAAGGAAATGGAAAAATGTAGATCAGAGAATACACAGTAGCATACATTTATATAGATCTAATGTGCAAGAGGACTATAGTTAATAAAATTGTATGGTATTTGGGATTCTTGCTAAAAGAGTAGATTTTAGCTGCTCGTGTCACAAAAACAAAAATGGGGTAACTATGTGAGATGATGGATATGTTGTTTCACTATAGTAACCATTTTACTATCTGTATATAGCCCATAACATGTTGTATACCTTAAATATACGCAATATAATTTACTTATTTTTAAAAGAGGGGTTTAAATAAAACATTGACACTGCAGGTATCACAGGTCATTAACGCTAACTTAGCCTTCAAATAGAACTTTGGGAGCCACAGGACCAAGGACAGCCTGCGGCGATTTACGTAAACCCTTAAACCAAAAGGCCCACCTGTCAACAGGTGGAAGAGGTCAAGGAGGAAATGAACGGGCGGCCACTGAAACTGCTCTGCCACCCAGCCAGGACCTGCCAACTTGCTAGGAGAAAGCCCTGGGAATTTAAAGAGTGAAGCCACGGCGAATTAGCTTCCCACACGCTCGTAAACATAAAGAGGGGCCCGGTGGTCGTTTCTCATCCTTGTGCTGCTGAGCCCCGGCCGCGTCCCCAGACACAGAAGTCGGGCTCATCCCCCGCCCTCGCTCCGCCTTCCTTCCTTCCCTCCCAGAGCTCCGGACCAGCTCCGCACGACCCCAGCAGCTGAGCCCGGGACCGAGCCCGGGACCTAGCCCGGGCAGCTCGAGCCCATTGGTCACCAGGGCAAACAGGTGAGCGCCTCGGCCAATCCTTCCCCGGAAAGGGCTGGAACCCCACGCCGGCTGGGGCTTGGCGTGGGAATGGAGCGAGTACCGTGGCTGCAGAAGCGGGCGCTGGGGCGGGGAGGGCTGAGGGTGGGGGAGGGAAGACGCACCCGGAGAAGGTGGGGGCATGAAAGCACACGACAATTCTTCGGTGACTGGTGCCAGGCAAAAAAAAAAAACACACACTGAGGAAAGACAATCAATAGATGGAGACATCTGTGACAGATTTGTCCAAAAAAGACAATTTGAGGAGAAGCTCTTGGGACTTTGGAGCAAAATGGAGTGATTAGTAGTAGTTAATATTCAAGTGATAACTTTAAGGAGTATTAAGTACACTACTGAGGGAGGAGAAAGGAAATTTAAAAACCTCCACTTAGCCTTTTGTTTCTGCAACAGCAAGCATCATAATAAAAGAACGCTTCTGGGTTAATGTGGTTATGAGTTATAGAACTTTGAAGCTGTGGAAGCGGCTCCAGGTCTCCCTGAAGAGCATTACTCCTGGCTGTAAGCCAAAAAGAATAAGGCTTTTTGCTCACTTTGGAGCAGAGAACTTTTCCTCCCTCAGGTTTGGACACAATTTTCCATTTCCTGGGAAGATTTTCTGTCTCTGCCTATGTCACAAGAGGACTCAGGACCTGAAAGAAGAGCTCAGGTATTGCCAATTCCTATTTCATTATGTACATTTTCAGCCTTACGTTTGTGAGAATCCCTTATTCATGTGTTGTCTTATGCTATTGATCCTCTTTTAAATAATTTGAACGTGGGCATACCCAGAACTTTTATTTAAGCTGAACGAGAGAATTACCTTCATCCTGCTGTTCCTTCCTTTGTTTATCTAATGATAAGGTGGAAATGCTGTCTCCAATCATACAAAGCTTATTTAAAATTATTGTAACCAGGTGGTTACGATGGCAAAAGTGGTCATATGATTAATCCTATCTTAAATTTTAATTTGGACTAAATTATAATAATACATCCATCATCTTTTTATCTGTATGAAAATCCAAGCAGTTCAGCCCCAGTGTTATTTCTCAGTGTAGTTTGTAGCTAAAGGGTGGTTGCTGGTGGAATCCAACATCATGCTGTTCCACAGAACGGTGGGATTTATTACAAATTATGAAGGTCATTTTGCTTGGAAAAGCACAATAAAGAGTTTATTTCAATCCTGCATTTCAGGAGAGAATTAGGTTTGAATTCCTGGGCTTGCCCCACATATGGGTAACAGATACCATTTTTTTTTTTCTGACAAGCTGAGCATATTTCTTCCCTGGTTATGCTCCCCACCTCCTGTGGCAGCCATGAGCTGGAGGAGGGACCAAGGAAAAAGGCAGAGAGATGTCCGAAGCTGAGCAAAAGCAGACAGCATCATGCCTGCACAGGGTCAGCATGGCTCAAGCCCTCTCAGCTGGTCAGTCGCTGTTGCTTATGGTCATTACTTGGCAGTGAAGTGTTCAATGTGTCTTTTTTTTTGGCAGGGACTTGAAAACCGGTTAGAAAGAGATTTATTCTCCCTTCCAGTGGATTATTACAACCTTTAAAAAATGTTTCTGAAGAAGGTTTAATAAAATGAAAAAACATTATATATGAAATGATAAAATGTGTTACAAAATTGAGTTTGATCACATGTACACATATACACGTAAATGTATGTACACCTATACATATACACACAATAGATGAAAAAGGCTGGAAAGGAATACAACAACATGTTTAAGGATTATATAAGTGGTGAGATTGAGTAATTTTTTTCCTTTTTACTGCTTAATTACAGTTTCCAAATGTTTTATTATGCACAGATATTACTGTTATAATCAGTTTCTTGAAAGTTACTCTAAAAGAATTAATGTATATAAAGGAAACTAAATTCTATATATTTTAGTTGTCACAATCTTTCTTATGGTTTCCAGTTTCCCTTTTAATGAATGCCTGAGTAATAGGGATTGCTGGTTTTCATAAAGAAGTGAGAAGCTGTGAAGAAATTTTCACAACAGTAAATATCCCACTTGATCATAAAGCGCAGTGTGAGGCCAGCAGCACACACTATAGTTTTGTAAAGAGTGCATATGACCACAAAGGGTAGGAATGGAATTGACCACTTACGACCCTTAAAGAAGGTCTCCCAGATTCCCAGAGTGAGTGTGTGGTGGTCCTGGGACTTTGCTCCACCACTCTTTATAACTCTGAGGTATGATGTTTTTTCAGGATGAAGGTAAAAGGCAGAGGAATCACCTGCTTGCTGGTCTCCTTTGCTGTGATCTGCCTGGTCGCCACCCCTGGGGGCAAGGCCTGTCCTCGCCGCTGTGCCTGTTATATGCCTACGGAGGTACACTGCACATTTCGGTACCTGACTTCCATCCCAGACAGCATCCCGCCCAATGTGGAACGCATCAATTTAGGGTGTGTGAGACCTCATGTTTCCTCTTCTCAAAGAGGGATCAGTCGCAGCAGTGACTTGTCCCTCAAACATCTATGACTTTGGGAGATGAATCTCAATTGTTTTAACAATATTTCTTTTCTGAAATGAGCTCATGAGAATTTTGTTTGTTGGGGGCAATAAGAAAACTTTTCCTGGTAAACTTTTATTAGGAGAAAGTTCTTCTAGAATTTGAAGTCCCTCTTGGTAGGTTGGGAGACTCATGACGGTAAAAAGCTTCTTTCTGGCTACATTTTTGCTGGAAAATGATATAGTTTCTGTTAACTATTGGGGTTATGATCATTCATCATAAGAGATGACAGGGTAACTGGAAGTGTCTGCCTATATAATACACACACACACACACATACATACATATATATATATATGTATCCTTTTTATAGGCCCTTTGGTTTCTTTCCATACAAACTTATTTAAAATGGATGCCTAATTAAATTTTTAAAAATATGACTGTATTTTAAACGTTCATGAAAAAAAAGTCTGTGTGTGTCTGAATACACATGTTGGACTTAGCATCGTTTATTTGACATTAGTGAGCATGTACTATGCACTGGGGATACAATGGTAAGATATACTATTCACTTCTAGGATGTGTATTGATCGTTAAAAAGACCAGACAAATGTACGGTCAGTACAATTAATAAAAACTAATAGAGCATACAAAGTGTTTTAGAGACAGTCACTAATATTAAGAGCTAACATTAAGGTTGTGCTCAGTAGGTGCTGGCATTGGGTTAAGCACTGCATCCATTTAATCCTCATAACCCCTTTGGAGTGAGTTCTATTATTTACATTTTATAGATGAGGAAACTGAGGCACAGAAAGCCTGCTGATTTTACCCAGGGTTGTACCACTACTCTGTTGAGCCTGAGCTCGTAATCATACCCAAACGAGACGCCCAAGCCTGGCCTCCAGAGCCCAGGCTTCTTAACCACTGCTGACGAATTCCACCTGGGGGAGTGGTGAGGAGATAGTGTCATGAAAGAATGGGCTAGATATTAAGTGTTCACAAATAGAAAAAGGTGAGGTCAAGGGCATTCCAACCTGAGGGAACAGCATATATATAAAAGTTTGAAAATGATAAGAAATGTGACAAGTTCCCAGAATATGAGGGGGGTGATTGTAACTGAAATGGCAAGAACTGGGTAGAGAGCCGACCTTCTGTGGCATCTGGTGAATTTCAGTTTTTGAAGCATTTGATTGTCTCAATAGAGTACAGTTATAAAGAGAGGTATTGAGTTTTCTTGTGTTTATTTTGGTTATGACATTTGAACTTTAGTTGACAGACTTAGCTTATGCCTAGAATGTCATTTTTTATTTCAGATACAACAGCTTGGTTAGATTGATGGAAACAGATTTTTCTGGCCTGACCAAACTGGAGTTACTCATGCTTCACAGCAATGGCATTCACACAATCCCTGACAAGACCTTCTCAGATTTGCAGGCCTTGCAGGTGAGACTGATGGAGAGAGGGGGCAGGTTAAAGAGGTAAGGTGGGACCTGTGAGATAGACCTTCAAAGGCTGCCTATCTCTACACAATACGAAAATCAACATTCTGTAAATTAGAAGCAGACGTCAATGGAGAATGTTAACTGATTTTTAACTGTGGAACTGTGTGTATAAATTAGAATAATAAGAACTCTGAGGCAAGTTTTCTACTACCTCAAGCTAATAGAAAAAAAATCAATACCCAGAGACGATAAACCTTCAAAATTTAATCCTAAAAGGACACTTCTAGTCATGTTTATCTGGGAATTGAATGTGGTTCCTAAAAGTAATGACTATCTTAGACAGATAATAGTTTTATATAAATCAATGTACTATTTTCAGTTTCATTTTATTTACTTATTCATGTTCTACATTGTTCAATTTTTTAAAGTTAAGAGGACTCCCAAGAATGCATAAAATCATGCAAGAATGATCACAAAAGTAAGTGAGAAAGTAAAAGGTAAAATAAGCCTAGAGAAAAGAATAAAGGGAACATGAGGAAATGCATACATAGAGACCTTTAAGTCTGCTATAAGTAGGACTTGAAGCTTTCAAGACGCTAACAATACATGACATCTATTAAAACTTAAACTGTTCAGGAAAAGCACAGCCATGTATGATTTTTAAATCAGAAAGAAATGTCTTACAAAGCTCCTCATAAAATACAGTGCCATAAAATAAAGTCAATAATATCCTTGTAAAAGATGAAGTACCTGTGTTCATAGAGCCTTCTAACATATACCAGAGCTATGTAAGGGAGGTTATAACCATGGTGAGAGCAATAGAGTATAATGTAGCTATGTGATTCTGTTGATTTGGTTAATCAGGCTCTATTTGGAATGTATGTCTTCGGAGGAATAGATGGATTGCATGTCCTTTATAGAATTCTCTACATATATTTATTCTCTCGACCAAATTTTCAATGGCTGTTGAGGAACATTGAGTTGGAGATTGAACTCCCAGGTTACATTTGGGGCAAAGCTCTTCTATGTTGCCAACTTATATTTTCTTTTCTTATTAGGGGTCTTGGCATTCTAGAGAAGCATTCTCGACAGAGATGATAGTTCAGGCCAAGTCAGGAAAATATGATGAGAAATGGTGTTTACTAGCATTTCTTTTTTCTTTATGGGAGAGAGTATGTTCAACTGGTAATTGGAGAGGGAATTGGAGAATACCTGAGCACTATTGAAATATTCAAAATTATTTTAATTGCAACTCAAAATTAGTCATATTACTCATAACCAAAAAGTATAAGACACCTCTTAATGTCCATCAACCAATGATAGATAAAGCGTTGTGCATGTATACAGTAGAATACTATTCAGCAAAGAAAGGAATGAAGGGCTGATACATGCTATGAGAGGGACAGGTCTTGAAAACATTTTGCTAAGTGAAAGAAGCCAGACACAATGCCATAAAGTGTATGATTCCATTTATATAAAATGTTTAGAATAGGCAAATCCATGGAAACAAAGTAAATTAGTGGTTGTGAAGGGCTAAGAGGATAGGAAAAAATGACTGCTAATGGGTATTAGTTTTTATTTTAAGGTGCAAAATAAAGTTTATTAGAAACTTTAGGCCGGGCGCAGTGGCTCACACCTGTAACCCCAGAACTTTGGGAGGCCAAGGGGGGGCAGATCACCTGAGGTTGGGAGTTCAAGACCAGCCTGACCAACATGGAGAAACCCCATCTCTACTAAATAATACAAAAAATTAGCCAGGCGTGGTGGCACATGCCTGTAATCCCAGTTACTCAGGAGGCTGAGGCAGGATAATCACTTGACCCAGGAGATGGAGGTTGTAGTGAGCCGAGATCACTCCATTGCACTCCAGCCTGGGCAACAAGAGTGAAACTCCATCTCAAAAAAAAAAACAAAACGCAAAAAAGAAACTTTATTTAGAAGTTTCTAACAGTGGATATGGTTGCACAACTCTATGAATATACTAAAAACCAATAAATTGTACACTTTTAAATTATTTTTTTGAGACAGAATCTTGCTCTGTCACCCAGGCTGGAGTGCGGTGGTGCAATCTCAGCTCACTACAACCTCCACCTTCCAAGTTCAAATGATTCTCATGCCTCAGCCTCCTGAGTAGCTAGGGAGTATGTGTGTGTGCCACCATGCCCGGCTAATTTTGTGTGTGTATATGTATTTTTAGTAGAGACAGGATTTCGTCATGTTGGCTAGGCTGGTCTCAAACTCCTGGCCTCAAGTGATCTGCCCGCCTCAGCCTCCCAAAGTGCTGGGAGCCACCATGCCCAGCCAGTTGTACACTTTAAAAGGTGGATTTTATGGCATGTGAACTATAACTCAATAAATTAAAATCAATAGTCTCTCTTATGAAAAATTTATGTTTAAGAAATCTTAAATTTACTTGAAATACTAAGACTTAAAAAAAAAACCTTATAAAAATTTTCAACCATGGACAAAAGTAGAAAGAATATAATGAACTGTAATGGACCATTACCCAGCTGCAATAGTTATGGACTCATAGCAGATGTCTCACCTGCACCTCTACCCACTATTCTCCGCTCCATTCAACTATTTTGAAACAAATCCAAATTTTCATAATATTCATCTGTAAGTACTTCTATATATCTCAAAATTAAGAAATCTTTTTAAAATAACCACAATATCATTCATATATCTTAAATTTTAACAGTCATTCCTGGCTGGGCATGATGGCTCGTGCCTGTAATCCCAGCACTTTGGGAGGCTGAGGTGGGCGGATCACCTGAGGTCAGGAGTTTGAGACCAACCTTGCCAACATGGTGAAACCCCATCTCTACTAAAACTACAAAAATTAGCTGGGCATGGTGGTGGGCACCTGTAATCCCAGCTACTCAGGAGGCTGAGGCAGGAGAATCGCTTCAAACCAGGAGGCGGAGGTTGCAGTAAGCAGAGATCACAACACTGCACTCCAGCCTGGGCGACAGAGCAAGACGCTGTCTCAAAAAAAAAAAAAAAAGAAAAAGAAAAAAAGAAATATATATATCTCATTCCTTAATATAAATAGGCAAATGTTCATGAGTGTTCTAATTTTTCTGATATTGTCATATTTAATTTGCAATGAATTTGATTGAATTGGGATCCTAAGAAGGTATATAAATTGCACTGAATTAATTTCAACATAAGTTTTGTTATTGATAGGACTTTTCCCTCTTGTGAAAATTCCTTTGACAACATAAATATGTTCTTTTTTTTAATTCATAGGTCTTAAAAATGAGCTATAATAAAGTCCGAAAACTTCAGAAAGATACTTTTTATGGCCTCAGGAGCTTGACACGATTGCACATGGACCACAACAATATTGAGTTTATAAACCCAGAGGTTTTTTATGGGCTCAACTTTCTCCGCCTGGTGCACTTGGAAGGAAATCAGCTCACTAAGCTCCACCCAGATACATTTGTCTCTTTGAGCTACCTCCAGATATTTAAAATCTCTTTCATTAAGTTCCTATACTTGTCTGATAACTTCCTGACCTCCCTCCCTCAAGAGATGGTCTCCTATATGCCTGACCTAGACAGCCTTTACCTGCATGGAAACCCATGGACCTGTGATTGCCATTTAAAGTGGTTGTCTGACTGGATACAGGAGAAGCCAGGTATCTATATTGTTTATTTTTTTGTCCCAATTAAGTGGAGGAAATCTGCTTGGAGGTATTATATTAGGAAGTGGAGAGCCCAGGGTAATTTAGGAGAGAAAATAACATCTCAGAAATAATTCAAGAATAATGAATTATTTACACATCATCTATGGCTGTGTTTTGGCAACTGTGGCAGTCAAGTAGTGTCACAGAACTGTTTCACAAAGCCTAAAAATCCTTACTATCTGGCTCTTTATAAAAATGTTGCTGATCTCTGGCTTAGAGAATAAATCTCATGCTCCTTAGGCTACAAGCCAGGTCCTCATAGTGTGGTGCTGGCCTATCCTCAGCCTCCTTTCCCTCCTCTCCAACCCTCAGCCCTGCCCATCCCAGGCACACAGGCAGTTTTTGCTCTTAACAACTCTGGACAACTTCCTGCCACACCACAAGCTGTTTTACCTCCTCGTACCTGCTGCTGCCCCTGCCTGGAGCCCTTCCTTTCCTTTTCTGCTTGATGGTTCTCAGCCAGCCAGCAAACTGCTCAGCCGTTCTGAGAAGTCTGGCTGCTTCTCCACCCACCCCATCTCCATCAGAATAACCATTTCACCACTTGGGTTGTTTGCCTATACTTCCATTCTTGAATGGATAACATTTGGTTATATCTACTCCTATTAGAAGTCTTTTGCCTTTCCTGCATCTAGTTTATCTTTAACTGTGGTTTCAATATGTCCCAAACTTACATATATGTATAAAAACACATCATATATGCATTTATACATCTGTCATATGTACATATACATATGCGCACACACATAATCACACACTGCATACTGACATCTCAGTCAACAACAGATGGCATATATAATGATCCTCCCATAAGATTTACAATGGAGGTGAAATAAAACTATTGCCTAGTGACATTGTAGCCATCATAAAGTGGTAGTGCAATATGTTACCTTTTCTAAGTTTAGATACATAAATAATTACAATTGTATTACAATTGCTTACAGTATTCAGTAGAGTAATACACTGTATGGGTCTGTAGCCTAGGAGCAGTAGGCTTTACCATATAGCCTAGGTGTGTAGTAGGCTATACTATCTAGGTTTGTGTAAGTACACTGCATAATGTTTGCACAACAAAATTGCCTAATGATGCATTTTTCAGAATGTGTCCCTGTTGTTAATTCATAACTCTATATGTGTAAAATAATTAAACCCATAGGGGCTCACATCTTTCAGTCTTAATAATCAAGTGTTATCCTTTTGACTGAGATGACTTAATAATTTTTACGAGACCCATGGGTCAGTCACATCAACCTCTTCTGCTTTGAAAAATTTTCATGATTTCAAGAGATTCGACAGTTGTTCATGGCTTCAGGTGCCTCACTTGGCATGTGGTAGGCAATCCTTTTGCACTGATCTCAGTAGTTAAATGTAACACTCCTTTATCTACTTGTGGGTATCTTCTATTCTTTGATTCTGCAAAGATGTTGATGCAGCATTTCTATAAAATGAATTTGTGGCTGTTTCTCTAATGAGCATTCATTTCATGAATATGAAATTTATGTTCTGCTGCTCTGTTTCCATTCTTTTTTACATACTTGACAACCTGTTTTTATGCTAAATCATAGTGTAATCTTAATTGAAACATTTTAAAGGCAAATTTAATATATGTCATAGCACCAATACATGTGATACAATGGAAAGCAATGACAATAGCTATGACAGTCTTTATAGGTATACAAGCTGTGATAGCTATATTGATTGCCAATTTGTCAGTTGTTACTGTAAAACATCCTCAATTGTAAGGCACATCTTAATTTATAAGTTGAAATGTGAAAAAACAAACAAAAAAACATGGTCACAGAATTAGGCACTTTTTCTTGCCTGCCTGTCTGCCTTTCTTCCTTCTGCTGATCTTTCCTGAGCATCCATTGGCCAGGGCTGGGGACATACAGATGAACAAGAATGAAGTTTATAGTTTCATGGGAAGACAGATAAGTAAACAAGTCATTCTAATAGTGAATAATGAAAAAGTAGGATATAAGAAGTGAAGGGTACCCAGAGACTATAAAACAGGGAGCCCACCCAGAAGAAGTGCTGTTCAGACTGGGTTCTGAAGGATGATTGGTAAGTACTTGGGTCATGATGAAAGACACCAAGTGTGCGGGACATAGAAGGAACAGCGTATGCCAGAGCCAATGGGGCATGGCAGGGTTGAGGAATGGAAAGGATTTCCATGGGGCTGGAACCGAGGGAATGGGGGTGATATGGTCAGGTTTGCATTTGAGGCAAAATACCTGATGTCCAAGGCCTGCTAACTCTGGCTCAGTGCAAGCAATAATAAGCATGCCACAGTGTGAGCATAGTCTATGATGAGGTTTCATTAAGCCAGAAGTCTGCCATGTTGTCTTAGCCCAGGGTACTGATAAGTAGGTAAAGGAATACAGCTTGTTGGCAAGTGGGTGATGGGGAGGCAACTCTTTTTTTTTTTTTTTTTTTTTTTGAGACAGAGTTTTGCTCTTGTTGCCCAGGCTGGAGTGCAATGGTGTGATCTTGGCTCACTGCAACCTCTGCCTCCCGGGTTAAGTGATTCTCCTACCTCAGCCTCCCGAGCAGCTGGGATTATAGACATGTGCCACCATGCCTGGCTAATTTTGTATTTTTAGTAGAGACGGGGTTTTTCCATGTTGGTCAGACTGGTCTCAAACTTCCAACCTCAGGTGATCCGCCCACCTCGGCCTCCCAAAGTGCTGAGGTTACAGGCGTGAGCGATTGCGGCCAGCCAGGAGGCAACTCTTATGATTGTTCAAAGGTTTCCCAACTTGCCAGCCACCTCCTCTGCATAGGTTTAGACTATAAAATTTGCTGAAGAATGCCCACTGGTCAGGCATCTGTGACATTACCTGTCACACTGTAGTACACGCAGAAGAGTTTGGTGTCCTTGGTCAGAGTGAGTTTCTTAAGCCTTTGAGAGGACATGTGCACACATGGGAAGGAGATTTGACCCTATCTAGCCACTCTGACAAATTAGATCTTCTAAGAAGTACAATGCTTTTGTTAAGTGCCATGTCCAGTGCATCATATAAGAGCTACTATATGGAACAGCATGGATGTCTCAGGCTGTATTTTGTGTAAGGGAAAAGTCTATACCTCTTACCAAGTATTCCAGTGACCAGCCATTTTAAATAGGCTCACCAGAGCAGAGCTTTTAAATGGTATGTGATATCCAAATATTTGAAAGACAAGGCACCTATGACTTAGAAATGCTGGTCCTTATAATGCTGGTCCTAGTGCTGTAAGACTTGCAACCTCTGACTTCGCCAGAATGTCAGACCTTTAATGAGCCTCCCCACTGCCTTGGCAAAATGTTCTTCCCTCCCCCTTAAACCTGAACCTGCTCTAGTGCATCTACCTCATCCAAGGGAACCATCAACCATCCAGTTTCCAAAGTCATAAAACGGAGTCTTCCTTGACCCTTCCTTTTAGTCACTGTCCATATTCAGTCAATCCTCACCTCCTATTGATTGGTTCTACCTTCTTCATTGTCTCCTGCATCCATCTGCTTCTCTTAATTCCTGTTGCTACTAAGCTAGACCAGGTCAAGGTACCCTGTAATTCAGTCAATATTCTTTTGGATAATGGAAATAAACTTGGGTTTTTTAATGATACCCAAGGAATTATAAATAATCCTTTAATAAACAGCTTATCTTTTAAAGAACAGTGAGGTCCTGTGGCCATCTTAAAATGTTAAAATGAAGAAATAGAACTAAACTGTTATTAATAAAAACTGACAAACATGAGCATATCATTTTGTTTCCCTAGATTTAAAAAAATGACTTATTCAACTAATATTTACTGGGTACCAAATATATATCAGGCATTTGCTGAACATGGGAAATACTGCAGTGAATAAGATAGACAAAATCCTATGTCTATGCATATTATGTTGTAGCAGGGTATACAGACATAGCTTTTTAAAAAATCAAATTCAGAAGCAAAAAATCAGAAAACTTTCCATTGAACACTAAAATTTCCAAATTGTTTCAGCTTCTAGCAAAAGCTATTTCTTCAAAATGTTTGTGTCAATTCATAAAGAGGTCACAACTGATAATTCAATTGTGATTTTTTTCCAGATGTAATAAAATGCAAAAAAGATAGAAGTCCCTCTAGTGCTCAGCAGTGTCCACTTTGCATGAACCCTAGGACTTCTAAAGGCAAGCCGTTAGCTATGGTCTCAGCTGCAGCTTTCCAGTGTGCCAAGCCAACCATTGACTCATCCCTGAAATCAAAGAGCCTGACTATTCTGGAAGACAGTAGTTCTGCTTTCATCTCTCCCCAAGGTTTCATGGCACCCTTTGGCTCCCTCACTTTGAATATGACAGATCAGTCTGGAAATGAAGCTAACATGGTCTGCAGTATTCAAAAGCCCTCAAGGACATCACCCATTGCATTCACTGAAGAAAATGACTACATCGTGCTAAATACTTCATTTTCAACATTTTTGGTGTGCAACATAGATTACGGTCACATTCAGCCAGTGTGGCAAATTTTGGCTTTGTACAGTGATTCTCCTCTGATACTAGAAAGGAGCCACTTGCTTAGTGAAACACCGCAGCTCTATTACAAATATAAACAGGTGGCTCCTAAGCCTGAAGACATTTTTACCAACATAGAGGCAGATCTCAGAGCAGATCCCTCTTGGTTAATGCAAGACCAAATTTCCTTGCAGCTGAACAGAACTGCCACCACATTCAGTACATTACAGATCCAGTACTCCAGTGATGCTCAAATCACTTTACCAAGAGCAGAGATGAGGCCAGTGAAACACAAATGGACTATGATTTCAAGGGATAACAATACTAAGCTGGAACATACTGTCTTGGTAGGTGGAACCGTTGGCCTGAACTGCCCAGGCCAAGGAGACCCCACCCCACACGTGGATTGGCTTCTAGCTGATGGAAGTAAAGTGAGAGCCCCTTATGTCAGTGAGGATGGACGGATCCTAATAGACAAAAGTGGAAAATTGGAACTCCAGATGGCTGATAGTTTTGACACAGGCGTATATCACTGTATAAGCAGCAATTATGATGATGCAGATATTCTCACCTATAGGATAACTGTGGTAGAACCTTTGGTCGAAGCCTATCAGGAAAATGGGATTCATCACACAGTTTTCATTGGTGAAACACTTGATCTTCCATGCCATTCTACTGGTATCCCAGATGCCTCTATTAGCTGGGTTATTCCAGGAAACAATGTGCTCTATCAGTCATCAAGAGACAAGAAAGTTCTAAACAATGGCACATTAAGAATATTACAGGTCACCCCGAAAGACCAAGGTTATTATCGCTGTGTGGCAGCCAACCCATCAGGGGTTGATTTTTTGATTTTCCAAGTTTCAGTCAAGATGAAAGGACAAAGGCCCTTGGAGCATGATGGAGAAACAGAGGGATCTGGACTTGATGAGTCCAATCCTATTGCTCATCTTAAGGAGCCACCAGGTGCACAACTCCGTACATCTGCTCTGATGGAGGCTGAGGTTGGAAAACACACCTCAAGCACAAGTAAGAGGCACAACTATCGGGAATTAACACTCCAGCGACGTGGAGATTCAACACATCGACGTTTTAGGGAGAATAGGAGGCATTTCCCTCCCTCTGCTAGGAGAATTGACCCACAACATTGGGCGGCACTGTTGGAGAAAGCTAAAAAGAATGCTATGCCAGACAAGCGAGAAAATACCACAGTGAGCCCACCCCCAGTGGTCACCCAACTCCCAAACATACCTGGTGAAGAAGACGATTCCTCAGGCATGCTCGCTCTACATGAGGAATTTATGGTCCCGGCCACTAAAGCTTTGAACCTTCCAGCAAGGACAGTGACTGCTGACTCCAGAACAATATCTGATAGTCCTATGACAAACATAAATTATGGCACAGAATTCTCTCCTGTTGTGAATTCACAAATACTACCACCTGAAGAACCCACAGATTTCAAACTGTCTACTGCTATTAAAACTACAGCCATGTCAAAGAATATAAACCCAACCATGTCAAGCCAAATACAAGGCACAACCAATCAACATTCATCCACTGTCTTTCCACTGCTACTTGGAGCAACTGAATTTCAGGACTCTGACCAGATGGGAAGAGGAAGAGAGCATTTCCAAAGTAGACCCCCAATAACAGTAAGGACTATGATCAAAGATGTCAATGTCAAAATGCTTAGTAGCACCACCAACAAACTATTATTAGAGTCAGTAAATACCACAAATAGTCATCAGACATCTGTAAGAGAAGTGAGTGAACCCAGGCACAATCACTTCTATTCTCACACTACTCAAATACTTAGCACCTCCACGTTCCCTTCAGATCCACACACAGCTGCTCATTCTCAGTTTCCGATCCCTAGAAATAGTACAGTTAACATCCCGCTGTTCAGACGCTTTGGGAGGCAGAGGAAAATTGGCGGAAGGGGGCGGATTATCAGCCCATATAGAACTCCAGTTCTGCGACGGCATAGATACAGCATTTTCAGGTCAACAACCAGAGGTTCTTCTGAAAAAAGCACTACTGCATTCTCAGCCACAGTGCTCAATGTGACATGTCTGTCCTGTCTTCCCAGGGAGAGGCTCACCACTGCCACAGCAGCATTGTCTTTTCCAAGTGCTGCTCCCATCACCTTCCCCAAAGCTGACATTGCTAGAGTCCCATCAGAAGAGTCTACAACTCTAGTCCAGAATCCACTATTACTACTTGAGAACAAACCCAGTGTAGAGAAAACAACACCCACAATAAAATATTTCAGGACTGAAATTTCCCAAGTGACTCCAACTGGTGCAGTCATGACATATGCTCCAACATCCATACCCATGGAAAAAACTCACAAAGTAAACGCCAGTTACCCACGTGTGTCTAGCACCAATGAAGCTAAAAGAGATTCAGTGATTACATCGTCACTTTCAGGTGCTATCACCAAGCCACCAATGACTATTATAGCCATTACAAGGTTTTCAAGAAGGAAAATTCCCTGGCAACAGAACTTTGTAAATAACCATAACCCAAAAGGCAGATTAAGGAATCAACATAAAGTTAGTTTACAAAAAAGCACAGCTGTGATGCTTCCTAAAACATCTCCTGCTTTACCCAGAGACAAAGTCTCCCCTTTCCATTTCACCACACTTTCAACAAGTGTGATGCAAATTCCATCTAATACCTTGACTACCGCTCACCACACTACGACCAAAACACACAATCCTGGAAGTCTTCCAACAAAGAAGGAGCTTCCCTTCCCACCCCTTAACCCTATGCTTCCTAGTATTATAAGCAAAGACTCAAGTACAAAAAGCATCATATCAACGCAAACAGCAATACCAGCAACAACTCCTACCTTCCCTGCATCTGTCATCACTTATGAAACCCAAACAGAGAGATCTAGAGCACAAACAATACAAAGAGAACAGGAGCCTCAAAAGAAGAACAGGACTGACCCAAACATCTCTCCAGACCAGAGTTCTGGCTTCACTACACCCACTGCTATGACACCTCCTGTTCTAACCACAGCCGAAACTTCAGTCAAGCCCAGTGTCTCTGCATTCACTCATTCCCCACCAGAAAACACAACTGGGATTTCAAGCACAATCAGTTTTCATTCAAGAACTCTTAATCTGACAGATGTGATTGAAGAACTAGCCCAAGCAAGTACTCAGACTTTGAAGAGCACAATTGCTTCTGAAACAACTTTGTCCAGCAAATCACACCAGAGTACCACAACTAGGAAAGCAATCATTAGACACTCAACCATACCACCATTCTTGAGCAGCAGTGCTACTCTAATGCCAGTTCCCATCTCCCCTCCCTTTACTCAGAGAGCAGTTACTGACAACGTGGCGACTCCCATTTCCGGGCTTATGACAAATACAGTGGTCAAGCTGCACGAATCCTCAAGGCACAATGCTAAACCACAGCAATTAGTAGCAGAGGTTGCAACATCCCCCAAGGTTCACCCAAATGCCAAGTTCACAATTGGAACCACTCACTTCATCTACTCTAATCTGTTACATTCTACTCCCATGCCAGCACTAACAACAGTTAAATCACAGAATTCTAAATTAACTCCATCTCCCTGGGCAGAAAACCAATTTTGGCACAAACCATACTCAGAAATTGCTGAAAAAGGCAAAAAGCCAGAAGTAAGCATGTTGGCTACTACAGGCCTGTCCGAGGCCACCACTCTTGTTTCAGATTGGGATGGACAGAAGAACACAAAGAAGAGTGACTTTGATAAGAAACCAGTTCAAGAAGCAACAACTTCCAAACTCCTTCCCTTTGACTCTTTGTCTAGGTATATATTTGAAAAGCCCAGGATAGTTGGAGGAAAAGCTGCAAGTTTTACTATTCCAGCTAACTCAGATGCCTTTCTTCCCTGTGAAGCTGTTGGAAATCCCCTGCCCACCATTCATTGGACCAGAGTCCCATCAGGTATGTGAAACTTTTTCTTTACACTTAGTTTTTGTTAGAAAACAAGAAGAAGATTGTTATGTTTTGGGATTAAACATCCAAAGAATCAGTATCAGTTTCAAATTTTTCTAAGACAAAGAAACTATTAATATCCTCATTTGACACTGGCATATTTTCACTCATCAGAAGGGATTAAATATGTTAACTAAGAACATTTTTTGGAATGCCTCAAAAGCTGATTCAAAGTAATATGATTTGAAAAAGAGAGAATGGTTATTGTGTTGAACCATCTGGCTTTTAAAGTAAAATTATGTGAATAAAAAAATCCAGGCTGAGCACAGTGGCTCACGTCTGTAATCCCAGCACTTTGGGGAGGCCAAGGTGGGTGGATTACCTGAGGTCAGGAGTTCAGGATCAGCCTGGCCAACATGGTGAAACCCCTACTCTACTAAAAAAATACATAAATTAGCCGGGTGTGGTGGTGGGCACCTGTAGTCCCAGCTACTCGGGAGGCTGAGACAGAAGAATTGCTCGAACCTGGGAGGCGGAGGTTGCAGTGAGCCAAGATTGTGCCATTGCACTCCAGCCTGGGCAACAAGAGTGAAACTCTCTCAATAAAAATAAAATTAAATAAAATAATCCAGGAATAATTTTAGCAATCTGAAGACTAGATGTCCTAATTTTTTTTTTTTGGTCTGTCACCTAGGGTGGAGTGCAGTGGTACAATCATGTCTCCAGGGGCTCAAGCAATCCTCCTATCTGAACCACCTGAGTAGCTGGGACTACAAGTGCACACCACCATACCTAGCTAATATTTTATTTTTTGTTTGTAGAGACAGGGTCTCACTATGTTTCCAGGGCTGGTCTTGAACTCCTGGGCTTAAGTGATTCTCCCACCTCAGCCTCCCAAAGTGTTGGGATTATACAAGTGAGCCATAGGGCTGGGCTTTCATTTTAATTTAAATGTATTCTTAGTAGCCCAAAAAACGATAGCTTTATGTTTTCTAAATAAACTTTGATGACCCGTAGCAATAATTTTCTTTTTTTCTTCTCAGGACTTGATTTATCTAAGAGGAAACAGAATAGCAGGGTCCAGGTTCTCCCCAATGGTACCCTGTCCATCCAGAGGGTGGAAATTCAGGACCGCGGACAGTACTTGTGTTCCGCATCCAATCTGTTTGGCACAGACCACCTTCATGTCACCTTGTCTGTGGTTTCCTATCCTCCCAGGATCCTGGAGAGACGTACCAAAGAGATCACAGTTCATTCCGGAAGCACTGTGGAACTGAAGTGCAGAGCAGAAGGTAGGCCAAGCCCTACAGTTACCTGGATTCTTGCAAACCAAACAGTTGTCTCAGAATCATCCCAGGGAAGTAGGCAGGCTGTGGTGACGGTTGACGGAACATTGGTCCTCCACAATCTCAGTATTTATGACCGTGGCTTTTACAAATGTGTGGCCAGCAACCCAGGTGGCCAGGATTCACTGCTGGTTAAAATACAAGTCATTGCAGCACCACCTGTTATTCTAGAGCAAAGGAGGCAAGTCATTGTAGGCACTTGGGGTGAAAGTTTAAAACTGCCCTGTACTGCAAAAGGAACTCCTCAGCCCAGCGTTTACTGGGTCCTCTCTGATGGCACTGAAGTGAAACCATTACAGTTTACCAATTCCAAGTTGTTCTTATTTTCAAATGGGACTTTGTATATAAGAAACCTAGCCTCTTCAGACAGGGGCACTTATGAATGCATTGCTACCAGTTCCACTGGTTCGGAGCGAAGAGTAGTAATGCTTACAATGGAAGAGCGAGTGACCAGCCCCAGGATAGAAGCTGCATCCCAGAAAAGGACTGAAGTGAATTTTGGGGACAAATTACTACTGAACTGCTCAGCCACTGGGGAGCCCAAACCCCAAATAATGTGGAGGTTACCATCCAAGGCTGTGGTCGACCAGCAGCATAGGTAAGTCTATACCTTTGGGTTGGAATTATCTGCTTTATGTATTTAGCTGTACAACTTCTGAAATGGAAAAAGTGACACAGTGAGGCTAGCAGCAGTTTTAGAGTACACATAGACTTTGGACATAAAGGAAACTCTCTCAAAAAAAACTAATCTTTTGAGATCATTTGAATACAAAAACCATTCTTTTCACATGCTTAACTCAAAGGGTCAACTTCTTAGGGTTTTTATATTTTAGGCAGAATTAAAAAATCTCATTTATCTCCATACTTGGCACAGTTTTAAAATAGTAACTGTAGGACAGGCACGGTGGCTCACGCCTGTAATCCTAGCACTTTGGGAGGCCGAGACAGATGGATCACCTGAGGTCAGGAGTTCAGGACCAGCTCGGCCAACATGGTGAAACCCTATCTCTACTAAAAGTACAAAAAAAAAAAAATTAGCCGGGCATGGTGGCCGGGCGCCTGTAATCCCAGCTGCTTGGGAGGTTGAGGCAGGAGAATTGCTTGAACCTGGAAGGCAGAGGTTGCAGTGAACCGAGATTGCACCACTGCACTCCAGCCTAGGCAACAGAGTGAGACTTTGTCTCAAAAAAAAAAAAAAAAATAGTAATTGTATAAATATATTCACACTCTCTGTAAACAAAACAGAGAAGGGAATTTTTATGATGCAGTGGAGATTCTAGAGAGAGACACTCCGTTATTTTACTCGTCTGAGTCCCCTATTCGACATTTTAAACTTCATTATAATCAGTACTTAATTTTTTCTTTCCTAAAATTACAAAGCACTTTGTGAAAGTCACAATATTAAGACCTCCACCAAGTGAAACATATTCAGGGCCCCCGCATTCTGATGTGATGAGACACATATATACAAATACACACTTTCTCTGGTCTGTTATAGGCATATGAATATATATATTTTTTGAGACGGAGTCTCGCACTGTCGCCCAGGCTGGAGTGCAGTGGCAGGATCTCTGCTCACTGCAAGCTCCGCCTCCCAGGTTCACGCCATTCTCCTACCTCAGCCTCCTGAGTAGCTGGGACCACAGGCACCCGCCACCACATCCGACTAATTTTTTGTATTTTTAGTAGAGACGGAGTTTCACCATGTTAGCCAGGATGGTCTTGATCTCCTGACCTCGTGATCTGCCCGCCTTAGCCTCCCAAAGTGCTGGGATTACAGGCATGAGCCACCGTGCCTGGCCTCAATATTCATTTTATAGCTGGCTTTCTATATAAATTATATCTTCAAAAATCAATAATTATAGCTTATGAGGTTTTTTTTTGCAAGTGGCATGACTTTACACAATGGTTTTCCATTACAGGACAAAAAATGAGGATGAGAATTTCCATCTTATATATCTGTTTATTCATTAATAGAAAACATCCATGCAAAAAAATTACACATAGTAAATGTGAATTTGTACTCATGCTTAGGAGTTGAAGATTTTCTTCTAATGACACGAGTTGATACTGAATACAGCTAATAAATTTAACTTGTGATCTTTAGTTCAAAAGTAAATGTTAATTCTCAAGTTTTTCAAATGTCATCAAAAATCACCTAAATTAAATTGAAATTTGTTTAGATTTAGAATTTTTAAATGCTGAGTTATGAAATGTGAGTTTTGTGCTTTGGAGAGGCTGAAGATGCCTCTGCATTAATCTTTATTAAGAATTCTGTCTTCCACTCTGGGAAACCTTCTATTTTCAAAAGTAAATTATCTCTCTCAAAAATATTAGTTTATAAAAAGAAACATCAATAGTTCTGTCTGTTATATGTCACAATCTCCAGTTGCATCAGATCTTGGGTGCAGGGGATATCACTCTAAGCCAGTTTTTCTCCAAGGGAAGACCCCCTACCAGTAGCATTAGCATTGTCTGGGAATTTGTTGAATCAGGAGCTCTGATTTTGTTTTAATAAGCAATCTGTTCTTAAAAGCCCTCCAGGTGATTTTGTTGCTAAAATTTGACACTTGTGTTCAAACTTAATTATTTATGTTAGCTGGGAAGTTTTTTAAAGAGTGGGTTTCTACATCCTTGGCGAGACCTATTGAAGCAGAATTTCAGGAAACCAAAGCCGGGGAATATGCATCTTAAACTCGACCCATGTAATTCTAATGCAGCTGATGAGGGATCTTCATTGAGAACCCAGTTAGAACAGTGGTTCTTTGCTGCACATGGAAACCTTTAATCCGGAAAATTCTAAGAATCCTGATGCCCAAGCCATGCTGCACACATATTAAGTCAAATTCTGGAGGTGAGACTCAGACATCATTATTATTTTAAACTCCACAAGTGTTTTAATGTTTAGCCAAGTTTAAGAACCAATACTTTTAGAAAGCATTAGGAAAGAATGCCAGTATAGCATGGTGGAAAGCGTAAGGCTTGAGAACCAGCCCTGTGACCTAAGGCAAGTTGCTAAATCTCTCTAAATACCAATTTTTCAGCTGTATAGTGAGGGAATTACTTCAAGATTAAACAACCAGTGCAAAGCACCTGGCAGTTTCCCTTCCTTTAGGTGTATTTGTATTGATTTTACTTTGGTTTATATGCCAGAGAACTTCCTTCCATACTTGGGGAAAAAAAAATTTTCTCTAATATTTTACTATAATACTTTCCATACTTACCTTTGCTGGAGAATAACAGTGACTTGATGACTGGGTGTGGTGGTTCACGCCTGTCATTCCAGCACTTTGGGAGACCAAGGCGGGAGGATCGCTGGAACCCAGAAGTTGGAGACCAGCCTTGGCAACACAGTGAGACCCTGTCTCTACAAAAAATAAAAAAATTAGGAGGGCATAGTGGTGTGTGTCTGTAGTCCCAGCTACTCAGAGGTTGAGGTTGGTGGATTGCTTGAACCTGGGAGGTTGAGACTGCAGTGAGCCGTGATCTCACCACTGCACTCTAGCCTGGGCTCCAGAGTGACACCCTGTCTCAAAAAAATATAAAGTAAATAGAAAATAGGAGAGAGAGAAATGACTTGAGGCTGTTTGACTTGGTTAGCACTTATGCTATGAAAACAGTTTTTACTTTCCTCTCGTTTTATCTACCTGCTTAGCCCATGTTGCCCAAAAATAAGAAAGACGTTTTCTCATATAGGTATCCCTGATAGCACTTTTAGCACCAGTTGAGTCTCCACTGGTCTAAAAAAGTAGATTTAGTTTTACCAGGAAAGATCTGCCATCTGGTGGTTAAATTTGGTAATGATAGGCTGTGCAGCCACTGTACATCTGGAGAAAAATGGTATTCCACACAGCTCAATCTAGTGCAAAAACTAGTCACTGTACAGCTGCCCATAGAGGGCAGATGCTGCAACAACCTTCTAAGGAACCTTGCGTTGGTATTCTAACAAAGTAAAATTTATTTTTTTCTAAAACAGTTTCATTTTTGTCACCCAGACTAGAGTGTAGTGGTGTGATCTCGGCTCACTGCAACCCCAGCCTCCTGGGTTCAAGCGATTCTCAAGCCTTAGCCTCCCGAGTAGCTGGGATCACAGGCATGTGCCATCATGCTCAGCTAATTTTTCGTATTTTTAGTAGAGATGGGGTTTTGCCATGTTGGCCAGGCTAGTCTCAAACTCCTGCCCTCAAGTGATCTGCCCACATTGGCCTCCCAAAATGCTGGGATTACAGGTGTGAGCCACTGTGCCCAGCCAAAGTAGAATTTTCTAACCAAATGATTCAGTAATTGTTTTGTTACTAATAACTGTTTAGAAAGTATCATCTGGCATCTTTTCTGAGCAACTGAGTTTACCTATATATATTACAAAATCACCATGTTTGTGGATCCAATTAGTTTACTTGGTATGTGAAATGGTCAAGGAAGTCATGGTGTCTAGAACTCCCATATTTCTAGCATGTGCCTCTTCATTAAGATTTTTTTTAAAAAATTACTATGTAACGGAGATTCATTTGAATTCCATCTGAGAAATACTTACTTGCACTAAATTATACCTGTTCAATTAGATAATTTCATCTTTCAGCAAATGGCTTAGAAGACAATAAGCTGGTAGTAATTTTATTTTTTTATTGCAACAATTTAAAGCTAATCACACATACAAAAACAGGTAACTATGAGGTGATGGACATGCTAGTTAATCGTGGTCATTTCTCTCTCTCTATATATATATATACCTCAAAATGTATGTGTATATATATATATCTCAAAATGTATATATATATATATCTCAAATATGTGTATATATATACACACACACCTCAAAATGTATATATATCTCTCTCAAAATGTCATGTTCTACACCTCAAAGATACACAATTTTCATTGGTCATGCTTCAATAAAGCTGGGGCAGAGGGAGGCAATCCTGAGTAAAACAGTTTCCCTCATTGCTAACAGCTGCACACTCAAATGAATCTCTTTTCTCCTTAGAGTGGGCAGCTGGATCCACGTCTACCCTAATGGATCCCTGTTTATTGGATCAGTAACAGAAAAAGACAGTGGTGTCTACTTGTGTGTGGCAAGAAACAAAATGGGGGATGATCTGATACTGATGCATGTTAGCCTAAGACTGAAACCTGCCAAAATTGACCACAAGCAGTATTTTAGAAAGCAAGTGCTCCATGGGAAAGATTTCCAAGTAGATTGCAAAGCTTCCGGCTCCCCAGTGCCAGAGATATCTTGGAGTTTGCCTGATGGAACCATGATCAACAATGCAATGCAAGCCGATGACAGTGGCCACAGGACTAGGAGATATACCCTTTTCAACAATGGAACTTTATACTTCAACAAAGTTGGGGTAGCGGAGGAAGGAGATTATACTTGCTATGCCCAGAACACCCTAGGGAAAGATGAAATGAAGGTCCACTTAACAGTTATAACAGCTGCTCCCCGGATAAGGCAGAGTAACAAAACCAACAAGAGAATCAAAGCTGGAGACACAGCTGTCCTTGACTGTGAGGTCACTGGGGATCCCAAACCAAAAATATTTTGGTTGCTGCCTTCCAATGACATGATTTCCTTCTCCATTGATAGGTACACATTTCATGCCAATGGGTCTTTGACCATCAACAAAGTGAAACTGCTCGATTCTGGAGAGTACGTATGTGTAGCCCGAAATCCCAGTGGGGATGACACCAAAATGTACAAACTGGATGTGGTCTCTAAACCTCCATTAATCAATGGTCTGTATACAAACAGAACTGTTATTAAAGCCACAGCTGTGAGACATTCCAAAAAACACTTTGACTGCAGAGCTGAAGGGACACCATCTCCTGAAGTCATGTGGATCATGCCAGACAATATTTTCCTCACAGCCCCATACTATGGAAGCAGAATCACAGTCCATAAAAATGGAACCTTGGAAATTAGGAATGTGAGGCTTTCAGATTCAGCCGACTTTATCTGTGTGGCCCGAAATGAAGGTGGAGAGAGCGTGTTGGTAGTACAGTTAGAAGTACTGGAAATGCTGAGAAGACCGACATTTAGAAATCCATTTAATGAAAAAATAGTTGCCCAGCTGGGAAAGTCCACAGCATTGAATTGCTCTGTTGATGGTAACCCACCACCTGAAATAATCTGGATTTTACCAAATGGCACACGATTTTCCAATGGACCACAAAGTTATCAGTATCTGATAGCAAGCAATGGTTCTTTTATCATTTCTAAAACAACTCGGGAGGATGCAGGAAAATATCGCTGTGCAGCTAGGAATAAAGTTGGCTATATTGAGAAATTAGTCATATTAGAAATTGGCCAGAAGCCAGTTATTCTTACCTATGCACCAGGGACAGTAAAAGGCATCAGTGGAGAATCTCTATCACTGCATTGTGTGTCTGATGGAATCCCTAAGCCAAATATCAAATGGACTATGCCAAGTGGTTATGTAGTAGACAGGCCTCAAATTAATGGGAAATACATATTGCATGACAATGGCACCTTAGTCATTAAAGAAGCAACAGCTTATGACAGAGGAAACTATATCTGTAAGGCTCAAAATAGTGTTGGTCATACACTGATTACTGTTCCAGTAATGATTGTAGCCTACCCTCCCCGAATTACAAATCGTCCACCCAGGAGTATTGTCACCAGGACAGGGGCAGCCTTTCAGCTCCACTGTGTGGCCTTGGGAGTTCCCAAGCCAGAAATCACATGGGAGATGCCTGACCACTCCCTTCTCTCAACGGCAAGTAAAGAGAGGACACATGGAAGTGAGCAGCTTCACTTACAAGGTACCCTAGTCATTCAGAATCCCCAAACCTCCGATTCTGGGATATACAAATGCACAGCAAAGAACCCACTTGGTAGTGATTATGCAGCAACGTATATTCAAGTAATCTGACATGAAATAATAAAGTCAACAACATCTGGGCAGAATTTATTTTTTGGAAGAAGTTTAATCAAAGGCAGCCATAGGCATGTAAATGAATTTGAATACATTTACAGTATTAAATTTACAATGAACATGCAAAATAAAAGGACTTGTAAATAAATGCATTATGAACTGATGATACTGATTTATTTAATGGATCTCAAAACAAACTTTTAACTTAAGGCACTTTTATTTTGCCAACAAATAACAATAAACAAACATTGAAACGGTTCACTATAAAATAACAAATGGCTAATGTACCTGAATTTTTCAGTAAAAAAATGAACTTCTAATACCAGTTGCCTAGTGTCCACCTCCTATCAATGTTACAAGCATGGCACTCAGAACAGAGACAATGGAAAATATTAAATCTGCAATCTTTATGATGTAAATTTACCATCCTGATGTATAAATATTTTGTGGTTTATAAATTTTTTTGCTAAAACCTACAGAAAATAAGCACTGAACTGTCTTATGATTCACCATTTGTTCACACTGAAAATTTTCATTGATGGGGAATACAAAAATGTTTTAATAACTGCATTTAAAAATAAATGCAGGCTCACTTTTCCACATGTAAAAAGCAATGTAATACCTGCACATCATAAAATGTGAAAAGGGGGTTATTTTTGTCCAAATACACCCATTAAAAAGGTTTTAAAAATACAATGAAACTTCTTTATAACTTTAAAATCTAGCTCAGGCACCCCTGGTTTGGAGCTGTTTATAAGGAAATTTTTCTGAGCAGGAATCGTTGCTCTATAAGCATTTCATTTCATTAATTCTTTATGGGATGGGAAAATGCTTGGGAGGGTCTAGGTCTATTATATATAATGAAGTTTCACTGTATTTAAAATCTGATCAATCCTACACAAAATGTGTTTTTGTAATTCACTGAATTTATATTACATGCTTAATTCAACCTGAATTAATTTGGGGAATATTAAATGATTGATCTTATCTAAATCTAGGGGTGGGGTTTTCCAGTGTAATTTCTCCAGCATCTATTCAAACATTCACCTAGTACTTACTTAAGAATTATAGGAGCTTTATAAATGGGAAAAAAATGCCATAGGTCTTAGATATCTCAGTGCACAAAACCGAGAATTACTAATAAGTTAGCCCCTGCCAATCATTTGAGACATGTGGAATAGCGCCCTTGGGTTTTCATCACACTGACTTTCAGTTAGCCCCATCTCAGCCTAAAATGTGACCTGGTTGCAACTTATGTCTGATGTTAGTACCCTGTGGCTGGAAGTGGTCAAAGCTACGCATTGATCTCCTCTACTTCCAGGCCAAGAAGGGTAAATGCAATGACTGACAAATGCAACCCTATTAAGAAAAAGCCTACAGTGTAAACAAGAGAGTCTATGGGCTTCTTATATCCAAGAACTGTGATTGATTGATAGGTATAGCTGACTCCATTTGATTTCAAGGTCTTGTCTTTAAGGGGAGCTGGGGTCTCGCTCCATCTTATTCTAAGGTAATTTCCTCTGGTAAGGTAAAGTACCAGGTTCTGCCACAGGGCTTTACCTTGTGACCATCTTAATGCAAAAGAATGCATTTGCAAGAAAAGAAAAAAAAAAAAAAAAAAAAGAAACCTCTCAAGATACAGAATTAACAGGGAGAAAATCTGAAGACTAAAGTAATTCTAGTTATTTTCTTTATAATGCGCAGGGGTAAAACAGCATTCCTCAACTTTCAATAGAATCGTGGAATTAATTAGAGTCGTAGCATAACTTCCTCACCTAAAAAAAGAAAAAAGATATGCCCCACAGCTTTCATGTGCAAAATGATTAATAATTTAACTCACCTCTGCAAAGTATAAAGTGCATACAAATGCTATGCAATTATAACACTCATTCTTAAAACAGTATTACTGTTGTTTGCAATGCTGAGCTACAAAATATATGGTTCAAACTGAACTGGCAAAGAAATTTGGAAAGAAATAATGATGGAACATGACTCACTCACTAGGCACAACATTCACATTTCGGTTGATTTGCCAATGCAGTCATTATATAGATATATTACTTTGAAGAAAACAACTTCATTAGCTTATCTAAGTATGTTTCTTGAGAGGAAAAAATCTGATATACAAAACCAGCAAAAATGTGTACAGATAGATGATACATCTTCTGAAAGCAGATAGACTATTAATTTAGTGAAAAGAATAGTTTTTAATGTTTTGGCAAAGTCTTTTCCAGCCCAGAGTAAACACAAAATGGGCAGGCTGGAGTGAAATATTTTCACAGTGTACAAAGCAGTTCACATGGATGTTGCCACAGCAAAGTAAGCTGACATGTATTTGAGGTCATTTGCATGAGTCAAACTTTGCAATGAGTAACTCACCCAGGAAGATATAAATTATTTATAGATAATGATTTGCAAAAGAAAATGTCTACTAAAGTTGTACTAGCTACATTTTAAAAAAAGTAGATTTACATGGTCTGCTCATTATAGACAAGTCTATTCACAGTATGCTTGACTATATTATATGTAAAATCATATGGCAAAAGAAAATGAAATAACAGAGAACATGGGAAAATATCCCCCACATATGTTTTAAAATGCCCTGCAATTTTCACATTCAAAATTTTATGCATCTAAATCTAAAAAAATATTATATAGAATACTCTTAAGTTACACAAACTGATAATTTACTGGTTTCTTTTTTACTCTAATAGGAGCAAATTACCACATACTTGAACAAAGTTAAAATAGTTACTATTTCTTTATAATAAATTTGATGTATAATTTACTTGTGCTTTTTGCACCAATTTATAAATACAGTATATGCAATACACAACCAAGACTGACACTGACAGTAATAATTAAATTCAAAAGAGCAAATACTTACCATACAAAATAAACAGCAAATACACCTTTTATGAAAACCAGAGCCTTCTGGACTTTGGGGCCAGATTCTCTGGAAACCATGTCAAGTGTGAGCACTGGAATCTCAAGCCAGCTACTGGATTTTTTTTTCCCCTTAAGGTGGCATAAGGTTCAGGAGAACCAAAACTGGCAATAAATAGTTGGACGATTCCACTGCAGTTCTTTCAGGCCTTTAGGATTTACATGTTGTACCTTCACAATGACTCTCATCAATGATCTTGCCTCAAAACAAATTTGAGTACAGCTACTTCTAACAGGTTTCCGCACATCTTAGGGCGGCTCTCAAAGAAACCTTGGTTTAGGTTCTTGGTTTAAGAAGTTTAAGTACGAAGCAACAATCTGTTTCAGCACCTTTTGACCACAACAAAAGCAAAGAAGAGTCCTACATAAATAAGAACAAAGTTTATAAAGTGCTTATGAGATTACAAACATTTCAAATTAGAGCGATGCAAATAAATGTCCGTTTCACCATCACAGGTGAATGCAGAATAAACAGGCCATGTTTCTGTCAAGATCTGACATGCCTTTCAAATCAGTAGTTTGGTCCAGCACAGTTTGGAAAATAAAATTAAAAAAAAAAAAACAACGTCATCATTAATGAATGAAATACATAAATACCTTAGATCCATCATAATCCATTCTTTCTAGAAATGTGAGATTCAAAAAAAGCACCAATTTCAAAAGGTCTGCTAGCACACTCTTCCGGGAGTAGGCCTGCCTGCATGATTCACATTTGTAAACCTACTTTAAAGGTGAATTCAACAAAATCAAACCACAACTTCTCCTTGGCTTTTTGTTTAAACACCTTTTTTTTTTTTTGTGAGATGTAGCATAAAATATAGTAAAATGTCAAAGAAATGAAAAAAAGGGACATTTTTAAGATGACTAATGCATTAAATTTGATTTTCTGTTTTTCAGTGCAAACATAAAACGTCATGTCTTCTCCTCTTGCAGATTCAGAAGTGTGAAGGATGCCCATACGGAGTCACTCCTTGCTGTGGCTGGTTGCCTAAGGAGAAAAATAAATTGAACCAAAATTACAGACACAAAACTATTGCACAGATGGATGCTACCCTCTTGTCACTGCTCTCAGTACCAGCTGCAGGTACAGGGAAACAGAATGGCCGGAGAGTACTATCCTTGCCCTGAAAAACCCTTGTGGTGGGATTCAAGTACCACCCTGCAGAGGGGACACCTTTATTCACAGTCCACACTTGCCAATGCAAGGCCGCAGGATTTAGGTTACTGGCCCATCCAGAGTGTCTCCCTCTGAACTAAACTACTTGGTATTAACTTTCAAAAGGAATACAGTAAAAGTTTCATAAAACATTGAAAGTTCTCAAAATGCTTATGAAAGTCAGCAATTCTACTTTAACACATAATTGGTAAGAAAAAATTAGATTGGAACTGGGCAATTTTCTGCAAATAGCCATAAGGTATGTACAACAGAACTGTGCAAGAGTATATGCAGGTGCAAGACTGTCCGTGTGTGATGACTCAAGCGTGTGCCTATGTAGACATGCATGCCTGCACATGCATACAGAAACAAGGAATGGTCAGTAGATACCAAAAAATGACATGGGCTTAGAAACAGCTACTGCTTGTTTAACTCTGGAGTATTCAAATCCGGAGGCCCCATTCACATGGGCCATGCTATCAAAGGAGCCCTCTGGAGTTGTGTGGTGAGCAGCTCAGTTTAGTCACCACCCTTCAACAATGGAGTGTGGCATAACTGCTTATCAGGCAGCTGAGTATATACTGTGGTTAGGAGGTGGGCTCTGGAAGGAATGCTTCTGAGCTCAAGCCTCAGCTCTATTAGCTGAAAAACCTTGGGCAAATTAGTCAATGTTCCCGTTCTTCAGTTGCTTCCTCATCTGTAATGTGGGAACAGTAATAATACATAATCTCACAGGGTGGGTTAAAAATAAAGTAAATCAATACATGGAAAGTCCTAGTGCCTGGGTCCTAGAGAGTCCTCCATAAATGATGGCTTTAACAAAAAGCTGAGCTCTGGTAGACAGGAACTAAGAGTAGATATCTTTCCCCAAACAGATGCCACTTTATAAAAATCATAGTTACCTATTTCTAAACACTAGAAGAAAAAATCTGCCTTAAGATTGTATTTTCTATAAGAATAAGGATTCTGGAATTAGTGAAACATAATGAGATTTTAATTACAAATGTGTTTTAATAGACCAGATCTATTAAACAGTAAACAGTAGCTAGAAATGAAGATTTACTTGATTTAACTGACATTAAATGAGGCCATAAGAGGAAAATATTTTTAAAGAAGAAAAAAAATTTTGGGTATCCACTGGTAGAGACAGACACTAAGGTGTAAGAGGGATATCCCTCTGTCAGAAAATCAACTCACACAGCAGCCAGGCAGAAAATTAAGACTAAAACCAAGCTGCCCCTCAGTAATTACATGACCTGTTTCCTTATGTCTCAGCAGGCTACCAGACCTGCACCACTGCCTTCACCACAAACTAGTCTTCCCTCTGGTACCTCACAAGTACATAATCCAAGACCAAGAAGAAACTGCTAGTCTCACTCATTGCACGGATGGAAAAACTACACAATCCAGATAATGGCAGCCAAGCTGACACCAAAATTTACGTCTTCTGACTTCCAGGCTAATATTCTTTGCATCACAGGGAGCTTGCTCCCATTTCTAAAAGGATTTTCCGTCCTATGACACCCGCCCAGGGGTGATTCAATTCATGGGAGCACACTGCTGGCATTGAGATGAGGTATGATGAAATGGGCTATTGGTAAATTCTCTAGAAAGGCAGCACATTAAACAAAACAAAACAAAACAAAAACACCACACCAGCACTACAGGCAAGATTACTAGGGAGAAAACACTGTCTCGATCATGCTGTGTATGATGTTATAGGTTTTGATTTATGAGTCACTATCAGAAGGGTAGGATGGTGCAGTGGTAAGAACATTCACAGTCTGACAGTTTAGTGCTGGCCTCCCTGTATCTGAAGATCTTCGGGAGGCCAGCTAACTTTATTCATCTGTATAATTAAGGGCATTAGCTGATGCTCCCTGAACTCTCCAGCTTTAAACAAAGGACACCTTTGATTCCATAGGAGTCCCCCCAATGAGAAGAAATATTTCTAGATTCTGGTGGAAGCAAAAAGAAAGTATCTTCACTGAATTTGAGAAAAATTGGGGCTTTCCCAGGAAAGGAAGCATTCAAGCCAAAACCAAACGAAGACAGAATGAAAATACCTTGGGCTAAACCAAATAACATGAACATTGTACTGAGGAAGATGGTACCATCTTGGGAGAGCCGCCACTTTACGTTTCGCTGGCTTATTTTTAATTTTCCGGGAGCTGTCTGTTCCATGACACACAGGGGTACTTACTGGAAAGCTGCTTCTGGAGCTGCCGCACCAAGGCGGCCGTCTGCTGCTGCTGCTGGGTCTGCTGCAAGCCTTGCCTGGGAAACTGTAATGGCGACAGGAGAAAGGACAGAAATCATTCCATGGTGCCAATCACAGACAAGAACAGAGACTAACTCGCAGGGCCAGTCTGTAAGGTACTTCTCAACACTTCACGAAAAAAGGGCTATGACAACTGTGTGTGGATTAATTTTCATCTACACCTTGTTGTGCATCTGGTGAACATCTGAAGTACCCCATCTATTCAGGAACCCAAGCTCCAGGTTATTAGTTGGCATTTATTTGAAGAGCCCCAATGAAGAACTCCACACTACAGACGTAGCTCAGCAGCTCAAAGATCCTGGTCATCTCACCCTTCACCAGCTAGCTCATGAGTATCATGATATTAATACTGGCAAAATGAAAGCTCTCTGGTTGGAAGATTTGTTCAAGGACTACAGGTTGTGCCTTGCACAAATGGGAGAAAATAATCTGGTGAGGCAGGGTGGTGCCCTAGGACTAGGGCTCATTTGGGACTATACCCTCCCCATATGATGGAGGATGAAGGTTCGCTAATCCCACCCTCAGAGCCCGGGCCTGGGCAGGATGAGTGAGTGAGGCACTAACTTTAAGAAAGTGCTAATTCCCAGGGCCATGCAAATACAGGCTCTGTAGGAAGAATCAGATGAGAGGCACAATATAGGGGACCACATGCCCTGATTCTATCTATTAAGTTGATGCAAGAAATTGTGGTTATTCCAAAGAGGAAAAAAAGCAGCATCTACCAGAAGCAAAATTACTTTTGGTTAGAATCACTGGTAGTGCCAATTTACTTTTTTATCTTGATCTTCAAATTTCAGACTATCGTTTTCTCCTTTTCTTTCTTCCCCTTCTCTCCTCCTCCAACCCTCTTCTCTCCTCCTGGTCTGTCACTGTCATAAACGAGGCGTTCTGACACAGGCACATACACCAGCACGGTGCTGGCTGTTTCCCATGTGCC
Organism: Homo sapiens; assembly: GCF_000001405.40. Lineage (NCBI taxonomy): Eukaryota > Metazoa > Chordata > Mammalia > Primates > Hominidae > Homo > Homo sapiens. The sequence goes on along the minus strand of NC_000003.12, from coordinate 151,429,365 downwards.
CACTCTCCGTGTGCTCACCAGGCTGCCTGTGTGGAGGGCATCAACAAGGCTGGCTCCTCTGCCCTCCGACTTCTAGGTGGGGAGGAGGTGCTCCCAGGAGACTGGAGCATAGGAGCACAGTGAGGCTGGGAGGGAGCAGAGTGAAGTTTTGTTTTTGCCAATTTTCCTCCATGAGTCTCTGCTGGCTGGCCACGCCCCACACCGGGAAGGTTGCAGCTCCTGTCAGGTAGCCTCCCTACCTCTCTCCCCTTCTTGTCCCGCTGGGATTAGGGGCAGTCAGTGAGTGGGCCATCACCTCCAGCTGGTTTTCCATACCTTTGTAATTTGTCTTTTGAAAAAGACTCTTCAATTACCCAACGCCAGTGCAACATCTATTTCCTCCTCAGAGCTTGTCAAGAATAGCCCAGGATTGTAAGTACAGTTGCTAGATTTAGCAAATAAAAACGCAGCACGTCCAGTTAAATGTGATTTTCAAATAAACAATAATGTTTTAGTTCCAAGCATGTCCCAAATATTGCACATGACAAATATTGCATTTAGTACAAGTATATCCCATGCAGTATTTGGGATATACACTAAAGTGTTATTCATTGTTTACCTGAAACTCAAATTTAACTGGGAGCCGTGTATTTTATGTGGCAATCCTGTCTTATCCTCTATTTAGAGGGCATTACCAAGCTGATACTTTCAAAACTGAATATTTGGCATGACAGCTGGTTCAACTTTCTCTCTCCCACTAGACAGTGAGTGACTGAAAGACAAGGGCTTGGCATACCTACTGATGTATCTGTAATATCCGGTACTGCCAGGCACACAGCAGGTGCTCAGTAGCAACTGATGGAATGACTAATTCTAAGAGCCTTCAATTCCCACAACTTTCCTAATAACAAGAAAGATCCACAAAACTAATGAACTATTCCCTCCACCAATGTTACTATTTTCCCCAATACAAATTAGAGAAGCAGCAGCTTGCCATTTTTTTCCATTGCCCAAATCAAGAGTGAAAAATAAAAATCAATCTTTCATTTATATGGAAATGTTAGTATTCTTTTCTATTCAATAGTTTTTATGCTTACTTGGGGAAACTATTGTACTATGTGCCAGGTACTGTTCCAGACATTCTATGTGTCTATTAGCATATTTAATCCTGACTTAGCTGTAACTGTCCTCAATCTCTTATCCAAAGTCCTAAGACAGATATGTGCTTTGGAATCTGAACATATGCAGTTTACTAAGAAACACTCCTAATATGCAGACCAGGCAAAATGTAGGACAGCACTCCATAATCAAGCATATTACATTTCTGTAGCAAGCACATGAATAATTATATCAGGTAGGATAAATGAAAAGAGCCTCATGTCTATTCAGGTCAGCTTTTGCCACCAATGAGTTCATGTCAAATTTTGCTGTTCACTTCTGACTGGTTAAGACTGCTGCCCCCAGAAAATGTCCCATATCTATGACATCTATCATCTTGCAGACTTATTTCACTGTGGTGAACACATTTAAAATCTACTTTAGCAATTCTGGAATATACATTATTAACTATAGTTACCTTGCTATGCAATAGATCAACAAAACTTATTCCTCCTGTCTAAATGAAACTTTGGACCCTTTGACCAACCACTACATTCCCCTCAAGCCTATCCATGATTGAAAATACCAGCTTCCAAATATCAACTTATTCAGAAATAATTACAGATTCTAAAAGGCTGGCTATAAAGATGTCTAAGCTGATTGAACAGCATATTGGGGTACATGGTGTACAAATAGTCAACATTTATTCACTCAACAAACACATAGCTGCCTTCTTTATGTTCATTTAAAGCCTGCTTCAAATAGAGTATTTCACAGAATAAAACACTGTAGTGGTTGCCTCAGATACTATATTTTGCAGAGCCTAAGCAGTAACTAGGTATACCCTAGGAAGCTTGTGTACACATGTATGCGTGTGTGTGTTGGGGAGTTCAGGGTGGTGTGAGGGTGGCTTAAGAGGTAGTACATAGTCAGAGGGCCTCAAATTGTGATCCAGGGATTCCTGGGAGAGGTCCCCAAGACTCTGTCAGGTTATCTGCAAGGTCAAAACCATTTTCAAAATAAATACTAAGACATTATCTGCTTTTTTCACTTATTTTCTCATGCACGTACATTACAGCTTTCCAGAGCCTACATAACATGTGCTATTACAACAAATCAAATGTTCTCTATTAAACCAGACACTGAAGAAATTTTCAAAAATGTAAACCAGGCCAGGCACAGTGAGTCACACCTGTAATCCCAGCACTCCTGAGAGGCCAAGGCGAGCAGACAGCTTGAGCCTGGGAGTTCAAGACCAGCCTGGGCAACATGGCAAATCGCCATCTCTACAAAAAATTACTAAAATTAGCCAGGCATGGTGGTGCATGCCTGTAGTTCAGCTATTTAGGAGGCTGATGTGGGAGGATCACTTGAGCCCATGAGGTCAAGGCTGCAGTGAGCCGTGATCGTACCACTGCATTCCAGTCAGGGTAACAAAGTAAGACCCTGTCTCAAAAAAAAAAAAAAAGTAAAACCATGTCATTCTCATATAACTTTATTTTGAAATATATGCCTATTTTTCATAAAAGCATGTTACTTCCAGGAACATAAGTTTATCTTTAGGTACTAAACATAACAATATTTAGTATTAACGAATATTTGATTTCTAACATGGTAAATATTGATACACAAAAGCTCTTTGGGTCTGCAATAATCTGTGAACATGAAAAGATTCTGAGGCCAAGAAATTTGACCAACTTCCTTAAACTGACCAGAAGTACATGATCTATATCTACAATCTTCTTACAGTGTTTTACCACATCTGCTTCCTCTCAAGGCCTCTGGCTACTAATTTTAACTTGCTTTCACCTGTACATGCACAGGCAATAGGCCCCAGATGCAATTTCTCTGGGCTCTGGAGCACCTACCACTAGGGGATGAGGGCTGCCTCCAACACCCTACAGAAGCCTCACTACTGAGCATTTCAATTCAAACTGAACCCCTCCTGTGAAGAACTGAACCCTGTATGTGGCTGAGGCAGCACAAAATCACTGGGGGAAATTTAAAGGATTATCCTCCCGGGACTCCTCTCTAGACTTCCTGAATTAGAATTTCTGTAGCTAATGTGCTAGAAATCTGAATTTTTAAAATGGCTCCCCCAAGTGGTTCATTCAGGTGCCTGGTGAGATTTTGGAATCATCACTGTGGTGGGAGTTGAATTTTTAATTTACCAAAACAGGTCAATAAATAGGTTCAGTAAGGTTTACTAGAGGTCCCCCAAATCATAATCTATGTATGTTTTGCCTTCCCTATTCAAATGTGATAAATGAAGTGGGAAAGATTTTTTGGCCCATATCCATACAGAAGATGATCTCTCCCCTCTGTGCCTTTGCAGATGTTCATCCCTTCTCCTGGAATACACTTCCTCCCCACTTCGTTCCACTCTACCCTTCCCATAAATCTACTCATCCTTCAAAGATCAGCTGAAGTTATCATCCATTCCCTCACGCATTTAAAGAGTGAATCACTGCTTTTGTATCCTTAGTACTGTGTAAATGCCTCTATTAGCAAACATATGGTTTAACATGATAATTGCTTCTCTCTCTAGGATTCTGGATTTTTACTTCTCAGAGGCAGAAGCCATGCCATGCTCCTGCTGTAACCACAAGACCGAATACCCAGCTTACTACTGTCAGGTATAACTAATCAACATGGTATAACCACTTCTCCAGGAAATACCATTGTTTGCTGAATTAAACACAGACACACACACACACACACAAACAAAAACAAAAATGTATTTACTGTAGTTCCCAGCTACTTGGAAGGCTGAGGTGGAAAGATCACTTGAGCCTAAGAGTCTGAGACTGCAGTGAGCCATGATCACATTGCTGCACCCCAGCCTGGCTGACAAGATTGAGCCTCTGTCTCTAAAATAAATTAAAATTAAAATTCTGATAATGTATTTTGATGTATTTTGACTGATCTCTAAATTCCTATTTTATTCAATAACATTTACTTCTTCTGCTCAATCACAGCATAGGCAAAAATGTGCTGCTAATTAGTAATTTCTATTTAAATAAACATCATTTAAATATTTTTTGTCTCAAAACTTGAGCTTGCCCCGTCAGCGAAAGCATATGCTGACAAAATCAGCTGCAGGACTGATTCAGTAATGGACCTACCGATGCTCAGATGGTCTGGACACCTTGCCTCCTGAATTGTGTTTTCCCTTTCTTATGGATAATGTGTGATTTTAACAAAGGTTTTTTTCATTGCTTTGACATCCAACAAATGAGTCATTCAACAAATATTTATCAAAATCCAGGCAATCTTCTGGGTTCCAAGGGCACCAGAGTAAAATACATCCCTTCCCTCATGACAGTTAAGAGGTTTTTGCTGTGACCACTTCATTTGTTACCAAAAGAACAAAGCAGCAAAGCAACATTTATTTTAAAACTGCACTACCAACTGACAGAGTCCACAGATTGCTCCGACGAATGAAGCATGGTCGTCCGTCCCTACAAGCGGCAGCGGAAGGAACAACAACGTATAGGGTTGTGCATGCACTCAGCCACATCTCCACTCTCACAGGGCGGCACACTCTCAGTCCACACTCTCAGACAGAGCTAGCAGCTGATGTGTTTCAGAATTTTTTGTGTGTTTATTTTCAAGGTAACTAGTAACTTGCATAGAGTTTTTTTGTTTTGTTTTGTTTTGTTTTTTTTGAGACAGAGTTTTGCTCAGTCGTCCAGGCTACAGTGCAGTGGCGCAATCTCGGCTCACTGCAAGCTCCGCCTCCCGGGGGTTCACGCCATTCTCCTGCCTCAGCCTCCCGGGTAGCTGGGACTACCAGCGCCCACCACCACACCCAGCTAATTTTTTGTATTTTTAATACAGACAGGTTTCACCGTGTTAGCCAGGATGGTCTCAATCTCCTGACCTCGTGATCCACCCGCCTCAGCCTCCCAAAGTGCTGGGATTACAGGCGTGAGCCATTGCATCCGGCAGAGTCATCTAATCTGTACACAGTTTAGTAAGAAAAAAGTACTATATCAAATATATTGGCTATCCAGTTACCAGAAATCTCCTGATATTTCTTCCCCAACCTCTTTCTATAAATATTACTTCTTCTTTTCCTTCCAAAAGAAAAAAAAAATTTCCAAATTCATGCAAAGGAAGGCAACGTAGCTCAATGTTCTCTGGACCTAATTTCTTCCACTTCAAAAGGAGAATCATATTATCTGTGCCTGCTACTTCCCAATTCCAGAGGCAGACTGAAAAAATATCTCAATTTCTCTGAATGGAACAAATGAATTTCTTGAGGAAGAGTCAAGGACAATTTCACAAGTGATCACTGACTAAAATTTAATGTAATTAAGTAACTACTGCTACCATTATGCATATTTTTAAAAGGCAAATATTCAATATAATATGAAACGGACACAAGGATCAGTCGATGTAAAAAGCCAACTATTTAAAGCTTTCTGTTAGCATATTTTTTTAAGTCACCAAACTAAGACAACCTGAGTTTAAGATGAAAGGAAATGATGCAGCGGGATGGTGTTAACATTATTTTCTTAACACTGGAAGTAGTTTTAAAGAATAGATCATGGTCTGTCAACATATTTAGTTAAGAATTAACTTAATCACAACAAGAAGCATTAAAATTATTTAATGATTTAATAAGCATTAAAAATATTTTTCTAGTCAAGAACTATAATTTAGGCCAAAATCAGACATGCCAAATATATTTTCCCAGCAAGGGTACCCATGTCTTTATTTCCAGATGTTTTTCCTTCACAGAATACAAGCAACTGAAGTAAGTAGATGGCAACACAGGCATTGATATTAAGTCCAGACCAGATTTAATTTGTAAACATAGGCTTTTCTTAGTCTTTCTTGCTCTTTTCACAGAAAAACTCTGTTTTCTGGTGACACGTTTTAAAGAAGCACTAATTTCTGCCCTGAGTCACTTTTTACAAGTTGTTAACTTTTTATAAGTTTTTAAAGTGATTTTTTACAGCCAAAACCAAGGGATGATCATTGTCCCACACATCCCAGCTGATGACGTCAACGAGCAAAGAGATGAACAAAATAGTCAAAAAGCAATGAATCCATTCTGCACATGTACCCCAGAACTTAAAGTATAAAAAAAAAAAATAGCTGGGCATGGTGGCAGGCACCTGTAATCCCAGCTACTCGGGATGCTGAGGCAGGAGAATCGCTTGAACCAGGGAGGTGGAGGTTGCAGTGAGCTGAGATCATACCATTGGACTCCAGCCTGGGTGACAGAGCAAGACTCCGTTTCAAAATATATATATATATATATTTTTATGATCTCCTAGAATGCATTAAAATAGAAGGGACTTGTGCAAAAGCTAAAAAAAAAAAACCTAGTTCTGTTCCTCTTACAACAGCAACAAAAGAACAAAAAAATATATTTTCATTAATTCTAAATAAAACTTGAATTCTAACTCTAAAAAAAATTAACATTCAATTTCTTCTTTTCAAAAAAAAAAAAAAAAAGCAATGAATCAAATCCTACTGCCTTCAACATCTGCCACATTCAGCCTCCTCTGTCAAGGCTTCCCAAACTTCTCTCACCTTCTGACCTGTTATTATTTCGGTTGAATTATGTTCCCTAAAAAAGACATGCTGGAGTCGTAACACCCAGTACCTCAGAATGTGACCTTATTTAGAAACAGGGTCTTTACAGTGGTAATCAAGTTGAAATTAGATAATTAGGATGGGACCTAAACCAATATGACTGGTGTCCTTATAAAAAGTGAAAACGCATAAGGACTGGTATCCTTATAAAAAAGTAGACACGTATATGCACAGGGAGAATGCCTGCGAAGGTGGAGGCAAAGCTCAGGGTGCTGCTTCCACGGGCCGAGCGATGCCAAAGAGTCCCAGCGAGCCACCAGAAGCTGGAGGAGAGGCATGGAACAGATTCTCTCTCACAGCCCTCAGAGGGAACCAACAACCCTGCTGACACCTTAATCTTGGATTTCTGGCCTCCAAAACAGACAGTACATTTCTGTTGTTGAAGACATCTAGTTTGCGTACTTTGTTAGGGAGTTCTAGCAAACTAATACAATGCCTCCAGCTCTTCTGTCAAAAATTCAGCAACCGTAAACTACTTTCCACAGGCAGTGCTGCCATTGAGCCACTTCCTATGATTCTAAGTCCTCTAGTGGCAGGAAGTGATGTTTCACTGGCACGCTCTATAACATCTGGCAGGGTGCTGGTCTCCACCACACACACGACTGCAATCACTTCTGCACTACCCTAAGAAAAAAGCATTTATTGAATTCAACTGTGAATGTCACCAGATAGCAGCAGGACAAGTCAGGGGATGGGGGGCAATGTGTTACCATTACCACTTTGATACAGCATGAATCAGAACCCCAAAACAGGAAGAGTTCACTTATCTTCAACAGCTACCTTACCACCCTCTTCTCTAGCAAAGAAAAAAACAAAGAATGAAGAGCTTTGGCTAGTACCAAGAACTGAATCTGCTGGAGATGTTTATAAAATATAAATAAATATATTTATAATACATACAATGCATCTTAGTGGAACTATTAAGAAAAAGAAAAATACCGAAAGATAAAAGGATATATAAAAATTTTCTTGCCAGGCATGGTGGCTCATGCCTATAATCCCAGCACTTTGGGAGGTCCAGGCAGGTGGATCACTTGAGGTCAGGAGTTCGAGACACCTGGCCAACATGGTGAAACCCCATCTCTACTAAAAATACAAAAATTAGCCTAGTGTGATGGTGCGTGCCTGTAATCCCAGCTTCTTGGGAGGCTGAGGCACAAGAACTGCTGGAACTCGGGAGGTGCAGGTTGCAGTGAGCCAAGATTGCGCCACTGCACTCCAGCCTGGGTGAGAGAGCAACACTGTCTCCAAACACAAAGAAACAAAACAAAAAAAAAAAACACAGTAAAGCACAGGAAGAAGCATGATTGGAAAACTAGTGACAAAGAAATTTGGGGAAGAGGTATGTGGCTGGACCTCTCTGAGTGGTTGAAAACTGTGAAGATATTTGTATTCCATGTGAGTGCTCGCCAATGGGTGACCTCAGCAGAGGAAGATTTTAATAATCAAGTGGATAGGATCACCCATTCTGTGGACACCACTCAGCCTCTTTCCCCAGCCACCACTGTCATTCCTCAATGGGCCCATGAACAAAGTGGCCATGGTGGCAGGGATGGAGGTTACGCACAGGCTCAGCAACGTGGACTTCCACTCATAAAGGATGACCTGGCTACGGCCACCACTGAGTGCCCAATTTGCCAACAGCAGAGACCAACACTGAGCCCACGATATGCCACCATTCCTCAGGGTGATCAGCCAGCTACATGGTGGCAGGTTGATTATATTGGACTTCTTCCACCATGGAAATGGCAGAGGTTTGTCCTCACTGGAAGACACTTACTCCGGATGTGGGTTTGCCTATCCTGAACACAACGCCTCTGCCAAGACTACCATCCGTGGACTCACAGAATGCCTTATCCACCATCATGGTATCCCACACAGCACTGCCTCTGACCAAGGCACTGACTTTACAGCTAAAGAAGTGCAGCGGTGGGCTCATGCTCATGGAATTCACTGGTCTTACCATGTTCCCCATCATCCTGAAGCAGCTGGATTGACAGAATGGTGAAATGGCCTTTTGAAGTTACAATTACAATGCCAATTAGGTGACAATACTTTGCAGGGCTGCGGCAAAGTTCTCCAGAAGGCCGTGTATGCTCTTAATCAGTATCCAATATATAGTACTGTTTCTCCCATAGCCAGGATTCACAAGTCCAGGAATCAAGGGGTAGAAGTGGAAGTGGCACCACTCACCATCACTCCTAGTGATCCACTAGCAAAATTTTTGCTTCCTGTTCCCACAACATTACGTTCTGCTGGCCTAGAGGTCTTAGTTCCAGAGGGAGGAACACTGCCACTAGGAATACAATGATTCTATTAAACTGGAAATTAAGATTGCCACCTGGACACTTTGGGCTCCTCCTACCTTTAAGCCAACAGGCTAAGAAGGGAGTTACAGTGTTGGCTGGGGTGACTGACCCGGACTATCAAGATGAAATCAGTCTACTATTCCACAATAGAGGTAAGGAAGAGTATTCATGGAATACACGAGATCCATTAGGGCGTCTCTTAGTGTTACTATGCCCTGTGATTAAGGTCAATGGGAAACTACAACAGCCCAAACCAGACAGGACTACAAATGATCCAGACCCCTCAGGAATGCTTTGGGTCACTCAACCAGGAAGAAAAACACGACCTGCTGAGGTGCGTGCTGAAGGTGAAGGGAATACAGAATGGGTAGCAGAAGAAGGTAGTCATCAATACCAGCTATGACCACGTGACAGTGGCAGAAAAGCGGACTGTAACTGTCATGAGTACTTCCTCCTTTTGTTAAAAACATGTTTGTGCAGGTATACACTTGTACTAATATCTTAATTTTATTTCCTTTTCCTTTATCATGTGACATAGGATTTACTGACTTCATATCAGGATTTAAGCATTGTTAACTTTATGTAATAGTATTTGGGTTGGGGATTGGTGCGTTTCCGGTTGCAGGAAGGATAGTTGTATTATGTTAGCTGTAATTACGACCTTACTATTGTCTTTATTTGAAGATTATGTCTGATCTCAGGAGGTGTGTATGGGCTCAAGTAGACAAGGGGTGGACTTGTGATGGTTAATACTGAGTGTCAACTTGATTAGATTGAAAGATGCAAAGTATTGATCCTCGGTGTGTCTGTGAGGGTGTTGCCAAAGGAGATTAACATTTGAGTCAGTGCGATGGGGAAGGCAGACGCACCCTTAATCTGGTGGGCACCATCTAATCAGCTGCCAGCGAATATAAAGCAGGCAGAAAAACATGAACAGGAGAGACTGGCCTAGCCTCCCAGCCTACATCTTTCTCCCGTGTTGGATGCTTCCTGCCCTCAAACACCGGACTCCCAAGTTCTTCAGTTTTGGAACTTGGACTGGCTCTCCTTGCTCCTCAGCCAGCAGACAGCCTATTGTGGGACCTTGTGGTCATGTGAGTTAATACTTAATAAACTCCCCTTTATATATACATATCTATTCCATTAGTTCTGTCCCTCTAGAGAACCCTAACTAATACAAATACCAACTGCTAAATGCAGAAACATAAGAGTAAGAAAAATCACCATTTTGTACCCATTACAAAGTAAGAACTAGTGTTTGGTAGTACAATAGGGCAACAGTGGTTTACAATAATTTACTATATGTCTCAAAATCACTAAAAGAGTAGAAGTGGAATACAAAGAAACACAAACAACACGAAATAACACAAAGAAATTAGAAATGCTTGAAGCGATTTTGGGTACCCCAATTACCCTTATTTGATCATTACACATTGAAAGCTTGTATCGAAATCTCACGTATCTGTACATAAATATGTACAAATATTATGTATCCATAATTAAAAGAATTAAAAATTAAAAAAAAATAATTTTTCCACATCCATAGTAAGAATGAATTTAGGCAAGAATAATTTAATAGATGCTAACAGTAGTGTGTGAAGATTTGATGAGTAATGACAGATTTATCAAACTATTCTCATAAATTATTAATTGCAAAGGGAAAATAATAAGTTCACAGTGGGGAGATCTATCAGACACAAGACACACAAAAGGATTAAAGTAATATCACCAACAATGTATATCCTAATGCCATACACTGAAAAGGACACAATGGCACCTCTAATGTTGCCAAAAATGTATAATCTGAATCTAATCATGATTAATCTAGGCAGATAAATCAAATTGAGTAGCATTCTACAAAATAAACATTCCATAGACCTTAAAAATGTCAACTTCATGAAGACAAAAAGGCAGCTTTGGAGTTGGTCTAGATGAAGGCGAGTAAAAAGACATGAAAGCCAAATGCAAAATGTGATGATCCTGAACCAGGGGAAAAAGAAAATCAATGCAATAAAGAGCATTAATTTGTCTATCTGCAAAAGAGTTATAGGTTATAAAGCATTGTAGTAATGTTCAATTTCCTAATTTTAATAATACCCAGTTTTTATAAAAGAATATCTTTGTTTTGGAAAAAAAAAAGTGAAAGTACTTAAGGGTAAAGAGGCACATGTATGTTTAAATGGCAGTAGGTGGGGGGAGTGAAAGAGAGAATAATAAAGCAAATGTGACAAAATGTTAAGAATTAGTAAATCTGGGTAAAGGGCTTATGGAAATTCTTTGTACTATTCTTGCAAATTTTCTGTCATTTGAAATTATTTCAAAACAAAAGGTGTATCTCGTTCTTGTACGGGACACTAGACTCAGCTAACAGTGGTGCATCCAAAGGAATCTCTTCTACAACATTTGCTAAGTAACAGCCAGTTCCTGCTAATACACATTGGATAGGTAGGCAGGCAGTGCAGTTTTACATACTACCTCTACTTTAAGAAGGTTTTCTGAAGTAGATTGCAGTAAATGTCACAAACATATATATATTTTTAAATCAGAGCTGGAAAAACTAGATCCATAATTAAAAAGAATTAACTTAAAAATGGGGAATAGGCCGGGCACAGTGGCTCACGCCTGTAATCCCAGCATTTTGGGAGGCCAAAGTGGGTGGATCACCTGAGGTCATGAGGTCAAGACCACAGTCTGGCCAACATGGTGAAATACAAAATTTAGCTGGGTGTGGTGGCAGGTGCCTGTAATCCCAGCTACTTGGGAGGCTGAGGCAGGAGAATTGCTTGAACCTGGGAGGAGGAGGTTGCAGTGAGCTGAGATCGCACTGCACTCCAGCTTGAGTGATCGAGTGAGATTCCGTCTCAAAAAAAAAAAAAAAAAAAGGCGGGGGGGGAGCTGGGGGAGCGGAACAAACTGGCTTACGCAGAGTTTGTTAAATGTACTATGGATGCCCTATTCCAGTTGACCATGTTCTGGTCAATCTGATTTGGACGCAGTTCTTTAACCACCTAACTCTACTCTGATCCCTCCACATGTACTATCTCTATACCACGTTGTTCCCCCTTTTCTACAAGTTGTGAAACCAGCTAGTTTAAAAATCCTGTGCTGAAGGCAGTCTACACTAGTGTTTCTCAAAGTGTGAGACATGAGCGGTCAGCCAGCTCATCGTAGGTAGGGCTCATTCATGCAATTCACATCACTCAGTTAAATGGAGATTCCCTTCTAAATTATTTTTGTATTTACTTTCACAGATATTTCCAATATGTGGCAAGTGATATAATTATGGATGGTAATGATAAAATGCTTCTTTGAAAACTACATTTATTTAAGCAAATATAATAAGATGACAGTTTAAAAAAAAGTAATTAATGAAACAGGAATATGGCTGTTGTAAATGACTGAGGTTTAGAAAACTTTGATGGCTATGCATATGACATTTCCAAATTTGATTTATGAAGCTAGAGAAGTGAACTATCCGACTGTGAGTTACATGAAAACTCTTGCAGCAAGTGCTAACTGAATGAAAAACAATTTCTTATTGAAGATAATAGATAATATTTTAGAAAGTGCGCCCATGGTTTTTGAGATTATAGTAAAAATCAAAGTATGGTAAGACACTCTTTTAAACATACATAGTAAATCATCGTTTTATCATTGTTTAGGAAAAAAAGACCACGTCTCAATGTAAAAAATTTTGTCTGTGGAACAGTCCGAAAAATTTTGAAGAATAATGGTATAACCTACTGAATCCCAAATATTTACTTGTATCTTCCTATGAAAATAAATATACCAACTACAATGACAATAAAACTCTAGTAAAGTTCTAGGAAAAATTTTTAGGGTATACTTAGGCTTTGTCGATTCTTAACAATCTTATGAACATGAACAATGCAACCTGCTTTTAAAGAAGAAACCCACATGTCTGATTCCAAAACAACAGGCCTTACCAAGGGCTGCTGGGGCTGCATTGCTTGGAGACCAAGGGTCTGACTCTGGGACTGCGAGGACTGCTGGGGCTGGGGAGGCTGCTGGGGCTGGGGCTGCTGGGGCTGCTGCATCTGGAAAGAGGGTAAAAATGTTATACACTTAAAAGGAAGAAGAAAACAGCATTGCTGAATCTGTTTCCCCCATATACCTTTTATCTAATTTTTATGTTGTAGTAAAAACAATATATACCTGCCTGCTGCATCTCTACCTTGCTGAACCTCATTCGTCCTTTTGAGGGCAAGACCTAAACCTGCTCATCCATGAAGCCTTCTAGGACCACCCCAACCCTACGGATCTCTTCCACTGGCAGTCAGTACTGCTGTCTATTCCACACTGCGCTGTCCGGGGCCATCCCTTCTGCTTACTGTTTTAATTCCTTTCATGTCCTTTGTCCTTCCGCATGTTTTATCCCTTCTTACACTACAGGTTGGACGGGGACTGCTCAGTAGTAATCCTCTCATTCTTTATGATATCTGGCAGAATTCTTAAAGGTTTTTTTTTGTTTTTTGTTTTTTTCCAAAAGGAAGAGGCAGACTAGTCGCCATGACACCTTCTGGCATAATTTACATCAGAAATTCAGAAATCATGTCAGTAACAGGGTTGGCTCAAACACACAGCTCTTGGAAAATGCTTCCAAGTCACAGAAAAAGCACAGACCAGACATCCACAAGGTGGGACACAGAGGAGAGAAAAATATTAATAGTTGTTTTGTTTTGTTTCAATGACCTTTAAAATTTCCTCCACCCAAACACTTCATCCTGATAATGATGACAGTCTAGACATTTCTTCATCTTTTGTACTTTTCCAACTTGGTTTGCATACTATCCCCTCAATTACTGGTCTGCTTTACAGCCAACTAATAAATAGCTATTGCCATATGGCATGTCTCACTAAGTGACAATGCTCATGGATCTGGAATCCTAGCAGAGGTCTGGGTAGCATGATCCCAACAAGAACAACGCAAGTTGGACCCAAATCACAATGACTGCAATATGATTCTCCAGTTAGCCCTCTAGAACCTCTTCTAAGAAAAATTAACCCAACTTCATCATTATTAACTTTTTCCTTTACAGAGGTGGCCAGTCACCAAAAAAGAAGTATAATCCTGTTGTAGAAGCAAATCACTTATCTCCAGGGAAGAATGTGTTGATGATGAAAAAATTACCAGAAGGACATATTATGCTAATTAGGATAAAAAGTACATATGGTCTAATAAGAAAAGGCTTTCCGTATTTGCAGCCTTGAAAAACACCAACATAAGATTTAAAACTGGTAAGTAAACAAATAATGTGGTAACTTTCCTCAGTGATTTGGAAATGAGAAATTCTAAACTAGAGCAAAATATAAATTATCAATCCTAAAAAATTCTGAAACATAGCCTCAGAACTTGGAAAAAATGATTTAAGAAAGTGAGTACTCATAGTAATGATAATAGTCATAACATTAATCGTAAAATTATCAAATGAGTGGTTTACTTGAATATTCTTATTTAATCCTTTCTACATATTTAAGAGATAGGTACTATAAGTATTTCCATGACAAAACAGGATTAGAGAGCTTTTACCATTGGAAACAACATCTATACAATGACTGAGATTGCTATCTGAAGGCCATACTCTCCTAATCGGTTACCACATGTTATCAATTTTGTGATACAACTTTTTTTTTTTTTAACATTTTTAACAGGTCACAAATTGGGATGGAACTAATGACATCTTACTACTAATGGCATCTTATAATTGGGAAGCCCAGTTCCAGAGGGTGTGTTGGCTTTTGCCTGTCACCTGGGCACTACCAACCAGAATTTTGTGGATCACACTGAATTCAGACTCAAACCCACCGGAGCTTGTGGTTCAAATGCTCAGGGGAGATATTTGTTTCTCCCCTCTATCCAGTGTCAAGGATAAGACATCCAAGCTCCTTTGTGTCCCTTTCTGCATGGCAGGTTTACTTCTCACTGACCTCATACCGAGTTGAGAGTACAGCCCTTGGGCACTCCAGCTCTACTAGATTCCTCATTTTTGGTGTTCTGTTCTTGGTAGTATATAAAGTAAGTGTGTATCTCAAGTTGGACTGCTGATAAGATTAGAGCCCACTGTACAGTCTCCTTAGGAAATCTCCAGTCCAATAACATAGGACAAGCTTGTTAATATTGAAGACAAATGACACAGGTAAACATAATGGCCTATATTTTTTAAATAAGCAAGTCAGAAACAAGAACATATCAAGGAAGCTGCGTGTGGTGGCTCACACCTGTAATCCCAGCACTTTGGGAGGCCGAGGTGGGCGGATCACTTGAGGTCAGGAGTTTGAGACCAGCCTGGCCAACATGGCAAAAACCCGTCTCTACTAAAAATACAAAAAAATTAGCCAGGGGTGGTGGTGGGCGCCTGTAATCCCTGCTACTCAGGAGGCTGAGGCAGGAGAATCACTTGAACCCGGGAGGTGGAGGTTGTCCAGCCTGGGTGACAGAGGGAGACTCCGTCTTAAGGGGAAAAAAAAAAAAAAATGTATCAAGGGGAAGAACCCTTTATCTAACTGACTTAAAATGTACATCAAATAAGTGAATGACAGTTCTCTGGATTCTAACAAAGACAAGATGAAATATCCTTTGAAACAGTCTATGTTCCTCCCATTTCACAGCCTTATCAGACCAGAGGTGTTATAGAAATGTTTTTAGATTGCAGAATGCTCTAGGAATCTGATGAAAGCTCTGGATGGCTCAGTTTTTTGTTTTCACATTTATGACACTTTTAAAAAATTTGCATGGCTCCTACTTAAACAGAGACTGGGTAAGCTGAGGCCAACTCTATTAAAGGCATCCGTCTGCCCTCCCAAACCTTTGTGAAATGGGAAGAATGTTCTGCAAAACGTACTCTTCTGCCCATAACCTGGTAGATACACAGAGAAAATAAAATTCTTGCCAAGTTGTAACTAAATTGTACCAATGTAGCTCCTAGCATCAAATCCACAGGGATCCTTGGAATCTGGCAATTGACAACTATAGTGTTTTTCATTTTTTATGACTGTTGCATATTTGCACTGTCTGAAGGGTGATGGCATTGCCCTCATCTCCCTGCCCCGTACCTGGAGGAGTCTCTGCTGCTGTCGAACTTGCGGCTGTCTGGGTCTCATGGGATCCTGAGGCAGGGGCACGGAGGGAAGGTTTGGATGTGCAGAAGTCAGCACAGCATCAATTCCCCCGCCCACCAGAGGGCTCTGCTGTAGAGCCTGATGGTTCAGTCTGGCAAAGAATAATGCAACTTGGTTCAGGCCCAAGCATAATGTCAAACTTTTAATCAGTGCTACCAGCACATGACATACACCAACCAAGAAACAATCAGTGCTCAATAATCCTTTGCACAATTCAAATAGACTAAAGCCCAGTGGTTAAAATAATAGATGTGACCACTTGAAAAAGTACAGCAAGCACATGACTTAAGGTAAAATTGCAGTCATGCAATAAATCACTTTTTAAACATTTAATAGTTTTTAACAACGAGGAATATTAATTGAGCATTTACTTTGAAGCAGGCACTGTACTAAAGGTCTGAAATGTGTTACTTCATTTACTCCCCACCAGAGAGCCCTTTAAGGTCAGCAGTTTCGTTATCCCTACTTTAAAAATGAAAAAACAGAGCTAGAGGTAACTTATTAAGAAAGCAAATGGCACAGGTGGGATTTGAACCCAGAACTTTTGGGCTTTGAAATTCAAGTTTGTGGGCCATGCTATGCTGCTATTTATTATAAAAATTGTACATACAATGCACATTTTCCAAATTATTATCCAAAATATCTATTTTCTCAAATGTGTTACCATCAACCTTGCTAACTTTCCAAAGAGCGATTACTTGGAGTCGTCATGCAGCCATTGATGGTAACAGATGGGAGCTGTGCTGCTATCCACTAGATGGACACGTTTTACATGATGCTGCTAAGACAGTACTATCCAACAGAACTTTCTATGATGGCTGCAATGTTTTCTCTCTGCGCTGTCCAATAAGATAACTACTAGCCACAAGAACGAACTGCATAATTTTGGGGTCTCAGTGAATAACGAAAACACAAGGCTCCCTGATCAAAACTTAGTAAGAATTTCCACAGAGAAACTGCAGAGCATTAAACTAAGCATGAAGCCTTTTTAAACACAGGCCCTTCTAAACACAGTGCACGTCACACACCATTGAAGCTAGTCCTGCTGGCCACATTTGGCTACCACTGAACACTTGAAATGTGACTAGTGTGACTGAGGAACTATATTATTAATTTAATTTTAAATAGTCTAAATTTAAACAGCCACAGGTGGCTGGCAGCTACTACAACAGACAGTACAGTTATACACTCTAAGGGATCTAATTAAACAAGAACAGAAAAAAGTCTATCATAATCCTGTTTTGCCAAATATCTTTGAGGTGGAAAAGGTAGAAACTAAGTTATAACAAAACTCTCATGTGCACCATGCACAATTAGTATTGCAATCACACATTTTATTGCTCCAATCAACAAATTGTAGTAAGGCATTCCTAACAATAATCAAGAGTTTTCTCTGTTAGATATGTTCAGAGAATTTTTAAAAAAGAAGAGGAAAAAAAAGAACACTGAAGCAAACACACTATCACGTAAAGACTGTTACACTCATGTCTTGGAAGACATGAGTCAAAACTGTAAGGATCTTTAATGAAATAAACAAGATGGAGCATTCTTTATGTTGAACCTCTATCTGGATACTACTAAAAACGAGATGACAGAATGCAAATTATCTGCAAATATGCAAGCTCATAAAAACAATGATAAAGTACCATGCCCTATAAGAAGCATAAGAAACCCGAGAATGTGACTGTTCATTATTGCCATCATCATTTCCACATGTATCACCTCTGAGAGCCAGTCAGGGGCTGCAGGTACGGCGAGGCCTGCTGCTGAACATAGCCACTCGGCTGCTGCTGAATCTGTCTGAGTCTTTCCATTAGCACGGGGTTGGAATGTGCGGCCGGATAGGCTCTGGAGTTATAGCTGGGAGACAGGACCACACTGCCAGCCTGCTGCTGCGATGTCTGCTGCAAAGGCATCTGTGTCCCATACATTGTATAGCCCTGTGGCATGGTCTGCAGGTAGGCACAAGGGAAGAAGTCAATGTTTCAACTTATCACCTAGCTTTCCCATCACTACGATATATGGGGCAAAAACAAACCCATGAGGACTCCCCTGAAATTCACTGTTTTCAAAGGTTCTCATAACTCAAAATTTGAGGAGGACTACCCTGGATGCAGGGAATATGGTCAGAAAAGCCACAGAATGATCTGGCTGTGTAATGACTCACCAGAAATGTCAACTTAAAAAAAATGAATCCTCATTTAGTTAAACTGGCTTTTAAGATTAGCTGCTTATTTTTAGAGAAGGGCATGTTTCTATATAGAAACAATCAGGCAAGCATCTAAATCTTCAGTGCACAGATGACACCAAAGTTCAACAGATGAAGTATTATTAATATCATTTCCAAAATTAGAAAAGCTACCCATGCTCAAATGTAAATTAAAATAATGAAATACACTTTTCCAGTATGTGACTACACCTCTTCAGGTCTGATAAATGTGTGTGTAGTAACTAACCAGTTCCAAAACAATAACAAAAAACTATTAATACCTTAGCCAGGAATGGTGCAATTGGTAACTGTTCATTATCCTCTAGTACGGGCTGGACCTAGTTTGGCACTCTACTAATAATGTGAACACTTAATTTACCTAATGAATATTAATATACAAGTACCTAGTTCTTTGTGTATTGTCACCTTATGGAAAAGAGAAACCTGAAGTTCTGTTGGATCACTAGGTACAATTTATAGAACACAATGCTAATTAAGGTAGAACAACATTGCTCTTCAAATCCTCAAAGCACATTTTCAGGTAGTTTAATGCCTCTGACTTGGAAGACAGAGAAATGGATAATGAACTTCTAGCAGGCAGCATGAATGGATCCAGGCTGAAGGACGCAGTGCCTGTGTAGGCCAATGTGGGCTTTTCTTTCAGCTGTGGACATAGATTGAATTGTCAATCCAACTAGCAATCTTGCCAACACCCCTGCATTCCTGATTCCCAGAGGGATGGGGTGAGAGTATACGAATACAGAAATAGCAAAATTATTAGTAAAAGTAGCTCAAGATTTGCATTATATTGTGTATCAGGCACTATGTTAGTTCCATAGGTTAGTTCCACTGGTTGTTCCATAGGTTGTCCTCATACACTTCATCTCTATTTTACAGAGAAGGAAACCGAAGCTCAGAGTAAGTAACTCACACAATGTCACACAGCTAGTAAGTTGCTAGGAACTGTGCCAAAGTCTGATTTCAAGCCCCGTTATTTTCTTATTCTACCATGATTCCTCATTGATGCTATCTTTGAATATGACAATTTCTATTTATTTATTTATTTTGAGACAGGGTCTTGCTCTGTTGCCCAAGGCAACAGATCACAGCTCACTGCAACCTCAACCTCTCAAGCTCAAGCGATCCTCCACTTTAGCCTCCCGTGCAACTGGGACTATAGGTGCATGCCACCACGCCTGGCTAATTTTTTAATTTTTATTTTCTTTTGTAGAGACTGAGTCTCACTATGTTACCCAGGCTGGTCTCAAATTCTGGGGGTGAAGCAATCCTCTCACCTTGGCCTCTCAAAGTGCAGATTACAGGCATGAGCCACTGAGTCCAGCCCAAATATGATGACTTCAAAACTGAATTACATCATTATACATTATAACATAAAAGAAGTAACTCTGGGATTGTTAAGTATTTCAATATCTATAATCATCACTAATAAAAGGTTTGAATTTACACTTTTAAAGGGTTTTCTAGAATGTTTTATGCTCCTTAATCAATCCTAAGACTTCAACAATCCTGATCATGCTTTTTTGAAATATCAATTATAATCTATAAGTAGAAGAAGTAATCAAGTTCTAGACCCTATAGGGAGTTGATATATTCTATTTACTTAATTTCCCACCTCCAATAAAGAGCTTTGAAAATCCTGTCAGTACCTACAAAGCAAATGTGGGTACCTGTGCTTGCTGCAGCCCTGGATACTGAGGGAGCTGAGGGGAGGGCCGTGCTTGCGCAGCAAAGAGAGCAGCCTGGTCCCCCGGCTGGCCCTGGAAAACAAAGCCAAAGCAAACTCTTGATCATAACAGCAAGGGCTTGATTTGAGCTTCTGGTTAATAATCCAAATAACCCACATCTAATCTCATTACATGGATAAAGAACTCAAAGATTTTCAAAATGTATTAAATATTATTTCTCATCAATATCCTATGTGTTTAGACTGTTGAACTTATTCCTTCCAAAGAAGACTACAGATTTTCCCAATGATAACAAAGCCATAAATACAAGCCTAAGTTATCAATGGTCTGCTCAGCAGAGAGGCTGTCAGCTGGCTTCCAATACATGCCAGGGTATAAATGTCCCACTAAGTGTGAAATCTGGAACCACAGGGCTGCACTACCCAGTGCCTATAAAGGGAAGAGAACGTGTGGTACAGACACACGGTGGCATATAAAATTTTTATGACTTTTTAATGAAGCTTCTTCACAGTGACCTACTAATTGCCTATTTAGCCAGATATTCAAGGAATACATTTAGTACTTTCTATGACTCTAAAAATCAATGAGAATATAGTCGATAAATTTTGTAAGTTAATGGCAAACATAATTCCAACCAACTACAATGCAAAATAAAACCAATTAACATCTGTTCACCAATCTTAATCTAATACATGTTTTGGCCATAAGAAAACAAATATATTCACAAGAGCAATGGTATGTGTGTTTTATGTTTTGGTGGCAGAAGTTACTTCATGGAAGCTTGCAGTAATAATCATAAAAATAATCCTAGTTTCCTACCACTCTGTTTTTTTTTCAGGACTTACTGATTGTAAAGAATGAGATTTATTGTAGGATTATTTTACTACTGTCTTTAACAGAGATTCTCATTTTAAAAAGTGCTAAATTATAGTTACATAAAGCTATTTTAATGTGTTTGAAAAGTAGTGTAGGTATTTCTAGCAGGGAGAAAGGGATAAATATGTAGCTTAAGAGGAAGGATATCAACGATTATTAAGAATCGATCATATTTCAGAGGCTGGGCTTCTGGTTCTTACTCTCATTTTCTCACAAGAACCCTATAGGAAAGGAGCATCATTCTCATCTTCTTCAGACAGGAAAAGCCAGGCTCAAAGAGCTTAAGCAACTTAGCAAACTTGCCCAGCAAGACCTGGCAGTGCCATGATCTAAACTCCAGGAAGTCTGACTTGAAAGCCTAGGGCTCTTTCCATTATCATGAGATGCCTCCATGTGTGACATTAAGGATGAAAATACTTATTTGGTGCTTATTATTTAAGGACATATAGCCTCTTAAAATCATCCTAATGAAAAACCAAAAGGACAATCTCTATTAAGCCTTATTAATGAGATACCAAAACCAAATGCATACCTAAGACAGTTAAGCCCTTTCTCTGATCCCCACAAAAAAAATCACGTGGCCATTTACGAAACTTCAGCATCTCTCTAGGTGACTATCTATCTACACATGAATGAAACATAAATTTTTGAGTGTACCTCTGAGGGTATTTATACATACAAGAATCTTACTTTCAGAGTAGGCTATCATGAAGATACTCTTAGTCTCTAACTCATTAATCTGTTAAAAAAACAATTGTATCTCCATTTGCTTGGGTTAGAGAAATATAGCCCAAACTTCCTCTGTGAGAACACATACCATGACAGTATGACCATCAGGAGCCTAAAACTGTTCTTCCCAAAGAATCCAAATGGCTCTTGATCCTCCAAACACTATGCCAAGGAATAATTAAATCAACCAGATCCTTAAAGACCACTCCTGGACACTAGCATCATACAAGGTCCCTGAGACATACTGTTGTGCTTCTTTGTAGAGACAAATATATGTATATTACCATTTTTACAAAACAGAAAAATCAACTATTTATATATGAGTTAGAATCTAGGGATCTATAGGTAGTTTATAACACTCGTGCCCTCTTTTGGCTTTGTGGGAAGCAGAATGCGATCTGCATGTGACAGCTGCATTCAGATGCATAAAGCAGATGTTTTCTAACTCTTCGCTCTTCTTTTGCTTTTATTGAAGAACTTTATGAAACACATTATGACTTACATGGTGGGGGGAGCTAGAATACTAATAAGGTATATATCTGAGCTATTGGGCAATATTCTTATTTACATATATTAGTTGAGATCATGGGAATTTAAGAAATAGGAACTGGGCAGGTGCGGTGGCTCACGCCTCTAATCTCAGCATTTTGGGAGGCCGAGGCGGGTGAATCACCTGAGCCCAGCAGTTCGAGACCAGCCTGGGCAACATGGTGAAATCTGATCTCTACAAAAAATACAAAAAATTAGCTGGATGTGCTGACACGTGCCTGTAGTCTCAGCTACTTGGAAGGTTGAGGTGAGAGGATTCCTTGGCCTGGGAGGCAGAGGTTGCAGTGAGCCAAGATCGTGCCACTGCACTCCAGCCTGGGCACCAGAATGAGACCCTATCTCAAAAAAAAAAAAAAAAGAAGAAGAAGAAATGGAAACTGAAAACTATTATTCTACATTTTTAAAAATCACAAAACATTCAGAAAATTGTGCCATACTTTTAAAAGGAAAAAGAAATA
Organism: Homo sapiens; assembly: GCF_000001405.40. Lineage (NCBI taxonomy): Eukaryota > Metazoa > Chordata > Mammalia > Primates > Hominidae > Homo > Homo sapiens. The sequence continues at coordinate 151,406,702 of NC_000003.12, read as the reverse complement.
CAAATGGAAATATAGTTTTTGTATATAGTTTTATACCATGTTCAGGTACACACCCTAACATTTTCCACCTTTATGTCTAAAGGTGAACTATTTATATGTGAGCATATTATGTTTCCTCCTGACCACCAGTTTGTCCCAACATACTACTTAAGTATGGAAAATAATTCAGATATGCAATATTCTCCCTGAGAAAATCACAAACATCCCTATTTGACTAGCACTTCCCAATTTTGCCAGGCATAGCTGTTATCATCATGTGCTCCTAAAAAGAAAACACCCTAATCTCTCCTATCAGAATGAAATGGATTCCTACTTTTCTTTGTTTTTCCAAGAATAATGTCAGGAACACATTATTTCAATTTGTAGAAACAGTTCAATTAGTTGAGAACAGAATGAATAAGTTCTTTAATAACTTGAAATATTTTACAAATGTTAAATAAGAACCACAATGTGGGAATAATAAAGGAAACTAGAGACTGAGAATTAGTAAAAAAACTTTTAAATGTTGGTAGGCATGGGTTTGGCCACATTAAACCAAGAACAGACTATCTAACATGTCATCCAAACTAGGACAAGACAGGGCAAGAGGGCAAAGTGAGACCATGCCTGGCAAATCAGGACATCTGGTCACCTTAGTTATCTGTTAATTTCTGAAAAATTTTTAAGCTTTATTTTTAATTAGTGCCTAGCACATATAGTAAGTGCTCAGTAAATATCTGTTCAGAATAACTAAGATTTAATTTAGTTTATCTGTTAACCAAGAAATCCAGAGGCAAATTAGGATTTATGTTTGAGCATCAATTACTTTACCAAGTGCTTTCTAATTGCTTCACAGTTGTCAGCTCCATCTTTTGAAAACTCAAATTTAATTTAATGTTTAGCATCTATCATTCTAATGATTTCTTCTTCCTGCCAGCATTAGTATCTGAAGAGTAACTTAATTTCTCCCTATTTATTCTGCTCAACCAAAACAACTGAGGCCACTTTAACTTCATATTTTTTAATGCATGGAGAGAACTATATGGGAACATGATTTGTTTGTTTTTGTTTATGTGAAACACAAAGTGAGACAGCATCTCACTTTGTTGCCAAGGCTGTAGTGCAGTGGCAAGATCATACTTCACTGCGGCCTCAAATTCCTGGACTCAAGAGATCCTCCAACCTTGGCCTCCTAAAGTGTTGGGATTATAGGTATGAGCCACTGCATCCAGCCTGCAGGAAGATGGTTTTTGGTGGCATATTTGTGTCTAGGCAGGTGCTATGTGATTTTAAGCATATCAGTAAGAGAGAATAAGATATTTGTTCCCTGCTCAAGCTTCCATGGCTCAGATACCTGACTTGTATGTGCAAAGGGAATGATCTACAGAGAACTGGGACAGTCTAATAATTGTATAAGCCCATCTCTACATTGCTACCTGAGGTAAATTCCTACACATGGTCTCTTTACTTCATTTTCATGCACTCTGCTTTGGGCTTACCTCTATAAACAAAATATAACATTAAATAAATATGTACTTTCTAAAATTTCCATTTTTAAAAAACTTCTAAAGAAGCTGTGCTGTTCAATACTGACCTATCTTCCTAACCTTTATAAGAAGAGTTCTCTCTCTTACTGCTGTATTTTTTAATTAGACAGAAGTATGTGAGCTCAAAGAGATGTTGACTCAAAGGCTTTTGGCATAATTTGAAATGAATGCATCCGATAAGTTTTAAATTTTTAATGATCCTCGAACATAATTTTCATTCTTCTGTGTCTTAATCTGATCTGTATTAGCAACTACACCCTCAATCAAATGAGAAAATGTGAAGATCTCCTTTTCATGTAGGACTGGTTATACCTCCAATTAGCAATCAGTAAGGATTATAATCAGAGCATTTTAGAATCAGGAGTTTCCTATCCACTCAATTTACTAGTAATGATTCAAATCCTTATTTAGTAATTTTTCAGTAGTGTTTAAGGGTTACAAGTAGAGAGACAAGTTATATCTATAAAAACCACAGCCAGATTTTGTGACTTGGTTTCTGGAAATACTGATTTGGAAAAAAGTAATAAAAGGCACATAACAAAAACCAGTGGGTAATGTTTTACAAGTCACCTAGCAGAAAGGGTTTTATTTATAACTCCTAGTTTGGAAGTTACTGAGTGCTTTAGGCTAAAACACCACATGGTATGAACCAGAAGTTGTGGTCATTACATCATACTGGTTTATTTCAACTGCAGACAACAGAGAGAGGAAATTCTAAATTATAAGAGGTCTTGTTGGCTAGTTATGCTTGATACTTTTAAAAGTTTTCACCTCAAATACGACTTGGTTGGGAATCAATGAACAGTAACTAACTGCTAGAATAGTCTGATTCATTCTAAAACAAACACATCCCATACAGTAATGAACCTTTATGATTTTAGCATGTCCATATATTATAAGAACTGATTGAGTATAGATTCATTAACTTCCTAAGAAAGCAGAATATTATAGAAAAATAAGAGTGGTAAAATGGATAGCAAAAATACACATTTTCATTACTTTGAATTAATATAGAAATCACGGAACCTTCTTTTGACTTTAAATACTTATACATAAAATAGCTGTCAATAAAAACATTTTTTAAAAAGCCAGTGATTGATGCAAATTGTTTTCTATCTGAATTACATTATCACCTGAATAATAAACAATGCCCTATAGCAAACATAAGCTGTCTCCAAAACATTTTTGAACTTCATAGTTTAACTCAAGTTTTTCAATAAAATCCTCACCTGCCCCCTGAATACCATAAACTGTCAAGAAAAACTGAGTCTTTTCAGAAAAGTTTCCAAGCTTTCCTTTGCTGAAATAACTATTGGAGAAAATGCTTATACAACAAGTATTAAATAACCTAAATATTTTCAAAGTTTGAATATGCAGTTAAGGATATCTTTATCAATGTATAGATAATGTTACCCATTAAAATGGCAGTGAAACAAGTTAACTTACAGTCACATCTGAGATGTGTGCTCTTTTTTATTCTAATGCTTCTTGGGTTTATGTTGTGGGTTGGCTACCTGATACAGAAACCTATAAGTAATTTAATGCAAAACATGCATTCTTAGCTAGCCCAGGCAAAGCAGTAGAGATGAAGTCTTATGACATGCATGCACAAGACCTATGCTCAAAAAAAAATCTTCTCCATACTGGAAAGAAAATAGAGATGATGTGTTCCGTTGAGATTTTGGGAATAGCCAGTGAGTGGGATGTGATGAGAGGGTAAGTTTCATAACCACAGTTTTCATTATCTTGCATTGGCCTATGAATCAGCATGCCATGCATTCCTCTACTAATGATATAAATTACCACAGAGAGAAGCAAGAGCTCAGGAATAGACAGGTTCAAAACTGGGACTGAGATGAAGGTGCACGAACTGGTCTATGTTCCCAAGCCCAGGCCATGAATGTCTATTGGTTTCTATACCATAGATGTATATGATGGAAATCATGAGGCGATCAAAGGGGTGCATTTTCAGAAAAAAACTTCCATTAAATTAAACATGGTCAATGCATTCATGATTCTGTGTTACAGTCTCAAACATAAACCGAGTTAACAGTGAAATGAAGACTATAATTATTACCAGCTACAGAAAAACCTGCTTCTCATTTTGACGTTCAAAGGGCAATGCTATAAAAATTTATTAAAAAAAAAAAGAAAAAAGAAAAGAAAGAAAAAGGAAGGAATGACAGCAGGGGTGTTACCATTATGTTGTCAAAGTCTTCCAGAAGGGAGACAGCAGAGTTACAGAAGTCCTACAGAAAGGGGACAGCAAGAAAATGGCAGACAATACAGATAAGATTTTTTAGCCTAATGACGTGGGTAGCCAAAATACATATGAACTATTTCATTTAAAACAATGTTGCAGGAAGTCAAGACTTAAAAACATAGGCCCTATAAGGGTTTTATTAATTCATATGTCAAACATCCTCACTACAGACTGCAACACTGATAAACAATATGGTGATATTCATATACTAGAATAGCACAACATGGAGGTTAAATGGTGACATAAAGGAAGTAGAGGAGATATCAGACACCAAAACGTGCTGCAACTAAGGGGCTTTGGAACCCCCATGTGACCAACAAGGGGCTAGGGTCCTTCCCGCCCTAGGGCCAGTGGGGGAGCTCAGGACATGTGGGTCACATTAAGCAGACAAGACATTAAGTAAACAAGTCAGCAGGCCATATGTTCTTGAAGGATGTAATTAGCCCCATCCCCAGTAAATCCAAGTAAGAAGAGATCATCAGATTAACCACACATTCAACCAATCACAGTAGACAGCAAATATTTATAGTGCGACCACTGTTTGCACACTAAAAGGTAATCTGATTTAGGAAAAGTCAACTGAATACCTGGGGAAAATTGCTATTTCTCAACTAAATGAGTCCCTTTCTAAATCATTTATATATTCAAATGCCAAAGGATATATTACTGAGATGTTAAAAATTTCCCTGAGCTCACTGAGTTCTGGAGATAGAGATGAAGCAAAGGATTTCACCAATAATAGAAAAAGCATTTTACTATACTGAGGATTGGAAAGTATAGGAGGAATTTCCCAGGCAAATAATACCTATTCTCACCATTTTACATATAGGTACATAATTGATTGCATTTGTACATTGGTCTTTAGATCCAGCTGCCATGCTTGTATTGGTGATTCATTTCCTCACCCCTCCATCCAATCTTCTGCCCTCTCTCATAAAAATCAAGCTGCAAACACTATCTCCGAGCTCATTATATCTGCCTAATCATAATTTTAGCAAATAAAATCAGCACCTTCCTCATCATTCAAATAAACAGAGAAATACCAGATATAAGTAATAAGTGAAGCACCCACCTCCCTGAACATGCTTTCTACCCAAAAACCAAAATGATAGAGTTTAGGACATATTTACCAGGACAGTGGTTTTCTTCTCCTAAGTTCATTTTTGTCATTGAAATGTATATTAATTACACCCTCTGAATAAACACATTAGTTATCAATACTCAAAATATGTTTCAACAAGACTATTTTGCCTACCTTTAACAAATGAGACTATCATTTGAAATATGCTCTATTTATATGATCAGGAAATTTACAAAAGGGAAAACCTGAATAGCTAGCAAAGTTATAAAAAATGGTTAAACTCACAGGTAATCAGGACAATGCAAATTAAGATGTCATAATATAATACCATTTCACCTGCTCTGATTGAGAAAAATAAGGTCTGATAACACCAAGCATTGGTGGGAATATGGAGAAAGAAAAATGCTCATATACTATTCTAAGAGGAATCACCACCACTTTCAAAATCAATCAGCATTTCCATGTTCAGGTACACACCCTAAAACTTTCCACATGTATAGAAGAAATGTAAAAGAATGTTTACTGTAACAGTTAACAGTTAAAAAAAAAAACAAACAAAAAAACTGAATAAATTAAATGACCATCAACAGAATGAATAAATAACATATTAATATTCGTAATGAAATAACATCCAACAGGATAAATGAATGAATATAACTACATAAAGTAGAAATAATTAAATTAGCTACAAAAAAGCCGCAAAATAATACAACACGTGTGAGAACATTTACGTAACATTTCAAATCTACAAAGTAATACTGTACAATGTTTATGTTGATGGATGCAAACGTATAGATTAGAAGTATAAAAACATGCATAAGAAAGTAAAATGCTAAATCATGATGGGGATTCCCACTTTAGAAGAAGGGAGGGAAATGATGATACAAGGAGACTCATCCACATCTGTAATTTTTTTTAAAAAAATAATCTACAGCATTATGGAAGAATATTATTTAATAAAGCTAGTAAGTGCATTAGTGATTATTACATTTTTTCTATTCTCGTCTCTATGCTTGAAATATGTATACCATTAAAGAGTGAGTGGGAGGGATAGAGAAAATAAACATATTCCAAGGTGATACCATTTCCTTAGGGTGGGAGATCAATTACCGAACAAAGGGTAATTACTCAATTTAAATGGTAATCCAAGAGCATGTTCCCATGAAGTCACAGATTCATTTTTGCCAAGGAGCTAACAGCTCTGGGAGGTTCTGACTCAGTCATCCTTCATTCTTTAAATTACCTATTTCCTTGATTTGGATACACAAATGATGGGACCTGCTCCACGGTGGATAACCTAACCTCTTTACAAGTCGCTACATGTACTGGTCGCTACATATACTAGCTATAACTGGGCACACATTCCTGTCCTCTGAAAGGAAGCTTCCTCTTTTCTGTCCTGAAAAATCCTTATGATTAATGATCTGTATGGAGCCTATAACCAAGTGCATTTTTTAACCAATTTGTCTGAATCAATTCAAGCTAAACATATCTTCTGTCTATCCTTCTTTGGACTCTTGAAAATATGCTGTCTGGAATTATTACAAAGAAAAATAAAATAATTTAATATACTGAAAGAAAAAATCAGGATAAAGCAACACCATAAATCAAGGCATAAAGTTCTTTTCCTGGGTCAAAACTTTAGATTGCTTCTGCAAGCCCCTTCCCTAGATGTCGATATTGTGAGGGGTATGAAAGTTCCTTAAGGCCTGGCGCGGTGGCTCGCGCCTATAATCCCAGCACTATAGGAGGTCGAGACAGGTGGATCACCTGAGGTCAGGAGTTCGAGACCAGCCTGGCCAACATGGTAAAACACTGTCTCTATTACAAATACAAAAATCAGCCAGGCGGGGTGGTGCATGCCTGTAGTCCCAGCTACTCGGGAGGCTGAGGCAGGAGAATCGCTTGAACCCGGGAAGCAGAGGTTGCAATGAGCGGAGATTAGGCCGCTGCACTCCAGCCTGGGCGACAGAGGGAGACCCTGTCTCAAGAAAAAAAAAAAGAAAGAAGGAATTCCTTAAGATTCCTTCTGCAAGCTCCTTCCCTAGATGATCGATAGAGTGAGGGGGATGGTGAGGTGAGCTGAAAAAAAGTTCCTGTTGTCAAAAGAAAAATACCGAGTATAAGAAAGGAATGAGTGGAAAATAATTAAAGCAGCATTTTGCATTATAACCAATATTCTATATTCTGTGATAGTTCTAACAGAATATGTGAAAAATAAAATACAGTGATACTTTTAACACTGAGATTGGAATAAGTCTCTCAAGTATCACAGTATTTAAAGAACAAAAACACACCACTCTAAGAAGCTAAAATGACAATTAGGATGACAAAACAACATTCCTTTTTATGAGTTTGTTCTATTGGTAACCACTAAGCAAATGAGGATTAAACCAATCCTATTAATGGCAATTTATGTAATTATACAAGTAAACCATTTGATATGCTTTTATTTTAAAGCTTAACATATTTAAGAAAATAATATTGTTATGGGAAATGAATTTCTTTTGAAATAACAAACCATAAAAATACTAATAAGCAGCAACGATAAGTATGACAGCTAACACTTTTTGAGCACTTACTATGAGCCATCCACTGTTCTAAGGGCTGTTTTACACATACTTAATCATTAACTTCACAACTACCCTATAAAGTAAGTACAGTATAGTATTAGCTCCAGTTTATAGATGGGACTCTGAGGCACAGAAAGATAGTGTAACCATTGTACTGAGTCCCATCTAAATACAGGATATTGAGTAAGAAATAGAAATAGTTCTTTTTTTTCAGTAGTCGCCACTTCTCTGCGGTTTCACTTCCCACAGTTTCAGTTACCTGCAGAAAACTGCAGTCCGAAAACAGGTGAGTACAGCACAGTAAGGGATTTTGAAAAAGACGACATTTACATGTTTGTTACAGTATAATTGTTCTATTTTACTATTAGTAAGATATTGTTAGTATCTTACTGAGCCTAATTTATAAATTAAACTTTATCATATAGGTACCTATACATAGGAAAAAACATGGTCCATATCAGGTTTGGTCCTCTGTGGTTTCAGCAATCACTGAAGGTCTTACAACATATTCCCTGTGGATAAGCAGGGTGATAGGACTACTGTATTTTCCTAGATGAAGACTGCAACCAAGAAGAATGAAAACAGGTTTCTTGCCAAAACATCTTTCTGCATGTCCATATGCACTAAAGCTATAGGGAAATATACTCAATTATAACAATTATTACATCAAATAATCTCATTAAAATACTTAACAATATCCATGCTATTCAGCACTTGTTGTCTAGGTACTGTGTTAAACACTGTCTTAACACATTCCTGAGGAAATATAAGACAATCCATGACAGAATATTCCATGACTGACTGAAGCTCATGTACAATCTCTGCAGTGGAACTAGAGGGTTATTTTATGGAATTCTAGTTTTCATTGTGTATCACTGAAGGCTGGATGGTTTCTGCATATGCCAACTTCCCCCACTAGACAGAAAGAGGATAAGGGGACTCTGTGAGGTCTTAGATATATCCTGAGTTCAGGAATTTATGTTTACCTTTCCCATTTAGGTTTCCAAAACAACTGTAGCAGACGTCACTAGAAGGGTCAGTTTCTGGAAGCACTGGAAGGGAAAGCTATGAGAAGGGTGTGTGGATAAAAATCAGAATGCTGAGGATTAAGGCTACTAAGAAACTTTAGGCTCCTGGAAGCAACTGTTCAAATCTTACATTATTCATTTGATACACAGCTCACAGATTGTACCGTGTGCTTAGCAGATGAAAGGATAATACAAAATAGTATACAGCCCAGTGTCTGACCTCATAAGAAAAGGGGGTAACCAGTGGGTTACTAGAAAACTGTCGTAGGAAGCAGTCACATCCAAAACCTGGAGAAACTCATCAGCCTATAAAAGCATCTGCTGAATTCCAAAATCAGTTTTGAAGGTTAATATAAATGGAAATTCTCTAATATGTTTGTTATATTTAAGAAAATGGACCTCTGGAATAAAAACATATCTACTTACTTTTCTCTACAAGAAGCCAAAAAATGAAAAAGTAACTATATTATTAGTCCTTATGTAGCTAGAGAAATTCATATCATATGTGGGTGAGTAACCTGAGAAAATCTTCCTGCCATAGCACGAAATGGTCAGTACTCACTAGAAAAGCAAACTGTGCCCAGCAACAGATATTAAAACAATTGATCAATATTGCTTACATTCCATATAATTCTGTCTTTAGATTTTGAAGGATTATCAGAAGAATTTTTTTCTGCCATAAGACCATATTTGCTAAATTCCAGTTATATTAATAGCTTATACATGATCTATTGAGAGGAAAGGCACTAACATTTCCTCAGAACCTCCTAAGTACAGGTACCATGACGGATGCTACATGCAAATCTCATTAGCTCGATGTACTACAGGATCACTGTACATCGTGACTGCATAATGTATGCATTTCTCTTCCTTTAAGAATACTATTTTCCTCAATTATCTAACACTTGAAGAATGATGAGAGAAAAAGACATATCCTACTTGTGAAAGCCCTTCAGAGACTCCATAGTTAAGTTTCAACTGTTAAAAACAATATGAAGTGAGTCTGAGATGAAGAGGTGAATACTGTACAATCACTGTTATGAAGTGGAGCTTTTACTATTTGAAGATGGCATTTCTGGTCTTAAAAGTTTAAAAAGAGAAGAATAAAGAAAAAAAATCCAACACTGTAATGGAGTTAGCACAAAAGAATCAGAAAAAGAATGAAATCACAATTAATTCCCATTGGTACAAGCAGTACAACTGTCGGTGGTACAAAAGGATACAGCCAGGTATTTTTGGTAGGAGAAAGAAAAGTAATGGTGTCATCAAGGTACACTTCCCCAAATATGCAAGGATATCTTTGATTACATGTAGATTATTCAATTAAATGCTTTAAAAAAATTTCTAGCTGAAATCGTTTGTCATGGCTTATATCAGGAAGTGAACCTTTTAAAAACAGGTATATTTACCCATAATGGCCCAGTGGGCTTTTCCCTAGTGCTAGGAACAACTTAACAAGTACTTCAAAGTTAATTTGGCAGTAACAGTTTGAAAGTGGGCTATAAATAAGAAAAACTATGCCTTGTGATAAAAAGGTAGATATGAAAAAATGAATTAAAGTGGCAAGTTTTACTTTACTTTATTTATTATTTTATTTATTTTTCTTGAGACGGAGTCTCACTCTGTTGACCGGGCTGGAGTGCAGTGGCGTGATCTCGGCTCACTGCAAACTCCACCTCCCAGGTTCAAGTAATTCTCCTGCCTCAGCCTCCCAAGTAGCTGGGACTACAGTGTGGCATGCTCTACCATGCCTAATTTTTGTATTTAGTAGAGACAGAGTTTCACCATGTTGGCCAGGTTGATCTTGAACTCCTGACCTCAAGTGATCCACCTGCCTCAGCCTCCAAAAGTGATGGGATTAGAGGCGTAAGCCACCACGCCTGGCCCTAGGCGTTATTACTTTGAAAGAGGGCTAAATTCATTCTAGTGGGATGGTTTTTCAACTTCTAGTGAAATTTTTTAACTCAAAAATGATTTGAAGCAATAGTATAACTCTATTTTTGCTGATTCCCAAAAAAGAGCTAAAAATCCCAATGAGGTTTTAAATGGCTCTAAACATGTTGCTTATTTAGGCAAATTAAATAATTTTTTTTCATATTTTAATCAAATGTTCATCATTTATGTGCAAGCAGCAGCTTAGACTCATCCTTTCTGACACTCAGGGAGCTAAAGCAATTAATTGTTAGAGGTCAGGAAGAGACAAGCACATGGTGATGACTGTTGCTTGCGTCATCATACAGTTCAATTGGTTTCTTCTCTCTTGTCCTTATAATGACTAACCTTGCCATCACCATCCACCAAAATCATCACTAAGTGGCCCAAATGCAGGAAGTGCCGTAAATTACACAACGGAGATATGCCTAGAAAGTTATCCAAAAGACAAAGAATATTTTTTAAAGCATTTGAATTTCTTGCTATGTTGAAAGTATTATGGTTATTCTTAGAGCAGGATGTACCTGTAGATTCGCTATTTCCATGTGAGGATCACGAAGGTACCTAACTCATAGAGTTACCCTGGTATCTTAAGATAGCTAATACATCTAAAGTGCTTAGAAATGTTTTGGCATATAGTAAGTGCTCTATTAGTGTTAGCTATTATTATCAAAATACTGCATGACCATTTTAGAAAAGCTAGAAAATACAAGTATACAGAAACTAGAAAAAGAAATCCCCATTCTCACCTCACACTTTATTTTAATGTACAGACGCATAGGTGTTTCATGAGTTTATACTAAGTGCTGATGTTTTCTTAAACATGGATCACTGTCTTCTATGAAGAACATTGAGTTATAGGCCACAAAAATAGAAATATAAATCAAGAATTAAATTGAATGTATCCAGATCCTGACTGTTGTTTATAATTTATCTGCTCTAGACCTTATTAAATATACACTAGAAACAAAAATTAAAGGCAGGGCACTATCAGAGAAAACCTAGGAAACATCAGGGCTTCAGAGACATAACCTCACAGTAATAAGTCTAAAAATAATACATGAACACAAGAGCTGAAAGTAGTACAGAATATGGTGGTAATTATAATAGAAAAATGAGGGCTCAGAGAAGGTCACCTCAAGGATAAAAGGCCTGCTTCTTCTAATTGACCAAAAGTCATCAGCCCTTCTTTTTGTTTTAAGGTATACTTTTAATAAACCTAAGACATATCAAATTCTTATTTGAGCAATGATAACAGTAAAGTACAATGGAGGAAAACTATTTACAAGCCTGTAACAGAGAGATAGACCTGCACTCACACAAGTATACAGGGATATGCATACAGAAAGAATATGCTACATATCCCAAACTTATCCCAAGCTAGCAGAGGTAATAAAATGCAAAGGACTCCATTGCTGGGGTCTGGACAAACCTGTTGGAAAGGCCGAGTCTGGGCTTGCCTGAGAAGTCGCTGTTGCTGCTGCTGCTGCAGAAGCTTCATCTGTATCAACTGCTGCTGCGATGTGATTGCATGAAGAGAAGGCGGCTGCATCATGGCGCCTGAGCGCCGCTGTAGCATGTTTGACAGAGCTTGTTTGGTGTTGGTTGGGACAAAGGAGCCTGCAGGGTCCAATCTGGAGCCACCTACAAAAGCAACCAAAAGGAAACACTTTCTAACTACGTTAATGCAACAGGTCTTTTTATGTATCAAAACACAGAAATTTCACCTTCTAAGTCTCACTTTATGAACAAAGTAGAAAAAAATGCACTGTCCCACCTGCCACAAATATTATAGACCTGTTGAGTTGCATAACTTACAAAAGATGAGGGGAGTGATGTAGAAGTGAATTATACTACTTTAATTTCATGGAGGTCTTCAGTTCATAAATTGAAATGTGTAAAACATACAGTTGTTGGCATAATTTCATAATTACATGGGTTTTAAATTAGGCAAGGCCCTCAGGAACATATTACTTGTATAAAACATACTGCCTTTGTGATGTATTTTGCCAAGTTCTTAAGCCATTCATATAAATCCTTTTGTACTTTTCATCAAATCTGAAGCTCATGTCATTAAAGTCTTTTCACCATGGCAAAATGAAAATGCCTGTTTTATAGCAGAGGCATGAAAATACTTTAAAATCTTGAAATGCTTGCAAACTTCAAGTACTATGATTGTAATGACAAAACATCTTTTTTGAAGGCTAAAAATCAAATAAACAAGCAACTATTATACCGATGCTTAAGAAACCACAGGAAATCCTTTACATATTTGTATATTATAATTTGTCACGCGCATTTAAAAGTTAGGGAAAAAAAAGTCGACATTTGCTGGCTTCACAATAAATGTAAATTCTTCATTCACCAAAAATAGTCCTTGATACATGTAAATGAAAAAAACCTCTACATAAGCACCTCACAAAAGTTGTTTTATCTTTTCTATAAAGCAAGGTGTATGATGAAAACAAACATTTTAAAGCTGTTTTTTTGGAAAAACCCACATTCTTTTAAAGACTCAGTGCCACAATCAGCAATACAATTTATGAAGTTGTGAAAGGAAACTAAAAATCTTGGGACACCAAACTCACTATGACAAAGGTAAAAGTCAATGTTGGGAACTGAGTCATGCAAAACTATCCCCTGGTTTGTTTCCTAAATAGATAGCTACAAAGATAGAAGGCTATATACCTCCCTAGGAGGTCTCCCTCATAATTTGCTCACAAGGAAATTCCTTGTGGGTTCCAAAAGATTTACCCTAAAATTAACAGCTTATCTTTACGGTGGGAGGGGGGGTTGTGGGGGAGCAGGACAGAACTAGAAGTCATCCCTCCACTTATCAGAGACAAATATATACTTGACTTCTTCCTCTACTCTATGTTTACTTAATCTTATGTAAAAATGCAGATTCAACACCGTAATTGACTAAACCTTTAACCTGCTTCTTTCATATGTAAAATGTAGATTCAGGGAATGCTGATCAAAGCCTCTAAAGAATGAAACTGCTTACTCCTTTTATCTACTTCCCCTTCTTTTTCTTTCTTCTTTCCCCTACTGCCTACTCTTTCCCCTTTAAATACGGAAGCCCCCAAATCCTCTTTGGAAAAAGCAGAGATGTTCCTGTGATTCTGTGTTCCTTTCTCCCAGGCATGTCCTCAACCTTGGCACAAGAAACCTCTAAAATGAGTGAGATTTGCCTCAGCCATCTTCTTCTATTTACAAAGTCATTCAGCAGCATTTGAAGAGCATTTGGAAAAAAACAGAAGATCAATCTAAGTAACACATGGCTGGGTAACTTCTATTGAAGCAACAATCAGAACATATATTACGTGTTAAGAATTATGTATATTGATATGTAAAAAGAGACTCATTTACAGAAAAGGGAAATTCTTTTTAAAGATTAAACTATAATCTAATTTTTAAAAATTTTCCTAACTCTATGATCTTGTACCTCTGAGAAACTACTGGAATAAAATATTACAAATATGGCTGAAGCCCTTTGTACACCTAATTACTTTCCTCACTTACTCCTACCAAATGCTACTCTGAATCTGGAGTTTACTATCCTATGCATTTCCTTACAACTTTATAATACTGGTGTGTATATATGAGAAAGATTAGGAAAGATACATATGTTTTTGTATGTGAGTGATGGTGGGAGATTGTTTTGCATTTAAACCCTATATGAATGGAATCATGCTGTACATACTGTCTTGTAACTTTAGATTGTGCTTGTTTAAATGAAAATAAATTTGCTCATATAAATCCTCAAAAATAATTTTTTTCAAAATTTATTTATTTATTTATTTTTACTTTTTTTTTTTTTTTTTTTTTTCTTGAGATGGAGTCTCGCTCTGTCACCCAGGGTGGAGTGCAATGATGCAATCTCAGTTCAAGCAACCTTTGCCTCCTAGGTTCAAGTTATTCTCCTGCTTTGGCCTCCCAAGCAGCTGGGATTTCAGGCACCACCATGCCTGGCTAATTTTGTTTTTTGTATTTTTAGTAGATACGGGGTTTCACCATATTGGCCAGGCTGGTCTTTAACTCCTGACCTTAGGTGATCTGCCCACTTTGGCCTCCCAAAGTGCTGGGATTACAGGTGTCAGCCACCGTGCCCAGCCCAAAATTTATTTTTTAAATGCCATCTCACACCTAAAGTTCCTCAGTTTATAAAAAGCTTTCTATAGTATTCTATAGGGAGAGATTATGTGCTTTTACAAAGTAGTTAGCTTTCAATTCACAGACAGTCCTTGTGTGTCAAATATCTACAAACAAACTTCTACATCTACAAACAAACTTCTACATCTCCAAAGTTTAAAATGGCTAAAAATTCACATGGACCGTGGCATTAAAAAGAGGAAGTTTAAAAGGATGATGATTGCATCCTTCTTTTTCACTCTGAGTCTAGTTTGTAGTCTATATTCATTCACTCAACAATCTATTTTTAAAAGCCTACTATAAAGCCAGAGGTTCCTCTAAGTTCTGGGGATACTGCAGTGAACATAATAGGAAAAATATCTGCCACGAGGCTTACATTCTGGGAAGATAATAAATCAATAAGAAAGTAAGATATAAGCAAGTCTGATGCTGTAGAGCAAGCTTGTCCAACTCATGGCTTGTGTGCTGCATGCGGCCCAAGATGGCTTTGTATGCAGCCCAACAAAAATTTGTAAACGTTCTTAAAACATTACGAGTTTTTTTTGTGATTCTTTTTTTTTGTAGTTGATCGCCTATTGTTTGTGTATTTTATGTGTGGCCCAAGACAATTCTTCTTCCAATGTGGCCCAAGGAAGCCAAAAGATTGGATGTGCTTGCAACAGAGAAACAGAAAAAAGAGAGAAACAGAGGGTACAGGGAAGGGGTATGGGTCTACAATTTAAAACAGGTTAGTAAAGGCCCCAGTGAGAAAGTAATGTGACCAAGCCCAACGGAGACAGGCAGGAAGTGATGTAGATATTTGAGGGAGAGCACTGCAGGCACAGGGGTCAGCAAGCACAAATGCCCTGAGCTAGGAATATGTGAAGATCACTTACTGAACATGTCTGTGGGGTCAGGCTACCTTCAAAAGGCTATATAACTATTACAATTTACTTTTAAATCTTACATATGTATGTGTGTGTAACATAAACTTTATTTCATCTTTTAAAAAGTAGGTATTTTGCACACTTTAGTCACTGCAATATCCTAGCATCCAAAACTGGGTCCACTGTATCATGAAGCTCAATACATTCTTGAATAAATAACTGAATCACCCACCCTATGGGAATAGGTATTAGCATATTCATTTTACAGATGACCAAAATGAGGCACAGAGAAATTAAGATTTGGCCAAGATTATACAGCAAGAGAGTGGTAGAACCAGATTTGAATCTAAAACGCTTAACTACCAGACCAGTTCCTTTAACCATTAATTTAGAGGACAAAATATGGATTTCCCCCTGCTATAAGCCATAAATGAAACATTTTCTTCCACAGACCTCAAAATGTCAAACTCAAGTTATAATAAAAATCACAATAGAAAAATTTAAAAAATTATTTGTTAAAATGGCACATCCTAACAATGCTGACAGATTTCAAATAATTTAAATATGCTAAAACATGCAATGTTTCATATAGAAAGAAAATTGAATTCATTTTTCATTAAGAGATGTTTTCATTTAGAAAATTTTCATTTGGGACGAGAAATCTACTTGGGCTTGAACCAAAGCAATACTAAAATCAGGAACATTTACTATGGTAGTTTTCCTTGTTGTTATCTAAATCTTGCTGAACCAATTTTCTTAGCTGTCATGATAATTCAGAACAATAAAAGACACTGTGCAATATTGTGTAATCTTTTAAAATGCCAATAAGAATTATATCTGATAAAAATACACACATTTTATAACATAAAACCGTTATCAACTTTTATATCTTACAGCTTAGATTTTCATCACTAGCTAATTTCCTTTTAACACTAAATAAAAGTTCCAAAATCAGTACATAAACTCGTAATTTAACCTATTTTAGAAAACAAAAAACATTTCTGTGTGAAGGGAATTACAGAAATGTCAACTGAGCACTCAGTGGTTGAAATGTCCAAGTTTTGTGGAGGTTTCAGGTTAAAAGCAAAGAGAACCACAAGCTGTTTCTCATCTCTGAGTGATCTGTGCTTTCTCATCACATACCTGGAGTAAGAGATTGGTTCTGAAGGAAAAAGCCGGGCTGCTGGGGCTGGCCCACGAGGTTGTAACCCCACAAGGTGGACTGTGGATGGTGCATCATTTGGGAGGAGATAGGCGAGTAATTAGGAGGCACTCGGTATATGTTGCTCTGTGGATATTCCTTCAACATAAAGTTTTTTAAAAAGTTACGTAACTCCACATATCACACAGCTAATTAATGCAAATAACTTCAGTAAGCTATCTGAGGTACCTCCTATCCCAATGTACAAAGCTGTTTTTTATAAAGGAGAAGATGGAAGGAAGAGTGCTAATAAATCCCCTGGAAATATTCATTTGAGGTAAACTTTTCCTTGACTTAAACAGTGCTTGGCTTGCAGTGGGCAGAGATGGAAAAGGATCTCTTCTGAATTCTATTTCAAAAGACTACAAGTGTGTCAGGAATACCAATACTGAACGACACTCATCACTGAAAAAGCACCTTCAGTTGCTAAGACTCATGATCATTTCATCTTAGAAGGCCTTTCCAATATCTTGGGTCTGGAGAATTACGCCAGAGAGCCCTACAGTGCTTCAGAACCACTCTTTGGCCAAGATGGTATTTCACTTGCAATTTTCCAGACATCGTTCTAAAGAAGTAGACACTCCCCTCATCCCCCATGCTTCCTCTTCCTTATAGTAGCTGCAAAGCCTGTAAGGATCACACCTGAAGGTCTCAATTTCCCTACCTTCCCTCATCTAGTCTAGCCCTAGAGGATGGAAGAGAAACAAAATCTCATTTCCCTGCAATTTTACTGAAGAGCATATCTCATTGAAAAGAGGGAGCTTCAGGAAGAATAGAGGAAGAGGGGACATGACCAGACTGACCTGGGGAGCAGGATTGGTTTCAGGGCTTTTTCATCAGAAAAGAACAAAAGCCCATCCACGTGGACTGACAGGCTGGAAACCCCAAATTTGAGGGAGTGTCAGTCTGGACCATTTTAAACTTCCCTTCAAGACAAAGGAATACTGGTAGGAAGACTGAATGAGAAGGGGGCACTGATGCTCAAGTGGCATCCTAAAGTGGTGGTGGTCATTTCTAAAATAGTATTAATCACCAAGCTATCAGCTAGGAAAAGATGTATTTTAGTTCTCACATAGGTAAACAATAACCAATCATGAATATCTGAATGAAATGGTGAATATTTCTTCCACTGTGCAGCAAGAATGCTGTGGAATTTCATTAAAAATGTCTCAAATCCTCTATCAAATATTTTCCAGGTTTTAATTTAATTTAAATAGAAAAACATTTTATGCATTACTTCTCAAGGTTTATAAAATTATTTCTAAATCACCATCAAATAGATTTCTGTTGTAATGAAAAGATTATTATACGTGGGGAACACTAATAGAGAAACAAGAAGTAAAACTATTTTAAATTAGGCTTATTTTCATCTTTTATAAAGTCTGAAAACATGGTAAAGAAGGAAAATATATGAGGGTAAGATGGAATAGTAAAACATAAAATCTCAGGAACATCCTATTGGCTATGCTAACTCCAAGTTTTATCAAAGAAAAACCAAATAGAGCTTTTTATGTTAATTTACTGAAGATATCAACCACTTAAAATACAATAAATATTTTAGACATATTAAAAATATGTGAGAGAATGGGATTGTATAGTTCTAAAAATTTCAAGTTTCAAACCCGAGGAAATTAGGAGGCACTGAAATATTAATTAAATATTACAATGGAAGCCTACAATTAAAATAAAATTATTAAAAGTGGAGGACGGAAAATCAAAAGCTTTAATCTTTTGTCTGTGACAAGTCATTGTGTGCCATTCAGTTAATGCAGAAACCTGTTAGGAGAACTGTCATAACAAAACTTATCCTGCTCTTGGTAATGTTTCGAGGGATATGATTTGGGCACGAGTAAATCTCATACTAAATGCTAATGAGCCAAGGTTCTCCTTCCTTTCCCCACTTACATCAACTCTTGAGCTAGATTTCGTCTTGCGCTTCCTTCCTTTTGTTTTCTTTTCTTCATCTGTTGTGGTTTTTCCCTGATCTGACAGCTCAGCGGACTTCCTTTCTGGTTCCTGAGAAACTGGAGATGTGGGCTCTTCCTCTTCCTCCTCAGGAGGCAGGGGCAGTGGCTGGAGGTAGTAACTGCGGGGCTTGGGCATGGGGTGTGTGTGATACAGCAGGAGGTGATGCTGCTCCTCGTACTTGATCACTCTTCGGTCCACTCGGACTGTCCCAAACCAGGCCCAGGACAAAGGAGCTGGGTTCTTCTGACCCTCAAACAAGTCCCACGGGGACACCTTCTGCTTCGTAGAGACCTGGAGACCCTGTGGGAAAATAGCGCTCTAAGATAGCACACTCAGATCTTTTCCTTATTCATAGGCCAGGCTTGTATGGGACATGGAGTCAGAGAACACTTTGGCTGGCATGAGCCCTAGAGAACCCGAGAATACAGCAGAGAGGGTTACACAGCTACATCACCGGAGAGCAGTGGCTAGAATTCAGACCTTTGTAAGCCCGGTTCTACAGTTCTTTAACCACATGATGCTCTGTTTAGGCAACAGAGGCAGTCTAGCATATTTTATTGTTAATGTGTATTTCCTCTTTTTGCTAAAAAAATTCTAAAAATTTGTTGCTAAAAATTCTAACACTGCAAAGTTAATCTTACTAAATTATAACCAGTTCTAAATCTCTGTAATCTATTTATAATTTTGAAGATAATATCAAATTTAAGAGTCAAGTTATAGTCAACCTGTAATTGGGTTAGTATTAACTTCAATCCAAATCTGCATGAACTTGGTTCAATATGTGGGCCCTGTACTTAATAAGCCATACTCTGAATATAATATTATTATTAGAGAATTAAATTGTAGCAGCAGGAATAAGTAAAGTCTTTCAACTCAAGCTTATATTTACTGACTCTAGAAAAAAAAAAACGGTTACCCTCTTTTTATTCTTAACATTAATTGGTGACATCTCTTGGCACTTGCCTTAAAATGTCAATTTAAAAATATTTTTCCTTAAATGGCCCCCAAATAACTACTCAGTCATTCCCTAAGATGTAAGTGTTACTGTTGTTATCTATATGCATTCTTTTATGAGTAGCTTCATCTAAAACTAAGGTTCAGGCCAGGCACAGTGGCTCGTGTCTGTAATCCCAACACTTGGTGAGGCTGAGGCGGGTGGGATCACCTGAGGTAAGGACTTTGAGACCAGCCTGGCCAACATGGTGAAACCCCGTCTCTACTAAGAATACAAAAAAAGGCTAGGTGTGGTGGCTCACACCTGTAATCTCAGCAATTTGGGAGGCTGAGGCAGGTGGATCACGAGGTCAGGAGTTCAAGACCAGCCTGGCCAAGATGGTGAAACTCCGTCTCCACTAAAAATACAAAAATTAGCCAGGCATGATGGCAGGCACCTGTAATCTCAGCTACTCAGGAGGCTGAGGCAGAGAATTGCTTGAACCCGGGAGGTGGAGGTTGCAGTGAGCCGAGATCACGCCACTGCACTCCAGCCTGGGTGACAGAGCAAGACTCTGTCTTGAAAAAAAAAAAAAAACAAAGACAAAAACAAAAAAAAATTAGCTGGGCCTGGTGGTGCATGTCTGTAATCCCAGGTACTCAGGAGGCTGAGACAGGAGAATCGTTTGAACCCGAGAGACAGAGGTTGCAGTGAGCAAAGATCGCACTACTGCACTCCAGCCTGGGCGACAGAGCGAGATTCCATCTCAAAAAATATAAATAAACAAAGTAAAACAAAATAAAACCAAGGTTCAATTGCCACCTGTAAATTGACTGTTTCCTAATATTTGTCTTGAGATGAGAACTTTTTCCTTGGTGTAAAAACCACACATCCAAATGGATTCCAGATGTCTTACTACCAGGAAGTCCGCTGACACTGCAAACTCAAACTTGACCATGACTTTAGCTTTTTTTCTTTACACAAACTGGTATTAGATTCTCAGGCTACTCTAAATTCCCTGGTAAATCTGATTCTTTCATGTCTTCATATAAACTCTCCCTTTATTTGTACCACAATTTTCCCTACCTCCCAGCTAACTCTTAATCCTTCAAAATGACTCGTGTCAATTTTCCTGGGGACCCTCTATTCTATCCCCTAATACTCTCTCTGTACCATGTCACACAAATCTCATTACACTGTAATTGTCTGTCTACTTCCCCCTTGAGGGTAGGAACTCTGTCTTTCATCTTGGTGATTGTGGAATGTCGGTGGTTGCTTACTGTTCATTAAAAGAGTAACTGACCAATTTTCTCATATTTTAGAGAACCATCTTTAATATCTTATATAAAACAAATGTCCATTAAATACTGCTTGATAGGAATAGAGAATATCCTAACAATTAAAATAATTTTTATTTGAAATAGCTTACTACAGGAAGGTTTTTTTTTTTTTTTCCCCCCCCAGAGACAGGGTCTCACTTTGTTGCCCAGGCTAGGGTGTAGTGGCTATTCACAGGCATGAGCCTAGCACATTGCAGCCTTAAACTCCTGGCTTCAAGCAATCCTCCTGCCTCAGCCTCCCAAGTAGCTGGAACTAAAGACATGTGCCACCATGCTCAGCTTACAAGAAATTTTTCATTGATAAATATATTCTGCTTCTAAATCTGAAGTATAATCAGAACTTATTTATGCAATTTTTTTTTTACACTAAGCTTTTACTTAGTTTTCTCTTGGTAGGTTTCCAAAAATTTACTTAAATTCAGGGAAACATTTTAAGTCCTTTAAACATATAAAACGTAGATCTTCAAAGATATGACCTCTTTATATGATAATGCCAATGACTAAGTACACTTAGAAGACAAGCATATGCCTTAAAAACATCAACAGCAAAATTAATATATTTTATATATCCTATGGTAAGACAAAAAAAAGTATTTCATCTTTTGTAAATAAATTTATATATAAGAAAAAACATTCACTCTTGCCTGTTTTTTATCTATAGAGTCAAATCCAGCAATTTTGTTTCCTTTTGTGTCAATCAAGGAACCCATAGGTTCACAAGTGATGACATCACATGTCTGTTTCGGCAAAGGTAGTAACTGTCGAACTTTGTCAATACTTTCTGATCGCTTGTCTCCTAGCTCTTTCTAAAGAAAAAAGAGAGAGAGAGAGAGTGAGAAGTGGGACAGAAATTACAATGAAGGCAAAAGTTAACCAGAAGGAAGTTCCCCTATGAAACATTTCCCTTTTTATAGCTTAGCGCATGTTCTTTAACCCTGAACATGTTCTACAAGGCAGTTCCAAATAGAGCAATGAGTGTTTCATTTCTTCTATTTAAGTAGAAAATAGAACACATACAAAGGCACTGTTGTTACACAACAAACATCATAGTGCTGAAATGACAAAAATCCAGGGTAGTGATCACAATCAGAAGACAGGAGCTGCAGAACAGAACACTTTCTCATGTCCAGGGTCAGATTACAAGGTAACCATTGATTTATTTGATTGGTAATGCATCAGATTTATTTGGTTTCTTTTTTGCACTGTTTTCTTACAATTTTTTTTTAAAGGAGTCTGTTAGTGGTCGGTCAAATGAATCGATTTATAAATTTCAATGCAGATGGCTATTTTTTCAATTACACGTGCCAGTCCAAGCATAGAGTTATCCTAAATCTATCTAATGTTAGTATTCTGGTTATATATTTAACAGTGGATTTCTAAAGTTCTTTAAAAAATTAAACATGTTTTATAATGTAATTGTTTTCAATAAAAAATAATCAAGGTTATGTGCATGTAACTTCTGGGTACTAATAAGGTTAGGTGAAACAAATAGCAAATAATCACATTAAATTAAGTTGAATACAATTAATAACATTTAATGAGTAATAAATTAAAATGCACTAGATAATAAATCCATAAACAACTTGAGCTCATAATACAGGCTGATCTCAAACTTACTTTCAGTTTCTTTACTAAATTCATGTATGCACGCTTGTTCTCTTCAGATCCCCCAGGGGATGCATTTGATAGGTCAGAGGCTAACGTTCCATTGATTAAAACACCCAGCATGTCAAGAACTGTTGTGAATAATTCACTAAGAAAGAAAATAATTATTTTCATCTTAAAGTGAAACTGAAATACACTTATTTAACTGAGTATTTTTATTCAAGGCACAGAATTTTTAATAGCATCCAAGTAAATAAGATGTGGCAGAAATCGCCATCAGTATATCAAAGCTTATACCATGCATACATGTAGCAAAATCAATGTGAAGTGATAAAAACATACTTGTTAGTGTGCATGTCAACAGTTCCTGAAGTAATGATCTGAAGGAGTAGCAGGGCCCAGTCTGTAGTCCACTGGGTGCTCCTCTGCACCGTGTCAAACATTCCTCCTACCTAGCAGACAAAATACAGTAAGATATTTGCATTCTGTAAAACAGAAAGAACACCCCATTGCTTTATGTTATCAAATTTTGATTGTTTTTTATTTAAAAAAACAAGGGATGCTCTAGTTTATAGATTACCTTATCTTTTCTCTTTTACCTACATGTTTATCACTATTTTTAGTTCTTTCAGCACAGTTCAGTCATTCAAACATTAACTAAAATGAAGAAGGGACGTGAGTATCTGAATGTGGGCACCAATAAACTTAGCTTTCTTTTGTTCCAAATCTTTTATGATGTCCAGTTTTATGATGCAATTATAGTTGAATTAAACCTGAATAATGTCAAAGTCATGTAATCCAATTATCTGCATCTTTGTGTTTGCTGTACAATTACTATTGAATCTAAGCCTGCTATCATAATACCATATGGAAACATCCACTATCACAGCAGTGGTGGGCAGGAGGCTTGGCCCGCACACCTACCAGTTCACGTGTTGGGACAAGGTTAGAAACAACTGCAAAAGTATCAGGCAGGCCATCCTCCAGAGGGGCCTGCACTTGGGCCTGCCTGATGGGAAAAGAAAACTCAAGGAATGCACAATATGTGAGACATTTTAAATTTCTATAAAACTTCTCTGTGGGATTTGTCTTTATAATCAATTTGATGGAAAGTTGGACAAAACTTTGAGTTAAAAGACTTTTTAAATGGTTTTAAGTAAGTATAGTAGAAGCTAACACTTATAACAGTCTTCTCAGATTTATTCTTAGCACAAACTGAAGAGAAGGAGAGATTCACTGGGGTAGAGGTAGAGAAGGCAAATCTATGCTTAAAATACCTAGCACTGTCTAGATGTCTGACCAGACAGGAAGGAAAGCAGCAAGGGAAACAGAAGGCTTTAGAAACAGGGAAGTAATTACAGAGAGCAAAGAGTGGAAGGCCTCACCTTGTAATGCAGACTTTGCACTTAGGAGAAGTGGAAAGCTGGAGGTATTTTCACATGTAAATATGTTTAATGGAGGGAAAATACTAGAAATGTCACTTACCAAATTTAGGCGGAGTTGCAATGCTTCGTGCATCATCTGCCGCGCTTTTATGTCATCTTGGTATCGTTCTTCTCTCCAGTTACTTAAAATCTAAGATCCGGAAAAAAACTCCCCATTAAAGTTTAATTTTTCTCTCATTTAAAGATAAATTGAGCTTTATACTGATAGCAAAAAACCACTTCTTATCTTTAACAAATTAACAAACAAAGCTAAATAAAATTTTAGCTTTCTTCTTCCTCCATGCAGAAAGAAATCTGGCTATTTATTTGTGCATTTGCCGTTCTAGGTGGAGGAAGAAAATCTTATATAATTATATAGCTAGCCTATGATTAAGTCTGGGAAAATGCTTGAGAGGGCCATCAAATTAAGCATTAATAAAAACTTTTAAAATACATTACCTCATTGATCTTACGAAGAAAAACACTGGAGAGAGAGAATTACATTTTGCCTCAGTCCTGTTATATTTCTAGGGACTTGCTGAACCCTAGCAAATGTATTATTTTGATGTTTTATAGAAGAGAAGGTCTGCTATCTTATGTATGTGTCTTCCTTGATAAAGAGAACGCACGGTACTTTGAAAAATATGGCATTGCAGACATCAGCCAAGTGGCTTTATCAGTTTATAAAGTGGGCTGCTTCTTCACTTCCTCACTGACTCACACTAATGCTGGAAAAGGAAAAATTTGCTTAGGAAAGGGAGCCACAAGTGGGCAACACCCTAAAATCAGATGAGATGAGCAAAAAAAAAGTGCAATTCAAAACAAAAACAAAAAACCACTAACAAAAACCCTATCATGCTCTGAAATATGGTCATTAATGAGAGTCATCTTAAAAGAGTTCAAATGAGTCACATGCAGAAGTACTCCATCCCAACAGATGACCTGTAAGTACCCTGCAAGGTGAGAGGAAAGCACTTCCCAAATCTCATCAGAAGAAATGAACCCCTCCCTAAGGCTGGCTTAAGGGGGCAAGGTAGTTAACTAAACAACAAGCTCTCATGGAGCTCAAATAATAGTAGTGGGACAAATAAAACTAAGTGTAACAAGTGGTTTGAGGCATGGCAATGGCATACAGAATGGCTGTGGTCCTATTTTTAGAGGTGATCAAAGGCCTCCCGAAGGAGGTAACATCTTAACAGAGAACTGAATGAAGGGAGCAGGCCATGCTAATCTCTGGAAGGGAATCTTTCCACCTAAAGGGAAGAAAAGATGCACAGGCACTGAAATGAGAATTTGCTCAGCAAGTTCAAGAACAGTAACATGGCCAGTGCAACAACCATGGAGGAAAGAGGGCCATGACTGGTAGGAGACAAGGTAGGAGAGAGAGCCAGTGTCAAATCATGTCTGGCCTTATCAGCCCGAATTTTTTATACTAGGTATACTGAGGTAATATGTGACTTCCATTTAAAAAGGTTCACTATGATTGCTATATCTAGATCTCTCCTACCCAAAAGGTGAGAAATGACAAGAGGATCAAATAAGATTAAGTGTCCTTGTCCATGTCCATCTAGTACCATTCGAGGGAAAGACATGGTGTCATAGAAACACAGTGCCACAAGAAGGGGTCAATTAGGCTGTGTATCAGGATAAAACACCTCATAAGACCAATCTATCCACTTTGCTTAATTCCATGCTCTCCAATTTCTGTTGTGAATGCTCAGTTTCCTTATAGTACATAGATGCAAGAGCCTCAAACAGTGACCAGGAGAACTGTGTTTGGTGAAAAGGCAATGTCCAAATTATTTCTAAATAAACCAACATGCCTTCTGATTTATTTCTTGTGTACTTGGTTGGCATCAATACAACTGAGTTTCTGAACCTACAGATTTCAAGCTGAAAGCGTGCCTGATAATGTGGCATCCAAGCTTGAGGAGCTGGACTCACTGCCATGCCTACTGCAGCATAGATTGCTCCAGGTCCTCTCCTATGAGGCAGAGTTAGGAGACGGGCAGATAGTTCAAAGTTATATGCAATATATAAAATTTTACTTTTATAGGCAGTACACATTTATTGTATATATCTCATTAATATAAAGTTGTTAATCTTGTGGTGTCTACAATGCCAGGTAGAAGAATAAGGCATGGATTGTTTCTCAGCGTCTACTCAAAACATTTTGTAACCTTACTAGTTGTTTTTTTTTTTTTTTTTTGAGACAGAGTTTCACTATTGTTTCCCAGGCTGGTGTGCAATGGCGCGATCTCAGCTCACTGCAGCCTCTGCCTCCCAGGTTCAAGCAATTCTCCTGCCTTGGCCTCCCGAGTAGCTGGGATCATAGGCGCACACCATCATGCCCGGCTAATTTTTGTATTTTTAGTACAGACGGGGTTTCACCATGTTGGCCAGGCTGGTCTCGAACTCCTGGCCTCAGGTGATCCACCAGCCTCCGCCTCCCAAAGTGCTGGGATTACAGGCATGAGCCACCACACCTGGCCCTTATTAATTTAATCTCAGTATTTGAAAGGCAAATAAATGAATGCCGTTAGAAAGATATTTGCCTGTCTTAATATTATACTATACTTTACCTGGTTAACTTGATTCTGGAGAGATGTTAGGAGGCCTTCCCTTTGTTCATCTTGTCCCTTAAGGCAGGTAAGTACCAGTGAGAGGAAGGGTTGTTGACTCAAAAGAGACATACTACAAAGGAAGTAATAATAACAACAGATCTAGTTAGAAATAATGCATTACTTCCTCTGGCAACATTCATTTCTTTGCCTCACTATTAGATAAATAAGAGAGGTGGTAAATAGCCAAAGACTGCTTGAAAATTTAAATCATACCTCTACTTATAAAATTAAAAGCCACTGTAATGCTTCTAAATCACTTCGTATGCTCTAATTGCCCTCGAAGCCATTCTCAAACTAGCATCAAACCATACTGCATGTGAGCATGCCGGGCAGTGAGGGTAGAAGACAGTGAATTCATCTTCTACATCAATATGCAGAATTTAAAAATGTACATCAGAAAGAATATCAATTTATACACAGGATAAAATTAAAAATTTTTAAAGTTCTCATATAAAACTCTTGTTTTAGAGTCTGGGAAAACAGGCCTATATATATGTCTGTTGAGCTTGTTTTGGGGTTTGATTTTGTTTTTCAGCACATTTCCCAAGACCAAAAAGCAGGGTGTTAGTAGAGCTAATTCATCAGCCAGGGCTGAGGACTCCAAAAACAGTGTACTTGCTGGCGACCCCTAGTGTGCAGCTCCAACACAGCCCACAGGCTCCAACATAGCCCGCAGCATCCACTGGTAAAGAGGTGTCAAGGCATTTGGTTAAAAATTCTGTTTTAAATTGGCATTTTAACAAAATGTCTTCAATTAGAGAATAATCAACAAATCATATTGACAAACAAAGCGCCATGTTGGAAAGACAAATTTCTTAAAATGAGACCTAGGCCAAAATATTTCAATCAGCATTATTCTCCATGGGCAGAATAAAGAGCCCCTGATGTGGGAAGAGCGATCTTTCAAGTCTCTTCAATACCATCTGTCCTGCCTATGGGAAGTTAGGCAATGCACATACACTCACCTATCAGCAAATATGATTTGAAAATTAGAATTATGCTTCCTTGTTGGTTAATTAATCCTGGCCAACATGGTAAAACAACCAGATGTAAAACAAATACAGTACATACAATGCTGGGTCTCTACCAAAATGTACTGTAGTTAAGAGCACAAGCTCAGAAGCCAGACCTCCTGGATTTAAACCCAGGCTTTATGTCCTTCACTGTGTGTCCTGGAGCAACTCATGTAACCTTTAAGTGTCTGTTTCAACATGATATAAAGAAGATAATGAGAGTACCTACCACATGATTGCTATAAGAATTTTAAAAGCTCATGTACATAATGAGTTTTAGAGAGGAGTTGCCATTCTGTAAGCAGTCAATAAATGGTGGCTACTATAGTATTATTCATTAGTGGACAAGAAATCTATGTGCTTAAAATATTTTTTTAATGGAAGAAATTATCAATTTTTTTCCTTTACTCCTAGGTTTCTTGGCATTTTCACATTAGGGTGAGGTTTCTTTCTTTCTCAGTAACACGGTTTTCAAATATAATTACTTGAAACCTTTTCTTGGGCATAAAATAAATTAAGAAAACATTAGTTGTGGTGGCCGAGGAGTCTTAATGTCTAGTCTAGAACAGGAGCCCTAAATGTTAAAAATATGAGCAACTAGTTCAGACACCAACATGCCAGAATTATACATTATATTTATTTTAAACATAAATATCTAAATAATAAAAAAATAGAAATAATTAAAAATAAAATACAGGGATCAGGTAGCTATCCAGATCTGATTCAGTTGGTCTAAAGCGGGTCTCGGAAATCACTGTTTTTAACAGTTCAGCAGTGATTTGGATATAAAGGCAGAATTGAGAACTAATGTATTAAGGATTATAACCTGAAATTTTTTAGGAATAAGACAGCCTTGCCTAATAGAATATTCCCAGTTCCATTTAAAAACTAAATTTCAGTGGACTGTGGGTACAGTGACCACACAGGTTTACAGGAAGTGAGACTTTCTCAATTATTCTTTAAACTCTCACACAGACGCCCATCTTCCAGCCACACCTTTTCTGTTTCTGTCTGTCCCTTTCCTTTTTGGAAGAAGAACCCAAGTGCTGTCCCTTCTCCAGCTCTTCCCCAGCGGCTTTCAGCACTCTTCCTTGCACAGAAGTTGGCAACCTGGCGATGAGGGGGGCCACCAACCATACACCCCTGCGTTCGGAGGAACTAAAATCAGAAACAGGTGTTACACCGGAGAAAGCATCCTTTCCCCTGCTCTCACAGTTATAACAGAAACTCCAAAGCGAAACTTTGATGTATGAGACACACAGACTGTTCTAAAATTTCCCTTTTATTTCTGTATTATCTTTCCTTTTTCCGAACACTAGACATTTGCATGAGCTTTCCACCTAAGCCTACAGAAAGCAATAAAACATGCAGTTCTGGAAGGATATTGTAACTAAACTGACTTTAATGTTTTCCGATGACCCCCTCTCTCTAATTAAAAACAATCACTTTGTCCAACAAACAATATACTTTTCTGTCACAGTTACAATATGAAATATTATATGTAAGCATACTAATAGCTAATTTTTAAGGTTTAAAATTCGCTAGTTATACTTTATACCAAAATGATGAAATACAAATCAGCCTTTCATGATTAAATAATTACTTTAAGACTTTATATGCCTACTGGTTCTAATTCTGCACAAAAATTACCAGGATATATTTGTGCAAAATAATTAATTAATAAAAATGGTGGAAAAAGCGTTTCCCATATAATGAATACTACGTAACACAGTAGACTAAGGGACACTGAAAGCATGAACCAAACCTGAGTTCACCTGCAGTTTCAAGGTGTTTAAGCCTACTCAATCAAATATTCCGAAGCTATCATTCACCCCAGCTTTACTCATTAACTTATTAATAATAATCCCTGCTTACAAGTAACTATGTTCTTCACATTCCTATGACTTAAAGAAAAATCACTGTGCTACACAAAATTTACCGTTACTTGTGAAAAATTCATGACAGTTCAATAAAACAACAGACAAAAATACCTTAGGAATGTCTTTATTCCATTCTGTCTCGTGCTACTTGTATCAGCACTTCCAATACTGTTTGGGTTGAAGAGGCTCATGCCAGAATTAGAAGAATTATTTAGGTCTGCAGACTGCTGGAATACCTCTATTGTTGCCTTTGCAATATTGTCCAGTAAGTTGTTCATTTCGGCCACAGAACCAGAGCCCTAGAGTTAGATATAAGAATACTGGCACATATGTGTATTCCTTTATCCTCAAACATCAACGTGTTTTTGCTTTTTATAAAATTTCATACAGAGATAAGCTTTCAATATAAACTCACAGGGTCCTTCAAGCACTGTTTGATCATTAGCTGGAGTTCTAACCAGGATTGCCTCAGTGTCCACTGCTCAAGATTCTGGGAAAAATGGAAAGAATTAAAACATTATGGGTATCAAATGTGTTAAAATACAGTAATTTCTTACAGTACTCCTTCTCTCAAGAAAGAGCAGAATAATCATACACAATGAAATAATTTATATGAGTCAAAAGGTTCCCAATCTTGCTGCATATATATTCAGTAGCGATACAAACCAATAAACAGAAACATTAATTATTAATTAGTTAATACTGTGCCTGACTCAGCTATGCACTGAAACTAAATAAGCATTTCTCCTTTCAAAATCTATTTAACCAATCCCAATCCAAAATGATTTCAATATTTCTTTAATAATATATTTAACATAGCCCCTCTCTGAAGCATATTTCTCATGTAAATACAATACTGATTTAAAATATCAATATTTGTTTGATGATCATATACAATTTGCAGCATGTACATCCACCCAAAAATAAAGTATGTCAATTCCACAGAAAATGTGTGGGAATAAAAATCAGAATTGAAATCACAAATTAGCAAGGACAAAAAAAGAGAGGAAGTAACTCTTTTTATTATTACGAAGAATTTATCAAATGACAGAAACACAATCTGTATACGACTGACCTGAAGAATACGCTTAATGTGCTGTCTTTGCAGATTGTCCCCCTCGGTACATTCTTTAATGCCATGAGGATAACAGATAAGCTGCAGTAATTTCTGTGCTTGCATATTTGAAAGCACAGGGTCCAATATAAGTTCTTTGTCTGTACATAATCTTTCAGGTTCTTTTAAGCAATGCTCTCCTACCCATTCCTAAAAATAATATGGCAATTAGATTGACAGGCACTGGCTTTCGGTATATATATATGCAATATGTACTAAATCCACAGTGCATAATTGAATAGAAAACTGATAGGAATTTTCCAATTTAAAAAATTACATTAAAAAGTAGGTAGAAAAATTTTAAAAAACAAAATTTTTAGCATTTTGGCTTCTAAAAAATACAAAGTAGAACTTGCTTAAAAACATTTTTTAATGGGAAAAAAGAAAAGACAATAAAGAGAATATTAGTATGTTTTTAACTGGAAAGTAAGGTCTTGCTCTAGGCACTATTTTGTGTCAGTTTTTTCTAACTTGCTATATAATGATTCTATCAGATATACGTTCTTCATAATTTTTATGGAATACATTGTACTATCTCACTGACTAGATACAACATAGTATAACAAATATTTAGAAAACGATCTTCCTTTTTGATACTATTATGAATAATGTTATCATTATAAATGAGTAGTAGTGCACATCTCTTTTTTATACAATAATTTTCTTAGGGTAATTTCATAGAAGTGCAATTGCTGGGTCCAGTGTGAGTGGGGGGCTATAGATGCATGGGGTTAATGACCCTCTGAAGAGTTTCTACCAATTTAAACTCCTATTGCCTTTTCTTTACCATTTTTTTCAAAGGCAAATTATTATACTAAATAAAGTAAGAAATCATCAACAGTAACAGAGCCCAATTTGAACCCAGATCTATTTCGGGTGAAGTCTGTTTTTTAACCACCATACCAGTGGCTCAATGCTGGTTGCCCACTAAAATTACCTGGGATCTTTATAAAATTCCATGCCCAGGGCCCACATCAGACTAATTAAGTCAAACTCAGGTGGTGGCACCCAAATATCAGTAATTTTTTAGGCATCCAAATTGTTTTAAATGCCCCAGCTGATTCCAATATGCACTCACAGTTGGGAACCAACACACAATTGCCTCTCAATACTTATATGACTATGTAGCTATCTTTTACCATAGTTATAACATGCCTGTAAAAATACAAAAACATGACCCAGTCGGTATGACACCTATAGCAAAGTACAAAATAATATATAAGGTATGTCACTTTTTTTTTATAAGAGAACTTTTAAAACAAATATATGGGAGGGAGAATAAACCAAAAAATAATAAAACTGGATCATCTGGTAAGAGGGATATGGGAGGGAGACACATCTCTGAGTATACTTTTTTGTATAGTTTCACTTTTGAAAGTAAGCTATTCTATAGCCAGAGCTGGGGACAAGAAAGGAATTTAAATAATGCAAAACCAAATGAACCTAGTTCTATTTCACATAAAGAATACACTCATAGGGATGGGAAAAGTTCAAATAATTTTTGAACACAGTATTTTAAACCCTTAGAGAAAATGGAATTGCAAACAAATCTTCAAAGCCTTTTAGGTAGGTTTGTTCTTCCTAGTGGTATGTGTGTAACATTTCTTTCTTTCTTTCTTTCTTTCTTTGAGACAGAGTCTTGCTCTCTTACCAGGGCTGGAGTGCAGTGGCGCAATCTCGGCTCACTGCAACCTCCGCCTCCCAGTTTCAAGCGATTCTCATGCCTCAGCCTCCCAAGTAGCTGGGATGACAGGCATGTGCCACCACACCTGGCTAATTTTTGTATTTTTAGTAGAGATGGGGTTTCACCATGTTGGCCAGGCTGGTCTCAAACTCCTGGCCTCAAGTGATCCACCTGCCTCAGCCTCCCAAAGTGCTGGGATTACAGGCTTGAGCCGCTGCGCCCTAGCCTAGTGTACATTTTTGATACTGTATTTTAATTAATCATTTTTTGACAAAGCGCTGGATAGCACATTTAACATGCCCGGCCATGTGTAACATTTTAAAACTATTTCAGATGTATCATAGAATTAAACAAACAAGTAAATTGACGTTTTTGGGAATCAGCATTCTTACTAGGGAAGAAGGTGATACTAATATGAATTAGGGGAAAACACAGAACAACTTTGTGGGGTTGGATTGGAATTGAAGGTATCAGTAGGACCTCATAAATATATATATTTACATATATTTAAGTGTATGGATATATTTTTCTTTCTAGCTTTGTCTGCAGACAGGTCGTAGAATTAATGATACTCCATAACCATGAGCATACATAATACCCAGATCTTGGTTTCTCAGTAACGTTCTCTGCTAAATAGAACCAAGGGCTCCTTGGAGGAATAGTTGATTCCAGGCCCGGGGCAGAGAAAGTACAACATGGGCCAGAAACTATGAAAATACCAACTATTTTTAAAATGTCAAATGATGTGATAGGATGAATAGATTCCTACTGCACAAATCTGGGACAGTCTGAACATGAAAATAACTAAGTACAGTATATTATAACCCATATGGATAATAAATAAACAGGGGAGAGGAGGGCAGGCTCTTCCTTAAAATAGGACACAAACTGATATTATGAAGGGAGAGGAGAAGTTGGGGAAAAAAAAAAACCACCATTTTGCAACCATCATAGTAAAGACTAGACTGGGCAAGAATGAAAATGAATGCTTATGAGGGGTGGGGGAGTTAAACAAGGAGAAGAAAATTTGCACTGTCTCGAAGTATCTCCTCAAAGATTGCTTACTGCAAGGGGAAAATTAGTAACTACACAGTCCCCACTGTATAGTTACTAATCTTGAAACTATACAATGGAAACATCTTAATCAAAATTAACATCACCCTTGAGGTGCAAATGGACATCACATGCCTTCAGACATGATTACCTGAAAGAACTCAAGATTATTTCTGTAGTATCTTGGCCAGGGATGCATAATCTGAAGCTAATCTACAGGAAACCTCAGACAAATCCAACAATACTGGGACAATTAATAAAATCGAACTGTGGCCTATAGATGAGAAAAAATTACTGTACCAAAAGCTAAATTTTCTGATGTTTAATAGCTATATTTTGGTTATGTTATGAAATAATGCAATATTCAAAAGAATAAAATATACAATCTACTCTTAAATGATTCAGAAAAAATAGGTATATGCACCCACATCTCCACATACAAATTACAAAGCACATGTAGCAAAATGTAAAAATTAGTAAATCCGTGTAAAGGATGGACATGAGTTTTTTAAAAATAATTCTTGCAACTTTTCAGCAAACTTAAAATTATTTCGAAATAAAGTGAGCAAGAAAAAAAGGCCCACCTATGCACAAGTTTCCTATAAGTGTAAGTAGCTCTCTCCAAAAGAAGAGTTACGTACTCAAAGTAAAAGGCAAATTAAATTAGAATACCTGTTGACAGATAGTCCTCAGTACATATCTAGCGTATTCTCTTAAATTGGCAGTTTCTATGGAAATGCTTTTCCCACAGGATTTTGGATTTTGTGAGGCAGTCCAGATATCATCAGCATTCCCATCACATCGCAAACCTCTCATGGTGAAGTCATCATTCTTTAAAGAGCTGACACTGTTATTGCCAATTTTGGCATCTCCTAAGTAATAGAATCACAAAAGCAAAATCACAGAAGTTCAAAATATTGCCAAATAATTGAGGAGCAAATGAGGATAGCATTCAGGGATTTAAAATATATGAACAGTATTATTATTGAATAGCCAGTTGTTCAGGAATAGAGAGAATGGATCAAGAGCATAAATGCATGAACCCAGAGAAGTTTCTAACAGAAATGGAGAAAAAGCAAGTTCAAGACTCGGTCCTTATTTTGTTTGTATAATTATAGTTTCACCAAACTTGGAAAGGCCATTATGAATCACACTAAGTAATCAGAGAACATTGGTTTCACCAATATTTCAAGCATGAATGTATTCAAATTCATTTGACTTATAGACAAGGAAAAAATGGGTTACTCACCCTTCTAGATGTCCCTTTTCCATTTCTTCTCTTACAATGACTTATTTTCTATCCATAGGTCAAGAGAAAAGTTTTGCCTTAGCCCACCTTACTATCAACTTCTTGACAAGAGAGATTTATTTCCCTGGGAATGGAAAAGGGCAATGCATACTAAGGAAGCCCTGAAAAGTAGGGCATTCATTGAATAACCCCTGTTTTTTTACCTTCCTCTCTGTAACATACAAATTAGAAAACCTTACCTGATAAATCTTTAGTATACTTAGTGAAATGAAGCTAAGGAAAGTGTTTTCTTCATAACAAAGTTCTGGGAAAGAAACTAAACAGAATGTCTGAATAGCTAGAAATAAGAAAACTCTAGCCATGAGAGACAAATAACTATCATATTTTAAAAGTGAGAGAGTAATAAAAATTCAAAATAAGGATTGCCAAATGACAGCACAGCCTTCAAACTTTTGCCTTTTACTCACAGGATCATAGGCCTTGACAAGAAAATTTCCTGGAACCAACAAATGCTTTTACAGTAGGCCTTCACTGCTTGCAGCAAGTGGGCAAAACAATGCCCAAGTTAATGGAAAAAGCCTTTTAAAACCCACAAGTCAACCAAGAAAAAGTTTTGACTTTGCTGAAAAAAATGGCTTACTGAGTATTTACTAACAAAATCTTAAGCAGAGGAGAGGAATAAATAATGTATTTCAATTTATCAATATATAATCATATGTTTCTCATTAAAATACAAACACAAAGAGTACCAGCTTCACTTTACCCACAGGATTTCATTTAATAGATCACTTCAGGAGCTGAAAGAAAAGAC
Organism: Homo sapiens; assembly: GCF_000001405.40. Taxonomy (NCBI): domain Eukaryota; kingdom Metazoa; phylum Chordata; class Mammalia; order Primates; family Hominidae; genus Homo; species Homo sapiens. The sequence continues at coordinate 151,371,378 of NC_000003.12, read as the reverse complement.
TAAATTCTGCAAGTACCAAAATGTAGTATGCTTTCACTACCGTTAGGTGATGTAAACAACTACCTCTATACCTTGAGTTACATTGTAGAAATTAAAAACCAAATTTGATATAATGGTCCCATCTCCCTAACTCAAAATATATCCTGGTGGATAGGAATTGAGAGTTGGTTAGGGCATGGTAGGGTGGATAAATTAGAGCTTCTGCAAATAAGAAAAGAGAAGAAAGGAAAAGAAAAGAAAGAGAAAAAACAGTACCTGCTAGCCCCATACTAGGAGATCCTCATTTAGTTTAGATGTTAGGACAACAGAGAAGGTATGAGAGTCTGTGCCAGGCCTTCTGCAATTGCATTGACAATAGAATACATTTGAGCGTTCAGTGCCCACCTGGCTCAAAGCTCTGCTGACGTTAAACTGACCTGATCCTGACTTCTTAGACCCAGGGAATCCTCCAAATTATGTGGATGAAGAGGTGGGCAAATTCTACTTGAGATTAGACTAATCCTACAAATCATGGGGCCAGTGTCTAGAAGGTACTCATCTTGGTTTCTGCCATTAGCATATTTGTCATTTATAGATTCACACTTCCAACATAATTTTATTGAAAACTGATTCTTTGCTAGCTTCTCTGATGAGCACTAGAAATACCACAGGTAAAAAAGCCAGTCCCTATCTCTATGGTCCCTACATTTATTTATTAAGTAGAACCGACCAACTGACCTTCCCTTCAAATATGATCACAGTAGGGAAATTCTACTCACTGAAATGAGCACTTAATGTTGGCTGTATAAATCTATAAGCGCCTACACTCAGAGGAGGCTGTGGTCCTTGACGTGGCTCTACCTCCCCTTTTTACTACAAAATTCACAGGCCCGTGTGTGTATCCTTTCTTAAGGTGAAGTTTTAATAGCTTGTTTTATGAAAATTCTGTTATCCTTCCTCATCATCACCAAATAACATTTCCAAAGCAGAGCAAGATTATAGCCCAAAACATGTTATTTAGGACTCATCTAAAGCAATTCCTATCCACTCAGTAATTTCTGTTCTAATGAAGGGGAGCTACTTCTGAACATAAGAGTCAAGACCAAAAGAAGGTACCCAAAGTTGGAATTAGGCAGTCTGACTTGAAGACTTCCTAATCATTCAAAGCCTTTAAGATTTACAGAATAATGTTTTAATGTATTACCCTGTAAATGAAGAGAAAAGGCAGTGCTATTATTCCAGGAAAATTCTTACAAATAAGGATGTAAAGAACATCTTGGACATTATGAATTAAATGAAAAAAATTATTGTGAAACTTAATATTGATTTATCAATAATATCAACATCATTGCAACTATTGCCTGGGTCATCAAAAAACAAAGGTAGAAGGAAATATACTCGTTCAGGGTCATGATAGGAGCAAAAATACTAAGATTAAGACTCAGATTTTCTGGTGTTCTGCTCCTGAAATATAATCTGGATAAAATGTAAACATTTAGTTAGATTACCAAGTCATCCCTGTCTCTCACAAAGTGTGATTTCTGCCACCAGAGAAGGCAAAACAACCCTGTGGGTCTGAGGACCTATTTTACATCAGAATGAGACATTATGCAACTAAAATACCATAAAAAATATTACATGTAAGTTCCCCCAGAGACACTAGATAAGGGACAGGATCTTCCAGAGTCTGATGTATTTGGTCTAGGAGAAACCACTAATTTTTCCAGGAGAATAAGCGATCAAACAGTATCATGTTTCCAATAATACTACTAGATTTAAACCTGAAAATAAATTATTTTGCCTTCATTTCTGGTGATTAACCAAGAAGCTTAGGGTCAGAATAATCTTACCAAGCATCATAATTGCTTTTAAGACAGCAAACACGGCTCCCACTTCAATGCTGTTGTGAGCAGCGGCTAAGAGGTGTCTATCACAAGATGATCTTATTCCAGGGAAAGGTTTGCCTACAAAAACAACAAATCTTTAATAGTCTCATTACCATCATTAGTAATGTTTTGTAATTATTTACAGGCAGTCAGCCTTTCATTGTTAGACTGTGGGTGCTTAATTGCCATTAGCTTGCTTTAATTGATGCTTCATGGATTCACTAAGAAACATGGCCAGTATTCCTCACTTATCCTTTTCTTTTTATTTATTAAAACAATGTCGTTCCTCCTCAGAGAGCTACATCAACAAGATTAGTAGGACCTTCACATATTTGTGTTGATTCTCACACAGACACATGCCTATCTATATGGAAATGATCTTTAGGAGCAGACTTCACCAACGCCCCTAAAATTCTTACTTTATTCCTTTTACTTAGTACAAGAATAAATGAGGGATGGGTGCGGTGGCTCACGCCTGTAATCCCAGCACTTTGGGAGGCCGAGGCAGGTGGATCACGAGGTCAGGAGTTCAAGACCAGTCTGGCCAACACAGTGAAATCCCCATCTCTACTAAAAATACAAAAATTTGCCAGGCATGGTGGTGCATGCCTATAGTCCCAGCTACTTGAGAGGCTGAGGCAAGAGAATTGCCTAAGCCCGGGAGGCAGAGGTTGCAGTGAGCCGAGATCACACCACTGTACTCCAGCCTGGGTGACACAGTAAGACTTTGTCTTGGAAAAAAAAAAAAAAAAATGAAATGACATGAAATGAAATGAAATGAAATGAAATGAAATGAAATGAAATGAAATGAAATGAAATGAAATAAAATGAAATGACATGAAATGAAATGAAATGAAATGAAATGAAATGAAATGAAATGAAATAAAATAAAATAAAATAAAATAAAATAAAATAAAATAAAATAAATCACCATTGCCCTAAGCTGCTGTGATGTGGTTCAGAACCAACACACACAGTACGTGAGAGGACCATGCTGCCCACCAGCATGGCTTGGCCTAAGAGCAGAGGTATTTTTATTGCTTACTAACTCTTGATTCGTATTTCTCAATATATCCTGATATTACACAGATAAAAGGTGCTGACAGCCCTCTCAATGAATAGTATCATCTCACCCTTCATCACCCCCAGGGCATGCCCAAAAAATTAAGAAGGCAATTACAGAAAGGGACAGCCTATTTGGTCATTTTAGAAACTTTAGCTACCAATGAAAAGGTAATCAGATTTTTCTGCAGTCAGCTCACCCGTTGCTTGAGGTAAGAAGCAGGCCTGGGGAGCTCGGAAGAGATGAAGCAAGAGTCGGCATGTCATTCTCGCCCCAGGCTCGGCGTCCGCATCCCCACAAGCTAGGAAAGGGGGATTGGAAAAGCAAGTTTTCTAACACACTTGGGAACAAGTCCTTCAGGTTTCCTATTAAGCTAAATTTCCTGGAATAATTATTTAAATAAATTTTCCTTATGGTAAGAAAATAAGGCCCTGGCTATTTTTCTGAGAAATCTTGGTGCTTCCTTAAAACAGACTGTAACATAGCAGTTTCCCACCTTTTTCACGGTGATACATGTTAATTTGTATAAAATAACTATTAAAATTCTACCATATCTACCTTGATACTACACCACTTCCCAATATACATACCCTCAAATACTCCTTTCCCTGTGTTGTAATGTTAGAAACCACTCCATCAAGACAACAATCAAAGAGCAACGGATGTTCATGGATGCTGCCTTACCTGCTGCTAGAAGAGAGGGAAGTGCGACATGCTGCACGACGTCCTCCAGGGAAAAACACTGTCGTGCTATCAGAATAGCAATGAAAGTAGCTAATGAATCATGGAATGAAAGGTCACTCACCTTCAAGAAAAACATTGACAGGTTTTAATACCTAACAACCTTGTAAGCAGTATCTAAGATTAATAACTAAGAGAATGCAGGCAATACCAATAAGATCTCAAATCCCAACATGAACCAGCAGAGGGAAATGATAACATATCATGATGATTATCCTCTAGGCCTATTTCTATTTTATAAAACAATGAATGAGGTTTACCCACATTCCAATGCTGTAAGAAAATACTGAGCTTTGACTTGCATACATGCAAATGAAAAACACAACAACAAAAATGGAAAATCAGGAAATCACTACAAGATGTAACATCATTAAAACATTTTGGCAGACTGCAACAAGATATACCATTTAAGAGTCAGACAATTAGAAGGCAGGGAAAAACCAGGAGGCTCCCCCTAGTTGAAAAACAAGCCTCACTAAGGTTTTGGAGTTCCTTTCAGTGGTAACTACTAAGGATTCTTTAATGATTAAACTCGTTTTAAAAACAACTCTGAAAGTTTCCAATTGACTCTTAAATTTAAAAAGAAGAAAAAGGACAGAGGGGGAAATTAATTCAGTCACAGTGAAATCTTTACCTTTCTAGATCTCACGTGACCTTGGCAGAAAATAATAAGAAAAACAACTACAATAGCAATCTTCATACTGATTCGCACCATATGCCAAGGACTATGGTTAACTTGCAAAAATCACCTTATTTATTAGCACACCACCATAAGGTTCACACTATTATTAATTCCAATTTTTTAGATGAGGAATTGCAGAAGGTAAAGTGTAATTTAAAAAAACAACTAAGAGATTAAGAAACTATATTAAAGATAAAAATTTAAGTCTCTTCTGTCCAGAAAAGCAGGCCACATCTATGAATTTTATATACATAAATTCTTAAGTCTTCATATAATGAAGATATAGAGATAGGATTATCCAACCAGTCCTGATTAGCAGAATTCAGAAGTCAACCTTCAACTGAGAGGCAGGTGTAAAGATGTATAAAGAACTATGCATAAGAGATACTAGTGTACGACAAAGACTACTCCAATAAGTGGCAACAGGAGAAGTAAAGAATCAAGACAGATTTTTAAAGAAATACACACATCATGGATGCAACATGATATCCAAGGAAGTCAGTGATATATACAAGGGGTATCTTTTCATCATCTTCCAGGCATTAATTGCCAAAAAACACCGGACATCCTCGGAATCTAGACCTGGACATTCTTATGTAACCCAACAAAGCCTTTATTTGTATACTGCGCCTTGCACTTAAAAATATCAAAGTGGCCTTCTTCAGAATGTGAACTGCTTTAGTTAGATTATGTCCCATGCTGTGAGGAATCCAGGGCAGTTGGTAAAAAGAAAAAACAGCTCTGAAGAGACCATCCATATGGAAGAAATCTCAACTAAATGGAAATTTCAGGAAACAAAGAAATTCTTGGCCCCTCTGCTACAGATTAAACTATGCATTCTATTTATTTCTATTTTTTTTCATGTATTTAATCCCTGGCAATGTCATTGTGGTTTACTGCTTTTGGACAGAGAAAGAAAAAATATTTTATAACATTTCAGTTGAATCAATTAAATAAAAGCCAAAAGCAAAAAGATTACCCACTAACTAAATATTTAATTGCACAGTTCAATTTTTAAATGAAAAAGAAAACTTACATCTACAGTGCAAAGTACATCATTAAACCCCCACACGTGATTTGAAGAACAACAAAGAGCCTTCAGAACCCCCAGCCATTCTGAACTAAGAACAGTGCAGCAAGCCGTAAGCTCAGAGGAGAAATTGGCTATGTCGTTAATCCTAGAAAAGAAAAAGAAGACACAGAAAGTAACCTTGTACAAAAGAGAAATACTCACCTGTGATATACTTAATTAACATATATTTCACTAACATCAAACAAGTCATTTTCTTAGATTCACAGATAAAATACTCATTTGTCAAATAACTTAGTAGAACCTTGAGAAGAAGATAACAATGGCTTCAAATATTTTTGACAATGCTGTTAAGCAACAAACAATAATCAGTACATACACGAATTAGAATATTTTTAGTTTCGTGAATAAATCTGAGCTACGATTTACATTTTTAAGGGCATCAAAAAATTTATAGACATCATGTAATTTAGGTGGACCCAAATACGGTTTTTTTCAAAATACAGGCATTCTTATTTATATTTTTATTATATGTTTTTGAAAATAAATCATGTAATTGTTGGCCATATTGAAAACATCTCATGCCAGAGTAATAAATAAGAAAGCACTGTCTCTCAGGTTAAGGAAATTAAAAGATAGTGCAGAGGTAAATTAAGGAATAAAAGAAGATTTAGAAAAAGCAAATGATAGCCAAATGTGAGTCCAGACACTTACTAACGACATCAATTTCAAAGAAGCACCAAGGCAACAACTCTTTGGTTAATCATGAATTCCAGGGTAACCCATCTCACCTGCCAGCATCCTGATGGCCCATACATACATTCATGAGTGTATTGCAGACAAAGCTGTAGCGATTGGCCGCATTGTCACTGAGGATCTTGCCCAGCATTGAGTAGTTGATGCTGCGGGCTGAGGGATTCTCAATAAAATCCATCATGAAGTCTGGATCCCATCGCAAGTTCGAATTTGCAGGCATCACGTTATTATATATGGTTTGCTTTACTTTTGAACAGGCACTACTGAGGTTATAAGAAAAAAAGTTAAAACAGAAAAATAAAACTAGAATAACTAGAAAACTATTTCACTTAAGGACATATTAAATGGCAGGAACTGTAATGCATTCCTAGAGAAGATTCACATTATGAGTTCTTAATTAGAACTTCTTACTAATTGGCGCTAATCAAAGTACTTTGGAATGTAGAAATTCCTCAATAAATAATTTCTAAATAGGTGGAAGAACAAAACAGAAATGAAGTATTTGGTTATAAATCTTAATTATTTCCTAAATATGGTCTACATTTTACATGCTTTAAAAATCAAAGAAATTACTATGGCTTCCAACAACTGTGTCTTAACAGTTGTTGAAAAGTGTTATTACTTAAAAATAAAAAAAGATTCAATTACACATAAGAGTACTCTTAATTACATATCTTACAAAACTATTTCTCTGGTATAGTGTACGCAGTAGAAGTTCGTGTGCCAAGACTATTCTGGAGACTATGGCACAGCTGTGAAAAAGAGAGGCACATTCCTTGTCTTCAATGAACTTACATTCTAGTAAGGGGATATGGATAATACACAAATTCTATGGAAGTGAAAAAACTATTATATCATTCATAAAAACTTATCATGTTGTATTTCTCAGAGGCATTAAGAGATTTTTAAAGAGCCTGCTCTATCATATAAAAACAGCTCATGTTTCAGTGAGTTACGTCTGAATCAGATATAGACTACTAGAAGTATAACAGGAATTAGAACCTATCTCCTCCAAACCTGCTCTGTGAATGAGACTGGCAGAAAGATTTGATGTAAAATCTCAGATTCTATATAAACTTAGCCATTTGTGCTTACCTTCTGTAGGTAGCATATCCATAAACAACATTCACTCTCTCTACTCAAAAGCTCTTTTATGCATCAGAAAGTCTGTTTTATAGATTAAGTTTTTGGCAGCAAAAGTATTTGTGGTTTGTGGTGACCTATGGCTTTTTTTTTAAACCCCATATTGTTATATACTTGCATCAATGGCAGCCAGGAATGAGTCCCTCGAAGATGAAAAGTCACAAAGACTCTCTATTCTAAACTATTGCCACTGTCAATAGCTTTAAGAAAACAGAGATTGTTCAGTTCAATGTTTACCAAAATGTAGTTTCAGCTCTATTCCTTGAGAATCACTTTTGGGGTGTTTGTTAAAAATATAGAATCCTGGGCCTCCACTGTGGGTGTATAGAGTCCGTATGTGTAACAAGATCTCCCACATAAATCAAGTGCCAAGTAATGCTTGGGAAGCACTACTCTAACAAAGAGGACTAAAGTCATCTACTAAATGGCAGCAATTACAATCTTCTACACTCTCTTTCTGTGTAGACAACTTATATTTTAAAAAATGTGTTGGTTGTCATTGAAGGATACAAGTTTGCAATTCAGAGTCATGACATTTTCAGTTTCTTGAGGTTGATGTGAGAAATAAAGCTCTTGATGGAAATAACCCAGCACAGTGCTTGGCACACAGCAGTAGCTCAATCAGTGGTAGAGGTGACCAGTGTTGTATCTCCCCCAAATACTCCTCTCACACAACTGTGTGAATGGTGTTTCAGAAAAAAATACTCCTCTCACACAACTTTATGAATGGTGGTTCAGATAAAATTATTAAAGTTGTTTTATCAGCATACTGATAGAAATCTCTCTGTGTATCCAGCTTTTGTTTGCCCATTTTTCTTCATCTCAAACTACAAATAGGTCTCTGACTTCAAGATATCCCAAGAAAGTTGTATTTCTCTTTCATTTTTTCAAATAGAGGAAACTTTAGACAGTGCCAATCACTATGATGTGCCACTCTGCTGACCCCTGAGTAATTACTCTATTCACTGTGTGCTGGTACCCTAAATTTCCACACACCCCACGCCCAGCGCATGTTACTTGAATTACCTCATTTAACCTATTTGCACCACACTGCAGGAGTATTAAGGGTCAAATAGGCTACTGGGGCTGTCTGAGGAAGTTCACTATTAAAAAAACGGCTGCTGTAAGAACTAAATCATGTAAGAGAAAGCTCTTTGAAAAATGTAAGCTGAAATGGAAAGCTCTATGTAAAGTAAGAGAAGAATGTTAAGTATTTTTAAATTGTGACACAATTTCTGTGGAAAGATATTTCCTAAGACCCACTCAAATATTTCACAAAGGATTATTTTGAAACCTAACCCATTTCATATTTTCACACTTTATTAATACCATTAAAAACATGAATTGTCTTAGATATAACTATCATTCAACAGATTTTTTTTTCAGTGCCTACTAAGAGCCACATACTCTTCAAGACACTGGGATGTAGCAGTGAAAAAAATAGAAAAAGCTTCTGCTGTCATGAAGCATACATTCTAAGGAGGAGCCAGGCCATAAATAAATATAGAATCTACAGTGGGGGTAGCAAGTGCTGAGGCTCAGAATGATGACATGGGGGTGCTATTTAAAATGGTGTGCTCAGGGAGACAGTCGTGAGTGAAGTGTGGGAGTGGGGCACACAAGTAACTGAGGACAAGTATCACAAGCAACGTAAGATAAAGTGCAAAAGCCCTACTGTGGGTTGTTCTTAGAGTGTTTGATCAGTAAAGAGGTCTGTGTGGCCACAATAAACAGAGGGAAAGGGGTGGAAGAGAAGATGGGACCCTGCAGATCTTGAAGGCTAGGTAGGGATGGTGAATTTTATTCTGAGTGGGTGGAAAATCACTGAAAGCCTGTGAATCATTCGTATATTAAAAGGATCACTTTAGTGGATGTTGAAAATGTGTTTTAGAGTTAAGGGTGGAAGCAAGGAAACCAGTTAGAAGAACTCTGCAATGGTCCAAGCAGAGGTATCCACAGCGGTAAAGAGAGGGTGAAGAATGGGCAGGTTCTAGAGATGCTTGGAAGGCAGAGATCACAGAATTTACAAACTGGATACGAGGTATGACAAAGGAAAAAAAATGGTAGTTGAACATCCTTTCCCTACCTCCTTCTGGATTCCAAATTTGTTTTCTTAGCTATTACCTTCTACCACTCTCCTCCTACCCATCTATAGTAAATAATTGTCCTCAAAATAACATTAAATAAGCATTTACTTTCCAGCCCTAGTGCTGCCTGTGGGGGTAGCAAGTGCTAAGATACAACGAATGACAGGAAGTTGGGGATGCTATTTGAAGTAGGAATGGCCATGGAAGCAGAAAGACAAACGGAGTGAAGAAGTCAGCATGCAAATAGCTCTGAAAGAATGTTCTGAGTGGGGTGATTTCAAGAGCAAAGCACAGAATATTGTCTCTCACACTTACAGTAATTTGTAATAAAGGTTATAGCTACAGCCAAAAATAATTCAATACAAATTCTGGATAAGAGTATTAAGAAAATAAAAATATTTATAAAAATACAACTTTCTGGACTCATTAAACAATAAAATATTCCTTCAGCAATAAGATGTATTGACAGGAATCAAATACTACTATCATTATCAGGTCATGAATTTTAAGTCTAAGATAGCAAGTAGGTTAACTGCAGAATTTACAGTACCTTTTTATGATTAATTCAGTTCTATTTTTTTCATACCAGGAAACATTAGATAGCATTTATCAAGCTGAACCTGAATCTAATACAATCTGTAATAGAAACCAGGTTTCCTACTTTTAATGCACATTGATTTAATGTTATTCAGTGAGGGTACTGGTCATTTTAAAAAAACTCATTAACACATGAAAAAGTTACCTGCTAAACAGCAAAATTGTTTTTGTGAAAAAAGAGGAAAAGTAAACACAGTCTGAAAAAGTTCTAGAAAAGTGAATGGGGCTATAGAACCTTCTATGAGTCACCAGGAAATAAAAAATGAAACACTGTAATGCCCAAAGGATATTAAAGCTAATCCAAGTAATGCAAAAAGTCAGCTCAGAAAAGGTAGATATCAAAATCAAGAGGGATACAAATAAAGCAAAATACAAAGAGCTGCCTCATTGATCTTTCTATTAGATTTATAATCCAAATTGAATTTTAAACTTAAAATGGAAAGATATATCAAATAATCATTACTTCAGTAGGACTTACTTAAAATGCACTGTCTGTACAACATATAGAAAATGTAAAATCTTAAGAAATACTTTATTTATTGAAGAAATAAAATCAGACCTAACATCATTTCAATATTGGGGGAAAAAAAACCTATGATCACACATTTACATTGTGTAATAGACTATCGTGTATTGTCCCTGTCTATTTTAATATTCAGTTTAAACAAATCATGAGTATATCAAAATTACTGCCTAATAGATACAATTGCAATTAGCTTTCATTATTCAAAAGGATGACAATATTGTCAGGGTCACTAACAAACATAGGCATGATCCTATTTCTGTCCTTTTGAGTCTCTTCTACTCACCTGAAGAGGTCTCCAAATTTACTTCTGAGGTGGCTACATGACACATAGAGATCATAGAGGTAGGCTAAAATGCATCTTTCAGGGGAAGAACATTCTGAGGGGTTTACGACATGCTTGACCACACCACACAACCTGAGGAGAAAAATATACGAAGAAATAAGACATAGATTTGTACTATGTGGGTTATCATTTGACTCTTTTAGAATGAAAATATGTATCACTTGGGTAAGAAAAAGGATATTGGATTGTTGAAACTAATAAATAGAATAGTAAATAACTCAGTACAATATAATTTTTCTATTATGACACTGAAATAGATTTTAAAAAAAACTTCAGAAATGTCACTGATGACAAGAAACAAAAGCAAGGAAAGAAATTCCTTCATAAAGAAGGTACGTATGGAGGAATCCACCGATTAAGTTGCTGGGACTGAGACACAAAAGGAAAACTGTTGTAGAGAGCCCCTGCCTCCGCAGATTCACAAATTCCATCAGCGTGCAAAGATTCCCAAGTTTTCTCCTTTGTAAAGGAGCAATGCTTCAAAGCAGTCAATCTGGAAAACCCATTTTCAAGTGCATAAGCAGTTCATGGTTTGGAGTCACATTCCCCTTATGCATGTATACATTCCCCTATGTATACCAACTAGTAATAAATTTATTTTAGTTTATCTTATATAAGAAGATAAAGCCCCTTCTGTTTTGTAATATTCTGTATAACTCCTGTAGTTATAGGCCTCTTTGTCCACAGTCCATACAACACAGAAGTCCATACACCACAGCTGTAAACACTTGTGGTCCATTCACCTATCTGTGCATCTGATTCCATCACCATCTTGTATTTTGTTACAGGGCTCAGCCATTATATTACACTAACGGAGTCACAGATGACAGATTATTAAAGACGAAAAAAGCTTTAGAAACTATCTGATTCACCATCCTTATTGTATAAAGGAGGCTCTGAGAGGCAGAAAGGTGGGGTGACTTGCTCAAAGGCAAAGAGCTAGTTCTAGCAGAAGCAAGACAACAGCTTAGGTTTCCAGACTCCCAGATCAAACTCCTCTGTACTATTCAGGGGAAAGGGCAAAGTGGAGAGAACATAGGATGTCTAGGCCAAGGAGGACAATGGAATCACAGGTACCATAGGTGGAACCAAGGAGACTTCTTGAGGAAATGGCAATGTAGTATCCCAAACCCTGTGAAATGACATCAACAGATGGGACTACCTAGCAGCAGGTAAAAGCTGCCAATTAGAACAAAAGTGTCACACAATTAAGAAGAAAAGTAATGATTCAACCTGTTAACTATATAAACAAGCAAACCAAAAACTATGCAGCCATAAAAAAGAACAAAATCATGCTCTTTGCAGCAATATAGATGTAGCTGCAGGCCATTATCCTAAGCAAACTAATGCAGAAACAGAAAGCCAAGCACATATTCTCACTGTAAGTGGGAGCTAAGCATGAGGTACACGTGGACATAAGGATGAGAACAACAGACACTGGGGACTACTGAAGTGGGGAGACAGAGAGCAGAGGAAAGGTCTGCAAAACTACCTACTGAGTACTATGCTCACTTCCTGATGGTTTCAATCATAACCTGAAACCTCAGCACCAAGCAATATACCTTTGTAATAAACCTGTAATAAATCTGTTCTAAAATAAAAGTTAAACAAAATCCTGATATTATCTATAAAGCGAAAAATTATTTTGTGACTAAAGTAAATAAACATTTATTCAGAGTCTGTTAGGTTTAGGTATCCATCGTATAGTAGTCAGTGTTTCCTCAACTTCTTTGATTTGCAAGCAATAAGAAAAACATTTCACATCGTAATCCAGTGTACTGTTCACATAAGTACGAAGAAGTGAAATAATAGTTTTAAGCATAATACTTACCCTTACTAATATAAGGTAAAAATACAACAAAGTTAATGTCAAATATGATTTTATGAATATTTAACAGGATAAAAATTTTCAAGGCCAAACTAAATGATACTGAAATCAATTTCAAAATAACAATATTAAAAACAAAAAACAAAAACAAAAAAACTTGTCACAACCCATTAAATTCATTTCATGACCAACTAATGGGTTTCAATATACTATTTTAAAAGTAGAACATAGATTAAACAGCATGAATAAGCTTCCAGTTCGAAAGATTTTTATTAAAATCTGTGAGATTTATTAGCTATGTGATATAGGGTACATCACTTCACCAAACACTTAACAGGCCTGAATCTCAATTTCCTGGGCTGTAAAATAATACTAAATTCAAACTTTATACAGTAGCTGAGTTATTAAATAATTCTCTATTTCCTGAATTCTAATATGTAAATATTCTTACATTCTGATGTTTTTAGGATGTTTCAGATTTCATTTCATAACATGTAATTAATACAAATAAAGGTAGCATTTCCTCTTTCCCAGAATAGCTACTGTTAAATTGATATCATTCTAGGATAGCATATAAATTGATTACATGTGCTAGATTAAAAAAATAAAAGGTACTATAAAACCAAAGAACCCCATGATTCTTTTGAGCTCAGAAGGAAAAACTGAAGAGAAAGAAATAACAGGTTGTCTTTCTGTGTTTAAATAAAAAGCCCTGGAGAGTGGATAAAAAGCAGCTTATGTAAGTTTTTGAGAGCTCATTTACACTAATTTGGTGCCTTAGCCTCAGTCTTTAATGGGGGTGGTATTAGCTAATTCTGTAGCTCAACTTCATTAGTAGAGTAAGCCCCAGCCTACAACTGAAAATGAAGTAATTTGTTCTAGGTTAATTCTTATCAAAAGATATCTTTAATCAAAGAAATGCAATTGAAGAACCAAATTTCTAAGATGATAATGTATGCAAAGCTTATTTGATGTTGAGTCTGCAAACATAAACTGAAATTACATGAATAAAGAAGTTACAGCATTCACTATTCATAATATGCCAGGATGCTGGCCAACATTAACCGTAGAGTGCTATAAATGACTAGCTTTGTACTTAGAAACCAGGGAGAGGGAAGAAAGGCAAGGAGGAAGGGAAGAAGGAATCACACATTATTAGAAAGAACATACTTTACATGCTTAGACCTTTTTGATCGATGTTTTCTGGCAAGAGTGTTCTTTAACCATGTTTTAACTAAAACAGGTATCAGTACTATTTTTCTTTTAAAGCCACTATAATATTTCATCACTAGTTATACATTCTGAGATTGGAAAAACAACAATGACATGCTATATACCAACCCTTCAAACACCTGGGCTGTCTGATCAGGATTCAAGATTAGACAACTGTGATAGCGCCTGAGAACAGCCACGATGCAGACACACAGTCCTGTTGTATAACTTCCTGCCAGGCTGGAGGATTTTAGGAGCAGTTCAGCTTCCACAACACTCAGTTCATTTAGTAACTGTAACAGGAGAAAAGACTGAATAAACATGTAGGTGCCAAAACAAATAGAGAAAACATTTATTTTTATAAACCATAGATATACTGAGTCATTACACTACAAATACATTCCCTAAATTTAACTTTTTTAAAATTTTTAATCCTTTTCCAATTTATAGAGTTGTTCTTCTGTCTAGACATCAGGATGTATACAATTAGGAAGTACCCAGTGCTGAAATAAGGTACTGAAACTTCAGGGCAGTGCAAGGTCCTGGACTGTATAATTTTAGAAAACCCCACCCCTCACTTTTCTCCCCTTTGTCTTTTTAATAAAATGAAAGTTATTTGGCTTTTCTTTTCATTAACAAAGTTAATATCTCCTATAAAATAAACAAAGGAAACCAAGTCTTATTTCTGTTTGCTAATAGCAGAAGGAAATAATGAACTCAAATGTGCATAAGAAATAACACAGTGGGGCAAATCAAATCATAAGGTTTGTTCTGGCTCTTAACCTAAAACATGCTCTATTATAAAGAGCAAATAAACTTTCATCTTTGCTTCAGGAAAATAACAAAGACCAAAAGAAAAACAACAACAACAACAAAAAAAAACAGAAGAAACACTCAAAACTCTCACATTTTTAAATGGTATATATTTTGGCACCAATGATAATTATTTAATTGAAAACTATGAACACAACTTTAAATAAAATGTTAGTTTAAGACTGTTAATTCACAATGTCTAAATTATTCAAAATTGTACTATGTCCCTAAAATGATGTTAATGTACAGCAATTGGTTCATTGATTTTTATTTTTTAAATTTTATTTATTTATTTATTTTTGAGACAGGGCCTTGCACTGTCCCATAGGCTTGAGTGCAGTTGTATGATCATGGCTTATTGCATCCTTGACCTCCTGGGCTTAAGTGAGTCTCCTGCCTCAGCCTCCCAAGTAGCTGGGACTACAGGCATGCAACCAGCTAATTTTTAAATTTTTTGTGGAGATGGGGTCTCACTAAGTTGCCCAGGCTGGTCTAAAACTCCTAGATTCAAGCAATCCTCCTACCTCGGCCTCCCAAAGTGCCAGGATTACAAGCACAAGCCACTGTGCCCAGCTAATTGGCTCACTTTAAATTGCACAATGCCTGGTGGATTTGCTTTCCTAAAAGTAAGAGAAACATGGTCTCTTTGACACCTGTATTGCGAAGTCAATTAGTCCGTTGATGTTCAGTGCTGGCTCCATGAGATCAAAGATGAGCTGAATGTGGTGAGCCAAAGGGAGATGATAGGATGTTCCTGACGCAAAGCTTGTGATTTGTTCTAGCACATTGTTAGAAATCTGTGCAAATAAAAACAAAAATATTGTAAGACCAATATTCTAAATAATCTTTTACTAAGATAAATCATTTTTACTTTTTAAGACAGTTGAATCTATACATGATTCTACTTTGACGAAAGTCAAAACGTGTTTCTATAGAAACTATAAAACTATGTACAAAGAAAATGATTTCTTCATAACTACAATTTTAAAAAATACAAAAAGTTGTCATTCAGACCTAAATCTTAAGTATTCTAATGGTAGAACAACTACAAATATTAATTTTTAGACACAACCATTTGAATATCAATGGATTTGTAAAGCAAAACAGATGTGTTTTCTTCTCAATGTCGTAGTATTTTATTTCAATCATCAACAGATTTCTCATCAATTGCAATATAGGACCAAACTCTAATAACCTAACTATTTCATTAGCTATTACTTTATATGTCACCGATTATTATCATAAGGACAAAAAAAGTACATAATAAAAATTAATCCTTCGAGGAAGGCAACCTGACACTTAAAAGAACTACTCAATAGTCTGAGATACTTCCAAGTATGTTTATAAAATATATGTCTAAAACCATTAAGGTTGAGAAAATATACTGCATGAAAAAAATTTTTAAGTAAATTAGAATACTGCAAATGCATAATAAACAGCTTTAAATAGCTACCTGAGATGTCACTTGATGTTGATCAAAATATGAAAGGAGCTGGAGTTTAGTGAACACAGTCTCCAGTGTTGGAAATGTCTCCTGTTTGTTCTTCCTGGCTTTTTGTCCTTCGTCCCCAACTACATAAACATAAAGCAGATCCATTATTTTCCATTTAATAGAAGCTCTCGACATTTTTAATGGATACTTTTTTTTAAAGTATAGCATACATACAGAAAAGTGCACAAATTCTATGAATTTCAATAAAATAAATACACAATAAGACTTGAATGCAAAGTAACAGAATGGAATCTCAGAAACTCCCTCAGGCCTCTCTAGGCATGTCTCCCTCCCTAGGAGATCAAAATCCTGACACCTAACAACTTAGATTGCTATTGCCTACACTGGAACTTTATATATAAAGGAAATCATATAGTATATGCTTTCCACATCTGGCATCTTGCAATCAACAGTATGCTTTTAAGATTGATTCATGTTGCTGAGGTAATTTTAATGTGTTCTAAAAACTAATAATTCTCACTTATTTACAGTATTCCAATGTGTTACTGTACCACCATTTACTTAACCATTCTAGTGAGTAGTTTCCAGATTTTAGCTATCATAAAAAGTGCCTTTATAAACATTTCTCACTAAACAACTTTTAAATTACAATGATATCCACAATGAAGGTGGGGAGATCTCCTGGGCTCACTTTGACTTAATCAAACACTTGCTTGGCATCTTCTTTGGAGACTCATCTTGTTACTTTTCTGACACAGTTTAATATATTTTTTAAAAAAGAAATTACATGATTCCTTTTTTAATAGTGGCAAAAAATTAAATCATTCCACATTAATGAAGAAGTGACATGTTTATCAAATTAGCATAAAGAGGTTTGAAGAAAATTCCAATTAAAAAAAATAAGCATTGCTTATTCTAGGGGTACTCTTCTTAACTGTTCTAACAATAAAATCCAAAGCTAGCTTCAATCCTGCTTTTAAATACTTTAATATTTTATGTTTACAAAGACAAATCTAAAAACAAAAAGGAAAAGTTGGATATATGATTGATAATGTCATTTCTAGCACTGTGATTCTTTTTTTTTTTTTTTTTTTTTTTTGAGACGGAGTCTCGCTCTGTCGCCCAGGCTGGAGTGCAGTGGCGGGATCTCGGCTCACTGCAAGCTCCGCCTCCCGGGTTCACGCCATTCTCCTGCCTCAGCCTCCCAAGTAGCTGGGACTACAGGCGCCCGCCACTACGCCCGGCTAATTTTTTGTATTTTTAGTAGAGACGGGGTTTCACCGTGTTAGCCGGGATGGTCTCGATCTCCTGACCTCGTGATCCGCCCGCCTCGGCCTCCCAAAGTGCTGGGATTACAGGCGTGAGCCACCGCGCCCGGCCAGCACTGTGATTCTAAGTAGTTAAAGGCTACCAAGACAAGAGTTCTACTCCTCACACTGTCGTCTTCTTTAGGAAAGTTTAATTTCAGAGAACAAAGGTTACTTTACAGATTTCTCTATTAAAGACACAAGAAATGAACAAGATTTCACTGAACTCAAAAATATTTTGCTAATGGCAAATGTAATGGTCTTAAACAATAACATGAAAATAAAAGAGACTTCTCTTTCAACAATAAGCAATTAGTGGTTACAGTCAAAAACAAAATAAAACAAAACACCACAAGGCTGGTTCTTTTCTAATTCCCTAACAAAGAAACCTTGATGCTAGAGTACATCAGAATTTAAAGGTGCTGGGGTAACATAAGTTACAAGCTTGTGCCACTTTTGGCCAGTAACACCAAATATAATGCAAAGATTAGGAACTAACAAATTCATTAAACCTGCTTATTTTTTCAATGTCTATTCTCAAAAGTACAAATTATGTATGAAATTTTGCCTTCACTGTAGCTGCTCACATGTCATGAGCATGTTTAAAATAACCAAGTTTTGAATTTTTCATTTACTAACATCTTTGATCCAAGGCTGAAGAGCTAACATCAATAGTCTTGTGCACAAAATGCCTTAAAAGTGAAATTAATGCATTGATTCAGTTCTTCCTGGGACAAAACAAATAATAACAACAGACTTAAAGAAGTAGATCCTACTAAAAACTCCCAAGTGCACCTTTTTATTTGTTTGTGTTAATGGACTCCATTTATCTATGTATCACTAACTTCTTAAAACTTCATGTAAAAGAATGTAATTGGTTCTTAGCAATTTATACTCATTTTAACAGCAAAATGTAAGAAATCAGTGGTGATTCTCAACGAAATACTTTATTTTAATGATATTTACATGAGTAACATTATAGTCAATATATATTTTTCCTCATCTTTCTTATGTTAATTTGCTTTTATAACATATTATTGCTCTTTTGTTGCTTAATTTTGATTTTCTTTTTTAAAAATCTTTAAGTCCTGAAACTTTAGCCTCTTAAAGGTTGTCATAGTAAACTTCACTAATATTTTCAAAAGATACACCATTGACAACCAAAAAAGATAACTGGTCAAGGCAAATGAAAAATGAACTTTGATCATTCAACTGGAAATGTTATTTAAACTTTATACTATAAATTCCCCTAGGCAAGACCTGGCTGATCTGACAACACTCCTAAATGAGTTGGTTCCTCAAAATATTATTTTCATGTGTTCCCAGAAATCAAATACATGCTAACACAAGGTCTGTTTTCCTTACCAGTACTCATGTTGCTGAAAAAAGTGGGCATATTTCCATTAATATGAAGTACAGTTAGCTAATTTCTGGTGCTTACACTAAGTTTTAACTAGTGACTTAAAATTAAGATTATTTACAATACAGCAGCTCACTACATCCCAAATTAACAGCTTTCTGGTTAAGGAACTTTATCTAAAATGAAAGAAAGTCAAAAATCCCCTCCCAACGATGTGGTTCCACAGATGATGTTTCTATTTACTGAAAAAGGTTGAGGATCCCTATTCTGAGAATCCAAAATCTGAAATTCTCCAAAATATGAAACTTTGAGTGCAGACATAATGTCACAAGTAGAAAATTCCACACTTGATCTCACATAACAGGTCACAGTCAAAATGTAGACACACAACACAGTTTATTAAGCATCCCCAAGAGAAAAATAAAATTACCTTCAGGGTATGTATATAAAGTGTATATGAAACATAAATGAGTTTCATGTTTAGACTTGGGTCTCATCCCCAAGATTTCTCATTATATATGCAAATATTCAAAAATGTGAAACTATCCAAAATCCAAAACCCTTCTGGTCCCAAGCACTTCGTATAAGGAATACCTCACCTGTTTCTCAAAAGGCAGCACAGAACAACAATGTTTTTCGCTTTGTGAGTTCATATGCTAGAATTGCCTATTTGAGGGACTGCTACAAAGACAGGACAAACTATAGTGTGGCATTAAAAAGCTGTGAAGGAAGTTAGTACGCTCAACAGAAAAGGATACCACATTGCTTCCTTCCCCTTCCCATACCCCTCAAGCCTTCTAAAAAGTTCCATAGGCTCTGGAAAGACCCTCTAAAAATAATTTAGATAAAATATGTATTACGAACCTCCTGAAGGAAATACTGACTCCCCCCTACCCCATTGCCAAGTATACCAAAAGTAGTTTTAAATATTCTTTGCTAGCTAGTTTCAGGGCTTCTAAATTCAATCTTCTAAATGCAACTGTTTCCTCTTTTCTCTAAGACAGAGAAAACACCAAAACAACAGATAAACAGTTTTCTTAGACAGAGCACTTTCTTTTTTCAAACTCAATAATGACACATCAACAAGAAGGTTTCATTTCCCTTCCACAACTCTTGGTTGCTTCCTCAGAGAGCTGAGGTATTTCAAAGCCCTTAACTGGGAATGGAAGGGAGTTAGGGAAGGTGATGTGAATAACAGGAAGGATAACTTTCCCACTGTGTTCTGAGGACTATCACCTCTGACATCAGATACCCAGAATGCCATATGCAGATAGAAACACACTGCCTCTTGTACCATGTTTCTGCATGTGCACCATGATTGACCGGGAAGAAAGAGAACCTATCTTCATTATTAAGATCTGTATTTTTCTCTAGTAAAGATCTAGGGTGGACAAATTCTAGCAATTTATCCTGCTAAAGTCTAGGAACTGGATCTCCTGTGAAGAGTCCATAAAAAAGTATATGTACTACAGAACAGTAGGGCTCCTAGAGGTGGTTTATACCACGTGCAGGAAGAATGTTGTTTACATAGAGTAAACACAAACTTTCTTTTTCCTTCTATGATTTAAGTATTAGAGAAATAAACACCAGTGGTGGTAGCAGGATACCTAATTATATATTTAAAATAATTTGATTGCCTAATGAAATAAACAAACCTTGAAAAGAATAATTAGGCAAACGTGAAGTGGATAATTACAAAATTCCAATTATGCAATGTGGTGATACAACATAAAGGCACAGCTTCACTGTAAAAACTATGTCAAAAGGATGAGGAAAGAGCATTTCAACTAAAGAAGACATTATAGAGCAAAGATCAAATTCTTTTATTTGAAATCATTTGGAGATATAGGTAGCCATCACTACCTACTGCAATCATTTTTCTCAATAATGCAAGAAAAGGTGAGCAAATATGCTGTCATGATTTTCAATTAACATGCAAATGTGAGTGCCCCAGAAAAAAAACTAACCACAAGCTTGGAAAATTATGGTAAAGAAACAGAGAAATGGATCTCTTCCAGACTAAAGGTTTTCAACTCATTCTTCAGTACTTCATTTATTACTACTATAGAAAATTTGAGAAGTATACCAAAAATCAGAATAAATTACCTACACCTACCTATGGAATACAATATTTTAATAAAATAATATTTAATATTAATACCTTGTATTAATATTTTAATACAAGGGTTGCTATAAATGGAAACAAGGCTTTAAAATTTAAATGTGCTTGTTCACATTTCAATGTGAGAGTCATTCAGGAGGGGAAACGCTCTGTTGACAGTGACATAGAACACTTTGATAAAGACTGTGCTCAGAGGGAAGGCAAAAGGCAACACAATGGGAGCAAATGCATTAAGGTTCTTTACCCCCTGTCTCTGTGGTGCTCTTCTTATTTAGAATTTTCAGGATATCTTTGGTAATCTTCTTCAGCTGATGCCTTGCTTCATCACGCTCTTTGCCGACTCCATAGAGAAGGATTGTGCGCTGGTTACATTCATGACTTGAAGATTCATCCTGAAAAACAGAAAATGCATTCTGAAACTCTTGTCTGCAGGGGTGGGGTTGCATTTCATATCCCTGAAATGCACTGACCACAGCACCTCCATGCTGGCTTGCGGTGGTGGCATCCCGCCCTCCCTTCAATTCACCTCAACCTCCACTGGCAACACCCTTGTTTTTCCAGTTTGGAACTTGCTAACATTATAAAAAAAAAAAAAAAAGTGTCAACTGACCTGAAGTCTTAATAGAAGCACTTGATGTGGGCGTACCCTACAAAGTAAGTTTTGGCTATTGAAAAACTTTTCATTGTTTAAAATTGAACATGGTATTAATTTCACATCATGTAACATATTGTCTAGTCATATTTTTCCCTTAAGGAAAATGTTATCTCTTCATAAGCCTGGTTTTATATATAGCAATAGTAAATATTTACATTTAGGGAAAAATATCTTGCTAGGATCCTCAAACACCTTTATAAAAAATATTCCTGGACAGGGTGCAGTGGCTCCTGTCTGTAATCCCAGTGCTTTGGGAGGCCAAGGTGGGAGGATCTCTTGAGGACAGGAGCTCAAGACCAGCCTGGAAAAGAGCAAGACTTCATCTCTACAAAACTATATATATTCCATTTATTTCCAACATGACTGTGTGAGATACATGTATATTTATTTCCAAAAGACAAAACAATAAAGCGTGTAGGTGTCATTAGGTGTGAGGCAAACAGCTGAAAATGCAAACATGTTCTGACATCACCACTCTTCCCTTCTGGACCACCTCTCCACCACCACCCCATAGGCACAGTGAATCCAAGCACCATTTTTTTCCCCACGTGGGAAAGAAATTTAGTCACAGCATAACGAAAGCATATGCACACCACTGAACACATTCCTCAGCCAAAGTAACAGAGTCCAAGATGTGCCCTCTCTTGTGCCTGGCTCTGAATCTTTCTATAGCAATTTCTCTCTTGGATCTTATAATCTTCCATTTTCTTAGAAAATGTCCAAATCTATCCTTTGGTAAACCTCCTTTTCTTACTCTATGTATATTTTTGCCCATGGCAAGCACTTACCCTTCCCAACAGCATCCATCTTATCCTAAGGAGCTTATATGAGAAAAGAATTCCTCACAGAGAAAACAAACTGCACTGTGTTCCTAATTAGCAGTGGCAGCAACAAAGAACAAAAACCTCAGACTAGGAGAAGTCCAATGTTTGACCTGGAGTACTTCACATGTGTACTCTGCACAAAGTAGCATATTGCTTCTGTAGCGTTAAACTAAGCGCCTGTTTTTCTCTCTCCAATTCTGTTACTTGGCTCTCAGTCTTTGTGTCGGTCTGTCTTTCTCAGGGACACACTTGCCACTGCTTCCCATTGCACTGGTTCCTTTTTTATTATACATTACAAGAAATAAACATTTATATGCCCTGCCAATCTATCTATTCCCCACCCCCAAATGATTCTTAATGTTTCAGGTGTTCAAATTTGCCTCCAAAAAAAAAAAAAAGAAGCTAGGAGCGAGTTTCTCTTAGAAGCTGTTCTTATTTAATATCCTGAGTACCTCTCCCAAATTTTCAAAAGATATTCCTAATCATAGGATACAAATGACATAAGCAGTGATCCCTAGAGCTGGCTGCGCATCTGAATGAGCTGAGCTGCTTGCTAATTTCCCATTTTCGTTGTTGCTACAGAGAATTACTGATATATTTCTTTTTTCTTTTTTTTTTTTTTTTTTTTTTTGGTCTGGTGGTTTGTGTACATATGAACCCTAGGAAGGAAACAGGGGGGCACTAATAAAATTATGAAAAATGAAGGCAGTGCCAGTCACATGCTTTGGCAATTGTTTTCAGTTAAGGCATATCAGATGGTCCTAATGTAAATGTCCATGTGAAGGCTGATGACTGTAGCATAGTTATTCAGTAACTGTTTATAGAATATCTATTTGAGGCAAGACAAAATGCTAGGAGCCCTGAAAAAATACAAGGATGAATGATTCCTGTCTTCAAGGAGCACAGATTCAATGTCATCAAAGTAGTATTTACAGACCTAGAAGTCCAAAGAGGGGTGGTGAAGGAAAGCATCCTAGAAAGAGCCACGTGCTCCTCACATCGCACAGGATCACTATGGCTCCAAATTTACTGATAATAGCCCAAGCTTGGGGTAAGAGAGCTGTGACTGCATACTGGTTGTGCCACTTGCCAAGTCCATGATCTCGAATAATAAACCTTTCTAAACCTCTAATTCTTCCTCTGAAAAATGGGGTAACATCGCTTCCTTGTAAGGTTTTTGTGAGAAAACCTGGGATAAAGCGTGTAAAATGCTTCGAAGTATAATGGACAGTGTTCACTACTGTTAATTCACATGCTAGACTTCCCCTCCTCCTCTGCACATCCCCCACACCCACACCGAACTGCCTTACTCAACATTTCACCAAGACTCCAGGGCACTTCCTCCCTTTGCTGTTGCTCGTCCTTACACCTAAAATACTCTCATAGCCACGATTTCACTTGCTGAAATGCTATGTACAAATACAGTGTCAGTTCCCTCACTCTGTCACTCCAGTTTATTGAAAACCTCCCCACAGAAGGAGGGGAAGTAGACTTTGGAGCATTTATTACAGTATAATTCACTTATTTTCTAGGTATTTGTTTAATGTCTGTCTTCCTCATTAGTGTGTAAATTTTGTGGAAGACTCCATGTCTGTTTTGTTCATTTTTATAATCTCCTTAATAGGCAATGAATTAGCATCTAATATTTGTTGAACATACTAAATACAAAATAAGCAGACTAATGAACAAATATATAGCTAAAGGAATAGGGCAGAGGTGAAGATAAGGAGAAAAATTAGTTTTGTAGGAAACTTTACCTGATGATTAAGTGTTGAGAAAAATGAAGGGGAGATGTGAGAGACAAAGCTAGAGTAAAAAAGTTTGTAGGGTGAACTAAGTTTTAGTGGTGGGAATGAAGACTAAGAAGCAAAATGAAGAGGTATCTAAGAAGTTAGGAAAGGATCAGGCTTTTGAACCCAAGGAGTAAATGTGCATCTCACTGGACTTCAAGATGTATCCACTAGTTAAAATTATTTATAATGTATACTAATAAATAGTATTGTTTATATTACCAAGTAATTATTATTAATCTATTTACAATGTATAAAAAATTAATACATTATAACAGCAGGGAACTTTTGAATTTACATGTAATTGCAAGGAATTTGAAGGGTAGGTAGAAATGTGTAAATGTCCAGTAATTGGTTTGATATGGGCCCTAACACAGAGGTGACAGCTCAGGAATAAGGGCAGTATGTCAAGTCCTGGGAGGGGTGCAAAACCTTCACATTATGTTTAGGGAAGAAGGGCTAAGAGAGCTGAGATGGTGAGGGGAGAAATAAGCCAGCAAATGGTGCACATACATGCTCCTTAATTAACAAGATACTATAATTCAGGGTCACACAAGTCAGGGGAGGGGATACATAAGAAAGAGTGTCACTGACAACGTCCAGTGAGGTTAAGAAGTCACAATGGATGTGACTTCTTGTTTACTGACAAACCATGTGTGAACCTCAAAGGAGAAGAAGTTTCTCTAAGTGGCAGGGCACAAAGCTAAGAAACAAGCGGTTAAAGTAAGAGGTGATGATGAAATGGTGAAGATAGGGAAGTGACCCACATTTACCAGGAGTTGGGCATGAAGAACAACAGCTTGAGAGGAAAGAGCGTTATGAAGATCATCAAAAGACTCTTGTTTCAGACCTATCTTTCAAATAAACAAATTTCCATAGTAGAAATCAAG
Organism: Homo sapiens; assembly: GCF_000001405.40. Classification (NCBI taxonomy): domain Eukaryota; kingdom Metazoa; phylum Chordata; class Mammalia; order Primates; family Hominidae; genus Homo; species Homo sapiens. Next base: position 151,346,291 of record NC_000003.12, on the reverse strand, counting down.
ATTGGGGAACAGATAACTGATGATAAAGGATATAAGAGACAATGGCCTCTTAGCTGGATTAATATGGAAAGAAAGAAAGGAACATCTTTCTACTTGACCATCGGGAAAAAAAGAAAATTAGTGAAAATAAAAAGACATTTTGAGGTGAAGAAGACACTTAAGAAGCTCAAATCATTCCTTGGCCTTGATATGCTCAGGGAGTTGGGCCAAGGAACAAAGTCATGAGTTGAGAATGCAGGGATAAAACTGAAAGCAAAAGCAGCACGTAGTGAGCTGGAAAAGAATCACTGCTCAACCTCTATAAGGGGTGTAAAGACAGTATTCCTTTCTTAGCATTAATATTTTCAGGGAACTCATGCTAGGTGTTACTACAGTAGTCTTCAAATAGGACAGGCAGAGGCATTTTAGAAGCTACTATTTTTCAAGAGCCTACAAGATTTGTTTACATCAGTTTTTCATACAAGTAGAAAATGTAGGCTGGGCATGGTGGCTCACATCTATAATCCCAGCACTTTGGGAGGCTGAGGTGGAGGATCACCTGAGGTCATGAGTTCGAGACCAGCCTGGCCAACATGGGAAAACTCCATCTCTACTAAAAATACAAAAACTAGCCAGGCGTGGTGGCAGGTGCCTATAATTTCAGCTACTCGGGAGGCTGAGGCAGGAAAATTGCTTGAACCTGGGAGGCAGAGGTTGCAGTGAGCCGAGATGGTGCCATTGCACTCCAGCCTGGGTGACAAGAGCAAAACTTGGTCTCAAAAAAAAAAAAAAAAAGAAAAAGAAAAAAGAAAGAAAACGTAGAAGCCTTCAAATAGCAATTCATAACAAATGAGAATAAAGTCAACCTAAGAAAATATACCAAATATTTTCAAAAGTATCAACGATTTCTGCTCTTTCAACTTGGTGTTTAAACGCCCTCAAGTTGCACAGTTGTAAGTAATATTAATAATCTGAGATAAACACCCAAAAATTACTCTTGTTTATTCCCTCAAGGATACAGTTGTTGGACAAGGAAAAGCATCAACTGGAGAGTCTGTTACAGGAGACGTCAGGCTACCTCTTTTATCCTAGTCCACCTGCTGCTATTGAATTGAATGTGTCATCTCCCATGTAAACTAAGTTCTAAAAATCTCGTCCTTTAGATCAATTACTTTCTTTCTCCAGATATTATCTCATACTCACAGAAACTTAATAGATGAAGAAACTAGAAACATGCATGCCCAAAACCCTGGCAGGCTTGTTGTACTACACGAATTAAAATATGTCTCTTGAGCCAAATGTCCTTAGAAAGAAGAAATGGAGTTAAAGGAATTGAGGTCTGCTCTAATTCATCTTTATTTCTTTAAAATAACTGATTAGAAATTTTGCCAAAATGTGTATGTGTTGACAAAGATGTCATAATGATGGTAAGATGATCAGAGCTGTGTATTATCCTTTCACCTTACTCACATTTTCTGATATTTCAACAATGATTCAATTATCATAGAATTTTTAAATTACTAATGTCCTTAAGGAAAAATGAAAAAGATCTCACTCAGAATGCGCTTCCTTTCTTCCAAACACTAATAAAAACAGATGAAGTGGATGTAATTGTCCTTCTGATAAGACAAAATATGGCACTTCATACTTCCCAGTACTTCCTAATTTTTGCATGCTCTACTTCAAATGCAAATCCAGTATATATCCGGAAGTAAACTGCACATAGCAACCTATCACGTCTCTAAGAAAAGCAGTAAAAACCAGTCTTTAGAAACAATAAATGCATTTAGTTAAAATTTTTAGCTTATTAAATAACTCTTAAAAGATGCCTTAAAACACTATTTCTTTCAGCTGTATCTTTCAATATACCATGCTATTTTGTTTAGAATAAAACAAGTTCATATAAATGTTCCATCAGGAATAAGCTTCGAGCCTGGGAGGAAGAATGGGTGTGCACATGGATGAGGAAACTGTTACAGGAATGAAGAAATTAACAGGTTTTTTTTTAATCATTAGTAACTATACATAGAGTATATTTTCTGTAAATCAAGAAAATAGGAGGCGGATTTAACTACATTTGTATATTAAATCTTTGTTCTACACAGCTTATAGTCCACAGTATGACTGATATTTATATATCTACTAGTCCTCTTCTTGCAAGCAGAACACTTAAGACTGGGATGTCAGATAACTAGGTCACAAAAGACGGCATTCATTTTTGCGAAATATTTCAATGCCCAAGACTCGTTACTTTTGGAACCTGTTGGTATCTAACCTAAATTTCTATATTCCAATGGATAAAGCCAAGCTAGCAGACATGACTATGCACTGCTTTAAAATACACACCCTCAAACAAAATATTAATGTCAAAATGACCACATTTAGAACCAGAGACCACTGGAACTAAAACAGCCTAAGAGCTATCAAATGTCATAATTATATCTCTATCCTCCTGCCCAGTTCCAAAAGACTACAGGTTTCAGAGTAATCCCATTTGAAGCAAACATTTTCAGATGAGCAGACTACCTTTAGTAGACTTGGTAAAATAAACAAACCAGTTAAGCCACTTAAAAGTAAAAATTCTGTTCATTTTTCTAACTCATCTCAATTATACAAAATAACCAAACCAACCAAAGTTAGCTCTGTTCCCAACACTAACACAAATAACTACAAACTGTATGTGTTGATGTTATTTACTAATGAGAGATTAAAGTATCTATAACTTGCTCTGCTTCTATTCATATGAAAATATACTTCTGTAACTGAGATACTTTTCACTTAAAGATTTTAGTCACTTTCAGCATTAAGTGGTCTAACTGGCAGTCTTCCTCCAATGAAAAAATGTTATCAGAGGTGGTTTGTAAATAGGTATGTGGTTGTGAGTTAAAAATCAGAGGAAAAATAAAGTTAATTTAGATCAAGAACTGAAGCCCTTCTTTTATCCCTCAAATCTCTACTGTTAGCCCTTCTAGAGGTTTAGAAATATAAATTCTCAATAAGGTAGTATGACTTAAGTATTCTGAATTAGTAATATGGCAGATTGATTTGTTAAAAATAATCATTTTCTTGAATAAGCCTTGTTTCATTTGATGGTCTTAGAAAAAGCATCATAAACATCCTTTAGCATTTACAATTTGCTGTAAAGGAGAGTATGGTCCTTATTTTATTGAAAGACGTACAACCATCCCACACGAGATTCACTTCTCACTACTGGGGCCTCTTAGTGGGAGAGGGGTTGAGGAGAGGGTGTGATAGGGAAAGATTCTCAGGTACAGAAATACACAAATACAGATTCTAAGGCTAACTAGACAGCACAGGTCAGAATGGGGTCTCCATCTAACTTCACTGCTCTGCTCTTCAGTTCCCCTCATCCAGAGAATGAGGATGATACGCGTACTTCAGAGAATAGTTGAGATTATTAATAAAGTGAGTTAATCCATGACAGTGTAAGAAATTAAATATTGACAATTATTATTTGAAGTACATACAGCATAAAAGCTCTTTTTAAAATTTTGAGACTCCAACAAATAAGGAAGGCTAAGATTTGTTTACAATAGTCATATTTAAAAATAACAATACAACCCTTTCCAAGAGTTTAATATCAAACTAATCCCTTTAAGATGACCAACATTTGGGGATTATTATGTGTCTGAAGTGACTGATATTAATAGCTTCAAGTTCTAAATGGCAACAAAATTCTTATTCCATTTAAATCAGTGGTCCTCACATTTGAGTGTACCAAGCATCAATGGAAGGCTCACTAAAATACAGATGCAGGGTGGGGCACCCCAGAGTTTTTTATTCACTCAGCTAGATTGGTGCCCAAAAATGTGCATTTCTAGCAAGTTCCCAAGTGATGCAGAGCTGCTGCTCTGCACTGTGAAAACCAATGAAGATATTTAACATGTAAAGACATAGACAAATACTCAAAACGCAGAAGAAAAAACCAAAACGTGTTCACAGCAAAGGCACCAACACAAATGATTCCCACTGATAACAGAAGGACACTGCAGTTTGAGACACCAGGGAGGTGTGTTTCTGCAAAGCAATATTTACATAAAGTTAAAGCAGCACAGGTGTTGGAGAGGATGTGGAGAAATAGGAACACTTTTACACTGTTGGTGGGACTATAAACTAGTTCAACCATTGTGGAAGTCAGTGTGGTGATTCCTCAGTGATCTAGAACTAGAAATACCATTTAACCCAGCCATCCCATTACTGGGTATATACCCAAAGGATTATAAGTCATGCTGCTATAAAGACACATGCACACGTATGTTTATTGCGGCACTATTCATAATAGCAAAGACTTGGAACCAACCCAAAAGTCCAACAATGATAGACTGGATTAAGAAAATGTGGCACATATACACCATGGAATACTATGCAGCCATAAAAAATGATGAGTTCATGTCCTTTGTAGGGACATGGATGAAATTAGAAATCATCATTCTCAGTAAACTATCGCAAGAACAAAAAACCAAACACCACATATTCTCACTCATAGGTGGGAACTGAACAATGAGAACACATGGACACAGGAAGGGAAACACTACACTCTGGGGACTGTTGTGGGGTGGGGGGATGGGGGAGGGATAGCTTTAGGAGATATACCTAATGCTAAATGACGAGTTAATGGGTGTAGCACACCAGCATGGCACATGTATACATATGTAACTAACCTGCACATTGTGCACATGTACCCTAAAACTTAACGTATAATAATAATAAAATTAAAAAAAAAAAGTTAAAGCAGCAAAACACTTTGCCCTTCAATCTCACCCCTAACATATTTTTTGCCCTTCTGGTTTCAAAGTTAAACAACTGTAAATAATTGTGATACAAGGATGCCTTAATTTAATGTTATATTTTCCCAAAAACTCAAAGTTAGGTAAAGAAACAAAAAAAAATTGTTTATATTTAAATTCTATTCAAGAAAAGCATGAACGACACAGTATATAATAAGCCTGGCAATGGATACAATCACTTCTCTAATGTAATTTTGGAATCTGCTAATTTATAATAGAAGGAAGCTGTTTCACCTACAAAGGAGTTAATCAAACACAGGTTTAAAATAATGACATTATTAACCAAGGGAAAAACAAAGGGCCAGAGACTTAACATCCCTAGCCAGCACGCATTTTGAGTTAACATAATTACTTGTTAGAAGAAAATACATCACCCAGTGTTGTACACAATATATTTCAGATAAATTAACCACCCAAGAAAGCAAGCTTAAAATCTTCTCCAGGAAGCAGACTTCGAAGGCTTGATCTCAACTTGGATTTATCATTTGCATAGAAAATAACCATAACTCGAAGTTATAAATCATCAACTCTATAGCAGGTTTCAGTAAAAAGCCGCAAGATTTTAAATTGCTTTTTAAAAGATGACTTCTCAGCCATCCTCATCCCACATTTCCTGGGAAATAAAAGCAGAAGTCCTAAAAGAGGACAGATAGAAATTCAGTGTCTGCATAGCTTTGAGTCCAGTGTTTGAAGACAATCTCTGATTGTGAAGCCCTCTTTTTCTCTCCTTCTATTTCTCTCTAGAGCACTCAAGACTTTACTGACGAAAACTCAGGAAATCCTCTATCACAAAGAGGTTTGGCAACTAAACTAAGACATTAAAAGGAAAATACCAGATGCCACTCTGCAGGTTGCAATAACTACTACTTACTGGATACATTCAAACCCTCCAGAATCAACAGTTATCAGGTAATGTTATTTCTACAAGTACTTGACAAATATATGTATTTACACTCTGATATGTGTGTACATTTTTTCCAAGTTTCTCTTAAAATTGTAAACCTTAATAACTATCAATGCAAGCATGTATTTGGAATAAAAATTATAATTAAAATAGAAGTCTAATTAGTGATGTCAGAGACAATTGTTAATTAGCCTCTTTATTAAGAAAAATTATACAAAGCATAGAAATAAAATATAAATGGTCTTAGTTACTTTGCCTCAAGTATAAAATGAGATTTAAATACAGATAAAGGGAGCTGAAATTCTCAATGTCAAGAATACTTGTTAAATATCTTACAGACTACACAAAATGTATATTCACTAAGTCGAATTTCCAAAACGGTCAGGGATGAACTAAGACCACACAGCAGTAGCAGGAAAGGTTAAAATCAGTGATCTTGTATTGGAAAACATTAGGTTTTGTTTAGCATTATTTTAAAGCGCTAAATAGGTGAGGAGATGCTGAAAATTGAAGCCATACTGTGACAACATGATTCTTAATCGTTTTCCTTCCATAATTAAGGACAGAAAGGAATTCCATGGACATTTTGGGGAATTTAAGTGCTACATTCATTTATCTAAATATCTTTTACACGAAAGTTATTTTTTAAAATTTGTTATTTGTACTTTCAATATATCTCTGATTATTAAGAATATTTTATATAGAATCAATTTCACTTATCTCTGGTGAAATAAAAAGATTACAAACGTCATTTCAAATTCCCAAGATGTAGATGCCATATAGCATATTCAAGTCACTTGTTAAGTTTTCATTATAGCTGCCTATTGTGGTAATAACCTATATTTTATTTTAGCTACCATTACACACTCCATAAATCTGGAAAGTATGCCCTGTTTTGAGGAATGCCAACTCATGACCATATATACACAGGCCATTTCTGACTCTTATTTTTTTTTTTACTGTTTTAAAATTTATACTGAATGATATTCAAGAAAATGTATGCAGCAACTTCAAAACACTGAGGAAAGTTGGAAATAAGATACACATGGGTTAAAATATTTGAAGCAGAATAATGAATCTCCGTGAGGCCAATCTTTGAATGAGTGAGCAATATAGAGGCAGGAATATCTTCCAAATATAAAGAAAAAAGGTCAGCTTTTTTTTTTTTTACTGATTCAGTATTTTATTTAATAAGTTTCCCAAGAGTAATTTTCCATCAATTTCTTCCCCCTTTTTATTACTTTAGGATTCTAACAGGCAATTATCCATCATTTCTCTCTCAACTGTTTTGACGGTACTACAGTAAAAGAAGCTCAGAAATAAGGACGTTGGGGGGAAAAGTGACTGTGAATAGAAACCAAAAAGCTAAAAGGCATGGAGGGGAAGCTAGAGAAGAGTAAAGCACAGCCCCATTATTTCTCTTCCAGCTTTTGCATATAAATATGAGTGAGCTCTAAGACAAAATGTGCTTTAAGAGGCAAACATTCAACAAATAAAAAAATACTAAGCATCTATAACTTCACATATTGTACTTCAGATCATTTCTCTTCAGCAGAGATGCAATATTTGCTGCAATGAAATATTTTGGGATTCAGTTTTCTGTGTTCATACTAACTACTACAATGAAGATGAGAAACCTCAACTTTTAGAGGAGGCTGTGTCCAAAAAAGTTACACACAGAGATAACAGCAATAATAACTACCTTAGGCTGAAAATAACCATCCTCTCTTTTGTTCTCTAGGTAACCAACAAGAAATGCAAGCCGTCGACAACCTCACCTCTGCGCCTGGTAACACCAGTCTGTGCACCAGAGACTACAAAATCACCCAGGTCCTCTTCCCACTGCTCTACACTGTCCTGTTTTTTGTTGGACTTATCACAAATGGCCTGGCGATGAGGATTTTCTTTCAAATCCGGAGTAAATCAAACTTTATTATTTTTCTTAAGAACACAGTCATTTCTGATCTTCTCATGATTCTGACTTTTCCATTCAAAATTCTTAGTGATGCCAAACTGGGAACAGGACCACTGAGAACTTTTGTGTGTCAAGTTACCTCCGTCATATTTTATTTCACAATGTATATCAGTATTTCATTCCTGGGACTGATAACTATCGATCGCTACCAGAAGACCACCAGGCCATTTAAAACATCCAACCCCAAAAATCTCTTGGGGGCTAAGATTCTCTCTGTTGTCATCTGGGCATTCATGTTCTTACTCTCTTTGCCTAACATGATTCTGACCAACAGGCAGCCGAGAGACAAGAATGTGAAGAAATGCTCTTTCCTTAAATCAGAGTTCGGTCTAGTCTGGCATGAAATAGTAAATTACATCTGTCAAGTCATTTTCTGGATTAATTTCTTAATTGTTATTGTATGTTATACACTCATTACAAAAGAACTGTACCGGTCATACGTAAGAACGAGGGGTGTAGGTAAAGTCCCCAGGAAAAAGGTGAACGTCAAAGTTTTCATTATCATTGCTGTATTCTTTATTTGTTTTGTTCCTTTCCATTTTGCCCGAATTCCTTACACCCTGAGCCAAACCCGGGATGTCTTTGACTGCACTGCTGAAAATACTCTGTTCTATGTGAAAGAGAGCACTCTGTGGTTAACTTCCTTAAATGCATGCCTGGATCCGTTCATCTATTTTTTCCTTTGCAAGTCCTTCAGAAATTCCTTGATAAGTATGCTGAAGTGCCCCAATTCTGCAACATCTCTGTCCCAGGACAATAGGAAAAAAGAACAGGATGGTGGTGACCCAAATGAAGAGACTCCAATGTAAACAAATTAACTAAGGAAATATTTCAATCTCTTTGTGTTCAGAACTCGTTAAAGCAAAGCGCTAAGTAAAAATATTAACTGACGAAGAAGCAACTAAGTTAATAATAATGACTCTAAAGAAACAGAAGATTACAAAAGCAATTTTCATTTACCTTTCCAGTATGAAAAGCTATCTTAAAATATAGAAAACTAATCTAAACTGTAGCTGTATTAGCAGCAAAACAAACGACATCCAATTGTCATGCTGCATGCAAAACTACACAGAATTCATGTTTTGCAGAGTTTTGCCAAAATGAGTAATCATATAATATTTACTGTAATTTTTAAAATACATTATCGTTCACAATTTTATTTTTTCATAATCAACTAAGGAAGAACGATCAATTGGATATAATCTTCTTACCAAAAATGATAGTTAAAATGTATATATATCCTAGTCCCCTAACCAAATCCTGACCTATTGGGATACTTATAAAAATTTAAGTAAGTGGGATACACAAAGAATAATAACTATTAACTTTTCATTATTAGCAAAAACCTAAGGGATTTAAACTAATTGAAACTGTATTTGATTGGACTTAATTTTTTATGTTTATTTAGAAGATAAAGATTTAAAGAAGACCTTTACAATAAAGAGAAGAAATATCGAAGTCATTAAAATAAGGAGACTTACTTTTATGACATTCTAATACTAAAAAATATAGAAATATTTCCTTAATTCTAGAGAAACTAGTTTTACTAATTTTTTACAACTTCAATAATACCATCATTGACACTTACCTTTATTAATTAGCTTCTAGAAAATAGCTGCTAATTAGGTTAATGAACATTTTACCTTAGTGAAAAAAATTAATTAAATATGATTACAAAGTTGCACAGCATAACTACTGAGAGGAAAGTGATTGATCTGTTTGTAATTACTTGTTTGTATTGGTGTGTATAAAATACAAAATTTACATTAAACTCTAAATCATTCTTTGTTGTAAATTCTTTGTTCAAAGATATTAGATACCATGACTCACCATACCATATACAACTACATCAAATCCATTTAAGAATTAATGCCAACACCTTTATTACATGTTATTGTGCAAAGTCTCTTCTGAAGATGACTTCTCATTTCAATAAGTTCAAATGTAAATGATAAAACAGGTCAGACTTATAACATGCAGTCTAATTCTACACAAGGCATATTCGCTATTTTAACATAAACAAAACATATAACACATGTGGAAGTTTACATCACTTATCTCAATTTTTTATGATCCTCAGAGGTGACTCTCAAACAGAAGGAGGAACAGACATCAATACCTAAATATAATGCCAGAAGAAATAAAAGGGTGTATTGTTGTATAAAGTTCACTGAACTTTAATAATAATCACTTTTATTGAAACCCTCTACAACCTCTGCTGAGTTCTATTTCATTACGAAGCTGAACTCATTTAACTACTAAGTGGTATTCATTTCCAACCAGCCACATTTCTTTCTCCGGCACCACTAAAAGTGAGCACTCAGTGTCAGTGGAGATACAGAGACAGTTCATATAGTATATAACCTATACACTGCTGGGATAAACAGCAGTAATAATTTCTGCTATGTAGACTAGTACAGTTCACTCTAAAATCATATGCATAAATTTACATGTTCTATAGGAATACCAGGATATTTGAGGTAGAAGACAATCTAGAGATCAACTAATCTAACCTTCTTCTTTTGCATATAACAAAAATGAAAGGCAGACTCATCCCTCCACCCATTCAAGTTGGGGTAGAGCATGGACTGAAACTGACTACTTCACAGTGTCATGGAGGTCAGATGTTCGGAGACTACAGAGGGGACACAAACTACCCCCAAAATCTTTGTCACTGAGATGACAATTTCCACAAGAGATGAAATAAACAGAAATGCTAATAGTAATATGGTATTTTAGTAAAAGTAACTGAAAGTATTTGAAATTACCTATGTTTTATGAGTATGTATATATGCCATGGAAATTTTACATAAAACTCTAAAATCACACTTTGCTGGGATATCTTTATTCAGAGACCTTAGACATCATATACTACATCAAACTAAACCCATTCAAAACAGTGTGAGAGTTAGTATTTATGGAGGGATCATTATACATAAAACATGCCATTATCTCTAGCTTTTGGCATATTAATATATATTAACCCCACATTTCACAGTGAGTTTTACTTTTTTAAATGAAGCCAAATTCTGTAGACTCAGGTCCAGATGTGAAAAGTTCAAAAGATGAGACAACAAAATGTAGTCTTGCCCATAGCCTCAGTGGCTTACAAGTCCTAAAGGTATTGGTTATTGACAGTTTTTCTCAGTGGTTTCTTACAGAAAAGGTCTGAAGCAGGTGTTGGCAAACTATAGCCCACAGGCCAAATCGCAGCCCACTGCCTATTTTTGTACAGCTTGGGATTTAGGAATGTTTTGTTTTCATTTTTGTTTTTAATTGTTATGGATACATAATAACTGTACATATTTATGAGAGTAGAATGACAGTTACTAGAGAGTCATGGGGAAGGAGGAGATAAAGAGGTACTGGTAAATGAGTACAAAAATACAGTTAGTGAGAAGGAATAATATCTAGTGTTCCATAGCACAATAGGGTGACTATAGTTAAAAATACTGTATTGTATATTTCAAAGTAACTCAAAGAGTGGGTTCCTAATAGAAAGAAATGAATGCCTGAGGTGATGGATATCCCAGTTACCCTGATTTGACCATTACACATTGTATACTTACATGAAATATCACGTGTACCCCTTTTCAAATGTTTGTGAGGAAAAAAATCAAATGAATAAAATTTCATGCCGAATGAAATTTATATGAAATTTGAATTTCAATGTCCATAAATAAGGTTTTATTGGAACACAACTATTCAGGTTTTATCCATGGCTGCTTTCATGCTACGACAGAGCTGAGTTGCTGTGATGTAGACTGCATGGCTCACAAAACCTAAGTATTTTCTAACTGGCTCTATAAAAAAAAGAAGACTGGGGGACCTGGTGCAGTGGCTCACACCTGTAATCCCAGTACTTTGGGAGGCCGAGGCAGGCAGATCACCTGAGGCCAGGAGTTTGAGACCAGCCTGGCCAACATGGTGAAGCCCTGTCTCTACTAAAAAAATAAAAATTAGCTGGGCGTGGTGGTGGGCACCTGTAGTCCCAGCTACTCAGGAGGCTGAGGCAGGAGAACCGCTTGAACACACGAGGTTGCAGTGAGCCGAGATTGAGCCACTGCACTCCAGCCTGGGCAACAGAGTGAGACTCCATCTCTAAATAAATAAACAAATAAAAATTAAAAAAGAAGACTGCTTCCCCCTGGACCAGTACTTTAAAAACAGGTGGAAAAAAACCTTTTACAAAAAAAAAAACACAACTCTCTTTTTGTACCTAGGTGTTTCAATCATTTTGCACTGAAGACATCTGATCACTGTTCACTGCCAACACTCAAGGTGTGATTACAATACTGTCAGTGGGAACTAAAGATGTGGAAATGCACTTCATAATCAATAGGTAGTGAGAAATCGCCTTTTTTTTTTAAATGGGGCAAGAGCATGAAAAGGCAATTTCCAGGAGAAATAGAAATGGCAAAAAAAAAAAGAAAGAAAGAAAGAAAAAACACATAACATCACCAATAAGGAAATAAATTTATATTTATATAACATGGCTTTTTCACTTACAGATTTCAAATTAATTTAAAAGATTTTTTTTCTTTTTTTTGAGATAGAGTCTTGTTCTGTCACCCAGGCTGGAGTGCAGTGACATGATGTCAGCTCACTGCAACCTCCGCCTCCCGGGTACAAGCAATTCTCTGCCTCAGCCTCCTGAGTAGCTGGGATTACGGGCACCTGCCACCATGCCTGGCTAATTTTCTTATTTTTAGTAGAGACGGGGTTTCACCATCTTGGCCAGGCTGGTCTTGAACTCCTGACCTCATGATCCACTCATCTTGGCCTCCTAAAGTGCTAGGATTACAGGTGTGAGCCACCATGCCTGGCCAAGAATCCCACTCTTAATTGAACAATAAATTGGTACAATCTTTCTGGAAAACTATTTGAAAATATTATTTAACATTTTGACAAATAACTTTTTCCTAGAAGGACTGAACCAATAATCCTTCTTCTAGGAAACTTCCTACAAACATGCTAGAAAAAATGCTCAAAAATATATGGACACATACATGCTCTATAGCATTGTTTTTAATAGAGAAAAACTATTATCGTAAACTAACTACATGCCCATCAGTCGCAGCTTAACTATGGTAAATTTATGTAGCATAACTGATTTTAAATTTGATTGGCATGTTGTTAGAGAAATGCAGATCAAAACCACAATGAGACATCATCTCACACCAGTTAAAATGGCTATTACTTAAAAGTCAAAAAATAACAGATACTGGTGAGGTTGTGGAGAGAAGGGAACACTTACACACTACTGGTGGGAAAGTAAATTAGTTCAGCCACTGTGGAAAGCAGTTTGGCTTTTCTCAAAGGACTTAAAACAGAATTACCGTTCAACCCAGCAATCCCATGACTGGGTATATACATAAAGGAATAGGCGTTATTCTATCATAGAGACACATGCATGTGTGTGTTCATCACAGCACTATTCACAAAAGCAAAGACACAGAAGCAACCTAAATTCTTATCATTGGTATACTGGATAAAGAAAATGTGGTACATATACACCATGAGATACTATGCAGCCACACAAAAGAAAGAGATCGTGTCCTTTGCAACAACATGGATGAAGCTGGAGGCCATTATTCTAAGCAAACTAACACAGGAACAGGAAACCAAACACCAGATGTTGTCACTTGTTAGTGGGAGCTAAACATTGAATTCATATGGACACAAAGAAGGAAACAACAAACACCAGGGCCTACATTGAGGGTAGTGGGTGGGAGGAGGGTAAGGACTGAAAAACTACCTATCCGGTACCATGCTTATCACCTGGGTGACAAAATAATCTGTACACCAAACCCCTACAAAACACAATTTACCTATGTAACAAACCTGCACATGTACCCCTGAACCTAAAATAAAGTTAAAAAAAAAATCACGTCAGTCTACATGTACTAACATGGAATGAAACAAAAATCCAATACATAAATAAATGTAAATATATTTGTACACATATATTGGTATGTATATGTATTAACTTTCACTTTCTACTATATATGTTTGTATTTCAATTTTTAAACATAGTGTGAAATATTAAATGTTCCAAATAGCAGTGAATTTATTGCCTATCTCTAGCTACATGTAGATATTTTCTACTATTGTTCTTACTCAGAAAAACAGATTGTTACATTAATAAAAAGTATAACTTATTTCAGCTTATTATTACCACTTTTAGTTTACCACTTTTAGTTACTCTTGTATGGAATTTTTAAAACAATTTCACATAATCTGAGAAAGTACCATGGTATACTTTGATGGGAAGTAAAAGTCTTTTCTAAGAGTATAGAAGTATAGGAGTTCCTACTTCAATTTTCATCCCAAATGAAAGCAAATACTTCCTCATCTTTTCACATATTATTTATATGGTACTGGGCCTTGGACTGTCAATTTTGATGCAACTGAGAAATCCCAAATAAGACTACAAATGGAAATAGTAGTTTATTCCTATCTGGCTAGAGACTGATTTCTGTGACTTTTCATTTTATCTTCTTTGTATCCCTTCTGATCACACTGCTTTCACTCAATTTACATTGGCATAAAGTTTCACAAGTCCATTAAACATTGTGGCTGATTGTTTCCTTCTCACACATCAGGAACTTTCAGCTCAAGAACTCCAGAATTTGGCAAACAATTCCACTGTCACCCTATCTATGGCTTAATCGGAGGCAAGAGAGTGAGGCAGGTTCCAAGCATGGGCTCTGGAACCAGACCAACTGTGTGACTTTACGGCAGATTTGGGTTGCATGATATGGGGAAAATGGCTTAACTTCTGCATTTCCTTTTTTCTCAACTCTAAAAATGGGACCAATCTCTGGGGATTGTTAAGGATTAAATAAGATAATATAATCACTTAAAACAGTATAGCTAGTGTGACTTTACTGATTTTTAACTACATTTCCTTAGAGCCCTATAGGATCTTAAATGTTTAGTTTATTCCCATTTGATAGGCTCCTAGCCTCTGGGATCTTTCACTGTATCTTCTTTGATTCTTCTCTCCTTTCGTGAGACATCACCATATGTATGCACAACATTCCAATTTTCTTTCAATTTCATTTAACAAGAAACCTACATGATACCTACCACATGACAGACATTATTCTAAGCACTGGTGAATGTTCACTCATTTTATTCTTTTAACAACACTGTAAAGCAAATACTATTATTTATTTTTATTGTAAAGATAAGGCAACCATTTCATAGTGGGCATAAGCAGCTTGCCTAAGGTCATAAGAAAAGAAAGAATTGGAAAAAGGAATTGAGCCCAGGCACTCTGGCGCCTAAACATTCTGCTGAGCAGCTTCTCAGCTGTGTCTTCAAGGGCAAAAGGCCTCCCCAGCAGGCAATAGTGCTGCTGTAAACTAAGGAAAAATCAGCTAATACATAAGAAGCACAAACACATAGAAATGAATGATCTATTGGATATTTACTATAGTCAAACACTTTGACATCTACCACATTTAAGAGACTCTATTTCCATAACTCTAGAAACAGGCACTGTAAGTCAGTTCCTCTTTGGAAAGTTTCCCACACTTCAGTGTTTTGAAATTTGACCAAGAAGTGATTTCCAGTTTTCAGATTATGAAATTATCCTGCACAGAATTTATCTTGCTTAAAGAAAAACTATTCCAGATCTTCCTTTAGATTATGGATTTGGGGCTATAGGAAAATTTACAATTAATTTTGTAGGTTAAATTTCTCTACTTAAGAAATAAAGGATTTTTTTTCCTCTGCTGAAGCAAACAAAAAGATATACATTTATGTTTAAGACATACATGTATGTTCTATTAATGAAATCTTGAATCTATACTCCCAAGGATTAATTTATTTCAGTCAAAGAGAAATTTTTCAAACTGTGCCGTTATTGGGTAGTCTAATCAAAACTATTAGACACTGTATTGCCTCATATTTTAAAATGTCCAGGGGGATATTAAGTTTTTCTTCTCAGAATTCAAAGCCAAGTCACCCAAAACTTTGTGATCAACTAACACTAGTCTCGTCTAACTCCATGGTAACACTTGTGGCAAGAAACATGAAATGAAACTCACCATGAACTCCACATCCTCCGTAAGATCTCCTAATTTCCGCTTTTCCTATGCCTACCTGGCAAGTAGATTTCTGCCATGGACAACAACTTTCTCTATGCAAAAGCACCATTACATCTTTCAAACTTGAAGAGAATTAAAGCAAAAAAAATGCACAGATATTGGCCCAATGTTGATTGATGAAATTCCTGAAGTCCTCTGCACTCGAAATACACCAAATACAAAAAAGATTTCTAAAAATGGCCCTCTACTAAGTGAAAGAGTATAATATCTCTATCTGGATTTGCAATTCATTCCCATGGCAATGGGACTAAAAGCCACTAAAAGTGGCTAACATTTTTTAGTGCCTCCTATATGTCAAGCACTATTCCAGGCAACCAATTCATTCTTAATAACACAGTGTGTTAGATACTATTTTCAAACCCATTACACAGATGAGGAAATTGAGACACAGAGCTGTTGAATCATTTATCTATAATCTAATCCCAATTAATTGGTGGAACTGGGATTCTAACTCCAAAAATCTGGATCTAATAGTCTTCACCTCTCAGAAAACATCATGTTAACTCTCAGAGATCCCCAAACCAGAAGACTAAGTCAAATACCTACAAAAATAAACATACCGTCTTCCTGAACACAAATTACTGGAAAATCCAGTTTACAAGGATACAGAAGATTATTCTGTCTGATTTTAGGTAGTCTTATTCTCCTACTTGATTGTAATTTGGGACTATTTTCTTCATCTTTCTACTTTCCACTATATACAAGAGGCACTCAAAAAGTTCACTGAACATGCAGATCAAGAAGATAAACTTCAAGAAAGTTATGAAGAAATTTAAAGATAATTGCAAATAAGCTTCTTTATTCAAGTCACAGATTAACAGTATGAAAGTTTGAACTAAAATAGAGTATTAGCAAATGTCCCAAAGGTCTAAATATGAAGAGGTTCTAATGGGTCACATTACATAAGTAAAAATAAGGAAGGAAATCCACTATAAGAAAGCAGAACATTTGCTTCACATGCTCATTTGTAGGCTGAACTAATGACTGCCGCCATAAGAAGACAGAGAGAACTGAGTATCCTCCCAAAGGTGAATTTCAATTTTTGTTATTATGAGTGTGCTTGCTTATATAAAAGAATATGCTTAAGGGAAAAAAGGTGCTTTAAAGTTAATATTCTACAAACCATAGTTTATGAGCATAAGAAATTACATAATTTACAGCAATCTGATGTATTAGTAATAATAATGTATTATTATCTCTTAAACAGTGTTTTGTTTTATGGCTAACAGTAGCACCTGTGAATGAGGCAGAACCTGTTATTTGGATTTCACAAGGATGTGAAAGTAATGGTACTGTTAAAAGTACCAAAAATGTATTATATGCTTTAAAAATTCTAGCCAGAAAACAGTATTTTCCTTTTCAACACATCTATTGAAAGTGTTGGATAAATGCAGGATGTTAATATGCTATAAACATAAAGTCTGTTTTTAAAAAATAGCATTTGAAAATCATGAAGGGCTTTTTGTTTTCTTTTGTTTGTATATATGTTTATTGGTAACAGGTGACACTGGAAGCAATGAACACCACAGTGATGCAAGGCTTCAACAGATCTGAGCGGTGCCCCAGAGACACTCGGATAGTACAGCTGGTATTCCCAGCCCTCTACACAGTGGTTTTCTTGACCGGCATCCTGCTGAATACTTTGGCTCTGTGGGTGTTTGTTCACATCCCCAGCTCCTCCACCTTCATCATCTACCTCAAAAACACTTTGGTGGCCGACTTGATAATGACACTCATGCTTCCTTTCAAAATCCTCTCTGACTCACACCTGGCACCCTGGCAGCTCAGAGCTTTTGTGTGTCGTTTTTCTTCGGTGATATTTTATGAGACCATGTATGTGGGCATCGTGCTGTTAGGGCTCATAGCCTTTGACAGATTCCTCAAGATCATCAGACCTTTGAGAAATATTTTTCTAAAAAAACCTGTTTTTGCAAAAACGGTCTCAATCTTCATCTGGTTCTTTTTGTTCTTCATCTCCCTGCCAAATACGATCTTGAGCAACAAGGAAGCAACACCATCGTCTGTGAAAAAGTGTGCTTCCTTAAAGGGGCCTCTGGGGCTGAAATGGCATCAAATGGTAAATAACATATGCCAGTTTATTTTCTGGACTGTTTTTATCCTAATGCTTGTGTTTTATGTGGTTATTGCAAAAAAAGTATATGATTCTTATAGAAAGTCCAAAAGTAAGGACAGAAAAAACAACAAAAAGCTGGAAGGCAAAGTATTTGTTGTCGTGGCTGTCTTCTTTGTGTGTTTTGCTCCATTTCATTTTGCCAGAGTTCCATATACTCACAGTCAAACCAACAATAAGACTGACTGTAGACTGCAAAATCAACTGTTTATTGCTAAAGAAACAACTCTCTTTTTGGCAGCAACTAACATTTGTATGGATCCCTTAATATACATATTCTTATGTAAAAAATTCACAGAAAAGCTACCATGTATGCAAGGGAGAAAGACCACAGCATCAAGCCAAGAAAATCATAGCAGTCAGACAGACAACATAACCTTAGGCTGACAACTGTACATAGGGTTAACTTCTATTTATTGATGAGACTTCCGTAGATAATGTGGAAATCAAATTTAACCAAGAAAAAAAGATTGGAACAAATGCTCTCTTACATTTTATTATCCTCGTGTACAGAAAAGATTATATAAAATTTAAATCCACATAGATCTATTCATAAGCTGAATGAACCATTACTAAGAGAATGCAACAGGATACAAATGGCCACTAGAGGTCATTATTTCTTTCTTTCTTTTTTTTTTTTTTTAATTTCAAGAGCATTTCACTTTAACATTTTGGAAAAGACTAAGGAGAAACGTATATCCCTACAAACCTCCCCTCCAAACACCTTCTCACATTCTTTTCCACAATTCACATAACACTACTGCTTTTGTGCCCCTTAAATGTAGATATGTGCTGAAAGAAAAAAAAAACGCCCAACTCTTGAAGTCCATTGCTGAAAACTGCAGCCAGGGGTTGAAAGGGATGCAGACTTGAAGAGTCTGAGGAACTGAAGTGGGTCAGCAAGACCTCTGAAATCCTGGGTAAAGGATTTTCTCCTTACAATTACAAACAGCCTCTTTCACATTACAATAATATACCATAGGAGGCACAAGCACCATTATTAAGCCACTTTGCTTACACCTTAAGTGTGTACAATTCAAGTGTGAGAATGCTGTGTTAACTATTCTTTGGAATTCTCCTTCTGTCCAGCAAATACTCTAATGATGGTTAAACATGGCACCTACTCAGCAATGCCTTCCTGGACCACAACCCCTATCCCCCTGCCCCACCCTCCTCATTAAAAACAAATACTTCTACTGTTTGGGTGTGTGATAGGGTTCTCAATGCAGATCTCCCTTTTCTAGTTAGCTATATTCTTGACTGCATCCGCTAAAAATGTTAAAGCTTCTTGAGAGACAGACATGCCAGATTTTCTTGGTATCTCCCATAATACGACCTACAGTCCATGGTCTACAGATGTTTTAAATAGAATTGCTATTCTCGATACATACAAAGACGTAATTGCTGACCCACAATCAGTAACATCCATATTGAGAGATTTTTCAAAGGATGGTGACCCTGCTTGTATTTATTTACCTTGGTATTTTTTCTTGCATCCTTCTGTGATTCAAAAAAGTAAAATGTGGCTTTCTGAAATGATGGATAAGAGTCTACATCTTCTAGAAAAAATACATAAAGGAGTAGTTAAGCTCTGTAAATGTGCCACGAGCTCCAACACGACCATCGTAGGGTGAAGCCCACGTTTTCTTCCATGGCCTCAAAGGCCCTAGAACTTGCCTACCTTTCTGGCCTTACCTCCTAGCTACTTATCCATCTCTTGAACTTTATACTCTTGTATAAATTTCTAACTTTCAGAAAATGCCATACTCTGTTTTGGCACCACACATGTATATTTCCCCCTGGTACACTTGGAAGACTCTTATCCATCTGTGAAACCCTATGTTGTCATCACTTGGTCCATGAAATATTACCTGGCCAATATCCCACCATCACCTCAAACCCAATCACCCCCTCCTCTGTATGCTGTCACACCTATATTATTAAACTTATCACATTGCATTGTAATTACTTCCTGACCTTTGTATCTACTCTTTTAGTAACTGATGTATATATCTGAAAGGAGAGATTGTTTCATTGTGCAATCAATAAATGTTTGATAAAATAAAGCCCATTTGGTTTATTTTATGTATTAGAGAAGCAAAAGGGAAGCCAATTCTCATTGATGTTTTTATTATCCAAAGACAACATAAATTTCTTGAAATGAAAGCTCAAGCTCTGTCCACTCTCCTATAACATGTATGTAGGGCCTGAAAATTGTGGTGCTCCTGGGGTCACTAGTGAATGATCATGACAACAGGAGGATCATGGAATAGCCAAATCCAAAGTTTTAAAGCTATTGACAAAATCCTTTAGCTATGCACTATTGATAATGGTTAAGTAAAATTTGTAACTGTGAATATAACAAACACCTTTAGAAAGTACTCTTGATGTCTGATCTTCATTCTCTCTGATAAAAGAATTAAATAATCATTACTATTAGGGATGCCACTAAATCCATATTACCTCTACTGAGTACATTACACAATCACAAATAGACTATAATCATGTAAATAACTGCATCCAAGCTACCCTTGTTAAACAGCCAGGTATGTCTGGTGGGGTAACCTGTGTATTTTGCCTCTAATGACAATTTCAATCTCTACTTAATGTGGGTACACCTAAAGTATACAATTTTTGGGAAAGATCTTTCAAGATAAATTCCAAGACCAAATCTGTCATCCATAAATACAAATATTTCATTCCATTATAATATTCCACTCAAAGGCAGAGTGCCTGATCTGTAGAATAAAATAATCTATTACATCAAGAACGTGGTGAAGAGGCATAGTAGAGAGATCTTAAAATCACTTTCACAAAATGAAGAACTTCCTAAAATCACTTTCACAAAATGAAGAACTTCCTAAACTAGCAATCACAAATACTAAGTTCTAAAATATTAAAAAAAACAAGATGCTACAATATAGTCATAAATGATACACCAAAAAGAATAAAAGAAAATAATAGCTTTGGACTGATAGAATATGTGAGCTCAGAATACAAAGGCTTTTGTCAAAAGTTAAAATGTAATTACTTGTACAAATAAATAGGATAAGATCTTCCCAATAACCTTCAAGAAAAGAGAGGGGTTGAAGGGAGTGAAGTTCCCACACTCGGAAGAATTCTTGAGAAACCAAGGAAGATAACTGTAAAGTGGAAAGGATGAGGCAGAGAAGGAGTGAGAATTCTCAATTCATGGAAGCCAAAAGGTAGATAAAGTCATTATGTCATAACTTATAAAACAATCATTCAATCTTATTAATCCCATTATTTCTTACATTCCATATCCATTTAAAAGCTTTTGCCTTTCATAACTTTCCAAGGTATTCTTTCTAAAATACTTAACTCTTACCCCGACATAAACTGTATTCCTTCAGCAAATTAACAAATCAAAGTTCACACAGATATTAACAGAATATCCAGAGCAAAAAAACCCAAAGTCAGTATTATCTATTATTTAAGAAAAAACATACTTAGAAGACAGTAGCCCTACTAAGGAAAGTGCAGAATTTACAAATCATTTGAAGCACCCAGAAACACATCTCAACATTTGAAATTTTACATAGAAACCAAATGTAGGAAATATGAATACAGAACACATGTGCCATATTAGTTTGCAAATTTTAGTGGCTACCGGAATCGGCTGGAGAGATTCTCCAAATACACATTGCTAGAACCATCAAAACAACAAAGCAGCACATCTGTCTCCTTTAATAATCCCAGGCAGGCTATGAAATGCTTATTATCTTCATTTTAGAGATCAAGAAGTTGAGAAACAGAAAGGCTAAGTAACTTGCATGAGGTCACAGAGCTTGCCATCTGCAGGAATGGGGCTTTAATTGAGACGTGGCTTCTAAGCCCATATTCTTAACAACTGTATTTACAACCTCAGGTCTAATTTTCTCAAGTGAATTCACAATTCCAGTCTCCCATGCTATATTTCCTGTTATTTACAAAACTTCCGTAGCCACCCCCATGCTCCCTGACCCCACAAAAACGATACGTTTCTGTGTGGGTAGTAACCAGCCCAGATGCTGCCAGGTAATAAGCCCTGACCTAGAGGCTAACAAGAACCTCCCAGGACCTTACCCAAGCAGCTCACACTCATTTCCTGAATGCCTGCTGTGTGCCAGGCTCTTTACAAAGATTATCATTTTTCTAATTCTTACTACAATCTTATGAGACAAATACTACTAGGCTCTCTAGTTAAAAATAGGAACAAAACTGAAGCACAAAGTAAACATACACCTTGCCCATGGTGCACATCACTCACCAACAAATGGGGCAGAGCTGGGACTGAAACCCAGGAAGGTGGTCTCAAGACCAGCACCTCAACTGCTCTGGTCACTGCCTCTCTGTCCTGTCAGACTTAGCAGAATTCCTCAAAGGCCCCACTAGGGAGAATGAGGAGGCTTCTTAGAGGGGAAGAGAGAAGTCTCAACACGAATGGGCTTCAACAACCTCAGGGGTATGAATGGTGCAATAGTGGCACCTACAATTACTTCAGGGGTCCCTCCAGCACTTGAGAGCTCAGGGGGAGTAAACTCCCCAATAGTGGATTCATTTGTTCATTTAGCCAGTCATTCCTTCATCATCAACTTGGGTACAGGGCCTTTTGCATCTCTAGAAGGTGAACACTGGTAAGGAACACAGATTATAATGACTCAAGATGTGATAAGAGGTGTGAGAGACACACCACAGAAGTTCAAAGGAATAGGCAATTCATTCCACATGGAGAAAATGAAGAAGGGTTCACAGGAGATGGAAATTTGAACTGGAACTTGAAGAAAACAGAGCATTCAAAAGGGAACCCTGCGGCACAATAAGCAGTTTCAAGGCAGGCTCAGGTAGGGGTGGAACTGTGCTGTGGTTGGAGCGTGAGGGTTGCAGGGGGCCTGAGCCTACAGCACATGACATAGGGAATACATTTGGGACAGAGATGCAGGACTGTACAGCCAAGCACTGTACTGGGACATCTAGTCTTCACTAATGAGTCGTTGAAGGTTTCTAAGGTGAAGAACCACATGTTCTGGGCTGTGCTTTAGGAAAATCAATTGACCAACTATAGGATGATTCTAGACTGAAGGAAGAGCCAGTGAGGCCAGGTCAATTAAAGAGGCTTTCCATGTATGCAGGCAAGAATGATGGGGAAAACATCTGACATGGACCTTCCAGACATTCTCAGGGAGAGAGGTTTTAAGTTCAGAGTCCAAGACCATTGAAAGTGGGGGACTCTATGTAAAACATGTGGTTAACATGTAAAATATATTAGCAATGGGATCCATAATGCCTCCACCCCCTTCTCCTCGAATTGAGGGTTGATTTCTCTCAGGACCGTTAGCTTGAACGATTTGCTAGGTCATCATCACAGAAGTGGATTTGGGGTATGTTCCATTTGAGGTATCAGTGAAAGAGCTAGGGTCAAAGAGCCCACAGCTGGGCCAAAATATGGACCCAGGCTCCAAAAATAGGACTAAGATTAGAGGTCTAGGGAATAATCTTTTTTGAGACAGGGAGAGAAAAAGGAATGAGATGAGAACCCCAGAGGCCATACTACACAGGTCTCATGGTCACAACAGACAGAAGAGGAACAGGGGATGATGCCTTGGAACTGGGAGGAGTGGGTAGTGTTAGTAGAAAAGGAGAATCAGGAAGTCCAGTGTACTGAATACCAAGGAACAAGAGAGATTCAAGGAGGAAGAGATAGCCAACAGAATTATACACTCTAAATTTAGTCAAAAGTGATGAATCTACAACTATAAGGTCAACGATAACTCTGAGGTGGAAGTGGGGTGAGCTCCAGTTTGTGAATGGGAAGTGAGGAAGTAGAAGCAACCCTTATCTTCCCATAATGGATAAGTCAGTTTAAAAGAGTTCCATGGGGCGCCAGATGCAGTAGCTCACACCTATAATCCCAGCATTTTGGGAGGCCAAGGCAGGTGAATTGCTTGAGCCCAGGAGTTTGAGACCAGCCTGGACAACATGGTAAAACCGCAACTCTACAAAAAATAAAAAAATAAAAAAAAAATTACCTGGGCCTGGTGGCATGCACCTGTAGTCCCAGCAACTCGGGAGGCAAAAGTGTGAGAATCACTTGAGTCCAGGAGGTTGAGGTTGCAGTGGGCCATGATCACACCACTGCACTCCAGCCTGGATGACAGAGCAAGACCCTGCCTCAAAAGACTTCCAGGGAGAAACAAATCAGCTTTTATATTAGTTAGGCTTTTCCCAGGGATTTCTATGAACATGTAGAATAATTCCTTTCTATGCTATGATGTGCATAGTGAACATGTTCCATGTGAAATAGCTAACAGAGAAGTACAAATCAAACAGTTGGGTGCAACCACACAGGCCAGAGAACTCAGCCTTGGTCAGAAACTGGGTGTATCAATATTTTCAATATCCATGTAACCCGGGTTTCTGCTTCCTTGCCTCCATTCTCATTCTAATATGAAGTCCTTATAGAAAAAAATAAGATGGGAAGAAAGGAAGTCAGAGGAAAGGAGAGATGGGGACACTAAGAGAAAATGGTAGGAATGGAAGTTGAGACAATTGGGGGGAGTGATAAAAGGGAAAGAAAAAGGCAAGATAATATGAAAGAGAAAGGAAATTAAATTTAAGACTTAAGGAAGTAAACTAGTTCTTTAAAAATTACATAACTTACTCAGCATGTGAACTTTTGCCACTCTTGTAATACAACTCAAACTGACAAATATAACATCCTGAGGCATAATAACAGAATGTCCACCTTTATTTTTGAACTTCAGTTTAAACGTTAAATGTGTGTATATGACTTTACTTACTGGTGTTGATCTTAATTGTATCTAATGTATTTCTGAAGGCTTTCATAGCTTTGGGTTTTTTAAAAAAAATATTAGCTTTATGTATTGACTTTATATCATATATACACATAATGTCACTGGTCTTTAAGTCTTTTTTTATTCTATTTAACTGTACAACTGAGTTTCCTAAGTCCAAAAATGCCCAAACTGTGAATGAATGAAGCTTTATCCTGAACACAGTAACCCTACTGAGACGACCTCCCTTCTCTCCCCATATATTCTAACCTCAGCTTTTATAGATTCCCACAATTTCAGATAGTCTGGAATAAAGAAGTCCAAACTTCCTTCTTTACAGGAGAAAAAAACTGTCAAAAAAGATTATAAAAAGCATTTCAAGCAATCATCAGTTTGTCACTAATAGGAAACCAGAAGCTTTCTAAAAGCAACCAAAATTATGGATGTACCTTAACTTCTAAGCTGAGGCATATCATTCCAACTCCACCATGCATCAGACACCCCATTCATTCGCTTGCTCTCCCTTCACCTTCTGACAAAAGACAAAGTGCTCCTGTACCCTTAAATGCCAACCAAGTTCCAAACACTGTGGAACTACACTGTATATATTTATCCTGAATAGATTACCTCATTTAAGCTTTACAACCCTACATGGCAGGCATTGCCATGCTCATTTTCAGAAGAAGATATGCTTTGCCCAAAGTAAAAAAAGCTGCTAAGTGGAGATGTTCCAAATTGGAGTTTACCTGACCCCAATCACTAGTCTTGTCACAGCCGGACACTGCCTCTCGCACAAGCAAGATTTACAAAGCAAGGAGATAGATTAAGTTGCCCAGCATAGGAAGGAGTATCAGTAAAAGGACAACAGTCAGAGATGCAGCCTTATCTCCAGACTCAATCTCCAAACCATCCCCCTTCCCTTTAATCAAATGAAGTTCTCATACCAGAAAAAGGTGTTTCGTGTAAAGCAGACCTGATAGATACAAATAATTTCAAATGACAGA
This sequence comes from Homo sapiens, assembly GCF_000001405.40. Lineage (NCBI taxonomy): Eukaryota > Metazoa > Chordata > Mammalia > Primates > Hominidae > Homo > Homo sapiens. Next base: position 151,320,579 of record NC_000003.12, on the reverse strand, counting down.
TTAAACACAGTAATTCAAGCATAGGGACCCAATGATACCAATCTTGTCAAAGGACTGACTATTAAAGGGCTTATAATAATTATACTCAGCACAAGTTCTCAGCTACTGGATGTGAGCCACAATTAGAAAGACTTGTGTACAGAGATGGAACAGTAAGACTTGGGCAAAGGTTTTACTATAATCCTTGTTGCATGTTCCAGCCACATGGAAAAGACCAACACGGGCATTCAAGAGAGATCACCTTGAGCTATGTTGCAATTAGATCCCTGCTTGTCTTTGTTTTGTAATAACAAGTTAGTGTACTATAAAGGACTATGACGCCCTTTATATGTGCATTTTCCTTAAGAAGAAACAGATACATCTGAGATTAGTGATACAGAAAAATGAGATTATAACACAAATACTATGCCTACCAACACTGGGAGGAAACACTGTCCCCAGGTCCACACCAATGCAGAAAAGCCAAAGAAAGAAGGGAGGAAAAAGTCATATGCCATGGAGAAACCACTAGAAACCAAGGTAAGCCTTGGTAATACATTTGCTCAATGTCTCATATCAAAAACATGAGAAAACAGAATAAAGAGTTCATTTCAGGACTGAGAAAGGCTTATGAGTAATCTTACCTATTTTAATTCCTTCGAAGATGTGACACTTTTTCTCCTTGAGCGCCCCTGTCTCTTTAAGAATATATTTTGAAAAATCAGTAAGATTACGGGAATCCTCATTTGAATTTCTGTGACTAAACCAAATATGTTTGGTTTAGTTTGTTGCCAGTTTGTTGTATTTTGAGTAAAGAGTTATGCTATGCAGATTTTGCCATTTTTCATGATGATTCATAAATAATAAATGAGGTACTGCTCATAATCTGACATTTTACTGTCGTCAGTAAATATGTTGGAGTGGGGAAGAGTATATGTGAAAAACAGTAACAATTTATAAATCTAGATGAAATCTAGTTGAACAATTCTTTCAATTTGTTTGTAGTCTTAATACCTTTAAAAATAATGTTAGAAGGAAAAAAATCACCCTAGTATAAAAACAAAACAAAATTTTTTAAAGTTTTCTGGTGGCCGACACACACACACACACACACACACACACACACACACACGCACACACACACACACACCTGGATGTTCTGTATTTAAAATAAATTTGGGGTTTGTAATGGCTAAACAAAATTAATAAAAGAGTGCCCTGCATTTAACAGGATTTTCCAATGAAGTGGAAAGGAAATTATCGCTATGAAGATTCCCGGGGCTTTTATGAAATGTGAGACTTGCTATAAAAACCAGCAGGAAAAAAATTATGCTGGTTTACCTTTCGATTATGTGAACAATAATAAAGCTATGGGCTGGCTGTTAGCTGCTCTTTGCATCAAAGTGTTACACTTTTTTCATGACTAAACATGTATTACTTCCCTTTTGGAATGTTAGGTAAGACCAGCTTTCACAAGTCCCAACTTGAGACTGGCATAATATACTTTAAGACTAACGCATAAAGGCTGCCTTGCGTTAACTTTTTTGTTACTATACTAAATTTGCGCTGCCAGCCAACGAAACACTGAAACACTCCAAGCCAGCTGTTAGGCTACCGTCCCGGGCACGTTGCTTACAGAGGTATTGGGAAAGGAAAAAGTGCATCCTATCCCAAGCCCACTTCAGGAGAAAAAGGGGGCCACCTACTGTAGTGAAGGGACATCACCTTATTTCCTACTTAACACCATCACACATAAAGTTAAAGATGCTTCATTATACAGGAAAATTTCATAGGCCCCTCACAAGCCCTTCTTCGCACTTAGAAGGGCCTATGATAACCCTTTCACAGTAGGGCCCTCTCTTTTTTTTAAAAGGTCTTTATTCTTATAACAGAAGCCTGTCAAATATCTGTCAGAATAAGCTCCCTACTAAGATTTTATACACATCACTGGAAATTTGGGGTGATAATCCTCAGTACTTGCAGCAAAGTTCTTTGCACAACATACTTTTATGGGGGCCATAAGAGATGCTTCTCCCTTTGACTGATGCCTTTAGTACTTAACAGTTAGTTGTTCTGGCAGTAAAATGTCAAATTATGAGCAGTACCTCATTTATTATTTATGAATCATCATGAAAAAATGGCAAAAAGGTCAACACAAGGACAAATCTCCCAAACTAAAGTCTGCATAGCATAACCCTTCTGCTCAAAATACAACAAACTGGTTTCAAAAAAAAAAAAAGAAGAAAAGAAAAGAAACTGGCTTCAAATGCTAAATCAATGGGGAAGTATAAAATAGCACAGAGAGAGTCAAAACTAAATGAAGGATTGTTTGTAAATCTGCAAATTCTTAAAAGATTAGGCCATTATTAAGTTGGCTAATTGTTATTCAAACACCTTCCCCAGGACTAGCTACTTTTCCGTAACATACTTAATCCACCCAAAGCAGAATGTAAAAAAAAAAAAAATTAAAATTGTAGGTGTCTGTTTTTGTATGGTTAGGAAGCAGATAGGAAAATACAAAAAATATAATTTTGATACCCAACTCTTGATTTTTAAGTTAAACACCCATTTGTTTTTCTGTAAAAACATAAGGAAAATCAACTAGTACGTACACATTATTTCCTTAAGACACAAGTAAACACTAAGTAATACCTATTATAGATTTATTCACTCCAAAAAAGTTTTCACCTTTGATTATTTTCATTTATCTTCATCCACAATAACAGGTTTTGATTCCATTTGATGAAATTTTATTTTTTTAAATGTATTTAAATGTTGCATTCAAGAAAATATCAGAATCTTTGAGATTCTCATCTGAAAGCAAGAAAATTATTTACAAATCAGAAAAAGTGGCCGGGCGCAGTGGCTCACACATGTAATCCCAGCACTTTGGGAGGCTGAGGCGGGCGGATCATGAGGTCAGGAGTTCAGGACCAGCCTGGCCAACATAGAGAAACCCCGTCTCTACTAAAAATACAAAAAATTAGCCGGGTGTAGTCGTGGGCACCTGTAATCCTACCTACTCAGGAGGCTGAGGCAGGAGAATCACTTGAATCCGGGAGGTGGAGGTTGCAGCAAGCTGAGATCATGCCACTGCATACCAGCCCGGGCAACAGTGTGAGACTCCGTCTCACAAAAAAAAAAAAAAAAAAAAAAAAAAAAAAGTGATATGATTATATAAATTTGTCATTGTTGGATGCTTTTTTAAAGCAATAAAATAAATTGTTTTATGTTAAAGGTCAGCATTCAAAGGAGTCAGTGAACCCAGCCCCTGAATAATTTAACATATTTTGAATACTTATCATTGTGTATGTGTAAAAATATGTCTATTGTGTATGTGTAAAAATATGTCTACAGATTTCATTAGTTTCATAAGACTACAAGTTTCCAAAGTTATCAATTACAACAATACTCTTTAAATAATATGTAGAATAATATTTTCAAAGAATTCATCTGTCATAAAGCATATTCTTATTTCTTTTAATCCAAAATTTAATTGGCAGGAAGGCTGCAAATACATGTTTTCTAGATAGCAATAGGAGGCTGGAAAAAAAAAATGACCTAAAAATTGGATCTGATGAGTTAGTAGGCCCCAACCCGAGACTTCATCCCCCACTCCTTAAGCAGACTTCTGGCAGTCTAAGCTCCAGCCCTCTGTGTTTCCTTCAGGTGAATCACCATCTGATTCCTGCAGGTTCAGGAAATACTCTTCCCCAGTCGACAAATCTCACCTACTCTTAGTTATGAGTCATTTACATTAGCAAGAGAGCAAGTTGTTCCAGTAGTCGCCTGGCAGGAGAATTTGAAAGGGTGCCCCAAAGGACAATCTCTAAAGGGGTAAGGGAGATACCTACCTTGTCTGGTAGGGGAGATGTTTCGTTTTCATGCTTTACCAGAAAATCCACTTCCCTGCCGACCTTAGTTTCAAAGCTTATTCTTAATTAGAGACAAGAAACCTGTTTCAACTTGAAGACACCGTATGAGGTGAATGGACAGCCAGCCACCACAATGAAAGGTAAACGAAAAATTTTTCATTTTCTTAAAAGCCGTGGTTGATAAGACACAGCAATGATTAAAAACTGTAATTATACTTCTGCTTAACTCTGAGGTTTGAAGAAAAACTAGAAATTAGAATGCTGACAGTAAGATATGAGGCACCACTGTGAGCCATGAAGCTTCAACTGTTTCCAGCTCAGGCAGGCAGAAATATAAACTACATATTGTGCCTTCAAAAGTAGAAACAATGTTTTGGCAATCACTCCTATTTAGTACATTTTTTTTTAAACCACATTTACTTTATTAGATGAGTAAAAGTCAAAGTCTCTTATAATTGTTTCCCAGGACCCAAAACTTAAAATTTGTTTCATAATCGTTTATCCGTATTGTTTTTTTTTAAAGAGAGAGACAAAGATTTTTCTCTTTCCCAACTGTCTCATTTTGATAAAATAATCTCAGTCTTTTCATTGTACCACAAAGAACAGGGCAATCCTCATTCTGATCCCTGGAGAAGTCATGTTAAAACATGTCAGGAAAGGCACTGAGAAAACTGCCCAGTGACTGACAAACAGGTTAGGAACAGCTTACTGTTGTTCCACATTCAAACTGTTTGGGAAGTTTTCACTGCAATGAGGAAAACAAGAAGCAAGCATGGAGATCTCAGTTCTTTTAAATTTTAATAAGGACTTTTAAAAGATAGATGAGCCTAAAGTAGAGTGACTTTTTGATTTCTTATTTTAAGATTTATCTGCTATGGAATTTTACATCACATTCTCAAGTTGAATCTGCTTTTATTTTAGGTATATTAACATTTTTAACAAGAGATTTCTTTCATAATTGTTCTCCAATTTACTAGCAATATGAACAGCAACAAATCTGGTTCTATATTACTTTATACTGGGGGGAAAAAAGCCAGACACCCTGTTGATATTTATTATTTCTGCCAATTGAGATTAACTGTCTCCATGAAGTTAGGGATCAAAGAGGCATATTCTCTTAATCCTTCAGCAACATCTCATCCTCAGACTCTTGTTTCTGACCTCTACTTGAAATGTGTTGCAGGTATACATGGGTTAAGGACAAGGGCCTAGAAGAGCAGATGGATGGCTGAATTTCATATTTAAGGATACAGCCTATAAAAAGAAAGTATCCCGCCAGAAAATCTTTATTTCATGAAGACACTGAGAAAATGCCCTAACCAGAGATAACATGCTAAGAGGATTTACTGCATTCAGAGATGTGGGTGGGAAAAGGAAGACTAAGTTAAAAGGAATGTTCTTATTTAGAGTTGTGCTGTTTGTGCTCTTCAGAGTCTGCCTGCTTTTCTTCCTTAATATCTTGGCATTTAACTCTCTTTAAGAACCACAACAACAAAATATTTCACGCTTAGCTCTTTACTCTGAGAAAATACCAAGGAAAGTTAAGATAGAGGAGACCACAATGGCCATTAGTTCCTTGTATGCTCCTGAAATAAGAAAAGCCTGGAAAATCCATGAAAATCCCTCAAAGCCCAATAAAGGGTAAGGTTGTGAAGACAGGACAGAAGTGAGGTGAAATCTACGTAAAGTCACCTCCCTAGAAGCATCCCCCAGTCTCCAGGGTAGATGTTCTCTATGCAGGCAAGAGGCAGTAGTTTGGGTTTAAAGTAGAAAGCCCAGGACTCACAGCAAAATGACCTGGGTTTAAGGGCTGATTGTACCAAATATTATCAGTGTGACTTAGGCAAGTCTCTGAATTCCCCAGGAGCTCACTTCCCTTCCTCACAGGTAAAATGAAGGGATTAGATCAGAGGGTCATTAGAGGCCCCTTGCATCTCTAGATTCCCACGATCCAGGTGATATGCTGAGACGCTGGGGTTGGTAATGAAAGAACCCAAGGCTTGGACCAAGCACACAGGAATGCTTGAGAGGAAATGGGGTAGAGCCACAAATGAGGACCTTCCCAATTCTGCCCCTAGCCAGCTACGTGATGTTAATCAAATCTCGACTTCGCTAGGTCTCAGATTCTTCCTCTACAAGATGAAGATGAATGTACTATTTGCTCTTCCTACCTGGCTGAAAGTTTTGCATTAATACAAGTATTAATACAAGTGCCAGCTGCAGTTCTTATACTTGTAACTATCTAAAGCAGGGAGGCAAGAGCAGAAGCAAATGCAAGGTGACCCTGCTGTTAAAAACTAGATGAGATGCACCCACCTCTCAGACCTTCTGCTTCAGGCCAATGGTGAAAGACAGGTTCTTTCTGACCTTACAAATATTACGAAATCCTCTCCCTCCTTATATGGCAAACACAGGCAGAATAGAATATTTGTTCTCTATCTTGTACCTAATTAACATATTTTGTTTCATTAATATTATTATTGGCCAAACATTTAAAAAATTACACTAAAATACATTTAAGCGAGAGCACTGATTAAGTTCCATTTAGTGTAAGCCATGACATTAAGTCATTTATATCAATGATTCTATAGTTTCTCTTAAACAGTAATTTCTAATGATTTCCATCATTTTAAAAGAAGAGCAAAGCTCCTTAAATGACCTTTTCTAATGTACTAGATAGGATCCGTATGGCACAAACTGTCCTTCTATCCTTAATACTAAAACAACAATAATTAGCATATACATCTAGCTTGATATGTGACAAGATTACTGCATATTTTATCATGCAATTTTTTTTTTTTTTGAGACGGAGTCTCGCTCTGTCACCAGGTTGGAGTGCAGTCGCGTGATCTTTGCTCACTGCAACCTCTGCCTCCTGCGTTCAAGCGATTCTCCTGCCTCAGCCTCCCAAGTGGCTGGGATTATAGGCGCCCACCACCATGTAACCTCTGCCTCCTGGGTTCAAGCAATTCTCCTGCCTCAGACTCCTAAGTGGCTGGGATTATAGGCGCCCACGACCATGCCCAGCTAATTTTTGTATTTTTAGTAGAGACGGGGTTTCACCATGTTGGCCAGGATGGTCTCAATCTCTTGACCCGGTGATCCACCCATCTCGGCCTCCCAAAGTGCTGGGATTACAGGTGTGAGCCACCGCACCTGGCCTTATCATGCATTTTTTTTTTTAACTCAGACAACCTTAAGGTATAAATTACTATTATCCACTTTTACAGCTGAGCAAACTGAGGCTTAACAAGCATAACAGTAGGGAGCACAGCTCTGACCTTGAACCACTGCCCACAGTCAACCACGCTGTATTTGCTGTTACCTCTTTTTGTGGGTAGTTTCATATGTAAAATGATATAGACTTATTGTATATTTACCATATACTAGTACCATAGTATAGACTACAGTAGATAAATGGCCAACTTGGGTGCATGATCCCCTGCAATCAAGTTGGAGCTATTTTAACTTGGTAGTTTTCCCAAAGGAGGCATCAGGTGCTAATCAGCACATGAATACCAAACTTCTGTGCAGGCAGTAGCAGAGCGGTAGTTAGGAGCACAGCACTGAGATGGGCTTACGTTCTGTTCAAATCCAGGCTCTGCCCCTCATTAGTGGTGTTAATGAGGGCAAGCTCTAGCACTCCAGCGACAGCACATATCTGCTCAAAGAACAAATAACATGTGCAAATAGCCCAAGTATATTGTATTCCAAGTATTCTCTCTAAGCCTCAGGTTTTTTCATCTGAAAAACTAGAGTACTAATTCTTACTACCCACTCAAGTAGCATGTCAATACTGAGTTATTACTACATGTCAAGTTTGAATAAAAGGTCTATGCTATGGTAATACTTCATTCAAAACAATCTTATGAGGGCTGTTTTACAGAAGAAGGCGGCACAGAGGGGTTGGGTAACCTGCCCAAGTAAGTGGCAAACCTGTAATGTGAATCCAAAGTCCTTTTAATAAATTAAAATATACATAGGTAATTTAGAACACTTCTAGGCACACAATAATACTAGCCAGCATTTGGGGAGCTCTTTTACTGTTGTTGTATGTAGCAAGATAGACACTTAGACTTCTCAAGCTCCCAGAAAGGGTTTTGCCCTGTAGCCTGAACAGGCTCTCAGGTCAAAGATATTACTGTCTCTTGACCACCAGAGAAACTCTCTGGAGGACATATAACAAAGTGAAACTTTGTTTTCCAAGTCCTTGAGTCTAGAGGGTACCCTTTACTGACTATATCAAGATTCGGAATGCCTCCAAAGCAAAGGCCAGTATACCAAAAGGGCAGCAGAAACAAAATGATCTGAAGTCCCTGTACTAAAGGAGCTTATGATCTAGTTAAGAAAGAAAAAAGTTAACAGAATACTTGGACTGTTTGCACATACTAGAGTATGAAGCTCTGTGGCTCTCAGGCTGAGAACTAAAAAGAGAGATCCAAGAAAACAATGCATAAATATCTGTTGCCTCTAGACTGTAGGCATTTGAGGATTTGCTATACTCTTTTCGGGGTGGATGACCTACCTGTCCCCCATCTTGTTCCTCCTCAGACCTGCTAGGCCCCAAAATTACAAATAAAACTGAAAATAAATCACTGGGCCTTTCAAAACTTTTTTAGATAAACCGGCTCCAAGACAAATTGGGAAAAACTGCAAAATCAATTGTTTTTGTGTTGTTGTTTTTGAGACGGAGTCTCGCTTTGTCACCCAGGCTGGAGTGCAACAGCGTGATCTTGGCTCACTGCAACCTCTGCAACCTCCGCAACCTCCGCCTCCCAGGTTCGAACAATTCTCCTGCCTCAGCTCCTGAGTAGCTGGAAATACAAGTGCCTGCCACCACACCCGGCTAATTTTTGTATTTTTAGTAGAGACAGGGTTTCACCATGTTGGTCAGGCTGGTCTTGAACTCCCGACCTCGTGGTCTGCCCACCTCAGCCTCCCAAAGTGCTGGGATTACAGGCATGAGCCACCACGCCTGGCCTAAAATTAACTGTTTACTAGATATATTTATATAGAAAACAGTGCTACATATCATGATGAAGTAGAATGTGGCTCAAAGTAATATGCAATCCTTAAATAATCGCAGCTACAATTGTATTCTAGTTGTCACACCTAAGCATTTTAAAAACCTAAAAAATGAAAACTTTTAGAGGATAATGGCTTGCATTAGGTCAAAACGGTACATGCCTATATTATATATAGCAAAACAAATTAATAGAAGAATAGTAAATGCCATTTAAAAGGTAATTACTACATCAATGTGTCAGCATATACCATGATGGCTGCTGGAAAAATAAAACTATAGTATCTGCTAAACATCAATATTCCCTTTACCCTAAAACATTCATTCTAATTTCATAATGTAAACAACAACACTAAATATATATATATACACACACACACAGTTTATATATATATATATAATTTTAAAAACTATTCATTCTGTGCCTAGAGCCAACAGTACAATACCTCAAGTATTATCTCTACTTTTCATCCTAAGACCCAGAAATGCTAAAATGTACTCAATCCTTCACAGAGTCATGCTGGATCTTACCATGGTCTGTTTATATCCAGTTTACAGTCTATATGAAATTGCAAATAAGACAGGCACTAAACAACTGGCCAGTGCGGAACTCAGTTTGAGTGCTCAAAGTTGCAGGCACCTGAAATATAAATGTCATGGTACACTACTTCTTGCTCTGATGGCTTCCCCATCCTGGAAGATGCTCTCAGCAAAATAACTGTCTCACAGCCAGGGTGGCAAAGCCAAACAACTCTACCCTTAAAGTTTTTCCCCACCCCAGCTCCTATCTAGAGATGGTACATTTCCCATACTGCCTCCCTTTCCTCTTCTGTCAATTACAACCTGATTAACTTCAAGCCAACTAAGCTCTCCTTCCAATGTACTCATATAATTATTTATTTATAATCTTTCTGGTTCCAACAACAACAAAAATAAGGTGTTTTATGGAGATGCTTAATATGAAATTAATTCAAATGAACTTAAATTTAAACAAATGAAGCCTGGGAAAAAGAATGGTGGGAAATTAAAAACCATATGAGAAATTAGTTCACCAAATGCATTCATCCCTATCAGATGGTGTTGGGCCTTAAGGTGGATCTCAACTCCAACAGGAAAACAAGAAGGCATAATGATTTGGTGTTGATAAATTCATAGCTGGCCTACAGAACACCATTCTTATTATGTAGAGTAGAAATAACTTTCTCCCATGAGTCTTAACATAAAGAACCAATGTTGTATTGAACACCCAAAGAGTAGGCACAGTGAAAAGGGCTGAATGCTTGAAGACACCAACTCAAAGCTTAATCCAGGCAAAGCCATTTTACAGAGGCAGGATAAGACAACATAATGGGGTCCAGGCATGTGGCTCACTTTAAATATTTTCATCTTACTGCTGTTTCTTCATAATTGTTCTATGGAAACCTTTCTGCCTCCTTCTCCCCAGTGTACTTTATTCTAATTATGAAAATTTCATAAGTGTTAGACATACTAGCTGTCTTTTATTAGCATACTGGTACTGTTGTTTCTTCTTATACCTGGCTGACTTTCCTCACTGACATAACCTGTGGGGCTGCTGCTGGCATTTGAATTTGCAGCCCTCCACTTTAGCTCCCCCAACTTTACAGTGAGCTATTCAGAAATGTCAGCAGGCCCAGCGTTTGATTAGCCTCCTAATGGTTTGATCAGGCCTTCTTCCTGGTCTTCAGCCATGCCTTACACAGGTCAATGGCCAATTCCTACTCTTGTCTCCACCCCTCCCTGGGTTGTACCATTTCACTTCAGAAGGCAGAAAAAAAAATTGTTAAAAATAAAAAACAAAAAACTGACATATGCCTTCCAAAATGAAATTAAGTCAGAGAGGAGGCCAAATTCCATGACTGCCTAATAGTAAGTCAAAGGTGTTTTTGAACTCTGACTCTGTGCCCGCAGGTACTCTGCTAGACCCTGGAGATAAAAGGATGCAAGGACACTCTGGTAGTCAGGCAAACAACAAAAATAGAATACAACAGCTGGAGGTATGGGAAACCACAGGGGCTGAGGAGCACTTATGTGGCACATGGGGATAACATGGAAAGCTCTGAGAAGAGGAGGCAGATGAGTTACACCTGAAGGCGGTATAGGGAGCTTGCCTAATAGATAAGAGGCAGAAGGGATTTTCAGGATAAAATGCAAGGTAAGGAGGGTCTGGTGCAGGAACTATAAAGTGGGCAGGTATACAGGTCAGGTCAGGAGGTCCTCATCACCTGCAGAGGAGCCTGAGTTGTATCCCATATAAGACAGTAAGCCAGTGAAGACTGTGACAGAAGAGGACATCAAGAAAAGAAATGTGAATAGCAGGAAAATGCATGTGGCAAATATTAAGATAATACAAATATACAGGTTACTATTTCTCCTAGTTGAGGAAGTTACTACATCTATAAATCAAGCCAGAGAAAAATATTTTAATTCAAATATTCCTATTAGTTTAAGAGACATTGTTTAAAACATGATTAATGCCAGAAGTTGATAAATTCACTGAAGTATGAATTACTTTGAAGAAACGTTGTGTGTGTGTGTGTGTGCGTGTGTGTGTGTGTGTGTGTGCGTGTATTTCATGAAATGAGTTATATGTGATCCCAGATCCTTTTACTACATATGGGTGAGGGTGGGTTATTTATTTGTATTCATGAGAAGAGAAAAATGAGAGTGAACGTTTGATGCTGATTAAGAAAGGTGAAATATCCACTCATATTAAAGACTTCACTTGAGAATTTTAAAATTGTCAGTGAAGACAAGTGATGAAATTGAAGTAAAAATGCTCTCTTAGGTAATTGTCTTACTCCATTAACTTAAACAGCATTAAGGTTTGGTTAAGCTGTGATTACAAGAATAAGGGTAGCTAACCTGACAACAGTTCTAATGGAAAGGTCTGGAGAATACTTGCACCATATCCCACAGCCCAGAAAACTATAATGATGACTGTATTAAAATATCAAGGTGACGCCACCACCACCACCATGAAGAATAATTATAACTCTTAAGTAGAATGCTTAAGCCACAGGATGCTATTCCAAAACAAGGAACAGCATCTACATGAACTTGTGAAAAGCATTCTGCATCTTTTAATAGCCTAGTAAACAGTAATCAAACAACTAAAGACTTTACCTGGAGTCTTGAATTCTAAGAATATCTTTAAGGGCCAGAAGTCACTTGAAATGTATTTAGTTTAGAACATATTCATTTAAAACCACTATGTTGGCTACTGGGACTGTGGCCCCTAAACTGACTAGCCTCTTACATAAATGATCCAGAAGTTACCTATATGGAATTTATACTTTGCTTAAACAGAAAATAAAAATACATGTTTCACCTCAGTAAGTTGTAAAATTTGAGTAAAATTCTTATTACTCACAACTACATAGTAATGTGATACAGATCTCCTGATCTGACTCACAATAGCCATAGTAATGTGAGTAGTAGGAATTTTACTCAAATTTTACAACTTACTGAGTTAAAAAGTGTATTTTTATTTTCTGTTTAAGAAAAGCATATTTCTTAAATATGCTTTTTAAGAAATATGTTTAAGCAAAGTATACTTGCCATGAATTACACCTTTACATTACTATAGCACTTACAATATAAAATTGACTTAACATATGTTTTCTTACCACATTCACACAGCACCCTTGGGAAGTACGTCAGGTATTTATTATTCTCCCTGTTTCATAGATGAGGAGGCTCAAGCTCTGTGAGGTACAATGCTTAACAGGGTCACAGACTGAGCCAAAAACTTAACAGCTGCCTACTGAATCCAGGTCTAGGATACTTTGCACTGGTCAGGGAATCTCAGTCTAGAACACTTTCTACCAGGGAAGCTACTTCTGACACTCCACTAGGCCAGCAAAGCAACACCACAGAGGCAGCCTGTTCTGGGGTCTTAAAAGCTAGAGCTCATTTCCTGGTTTTGCCTCTCACCATCTGTGTGGTATTGGGCAGGTTGTTGAATCCTGCTCAGTTCCCTCACTTGTCAAAAAGAATAGTCAGGTTTGAGGTTAAGGTTATAAAGAACCATTAGACACAAATCTTGTCTTCAGGGAGTTTACAATCCACTTTACATCAACCCCCCATCTGCTCTAAACACACACACACACACACACACACACACACACACACACACACACACACACACAGAGCAAGTTACCTGAGGTCACCTAAAAAAAATTTAACTCTAAATTGTTAACCAAAATAGGTCTATTTGTAAGCTACATGTACCAGCAAAACTATGAGAACAGAACATCAGTGTAGCACCTGAAAAACCTGAATGAAGGGCTGCTGTGCTTTGCATTCCAACACATTTAGGAGACTAACTCCATGCATGCATTAATGAAATGTGCTATGAATACAGTGACCTAATTCCATTACAATAAGAGGTAACTCATAACCAGTGAGGTAATCTGCCTCTTTCCCCAGGCCTTCAGCAGAGCTATAATCTTAGCATTGTTGAAAAACACACATAAATTTACAAATACACATACACATAAAGTCAGGCTTAAACTGAGAAAGATTCTTAGATTATAGGTGATTCCAAAATAGAAGAGATCCTGTATCTTTCAAATAAACTTTCTATCAGATGGCTTTTGTGAAGACTATCTCTTTACCACAAAAATGCAGGAACTACATCAATATCTCTATATAATCAATCAGTTCAGTATAGCTTTTCAGAACTAAAGTGGCAAAATAAACCTTCAGATCTCAAATTCTTACAATTTCAGATGTGAGCTTTTAGAGGGAAAACTGGAGAGTGGAGGACAGATAGCAAAGATATTGATATTATAACTCTGTCATTTGAGAACCACCACTACCAAACACTAAGTCAAAAATTAATCATGAGCAACTGCATTTAGGGAGCCAGCATTTAACTGGCACTGATATTTCAAGATCCTGACCAGAGGGCAATAACAAGAGAGATGAAGCCCAGGGAGAGTTAAAGCATTGCCATGGCAGGGCAGGGCACACCGGCCTGCTCTTCCTGCTGACAGAGTTTCCCCCGGCGTGGTACAAATGACTCCCCACCCATGCCAAGATCCAATCCAGTGAACTGCAACAGCAGGCTGGCTCTGTGTGGACCACAAGGCTGGGTGTCCAAAGTAGCTGTTCAGTAGTCCTGGATGTTGTCCTCCCATAGCCCTTCTGGGGAGAGAGCAAATGTTTGGGCATCCAACACAACTGGGGTCAAGTCCCTATTCCACTACTCAGAAGCTTTTCGTAACACCAGAAACCTCAGTTTTTCCCCACCGAAAGCAGTTTTATAACACAATCAGTAGGGTTTTCACTTAAAGGCCCCAGTAGAGGGGCAGGCACAGAGAAAAGCTCCACTGTGACTATTAACACATTCTCAGGTGTGAACTAATCAACATGACCTCCTGTCACTACTTTTTTCTGGGTTGCTAAGAGGTATAAGAAAAACCATTTGAAAAGAAATGGTTAAGTGATGGTCAGTAATACAAGAAAAATCAGGCGTTTGCAGGGAGGAGAGACACAGAAGAAGGGAAAGATACATTTATAATCAAAGTAGAACAATTGGGGATCTATAGAGGTTAAGTATAGCCACATAAGATTAAATGATAAGCGGAATAATCATTGCCAAATCAACTGACTGTAGGACCCGGCAGGTAATGCTCCTGAAAGAGGTGGCCCAGGGATGTCAACGCGTATGCTGTGAGCCAGAGAACTGGAGAGAGCTCACTTCCCCATCAGGAAGAGGCAACTAATAGTGCTGGATTGTTCATGCTGGATGCTAGCAAATCTTCTCATCTTTCAAAATGGGTTCCAAATCTGGATTCTTATGTGAAATTTCCTGATGTTTTCAACATTGTTCAGGCCAAATAAAACTAGACCTCTAGTTTGGAAGATTAGCAGTTCCTTCACAAGCTTGATGGAGAAAACAGACTCCTACCTCTGCCCAATACTGCCCCCCTCCCACTTCCTGTCCTCTAAAATAACCCCCCAGAATCATTCTTCACTTTTACTCCACAACAGTATAATAGAACTGCAATTTCAGTTTCTATTGTATTTGATATGAATCCCAGCTCTACCCATTACTCACAGTGTGAGTCAGGGCAACTTAATTAAACTGTCTGAATCTCGTATCTTCCTACCTGGCGGGGGTGGAAATATATCTAGGTCCTAGGGTAGCTCTGAAGATTGCTTAAGGTATCAACCACCAAGTTCGGGGTCCAAAAGCAAGGAGAAACTGAGAATGTGTTAATCCTTTTCCACCAACCTCATTTTACAACCAACAACAAAGAAACATGGTTAGTAAAATAGCCAAAGGAAAATACCAATGGGTGGCTGGAAAAAAAACAGGTCTCTAAGCAGCGATACCATCTAACCTCAGGAATGACTGTGAAACCTAGGCCTACCACAAACATCACATTCTTGTGTGGTTTCATCAGCTCTCAGCTGAAGGAACAGTAGGTGGCAGGGCAGGATTCCCGCCCGGGATCCAGGTCCTGGAACCAAGCCCTTTACTACCACTGAAGCAATCTTCCTTGCAACACCCTGCAAGTGCTGGGACATGCAGACAATGCAGAGCCACTGTAGTAAAAGCACACAGGGAGCGCTGAAGCTGAGGCACTGATCATTCAGAAAGACAGCAGGCAGGTAAGGCTCTGAGACAATTTAAAGGAAGGGCAAGCTATTGGAGCAAAAGTATCAGTCAAATGACTCCTGAGAGGGCAGCTGAGGCCACCAGCCACACAGCCATCTCAGCATAAACAAGGTGCAAGGATCCACCCCCCTCAACCCCCTTGTCCAGCCTATGAAGTGCTAAATAAATTCAACTGTGTACCTATGATATACAGCAGGAACTAAAACGACTTCAGCTCCACCCTGCGCAAGTACACAGGCTGCTTTGTAAACGTTCATCATTTTAACCTCGCAGTCAACCTATAATGGATGAGTCTTCATACCCATTTTATACAGGCAGAAATGGAGGGTTAGAAGCTAAAACCAACAGAGCTGGGGCTGTAATTCAGAGAATGAGAGAATCAAATCCTTGCTCTATACACTCCACCACGGTGCCACCATACTTGGCTAGAGGTCAAGGCAGGATTTTTTTTTTTTTTAATCCAAGCTGGAAAAAAAATTTTTTTTTGAGACAGTCTCACTCTGTCGCCCAGGCTGGAGTGCAATGGCATGACCTCGGCTCACTGCAAGGTCTCCCGGGTTCAAGCGATTCTCCTGCCTCAGCCTCCCGAATAGCTGGGACCACAGGTGCACGCTGCCATGCCCAGCTAATTTTTGTATTTTTAGTAGAGACAGGGTTTCACCATGTTGGCCACGCTGGTCTCGAACTCCTGACCTCAGGTGATCCACCAGCCTCGGCCACCCAGTGCTGGGATTACAGGCATGAGCCACCGTGCCTGGCCAGAACATTTTTAAATGCCAGACATTGAATGATATGCTTAAGAAAACCCTCCATTAATCCTTTATCTATCTCCACCTCCCACCTTCTCTGTCTCCTTTCTGTCACAGGCATGTTCTTTTTTTGAAAGAGTTTTCTGAGATTGCTGCCTCCACTTCCTCACCTTACAATCATTACTCAACCCTCTGTCATTAGGCTTCTCTCCCCAAAACACCCTGGGCCCCCCAGCACGTGGAGCACTGGCAAAGATGAACAATGACCTTTTTGTTGCTGAATCCCATCCAGTGGCACTTTGCTGTCCTATGTCACTTGACTTCCCCCACAGGATAAAACTAGTCACAATTCCTCATTTCCTAAACTCTCTTTTTGGTTCACATGACATTATTATTATTATTTGGTAATCCTCCCAACTCTCTGGCCTCTCCTTCAGGCACTCCCCTCACCCTAAGACTGCTCCATTAAAAAGTCTACATTAGCTCTCTGCTATTCTCACTCCACTGTGTGGTTTTGGGTTTTTTGTTTGTTTGTTTGTTTTGAGACGGAGTCTCACCCTGTCATCCAGGCTGCAGTGCAGTGGCGTGATCTCAGCTCACTGCAACTTCCGCCTCCTGGGTTCAAGCAATTCTCCTACCTCAGCCTCCCCAGTAGCTGGGATTACAGGTGCACGCAACATCATCTGGCTAATTGTTGTATTTTTAGTAGAGATGGGGTTTCACCATGTTGGCCAGGCTTGTCTCAAACTCCTGACCTCAGGTAATCTACCCACCATGGCCTCCCAAAGTGCTGGGATTACAGGCGTGAGCCACCATGCATGGCCGACTGTGCAGTTTCATCTTGAACAATCTCATTCATTCCCACAGCTTCTTCTATCACCTATTTTCTATTGGCCTTAGATAGACATCACCAGCCAGGAGTACTTCTCCAAGCTCCAGACCTTTCTCTTTAATCATCTAGTAGACACCTCCACATGCATACTACACAGGCATCATGAAATCAACCAATCCAAAACTAAACTCCACTCTTCCCAGTACGTGTTTGTCCTTTCATGGGTCCTACATCAGCGAAAGAGACTAAAATCTATAGTCAAATACCTGGGAGGCCTCCAACAATCTTCTAACCCTTTTCACCAGCATCATTCAGCCACAGATTCTTTAAGATGCCTCATATTTTGTCATATATCTCCATCTCTACATGCTGTCACCAGTTCCTCAGTAGACTATTATACCTTATCTTTGGCTACACTCAGCATTTCCATGTGCTCCTTTCTGATTGGACCTTGGGCAAACCTGCCACAACCTGGGCATCATAGTTGTCATGGAACCTCTGTAATCCTTGCTTCCCCTCAGTTCGGGTACACCTCTGTATCTTCACAGCATCCCAAACCTCTCATTCGATATTGAAATGGTCTATTTCTGGATTCTCAACTAGACTCTAAACTTGAGGACAGAAATGTACCTTTCTCTTCTTTATAAACTCCAGGGCCTGAAATATGAGCAGACTCTTAGTAAACGACCTTATGAAAGAGATCAGGTTATGGCTGGTACTGAAGAAGTAGCAGAGATTCCCAAGGTAGGGAGAGAGGGGAGAAAGGAGGCCATTCACAGGGCAGGAATGGGTATGAAGAAAAGTAGGGAATTAAACTCAGGCATATGGCTGACAGTCTGCAGTTTGGTTAAACCAGAGAGTTCCAATAAGAGTAACAAGATCTTGACTTTAATTTAGGCAAAGATTAATGGAAATAACAGAAGCAGAAACTGGCATTTATAAAGCACTTAATTTATAAATGTATATTCAATTTAGCCTCATGAAGGAGGGATGCTAGATACTATAAAGTAGGTATTATTGTTCCCATGATTCAAAAGATTATGGGGCAAGCAGATTTCCCAAAAGTCTATTGTGATCTCTTAGTTACCAGAATTTAGCATGTTCTGACTTTCACATTCCGTGATCTTTAACACTACAAGAATAACTCCTTATCTTTAGTTAGCAATTATAATTCAAGAATTGCCTTACCATACAGTAACACAGGATTAAGGAGCAAAACAATAATATCTTTAATGCCCTCCACTCCTGCCCCCAACCCCAGCAGACACTAATCGACTTTCTGCCTCTACAGATTTGCCTTTCCTGGACATTTCACCTAAACACATGTAGTCTTTAGGTATCTGGCTTCTTTCTCATGCAAAACGTTTTCACGGTTCATCTATACAATAGCTGTATTTCACTTATTTTTATTGAGTAATATTCCATCCTTTGCCTATACCACAGTTGACTCATCTACTCTCCAGTCAGCACTTGGCTTCTTTCTGCTTTTAACTATCATGAATAATGCTGTTATAAACAACTGCATACAAGTCATTGCATGGACATAAGTTTTCATTTCTTGTGGCTAGATACCTAGAGGTGGAACTACTGGGTCATATGATACATTTGATTTTAACTTTTTAAGAAACTGCCAAACTCTTTCCAGAGTGGCTGTACCGTAATTTTAAATTCTTATCATCAGTGTATAAGGGGTCCTGTTTTCACCACCCTCAGCAACACTTGTTACTGTCTGTCTTTTTCAGATACAGCCATTCTGGTAGATGCAAGATGGTATAGCACTGTGGTTCTCATTTGAATTTCCCTACTGACTGATGATGTTCAGTGTCTTTCCCTGTGCTCTTGGTGAAATGTCTAGACAAATCTTTTGACCTTTTTTAAATTGGGTTCTGTTCTCCTTATTAAGAAGCTGTAAAAGTTCTTTGCATAGTCTAAATAGAAATCCTTTATGAGAAATATAACATGCAAATATTTTCTCCCAGTCTTCTCTCTCTATGTCCTGCTTATTGGCCAACTGTCTGCTCTCTCTCTCTTACTGCAACTGTCAGTGAGGAAGGTTACAGGAAGCCATCTGAAGAGGACAACCATACAACTTGAGAACAGAGAAACATAAAACTAAAAATGTGTCTATCAGGCAATTTCCTTGAAATGTTTCCATGAGAAACTGGATTCAAGCTTTTTAGGCTTACTGAAATCCAAAGATCATTATTATAAAGTCTAGAAAATTAACTGCGTCAGTCATTCTCCCCAGTAAACTTTAATAAATAAAAAGAAAGTAGAGTTTTACCTCTTTGCCTTACATTAAAAAATAATGTGATGCTGGCACCCAAAAAGGAGGGATTCTGAGAGCCTTAATCATTGCCTATGCTGCATTAACCAAAAAAACACTTTCTGACTTCTGCTGTGTACCACATACCGGAGCTGTTCAAGGTGACGTATGGATAGACTGTCTAAACTCTCAAAAGAGTGGATTCTGGGTGGAGAGCATCACTGAAAAATTAAAAACCATTTTTTCCATCTACTACCAAATCAAGTACCTTAGCTACATGTGATATTTGCAAACAGAAGAGAAGGACACACACAGGAACATAAAAAGAAATAATAACTGCCTCTCCACTTACTGCAAACTCTTACACATACTCCTGCCTCCCACATGCCCTTTCCCTGCTATCTCAGCACATATGCAGGGACAAAAGTAACTGCTCACACCAGCCTCAAGTTTGCTTTGTGATTGGACAGAATGAGGTTACCTGGGGTCTCTTTAAGCAACATCAGTGATGGGACCTGAAAGTCTCACATGGTTTTATTTCATGAGAAAGAGTGTGACTTCCCCTAATGGTAAACTGTCCTATAAGCATATTTTACTTTAGCTGCACTTTCCAGAACAGTTCCCAGGAATTCTGCTTTCTATGGTCAATACGTGATAGAATCCAGAGAACAGGGAACAGACCCAGCTGCAGGGGAAGGGGTGGGGGAAATCATGTTTGATAATATCCAACATTGCACATACATATGGTCTCAGCTAACCTTTATTAAGATGTTGTGAAGAATGCAAAGCTCAGAAATGTTAAGGTATGTAGCCAAAGTCACCCACAAGACATAACTCCCAGCAGGGAATTATGAAAGAGGGCAACTCTGTGTGGCCCAGGTGTTCATCTCCAAAGAGCACATGCTTTCTGAATCGTGGAGGCAATTGCTTTAACTGAAAAGACCAAAATGTTGTATTTTAAAATTCCTTCCCAGATGATTTTTTCCTCATTTTTCATTTTCTCCCCAGAAATCAAACCAGGAATAACCTATGCTGAACCCACGCCTCAATCGTCCCCAAGTGTTTCCTGACACGCATCTTTGCTTACAGTGCATCACAACTGAAGAATGGGGTTCAACTTGACGCTTGCAAAATTACCAAGTAAGCCGTCGTAAGAGATACAAAGAAAATCTTACTTTATTGATGACTATTATTTCCACTGTTTGGGAATTTGGGGAGTTTAATGGTCAGAGAACCAACTAACAAAATAAACCAGCATTTAGCTTTGTGTTTCCTTATGTATAAAACAGCAAACATGCAGGACAGTATCGCTGAGATAAATTTAGCTTGCTATCATTTTGTTTTAAACTTTGTTTCATCTAGACATCATCTCTAAAATGACAAGTAGGATTAAATTAATAATATTTATGGAAGATTTTAAACACAAACTAAAATTACGTATTACTTTCCAGATTTAATAGTCTAAACCAAGGTTCATGAGGTTCCCCAAGAGGCCAGAGATAACATCTACCTAATCTACTGGGTAACTATTTGGAAAATGATCATACCTAAATACAAAAAATTAGCCAGGTGTGGTGGCGCACGTCTGTAGTCCCTGCTACTCAGGAGGCCGAGGCACTGGAATCGCTTGAACCCAGCAGACAGAGGTTGCAGTGAGCTGAGATCGCACCACTGTACTCCAGCCTGGGTGACAGAGCAAGACTCTGTATCAGAAAAAAAAGGAAGAAAGGAAGAGAGGGAGAGAGAGAGGAAATAGAAAAGAAAAGAAAAGAGAGGAGAGGAGGGGGAGGGGAGGGGAGGGGAGGGGAAAAGAAAAGAAAAGAAAAGAAAAGAAAAGAAAAGAAAAGAAAGAAGGAAGGAAGGAAAGAAAGAAGGAAAGAAAGAAAGACCGACCTAGGCAGCTGTGCCCTGGTAGTGACACCCTATAATTTGAATGACTTTTATTATTTCATTCCCACCTGGCAGGTAGAGCAGTGACATATGTTGAGACTTTCACATTTTGTGCCAAGTGTCACGTCCCAGTGAACAATGATGTAGCTTCACCAAAGGCAAAAGTGGCAGATTCTTCCCTACTCTGTCATTCATAATGTGACTCTATTAACAAGAGAAATGGTAATTAAGCTTTATGTTATAGAATGCATACCTACTAAGTACTAGATACTGTAGTCAAAATGTTTGCAAAGCATTTAACTCTCAGAAGATCCAGCAAGACAGCTATGTATTCCATTTTACAGTTATTAAGAGGCTAAACCAGCATTGTCAAATAGAACTTTCTGCATTGATGAAAATTCCCTGTATCTGCACTGGCCAATACAGTAGCCAGATGTGGTTACCGGGAAACTTGAACGTAGCTAGTATGACTGAGGAAATTAATTTTTTAAATTATGTTTAATTTAAATTTAAAAGTTTAAAGCCACATGTGGTTTGTGCTATATCTGGCTACAAAGCCCAAGCATTCCCCAACACACACACTCAGTCCTGTACACACACATGCACAAACCTATTCCCCCCGGCAAAGACAGCCAAAGTTCCCTTACGTCCCAAACAAATACCACCCTCACACATGGCACAAAATAATTTACTATGGAACTAGTAAACTGAGTTATGTCACTGCATTTGTTAATTTAAAAGGAATTGGAATGAGAGTCAGAGAGAATACCAAAGTAGGTTTTACTCTCAATTATCGCTCTGTGTCAAGCCCTGCACTATACAATCCAGAGAATACCACCCTAGTAAACAAGAAGAAGGGATGGGGAAATCATGTTTGATAATATCCAACATTGCATGCACATATTGCGAGAAAACAGCCTTTACACTGTAAAACAGCTTCTAATTTTTCTTAACTGAATGACCAAGCTACTGTCAATTAAAGATGTTTCCTAACTTGGCCAAGTTCTTTACTGTCAGGGAAGAACAACATGATAAAACTGCCTGGGTGAAGAAAGCCATTCACTTTTACTGGTCAATATTCCTGAGTGGAAATATCATATAGAGAAATGCTTCTGAGTACACCTATACGTTTTGGAAATATTTAAGGCAATGATAGAGAATAAATGATGGGCATTAGCTGGCAAAAAAGAATGTGATATAAACTTAATTCTAAAAAACAAATTAATCACACGAAACTCTCAAAGTTAAGTTTTGAGCCTTCCAGAGCAACCAGATGAGTAATGGCTCATCTGCTTCTTACAAACCATTTTTTGTCTCTACTACCATATTGTTTCAGCAAATAACCCATAACAGGCTTTAACCACTAATTTGTTTAAGCTTTGCTGCCTAAATGTGAAATTTGTGAATGAAGTAATAACCAGGAGAGTAATAATATATATATATGTATATATGTATACACACACACACAACCTTTTTTGACATTCTGATTGGAGACTATCTTTAATAATAACCATAATTGTTAGGCAAAATCATCATCAATATCATCATTTAATAAGAATGTGTTCATATAATTAAACTTTAAAATATTATAATGATATATGGAACTCATATCCCTAAGCAACACTGTGAAGTAGGGGTTCTTGCACTCCACGATAGGTATGCATAGCAGATCCCCAGGGAGCCAACACAAGCAGTTGAAATATTCCCTGCCAAGTATGCTGTAGCTCATGAACTAATATATTTGTATTTAAAATGATTTTGAAAAGCAATTCATAAGTAATTGTTACAAGGCACAGCCAGCACCTCAAGAGATGACATGGCTGCTCCTTTTCAGGCTGTGTCCCTCAGCTGGACCCTTTATTCCGATTTAAACTCACATGTCCTCTCTCTATTTCCCTAAGAGTTCTATCCCAGGTTAGATGAAAGTGACTGCTAATCATTTAATTGGGTAAATTAATTCAAGCAGACATCTTAACTCAGTTAAAGCCACACATCTTAAGAAGTTCCTAACGTCACTGATACTGATTTGGATCTTATGATGCAAAAACAGCCAAGACTACAACACGTCATTAAATCAAAATAGGCTTGAATGATACTGTACAAGGAAATATTACAAACTGGCAGCAGTGATATAGATGGCTGCTGAATCAGGCATTTTAACTTGTAAAGCTTAGTAATACTATGGGTCTCATAACAGGCTAGTCCAGATATAAATTACTAGCCTGTGTAAGGATAGTTAGGTCAGGGAAACCAGTTTTTAAAAACACTCATGGTAAGGAATAAAAGGGAAAGAATTAGGAAGAGCCTGCACTTAGATGTCAAGCAGCAATTTAGGAATCTGTTTTTGGATTTTAATCATCAAAACTTTCCTGTTTCTCTCCTCAAAGAAGGGAACCAAAACAGACACTAAACTGCCTGTGTGCAGGGCAGTGAGGGCTTAAATTCATGGTGTTATCTCTATAACAAAACCATTCCAAAACATAATTATAACTATAGTAAATATTATTAATTACAGGGAAGTAAAAATTGAGAAATGATCTTCCTTCTAACCTTACCTCCAAAAGGTGAATCTATAAATTAATTCCATTAGTTCAGGTTCCCCAAA
The DNA here is from genome assembly GCF_000001405.40 of Homo sapiens. Lineage (NCBI taxonomy): Eukaryota > Metazoa > Chordata > Mammalia > Primates > Hominidae > Homo > Homo sapiens. Next base: position 151,296,711 of record NC_000003.12, on the reverse strand, counting down.
AATAATGATGATAAAATGTGCTTAAATGGCCAAGAGATTTACTGGGGAAAATGGCTACCAGGGAAAATGGGGACAAGCAGAAGGCTGGCACAGCCTTCCAACCACTTGTGGGAGAAAGAAGGAAGGAAGATTGAGTAGGAACAGTGCAGTTTGAAGAAAGTTCAAAGAAAAGGTTTGAAGACTGGTAAGTACTCCTCCAGCCAAAGTCCTTTGTCAGAGAAACCCCTCCTCTTACAAAAACAGGTTTGTCTTGGTGTCCCTGCCATGCTCAATCACAGGCCTGGAGCAGTCCGCGGGAAGCGTGGCAGCAGCAAGAATGTGGTGGTGGATCCACAGCAGGAGCTACCTGTCCATCATGCTCCCCACAGTAGGAGACATGAGAGGCCCATGTCCATGGCTGCCACATAAGTCAAATGCTCATGACCCATTTCACTGATTATATGATGCAGTGATATGGTACAGGTCTTTAACAACAGAAACTAAAAATTCCAAAGAAGCAAAAGGTTTAAAAATTCCCACAATAAATACAATAGGCGTAACCTAGCCTTGTAAACAAAAAAAATATACCAGGTTGCAATTACTTTTAACAAGTTGTCCTCTTTGGTAATAAACTGTAAATCTGCAAAACTTAATAAGAATGAGAAAACAAAATCAGCATTTATCATTAGACTATACAAAAACACATTTGTGGATACTCCTGACTATACAAATGCATTTTAATGAAGAATTTACTAGATGACATGTAAATATTTATAATAATCAGCAGTAACTTCACACCAGCCTGCAACTTAAATTCTACTAAGGTGAAAACAGATTTCAGAGAATCAGCAAGTCAGATCTGTATGTATCCAGGACTTTTTTTGTCTGTTCACTTTAGAAGACAGTAGATTTTCTTTTTATTTACAAAAAATGCCAAGACATTTTCTTTCTATTCCTATCAATGATCCCTAAAATATCTTAAGTACTATAAGAAAGTCACAGGCAAAAAATTCAAAATGACCCACTAGTTTTACAGCTTCTTAATTCTTAATGATTAAACAGCTTAAAACTGAGGCAAGGGAAGGGAAGATATATTCAAAGAGGGTGCCAAAGACTACACTGAAACAATAACCATGTGTTGGCTATTGTATTTTCTTGTTATAGAAAATTTCAATTTTCTGTCCACATTTTGTTGATTCTATTTGTAATGATATCAAACATGGGAGTAAGAATCGGAATAATTTACACTGGTATGTTTATTTTCAAAAGGCTGGCAAAGGGGATCAGAAATGGGACTTTTTACTCAAGGGTCCTGATATGAGGGAGGCAGGGTAGTGAGAGAAGGTCACTAATTCTTTGGCCACTCAAAACATTAACAATGTGCTACCTTGACTCTGTAAATCATTGATGACATCTTTAAGTTCACCTGAAATAACAAAAAGTTGGGTCTGTAAGGGAACCTAGTAGCCTGTGGGCATGCTTGCCAAGCACTGAAGTCCTATCTCCCCACTTCTCCTACAGATAACGAGCTGCACGGCCAAGAGAGTCACAATTCAGGCAACAGGAGCGACGGGCCAGGAAAGAACACCACCCTTCACAATGAATTTGACACAATTGTCTTGCCGGTGCTTTATCTCATTATATTTGTGGCAAGCATCTTGCTGAATGGTTTAGCAGTGTGGATCTTCTTCCACATTAGGAATAAAACCAGCTTCATATTCTATCTCAAAAACATAGTGGTTGCAGACCTCATAATGACGCTGACATTTCCATTTCGAATAGTCCATGATGCAGGATTTGGACCTTGGTACTTCAAGTTTATTCTCTGCAGATACACTTCAGTTTTGTTTTATGCAAACATGTATACTTCCATCGTGTTCCTTGGGCTGATAAGCATTGATCGCTATCTGAAGGTGGTCAAGCCATTTGGGGACTCTCGGATGTACAGCATAACCTTCACGAAGGTTTTATCTGTTTGTGTTTGGGTGATCATGGCTGTTTTGTCTTTGCCAAACATCATCCTAACAAATGGTCAGCCAACAGAGGACAATATCCATGACTGCTCAAAACTTAAAAGTCCTTTGGGGGTCAAATGGCATACGGCAGTCACCTATGTGAACAGCTGCTTGTTTGTGGCCGTGCTGGTGATTCTGATCGGATGTTACATAGCCATATCCAGGTACATCCACAAATCCAGCAGGCAATTCATAAGTCAGTCAAGCCGAAAGCGAAAACATAACCAGAGCATCAGGGTTGTTGTGGCTGTGTTTTTTACCTGCTTTCTACCATATCACTTGTGCAGAATTCCTTTTACTTTTAGTCACTTAGACAGGCTTTTAGATGAATCTGCACAAAAAATCCTATATTACTGCAAAGAAATTACACTTTTCTTGTCTGCGTGTAATGTTTGCCTGGATCCAATAATTTACTTTTTCATGTGTAGGTCATTTTCAAGAAGGCTGTTCAAAAAATCAAATATCAGAACCAGGAGTGAAAGCATCAGATCACTGCAAAGTGTGAGAAGATCGGAAGTTCGCATATATTATGATTACACTGATGTGTAGGCCTTTTATTGTTTGTTGGAATCGATATGTACAAAGTGTAAATAAATGTTTCTTTTCATTATCCTTGCTTGAGCCCATCAAAAATATGAATTCAAAGAACTAAAATGATATGAAATGGGGTCATAATTTGAAAGTAAGGAAAACATTAAAGCATAGCAAAGAGATAAACAAGAGGTAGCGTATGGGTGAATGGCAGGGTTAATGGCTGGAAGTCTGAGGAGCAGAGTGAAAGGGCAGAATGAGCCACAGCAATGTCCCTGCACTGTGGCCATCCTCCAGGAAAAGCTGCTGCTCTGAAGCCACTTTTGCAGAGAACAAAAAGTATAGAAAAGAGAATTATATCTATCCTTGAAGTTGAAGGATAGGAAAAGAAACTACTACTTTCCATCTATAAACTAAGATCTTTGGCAGTCATCCCCTCATTCTCTGTGTGGGGATTTTTTAAAATTATTTTTTCCTTTACTCAACACTATAGAAATGAAGGTAGAGGGTGTGTGTGTGTGTGTGTGTGTGTGTGTGTGTGTGTGTGTAAGGGCTTCATTTTAGGACCGTGTGTGTGTGTGTGTGTGTGTGTGTGTGTGTGTGTGTGTGTAAGGGCTTCATTTTAGGACCCTCTGTGTCCAGGTCAGAGCCCACCTTCAGGGCTCCAAAAGCAAGTAGGAATGAGCTGTGGAAATGCTTCTGCCTCCTCTCTGTGCTTCATGCCTCACCCCCACTCCTGTGATGCTCCTGTGATACTACCTTTCATTCCTCTGGGTAAGAGATTGCCCTCCAGCATCGTAAATGCCTCGTGGGAGACGCATTAACAGAGGAGGAGTGAAGGCGTGTTTGCTGACTAAAAGAAGACGTTATGGTTAACAGTCAAACACACGTGAATAACACAGTACAATACTTCATTTAGAGTCTTGTAAACTGCAAAGTTCTAAGAAGCTCAAATGAGCAAAAATGAGAGCACAAGAATAACTTAGCTCAACAATGACTATCATTGTTAGGTAGAGGAAAAGAATTCAGGGACTACAAAGAATCTTACTCTAAGTGTCTAGTGTCTTACTCTATCTAAGTCAGTCAGGTTTAGCAGAGAGGTTAATGGCAAAGGGGTTAAAAGGATTATCTGAGGACTTCTATCAAAATATCTGTCCATCAAGATTCCAATTCTATAAATGCAATGGACACTGAAGTGCATGAATTTATATATACCTCAGTTGGTCATTTGCATAGCTATCACCGCCCCCAATTGTGTGTCACTGGCTAGATTAAGATAGTCATATTTTAGATCAGCTAATTAAGAAAAGGCAATTTGAAAGGCCAATTCTTTTCTCCACTTTCCCCAGAAAGTCACAGGTAAATTACAGCTTCCGTATATATATAGAGGAGGAGCAGACCAGCCTGACCAACATGGAGAAACCCCGTCTCTACTAAAAATACAAAATCAGCCGGGCGTGGTGGCGCATGCCTGTAATCCCATCTACTCGGAAGGCTGAGGCAGGAGAATTGCTTGAACCCGGGAGGTGGAGGTTGCAGTGAGCCGAGATCGTGCCATTGCATTCCAGCTTGGGCAACAAGAGCAAAATTCCATCTCAAAAAAAAGAAGAGGAGCAAGCTGCGCGCAGTGGCTCACACCTGTAATCCCAGCACTTAGGGAAGCCAAGGTCAGGAGCTCGAGACCAGCCTGACCAACATGGTGAAACCCCCCGTCTCTACTAAAAATACAAAAATTAGCTGGGCATGGTGGCACACACCTGTAATCCCAGCTACTTAGAAGGCTGAGGCAGGAGAATCTTTTGAACTCCAGATGGGGAGGTTGCAGTGAGCCAAGATCATGCCACTGCACTCCAGCCTGGACAAAAGAGCAAAACTCCATCCAAAAAAAAAAAAAAAAAGGAGCAATATTATTGCTGGGAAAATACCTTCAGTACATGTCCTATCCTCTTCATCCTCTGTTTCTACCACACCACAGCTCCCAGGCAATAATCTCAAAAATGATATTATCTACTTTCGTGTTTATATAAGCTATTAAATGTATGACCTCTTTAACAGCATCAACTGGCTCCATTCAGCACTCTGGAGTTTAGCAAGTACTTCTCTATCCCATATCTCATTTAATCCTTTCATTCAGGCCTCAATTCTAAGAGGTCTTTAAAACATCTAAATCCCACTTTAATGTTTCTAAAATTAGACTGCTATATAGTTACTAGGCATGTTTAATGTGATAGTAGCTTTATTTCTCCTACATGACATTATTAAATCAATGGAATATCTTCAAACGTAGGCTAAAAACACAGAGAACATCATCCCTATTTTTTTAAAAGTCATATGACAAAAACCATCAATATCAAACTGCTTATATTTCATACCAATTCCCACGCTGTGGCATGAAAAATATTTATCCAGGCCAATGAAAAATGAATCATTTACATGAGCTAAATAACATCAATGGGAATAATACATGATGCTAGTGTCAGAAGTTACATAATACTCTATTAATATTGAATAAAATAATTACATTTGATTGCTTTTTCAAAACTGGCTTTTGGGAATAATCTAAAATTTGAAATCCAAAATTTCTTACTTAGGGCTTTTGGATTACATTCAGTATTTCAGAATCTTCTCAGAAAGCAATAAATAGTGTATTTATTCTTCCTTTTATGCAGAAAAGAAACATATTCAGAGAATTTCCAAAAGGAAATTTTCCATTCTTCATAAAACTGACATTCAGAGAAACTGATCTTGTAGAAAATCTTTCAATGTGTGTGTTACTGACTGTTATATTCATTAAACCACTTCATAAATATTTTACCCTCAATTTGAAATTGTATAATAGTATTTTGTTTCTCAACCATCGTTTCAAGAGAATGTGGTGCCTAAGGGAATGCAGAAATTTAAATACGTCAAAATTTTGTGTGTGTGCACACATGCAAACGAGAATAAATACAGCTTAAACATAAAAACATGTAATGACCACCATAAGGAAATGTGACATACTAGAAAAAAACAAATAAAAACAAAAAAAAAAAAAAACAGAAAACAAGGACAAAATAAAGCGTAGGAACCATTTAAATCTTATAAAGACTGTACCCAGACTAAGCACCACAAGAAGCCAATTATCAATAAATACTAAGCACACGCCATATAAAAAGATACTGTGCTCAGCATGATACATAAAAGAATCTCTGGATACCCCTAAATGACTTCTAAAATTAAATACTTAAGAACAAACATTTTCGATTTTCAACATAATACAAGTATCATAGTAGATGCAGAATTCAGCACACTCCCCAGTCTTCCATCACCATCTAGTGGTAAAATTCACAAAACAGGTGAAGAAAATTCAATTTTTGTCCTATTTACAGCATTCGAATTCACAGTAACACAGCCTAGCACTTTGCTAAAGTTTTCCTTTAAACATCCTTATTAATGCTAATGTATACAAATGTGTATCCTGCAGCTGCCTAGTTCAGTGTAATATGGAAATGCTTGATGAGAATAATTAATGCTGTCAAGAAGTTTTGTTACAGATGTAAAAAAAAAAAAAAACAAGGCTGTAATAACATGAATTTCATGGGAAAATGCTACAAATAGACTGTTCTTTCTAAATTAACTTATAGAAAAATTTTAAAAATGTATAATTTATAGTTTCAAAAGTATACAAAATCATCATTAGAACTGAATAGGGAGGAGTAAGACTACCAGTGTTAAATAAAATTTTCCATCAATTTATCAAGAAACTCCTAAGATTCACTTTGAATGCAACTTTCATTTTGAATACTCTTGAAGTTTTCTTATAAGCCACAATGAAAGGAAATCATCTAAAATTATAAAAATGATTTAAAAAAAAGTCATCCTTAGAGACACACATCTCTTTTTCTCCTTAGTTGGAAACTCAAGATACAGAATTAAATTGGAAATTCCTTTTATTTCAGTTTAGGCAAACATTTTTAATAAAAGTAAACTGGCCAACTTCTCTTTGAATTATGTTAGAGTACGGTCGGAAGTGGTGGCTCATGCCTGTAATCCTAGCACTTTGGGAGGCCAAGGTGATCACAAGGTCAGGAGTTCAAGACCATCCTGGCCAACATGGTGAAACCCTGTCTCTACTAAAAGAATACAAAAATTAGCCAGGCATGGTGGTGTGCACCTGTAATCCCAGTTACTCAGGAGGTTGAAGCAGAAGAATTGCTCAAACCCGGGTGAACCTGGGAGGCGGAGGTTGCAGTGATCCGAGATCGCACCACTGCACCCCAGCCCACGTGACAGAGCAAGACTCTGTCTTTAAAAAAAAAAAAAAAATTGTGTTCGAGAATATTCAGTGGTTGTAGTCTGGGCAGACTCCCCAGCAACTCCTAGAATTGAACCATACATCTGATTTAATCAGCCTATGACAAGAATCTGCAAATAGATACTAGGTTCCCCAGGGTCTCCAAGTCTAGGTATAGGTTTAAATGTTACATGCAAGACTTTTCAACATTCTGGACACATTTACATAAATATATATGCAGACAAACACATAGCATGTATAATTGAGGCTAACAAGTTTAGCATAAAGAATGTAAATCAGCCCCTTAACCCATGATAGTTTTTAAACAGTCTTAAAAAGCTATATACAATGCTTAAGATGGTTACTGCTAGCCTGAAGCAAAATATCTTTCGTAACACAGAAAGCCATCTGTCAATTACCCAACGATGAATTACCTCTACGTATTTTGCAAAAAACCTGAACCATATCATACGTCCTTGAATAGTTCTTGACTTCTTCTCAGTATATAACTTATAATACAGAGTGAGTATCTTTTTCTATGCCTTATAGAATTGTCATGTACCTTTGTAAGTATGAGTCAACTTCCAACATTTTATCCTTTGTGCTTTCTACGTCATGAAATATTTCAAAAATTCCTTAATTGTGAAGTTTCTTGTCAGCATCACTTACTCTGGGATAGCTCATCCGTTCCCTGTAGATGTTAATAACTTTGCCTTCATTAAGTTCATCTAACAGCATATTATAGAGGTTTAACCTTCCCCTGGTTAGCTATTTCTTTTGTATTTCCATATGCCTGTGATTCAAATTTCACTTCCTATATTATCACTTTTCATTTCTCTCCTGAACTTTAATTTTTGTTGGTATACCCTCTTTCAAATATCTCTTTTTGTAAAATGTCATGGAGTTTATTATTGGCAAACAAGGAGGCAACACAACTACACACTTTGCTGCCACCTGTGCATGAACTGAATACCAGATGTGCAGTGACCAATCTCCAACAGACTTTGAAAGAAGTGAGATGACTGGCCACTCCTGTATGTTATTTACATGATGAGCTGCGAACTGGAGAGCTATCAATTAAGTTTGATAGCTTTATGCAACTACTTACAGTTAATATAATGTGGTAACTAAAATTTGGACTGTTGCAGGGAGACTGGTATTATTTAACTAAATCATGATAACTCAAATACATGTCAGAACTGTGAAATCAAGGCCTGCCTGCAAGTGTATATGTAACCATAATCATAATTCAAAGGAAAAACGGAGAGAAAAATATATAATGACATGTAATGGAACATGTAAATGCTTAGGCAGAACTATTTGAAATAATGTCATTCATTCATTCAACATGAAGTGGTCAAATGCTTGGATCTATACATTTAATTATGTGAATTTTTAACAGATACAAATATTTGTGACCCAAACACAACTTATATCATTACCATTAGTGATGTGGATCTCCAAAATAAATAATTCTTGACAAGATTCCAAATAAAGTATTTAGTAGACAGTAGCTATATACTTGGAAAAATTAGGCTGGTGTCTATTAAACCAGAAAAAATACATTTATATGTAAAATAGACTTAAATTATAGGCTCAGATATTAATGAACAAGTTTTTCACCCATGGGAAAGTTAATGGGTCACTCCTATAAGCAGCATGGGACAATTCTTCACTGTGTAAGAATTGTGCCTCATACTTTGCATGCTATAAAGCATTCATGGTCCCAGCCACTGAACATAGGGACAACAAGAAAATATCCTGAAATCAACAAATACTCTCTGGGGCAGTAATGCCTACATTGAGAACCCTGATTGGATTCCTGAGCCATTTGTGGAAAGATAGAAGAATATGACCAAGGTTTCAAGCAATATAGAATCCCAGATCTCTAGATATCAGCAGGTACCAACCAAATTTGGGAAGGGATAGAGTATTAATAAATAAAGGGTAAACTTTTTCTGGGCCGCTTCTATTAATCACAAAAATGGTAAAAAAAGAAAGCAATGATTTCTATAAAGTTTATTAAAAAGCTTCAATAGATGACTGCTTTGAAGTTTTGTACAAATGCTATTTGAAAGATAACTGTAGATATATAGATATACTTCCCATAGAAATCCCTAAAGAGGCAAGTTAAAAATAGTGATAATGATCAAATCTTACACAGTGCTCATCAGTCACTGTCCTACATGCTTTACTTTTTAATAAACCTTTAAATCGCCACAAGAACCTTATATAGTAGATATCCTATTACAGATGAAGAAACCGAGGCACACCTAGCTAGGAAGTGAAGTGATCGTGACAGGTTTTGAAGCTCTGGTGTCTGACTACAAAGTCCATGCTGTCACCAGGACTGCAATACTTTCTGTCTCCACCCCATCCAAGGAGGCCGCTTACCCTTGAACTCACTTAACAATACCATCATATACCCAGGCCCCTGAACTGAAAATCTGAGTGCCCTCTTTTCTTCATTCCCATTAACAACCTTTTACCAAATCCTGCCACTCCACCCCCAGAAATAGACAAGGCAGGTCTCTGCCCTGCCTGGCCTGGTACCCACTGTAGCTCAACCCCAGCAGTAGCAAGTCTGGTCTCATGGATAAGAAAGGATTTTGGAGGTAGGCAGACCTGTATCCCACCTCTTACTTTGTGCCATCTGAGAGAGGAAAAATAAACCAACTGCCATGATTTACATTGATGGCAATACTACTTGAGGTCTTGATTTTTCTGCTCCTTGCCAGTCTTTTGCATACTCTTTTCTAGAACTTTTAACATTGACTGATTATTTTCTAATAACATTAAAATACCTAATGTCTACTGAACACTCCCTACATACCAGCACCCGACTTGTATTAACCCATTTAATCCCCAAAACAAACCCATAAGGAAGTACTAGCATTGCCCCTAATTAGAGATGAAGAAGTAACTTTCTAAGGCTTGGGTTGAAGCTGGGAAGCCCTCTCAACTAAAGCCTGAAAAAACTGATTAATAAGCATAACAGACAATATCTAACTATGAGAACATTAGTTTAAGCCAATCAATCATACACTTTCGATCATTTTATTCCCTTATAATTATAAATTAGAATGGCTCATGTAATTTATTGTCAAAACCAGGACACTTTTGAGAGTGAAAGTGTTGCTTGCTGAGCTGGCACAACAGGTTTCAACTGGGACTGTGTAGGCAAACAAGAATATATGCCCCTATGTTCACAATACATAGGAAAATATGTCTATGTTAAGATAGCATTACCTAATAAAACAAGCAGCTTAAGGAAAAAGAACTCCATGAATCCAGCCATTTCATCAATGAGAAGCTCCCCCTCCTGTGAAGCTTCTTCCATGGAGCTAACACAAACTGTGAACCCCTGGATGCTGGATTAGCAGCTATTTAACAAAAATCTCTCATGGATGCTTCCTAAGAGCATGGAGAACAGTTTTCTGAGTTAGTGCCTATTGCTTGAAGTTTTTTGCTTAACACCACAAGAAGGAACACAGCCCATCCAATTTGAATATTTGCTTTTGCTTGCAGAAGGAATAAATAATTTAAATTCTAATTTATATTTTTTCTCTACTCCAAAGCAAAACTATCACAAATCTTTCCTAATACTATGGACTGGTAGGTACAAAATTTATGTTCTGTATTGATTTCAAGAGACCTTTAGAGACAGAAACTACATTTGCCTTTCCAAGGCACTGGTCTCCCTGCAGGCCACAACTAAATGAAAAGCTGATCAGGAGGTAGAGCCATGTGAGGGCACAGAGTACTCTAACTACAACAGCGGGGTCACAGGAAGTCTGTGATTCTCCTGAGAGAGACTGATGATTGCAAAGCCCAATCAAGTAGAAGGTGGGCTCTGAATAAATCCTCCTATCATAACCACACACCATCATACAACTCACCTCTCTTAGTTCATTCCTGCTGCTGTAACAAAATACTTTAAACTGGGTAATTTATAAACAACAGAAAGGTCTTGCTCACAGTCCTGAAAGCTGGGAAGTTCAAGATCAAGGAGCCAACGGATTCCATGTGAGGTGAGGACCTATTCCTCATGGATGGTGCCCTGTGTCCTTACATGGCGGAAGGTCAAAGGGCCTCTTTTATACAACCACTGATCCCATTCACAAGGGCTCTACCCTCATGGCCTAGTCACCTCCCAAAGGCCCCACCTCTTAATACCAACACATTGGGGATTAGATTTCAATATGTTTTTTTCTTTTATTTTTTTTTTATTTCAATAGGTTTTTGGGGGAACAGGTGGTGCTTGGTTACATGGAGAAGTTCTTTAGCGGTGATTTTTGAGATTTTGGTGCACCCATCACCCAAGCAGTGTACAATGTACCCAATGTGTAGTCATTTATCCCTGGCTCCCCTCCCATCCTTTCCCGAGTGCCCAAAGACCACTGTATTATTCTTTTTTTTTTTCTTTGAGACAGAGTCTCACTCTGTCACCCAGGCTGGAGTGCAGTGGCGCAATCTCTGCTCACTGCAAGCTCCGCCTCCTGGGTTCACGCCATTCTCGTCCTGCCTCAGCCTCCCGAGTAGCTGGGACTACAGGCACCCGCCACCACACCCGGCTAATTTTTTGTATTTTTTAGTAGAGACGGGGTTTCACCGTGTTAGCCAGGATGGTCTTGATCTCCTGACCTTGTGATCTGCCCACCTCAGCCTCCCAAAGTGCTGGGATTACAGGCGTGAGCCACCACGTCCGGCCAGTCCACTGTATTATTCTTATGCCTTTGTATCCTCATAGCTAAGCTCCCACTTATAAGTGAGAACATATGCTTGGTTTTCCATTCCTGAGTTACTTCATTAAGAATAATGATCTCTAACTCCATCCAGGTTACTGCAAATGCCATTATTTTGTTTCTTTTTATCAACACATAAATATTAGAGGGACACAAACATTCAGACCACAGCACCACCTCATGACCACTGAGAATTAGACAAGGGTAACCAGCACAGCTGTTCCTTAAATGGCTCATTCAAAGACTAAATATAAAATTTTGGGCTGGGCACAGTGGCTCACGCCTGTAATCCCAGCACTTTGGGAGGCCAAGGTGGGTGGATCACCTGAGGTCGGGAGTTCGAGACCAGCCTGACCAACATAGAGAAACCCTGTCACTACTGAAAATACAAAATTAGCCAGGTGTGGTGGTGCATGCCTGTAATCCCAACCACTTGGGAGGCTGAGGCAGAAGAATCACCAGAACCCGGGAGGCGGAGGTTGTGGTGAGCTGAGATCACGCCATTGCACTCCAGCCTGGGCAACAAGGGCGAAAACTCTGTCTCAAAAAACAAACAAACAAACAAACAAACATACATAAAAAATTTGGCCTCACTGATTCTTCATTCTGATTAAACTAACAGGTCCACACATAATAGCCTAAGAATAACTGTTGTGCTCAAATTATTAATTATAAAGATATGCAGCTCTCTACAGCATTAATTGCCTAAAACCACTATTCTAGTCAGGCCACCAAGGAAATTAAATTACCAAGATAACCACACAACCCTCCCACAACCCAGAACTAAAAATAAGTGTGCTTAGCTAAAATCATTTGCTGGGCAGAGATGACTGATCTACATAATGTCAGGTGCGGCTTATTCTTTGGGTAGAAAAAAAAAAACAAACAAAACTCTACATGTGATCACCCATAGCACTTCCTTTGATTTCAGTTAACCCTCAGTCAAGTTCCCTGAAAAGTCAACACCACAAATCTTTCCTTAAACTTGCTGAGGCCATGCTCCTCCCACACATCGTGGCAGGATGACAAGCAGCACTGTTTATCAGAACAACTGTGGGAAAGTTTATCTGACAAAAACGAAGTATGTTCTTACATTCATTAAGTTTCATTCCAGCTCACTCAGTGACTTCCCAAGGCCTGTTTTCCTAACTTGTTCTATCACTGTATTAAAAAGCTGAGCAGTTAGGGTACTGAGTAAATAAACTGTCTGATAAAGCGGCGTGTCATCCTCTTAGTTACCTGTCCTAAGTTGAATCATTATGCAGGTCAGGGATTCAGACATCTACAAAAGGGATTCAAAAGTGTACAACTACAAGTGATTAGATGATTTAATACACTTGGGATAATATTATTTAAAATATTCATAGTCATTGTTCTCAGATAATTTCCATTATCTCATTTATCTTTACTTGCAGAACCAGAGCACGGAGTTGGAGAATATTCTCTGTCTTCCCCATATTTTGGTTACAGATATTCAATTAACAAATACTTCTGAGTATGTACTATGGTAGTGAACATCACGGGTACAAAACAAAGCCAGCAAGGACGGCTAGGCATGATACAGAAACACAGGCCACATCAGAAGAATAATGACAACACTGAGGTATTAGGGACATGTCTAAAGACGTGGTGAGTCTTGCAAGCAAATGGGAACAACAGGAAGATAATCAGAGATGACACATTTGTGAGACCTCAAGGTGAAAAAGAAAATGCTTTCCTCTGCTTCCTCAGCATCTTTCCAAAAAAAATACTGAAAAGAGAAAATACACATACAAAAGTTTTTGTTTTGTAACAAAGTTCTAAATTCTGATTCTTTGCTAACATCAGTCGAGATTCAGTCCTTCTGATTTTCAAGATTTAAACCCAATCTAATGCTAGCAATACAGAAAATCTGTTTGCACACTTCAACTAATTGGGATTAGACAATCAACCATGACTCAACGTTAGTATCCACACCAAAGTGAGGTTTTGTGAACTGCCTACAATACATGTACAAATTGCACCTATTAATTTTTTTAAAAACTGTTACTTCTTTCAATCTACCAGAAGGGGGTGATATTGTACCAGGCATTTGTTTCTCCATTGTAATTCTCAGATGAAGGCAAGTGCACAATTGCCAATGAAGTCCCATGTCCTGTCATTCATTGCAAGAGGTTTAACAAAAAGGCATTATTTTATAATGTGGTGACTTATCTCACATCTTAATGATGTAATTTCTGCCCCCTTTCTCCACTACTCTAAATCAACAAGCTGGTAGAACTGAATGCTTCACATAGGGAAACATAAAAAGGCATGTCTGCATTCAATGTTTTCCTATCAGATTACAATTTTTTCAAAACACTTTTTCAATTATTTTACTACAAAGCTCAAAAACTTTACAGCACACTAAATTAGGAAGTCCTGAGCGTGACATTTTGGATCCCCGACATTACGCGCTCCTCCACCTTTGCTGGCTTTCCTAACATTAAACCTTGGCTCACATCATTCTTTTAATACAGTACTAAGTTGACTTTCACCCCCATTCTACAAGTAAAAGAGCCATCCAACAAGAAGCATTTTGGATGCTAGTTCCTTCAGAGATCCTATAGAGGACAATTTCCAAATATGCTTCCTTTAAATATCCTTGTACACTGTACTTTCATAAAATGTTTACACCGGGCCTTTACTAAAATCCTCTACATTCTTACGTCAACATCTTTCTCAACAACCAGTGGAATCCTTTCGGCAGCCATGCCCCCCAACACATACAAAACACACACACACAATTATAAATAACTTGCCAGCAAAACAAACAAACAAACAAAAAAAAACAAAAAAAAACTAAATTATATAACCCAGCAAATATCTGCTATGGTTAAAATAAATTCATTGAAAATGTTCATATTTATCTGAAAATCCATCAATAGGTACTGATTAAACAAATTATGGAATACTACAAAGCTACGAAAAAGAATAAGGTCTATACAGGGCTCACATGAACAAGTCTCCAAGAGAGCAAGTGGGGATGAGGCCGGATGCGCTAGTGTCTTACTCACTATGCTCAATAAAGCAACCAGGGAAAGGCAGGGGAAGGGCAGTAACAATGAAGTTGTCTCTGTACTTACTTTAAAGAAAAATGATTTCAAAAGACATATGGTAACAATTATGCATAGGTGAATTCCGGGGTAAGGAGCAAAATAGGACATTTATGGAATCAAAATGTAAGCCAGCCAGCTATTTATGCGCAGTCGATGACGGCCTGGATAGAAACTGACTGGAAACAGTTACAGACATATTTGGGGATTACGTGTGTTAAACTCATTCTATTTGTAGTATGAATACACAAGGGATGTTTATATATAACCAGTCCTATTACTAATAAGGCAGAGTCCTGTCTCTAAATGGTATTGGAGAATGTGTGAGCACGTGGGGTGGGCTAGGGGTGGTTGTCATATCAGGGTTATGTTGAGGGCTCTGAGAAAAAGATTAGTCAGGAGGAAATCACAGTACTTTAATCTTAGGATTCCACCAAAGGAAATGGGAATTCAGAACTATTTAGCATAAATCAAAACACCACAGATAAAAGGAAAATATTGACTATTTTAGATTTTGTTTTTTAAAAGATTCTTGCACACAAGGACCAGGCCCTCTATTATTTTAATTATAATGTCGTTATTGGCTATGTTGTATTATGCCTGGTGTCTAGTGTTGAAAAGAGTCATTACCTACGTTGCTAAAAGTCATAATAAAATATCTTTTTATTTTTTATTTATTTATTTTGAGACAGAGTCTCACTCTGTTGCCCAGGCTGAAGTACAGTGGCGCAATCTCAGCTCACTGCAACTTCCACCTCCCGGGTTCGAGTGATTCTCCTGCCTCAGCCTCCTGAGCAGCTGGGATCACAGGCGAACTCCACCATGCCCAGCTAACTTTTTTTTTTTTTTTTTTTTTTTTTTTGTATTTTTGGTAGAGATAGGGTTTCACCATGTCGGTCAGGCTGGTCTGGAGCTCCTGACCTTGTGACCTGCCTGCCTCGGCCTCCCAAACTGCTGAGATTACATGCGTGAGCCACCGTGCCTAGTTTAAAATATCTAATTTCAAAAACATATGAAGATAGAATAAATATTGTCAGGCTAAAATATTTTTTCAAACATTAATACTTACTTCCAATTCTAATAAAGGAAAATGTGTACAAGCTAAACTGTGATTTAAGCATATCCACAAAATGTACAGCACAACCTAAAGACTACTTCAAAGTCCAGTCCTGCTACTTTCTAGCTTAGACAACTGTTAAATTTTCTGAGGCTCTATTTTCTTACTTGTGAAAAAAAGGAATAGTTACTTCTCCAAGGGTTGCCAGGTGTTTTGGCTGTGAAAAGATCTAGTAGGCACAGAGTACGCTTCAATCGAGTGTACGAGTATGTGCATTTGAGACGATCCAATCTTTCCAGATGAGCTTTCCTTTCAAGTGCCTAGCTGTCTGCCCCCTACCCACCCCTCACCATCCTTGTACTGCTACGTGCCAATAAAACCACAGAACAGAGGTCACAAGCTGACTGCTCACAAGCCCAATACAGTGCACACTCAGGTTTTGTTTTAGCCCACAGGGTATCAGGTCTACACTGGTTTGTAAGGTATTCGATTTAGACACCAACAAATGAAATCAGAGGAGACATATAAAGGCAGTAGCAGTGCACAGGCTCCAGGATCTGCCCAGCTCCAGCAACCTGATGTAACATCTCCATGCCTCAGTTTCCTTGTCTATTAAGAAAAAGGTGGGGAAGAAGTAGTAGACAGACCTACTTTACTCATGGAGCCATTGTGAGTAATCAAGCTAAAACACACAGAGTGTTTAGAACAGTACATGCAAATCAGCGTTTAATGTTCTGAAGACACTGGCCCATCCCAAGATGAGGCCCATGACTCTGGCAAGCTTCCAGACACAACTGTCCCCCTGGGTGGGCCCTTTAGCTTTCCATTTCTCCATACTCCCTCTACTCCCAAGTGTCTTACACAGAGTCCAACCCATTTGTACCACCTGCCACGAGGGGACCACCTGTAGGGCTATCCTTTTGGCCTTGGACTTTGCAACTCCTGGCATTAAGAGGCAAGCAAGCAGCTCCAGTCAAAGAAATTATCATGTTCTCCCCAGTCATACTCAATAACATCTATGTGAAACACCCCACGGGGAAGTCAAGAAGCAACAAATTATCATGTTCTCCCCAGTCATACTCAATAACATCTATGTGAAACACCCCACGGGGAAGTCAAGAAGCACAAAAGGGACCCGGAACAATTAATGGGTGTTTTTGAGACTGTCAGAGTAAACAGCATCTCCTGCAATAAATCAGGGAAGTCTTGAGAGTCGCACCTTAGAGATACGGTTCCTGCCAAATCATCAATTTAATCAGCAAAATGTTTACATCTGGAGGACTCTGCAATGTGCCCTGGTAATAACCAGGCTCTAGCGGCTCCTCCTCACATCCACTTGTCCTTAAGTTTATTTACCTACCAGATCTCACTGCAGCTGAAGCTAACAAGCCTCTCTATGCACATCAGTATTCTTAGCCCCTCAATCAAAGCATCAGTGAGGACTATTGGGGCCCGCTGGGGGTCTGAAGAAGAGTCCCTCTGGCAGGGAGAAATGGCGAACTTCTCTAAACAAGCTCTGTGTCTCACAGGTCTTTGCCAAGGATCAACAGTGACTAGCAAGTCTGTGAGACAGAAAGTAAGAAAATACTCTTCATGAGGGAAATAACTGTTTGGGTATGTGTCAGTCACTACTCCATCTCCAATGTCCAGAACACTGCCTCCTACGTAGCAAGTACATATAAAGCAACTAGAATAGTAACGGGCATGTCATAAGCCAGTTATAATTATTATAACTAAATGTATAGCTATGTTTTTAAGGCAAGCTGAACTTTACTAGTTGTTACCCATAATTTGGCAATGGAACAGCCTAAGTAAATACACTTAAAATGCAGGAACCTTATAAAGTAAGCTTTTCAGCCCCTTGTCTTCTTTCTTTCTGGTTCTGAGTTATACACTTTGAAGAGGACTTTGTAGCCATCTTCTGAAAACTTCCAAATCTAATGGCACTAATAGTCAATGGGAAAGACAGTGGAGCACTGCAGGACATCACCAATTATATTACAGAGCCTGAAAGGAACTAAAAATATGAAGACTTTCAAAATAGTAACACAGCACAAACACCAAAATGTTAACACACGAGGAGTTTATCTGAAGTCCTACTTGTGATCTATTTATCAGTAATGTTCAAATATGGGAAAATTAATGTGGGAAAAATGACAATGCAACACCTCTTATCTAGAATATGTCGACATTGGTGTCAAAATACTTCTTTATTCTGTTAATTCCGCATTTCCAGGTAGCTCCAACTACCCATCTCTGCACGTTATACTGTGAAGCTGCTGACAATTTTCTGAGGGTGCTTCAGAAAGAACCATATCTTACACATCAGTTCTCCACCTCATACCACATGTTGAATTTGACAATGGCAAAGGTTAGAAAAGAAAACAGGTTTTTGCCTGGCTGTGCATCAGATGATGTAGGGATGTGGGGAAAAGTAGGAGGAGAAATAAGAAAGCAGGACTGTTTTTGCATTACTGGAGGAAAGGAACTAGCTCAGAAGTCAGCCTAACACCCACAGAGATTAAAACGTCTCTTCCTTCCTCTTTGTTTCCACGTCCCAGTCTTCAATAAATTCTATCTGACAACAGCAGCAGAGGGACCCACTATCTTGTGGTTTCTGTCAAGTTCCTGATTTTCATCCGTAGTTGAAGATGAGCAAGAACTCTGTAACAGTGTTACCTTGGAGCCTACAATGAGAGGTATTTCAAAATGAGTGAAGCATGACTCTCACAGATGAAGGCCTAGACGCAGGTAAGAAAACAGCTTTTCCATGAAATGACTTGCATGTATGTGAATGGTGCATGGGAACAGAAAAGATTTCTGAGCTGGGCAGCAACAAAGCTGAGGAACACTGAACCATTGCCACTCACATTTTTCTCAGTAGGTTACTTTTTGTTTGACAACTATAATTGGTATATTAATATATTTCCCCATGCTAATATGGGGATCCAATACTGAAATATTATCATTTATGATTTAGGATTTCCAATCGTGGCTGTCAAAATATATCTGTGATGAAGAGATATCAAGGAAAATGTTTAAAAGGTATTCATCCAGGACAAACATTTCAAAAGCTCGTAAATGTGTATTAAAATTGCTTCTCAAAACTACAAAATCGATTAGCATAATACTTAGGTCAGTATGTCTTTGTTTGCAATTGCATATGTGTACAGATATATAGTTGCATTTACTTGTACATACACTTATATAGGTAAAAGTTTTTATCTTTGTCATTATTAGGATAAGTTAACCCCATTAACACCTACTAAAATAAAATGCCTTTAAATTGTAAATCACAGAAATATCTGTCCTAGGCATAGCAAATATTTGAGTTCATATGCTACTTATTTATAGTCTATGACTAATCAGCTAAATTACTTACAATTCTTTAAACATTATAAATTAAATTACATTCAGGAGAATTAGCACAGACCCACAATGTCAGCTTATTCAACCAAGCCCATGCAATCCATCTTGTCTACATATACTTTGTTAACCAAGGACAATCAATCCTACGGAGAAAATGAATCAAAGATCACACTAGTAAAAAAATAAATAGTTTGTATATTCATCTTTCTAAAACATACAAACTTGATAATCAGTTTTAGCACTAAAAAAAAACCTAGCCATTAAGTTAAAAAGAAAACAATGCACTCGGAAAATACCAAAATGGCATATTTTATGATTTGTAAACATGCAATGAATTTTATATTTCGGTAAAATTTATGAATACTATATATACAAACATGCATACAATTGTGTGCACACAATTAACACATTGGTATATATGAATGAACTCTATATTGTCATGTCTGGAAAAAAAAAAAACAAGGAGGCCAGGCATGGTGGCTCACACCTGTAATCCCAGCACTTTGTGAGGCCAAGGTGAGTGGCCTCAGGAGAGGCTGGTCAGGAGTTCAAGACCAGCCTGGCCAACGTGGTAAAACCCCTATCTCCACTAAAAATACAAAAATTAGCTGGGTGGTAGTGGTGCATGCCTGTAATCCCAGGTACTCAGGAGGCTGAGGCAGGAGAATCGCTTGAGTCTGGGAGCCAGAGGTTGTGGTGAGCTGAGATCGGGCCACTGCACTCCAGTCTGGGCGAGAGAGTGAGACCCTGTCTCAAAAACAAAAACAAACAAAAATAAAACCAAAAGAACAGTGGGGAGATTCCAAGGTACTCAAAGCATGAAGACACAGGGGAAGTGGGCCGGGTGCAGAGGAAGAAGTATAATTTCCTGAAGTATTACGGTGCCCACTTCACAGTTGAAGCAGGTACAGAGGGTGTGACTATCCTGAGCAAGGCCACCTATGATGCTTCTAAAGTGCTGAACAGAAGAAGAACACGGCTCCCTAGAAGAACGTTCACTCTATAAAGTGCTTCTGAGTGAATTTAGATGTTGAGGCTTCCCTAAGCCTAAGGCTCTATGAACTCAGAAGTCACAGGTTTATTCCATTTGGCCCCAGGATATCCTTAGAAGTTAGGTCGGTCACAAGTGAGCTGTTTCAACCTCCCAGTGTGAGCAGTCTCTAGAATACCAAAAACAGACCAGTCCAGGAGGTAGGCTGACACCAACACAAGCATATTCTGCCATCATCATGAGCATCCTCACCTGCAGAAGGCTGTCTAGTGGAGGATGATGGACAATAAGGAGTGTTTCCTTTAATTGAAAATTATATCAGTACAAGAGTGCCAAGTTTGTTTGGATAGAGCAGTGGATCTCAAAGTGCAGATACTATACCAGCTGAATCAACATCACCAGTGAGCTTGTCAGACATGCAAATTATTGACCCCAAACCTACAGAATCAGAAACAATGGGGGTGGAGCCCAGCAATCTCTTTTAACAAGCCCTCCAGGTAATTCTGTTGCACATTCAGTTTTGGGTGACCCCATGTCCTGGGACAGATCCAGTTTTCACCTGTTGTCTGGGCATAATTGAAAATAGTGCCTCCTTTCTATCTCAAAAGTGTCCTTGATTGTATAATAAATTAATTATGATCATCAATATGATCACCCTGCCAGTTCATACTGGATGCTAAGAAGGCATTTCATTGGCCAGATGCTGTCTACTACTTGGGATTTCAAATTAGCTTCAAGTCTGGTGCTACACCCATAGCCTCCCCACCATCACCCCGCAATACTAAAAGATGCATTGCCTCCTAAAAGTCTGAGCAGCACAGCTAGATAAATCAACTTCAGTAAAAATATCCTATCTTAATGAGAAAAAATACCTACAACCAAACTATGTAAAATCTATTTTAAATTCTCAGCTTCCTAAGTAGCATGAGAATCAGGTCTCCAAAACCCTCTTTACTAAATTTTCTGGTTCTTCTTTACAGGGAATTTTCTTTTCCTCCCTAGCACCCTTAAAAAGGATAAATCTAGTAATTAATGAATGCTATTTTTATAGTAATCATTTGGTTACATTAATTCACCGAAACACCAAGTTTACCACAGCAAAGCTTCTCAATCCACCTGTTCTTTAAAGTCAAAGTGAAATACTGGTCATATGCTTTTAGATCTGATTAGATTCCTTTGAAATTTTTGTCTTTACTCGGTATAAATTAAATTGCTAGCTTTTTATTTTTCACTGAAACCTCCCATCTGTTGTTTTTGAAAAGCATCAAAGGCCTTAGATATCATGTTCTGACCCCTCATCATTCAAATAAAAGAACAGCCAGGGACGGGTGCTGGCTTCTACCCAATTATATGACATCTGCTTTTGAGGTTAAGATACCAAAGAAAAGAGGAAAAGATCAGTTAGTTGGCTTCTGAGGTTGGCCCAAAGCGATCTGTACACTTGTGGTGTGATCACTTGGGGAAAAAAATCTGATCCTCGATACTCTCCAGGATCATACACACGCAATTATTTTCATCACATCACTTATAGCCTCTAGACTCTAGGAGCCATTTATACCAAGCAGATGGGAAATGTGCCACCTTCTATAGTGGGAGAGACACCTGGCTGGAAAGAACTCACCTGTTGCTGATGTGATCTTCCCAGTGAGTCGAGCCCTAAGGTCAAAGGTTGGTAGGAGAGCTCACACAAGGTTTCATCTAAGAACATTTCCATCCTGCTACAGATGATGAATGAAATCCCCTTCTCACTCTAGGGATATTTTGGCCATTTATTCATTCAACACTGATTCCTTACAATGAGGCAGCCAACATTCTAGGAATGGTAGAGATGGTGTGATGAAAAGGTTCTGGGCCTCTGGTGGCTTACATTCTAACAGACATATCCACAAACCTTAACATCATCACTCCTAGGAATTGATAGTCATTCAATTATGACAACAATCTTTGGACATATTATAACTTATAAGATTACATTTTTATTTCCTTAATGGGGATTTGGAGACGATTCTAATCTCATCAGAAGTCATTTACTGACTAGATCCAAATCCCTAACCTTAATCCAGCTGGGAGCTGATAGCCCTGCATGTACAGATGACAAAAACAGAATATGAAAAATGATACTTAGTTCAGTTAAATGTCCTAGGAGGTGGCCTTTAGTGTTGAATGTTCTTTCTCTCCTGGCCCCCAAAACTGCCTACCTATGTTTCTGCACAAGGATTTCACTGCCTCTTTCCCCACTATAAATATGCCTATAAGCACTACCTTTATAGAAGTGAAAAAAGGAAGAGGGAGGATATGGTCTGAGATAAAAAGAAAACCTAAGATGTCAGACCAGCTGTCCCTGTTATCACTGAGTTTGATACACAGCAGCTGTCCTTATAACTGGTACCACTGAGGCAAGTTAGTTAAGGAAAAATACAGGTTAACCAAAATAACAGGTTAAGTAGGAATTATTTTTAGAAACCTTAAATACATTATTTTAATTTGAAATACAAAGTGCACATTAATTGCTTAATCTTTTGGTTTTGTGGCAGCGAGGCCTTTTTTCTGAATATGGGTTGGTTCATCAGATATCTGCACCAATTTTCTTTCATGAGCCACGACTTTAGCACACTGCCAGTCAAATCCAGTTTCTCAGTTTAGTTCAAGTAGTGTGAGAACTTTAAAATGCTTTAGAGGCCACACGATTTAAAAAATCCAGACCCAGTCCTAGACTTTAAAGTCCCTCAAAAGAAAAGACTCTGTCTTAGCCTCATAACACAGTGAAGTTTTCAATAAATGTTACATGAATGGACAAAAATGAGGGTCTTAAATATGATTTGAAAACAACAGTCTGCATCACCAAGTTTTATTTAAATCCACTCCTACCCCAATTAAGAAATGGTATATGCCTTGTTCTAAAGAAGACAACCAGTCCCTATGTGTACAATGCCAAGTAGTATAGCATAATAATGAAAAGTGGGCATTCTAGAATCAGACTTTTTGGCTTCAAATCTTGACTCCACCACTTATTCTAATACAACCTTAATAAAGTCACTTAACAACTCTATGCCTCATTTTCCTTACTGAGTTATGGGGATTAAATGAGTTATATACATAAATTACCCAGAACAGTAATTGGCATAAGAACACAATCAGGCCGGGCGCAGTGGCTCACGCCTGTAATCCCAACACTTTGGGAGGCCGAGGTGGGCAGATCACAAGGTCAGAAGTTTCAGACCAGCCTGGCCAACATGGTGAAACTCTGTCTCTACTAAAAAAAAAAAAAAAAAAAATACAAAAATTAGCCGGGCATGGTGGTGTGTGCCTGTAATCCCAGCTACTCAGGAGGCTGAGGCAGAATTGCTTGAACCCAGGAGGCAGAGGCTGCAGTGAGCTGAGATCGCACCACTGCACCACAGCCTGGGTGACACAGCAAGACTCCATCTCAAAAAAAAAAAAAAAAAAAAAGAACACAACAATGTTTATTGCTGTCATTGCCAGCATCATCTTCTTTCCCAATAACATAGTGTGGTGCTCTGATGACTATAAGAACAATGGAAGCCAAAGAGATACAGAGGTTGAATATTCCTTGATCATACTGCTTTGGACCAGGAGTGTTTCAGATTTCAGATTTTGGAATATTTGCATTACACTTAGCAGATGAGAATCCCTAATCTGAAATGCTCCAATGAACATTTCTTTTGAGAGTCATGTCAGCCCTCAAAAAGTTTCGGATATTGAAGCACTTCGGACTTCAGATTTTGGGATTAGGGATACTCAACTTGTATTCAAAATTCCAGTGTGTTCCTTAACCTCTCCCTGCTCAGTTGACTCATCTGTAGAAAACAGAACAAAAATAACCACCTAGAAGAATGGCTGTAAGAGTTATCATGCCTGGTACATAGTTGAGAGTCAAAACATTATAGCCATTAACACTCATACAAGGAAGAAAATCTACAACTCCACACTTCAAGCCATATCCACAGATGTCCCCACCTCCTGCACATCTGTCAACCTCTACCCACCAAATCTTAATTAACCAGGATTTGGTTGTGTACTCAATATTTTATACTTGGGGCAGAGGACAAACAACCTTTCCCGAGTATGCACTTTGTAAGAATATCCACACTGAAAAACAGGATATAATCTAGGAAAAATTAAATGGTGCTTTTAATTTATAAGTTAGAAAATGGGAATTTGGGAGGAGGAAATACCACTGTGTGCTGGTGCACCTGGAGAACAGAAGAAGCAGAATTAAGATGAGTCTTGTAAGAGGGACATGATACATATATATGGGAAATGATAGACTGATAACTATGGGAATGATATACTGAGTAGAAAAACAACTTCAATTTATGTTTATTTGTCCAAAAACATGTCCTGTTTTATTTTTATCTTGACCTCTTGACTTGAGAAACCTTGACCCTATTTGAGAAATCTTATCCCCAAGTCCTAAAAACATTTACCTCTTTGCATCTTCAAAACACAGCACAAACCATCTATTGTCCAGAAAGCCTTTTCTGTTTATCCTGCCTTTTCCTGCAAGCTCATGTGGTACACACTGTCACTTCTGCCCTCTTTCAAGCACCCTATACCATTTACACACACATTACAATCTGCTCTGTGTATGCTCAACATCTGTATTGCTTCAAGAGCAAGTTTTGTGCCTTTGACTTTTTCCCCTAATTTATATTGGGGTATAAACCACATACAATAAATGAAAATTAGATTTTAAGTGTAGAGTTCATTGAGGTTTGACACCATATAATCACCACCCCAATTAAGATAAATAGTATTTCCATCACAAAAATTTCATCATTCTCTTTTCTAGGCACAGCCATCTACATTCCTAATTTCTCTCATTAGAGCTTAGTTCTACCAGTATTAGAACTACACTGAAATGGAATCACAAGGTACATAGTCGTTTGTGTCTGACTTGTTTTGCTCAACATGTTTTGAGATTTAACTTGTTTTGCTCAGCATGTTTTGAGATTTACCTATATTGTGGGCCCGCATCATCCTCCGGATCACCATATGGTATTCTATGAGTATACCACAATTTGTTTACCCATTTTAATCTGTTGATGAGCATTTGGGTTGTTCCCAACTTTTGGCTGTTGTGAAAAGAGTTGCTATGAATATTCTAATATAAGTCTTTCTATGGACATACACTTTCACTTCTCCTGGGTAAACACCTAGGAGTGAAATTACTAGGTCACAAGGAAGCAACATGTTTAACTTGATAAGAAGTGACCCGTTATTCAAAGTAGATTTACTATTTTACACTATAACCAAAAATATACCAAAGTATCAATTATTCTATTTCCTCGTCAATTCTTAACATTGTCAAGTTTTTTTCCATTCTAATGGGTGAAAGTACTACCTTATTATTTTAATTTGTATTTCCCTGTTGACAAGTGAGGCTGAGAATCTTTTCATGTGCTCCTTGACCAAACAGCTTCCTTTGTGAATTATTTGTTTGCATCTTTTCAGCATTTTTTTTAAGAAACTGAGTTTGTCTTTTTATTATAGAGTAATGAAAATTATTTAAATAGTCTGAGCCTTTAACAGAGATACTTTTGTGAATATTTACTCCCCAATCTATGGCTTGCCTTCATTTTCTTAATGGTGTCTACAAAAAAAATGAAAGTTTTAAATTTGGGGATTTTTTTTTTTTTGGTTTTTGGGTATGTGTACACATTTAGTTTTATTCTAACAAAGCAACTTGTACACTTTTAACATTTAAAACTAAGTGTCATCTTTCCTTTCCAGTGAAATAAAAAGAAAATTTTAAAATAGACAGGTACAAAAGTACAACAGAGAATGTGAATTCTAAATAATATCCTGCAGGTTCTGTGGATTGTCCCATCGAGTGGCAGGGCAAGAGTCATCACTGGAGAGAACTTATTTTAAATGTGTCATGTTAAACTGCAAAGATGCCCATTAAACATCACAATTAAATATGCCAAAGGAGAAGCCATGTTGTCAAAATACACACTTAACCCACCCAAACATCTCAAACTCACCCTTTGCTGACCTTACATAGTCCCATTTTTTGTTTTGTCTTTTTTTAAACAAGAGAAAGTAGACAGATACATGTTGGCAAATGCTAACTATCCATATTCACGCAGAGACACAGTGTTCTGAGCATAATACACAGAGAAAGGAAGAAAAGCGCTAAAATTCTGTGCACTAATACACAGGGGCTTAGCACCATGCAAATTCCAGCAGAGCAAAGGGAGGTTTTTCTTTTTTCCCCAGAGAGTTCAGTGGTATTAAATCCATACAGTTTTTGTTCAGACAAGAAGGGATAAAAATGAATTTGGAACAGAAAGGGGTAGAGATCCTTTTCCCATTGTATTCTGCTCAAGTTATTTTCCCCCCAAATAAGTTGAGAGCTGTGGTGTAGAGAAAAAAAGACCTCAAGAACAAGGCAGCTGAGCCCAAAAGAAAACACACACACACACACACACACACACACACACACACACACACACACGACAGCTTGCTCCCAGGAACTGGAGAAAATTTTTAAAAAGGTTGGAACCTATCAGTGTTCTATTAGTCATTTTCTCCTTCACCCCCTTTCTTTCCTCCCTTTCATCATCATCTTCATCTTCTTCATCTTCATCCTTATCCCCTTTCTTTATCAATATCTTCCCATCCTTCTTCATCATTTATCTCCTTCCCTTTCTTCATCATCCATATTGAAAACCAAGTAGTACTGTAATGGATTTGTCCAAGTATTATCTTTGATGAACTCTCCCAACTCAACAACACCTGCATCAGAACGGTCAGTAAACCAGGTAAAGAAGCTCTCTGGTTCTTCGTGCTGCCTCTTCCTGCTGACTTTACTCTGCGTTTGACTGGAACGTTTTCATTATATCCTTTCCAGATTTGCATTTGACTTCAGTGGACTCTAAAAATAGATCACCACTCTCATTCAGATGAAATTCCTTGGAGAGAACTTTATTTTCAAACTAAAGATTTTCATCAAAATAAAAATCTTTCTGTAACCTGATTTAATACCTCCAAATTCTGTCACTTCAACTCGTCAAATAATACAGTGCCTCTTTGTCTTCCTCCCCAAGTAATGTAGACACTTGTGGATGGCTGACAAATGCTGTTACCCAAAAATTTGAAATTTGGGCAATCAATTTTGACCTCTTCCAAAAAATGGTTGGCAGAATTTGTTATACTTCTGTTCTGCTTTCACAATCTCCCCACTGGCTTGTTCATTAAGTCTCTGAATTTTGTGTGTGTGTGTGTGTGTGTGTGTGTGTGTGTGTGTGTGTGTGATGGAGTTTCACTCTTGTTGCCCAGGCTGGAGTGCAATGGCACGATCTCAGGTCACTGCAACCTCCACCTCCCAGGTTCTAGTGATTCTCCTGCCTCAGCCTCCCAAGTAGCTGGGATTACAGGCATGCACCACCACACCTGGCTAATTTTGTATTTTTAGTAGAGATGGGGTTTCTGCATGTTGGTCAGGCTGGTCTCGAACTCCCGACCTCAGGTGATCCACCCACCTTGGCCTCCCAGAGTATAGGCATAAGCCACCGCGCCCAGCCTGTATTTCCTTTTGTACGTCGTCAATATATTCAATTGCTTCTTTCTGTTCTTTTTCTCCCTTCTTCAGCAAGCCCAGAGAGGCCAATGTCTCCTCCGGTCTCAGAGCAGGAAGTAGTCTTGGTTTTGGGGGTCACACCGCTAGGAAAGTTCAAGAACCAGACCACAATTCTTCTTTCTCGTCAGGAAGACGCTCAGAAAACTTAATTTTTTTTGTTTTGTGGCTAAAAAATTTTGCATACTAAAACCAACCGAAGGTTGGGAAGGTATTTTACATTTTCCTCTAGAAGCTTTGTGGTCTTAGTTTTACCTTTAGGTCTATGATACATCTTAAATTGCTTCCTTGATTCCTCCATTTCATCTGTTAGTAGCTCTCTGCAGAGAACAAGTGCTTTGTAAACACTGCTGACTCACTTATAAATGCCCTATAGGTTAGAAGAAATGTGTTTTCAAAGCTTACTAAAGGCTCTATGCTCAGCCTCAGTAACATTCTAGATTTAAAAAACCACTAATGGGAATGAACTCACAAATTAGACAAAATTTGAAACAAATTAGGCAAAATTTGACAAAATGTCTAACTCACAAATTAGACAAAATGGAGAAACCTGGAAGCTTCCATTTAGAACTCATGTTATGGTTCTGCCTAGGACATGCCTTGACTAGGGCAGGGATAATCCAGTTTCATTTCTGTACAAATAGCAGTTTAACTCAGCACAGAAAATGGAGAGCAGTATGCTCACCATATTTTCTTCCTCTTTGTATATATGTTAGAAAATTACCATGTCATTAGCATAGACTGAATTCTTTTTAACAAATTAGGCCATAAAACAGTAATTCACAGCAGCTCTGTTGAAAACTGACTTATATATATATATAAGTAATAAATGTTACAAGATATTACTCTCAAGAGACATTTTCTATACCCTAAAACACTGGCATTATTTTATAGGATTTAGGTAGCTTTAAAAAATGTTTTATTAATGCTTTGTATTGAAAACATGTAAGCTGAAAACATAAAAAGAAGTATTCCCACTGTTTAAAGACTACCACCGATGCATATTAAAACAGAGCATTTCCAGCTATTTCCTTGAGACTTTACTAAGAACGCATAAGACTAAAAAGAGCAAAAATTACCCTTGTCCATTTTACTGGCATTTGGAGAAATTCATAAATTAGGATAATAGCGCATTTCTTAAGTACTTAGCAACTGATAAAATACTCTACGTACAAAGAAATTTTAAAAAGCTATTCTCAAACACTGTATTTTGACAGCTGTTTCCTTGATATTATTCAGCCAAAACATGCTCCATGTTTTAGCAAGGTTCCTTTCTTATTACTCTGCCTTAGTGCCTAAGTTTCTACACCACAATTAGGCAATTCTTTTTAATGAATTAGGCCATAAAACAGTAATTCACAGCAGCTCTGTTGAAAACTGACTTATATATATAAGTAATACATGTTACAAGATATTACTCTCAAGAGACATTTTCTATAGCCTGAAACACTGGCATTATTTTATAGGATTTAGGTGGCTTTAAAAAAATGTTTTAAATTCATAGGAAAACTATTTACATCTAAGCAAGGACCGAGGCTCTCATTTGTAGCTTGCACTTTTCTGTTTTTAACAATTACCCAGATTCACAAGCTAACATTTCAGGGATAATCAATAGTGGCTTAGAATTTAGGGTGAAAAAAGAGAAAGTAACATATAACCTTGATATTGTTTCTTTCTAAAAAGAAAAGGGGATTTGTGATTAGCTACTTAAATTTGATTACATTATACACTTAAATTCCTTTTCTCATGAAGTATTTCAATGACTACCATTTCCTTAATAGCACTTCATTATTGTTATGCCTTTCTAAATGACAATGTACAATCCTTTTCACAGCCAAAGGTCAAAAAGAATAAAGAAAGCAAAAATCTCCCAGTAAGGAATACTGTCATAAGTCACATCTTCCATGAAGTGTTTAGTTGATAGTTCCTGTAAACAGTCAAAATAAACTTCACTTCAAGAATGTAAGGAGTTCTAACACGCAAGAAATGAACTCTAGAATGAGCTGCCCAGACAATTTTAAATTAGGAAAAAGTCTTTTGTACTTTACAGTATAGATGTAATTTGTCAACACTATGTATAAAGTAAATCCAAACATCCCATAAAATCCATTTTAAACCATACTGAAAACACTCCAGGACAGAATGGATTGACTTCATGTGAAGGTGGGGGTTTATAAAAGTTACAGACTCCTACAACATGCTGGGCATGACAGCATACCAATTCCTTCCCAGGAGAAGGAAGTTTTCCCTTCGTAGGACATCTACAGCACTTTTTTGCTCTGACCTTAGTCTTTCTTCTTACCAGGCAGCTAACTATTTCCTGCATGTATGCTTTATTTTTCCCTGTGCCAAGCCACCAAGTCCCAAAGCTTTCCTCCCATGGCTGGAGTTCCTTTCCACTGATATGTTCATATCACTTGCTCATCCACTCCTTCATTTACTTAAAATCTTCAAGGTACTAGAATAGGAAAGAATGTTCAAGGAAAATAAGACAGCAACCCCCATCTCTTATAGCTAACGCTAAGGTGGAAGTCAAAATTGAAACGCGATTTTTAAAAAGGACTGCACTATTATACAACTGCTTCTGTAAAAATATAATTTAAAAAATGTCTAGAGTCTAGGCAACCTGTGTTTAATGTTAAGTCCGTTCGCTCAACACTAAACTGCTTTCTATCTGGATGATACTGTAAATGTGATCCTAAAAGTCTCTTCTGTTTGAGATTTCCAGACACATGCAGTGATAGGGTTCAAATATTTCACAAATTTGTTAACATTTTGGCTTTGATAAGTTCATGTTCTCATTTTAATAGAAGATGTTGAATACCTTGGAAATTGAGGTCATGAAGGGACATCTACTTATTTAACAGAAATCAGATGAGCCTTCCTCAAAGGCACAGAGGCAGCAGCATCATTAGCATAAAGTTGCCGTAACAACGTTGTGCTGCAAACAAAAGCACTAAGGAGAAAGGGGAACTGAAAGGGGAAAGATGGCAGCAAAGCCAAGGGCACCTGTGCACACTGCCAAGTCGAATCTAAGTCAGTAGCTCAGAAACTCTTGTAACTGAGCAACCTGAAGGCACAGACAACAATTAAATGCCTCTTTGAACCAGAACTAATCAGACTTGCCCAGCGCTGATGCCCTTTGCCTGCCATCTTCAATTCTCAGGGCCGCAAGACTCTGCTCCAAGCCTTTCCATGATTCCCTGAAAAGGACCAAGAGACCCTTCCAATTTCATAGGTGTTCTGACTTTAATTTGCAGGGAGAAATTTTTTTATACAAACACAATCTTACCAATACATAAGACAGAACCAGAAATACTATACTCTTGGTGAGGCTGAGATGGGGACACCATCCGTCTCCCTGGAACCCCAGAAGGCCTATGAGGACTGCCAGAAGCCAGCCAAGAAACATTTTAAAACCTACTCAGATTCCTCCGTATAAAAAGGAATATTCTTATGATGAGCCTGCTGTATACTGCCTATTTTCTTAGAGAGAAACCCTGAATATAACTGAAAATCTGTCATCAGTGATTTGAGAGGAGATAGGGAGGATGATGGCAGTGACCGGCAAGTGGGCAGTTGAGAATAAAGACTCGAAAAGGCTCTCATGGTGTAAGACACAAATATAAGAGTAAAGAAGCAGAAGATAATGATACTCAAAAAAGAGAAATCAGTCTGTGAAACTTCTGCTTTTTAAAAAATTCTCAGAAATTCCACGTCTGTGCTGGGAAAAATAAACTCAACAGTTTTATTTTCCTGATCTCTTTAACTTTAAAAGCCAAAAGATCTACTCAGTTTCCATGATGACTATTTAAAGTCTCAGAATAGAGCATCGTACATTATATTCTATGAGTAGCTCCCCTTTGTTTATTCCGTCTTTGGCTCAACCATTATTAACTGAATACTTCCACTGTGCCAGATACTGCTCTAGGTGCTGGCGACACACAGCATAACAAGTGGTTCTGCACTGAAGAATAATCTAGCAGGCTGGAGGCAGGACATAATGGCGAGTTCTGGAAAATAGGGTGAGAGGAAGAAATCATCATGAAGATGAGAGATCAGAACAGAAATAAGGGAGACAAAGAGGGAGAAAGAGCAAATGGAGAAGATGGGTGTGTTATCTTTGAAGTGGAGGAGCAAGAGCAAGAAGGCCAGTGTGGCTACAAGAGAAGGGCAAGGCAGTGGCCACAGGAGGTACAGTCAGAGAACCAGGCAGGGCCAGCTGGTCATGTAGAGCCATGCAGGCCATGACCAAACTCTGGATGTTTTCTAAGTGTGATGAGACCACACACACACATACACACACACGCACTGGGTGGGCCTGAGCAAGGGAGTAGCAAGACTTAATTTGTGTTTTTAGAGCTCCTTCTTGCAGCTGGCTGGGGTAGGGGGCACAGGCTGGAAGGTCACAGGAGGCTCCTGCTCCCAGCATTGATTATGACAGAGCAGTTTTTAATACACAAATTAAACTGCAATTTGAGGGAAACAATTTCAGGAGAAAGAAACCCCATCAACTATAAATGAGAAAACTCTCCATACTGGGTTATGGTTATCTTAGAGATGTGCGCTTTACACAATCATAAACCAACTAATAAGCTCAGGTTTGAATTTCTGAGACAGGCCATAAGGCGTTTTCAATAAAAGCTCTTAAGCAGTTTCTTCTTTCCTAACTGACAAAATACACTCCTACTGCCCTCGTGAGAAGAGTTCAGTTCTTCCATTTAAAAGATGGCATGTCCAATAATTACTTAATTTTATGCTAAGTGAGCACAAACTCTTTTTGATGTCACAGCAAACAAGTGCTTACAAAATAATGAAATCAATTACAGCAGCTGTACTGAAGACCAACCTCAAAACACAACCTTCAAAGATTTTAGGGGAATGTGGGAGGGAACAAGGAAATACAAGTACAGAGATCTTTAAACACTGAACAATGAAATAACCCAAATGTCCAGTAACAGAAAAATGGTTATGATTCTTTTCTTCAGTGAAATGAAGTAGAACTACTCAAAAGAAAAAGGCAGAACTTTAAAAACTGAAATGGAAAAGTCACCATGATATACTGTTAAGTGGGTAGGGGAGAGGGAAGGAGTGGTGGTAAGAGATCTCAGCCTCTGTCCATCGTTATCTGCCTTTCTACAATTCCTAACATTAACTGAAGGCTGTGCCACACTTTACCCTGCACTGACTTCAACACTGCTTTGTATTGTCTCACTCTTACCACAACCCTATGGGGTAAAGAGAATTATTACCATTTAACAGATGAGTTAGGTATTTTACCAAGAGTCACAGAGCTGATAAGTGGGGGGGGTGGTACGGGAATCCAGGAATTCCAACCCTGTAGCCTGCATTCTTAATCTCTATATTACATTAATCTCTTAGAGATGAGTCCTTATTCACTGAACATGTTAAATTAATTTTTTCTTGGATTGTTTCTTTCAAATAACACTTAAAAAATTTAAAACTCCCATTTGATGTTCTGGGAAATAATTTCAAGGAAAATTAAATTAACGATAAAACACGTAAAGCTCATGATATTTTGGAAAGTTGATATGACCCAAGTTGGCATTAAACTCAAAATCAAAGAACAAAACAACTTTACAAACAAATGTTATTTAAAGGCTCAGTGACTTATGATAATTCTGTCAGCCTTCACTATGATAGCAAATTGTGAACACCACATTTGTACATTTCCTTCTGGTTCCACATGTTTGTAATAATGCAATGTTATCCAGTTTAAAATGAAACAGATGCTCACAAGTTTAAGACACTCTGGGGAGGTCCACTCAGCTGGCATTATTTCAGCAGTTTCACGTGCTGATGACAAAGGACTGGAAGATAGCTGAAGGTGAGGCTGATTAGCCAAATCACTAAAGGGTGCTGGGCCATCCTAAAAGCACAGGGCCTGTGCACACTCCTCAGCTGTTGATCCATCTCTGCACCCACTTCGCCCATGCAGACATGTCCTAATCCTCACTCGTCAACCCCATGTACTCCTACATGGGTCTCTTCCCCAACGCCACCCCACGCGACAGTCATTCATTGCAGTGTTTTCTCTTCCTCCTAAAGACCAGCAGAGGGTACATGTTAAGATGCCCTAGAGAACTACGGCTTCCCCTGCCTCAACTCAAATCCTTACCAGCTACGTGTCTTCAGGCAAAATGCTTAACCTCACCAAGCCTTACTGCCCTCTATCATTTAACTGAGGAGACGTTAACAGGACTTACTTTATATAGAAGCTATCAGGTTTTAATGAGTTAATATAAATAAGGAATTTAGAACAGTATCTGGCATACAATAAAAACTCAGTAAGTCTTAGGTATTATTATTATTCCTGTTATCTTCCTAGTGCATTTTACCATTTGCAACAAAATAACTGGTTACCCAAGAATAAATCTGTCGGTGATTTTAATTTTCTGCTTTCTACTTTTCTGTATTTTCTAATGTATTTACATTGCCCATGCATCCCTTAGTAAATTTAAAAAACACATATACAAACTAAGCTTTTAACATAGGCCTCACCAAATTTCCTTCACAGTGGCTGGCACAGGGACCTCCAAAAGGCTGAACTATGTAAAGTCTATGGCTGAGCAAGCAGGCACCCACTGTTGCCAGCCAGGTGTCAGGGCCACCCCATAGGTACCATGTTTACATTCACCACAGGGCCCAGCATTAATGTCTGGAGATATCTCAGTGTGCAAATTCTTCCCACAAAAAGTTGGGGGCAAACCACAGTCCAGGGCTACTCATGCTACTGGAGATGAACAATAATCAAATTCTCAAATCCAAACTATCACTAGTGTGACTTAAAATCTAATACTTCTGATGGGATACATCCTGAAACCAAAATGTTTCCTTTATAACAGGGGACTTAATCAGGAGAGTTCATGAATTCCCTGCTAGTGTATAAAATGTGTCTGTACATTTTTCTAGCTATCTAACTTTCAATAAATTCTGAAAGGTATTCATAACCCAAAGCTATTAAAAAATAGTAGTTTTAACAGTGATTCTCAAACTTTAACATGTTTGTTAAAACATCTACCCCTTCAGCTGAGTGCAGTGGCACATACCTGTAATCTTAGCACACTGGGAGGCCGAGGCGGGTCAATCACTTGAGGTCAGGAGTTCAAGACCAGCCTGGCCAACGTGGTGAAACCCCGTCTCTACTAAAAATACAAAAAAATTAGCCAGGCATGGTGACGAACGCCTGTAGTCCCAGCTACTCGGGAGGCTGAGGCACAAGAATGTATTGAACCCAGGAGGTGGAGGTTATAGTGCGCCAAGATCATACCACTGCACTGTGGCCTGGATGACACAGCAAGACTCTGTCTCAAAACACAACACAACAAAAACAAAACAAAACAAAACAAAACAAAACAAAACAAAACACCACGTACCACTGGACCCCTCCCCAGAGGCTGAGTTTCAGGAATGGAGGTGTCTGGGAGTCTTGGGTAACTTGCATTTCCAGCAAGTTCTCAGGTCATGCTGATCCAGGCCCAGGAACCACACTTTGAGAACCACCAGCTTAAGGAGTTATGTGGGCATTTTTACTTTATTCTGAAGATAAGCAACCAACCTCTCTAACGGAAGTAATGTATGAAAACTAATGGCTGTTTCTCCATTACTTACCCAGGAATTACCTAGCAAGCCATGGCCACCATCCCTCTTACCCTCCACAATTCCAGGTAGGCTACACTTGACTATCAGTTCAATCCTGCAAATATTATCATATTCCTTATATCCTATTAGATTAGAAACCAGCTTTGATATTAGGATAAAACTGTGGCTGTGAATGTATCTCCACCTCTGCCTTTTGGGGTTTTTTTTTGGTCTCTCCATCATTCGTTCATGCAAAATACCTCTCTAATCTGTCTCATTCATGGGCATTTCCAAAAGAGAATGGGGAACAGTATAATTTAGTTTATAAAATTGCACCCCCTCTTATTTCAGAATTAAATGCATAAATAAACATGGCCCTGAAAATCAAGATGCTTCCCCTCCAAAAAAACAAAAGCCGATGACATTCCATTGTTAAACACACAGGGATCCTCAGGCCATGCTTGCCCTGCAACACACAGAACCAAAGACACCATACACATCCACACCATCAAGGAAATCAGTCTGGGGAGATGGAAACTGGAAGGCCAGAAAAATGGATGTGACGCCGTCAAGATAAAGATAAATGTTGACTTTACTGGAAACGTCTCAGCTTTGAGTATAATTTAGTCTGAATACAACTAAGGCAGGAACAGTATTCTGAAGAGAAAAAAAAAGATTACAGTTATTTACAAGAATACAGTTATTTACCTTTTAAAGACTAGGTCCAAATACCTACAAACCTCAGAAAAGTGATCACTGGGAAACAAAGCCGGTCAGCATTGAGCTGTACTTATGTAAAATGTCATTAAAAACCAGCTTTAGGGCCAGGTGCAGTGGTTCAGGTCTGTAATTCCAGCATGTTGGTAGACTGTGGCAGGAGGATCACTTGAGTTCAGAAGTTCGAGACCGACCACGGCAACATTGTGAGACCCCTATCTCTATGAAAAATATAAAAATTAGCTGGACACAGTGGTACACGCCTGCAGTCCCAGCTACTTGGGAGGCTAATATGGGAGGACTGCTTAAACCCAGGAGTTTAAGGCTGCAGTGATCCACTATCATGCCACCTCACTCCAGCCTGGACAACAGAGCAAGACCCTGTCTCAAAAAACAAACAACAACAAAAACTGGCTTTTAAAAGATATTAGTAGACCTAGATTAAGAAGGAAATGAGAGGTTAACATAAGTTCATAATGCATTTTGGCTGTATCAACTCTTAACAGAAAGTCCATACAATTTAATTAGGCTAGATAAGGTGACGTTGCGGCTCTTTTCTTTATTTTTAAACACCGTGTCCATTAAGTTTACTAGCCCTCATTCTTTCCACAACTGAAACACACTCATGATCTGCTACCCTAAGCCCACCAATGGTGTCCCCAGTCCCACCCATCACCATATCCCCAGCAGTGAGCTGAATGCTGTGGTTGACAAAAACAAAATACAAAATAACCCGAGCTCCCCACTTCACAATGCCTACCAATCTTTTATGTATCACATGAAGAAAATATTTACCACATACCAAAAGGGGATTGGTTTCCAAACTTAGAATTAAAATACAAGGATTACAGAAAGGACAGAACAGGATGAACTAACACAGTCAGAGACGTCATGAAGGAATCAGCTTTAAAATAGAATAAACAGAGTGAAAAAAGAATGCACTGGGGCAAGAACTATAAACCAGGACTCTAAACTTTTGTTTGGAAATGCTATGAGCTCGTTTAAGTGGAAGAATTCTCTGAAAGATTAACACAGAGTATTTATACACAGTAGAAGCTCAATAAATTTGCACATAGTAGCATTCACTGCAAAGAGGGACAAAGTAAAACCTACCTATCTTGAGGCTCATTTTCAGATGTTTATGAAGACCTGAGCTTGCAAAAAATTTTTAGTATTTGAAAAGTTTATTCTGATTATCCAGTGTCTACTTATTCTTAGGGTGAACACATACCCCAGTTTGCCTGAGACAGACCCAGTTCACTCCTGCTGTCCCCATGTAATTAAGTCCTCTTTTCATTCTCAAAAGTGTCCAGGTTGACTAATAAGTTAGAAGACCACCCTATCCAAATCAGTACTGGTTAAGCATTTGGTGAATAAAATCTCACTGAAAGTATTTCCTGGGGTTCTGTACCTCAGATCAGAAAATTCCTCCTTAAATCTTAAAGGCTTTAAGAAAAATATAGCATAGTTCAAAAGGAGTGCCTATTTCTGAAGGAAAGCCAGAGGTTGATAGCACCTCACAGAAACCATTGTTCTCAGAGAGTTGTGTGGCCGTAATCCTACAGCAGGATAACTAATCAAACACAAAGAGTTGAAATATGCAGAGGCACCACCTTAGGTGAACCTTTCAGTCCATGTGTTAAAAAAGGTTCTCCTTATTCCAGTATATTTAAAGTATGTCATTTCCCAAATGCGTTTAAAAATTAAATTTGATTTATTGCTAATAGTAAATACATACATATTACATATGTGTGTGCAGCACCACTTATCAGCACCATTTCACAGGTGGCAAAGGCGAAGCCTGCAGAGGCTAACAGCACACACAACCTGAATCCACAGCTCCCATCCACAAAGCCTCCTCTACCTTAGAGTAGGGAAGGACTTTTTTTTTTTTTTTTTTTTTTGAGACAGAATCTTGCTCTGTCGCCCAGGCTGGAGTGCAGTGGCACGATCTCAGCTCACTGCAACCTCCACCTCCCAAGTTCAAGCGATTCTCCTGCCTCAGCCTCCCAAGCAGCTGGGACTACAGGCATGCACCACCACACCTGGCTAATTTTTTTGTATTTTTAGTAGAGACGGGGTTTCACCATGTTGATCAGGCTGGACTCTTAAAAAGCCCAAGGATGTTTATTTGTTGAGGCTAGATCTAAAGTGAACAAAGGTAGAAAAGGAAAATCCTCAAGTTCCTCAGGATGCACCACAGCCCTAGAGATTTAGCAGTCATTCAAAAAAACAGCTAAGAATGTGAAAATTCTCATTGTTCTGTTGCAAGGGATACCCTGGAATTTAACCCAGGGCCAGCCTCAGATAGCATTTCATGAATCAGTCTTTTTATTTTATTCTTCAAGAAAATAACAGAAAATTTTCTTCACCTGGTTTATACACAATGACCACATTAGAAAGTACTAAAAATTATTTTGTCAGCAACAAGACAACAAACAGAATTAAAGAAAGTGGGAAGAACTAGTGAAATTATATTAGAAAGCAACAATTGTGAGGGTCAAGAGTACTTGATTATGCCCGAGCTAGTTCCCATCTAGCTTCCAGATCTTTCTAATCCATCTCACAGTGGTCTCATACCATATCGGAACTCCCACTTTGGGCCTGTGGAAGAAAATGAATCCCAGGAGTTTGCCTGTAAATGCCTTGGAGCAACTCAGGGACCCACAGATTGGAATGGTATAGATACTGGGCTTGCACCTTTACTAATCAGGAATATCAAAAATAAATACAGCTTTATGCCAGAAAAATTGAACTTGTGGCCAAAACAAATTGTTTCTTATGTTATCTATTTACAAAATGCCTAAAAGAAGCTAGAGAGGGAAGGTGGGGAAGGAAGCAGCAATATTAATTGCCATTCAAAGGCTGTAGTAGGGAGAGAGAAGGAGGAACTTGGAATATAAAAATTTGTGTGACTCTCATCTAAGCCAAGTGGTCCACATGACACTTGAACAAAAGGTGGTCTAAAATGTAAGCCAGAGGAAAATTGTTGTGAGATATAGCTCCATAAATACCATGTTTACACTGAATTTCAAAAGCATGTTTTCTCCAAAAAATCATCTCTTGAAGATGGTATGAAAGCCCACACAATGCAAATCTTGAAGCTCCTTTCAGTTCTCCATATACGAAATAATACTGATGACAGACAATATTTATTTTTCTCTTCTATGTGCCAGGCATACAGAACAATATTCCTCACAACAGTATTCTGAAGTAGATATTATAATCACTTTTGTACAGATTCTCCTAACGATGAGGGTGCTGAAGCACAGAGAGGTTAAGTAATGTGCCCCATGACACAAAGCTAATGTGTAACTCAGCCGGTATTCTAACTAAGGCAATCTATTCTGGAGACAATGCTCTTAATCATTCAGATATATTGTTTCTCACATAAACAATTTAAAAAAACAGGACTACAGGTCAACAAATGTTTCAACTGTCTAAGAGATTAATACGCAGTGGAAAGGTTCTGAAAATATTTAAACTACAACATGCCAACTGGCATACAGTAAACTGAGAATTACACTGAAGCTGAAGAATAAGTGGTACAGAGAAAGAAACTACATAAATATGCTTTCCAGGCGAGGTCACTTCAAAATCATTCCAAATGGTTCTAGAAAACTTAACAGCTCAAAAATGTCTAAAATCTCTCATAAGCATTTCTTTTTAAAACTACACCATTTCTTGTATCTCAGAAGCAGCTGTATCGTGCTGCTTTTCTGTTGTTTTCAAATCCATGTGCTTCTAATACAGGGTTAAGTATCCTAACTCCTGGCAAATCATACATACTTCATATGTGGACTTGATAAGTGATATTTGATTTGGCAAATGGCAAGAGATTATTTAGCAAATTCAAACACTATTTTCCCCATGACCCATTTAAAAAAAAAAACAACAAAAAAAAAACCTCTGTCATTTCCCACCAAGAAAAAAAAAAAAACAGACTGGATTAATAACCAGTCAGCTGAACTAACAAAGTATTAACAAAATGCTCTGCTTGTATGAGTTTTTGTTCTCCTTACCTAAGAAAAATAAATGTTTCCTGCCTTTACTATTATTTAGCATCTCTTAGATCTTAAAATACGAGAAACTCATCTTTAGTGTAATAAGCTTTTGTCTTTCCTGTAGGACAGCAGTCTGTTGTGATTTCTGGCAATGGAGAGGTACTTTAGGACCACATGTTTTGCCTACATTAGGAAAAAAATAGCAAAACCCTAATTTCTGTGGTTGACAAGAGGGAAGAAAGATGGAGCCATCCTCATTCACACTCCCTGTGGAGACAGGGTGGGACTGGCAATGGGGACCAAGGGAAAGACCACCAGCTCTGGTTGATCCTGGATGTGTCTCCATCCCTTCCTTACTGAGACCACAGAGTAAAGCACAGATGAGAATATCTCCTATTACCTTAGGCATGTTGAGGCAAAAATGTAAAGCTCCGAGAAGCACTCCATCATGTGTGCCCCATCCGTAATAGTTTGAGTTTACCAGGGTACTGCATATGAGATCTTATTTCCTCTTGTATTAGATTTATAATTTGAAAATACTTTCCATGAGTTATGTATTGCTATGTATCTAAAAGAGCCTTCCTATAACCACAGTGGCTGGGTCAAAGACCTACTCAAATTTGGCTCTTTCCATAACAATTAATATTCATTAAAAACACAAAGCATAGCACTGTATTTCTATCTAGCATATGTTGAACCATGCAGTTTTGAAAGCATTGTAAAGGAACAATTAGCCTGTCATAGTAAAAAGAGACCCTACCATTTACTGACCTTAGAGCTAGGCATTATAGTAAGAAAATACACCTTACGTGATTTAAACTTTCCAACAACTTTAATAGTGCAGGTAGTACTAGACTCTTTTTGCAGATGGGGAAACAGATTGAGAGAGATTACATTACCAGCCTGAGGTCTCCTGGTTTATACAAGGCAGTGCTGCTGGCTTGTATATCCAAATTTAACTCCATATGCCACGTTATGTAGCATTAACTGCAAAGAATCACAATTAATCTAATCCTGACTTTGTCTCTATGCTGGAGTAAACAAGTTCGCTGTATTTTTTCTTCATTTGTCCTGGATAAAACACTAGCTTAAGATGGCCAAAGGTTTCATCTCAGGGGCCAGTTTTGACAAGACTTTCTAAGCTCCACTATAGAAGGGAAGCTGCAGGAAAAATCGCGTGTGTTCAGTTAGAGATGTCTGAAAAGGCCCATAGCAGCACAGACCCTCCTCCCCAGCCATGGCAGAACCAAAGTTGGTGGGCATTTATACCCAAACCGCCTGCCCGCACCCCCAGCCCCCTCCCCCTGGCCTTTTCTGCTGAGCAATTTAACTGCCGTGGACTTTCCGTCTACTCTACTGGATGCTCATTATCTAGAAACTCCCTCCCCCAACTTTTGAACTATGGCAAAAGCTAAGGTAGATATTTAAGTCACACTGCATGTCACACATGAAGGGTACCCATTAGTATAAATCCCAAAACAGCATTTTTACAAACAAATGGAAGTCACTGTATCCCTCTCACATCCCCTGTTATATGGCTGATAGTTCTATCCTCAGATTGCTCCTTCTTACATGAAATTGGTCTCCCAACAGCTTCATCAATTCCATAAGTCAATCTTCAGCCTGCCTATTTGTGACTCGAAAGTTCCTATCTTTTAAGCGCTTCTCTACATTTTTAAATGAATACAAGCAAAGGCCTCGCTTATTATGAGTATAATACTATATTTATATTGTTAAGTATAATATAAAGTTTCTGGGAAAACTACAAAAAAAAGAGCAGCAAGGCAAAGTATCAGAATCTGACTCAGACTTTTGGTAGCAGACAAGTCTCAACTATTCCGACAAGAATGAAAAACACAGTTTTGGAAGTGTGTATATATATCATGTATGTGACATTTATAAGACAGCAATAATTGCAACCTGCCAAAAGCAAAAGGCCTAAAACTGGTAAGCTAGAGGTCTCTCCGGTGAAATGTAACACAAAGTTATTAATAACAAGCACATTTGTCAACACGAATCTCCTCTGCCTGTTGAGTTGTAATGCTAAGAAGCATCTATGCTGCGAAAGTTTTATCATATGCATAAACATGCACTTGGACTTCACATTTCTCTCTAAATGCAGCTGTTCACAAAAGTACTTTTAAGCTT
Source organism: Homo sapiens (assembly GCF_000001405.40). NCBI lineage: Eukaryota > Metazoa > Chordata > Mammalia > Primates > Hominidae > Homo > Homo sapiens. The sequence goes on along the minus strand of NC_000003.12, from coordinate 151,254,603 downwards.
ACACATACACGTATAGCTAAGAACTAGATTAAATAAGGTTTGGTTCAAATTATAATATTGAAATAATAACAGCTAACATTTATATAGCATGTTTACATATCTCAACTAATTATAAATGGGAAAATGGGCAAATGGGCAGGCAGAACCCAGAGGGAAGCCTGCCCTCATTAGACCAAGACAGCAAGGTTTCCCCTGGTCACTAGATGAAATTAGGGAGTTGCAATCCTTCAAACGTAAATGTTAAGCCTCTGCTATAAATAATACTCATATAGCTCTAGTTACGTGAATGAAAGATGCTGATTTATCCAAAAATTGTGGACATAATTATCTGGTAAAGGGAAACGTGCACAGTGAGCTAAATCCTCATCTTCCACACAAGGAAGTCAACAGACACTATCAAAAGCCAAGAACCTCCAGTTACATAAGAAATACAGGCACTAATACCTAAAAATAGATAAAAGGAAAAAGAGGTGGCTACCAGGGCATAAGAAAAGGGTATGGACTTCTATTTTTTTCATTATATGTTTTTTTAAATTGTTTCTTAAAGTACACAAATGCATAACTTTGATAAATCTTAAAAGTTTAAATTAACAAAAAAAAAAAACAAGAAAAAATCAAAACAAAAAGAAGGTATATCAAATGTATCCATTCCTTGGACTAGAAGAAGAAAAAAAAAGTAGTGGAGGTCCTCACTGATTAAATTAAATCACCTTCTTGGATATGAAAGACCTTTTTCAGTGGAGCTAAGTCTTAGGAGTCAGGTGTCCATGGATTGCTCTCAGCAAAAGGACAATGTTTCAAGCCCAGAAAGTAATCCTGGACAGCCTGGCAATATGGATGAGAGAGGCTGCAAAAAAGTCACCTGCCCCACCCCATTCCCCAGACAAGCCAAATGACTCCATGAATGAGACTGGGGCAACATCAGCAAAATACCCACCCACCCCCTCACAAAAAAAGAAAAAATCAGAAGACACAGCCATCACCATCTGTGATACAGTACAAAGCCTGAGGGGTGGCCTAAGTAGAATTAAATTAAGCACTATAGGAATTCAGAGAGAGGAAAACCATTCATTCTCAGTAAGAACATAAAGGAAAGCTCCACTAAAGTTGAAATTTAAGAGGGCCCATGCCAGGCTTAGGAAACGGCCCAACAAAGGCCAGAGGAGGGAGAACAGAAGGTGTGTTTGGAAATGAACATGATCTAAGCCATATTAAAATGTGTATCTTATGCTGCTGTTGCTCCACTCTAAACTGGAGTGAGGGGTAAGAGCGGAAGGCCCCTGGGACAGTCAATGGTTTCCGGCACAGTGCAAAACTTGAGTGCAGTATACGTGCCTCTCAATTAACTCATTTATAGGAATATACTCTCCATATTTGTTGGCTTTTCTCGGAACAGGCTCTTAAATCTCAGACACTGACATTTATATCACTATACAGGGTGCCTGTCATGACCCCAGATCTCCAGAAGTCCTTAGCTGCATGCTAGTGGATTCTGTTAATACATTTTCCTTACAATTTCCCAAGAGTGTTGAACTCAAAAGACAGGGACTTTAGTTTAAGGCAACATAATTTCTCCCTTTAGCTCACGACATGTAATATTTATTTTAAGGGCAAGTTCCCTTAAAATAAATATTCTCCTAAATGTATACACATTCCCTATGTCATTTTAATGTAGTACATGCTCCTTTTAACACTACAGTCATTGCTTTAAATCAATAAAATTGGACTAGGTTTGATCCACACAACCCCAAATACCAGTTTTGGTTAAAATACACACATTTTACTCAAGGTTTTCTAGATAAGTTCTAGAACTTATCTAGTTAGTAGATAAGTTAGTAGATTACATATGAACAAACCTACTCCTGCATAGCAAACTGAATATGTACAAAAGACAGTCTATTTGCATGCATCATAAGCCTTCAAAAATAAAAATGAACATATTAACTTTTACTTTTTTACTTTCACTCTGGCCTTTATGAACATGTTTAGAAGTATCATTTACGAAACACAAGTATAAGTAAAACTTGAAAGAGAAAATTAAGGAAGCAACACATCTTTACTTTTATATTCCTTTAATTAAATGAATAAAAATGTCAGGTGCCAAAGATGCAAAATTAAGACACTGCCCTGGCTCTCAACAGCTCACCCAATCTAGTTGGGAGAAACAACTGGCAGACAATTAAAAATCAGTATTTATGCCAGAAGTTGCAATTATTTTCTATGAAAAATCAGATCTTAGCGATGACCATGAGCAATAGGATATGAATAACTCCCATGAGCTTAGTGTCCCAATAATGGAACACAAGGTATAAACAAGTTAAGCACTACTCCTGGTTGTACCTCCCACAGTATTTAATACAGAAGGTTACTAATAAATTATTAGTTGGGTGACTGGATAAACAGATGGATAGAAAGATGAATGAATGGAGATATTAATAGTACTTTTTGGTAACACAGGAAGGTGAGTTTATCCTGCATAGGGAGGGAGGGGATGGGTGGTCCAGGAATAACCTCCCATAGGAAAGGGTGGGCCAACTGCATCTGAAAGTAGTATGTTTCCACAGGGATAAACACACAGGTTAAATAGAACTCAGACAAATTACACAGTTATGTAATAATTTCAAGGTATGTTAAAAGAATCAAAATCTGTGACTTCAAAGCTATTTTTACTTAGGATGAGGGTAAACATTTAATTTTTAAGGTGATTCCATGTACATAAATATCAGATATAAACAGATCAGGTGGCATGTGGATATAATAAAGACTGAGAAGCAAGTACACAAATAGCTGAAATTTTTTAAAATGCAATTCAAATTCAGAATAAGCCAGGTGAAAGAAGAGAAATTATTCCAGAGAGCTGTTCTAGGCAGAGGAAAGATCTTAAGCCCAAGCAATGGGGCAAGAACCACAGATATTCACAGAGAGTTCAAACAATTGAGTGTTGCTGTGATATACAGACCAAGGCAAATAGTGGTGGAAGAAGAGGTGTCAAATCACAGAGCACTCTACTGAATTAAACACCATGAACTTATCTTTTAAGTATTAGAGACCCACAAAAGGGACACAGTGCTGCTTGTATTTTAGAGGGATTCCTCTCACGGGTGAGTGGAGGACACACCCTGTGGGTGGGAGGCAGATTGAAGGCAGGGAACACAGACAAAAAATGACCTGAGGTTTGGTGGGAATAACAGTCAAGAAATATTTAAGCATAAAAAAAAAAATCACCAGGCTTTGGAGATTGACTGGCTAGGAATGGATGAGACAGAGTGTTTAATTGTTGACAGCTTGGGTAATGGGTAGATGGTATTATCACAAATTGAGAGAGACACATTGAGTAGGAAGAACCCAAGAAGCATCTGGGTAGAAAGGTGCAAGGAACAACAGTGTACAGAGGTGCAAGGTGGTGAGAGATGCTGGCAGAGATGTCACAAGTGCTAACAGGGCAGGGCAAGGGCAGAGAAAGGCAAAAGCATGGGGCTCAGGATGGAATCCATAAAACATCAACATTTGAGGGCAAGCCCTTAATCATGGAGGGAACAGTGTCAGAAAGGTACAAGGGCAGTATGCCAAAGTACCACAGAGAGAATCATCATCAAAAGCTGCCTTAATGCCTCATACCCATTAAGATGGCTACTACTAGAAAGAAAGAACAAACACAACACACAAATGGAAAACAAGTGTTAGCAAGGATGTGGGGAAAGTGACACCTTTGTGCACTGTTGGTGGGAACGTAAGATGGTTCATTCAGCCTCTATGGAAAACAGCAATTCCTTTAGAAAATTAACATAGGATTACCACATGATCCAGCAATTTTGCTTCTGGGCACATAACCAAAAGAACTGAAAGTAGGGTCTTAAGCAGATATTTGTATACCCACTTTCATAGCAGCATTGTTCACAATAGCCAAAAGGTGGATGCTACCCAAGGACTATGGACAGATGAATAAACAAAATGTGGTATATACATAGAGCGGAATATTATTCAGTCTTAAAAAGAAATGAATTGTCACATGCTACAAAATGCATGAACCTTAAAGACATTATGCTAAGTGAATTAAGCCAGTCAAAAAAGGACAAATACTGTATGATTCCACTTCTATGAGATAGCTAGAGTATTCAACTTCGTAGAGAAGAACAGTAGTTACCAGGGACTAGGGGCAAGGATAAATGGAGAATTATTATTTAATGGGTACAGAATTTTAGTTTTGCAAGATGAAAACAGTTCTAGAGATGCATGGTGATGATGGTTACACAACAATGTGAATGTAATTAACGTCACTGAACACTTAAAAATAGTTAAGGTGGCAAATGTTATGTGTATTTCACCACAATCCCAAAAAAGCTACCTCAAAGACAAAAAAAATCTTTCAAAATGTCAATTGGATTGAGGAATGTGCAATGAGGAGGTCTTTGGCAGTTCTAGATAAGTGCTGAGGACAGAAGGCAGAGTGGACTAGATTACAGAGTGAATGGGAAAGTGGAGACAGCAAACGCAGACCATTTCCAACAAGTTTGGATAAGGAGATAAAGGTACCGACTGGATGATTGCTAATAAAGAGGATTCACATTTAAGGGAGAGCTTTGAGGGTTTTCGCTTTATTTTATTTGATAATGATAACAGGCATGATTGATCGTGAGCATGCCTCTCTAGGACAGAAGGAAAGAAACTGGTAAAATGGGAAAAGTTGATGCTATAGGCCCTAAACTGGATGAATTCAAGTAGACGGAGTATAGGAGACTCAGGCCTTTCCTTCTGAAAGATGTATTATGACTGTATTAATCCAGAGCATAATTTCAGAAATCCCCAGGAAGAACTTGTTAAAGAAGGAAATATCCAGGCATTGGGATCAAGTAACAACCCAGGACAGAAACAGAATGTTGTGAAACCAGATTTAAGTCAAGGAGTAATACGAAGAATGATTGGAGACCCAAAAGCCCCCATTCAAGGCTGGAAATGTGTCAGGATAACAGATGGAGTAGAAGAGGTACTGGCATGCATCAAGTCCATCCCTAGACCAGGATAAGTCTAGAGGAGCAAATCCCCCAAGTCCCAGAGGAGATAGCATAGTCTTGGGGTCCTTTCAATATCTCTTCTCATTTGACAGTTATCTTGCCCTGCACCAATCAAGACCCCCAAGTTAACACCTACTTAAACAGCTTTCCTGCCTCCTCCCCTGGTACTGAAAGAAGGAAACGTGCAGATGTTTTACTCTCAAATATTTTTTGGTTTTCCAACTAATTTCAAGGAATTAGTTTGAAACCATGTGAATTACAACTTAAAAATACTTCCCAATAAATACAGAAGCTATTATTACAACAGCTTCACAGGAAAAGGTCATAAACAAGCATGGGAAAGATCTATCTTCCTGCTGGCTGGAGCTCTCACTTGCTCAGTCTCCCTTTTCACAGCTGGTTTCATACTATTTACTATTTGGTCAAGCCGTGCTAATCTGTAACCCTAAGCAAATCCAAATCAGGTCCAACTTATGCAAGCATATATTAGAGCTGGGCTCCAAAGAATACTGGACATCTGTAGTACCTGACATTCAAGCATTTGGCGAGATGTCAATATTTCAGAGAGCACTTTAAATGTTTTGATTTGAAAGCTAATGCAGTGTTTCCCACTGGTCAACACGAGCAGTCCAGCAGAGAGCAAAATCTATTTCCCTCAACATCAAATGCTACACTCAGTTGCTGATCCTATCTTGCCTACAGAGAACCTAAAAGACTGGAAAAATTGGTAAGTAAGAAAATTCCATCTAATGCAGAGTACAGTTAAATAATATTTGTGATTACAATGTAAAATGGCTTTGTGTGGTGCTGACATCCTAAATTTTTTTTTAATGGATGGAGTCACAGAGTTATAGGCTATGCAAGACTTTTCCAAATTCAAGTAATAAACCAAGTCTAGTTAAATTTTCCTTGTAAGTATCCTTTTTTAATTTGATAAGGCATGATTTCCTTTCATGGGGCTTGTACATTAGGCATTAGGAAATTCCTATTTTAAAAATACTTATTATCCAGACAGTCGGATGGGTATGTGGGTAGTGACAAAATTAGTATTTGGTATGATAAAGTGGACCAGTACAGCTGGGTTATGATATATATAATCTCAGGGCAAAGACAGTCCAATAAAGAACGAATATACTGAAGAAAGAAAACAAAAACCAGACAGTTTGGTTTAAAAGCACAAAATGCTAAAACTCTACAAATAATGAAACCAAAGGTGAAATACTTCATGCAAGGCAGCTGTGATGTCTTCTCTAAAATATTAAATGCATGGGTCACTGGTATGGATTTAATGGTGAGTCACAATTTATTTTCAAAGGAAAGAAATAGGAATTAAATAGGTCTCATAGTTGCTGTTTTATTTTTTATTAGTGTCTTAGGTTTTAATTTTCCTTTCCTTGGTTCTTCTGATTGCTTCCTCTGAGCGTTAAACATTTAAATAACAAACATTCATAGCATTTTTTGTTTTAACTTGTGGATGGCAAGGACAAGGAATATTATTGTGTAGTTTTTCTATAAATTATGTAGTAATTTCCAAAAATCTAGACTAATAGATAATTTAGAAACTTAATATACATGCTTAGAATCTACTCCAGATTATTTCTCAGGCAAAAAAAAAAAAAAAAAAAAAAAGAAGAAGAAGAAGAAAGAAAGTAAACAAAAGAAAATCTTTTTAAAAGGAGCCCTGTCTTCTGAATACATTATAAGAACACTGCAACTAAGGGAAGGCAGAGCTTTTTTAAAAACTGTGACTCTTGTCAACAAATGACTCTCTAAATGGAGAAAATGCAACTTCTTAAGTCCTAATTCATTTTTTTTTTGCTTTTTTTTTTTATTATACATTAAGTTTTAGGGTACATGTGCACATTGTGCAGGTTAGTTACATATGTATACATGTGCCATGCTGGTGCACTGCACCCACTAACTCGTCATCTAGCATTAGGTACATCTCCCAATGCTATCCCTCCCCCCTCCCCGACCCCACAACAGTCCCCGGAGTGTGATATTCCCCTTCCTGTGTCCATGTGATCTCATTGTTCAATTCCCACCTATGAGTGAGAATATGCAGTGTTTGGTTTTTTGTTCTTGCGATAGTTTACTGAGAATGATGATTTCCAATTTCATCCATGTCCCTACAAAGGACATGAACTCATCATTTTTATGGCTGCATAGTATTCCATGGTGTACATGTGCCACATTTTCTTAATCCAGTCTATCATTGTTGGACATTTGGCTTGGTTCCAAGTCTTTGCTATTGTGAATAATGCCACAATAAACATACGTGTGCATGTGTCTTTATAGCAGCATGATTTATAATCCTTTGGGTATATACCCAGTAATGGGATGGCTGGGTCAAATGGTATTTCCAGTTCTAGATCCCTGAGGAATCGCCACACTGACTTCCACAATGGTTGAACTAGTTTACAGTCCCACCAACAGTGTAAAAGTGTTCCTATTTCTCCACATCCTCTCCAGCACCTGTTGTTTCCTGACTTTTTAATTATTGCCAATCTAACTGGTGTGAGATGGTATCTTCTTGTGGTTTTGGTTTGCATTTCTCTGATGCCAGTGAGGATTTTTTCATGTGTTTTTTGGCTGCATAAATGTCTTCTTTTGAGAAGTGTCTGTTCGTGTCCTTTGCCCACTTTTTGATGGGGTTGTTTGTTTTTTTCTTGTAAATTTGTTTCAGTTCATTGTAGATTCTGGACATTACCCTTTGTCAGATGAGTAGGTTGCGAAAAGTTTCTCCCATTTTGTAGGCTGCCTGTTCACTCTGATGGTAGTATCTTTTGCTGTGCAGAAGCTCTTTAGTTTAATTAGATCCCATTTGTCAATTTTGGCTTTTGTGGCCATTGCTTTTGGTGTTTTAGACATGAAGTCCTTCCCATGCCTATGTCCTGAATGGTAATGCCTAGGTTTTCTTCTAGGGTTTTTATGGTTGTAGGTCTAACGTTTAAGTCTTTAATCCATCTTGAATTGATTTTTGTATAAGGTGTAAGAAAGGGATCCAGTTTCAGCTTTCTACATATGGCTAGCCAGTTTTCCCAGCACCATTTATTAAATAGGGAATCCTTTCCCCATTGCTTGTTTTTCTCAGGTTTGTCAAAGATCAGAGAGTTGTAGATATGCGGCGTTATTTCTGAGGGCTCTGTTCTGTTCCATTGATCTATATCTCTGTTTTGGTACCAGTACCATGCTGTTTTGGTTACTGTAGCCTTGTAGTATAGTTTGAAGTCAGGTAGCGTGATGCCTCCAGCTTTGTTCTTTTGGCTTAGGATTGACTTGGCGATACGGGCTCTTTTTTGGTTCCATATGAACTTTAAAGTAGTTTTTTCCAATTCTGTGAAGAAAGGCATTGGTAGCTTGATGGGGATGGCATTGAATCTATAAATTACCTTGAGCAGTATGGCCATTTTCACGATATTTATTCTTCCTACCCATGAGCATGGAATGTTCTTCCATTTGTTTGTATCCTCTTTTATTTCCTTGAGCAGTGGTTTGTAGTTCTCCTTGAAGAGTTCCTTCACATCCCTTGTAAGTTGGATTCCTAGGTATTTTATTCTCTTTGAAGCAATTGTGAATGGGAGTTCACTCATGATTTGGCTCTCTGTTTGTCTGTTGCTGGTGTATAAGAATGCTTGTGATTTTTGTACATTGATTTTGTATCCTGAGACTTTGCTGAAGTTGCTTATCAGCTTAAGGAGATTTTGGGCTGAAACGATGGGGTTTTCTAGATATACAATCATGTCGTCTGCAAACAGGGACAATTTGACTTCCTCTTTTCCTAATTGAATACCCTTTATTTCCTTCTCCTGCCTAATTGCCCTGGCCAGAACTTCCAACACTATGTTGAATAGGAGTGGTGAGAGAGGGCATCCCTGTCTTGTGCCAGTTTTCAAAGGGAATGCTTCCAGTTTTTGCCCATTCAGTATGATATTGGCTGTGGGTTTGTCATAGATAGCTCTTATTATTTTGAAATACATCCCATCAATACCTAATTTATTGAGAGTTTTCAGCATGAAGGGTTGTTGAATTTTGTCAAAGGCCTTTTCTGCATCTATTGAGATAATCATGTGGTTTTTGTCTTTGGCTCTGTTTATATGCTGGATTACATTTATTGATTTGTGTATATTGAACCAGCCTTGCATCCCAGGGATGAAGCCCACTTGATCATGGTGGATAAGCTTTTTGATGTGCTGCTGGATTCAGTTTGCCAGTATTTTATTGAGGATTTTTGCATCAATGTTCATCAAGGATATTGGTCTAAAATTCTCTTTGTTGGTTGTGTCTCTGCCCAGCTTTGGTATCAGAATGATGCTGGCCTCATAAAATGAGTTAGGGAGGATTCCCTCTTTTTCTATTGATTGGAGTAGTTTCAGAAGGAATGGTACCAGTTCCTCCTTATACCTCTGGTAGAATTCAGCTGTGAATCCATCTGGTCCTGGACTCTTTTTGGTTGCTAAGCTATTGGTTATTGCCACAATTTCAGATGCTGTTATTGGTCTATTCAGAGATTCAACTTCTTCCTGGTTTAGTCTTGGGAGAGTGTATGTGTCAAGGAATTTATCCATTTCTTCTAGATTTTCTAGTTTATTTGCGTAGAGGTGTTTGTAGTATTATCTGATGGTAGTTTGTATTTCTGTGGGATCAGTGGTGATATCCCCTTTATCATTTTTTATTGGGTCTATTAGATTCTTCTCTCTTTTTTTCTTTATTAGTCTTGCTAGCGGTCTATCAATTTTGTTGATCCTTTCAAAAAAACCAGCTCCTGGATTCATTAATTTTTTGAAGGGTTTTTTGTGACTCTATTTCCTTGAGTTCTGCTCCGATTTTAGTTATTTCTTGCCTTCTGCTAGCTTTTGAATGTGTTTGCTCTTGCTTTTCTAGTTCTTTTAATTGTGATGTTAGGGTGTCAATTTTGGATCTTTCCTGCTTTCTCTTGTGGGCATTTAGTGCTATAAATTTCCCTCTACACACTGCTTTGAATGCGTCCCAGAGATTCTGGTATGTTGTGTCTTTGTTCTCACTGGTTTCAAAGAACATCTTTATTTCTGCCTTCATTTCGTTATGTACCCAGTAGTCATTCAGGAGCAGGTTGTTCAGTTTCCATGTAGTTGAGTGGTTTTGAGTGAGATTCTTAATCCTGAGTTCTAGTTTGATTGCACTGTGGTCTGAGAGATAGTTTGTTATAATTTCTGTTCTTTTACATTTGCTGAGGAGATCTTTACATCCAAGTATGTGGTCAATTTTGGAATAGGTGTGGTGTGGTGCTGAAAAAAATGTATATTCTGTTGATTTGGGGTGGAGAGTTCTGTAGATGTCTATTAGGTCCGCTTGGTGCAGAGCTGAGTTCAATTCCTGGGTATCCTTGTTGACTTTCTGTCTCGTTGATCTGTCTAATGTTGACAGTGGGATGTTAAAGTCTCCCATTATTAATGTGTGGGAGTCTAAGTCTCTTTGTAGGTCACTCAGGACTTGCTTTATGAATCTTGGTGCTCCTGTATTGGGTGCATATATATTTGGGAGAGTTAGCTCTTCTTGTTGAATTGATCCCTTTACCATTATGTAATGGCCTTCTTTGTCTCTTTTGATCTTTGTTGGTTTAAAGTCTGTTTTATCAGAGACTAGTATTGCAACCCCTGCCTTTTTTTGTTTTCCATTTGCTTGGTAGATCTTCCTCCATCCTTTTATTTTGAGCCTATGTGTGTCTCTGCACGTGAGATGGGTTTCCTGAATACAGCACACTGATGGGTCTTGACTCTTTATCCAATTTGCCAGTCTGTGTCGTTTAATTGGAGCATTTAGTCCATTTACATTTAAAGTTAATATTGTTATGTGTGAATTTGATCCTGTCATGATGATGTTAGCTGGTTATTTTGCTCGTTAGTTGATGCAGTTTCTTCCTAGTCTTGATGGTCTTTACATTTTGGCATGATTTTGCAGCGGCTGGTACCAGTTGTTCCTTTCCATGTTTAGCGCTTCCTTCAGGAGCTCTTTTAGGGCAGGCCTGGTGGTGACAAAATCTCTCAGTATTTGCTTGTCTGTAAAGTATTTTATTTCTCCTTCGCTTATGAAGCTTAGTTTCGCTGGATATGAAATTCCAGGTTGAAAATTCTTGTCTTTAAGAATGTTGAATATTGGCCCCCACTCTCTTCTGGCTTGTAGGGTTTCTGCCGAGAGATCCGCTGTTAGTCTGATGGGCTTCCCTTTGAGGGTAACCCGACCTTTCTCTCTGGCTGCCCTTAACATTTTTTCCTTCATTTCAACTTTGGTGAATCTGACAATTATGTGTCTTGGAGTTGCTCTTCTCGAGGAGTATCTTTGTGGCGTTCTCTGTACTTCCTGAATCTGAACGTTGGCCTGCCTTGCTAGATTGGGGAAGTTCTCCTGGATAATATCCTGCAGAGTGTTTTCCAACTTGGTTCCATTCTCCCCATCACTTTCAGGTACACCAAGCAGACATAGATTTGGTCTTTTCACACAGCCCCATATTTCTTGGAGGCTTTGCTCATTTCTTTTTATTCTTTTTTCTCTAAACTTCCCTTCTCGCTTCATTTCATTCATTTCATCTTCCATCGCTGATACCCTTTCTTCCAGTTGATCGCATGGGCTCCTGAGGCTTCTGCATTCTTCACGTAGTTCTCGAGCCTTGGTTTTCAGCTCCATCAGCTCCTTTAAGCACTTCTCTGTATTGGTTATTCTAGTTATACATTCTTCTAAATTTTTTTCAAAGTTTTCAACTTCTTTGCCTTTGGTTTGAATGTCCTCCCGTAGCTCAGAGTAATTTGATCGTCTGAAGCCTTCTTCTCTCAGCTCGTCAAAGTCATTCTCCATCCAGCTTTGTTCCGCTGCTGGTGAGGAACTGCGTTCCTTTGGAGGAGGAGAGGCGCTCTCTTTTTATAGTTTCCAGTTTTTCTGTTCTGTTTTTTCCCCATCTTTGTGGTTTTATCTACTTTTGGTCTTTGATGATGGTGATGTACAGATGGGTTTTTGGTGTGGATGTGTTTTCTGTTTGTTAGTTTTCCTTGTAACAGACAGGACCCTCAGCTGCAGGTCTGTTGGAATACCCTGCTGTGTGAGGTGTCAGTGTGCCCCTGCTGGGGGGTGCCTCCCAGTTAGGCTGCTCAGGGGTCAGGGACCCACTTGAGGAGGCAGTCTGCCGGTTCTCAGATCTCCAGCTGCGTGCTGGGAGAACCACTGCTCTCTTCAAAGCTGTCAGACAGGGACATTTAAGTCTGCAGAGGTTACTGCTGTCTTTTTGTTTGTCTGTGCCCTGCCCCCAGAGGTGGAGCCTAGAGAGGCAGGCAGGCCTCCTTGAGCTGTGGTGGGCTCCGCCCAGTTTGAGCTTCCCGGCTGCTTTGTTTACCTAATCAAGCCTGGGCAATGGCGGGCGCCCCTCCCCCAGCCGTGTTGCTGCCTTGCAGTTTGATCTCAGACTGCTGTGCTAGCAATCAGCGAGACTCCATGGGCGTAGGACCCTCCGAGCCAGGTGCGGGATATAATCTCGTGGTGCCCCGTTTTTTAAGCCCGTCGGAAAAGCGCAGTATTCGGGTGGGAGTGACCCGATTTTCCAGGTGCCGTCCGTCACCCCTTTCTTTGACTCGGAAAGGGAACTCCCTGACCCCTTGTGCTTCCCAAGTGAGGCAGTGCCTCGCCCTGCTTCGGCTCGCGCACCCACTGACCTGCGCCCACTGTCTGGCACTCCCTAGTGAGATGAACCCGGTACCTCAGATGGAAATGCAGAAATCACCGTCTTCTGCGTCGCTCACGCTGGGAGCTGTAGACCGGAGCTGTTCCTATTGGGCCATCTTGGCTCCTCCCCTAATTCATTTTTATACCTCCCAACTTTCTTGCCAGTATTCCACAAAGAAAGCATTCACAAGAGAAAAATGAAAAAAAATTATGTATGTGTGTATGTGTATATATGTGTGTATATACATATATAAAATATCCTACTGTGTGTGTATATACACACACACATATATATAACCCACTGTGAAAGTGTGTGTGCATATGTATTCCAGTTAACATAATTAAAATGACTAGACTAGCATTTGCATCTCTCCACATCAGTCCATCAGTCCCATCCATTATAGGGGAAGATGCTTCACTGCCTTTAGTGTTTCTTCAACACAAAACATTTAATAAGTCGCTAGGGATCAACACATGGAATTCAAGATAGCCTGAGGAGAAAAAAATCAAGAGTAAAAGTTTGTTTTGAAAACTACAATAAAATCTAGGCTTACTTGCCTTTTGCCATACTCTTTGATATTGATACAAATACATATATTTTAACATTTGTAATTTTACTAATAACCTTTGGTATTGCCATTTTTGAAGGTAAAAAATTGTAAAATATCAACAATTTGATCACTCAACCAACTAAAGAGATATAGTCTCAAAAGGCAATCCCAGATGCCAAAGGGCAAGGAGAAAACCACTAATGATATTTTACATAATTTTTATGTGATAGTGAGATCTAAGACTTCTAACTAACACTTCCAAGTACAAGTACTAAACTCCCATGAGTATAGTCCCCCGTTTTTAAAGCCTTTACACAGATACTCTCATCTCACTGGATGTTTTTGGCAACCAGGAGACACTGGAAAAGGCCTTCTATTCTTGCCCCTGTTTCACCAATTAGCAAATAGGGTTCTAGAGAGGTTCAGTGATTCAGGCAAGATGACACAGCTAATCAAGACCAAGCATGGTACTTGAAGAATAAAGTCATCTGGCTTCAAATCCACTACCCTTTCACCTATCACTCCTTGTCTCTGACCTAAGGAAATGACCAGGTCCAATAAAAACCATGATTAATATATAAATACAAGTTAGATGCAAGAGTGCACAAAACTGGTCAGTCCCTTGACTGGATATTTACATAACAGCAGCAATAATCACACTGTATAAAATAGTCAATATTATTGGGACTCAGATTTTCATAGAAGCAATCTTGCATGGTAGATAAAGGAGATGCTTAAAGATAAACAACTAGATTTGAATCTGCCATGATCTTGAGCTACACCTTTTGTTTTGTTTTTTAGCTCTTTCACCTCTGTGACCCTCTTCTGTCCCACTTCCTATTAAATAAATTTTAAAACAGATAAAGCCAAACAGCTGCTGAGAAACTAAACAAGACATGCTAGTACCTGGCACGCAGCAGCTATTCAATTAAAATGGAGTTTCCTTCCCATCCCTGCTAATAACTTATTAGGATAAAAGTGTAAAATCCCACTGGAAACTGCTTGAGCTGTAATCTGAGAGTCAGAGGTCCAAAAAAGAAATCACAGAAATAAAGGGTAAGGAGTACCTCTCCCAATTTACCTGCCATCATTCCCACAAAAAACTGGGCGTCGTGTCAGTACACAGGTAGTGAACATCTATTGACACAGGCCCATTGACTACCTACTACCTTAAGTAATCTACACTCTAAAAAACGGGGCCACTCCTTCCTGGCCAGAACAATGGTCCTGACAGTTATGGAGCCTGGAATTACAGGTCAGGGGCTGTGAGACCCACAGGTGGTGGCCATACACACACACACAAAAAAAAAAAAGGTGGGAGAAAGACATCAGGATTACTTCCTGTTTGATTCACACATCTGGTGGGTAGATAAACAACCTTAAAAATGCTCAAGAAAACAAAGTGAAAGATATGTGTTCTGTACAAGTTACAAAAATGAACTTGGGAAGTTTCATATATTTTTAAATTTAATTACTCTTCATAAAATGTGGTGTCCTTTTTTGATATTTATAGACAGTCCAGTATAATACATATATTTAATAGCTTAAGAGCTGGAGTGCTAAAACAAGCAAACTAACAACCATAACAAAATCTCTTATCAGAAAATATAGATAAATGTATTTTAGCCAAGAATTCTCAAATTTTTGGTCTCAGGATCCCTTTTACTCTTAAAAAATTACTGAGGACCTCAAAGAGCTTTTGTGTATACCTATCCATACTTATTATTTTAGAAATTAAAATTGTGACAGTTATAAAACTTTTAAATAGCAGGTTAACACAAGTAACATTTTTATGAAAAATATTTTCAAAAAAATTTATGTCAACAAGTCATGTTATTCTACATTTTTGCAAATCTCTTTAACATCTGGCCTAGAGAAGACAGTTGGATTCTCATATCCACTTCCATGTCCAATCTCTTGCAAAATGTTTAGGTTAAAAGTATGTTGAAGAAAATCCAATCCCATACAGATAAATAATGGCCTTCTGGATTTTCTTCTTTGACAGCACAAAACTCAACAGGTGGTTTTTTAAAGCATGATTGCAATATTGGATCTAAAACCATGTCAATGAATATTTTATACTTTGTAACACTGAAATCTTTTGGTCTTGACCTTTAAGTCTATGTGTTTTACTTATGCCCAATTTTATAACATCATACATTGGTCATGTAGATAAAATACATTCATGCAGAAATTTGTAAATATAAACACTTTTCATTCTACAGTACCAAAAAATCATACTAATTAATATTGCCCCTCCTCACAGTGTCAATACCGGAAAGCTACGAAACTCACAACAGCAGACAGAAGCTTTCCAAAATTCTGCTTTCAGTTTGAAAGCTTGAATTTTATCATTGTCAAAAATTGTCTCTCAGTTCATTCAGTTTTGAGAAAATGTTTGCCAAACACCCAAGTACAATTATTAGTTTGTCATTCGATCAAGTAAAAATGGTGTTCCATGAAAAATGCATCTAATTCAGCTTATAACTCAATTATACAAGTGTTCATTCCTCTAGACAATCATAAGTAGCAAATGTACTTTATACATAATTAATATTTTGGCACACAAAATATTAAAAAGATATTTTTATGGTTGAGATTTAATAAAAACTAGTATTGCTTTATTAAGCAATTGGTAAAACTGATTTTTCTTTTCTTGTTTAAGATTGTATGTCAGTAAGGTATAAAATGCAATGAACAGTTGAGTGCACTGCCTTGATTTGTGCTAAGACACCTGAACATTTTACACATCATGGCTTTTGCACCATCAGTGCAAATTTCAGCACGATGAAAATAGCAACATCTTAGTACTCTTATAAAGATGGATTTGATTTCATAGTGTCTCTGAAAGGGTGTCAGGAACCCCTGTGGTTCTGCAGACCACATTTTAAAAACCACTGTTCCAGGCTGGGCGCGGTGGCTCACGCCTGTAATCCCAGCACTTTGGGAGGCTGAGGCGGGTGGATCACCTGAGGTCAGGAGTTCGAGACCAGCCTGACCAACAAGGTGAAACCCCGTCTCTACTAAAAATGCAAAAATTAGCCGGCCAAGGTGGCAGGTGCCTGTAGTCCCAGCTACTTGGGAGGCTGGGACAGGAGAATTGCTTGAACCTGGGAGGCGGAGGATGCAGTGAGCCAAGATAGTGCCACTGCACTCCAGCCTGGGTGACAGAGCGAGACTCCATCTCAAGAAAAAAGAAAAAGAAAAAGAAAAAAGAAAAAATGTGCACTGTTCTAAACTTTAGGACAGAAAAGTTTTAAGATACAAAAAGCACTAGTTAGAAAAGAAAAAAACGATAATTTGATCCTTAAAATTGGTAAATTTTGCTTCTTGAAATATAACTTTAAAAGTGAAAACAGTAAGTCACAATCTAGAAAGCCTATTTATAGTAGAGACACCAAACAAAATATCAACAATATTCAAAGAAGTCTACAAATCAGTAACAGCATAAACAACCCAACAGAAAAATAAGCAAAAAATGTGACTAGACATTTCATAGAAATACCAGTGATCATATGAAGAGATGCCCATATCATTTGAGATCACTGTACAAATGAAGACTACAATATAATAACATTTCATAAGAAAAAAATTTTTAATCTGAAAAGATAAAACGTCAGAGAGGACTGATATCCACAGGATCACTACACATCATTGGTAGGAATATAAACTAGTGTAACTTCTTTGGAAAACAGTTTGGCGGCTGGGCGCAGTGGCTCACACCTGTAATCCCAGCACTTTGGGAGGCCGAGGCGGGCAGATCACCTGAGGTCAGGAGTTCGAGACCAGCCTGGCCAACATGGTGAAACCCCATCTCCACTAAAAATACAAAAAATTAGCCAGGCATGGTGGCGGGCACCTGTAGTCCCAGCTACTTGGGAGGCGGAGGCAGGAGAATCGCTTGAACCCAGGAGGTGGAGGTTGCAGTGAGCCAAGATCGTGCCACCACACTCCAGCTTGGGCGACAAGAGTAAGACTCTGTCTCAAAAAAAAAAAAAAAAGAAAAAAAAAAAAAGCCAGGCGTGGTGGCTCACGCCTGTAATCCCAGCACTTTGGGAGGCTGAGGCAGGTGGATCACAAGGTCAGGTGTTCAAGACCAGCCTGGCCAACACAGTGAAACCCCGTCTCTACTAAAAATACAAAAAATTAGCTGGGCGTGGTGGCATGCACCTGTAGTCCCAGCTACTATGGAGGCTGAGGCAGAATCGCTTGAACCTGGGAAACGGAGGTTGCAGTTAGCCGAGACTGGTACTCCAGCCTGGGCAACAGAGCGAGATTCCGTCTCAAAAAAAAAAAAAAAAAAAAAGTTTGGCATCACTTCCTGAAGTTTAACATTCATGCTGTCCTTGACTCAGCAATTTAACTCCTAGGTTTATATCCACGAGAAATTTTCAAATGTCCATCAATAGGCAACAAAGATATGCATCTCGGCATGACTCACAATGGCAAAAACCTGGAAATACCCCAAATACAAGAAACTGAATTAACTATGATATGGTCACACAGCAGAATGCTATACAGTAACCAAAACAAAATTAATTATAGCAATACTTAATAACATGGATGTGTACGATATATATGAAATCAAATTTTATATATTTATGTCAGTAAAATATATAGAAAAATCATGAAGAGATTACATACAGTTTTAAAATCATAACTTCATTCACACACACTTTTAGGAATACATATAGATGTTACAAAAATTTGTAAAACAGGAAAAGTGAAAGATTGAAGAACACATGACTCAGGTAATGTGGAATAAAAGTATCCAGAGAGATGGCATGGGGGTGGGAGGATGGACCATTTAGACAAGAGCAGCTGCTTACTGTCAAGGTCTTGGCTTTCGTTTTGGTTACTGAGTCTGAAGGAGATTATTAACATCGTTAAGAATAACAAAATAAATCTGTAAAAAGTCATCCTTGCTTGAATGCTGCATAACAAGAATGCTTCCTGAATCAAGAATTATGATTATTCTAATTCTGTGATCCAGAGATTTAAAAGGATATCTATATATGTTAATCTACTATGCACATTGAAGTGGCAATTCAAAATATAAAAGTACATTTTAAAACTCTAGAAGTGCTGAACAAACTCATCATTTGACAGTTAAGGAAATCCTTAATTTGACCAAAGTTGTATAAGTAAGTTCATTCTGAAATTCCATAAATATTCATTGAGCTTCTAACTGTAGAGCAAGCTCTATTCTGGGACCTCCTAATTTTGCCGTTAACAAGAGAAATAAATTCTGGTCTGGCAAAGCTTACCTTTAAGAAGGGCTGTATGTAAGAATAGGGGGAGAGGAGAATAAGTTAAAAAATATTAGATTGGTGCAAAAGTAATTGCAGTTTTTGCCATTGAAAGTCATCACAAAAACCACAATTACTTTTGCACCAACCTAATATTTTAAACAACAAAGGGAGACAAGAGAAAACAAACGTGGTAAGAGGCTAGAGAATGCGACATAGGGGGAATGGCTATGTTAGATGCCATGAACAGGAAAGGCCTTGCTGAGAAGGTGACATTTTAACAGAGACCAGCATGTGGCAGCCACACAAAGGTACCAGAGACTGACAATCACAGGCAGAAGCCAGCTCCAAGGACCTCTGCCCAAGTGAGTTGCTTTTACTTATTTATTTATTTATTTATTTATTTATTTGAGATGGAGTCTAGCTCTGTTACCAGGCTGGAGTGCAGTGGCGCGACCTCAGCTCACTGCGACCTCTGCCTCCCAGGTTCAAGGAATTCTCCTGCCTCAGCCTCCCGCGTAACTGGGATTACAGGCACGCCCAGCTAATTTTTGTATTTTTAGTAGAGATGGGGTTTCACCATGTTAGCCATGATGGTCTCGATCTCCTGACCTCATGATCTGCCCACCTCAGCCTCCCAAAGTGTTGAGATTACAAGCATGAGCCACCATGCCAGGCCATGAGTTGCTTTTAGATCTTTTCAGAATCAAACTTCAACCCCACTATAGGGAATATTCACATTCACCTGAACATTCCTGCTACTCTTATGCAGAGCTTGACAAAACTCAGCTGGTCATGCTTGCAGGGCCCTGCCCCCATCAGTTTACAAAGGTCCAGAAATCTTTCACAATTTAATGAGACTGAGGAAAACATGCACCTGCTCAGAGTTCTGCCAGGCATTAGATGACCAAAAAGCTCAAGTGGGTAGGTTAAGCTTTTACTTTTTATTTTGAATTTTTGTTCCACTGGACCAAAATACCTAAGTAGCTTAATAATCTACATCTACAAGGAATATTGGTTTGCCTGCCAAAGGCACTAAGTGTCTGCTACCCTGCTTTCTTCACAACCTCCACCGCATACAAAAAAACACGCCTGAGCTTTTTCTACAAGTTAACCACGTCCATGACGTGGTTAGAAATAGAAGAGATAGAAGAAAGTTCGCTGGAACGTTTGCTGCTTCAGGCTGGACAGATTCTTATTATAGGTAAAAGAGTCACACAGCTGAGGATAGGCTTCTGCTACCCACCAGGAGAGTGATGGTGACCCCTGACTAAGGAACTTGACAGCAGGGTTAATGATAGTCCACATTATATGGGCATCACTTATGCCAGGCTTCTCCCAGCCATTTACTAGAAGAGAGGCATGCAACCAAGTTAAGAACATACAGGTTGGATATTACAGTAACTGAGGCTTCGAATGGTTGGGTCCTAGTTGTAGGGGCTCTGATTACCATATCTGGGAACTTACTCAACCCATTAAGCTCCCTTCATCTTTCTTCCTGTGTAAAATAAGGATATTTTTGGTCATTCATCAGAAAGTTTATACAGCACCTACTATGAACCATTTGCTGGGTTAACTGAAAATACAAAGCTCTCTCCCAACACAGTAAAACAGACAAGCTAGTAAAAACAAATACTTTCAGTAGGATGCAATATTTTCCATTGATTAAGGCTGTAAACTGGCAATGACCTCGATTCAAATCTCAGCTCTACAACGTAACTATTTGCAATACCTAGACAGACAATTTATTCAAGCTCTCTAGGCTTTGTTATCCTCCAGTATAAAACAGGATTACTCCTATCTTGTCAGGACCACTTGAAGCTTTGAAAGTTACTAACTGTAGTTAATTCAGTCTCACTGCTGCATAAAATTTCACTAGGCAAATAATGGGTTTTTTACCCATTCTCCTGTCAATAATCATCTGGGTTATTTCCATATTTTTGCTATTACAAACAGTGCTTCTATGAGTGTTCTTGGACATGCTTCCTGGCATGCATCTGCAGGAGTTTTCTAGGGCATACACCTAAAAGTTAAAATGCTCAGCTACAGAGTGAGTGAATGTTCATCTTCACCAAGTATTTCCAATTCCCTTTCCAAAGTGATAGACTTTTTAAATTTCTCTACTCAGCATTATGTTTTAAAGTCCTAAAAGATTACATATAGCATGAACAATTTTTACAAAGGAATGTATGTACACATGGACTAAAATCATTAGTTTTAAAAGGGAGGAAATAAAAAACACACAATTCAGGACAGAGTTACCACAAGGCGGAGAAAGGCGGATGGCAGAGGAGGAACAGGAACGATCCAAGAATGCCTGTGGGACTCTCGCTCTCAAGTCGGTGCTGTGTTTTTGTTTTTGTTTTTTTGAGACGGAGTTTCACTCTTGTTGCCCAGGTTGGAGTGCAATGGCACGATCTCGGCTCACCACAACCTCCGCCTCCCGGGTTCAAGTGATTCTCCTGCCTCAGCCTCCCGAGTAGCTGGGATTACAGACACCTGCCACCACGCCCAGCTAATTTTGTATTTTTAGTAGAGACAGGGTTTCTCCATGTTGGTCAGGCTGGTCTCAAACTCCCCACCTCAGGTGACCCGCCAGCCTCGGCCTCCCAAAGTGTTGGGATTACAGGCGGGAGCCATCACGCCCGGCCCAGTGCTATGTTCTTTTTGTTGTGCTTTAACTTATACTACATGTAGTCTTTTCAAAGTATCAAACATTCCATTGAAAAGAAAGACTATATTTAAAAGCAATTAACACTGTCTGTGTTTGGTAAAACACAAAACTCAAAATGAATGGTAGCTATTGCTACAGAATGTGATGAGAATAAGAGATGACAAGACAGCGTAGCTCAAGGTGAGGCATGACTAAACTCAGAGGGCACGAGAGTGCTACCCTGTGGAGGTGAGGCAGCCGGGCTCGTCAACATCCAGAGCTGCAAATGACCCAGATCTGCAGAAACTAGAGATGTTCAGGGGAGGAGGGGAAAGAAATGGGGCTGCTCAGATGCCAGAACAGCAGGCTCTGAGCTCCAAGAGGGCAGGGACAATGTTGGTGTTTTTTTATTGCTTTATCACCAATAGCACATACACTGTCTGGTAATAGCTGTTAGAAGAATATTTGAAAGGTGAAAAGAAAATTTTGTTTTACAGATGATGGTTTTAAACAATATTAAAAAAAATTTAGTTTCAAGGGTACATCTGAAGGTTATATAGGTAAACTCATGCCACAGGGATTTGTTGCAGATTTTTTTGTCAGGTACTAAGTCTAGTACCCAATAGTTATCTTTCTGCTCCTCTCCCTCCTCCCACCCTCCATCCTCAAGTAAGCCTCAGTGTCTACTGTTCCCTTTGTGTCCATGAGTTCTCATGATTTAGCTCCCACTTATAAGTGAGAACATGTGGTATTTGGTTTTCTGTTCCTTTGTTAGTTTACTAAGGATAATGGTTTCCAGCTCCATCCATATTCCCACAAGACATGATCTCATTCTTTTTTTATGGCTGCATAGTATTCCATGGCATATATGTGCCACATTTTCTTTATCCAATCTGTCACTGATGGACATTTAAGTTGATTCCATGTCTTTGCTATTATGAAATAGTGCTGAAATGAACATTCATGTGCATGTGTCTTAATGGTAGGATGATTTCTATTCCTCTGGGTTTATACCCAGTAATGGGATGGCTGGGTCAAATGGTAGTTCTGTTTTCACACCAATCAGAATGGCTATCGTTAAAAAGTCAAAAAATAACAGATGCTGGCAAGGTTGCAGAGAAAAGAGAACACTTCCACACATTGGTGGGAGGGTAAATGAGTTCAACCATTGTGGAAAGCAACACTGTGATTGCTCAAAGAGCTACAAACAATGTTTTAAGTAAAGACTACTTTGGCATAGAGGAGTATATAGAAAGAGAAAAGAAAATGGCCAAGAATAGAACAAGAAACATCAATTTTAAGGATGGGCAGAGGAGACCCCACAGGAAAGTAAGAAGGAAAGGTAAGAAAAATAGCAGAGACACCCAGGAGACTGTTATTAGGCATTCGTTACCTGTCAGGCACGGAGCACAGGACCCTTCCCTCAAAACCAACACACACACGTGTGTGTATACATGTATATGTGCATATAGGCATGCATATATCAGCAAAAAAAGCCCATGAATACACAAGTTTATACAAACATACAAACATAACACTTTGTTTTCTTGTACTGAAGTACTTTCAAAATAAGTTGCAGGTAATCATGACCCTTCCCTTCTAAATACTTCAATAAGCATCTCTAAATACTCTCTCGCTTAACCACACCATCAATATTTCTGGGAAGATTATTACTCAGTAATATTACCTAATCTAGAATCTGTATTCAGAGTTATACAACTGTCTCAAAACAATTTGTATGGCTATTCCCTCCAGCCAACAATCACCACTCATTAACGGTGTTATTTCTCTTTGGCCTGTTTTAATCTACGACTGTCCCCTTCCAGCCCATCATGTTTGTTTCTCGTGGCATTGATTTTTTTAAAGAGTCCAAGGCTGGTTGCTTTATCAAATGTTTCATATTCTAAATTTGTCTGATTGCTCATTGAAGATTTTTGATACAGTTTATTACAAAAGTATGTTGTGTACATCTAACTAAATCATATCAGGAGGCATACGATGCCAGATTATCTCACTTTTGGTAAGTTGGATCATTCAGTGACCACCAGATCTCTCTGCTTCAGAGGTATACTTTTTATTACTCTAAATGATGGGGGAGTATGTTTTCAGACTGAAAGATACTATTCTCCCACACCCATTCACCCAGTGGCTTTTGGCCACAATTGAAGCTTATTGCCTGAATCAGTTATCACACTGAGGTTGCAAAATGGTGATGTCCTAAATTCTACCCTTCTTCTACCTTTACTAGCCAGCATTCTCCTGTAAACAAGAGCTTTCTCATTTGCATCCTACCTTTTTGTAATCTGTACTTTTAATATCACCATAAACTCCTGAATTTGTTTTGGTTTTCAATGTATTTTCACCTGTTGCTATCATTCTCATTAATGCCCAAACTGTCCCAGATCTAGGAGTGCCCTCAAGTCGGCTTCTGTGTCCTTTTTTAGCATTTCCTAATCGGTCTGAGCACTTCCTTGCTTTCTGATCAAAAGATGTCACAACTCAACTTATACTTTTCCTGTACCTGATCGGAAATCAGTAATTTCTCTTAAGGAGCCCTGTTTCCTTTCAGTGGCTAGTGAGAGTTCCAAACAAGATGAGCTCACTGACAGTGGGAAGTCACTACTTCTGCATTGGCAGGGGGGTTTCACTTTTGTTATTTAAAAATGGCTTGAGCAAGTTTACAGCTATTGGGGTGTCATGACTTACAGACATACAGATTTTATTACTTTTTTTTATTAAGGACTTTGAGCAGGTTTAAAGTTTGAAGGGAAGTAGCCCTTAGAAAGAGACGTTGAAAATAGAAAAGAGAAAAGCAATAACACATAGAGTTCAAAGAAACATTAGAAGGAAGTGGAAGTGCATTCAAAAAAAAAAAAAAAGCGTGGAGTAAAACAAAACTAGTCCTGGCACGTTTCACAGTCCAAGGATGTCAATGAGCATCAAAGTGTAGTGTATAGTATAACGAGAAAGGAGTGTTTATCAGAATTTTTTTACATACAGGTATTATACCTGAGGCAATAATGAAATGGCATCTAACAGCTCCCCTGGGGCAGGGCAAGACATAAGACTATTTTCTTACACTGTACTTGACTGACTTCTATTGAAATTCATGGGAAAGGTGAAATATCACAAGTGGAATGTTCTAAAACAGACACGCATATTCAAGAACAGATCCCGGCCGGGTGCGGTGGCTCACGCCTGTAATCCCAGCACTTTAGGAGGCCGAGACTTGCGGATCACAAGGTCAGGAGATCAAGACAATCCTGGCTAACACGGTGAAATCCCGTCTCTACTAAAAATGCAAAAACAAAAATTAGCCAGGCGTGGTGGCGGGCACCTGTAGTCCCAGCTACTTGGGAGGCAGAGGCGGGAGAATGGCGTGAACCCAGCAGGCGAAGCTTGCAGTGAGCTGAGATCGCACCACTGCACTCCAGCCTGGGCAACAGAGCGAGACTCCATATCCAAAACAAAAACAAAAAACAAAAAAACAGATCCCAACATGTGAGCCTAGGACTCATAAAAAGTAAAGGTCTTTGATTTCAAATACAACTTGAACAACATCTTCAAGCTGCATAAAAGTGCATCTTTCACCCTTAAGTCCTACTAAGTTTGCAACTAATACAGTTGCTCCATTGTTGCATGCTCTAGTTAATAAAACACAAATTCGTTTAAGAATTGCTCAGTTCGCCTGGCGCAGTGGCTCATGCCTGTAATCCCAGCACTTTGGGAGGCCGAGGCAGGCGGATCACGAGGTCAGGAGATTGAGACCACGATGAAACCCCATCTCTACTAAAAATACAAAAATAAGCCAGGCATGGTGGTGGGCGCCTGTAGTCCCAGCTACTAGGGAGGCTGAGGCAGGAAAATGGCATGAACCCGGGAGGCGGATCTTGCAGTGAGCCAAGATCGTGCCACTGCACTCCAGCCTGGGCGACAAAGTGAGACTCCGTCTCAAAAAAAAAAAAAAAAAAAAAAATTAGCCGGGCATGGTGGCACGAGCCTGTAGTCCCAGCTACTCGGGAGGCTGACGCAGGAGAATCGCTTGAACCCGGGAGGCGAGGTTGCAGTGAGCGGAGATCACGAAACTGCCCTCCAGCCTGAGCAACAGAGCAAGACTCCATCTCAAAAAAAAAAAAAAAAAAAAGAATTGCTGAATTTATAAGTTATTACCACAGTATGTTTTATTAAAATCAAAGAACCCTCTAACAGGGATTAATACACAAAACAGGGAGGAAACATACAACACTTTGGGTTAGAGAGTATATGGGAATCACTTCTGTACAGTATTTCTACTCCCACTTAAAATTCTGGATATTTATATTCTTTTCCTTTGGCTATATAAGCCTGAATCTTGAACAAACACACAAGTGGTTGATATTCAGCTAAGCAGTTAAAGCTGTTGTTTTCTCACACATGGAAATTTGTCTTCATCTTCACAGCAAAGGATAACCACTAATGGTCTAACAGCCCCATGATCTGCAGATCTGAGTACTGCTTGCCTGAGAAATGCAAATACCATCTCAGTGAGGCGAAAAGAGGTCATGGATTCATTTCCTTGCCTGGCCCCAGGGAATAGGACCACATATTCCAAAACAATGCTGCAGAAGAACAGGCTGGAAAAAATTCAGTAATTCAGGCAGCTCAACCTAGTTCCAGGAGAAAAAAGAATTGGTTCCCAAAACCCTGAAGCCAGGAGTGATGCAGAGCTTTGTGCCACTCTCATGAAAGATTAGCATTGTGTAGGGACTGGTAAATTAGAACTGAAACACTCTGGACTTCATACATACACTCTGTTGTTGAGTGCCACTTCCTGTGACTAGAATAGAGGGATCATCAGAAGCAAAACCTCTCCCAATTTGTCCCTTGTTCAAGCACTGCTGGGCCACATACTGGAGGAAGCTCAGAGCACTCTGCAAAGGGTCTACTGTGCCTCCTGCAGCCCTGAATTTCAGTGTAGAAGAGCGTCAACTTAAATCAACTTAAAGAAGAGGGGAAACTGTCAGGAGCCTGATAGTTTATTCTGTTATCAGCTGAGTCACTCCCTGTACGCGCAATGTTCCCACTGAGTCACAGCCTGCCTCACACCAGGTATTTGATTCTTATGGGAACAGGAACCCTAGATGTAGCTGAGGTAGCTACTACTTCTCCCCTCATTTTAGACATGTAAAAACTGATACACAAAGGCAGTTAATAATTATCGCAATATTCTAGCGCCATACATGTAGCCAAGGCCCACTGTATCCCACAAGCATGCATGTAATCATTATGCTGCACTGTCTGTCCTCTGTCCACTATTCCAACAGAGCAGTAAATAAAGCACACTTCACATTCCTAGACCTTAGCATACAGATTACTTACTGCTGATGAGTTATTCAATTACAGTTAAGGTCTGACCCCAACAAGAAAGCTAAATTCTCTTCCTGTATCAAAATCATCTGAAACATACCTACCATTAAGGGGTCATTCCAGTGGTTCTCAAGAAAATTTAGAAATGTGTGGGGACGTGGCTGGTTGCACAAACCATGGCGTTCTACTGCCACCTAGTGGATACAGGCCAGGGATGCGGCTAAACACCCAACAATACACAAGACAGCCTACCCACAAAGAACTGAAACCGAAAAAAACAGTTAACAGTACCAAGGCTGAGAAACCCTGGACTATTCCAATCATTATAGGCAAAAAATTACAGGTCCATCCTGACTACCAAGATGCAGTCCCTAGAGTAAAGGCTAACAGTGGGTGGCCATTTTCCTGGCCCCCAGTTTGCCATTCGGGAAGACTGCATGACTATGTATCCATTGGAGGTCATGAGGTGCCTATGCCACACCTCACCCTCCACTGACAGCTCCCATGATCCATTTGCATAATCACAAAGTGAAGACAGGCTGGAGTTCTTAGACATGCCAATATGCTAGACTTGCAGTCTGCCACAAGCTATGCCAAAAGTGTTTTGAGGGAAGCGATTAGAATACAAAGTAAAGACTATGTTTGGACGTTATCAGTTTATAAATCCAACCTAATCCGTCCCCCCTTACCATTCTCACACATAATCAAGAGTTGGATCTGTTTGTAGCAGAAATTCAGATTTCTTTTATCTTTATGGGTTGTAAAGACTGTGAATACGAAGATCAAGAGGGAATCAAGAGAGGGCCGAATTTATGCTTTGGTGGAGGAGGAAGTTCTTGGGTATCTGCAATTCAGCCTAAGAAGAATATTTAGATATTTCTAATGTGAAAACTTAGCACAGCTCCTCAATGAAAGTATGTGGCCACACCATTCAGCCAATTTTAAGTTACATTAACACATGTTGGTCACTGACCTGGATTCTAACTGAAGGTAAAGTCGATGGGTCACAGCAGCAGGAGTTAGGATCAAGTGACCTGATCTTGAGCTCACATCTCCTGCCAGAGAAAACTGGCTGAAGGTGACAAACAGCAGCAAGCAGAGCTCTCCTTGTGCCAGGGGCCCCAGGGGATCTGCGTGTGGCATCCAAACCACATGCAGCAGATCTGGGTTTCTCCCTGCAGAAGAGTTTCCACCATTTATAGGTTAACGTTACCTGTTGTAATCACCATTCATGATAGTCCGACTCTGTATCTCTCTTTGGATATCAACGCAGGAGATAGAAAACTGAGTCAAAAAATCAGAAACTCATTTTAAATACTTTTAGAAACTGGCAAATCAAAAGGAGGTTCTCTATGCCGCAGTATCTGGAAGATAACTGAAGAAACTGAAGGCATCCACCTCATGCAAAACCTTAAAACTCAGATCAAAAACAAAAATAATATATATACTCTCAAACATACACACATGCACATTCCTTTCTTGAAAAAAAAACACTGGCTGACTTCTCAAGATGCGACTCCAGCAAAATGTTGAAGGGCCTGTGTAAAGGATCACATTCATATAAAACATGCTGCCCCCACATTCTTTCAGGAGCAGGGGAGCCCTGGCTTGGAATCAATCAGACATTAGTTTGAATACTGTCTGGCTATGTGTTAGGTGCCCTTTGATGAATCACTTAACCATTTTAAGCATCACTGTCCTCATTTGTAACGTAAACGTTTACTCATTGGCAAGATTCCATCATGTTACCCAAGAGCTTAGGCCATCCATTTTCCCCCACTGTGACAGCCTCTCGTGTCAGTCTTGATGCCTGTTCCTATAGCTCTCTCACCCCAAAACTCCTTCCTTCTTCTTTGCCTAGCTAAAGCCAACTCATTTGTCAATCTTCACTATCACATGCTCCAGGAAGGCTGCCCTGATGCCACCATTTCTGAAACTAGATACGTGCTCACTGTGTTCCTGTGCTTCCTCCTTCAATGATGACCCCATGTCATACCTTGAAGTGTCCCTCTGTTCAGCCTCCCCCTAGACTGGAATCTTCCTGAGAGTTCCCTGATGTGTTTCCATAGGGCATGGCAGCATGTTCTGACGGCTTTATAGTGAGCAAATGAACAAAAGGCCTTGGCAAAGGAAGAAATATCAGGGGTACACAGGAGCCAAAGGTTACAATGTACTTTATAAACAGCAGATTTCAACAAGGGGAAATCAATGATATCAAAAACTGCAAGCAAAGAGGTCAGGAAATAGAATAACTGAGAAAAAGACAACAGACTTAGAAATTAGGTCCCTGACAGCTTCTGAGAAGTGTGGTGAGTGTCAAACATCAAATGCTGTGGGTAATGAAAAAAGATAGGGGGTGGGAGAGTTCCTTCTTCTGGGTGAAGGAGAAAGTGAGATTCTCCTTGACTGAGCCTAGACAGGGCACGGACAAGAGTGCCACAGGAATGCAGAACACGGATGAGACAGCTACCGATAGGATCTGACAGAAAGCTGCTACGGTTTGAGTGTCCGTTTCAAAATTCATTTGAAATTGATTTGCCATTGTGACGGCATTAAGAGGTGGTACCTTTGAGAGATGATTAGATCATGATAGCAAAGGCCTCGTGAGCAAATTAATGGTATTACTGCAGAAGTTGGCCCTCTTTTTCTCTTGGTCTCACATGCTCACTTGCCCTTCCACCATGATGCAGCAGGAAGGCCTCACCAGATGCATCCCCTCCATCTTGAGCTTCAGAGAATCCAGAACCATGAGCCAAATTAATTTCCTTTCTTTATAAATGACTCAATACGTAGTATTGTTATAGCAGCAGACAATAGACTAACACAGGAGCTAAGCAGAAGAAGGATTTCTGAGAAATAAGGGGAGTGTAGCCAATTACAGAGAGAGAACAGCAACTTCTGTGAAGTCGAGGGCACCCTGGACAGGTCTATGACTTAGAAACATAGGACATTGTTTACCCAGCCCTAAGGAGTCACAGTGCTGGGGCAGAAAGGCAAGCCCAATAGGCAGGGTGAAAGAAGTTCTAAAATATCCAGCTCTGCTTGGGTAAGAAAAGCTAGGAGGCTGATGACAGAGAGAATTAAATAACACTAGTAAATAATATAAAATATTTTAAAGATGTAAAACGCTGTAAGTTATTTTAGTAACATAAAATGTAATAAGCATGTTCTGATGGCTTTAGTGAGCAAATGAACAAACGGCCTTGGCAAAGGAAGAAATATCAGGGGTACACAGGAGGCAAAGGTTACACTATATAAACAGCAGATTTCAATAAGGGGAAATCAATGATATCAAATGCTGCAAAGAGGGTCAGGAAATAGGATAACTGAGAAAAAGACAACAGGCTTAGAAATTAGGTCCCTGACAGCTTCTGAGAAGTGTGGTGAGTGTCAAACTTTAAATGCTCTGGGTGATGACAAAAGATAGGGGGTGGGAGGAGGATTCCTTCTTCTGGGTGAAGAAGAAAGTGAGATTCTCCTTGACTGAGCCTAGAGAGGGCACGGACAAGAGTGCCACAGGAATGCAGAACACAGATGAGACAGTTATTTGTAAATTATTTTAGTAACATAAAATGTAATAACACAACTATAAATACACGACACATAAATACTATGAAAACCGCATAGGCGATCACATTGACACCAAAAAAAAAAAAAGTGTTAAACATTAAGGCATGAGAGATTAAAGCAGCAAGAAAATGGCTTCAGTAAGTTTAAAAATGTATAAATGATTACATACATCTATACTATTTTCTATTGATACAGAATCAGCTAGAAAACAAGTATTTATCTCATAGAAAAAGATCCAGAGCACTGTGTATTAAAGCTTTTGATGTCTGGACTGAAAGGAAGGAAAAAAAATATATAAAAGTTGTACCTTTATAAGAACTGAAAAAAGAAGAGGAAGAAAAATGCACGTCATAAGTGGGTACTGATAAAAGCATTATTTGAAGGCAATCCATTCTCCATAGATATTTCTATTCCTAATTATGAAATAATTTAAATATACAAAAACAGAAGTGCAGACACTAATGTTGATAACACCAATGTACCAGTCACCAGTGTTAATAGGCAGTAATATTAGGCATATTTGATTCAGAATTTAAGAAATAAAATATCACAGATACAGCAAAGTCCAACCACCCTACCACTTATAAGCTCCCACTTGTAAGTTAAAACACGAGGTATTTGGTTGGGTGTAAGGAGGCTGGACTTGCTCCTACTTCCCTCCCCAGGAGTAGGCAATGTTCTTTTCTTTTTTTCTTTTAGGTTCAACAGTTACATGTGCAAGTTTGTTACTTGGGTATATTGTGTGACACTGAGCTTTTGGGCTTCTAGTGAACCCATCACCCAAATAGTGAACACAAAACCCAAGAGTAAGTTTTTCCACCATTTCCCCGCTTCCTACCTCCCCGTCTTTGGAGTCTCCAGTGTCTACTGTTCCCATCTTTGTGTCCATGTGTATCCAATGTTTAGTTCCCACTTATAAGTGAAAATATGTGGTATTTGGTTTTCTGTTTCTGTGTTAATTCACTTAGGATAATGGCCTCTAGCTACAACCATGTTGCTGCAAAGGACATGATTTCTTTTGTATGGCTGCATAGTATTCCACAGTGTATATGTACCATATTTTCTTCATCCAATCCATCATTGATAGGCACCTAGGCTGATTCTATGCCTTTGCTATTGTGAATAGTACTACAATAAACATGTGAATGAAGGTGTCTTTTTGGTAAAACAATTTGTTTTTCTTTGAGTATATACCTAGTAATGGGATTGCTGGGTGAAATGGTAATTTTATGTTTAGTTCTTTGAGAAATCTCTACACTGCTTTCAATAGGGACTGAACTAATTTACAATCCCACAAGAGTACATAAGTGTTCTCTTTTTTCTGCAATCTCACTGACATCTAGTTTTTTTTTTTTTTTGGACTTTTTAATAAAAGCCTCAATGTTGTAAAGTTAGAATATATGATTTACAACCAGCACATGTTCCATACTGCCCTAGGCCACTGAGATTATTACTCCATGCAGAACTTAACCTCTTTCTTTCCAAAGAGAATCTCATGACTTTTTAGGAACATTCTAAGTAAATATAAGATGATCACAATCGCCACCTCTCAAATAGGTATAAAATACCAATTTACATTTCCAAGAGACCATAAAGATGGGAAGATTATGATGAAATGTAATGAATAAACTTGGGCAAAGATCCTAGATTTCAGGCCTACTTGGAATATAATTTTTCTTGTCTAAAGTCCCGACTACAACAAAAATATTTTACCATCATCACCTTTATTAAATGTCTCCTGGGCACAGGATCTGGGGGAAAAAAATGATGCTAACTCAAAGAGTGGTACATGGACCAGCAGCATATCATGCTTTATTAGTCCATTTTCACACTGCTGATAAAGACATATTTGAGAATGGGCAATTTACAAAAGAAAGAGGTTTACTGGACTTATAGTTTCACATGGCTGAGGAGGCTTCACAATCATGGTGGAGCACATCTCACATGGTGGCAGACAAGAGAAGAGAGCTTGTGCAGGGCAACTCCCATTTTTAAAACCATCAGATCTCATGAGACCCATCCACTATCACAAGAACAGCACAGAAAGATCTACTCCCATAATTCAATCATCTACCACCAGGTCCCTCCCACAACACATGGAAATTAAGGGAGCCACAAGATGAGATTTGGGTGGGGACACAGAGCCAAACCATATCATTCCACCTCTGACCGCTCCCAAATCTCATATCTTCACATTTCAAAACCAATCATGTCTTCCAACAGTCCCCCAAGTCTCAATTCATTTCAGCATTAACTCAGAAGTCCACAGTCCAGAGTCTCATCCCAGACAAGGCAAGTCCCTTCCGCCTATGAGCCTGTAAAATCTAAAGCAAGTTAGTTACTTCCTAGATACAATGCAGTACAGGCATTGGGTAAATGCAGTCATTCCAAATGGGAGGAACTGGCTGAAACAAAGGGGCTACAGGCCCCATCCAAGTCCAAAATCCAGCAGGACAGTCAAATCGTAAACTTCCCAAACGATCTCCTTTGACTCCATGTCTCACACCCAGGTCACGCAATGCAAGAGGTGGGTTCCCATGGTCTTGGGCAGCTCCACCCCTGTGGCTTTGCAGGGTACAGCCTCCCTCCTGGCATTGAGTATCTGCAACTTTTCCAGACCAGCGGTGCAAGCTGTCAGGGGATCTACTATTCTGGAGTGTGGAGGATGTTGGCCCTCCTCTCACAGCTCCATTAGATGGTGCCCCAGTAGGCACTCTGTGTGGGGGCTCCAATCCCACATTTCCCTTCTATACTGCCCTAGCAGAGGTTCTCCATGAGAGCCCTGCCCCTGCAGCAAACTTCTGCCTGGACATCCAGGCATTTCCACACATATTCTGAAATCTAGGCGGAGGTTCCCAAACCCCAATTCTTGACTTCTGTGCACTCGCAGGCTCCACACCAGGTGGAAGCTGCCAAGGCTTGAGGCTTGCACCCTCTGAAGCCATGACCTGAGCTCTACAAGGGCCCCTTTCAGCCACACTAGAGTGGCTGGGATGCAGGGCACCAATTCCCCAGGCTGCACACAGCACAGAGACCCTGGGCTGGGCCCACGAAACCACTTTTTCCTTCTAGGCCTCCAGGCCTGCGATGTGATGGGCTTGCAGTAAAGACCTTTGACATGCCCTGGATACATTTTCCCCATTTTCTTGGTGATTAACATTCAGCTCTTTGTTGCTTATGCAAACTTCTGCAGCCGGCTTGAACTTCTCGTCAGAAGATGGGATTTTCTTTTCTATTGCATTGTCAGGCTGCAAATTTTCTGAACTTTTAAGCTCTGCTTCCCTTATAAAACTGAATGCTTTTAACAGCACCCAAGTCACCTCTTTAATGCTTTGCTGCTTAGAAATTTCTTCAGCTAGATACCCTAAATCATCTCCCTCAAGTTCAAAGTTCCACGAATCTCTAGGGTAGGGGCAAAATGCCTCCAGTCTCTTTGCTAAAACATAACAAGAATCACTTTTGCTCCATTTCCCAACAAGTTCCTCATTTCCATCTGAGACCACCTCACCCTGGACTTTATCGTCCATATCACTATCAGCATTTTGGGCAAAGGCATTCAACAAGTCTCTAGGAAGTTCCAAACTTACCTACATTTTCCTGTCTTCTTCTGAGCCCTCCAAACTGTTCCAATCTCTGCCTGTTGCCCAGTTCCAAAGTTGCTTCCACATTTTCAGATACCTTTTCAGCAATGTGCCACTCTACTGGCACCAATTTACTGTATTAGTCCGTTTTCACACTGCTGATAAAAATGTACCAGAAACAGGACAGTTTACAAAAGAAAGAGGTTTACTGGACTTACAGTTCCACATGGTGGGAGGCCTCACAATCATGGCAGAAGGTGACAGGCATGTCTCACATGGCAGCAGACAAGAGAAGAGAGCTTGTGCAGGGCAACTCTCGTTTTTAAAACCATCAGATCTCATGAGACCCATTCACTATCACAAGAACAGCACAGAAAGACCCACCCCCATAATTCAATCATCTCCCACTGGCTCCCTTCCACAACATGTGGGTATTACGGGAGCTACAAGATGAGATTTTGGTGGGGACACAGAGCCAAACCATATCACGTGCCAAACTCCAGACATAATGGAATCTCAGTCCTCATTTTAGCAAGATCCCAGGTAATGTGTATGCACATTAAAGTTTAGGGAGCACTCACTGGTTTAAAGAATTCAGAAATATGAAAACCTAGACTAAGGCAGAACCAAATCCAACCACCATTTTGCTAAACCTATCCTCTTCCTATCAGACCACATGGCTTTCAGGTGTTATCTCTGCAAAGTCCACACATTAGTCTCATTACACTGGTGGTAATCAAATGAGGGCAATTTTGTCCCTCAGAGGACATTTGGCAAAGTCTAGAAACATTTTTGATTACCGCAACTTGGGTAGTGGGTTACTGGCATCTAGTAGGCAGAAGTCAGAACTGCTGCTAAACATCTTACAATGCATAGGACAGCTCCCAAAAATAAATAATTATCTGGCCCAAAAGGTCAATAAGACAAAGGTTTTTAAAAAACAAAACAATTAAAAAAATCCACCTGCAATTAGACTTATGATTTCATGGCTAAGATGAATTGTTATATTCAGTCATTTGATAAATTGATTCGATCATCCATATCCAAGGGGGGGGGGGGGGTAATATAAACCAATAACCAAAACCACTTCATGCCCAAGCTCTCAGAGTTTAAGTTTCCCACAAGAGGCTGCAACCAAATCAATAATCAATAATGACAACAAATAGCAAGTATAGTGAAACAACAAATGCACATGTTGAAATATTTCACAATTACACAAGCTGAATTTAAGAAGTAAGTACAGACATATTTTCCCAATAAAAAGTCAGGTGCTCACTTAAATCTTTGGTTTTTTGTTTTGTGTAATGCAGGATCTTTAATGAAAAAACACTTGGGCCACTTCAAGACGACAAACGCTCACTGGGCAAAACACCTTCACTGAAAAGAGACCTCATATTATGCAAAAAAAATCTTAAAAGGTAATTTTTTAAATCCCTCAAGTATTATCAAGAGCTTTGTTAATTTCATCGAAGTGCTATGAAGAAAAAATTCTTTTCTTCACAGAAGGAATTACAGCTCACAATTAGGAAGGTGGAAGGTGTTCTAATACAAGAGGAAAATAGGTCATGGTATATAATTACACAGATGAGTAATGAACTCAGAGCTGACTAAGCCTGCTTTTATTAAGATGAACGTATTTCTGGAGTGAGCAATGCTTTGCACAGCCTTGTATCAATTAAATTCTGTCCAAAGAGAGAACCCTGAGGTTATCTGTAATACATGACAACTTGAAAACACTTCATGCAGCACAATCCTAAGATATTACACTGCACTAAGGGACAAGTGCACTCACTATCTAAATCAGATTGAATCTTTGGCATTGACATTCTTTCTACACAATGCTCCCACTACACTTTAATAACTGTCTTTGGGCCTCATAAATCTCATTCTGCCATGTTCTTTAATTATGTTACCAAAGTCTCCAAAGTGACAGTAGACAATGTAGGCTAAAACATTTCAGACCACTTCATTCTCATATATCTGGATTTGTGAAACAAGGCAAAATTTCACTGAAGAAAATTTCAAGACTTACACTATTACAGTATACCCCCCCTCTTTTTTTTTTTTTTTTTTTTTTTTTTTTTTTGAGACTGAGTCTTGCTCTGTCACCCAGGCTGGAGTGCAATGGTGGGATCTCGGCTCACTGCAACCTCCGCCTCCCAGGTTCAAGCAATTCTCCTGCCTCAGCCTCCCAAGTAACTAGGATTACAGGTGTATGCCACCACACCTGGCTAATTTTTTTATTTTTAGTAGAGGCAGGGTTTCATCATGTTGGCCAGGCTGGTCTCAATCTCCTGACCTCGTGATCCACCCACCTCGGCCTCCCAAAGTGCTGGGATTACAGGCTTGAGCCACCGTGCCCGGCCACAGTATTCCTTTTTAAAAAGTTTAGCTATATATATGAATCTTTCTTAAATGTGATCTCTAGAATTTAGGAAGCATTGTTTATATTCCTAAAGCCTCAAGGTTAACATAATGACAACTTTCACAGCAGAAATTCAGTGATAATACCAGAAGTAACTATCAATGAGCAGGGCTCCACAAACAGACACCTACACAAACTGGCTCACCAGACTGCCTGCTTATCCAGTAATCCAGTTAATCATCATCCAGAAGTCCTGTTCATCTTTTAATTTTTTTCTGTTGCCTATCTCTCCTCTTTAATGGACTGGCATGAGCTGGTAAGAAACAGTGAATCAACTGAGAAGTGGGCAGGGAAGGGAGGGTTGCTGAGCACACTAAAAGCTTCTTTTCTGATTCTTTTGGTTCTTATTTATTTTTACATTTTTGTATAAAATCAGCATGAGAATAAAACGATTTCCTTCATTTGTGAAAGATTTGAAGTTTCTGTAGGTCCCTGTATGAGGACATTAAATCATCTCAATCTGTACTAAAGATAAGGAGAGGAGACTGAGTAGATATCACGAGGTCCAAATGATGCATGTCTTTTTTAATGATTTTGTCCTGATTTTCATCCAACACATATTCCTGCCTTTTGGTCTCAATATATAATTTGGTCTTACTTGCCTTAAGAGAGCTTCTTTTCCACACATCTCTCAGTCTATTACTGCTCTGATCTGCCCTACAGAAAAGGCTGCCATGCTCTAAGACACTTGAACCCGTAAGACAGTATGTTCTCACCATTAACCCCACTGCTTTTAAAAAAAAATCAATATTTAAGAGTTCAAAAATTACTACCAAGAGTATCTTGGAATTTCTCTTTAGCTTGTTCCTTTAGAGTGTTCCTTTAAGATGAAGAAATCTGTCCTGGCATGAGCCTCTGCTGTATCAAACCAGACAGTGGCACAGGGTAGCAGAGGCACCCAACCAGCATGTCTAAAACCTCCCACCCTAAACTGGAGGCTCATCTGCAATTGCATCAAAACTGCCAAAATAGCAGTGTTTGGGGAAAGGGCGCAGGTAAGCTGTGTGCATTCACTCCATTTCAGGAGGCAAAGCTGCTCTAGAAGTTTACCTTGGTCAGTCAGTCCCTTCCATCCAACTCAAAGTGGTGGGAGCAGTGAAGGGGAATGGTGTATATCACCAGGGCATACACATGCAGATTCCCAGCAACCTGAGGAATCTGAGAGCAGAGTTCTGGACCTGCAGCATTAGGTCACATGCAGAAATACTGCAGCTCAAAAATACAAAAGACACAAGACTCTGAGAAAATAATTTTATAAGGGTTTCTATAAGAAAAGGAATTATGTCTCTCATTAAATCATTTCTGGGATTCACTATTTCTATAAATAGTGGCTTCTACAATATTTCTAAAAGGAAAGGAATTTGGCTCTCATTAAATTATTTCTGGGAAATTATTCAATATTTCACCATATAACTATATATTACACAGTTATTATTTCTGTTTTCCAAAATAACAGCTACAGTTTTTTATATTTTAAACTCAAGTGAATCCCACAAGTACTCAGTACCTACCATGAGTATGACACCACAATGGCCAGGCGCTGGGGGGTTGTGTGGCTTAGGACTGGGAAACCAAATTAGACCTGGGAATACAGCAGCATGCATTCTCTCAAGCTCTGCAAGACTGGCATTTAAACCAAAATGCATCTAACTGTCAAGAGACAGTTACCAGACAAATTAGTTACCAGCCACAGACTCTTAGTCACAGTAGACAGCTAAAAATGGAAAATGTGCTCCCCCTCCCTTATCTTTTAAAATATGAAACAGGCTCATAAGGAGAAAGGCGATAGAAGACCTACAAAGAAGCAAATGAGTACAAACCCATCATGCCCAGAGCCAAGCACACAAGGCTACAGGGAAGAGGAAGAATAGTGCTAGTGAAAGGTTTTGTGGAGGAAGTGATTTGGGGTACTCATTCCTTCTATAGGAAGTCCATAGACTGGCAAAATCAAGTCTATCAATATTTCTAGTTTTGCCATAAAGCAAAAGGAAAGCATATGGGAAAGGAAAATACGCAGAAACAAGATATTCTTGTGTAGGAAGCAGCACACAAGTTTACATGGATGTACTATTTTTTATGTGGAATGTGACTGTATTTCATATTCCATATTTCAAAATATCCCTTTGTCATGCTTAAATGTATCAACCTAACTTGTCATTCACTGTGATATGCACTGTGCTGGCACCACAAATACAGATGAAAAAGATGCATTCTCTGACATCAAGGTACCCACTGTTCCCACAATCTTTCTTTCCCTTGATCCCTGAATAAATCTTAAGAGCAAGGATTCATGCCTTGTATTCCCAGAGTGCATATTCATTTATTTCACAAATATTTTAACTATCTAATGCCCTAAATATTATGCAAAGAATTCAAGAGTAAAAAAATGACATGATCTTTCTCCTCTGAAGGAGCTTGTAGTAGTGGAAGAGACAAACAGCTGGAGAGAGGAGTGTTGATAGGAGAAAGACACAGGATGATAAGCACACACTCAACCCACCCCAAACCAGGCTAGGAAAGTTGAGGTTTCCTAAGGAAAGTGACAGCTAAGCTGAGGCCTTGAGGATAAAGAGAAGTTAGCCAGCCAAGAAGGTATGGAAACAGTTTTCCACACAAATGAAAGTCTGTGCAAAGGTCCAGGCTGAGAGAAATCACAGAACCTAAAAGGAGGCAGATGGGCCCAGGACAGCAGGAACTCAGTGCTGGGGGTGGAG
Organism: Homo sapiens; assembly: GCF_000001405.40. NCBI lineage: Eukaryota > Metazoa > Chordata > Mammalia > Primates > Hominidae > Homo > Homo sapiens. Next base: position 151,215,813 of record NC_000003.12, on the reverse strand, counting down.
GAAGCAGGAGGCAGAACAAGAAAGGACTTCAACATTACAGACTTAGGGCATTCTCCTGAGGGCAAGGACAGACTACTAAAGGGTTTTAAGCAGGATAATTGGTACTGTTCACATATAAGATGGGCAGTAAACATCTGTTCCGATATATCAAATAACCTTTTGAATTTAATTCTAGTCTTCCCTCTGCCCTAAATCAACACTTCCGACATCAGTGAAGAATATACAGGATTCCTAAACAATAGAAGTTCTGGATAACACCTAGCACAGCACTGTGCAATAAAACCATAATGTGAAACACATATGTAATTTAAAATTTCCTAGTAGCCAGAGTCTTAAAAAGTAAAATTAAGTTAAATTTAAGAGTAATAATATATTTTATTTAATAGAGCATTTGTAGAATATTACTTCAACATGTGATCAGTATTAAAAATACTGAGATATTTTACATTTTTTCATTCCAAGTCTGCAAAGTCTAGTGTGCATTTTATACTTAACAGAACATCTCAATCTGGACTGGCCATATTTCAAGTGCTCAATACCCACACATGGCTAGTGGCTACCATACTGAATAGTACAGATGTAGAATGTACTTTGGGAAGCATTTCTCAGAATGCTTAAAGTACTTTTTATCATTTGTTTGTATTTGTATTCTAATTTATTAAAATAATGCAAATCAGTTTTTCAATGGGAAAAAAAAAAAGCTCAATATTGAAAAGGTACCCATAATCCCATACCAAAAATACCGGTTAACATTTGAATGTATATGTTTGTTAGACACTGTCTTCATGTCCAACATATATGTAGAATACACTTTTCTAAAAGTAAGGTCCGTCTGAATAGCTCTTAATATGTAAACATTTATAATGATTTTTATGAATCCATAAAAATTTCTCTTTTAGGAAAAAACAATCACATTTCCAACATAGGTTTTAAAAAAATACATTACACATGGGATTCTGAATAAAATAAAACATTAATTCTGCTTTTACAGTTACTACCTTTTAAGATTATACCTAAATGAGTATTTCCTAGAACTCTGGAGTTTTATAGGGAACCATTATTATTTTAGGGGCATGCTGGTCTCCGTATTACCTAGAAGTTCTCAGAGACTGCCCTGCTGCTCCAGTTTCTCTTTACTGCCACCTGTCTGCTCCATTCTTCCCTTTTCATTGCCCAAAAAAAAGGAAGAAGGAAGAGGAGGGAAAAGGGAGGGGGAGAGGGGAGAAGGAAGAAAGGAGTGGGGGTTGGTGGGTAAAGGGGGAAAGAGGGAGGGAAAGGAGAAAAGGAAGACCAAAAGAAAGAAAAGGAAGAACAGAGGGAGGGAGGGATGAGTGTCTAACTTACACAGAGTAAAAAGGTGGCTTCAAAAATTTGGTAGGTTTGACTATATTCATTGCCCTTTGCCTTATTACTCAGCAAATGTCTTGGAGGCCATAAGTGCCCTATGAGTGACCAGTTCACACCTCTTTTCAGGCCTCTGCCTTCAGAAGTTACAAGATGATCAATTCAACCTCCACACAGCCTCCAGATGAATCCTGCTCTCAGAACCTCCTGATCACTCAGCAGATCATTCCTGTGCTGTACTGTATGGTCTTCATTGCAGGAATCCTACTCAATGGAGTGTCAGGATGGATATTCTTTTACGTGCCCAGCTCTAAGAGTTTCATCATCTATCTCAAGAACATTGTTATTGCTGACTTTGTGATGAGCCTGACTTTTCCTTTCAAGATCCTTGGTGACTCAGGCCTTGGTCCCTGGCAGCTGAACGTGTTTGTGTGCAGGGTCTCTGCCGTGCTCTTCTACGTCAACATGTACGTCAGCATTGTGTTCTTTGGGCTCATCAGCTTTGACAGATATTATAAAATTGTAAAGCCTCTTTGGACTTCTTTCATCCAGTCAGTGAGTTACAGCAAACTTCTGTCAGTGATAGTATGGATGCTCATGCTCCTCCTTGCTGTTCCAAATATTATTCTCACCAACCAGAGTGTTAGGGAGGTTACACAAATAAAATGTATAGAACTGAAAAGTGAACTGGGACGGAAGTGGCACAAAGCATCAAACTACATCTTCGTGGCCATCTTCTGGATTGTGTTTCTTTTGTTAATCGTTTTCTATACTGCTATCACAAAGAAAATCTTTAAGTCCCACCTTAAGTCAAGTCGGAATTCCACTTCGGTCAAAAAGAAATCTAGCCGCAACATATTCAGCATCGTGTTTGTGTTTTTTGTCTGTTTTGTACCTTACCATATTGCCAGAATCCCCTACACAAAGAGTCAGACCGAAGCTCATTACAGCTGCCAGTCAAAAGAAATCTTGCGGTATATGAAAGAATTCACTCTGCTACTATCTGCTGCAAATGTATGCTTGGACCCTATTATTTATTTCTTTCTATGCCAGCCGTTTAGGGAAATCTTATGTAAGAAATTGCACATTCCATTAAAAGCTCAGAATGACCTAGACATTTCCAGAATCAAAAGAGGAAATACAACACTTGAAAGCACAGATACTTTGTGAGTTCCTACCCTCTTCCAAAGAAAGACCACGTGTGCATGTTGTCATCTTCAATTACATAACAGAAATCAATAAGATATGTGCCCTCATCATAAATATCATCTCTAGCACTGCCATCCAATTTAGTTCAATAAAATTCAAATATAAGTTTCCATGCTTTTTTGTAACATCAAAGAAAACATACCCATCAGTAATTTCTCTAATACTGACCTTTCTATTCTCTATTAATAAAAAATTAATACATACAATTATTCAATTCTATTATATTAAAATAAGTTAAAGTTTATAACCACTAGTCTGGTCAGTTAATGTAGAAATTTAAATAGTAAATAAAACACAACATAATCAAAGACAACTCACTCAGGCATCTTCTTTCTCTAAATACCAGAATCTAGTATGTAATTGTTTTCAACACTGTCCTTAAAGACTAACTTGAAAGCAGGCACAGTTTGATGAAGGGCTAGAGAGCTGTTTGCAATAAAAAGTCAGGTTTTTTTCCTGATTTGAAGAAGCAGGAAAAGCTGACACCCAGACAATCACTTAAGAAACCCCTTATTGATGTATTTCATGGCACTGCAAAGGAAGAGGAATATTAATTGTATACTTAGCAAGAAAATTTTTTTTTTCTGATAGCACTTTGAGGATATTAGATACATGCTAAATATGTTTTCTACAAAGACTTACGTCATTTAATGAGCCTGGGGTTCTGGTGTTAGAATATTTTTAAGTAGGCTTTACTGAGAGAAACTAAATATTGGCATACGTTATCAGCAACTTCCCCTGTTCAATAGTATGGGAAAAATAAGATGACTGGGAAAAAGACACACCCACACCGTAGAACATATATTAATCTACTGGCGAATGGGAAAGGAGACCATTTTCTTAGAAAGCAAATAAACTTGATTTTTTTAAATCTAAAATTTACATTAATGAGTGCAAAATAACACATAAAATGAAAATTCACACATCACATTTTTCTGGAAAACAGACGGATTTTACTTCTGGAGACATGGCATACGGTTACTGACTTATGAGCTACCAAAACTAAATTCTTTCTCTGCTATTAACTGGCTAGAAGACATTCATCTATTTTTCAAATGTTCTTTCAAAACATTTTTATAAGTAATGTTTGTATCTATTTCATGCTTTACTGTCTATATACTAATAAAGAAATGTTTTAATACTGTCTATTTTTTCTTAATAATCAACATATGAGGAAACATTACCAGATTTCCTCACAGTCAAGACATATGTAGTTTCTTTATATGCTCAATTATGCATGCTAATACAATGGAGACAGTTACATAGAGAATTCAAAAATTCTATCTGCCAGTGACTTTTCAGAAGAAGTACTCCAGATAGGGCATGGTGGCTCACACCTGTACTCCCAACACTTTGGAAGGCAAAGGTGGGCAGATCACTGAAGTCCAGGAGTTCAAGACCAGCCTGGGCAACATGGCGAAACTCTGTCTCTACAAAAAAATATAATTAGCCAGGCGTCGTGGCATACGCCGATAGTCCCAGTTACTGGGGAGACTGAGGTGGGATGATCACCTGGGCCCAAGAGGCAGAGGTTGCAGTGAGCCATGATTGTGCTACTGCACTCCAGCCTGGGCAACAGAGCAAGAACCTATGTCAAAAAAAGAAACAAAAGTACTTCATATGTCCTATAACCTCATCAATATTTTAGGCAAAACTCAGAAAAAAATACCCTAAATTGGGGAAAAGCTGGACAGGTTTTTTTTCCCTCAGTATCTACTTTCCACTGTTCTAATAGTTCCCAATTCTGGGTCAATCAGACCGTCTCAAAAAATAAAAAACGAAAATTGCTATGCTATCACAAATGTGCTTGGTAAACTAAGCTTGCTATAATTGTTTATCTAACTACATCTGCAAAAAAAAAACAAAAAACAAAAACGAAACAAAAAAAAAAAACAAAGGCAGTGTTTATTCTTCACAACTTACATTGGCCAGGACAAATGAGTAAATACTAGGGTTTTAAATGCCCCCTACTGGGCCATGGTAAAAAAGTGAAAGTGAAAAAGAGAAGATGAGTAGCACCAAGAAATGCCTTTGTAAGCATGTGCTAAAGCAGAATAGCAATGCAAAAGTAATATTTTTCAGGAAACAACATGGATTGCAGATAAGGATATTGTGAAGCAACAGCTGAGTAATAGTTACTACCTATTAGAACTTTCAGGTCCAGAGTAACAACTAAAAACCAAGTGGCAGAGCACCAGCAATAATAAATTAACCCAGCGACTTCCCAGAAATCACTAGCACTAGTGTAGGTGGGCAACAGGGAACACTTGCCAGGTCCTTTTGTAGATAAAGCTATAGTGCAGGCACGCCAGTGTTCAGGGTGCCCACCGAGGCTTACAACTCAGGTGCCTGCAGAAGGCACTGTAAACACAGCTGTAAGGAAACAGGGGAAGCTAATGACAGTCTGCTGAGAGCCTCTGCCTCAGAGTCTCTGCCAAGAGAGGCCAAAGGGCTCTCAGCTCTAGTCAATTATTTCCTCATTTTTCAAGATACGAAAAGTCACAAAGTTTTTCCATTGCTGGGGCACCAATGAAAAGAAAATATACCTGCAGATAGAATATGCTAATGGCTACTCTGTAACATGTGGAATGCAGAAATCTCACAGAAAGATATTCAAAAGTCACTCATGACGACTAAAAACCTCCCTTTAACAGAAATCCTTACATTCCATTTTGATGCATAAGTGATTCAACTACCTATACAAAATGTTTTAAGGTGTTTTTATAAAAGGAATATTTGAGATAAGAGTAATAAAGAAACAGATCATAGAAAGATCATAATCATATAAAAAGATCACACACTGACATCTACCCACTGAGGTGGATGAACCCTGCAATGGTCTTTTACGAAATGTTGTCATCACTAGTGCTCATTCGTTGGTCATCTTCAGCCTCCGTCTTCTTTGTCCAGAAACAGAAGCAAAACTTTTCCTTTGGGAAAGTCATTCTGTCCTGTTCTCAACCATGCAGCTATCATATGCAGCTGACCCCATCCCCCACATAAGGGGCCAGCCATAACTGACTCTAGGCAATCAGCATGTCTGATTCCACTGGCCACAAGTTGGGATGGAACATGATCCAATTTGACCTAATAAGAGCAAGTTCTAGGCTTCTGAAAAAATTATCTGGAGGGTGTGCCATGAAGATATAAGATCTAGAAGCACTTCTTTCATCTGGCTACCATAGGAAAGAGAGCCTAAAGCACCCTATGAGTTGAAATTGACACCATGGAAGGCACACTGAAGACATGGTACAAACCCAGTCCTGGTTACAAAGCTGAGTGCCTGCATCAGTCCTAACCTAAAAACATACCCACAGCCAATAAGCCCAATTTTAATTGGTTTCTTTTCTCTTTCTTTCTTTTGGCAACTACAAATGAGAAACTCGTGATACACTGGCTTTATCTAACAGAGTAATCTAAAGAGTTCAGAAGTTCTAGAAAACACCCTCACACAAAGCTGTACTTCTGCTTGATGATGTTAGTCAAGTATGTGTCATTAGTTCTGCGCTCTATCCTTAACCCTATCGCTGCCATCTGTATCTTTCAACTCTGGAGAAAAAGCATCAATAAATACAAAAAACATCTGTAACATCAAGAGATAATATTATACAAATTACAAATATAACAGATCACTCCCCCAAAATGACACGGGATTTCTTTCGGGTAAGCAGCACTGTGAGGGTTTGTGTGTTTGGTAGTGTGTGGTCTTCAACAGTAAAAGCCATTACTTCCTTTTGTTCACTATTTTCCACAAGACTCTAATGGCATGTGGATTACCGTTTCAAGACAAGACATGCCCGTCAAAAAAACCACTTTAACAAAATGTAGTTTTTCTTTCCCACAGGTCACTTTTCAAAATGTTTTAACCACTTTATAGTACTGCTTGTACAAAATGATTAAATGTCGTATTAATTTCTCTGCAGTAAACGTATGTGATAAATATTACATGTGAATCAGCTACAAAAAAACAAACAAGAAAGTGCGCCCCAAAGCAATCTCAAGATTTTTAGGAAATATGAGATGTTACTGCATTCCTATCTCCCCCTGCTTCAATAGAAGTTGGGTGTAAGTAAGAAAGGGGTGTTATAAAAATAGGCCCACCTCAATAAACAGGAAAATATATGACAGGTATTCTCACTGATAAAACTTATAAGACTACTTGTTACTTTTTGAAGGTGTTCATTGTATGATTCTATGGCTTCTCTCATGGTCACCGTCATAGCCACTAGCCACTTCACTCCACTTCCTAAATATTGTATCATGTGTTTTGGGGACCTGCAACACAGGACTTAAGACAAGGGAGTAAATTTGTTCTTTATCAGCCTCCAGGTGTCACCAGCCTTAACTCCCATGGTATCAGCATGGCAAGGGAAGCCCATACCTGCACTACTTCTCCCTTCTCTCCCAAATCCCCCATCATCTGATGACCTGCTAAACCTGCCCCAGAAGTGTGTGGCAAAGGGCTTACTTTCCTATCATTCCATTTCCTGACACAAATGAACACCAAGAAAACATGGCCCTCATCATATCCATACAATATTACATATTACTTAAATTCTTGATTTTTCTGTTTTCTTTTTTTGACATAGAGTCTTGCTCTTGTCCCCCAGGCTGGAGTGCAGTGGCGTGATCTCAGCTCACTGCAACCTCCACCTCCAGGGTTCGATTCTCCTGCCTCAGCCTCCCAAGTAGCTGAGATTACAGGTACCCGCCATCACGCCTGGCTAATTTTTGTATTTTTAGTAAAGATGGGGTTTTACCATGTTTGCCAGGCTGGTCTCGAACTCCCGACCTCCGGTGATCCATCCACCTCGGGCCCCAAAGTGCTGAGATGACAGGCGTGAGCGCCCGGCCTCAATGTTCTATTTTCTAAGCTAAAAGGGTCTCTACATTTAACTTGCAGCTTTTTTCAAGCTGTTAGTTATGTTGTACTTTCAACCATTATCTTTCTAAAGGAATACTAGCTCTCTCTGATATCATATTGACTGCATGAGAACATAATCCTTATAAAAGCCAACTTCAACTCCACATCAAATTCACTTTCTTGTTAAGAAAAACAAGCAACTATAAAAAAATTGGCATGGCCAAGTGTAGTTCATATCTGGCTAACAGTATGAAAGTAGTTAGGTAAAAAATAAGAAAAATGGTCTTATTTTAAATAAGAAAACCAGCATTTCCATCAAGGCCATTCAAAATAAGAGCTCCTTAAGTGTTTGCAAAGTACATTCAGAATGTTCTGGTTAATGACAGATAAAGCTCTGAGAAACATTTAAAACCTAAATGAAAAAGAATAAAATAAAAATCTATCTAAGCTATATCAAATAAAAACTTTGTCAGCCAATAAGGCAAATTCACCTTTCTATCTGACCAAGCTGCCTCTCTCCTCAGACTTCCTTTCCCAGGACTAAAACCTCAGTCTCCTCTGCTCCCTCTCTACCCCACCCTGCAGTGATCTTACTTCTGCAGTGGTTCTCAGCTATTCCTCCCTTCCCATGTAATTTCAGATCCTTATTGCTTCTCACTTAAAATGACTGCAATCTTTCCTTAACTGGCTTCTCACCTTCCACTTTCTCTCCTAACCAAGCAAACTCCAATGTTGGTAGATTCACCTAATACTGCCCAATTGACAGCTCCTTGCCTTGTATAACCATGAGCTCTCCAATGCTTACTTTATTAAAATCCCAGGGAGCATCCAAGATTTGGTCTCAATCTTTTCCTCACAGAGACACCCAAGCCCCCAAATTGCCTGACAGTCCCCCCCAAAATTTCTCATACTCCAATTATCTGTGTCATCCCCCAAGCATGCCACCTTGTAGCTCATTCTGAAGAAGCTCCTATTCACCCCACCACAGTCTGGAGCATTACAATACCCGGATTCCCACAGGTTCTAACAGCACATAGCAGGTGATAAGATTCCTTTTCATTCCTGTACAAAGCATAAAATATTCTCCAGGATAAGAGCTCAGGAGGCAGCCTGTAATTGATAAATATTTGCTGTTATAATTTTTCATAAATACTTGATCAAGAAATATTCACATGGCTGGGTGCAGTGTTGTGCCCCTGTAGTCCTAGTTACTCAGGAGGCTGATGCAACAGGATTGCTTGAGCCAAGGAGTCTGGGACTGCAGCAAGCTATGATTAGACCTCTGAATAACCACTGCACTCCAGCCTGGACAACGTAAGACGACCCTGTCTTAAAAAAAAAAAAAAAAATCACATGGCTAGGAAAAGGGAGATGTTCTCCAAAGAACATTCTCCTGGAAAGTAACTAAAAAGTTTTAAAAATGTGTTCTGTGCTTTGAAAATGTGTTAGTCATGGCCGGGCACGGTGGCTCACATCTGTAATCCCAGCACTGTGGGAGGCCGAGGCAGGTGGATCACGAGGTCAGGAGATCGAAACCATCCTGGCTAACACGGTGAAACCCCATCTCTACTAAAAATACAAAAATTTAGCTGGGCGTGGTGGTGGGTGCCTGTAGTCCCAGCTACTCGGGAGGCTGAGGCAGGAGAACGGCGTGAACCTGGGAGACGGATCTTGCAGTGAGCTGAGATTGCACCACTGCACTCCAGCCTGGGTGACAGAGCAAGACTCTGTCTCAAAAAAAAAAAAAAAAAAAAGATAATGTGTTAGTCATAAGTTCATAAGAAATGGACCATAAACAAACAAATGGGGGAAAAAAAGCATGAAATTCAGTGACTAAAAAGAAACGAGATAATCTTTAAAAGTTCTTTATTATAAATTTCCCCTCCATAAATTATCTTTTAACCATGGACCAAATAGCAGTCACACCTCACAACCAAAAGGTAAAATGAAATGTTGACGCAATAACATCAACAAAAAGGCAGACAACCAAAAGGACTGTCAAGGGGAAATGACAGGGTAATGTACCCAGCCATTCTTTTAACTGAGTTCACATTCCAAGAATGTGAAAAAAACAAATTTGCCTTCAAATCATTTCCAAACATGTATTCTCCATTTCAGTAAAGAAAAAAAAACAAGGCAGAATTTAAATAATACAGAAACAGTAACATGGAAACCATACGTCTACATTTCACTTTAAAACTACACTGCTTAATCACATCAGTCACTCTCAGATTTAAAGCTACCAATCTCAGAGCACAGAAAAAAATCTTTGGGCTAACGCAGGTGGGAAAGAATATTATGTGCAAAAAAAAAAAAAAAAAAAAATTATTTTCTTTCAAAACATAACCCTGAAGCACAACGGCTATAGAGAGAGGGCTGAACTGGAGTTGCACAGGCTGTGGCAGAAGTGACTGATCATAAAAATCTTCCATTTGTAAATTATTTTGATGTAAGAGCGTCCCAAATTCACATTCCAGAGGCTGAAAACTCCATGAGGAAGGCAAGAACAGTGGTACACTGTTCTACCACCCAATGGCATGCAAATTCAAATGGTTACAAATACTAAATGGGAAGGGGGACCGGATTGACCTGATGGCCTCCATTGTAATCACTGTCCCCAGCAATTTCATTGTAAGAAGCATAACTAAGAGCTGGGACGCTAGGGTCTAACTGTGCAGGCTTGAGTGGGCCTTAATTTCTCTGCACCACAGTTTCCCCATCTGTAAGAGGCAGAATCTCCTGTATCTCATGGCTTGTTTTAACAAAAACAAGTCCTCAGACCTGTGCCCGGCTGTGGCAGTGACCACCGACCCCAACATTTG